>NC_000022.11:26209564-27459564 GCF_000001405.40 Homo sapiens | reverse complement strand
CTGGGGGCTTGGGGGATGACACAACAATGGTAGCCCTGCCCACATGGACTCAAAGTCCAGTGCAAGGGAGTCATGCAAAATTAAGTAGGAAGTTTCATGAGTTCCTGAGAGCAAATGCCAGGGAG
Source organism: Homo sapiens (assembly GCF_000001405.40). Lineage (NCBI taxonomy): Eukaryota > Metazoa > Chordata > Mammalia > Primates > Hominidae > Homo > Homo sapiens. The sequence continues at coordinate 27,459,439 of NC_000022.11, read as the reverse complement.
ACCTGGCCAAGGCAGGAAGGGCTTCCAGAACAAATGGTTTACATGGAAACTGAAAACGATAAGCTGCTTTTAAATGGCTGGAGAGCCAGCCATAAGCCAGTCCTGCACCCAGGATGTGTGCTGTCTAAATATGGGCTTCCCTAAAACAGACCCCAAGACAGGGATGTGAAGGCAAGTGGCATTTTAGGGGGATAATCCAGGAAGCACTGGTGGGGAAGGAAGGGAGTGAGACAGAGAAGGGAAAGAGCCTATCCAGGGTGCACTAATGAGCAGGTTATCACGTTGAGCAGCTGGAACTCAATCCCACTGGGGAAGTCTGAGAACCAGTGTAAAACACACACCTCAGTTATCTACCCAGGGAGCGAGGGAGCTGAGATATTTATCCTCCAACTCCTGTCCATCACTGGAAGGGTGCTTTTGGAGCATTAACTCCTGGTGCTTCTGACCTTGCCCTCATGCACATCATCTGAGCAAAAGTGCTGGTAGGGAGTTGCAGGTGCTTGCTGTCATGTGCATTCAGCATGCACTGGGATGGTAAGTTTGGGGTATATGCCCACAGAGGCACTGTTTGCATCTGTACCACGTGCAAATCCACAGCAGGGTGAGATGAACAGAACCTCTACTCTGACAATGATAAGCTTTAGCATGATTCCTCCCTGCAGGCTCAGCCCTTCCCAGAGTCCCCACGCCACCTTGGACAGGCATTAAAGGTCATTCCTCAGCTCCTTCCCACAGCCTGACCTTGGCCTCCAATCCTCTCAGAGCCTTGGTCTGACCACAGGACTCTTGTTTACTACCAGAGCTTGTCCCTATTTTGCCCCCCATCCCCATCACTGATGGTTATCTTGGTTACCTGCCTGATGCCTCTTACACTGGGCCCCACATGACACCCCTGGAAATCCCCTCCAGAGTGTTTTCAACCAGATCCAGGATCCTGAACTTCAAAGTATCATCCAGATTCATATCCTGTCATCACCAGGATACATTATCCAAGTACCCTTAGGAGCCTCTCACCTCTCTGAGCCTCCCTGTTTACCCAGAACTGAGGATGGTGAGAGGACCAACGAGCTCATTCCCTTCTAGAATCAATCTTTAACACCAAACTGTGCAGCACTTCATGGATGCCATAGGTACAGCATGGACCAGAGTAGAAATGGGCACTGCCTCATGGAGCTCAGGTCCAGTGGGATGATGGTGAATGGGTCCAGAAAGCTGTGAGCACCAGAGACAGAGTCCACTCCAGCTTGCTGAAGCACACAGGGAACTTGCTGAGGCTGGTCACTGGGAAAGACCCCTGGGAGTGGCCCCACGGAACTACAGGAAAAGCTGCAGACCCAGGCTCCCCACAGTCTCTGCTTATCTGTTCCCCATCACTGCTCATCTCCACTTGGCATCCCTCTGCAGACCAGCTCACTCCAGGTGGTGGGAGCTCCAGGTTGTGGGATCTCCAGGTGGTGGGATGGTGGCTGCTCAGGCTTCCAACATCACATTCTTTCAGCTCAGCACCCTGTCTGAGTCTTCCATGGCTGTATAACTAACCACCCCAAAGTGGAGTGTCTTAAACTACACCGTTTATTTTGTTCATAAATCTGCAATTGGGCAGAACCCAGTGGGACAGCTTGTGTCAGCTCCATGTGACATCAGCTTCAGGGACTCAAAGGCTGGGGGGTTGGAATCACCAAAAGCTCATTTATTCACATGTCTGACAGTTCATGCTGCCTATTGGATGGAATCTCAGAGGGCGCTATCAGCTGGAACACTGAACATTGGCCTTCCCACGTGGCTGGAGCTTCCTTACAACATGGCGACGAGTTCCAACAGTGAGCGTGCTGAGGCAGAGCCCGGTGAAAGCTTCACTGCCTTTTGTAACCTAGCCTTAGAGCTCATGCAGAGTCCCTTCCACCACCCTGCCTCTATTCACTGAGGCAGTCACAAAGACTGTCCATATTCAAGGGGTAGGGGACTGGATTCCACCGTTTGTAGGGAGCAGTGCCAAAGAATTTGCGGACATGTTTCAAAACATACAGCCCCTGCTCTGTGGACACTGATTATCCTTGTTCTGGTCCCATGTATACTCTGTGGGCTACTCCTTTTTACTGGGGGATGGGAGGTTGGGATTTTTCAGTCCTGAGTCAAACCTCCCTTCCTGGGGCCAGTGTGAATATATGGGGAGAAGGCTGAGACTGTGAACTCACAGCCAGACCAGAACTGTGTACAATGAGAGACTGAGGTTTCTCCAAACAAGGGACGGCAGGCAGACAAAAACATATGTCCTTTCTGAATAATAAATAAATAAACACACAAGTACATAATGATCCACGGTGAAAAGTGCTCTGTTGGCAAAAGACAGGATGCTTGTAAGAGTGACTCAGGTGGGGTGGGCAGTGGAGATGGAGCCTTGGACTGAGTAATCAGGGACTATCTTCAGAGGAGGTGATTTATACCGAGGCTTGAAGAGTGAGAAGGGATCAGCCGGGGGAAAGACTGGGCTTCAGGCAGAGTTTAACCCACGCAGAGGCCCTGAGATGTGAAAGCGTGGCATATTCAAAGACTTAAGTGGCCACGTGGCTGGAGCAGCCTGAAGAAATTGGGGCATGGCAGAGATGAGGCTTGACCACACAGTGTCTTGAAGGCCATGATAAGAGTTGGGATTTAAGCCTGTGAGCAAAAAGCAAGACCCAATTTAAGTTTACACGTATTGTACCCCAAATGCCTGGCATGGAGTTATTTTACATGTGCACATTTTTAAAATCTGTTAGTTCTTTTCCCCACTATTTTTTTTTTTTGAGATGGAGTCTCGCTCTGTCGCCAGACTGTTGTGCAGTGGCGCAGTCTCCACTCACTGCAACCTCCGCCTCTGGGGTTCAAGCAATTCTTCTGCCTCAGCCTCCCCAGTAGCTGGGACCACCGGCGCGCACCACCATGCCCAGCTAATTTTTTTTTGTATTTTTAGTAGAGACAGGGTTTCACCATGTTGGCCTGGATGCTCTCGATCTCCTGACTTCATGATCTGCCCACCTCAGCCTCCCAAAGTATTGGGATTACAGGTGTGAGCCACCGCACTCAGCCCCTTTCCCCATTTTTTTGGGTCCTTCATCCTTCCAAAATCACTACCAGCTTGGTGATCTTTGCCCCCATCTGGTACACCCCCTTAATCTTTCCCTCAACTGCCTTTTACCCCAGCTTCCTGCAGCTGCTCTGCCCACTCTGTTGGGGCAAATATCGCCAGCTTCAACTCCCTGCTCCATCCACCATAAGCCACCAGGGCATGCCCCGTTGAGCCTGAGACATGCGTGATGTCAACAAATGGCAGCGTGAAGGTGACATTTTCTTCACCCAGCCACCACCTGTGCTGCCAGCCCATCCATCGCTCCTCAGTGCACCCAATCCATCCAATTTAAATAAACAAATCCCCCAAACAGGGCCCAGTAATGGAAACGCTGACAGACCCTTATCTACGGCATCTCTGGGTGTACACAGGTCTATAATGATTTGGGCCTCACTGAGGCGGAGGAGTTATTGCAATTGTGCCACACCTATGACAGTTTAATCAGATCTTGAAAATCAGGGGCATTACATCGTGCACCTGCTCATGAGGACAAAAAGGGAAAAAAATGGCTGGTAGAGTTTTCTATCATGGGCTCTTTTTTTTTCCTTTTTTAATACCCAAGTAGGACTTTCAGAGTACATAATTCATTGCATGTGTGTGGGGGAGGGTAGGCAGCGGGGGATGTGGGAAGTAGAATTACACTGAGTGGTGACTAGAGAAGAATGAGGGAAGATGTCCACAAAGGGGCTTATTTTGTCTACACAGGCTATATCTTGAAGGATGTGACCATGTCTGGGCAGTGGAGAAAAACAGACCTGGGTTCAAGACCTGCATCCTTCTCTCCTTTTCTTTCCTTCCCTCCCTTCTTCCTATGAATATTAGTTAACTTCCAACTTTATCTCTGGCCCACTGCTAGGCACCAGGAGGCTATAATAACCCAAGTGTGTCCAGGTTCTGCCCTCCAGGAGTCAGAATATATGATTAGTGAGAAACAGCTGGCTCACAGAGTATCTTAGTTTTCACCTCCTCAAAAGCAGGAGACCGGGGACAAGGATCTCAGATATGCAAAAGACTTGGGGGCAGGGAGTGTATTTGGAAGTGTTCCCAGGTAGCAGGACTGGGGAGCAGGGGGAGAGACAGGAAAGAGAAGAAAATTCCAGTGAAAGGCATGCTGTTGATCTGGTCATCACTGTGGGTAACTGGGGCTTAACACTGCTAGAGACCTTCTGAGGAACAGTGTAGAATGGGCCACAGCTTTGAAAACCCTGAGGCAGGAAAGCAGGGAGACACCCACTTACGGGACGCTGGCCACATGCAAGGTCATGTCCACCACTGATGGGCTGGAATCAGTGGGTCAAGAGGGTGTGGCTGGTGGCACCATGGACAGCTCCCACATTGGTACAGTGGGGAGCCGGGGTCAGCTGGGTGATCAAGGTGGCCTTCCTGGAGGAAGTTGAAACTGAGAAGGAGTTAAATGGGGTGGGATGTGGAGGAAAGAGCATTCTAGGAAGGGGGAATAGTGTATGCAAATAAGGTTCAGAGGCAGAAGGAGTGTGGTGCTTTTGAGGACTGACAGGGCCCAGGTGGTTAGAACAAAGAGAATGAGGTGTAAAGAAACAGCACATGGGACAGGAGGGGGCTGAACCCAACTCAGACCATGTGGGACTCAAGGCCTCTGGTGGAGAGGGAGTCATCAAAGAACCAGGGACAAGGACATCAGATATGCAACTTTAAAAGCTCATCCTGGCTTCTGTGTAGAGAATGGGTGTGCATGGCAGGTGGGGCGAGGATGCACAGAGCAGAGACCATGCTGCTAAGGTTGTCCAGGTGGGAGATGAGGCTGGGCTGGCACCATCAACTCTCTGTATCACCTGGATCAAGTGACATCCCTCGCCAGATCTTGGTTTCCTCACTGCCCAATTGAGTTCATGGTCAACCCTGCCCTCCGCGTTCCCCAGAGCTGTTACGAGAAGAAAGATGGTTGCATCTGCAGTGGTGGCTAACACAGAGACTTATGTATGGCGGGCACTTGGAAACCCTTTATTTCTTCCTTCCTTCTCCTCTGTTTCTGCCTTCTGACTTCAGAGGTCTGCCCTGCTGAGGCCAAGTGAGGAAATGGGCCTCATGCATGTATTATTGATTTATTTATTGGGGGCAATAGAAAGAGGAATGTTACCTGGCCTTGGCCTCAGGACAGTTCCCTCTCTGCAGGATGAGATGTAGTTGTCTGCCCAGTGACACTGTGCAAACTGTTGAGTCCTCTGCATAGAAGAAAGAGCTGAAGACATCTGTGCCGGACATGGTATACTCCAGACTCTCCTATGTCAGGCTGTTATGCAAAGTGGACTTTTCAGGCTCTCTCCCTCATCATGACACCCCCACTGAGATCTTGTCTCAAGTTTTTTCTTAATTAGGCTTTTGAGTCGGAAACTGAAGGCAGGCTTTGCCAGAGAAGCCCTGGGGTTAAGCAGCTTTTACTTGCAACGGAAAACACCCCAGGGGTTAGAAGTACATAGTCGTTCACACTTTGGTGTGAATTGGGTTGAAAGACTGGGCATGTGCTAAATGCTAAGGGCAAGTGGCCAGGTTAGTGAGTCCTGATGGGCCTCATGAGCTGGGCCACCTTCCTGCTAGTCCCTGCTAGGCTGGGGGGCAGAGAGGATGGGAGCACCAGAGATCACATTCCTTTCTTCTCTCTGGCAATCTCTGTTCCAATTTGTCTAATTGACGAGTTATGAGTCCCTAAGGCCTTGCCATTTTGGGGTGCCAAATGGTATTTTTATGATACCCAGAACATAGCAGGCACCAAATAAACACCAAAAAATAATGGCTGGCTGGGTGGATGAACAGATGAATGTACAGATGAACGAATGGGTATTGATTAAGTGAAGGAGCCAGTGTTTGGATAAGCAGCTGCACCTGAGCATCACTGAGCAGGCTCTGGTGAAGCCTATTTGGGCTGGTGGTTTGCATCCTGGAACTCAGGGCTGGCTGTTTGTGTTTGAAGACTGTTTCCAAAGAGGGCTCCCCAACCCCAGATTCTGTAGAACACCTCATTTTGCCTCTGAAGTGGCTGGGAGAATCCCAGTCAGATGGTCCTCTACTCCAGGCTACTGGGTTTTAAGTGGCGGTGACATCTACGTTCAGGACCTGTGTCCTCAGGCACAGGGGATATCACAGGAACATCCTGTCCTGTGAGGTAGCAGGTATGATGTGAAAAACAAGCAAGAAACTAGGCTTATTTACTTAACAAATTTTTTAGAGACAGTCTCTGTCACCCAGGCTGGATTGCAGTCATGCAAGCATAGCTCGCTGCAGCCTCAAATTCCTGGGCTCAAGCAATCCTCCCACGTCAACCTCCTGAGTAGCTGGGATTATAGGCATGCAGCATCACTCCCAGCTAATTTTTTAAAAATGTATGGAGATGGAGGTCTCACTTTGTTGTCCAGGCTAGTCTCAAACTCCTGGCTTCAAGTGATCCTCCTGCCTTGGCCTCCCAAAGTGCTGGAATTACAGGTGTCAGCCACCATGTCTGGCCCTTATTCACTCTCATGCCATCTGTAGAATCCCGCAGAGCAGTGCCAGGCTCTGAAGATATTGTTTGGAGGGATCTGGAGGGAAGATGCAGAAGTTCTCTGCCACCAGCAAATCTTGGGGATTTTATTTGTTATTTTGCTGTTTCTTTGTTTGATGTCCTTTCTAACCATTCACCCACTCACATATTTAGTTTTTACTTACCCATCATCTAGCCATCTATTTATCCAACCGTTCATCTACTCATTCTCCTAACTCCTCCCTCAACTACCCATCTACTCACCCATCCACCACTCATTCACCAGCCTATCCATCTACCCATCCATCCATCTACCCACTCACCTACCCATCCATCCATCCATCCATCCATCCATCCATCCATCCATCCATCCACTTATTTATCCGTGCATCCACACATCTATCCTTTCGCTCATCCATCCATCCCTCCATCCACCCATCCATCCATCTATCCATCCACCCACCCAGCTATCTACCGGAAACACTCATCCACCCATTTATTTATCTACATATCCATCCATCCACCCATCCATTCACTCCTCATCCATCCATCCATCCATTCATCCACTCACCCACCCACCCAGCCATCTACTCATCCATCCATCCATCCATCCATCCACCCATTTATCTACTGGTCGTCCATCCATCCATCCATCCATCCATCCATCCACTTATTTACCCATCCATCTGCTTACTTATCCATCCACCCAGCCACTCATCTATTTACTTCTCCACACACCCATTCACCCACCCATCCATTTACTCATCCATCCATCCATCCATCCACCCATCCATCCATCCATCCATCCACCCACACATCCAACCACCTGTCCATCCATTCATCCATCCATCCCAAACCCTCATACCCCCATTAACCTAATCAGTCTACCATCTAGTCTGTGCCAGGATTTGTTCCATATATTGGGCACAACAGTGAGGCTGTGATAGGGCCAATGCATTAACAGAGTCTCCAGTAATGGAGATGTTCACAATACAGACAATTATAGCCTAGACAGATCAGCACTGTGATCAGAGCAGCACAGAGAACTCTGGGTGCCCAGAGGAGGACCATGCTGCCTCAGTTTCCTTGGAGCCTTCACAGATGCTGTTCCTCTGGCTGGAACACTCTTCCCTCCCCTTGTCATCTGGATCACTCCCACTTATCACTTAAGTTGAAGCCTGGTGCACCTCATGAGAGAGCTGTCTCCAATCGTCCTTACTCTTTTCTCTGGATTGCAATTTTCCACCAACTTTTGGAGTTGGGTCTATGTCTTATTCCTTCCTCGCCTGGCCCATAGTAGGTGTGCTACAAATGTTTGAGGAACAGATGAATGCAGATGGCTAGACCAAGAAGAGGGAGAAAATGACAGAGTATATGAGAATGGCAGCGATGTCCAGGCCAGACCCTCAGTCAAGATTAAGGGCCTATGCAGCTAGACAGTGATGGACACGATACTCTGAAACCAGGTGGGCCCAAATCCCAGGCCCAACACGTGAAGATAACTCATGAAGCCCTCTTCCCCTGAAGTTCAGTATCCTCATCTATAAAATATGAATTGTCACTGCCCTCTGAGGTTTTGTACAGCATTAAAAGGTGCATTAATTCATGTCCTCTGTATGAGTTTTCCATTGCTGCTCTAACAAATTACCACAATCTTAGTGACTTAAAACCATACAATTTTTTTTTTTAGTTCTGGAGGACATAAGTCCAAATGCATCTTAGAGGCTAAGACTGAGGTGTCAGCAGAGCTGCATTCCTCTGTTTCTTCCCTAAGAGAGAATCTGCTCCTGGTCTTTTCTTGTACCTTGAAACCACTTTCATTCTTTGGTTCATGGTCCCTTCCACCCCCTTTAAAGGGCATCAACTTCTGCTTCTGTTATCACAACTCCTTTCTCTTGTCCTGATCCTCTTGTCTCCCCCTTATAAGGACTCTCATGTTGAGATGGGGGCTGCCTTCATCATCCAGGGTAATCTCCCCGTATTGAAATCCTTAACTACATATTTGCAAAGTCCCTTCTGCCATGGAAGGTAATACATTCACAGGTTCTGGGGATTAGGGTGTAGATATCTTTGGGGGACCCCTATTCTGTCAATCACATCCTCTCAGAAACAGAAGGTAAGATGGGAATAGCAAGAGGAGGGTGCTGAAGGAGGAAGTGGGGATGGCTGCCAGGCAGTGATGCTGGTCTGACTCCTGTGCCAGGAGAGGGGGAAGGAAGGAGAGGAAGTCAAGGAAGAGTCTCAGGTGGCCACACAGTTCTAAGAAAAAGTTTCAGCCAGATCAGTGGGGACTCCTTGAGCCAAAGTCACACAACAGAGGAGTCTGTCTCTTGCAAAACTGGGCCTACCTCAGTATACCCATCAGACTCATTCTCTGTCTGAGAGTAGCTCATGGGAAGCCTGGCCTTGGTGCAAACATGGTGGAAGAGTCAGTGCTGTTAATTAGATCTGGGTGGTGCATTTTCATGGCAGGTAGAGACGGTTCTAGCACAGGTATAGGCCAAGGATTGCTGTAGGAAAGGGAGTAGCTCTAGTATCAGGTTGAAGTCAGAGAAGGGAAGGGTGCAGGGTGTGAGTACTGTCTTTGGGTTGTGGAGATGGGAAAATTCCAAGGGCTCTGAAGAGGACAGGTAGCCCCCAACCTAGGGAAATCCCAGTGGGGTCTCAGGAGTTCTTTGATATTTTTGAGGGAAGCTACACATCCTCAACCTGGAGGAAACGTCATTAGATTGTAAATTCCATGCCACTTAGTGATCACTTGCAGGGATATGTAAGGTACTCTCATTTAGGTAGTCTTATAAAAGGGACCTGAATTAGAATTTTCCTCTCTAAACCTGAGATGGATAATATAAGTTAAGGTTGTCTTATTTTTAAAAAACCTTATTTCCCACCTCTCTCTTTCTCTTTTTCATGGTGTCATTCCCACGGCTCTCTTTTAAGGAAGTGAAATCAGACTGATAGAATATTTACCTGTGAGGATAGATACCTGTGTCAACGTTTCCCAGAGTGGGCTCTGATTCTGGGATTAAGGAAGGCAGCTGCATGACATTGGTCCTCCTACTCGTCTTTCTATGATCTCTGCAGACATTGCTAAGTGATCACAGAATTATTCCCACTAAGCTGGACACAGCCTCAAAATAGGGTGACCATGTAATTTACTATGCAAACCAGGACACTTTTGAAAGTTAAAAAGGGGAAATAATTTTGATTCATAATGATGTCTGAACAACAGGCATAAACTGGATGGCCCTCCGAAGACCAGGGTGTTTGGACATCCTACTTTAAAATCCGCCCAACCTAGTGTTCCTGGTAGCCATTACCAATCTATCACCAAACTTGGAGCATGAGATCCACATTATTTGCCTTTCCAGGTGTGATCATGTGTGGCTGCGGAGGAAGGTATGTCCCTCCAAGGACACACAATCCAAACCATCTGTTCTGCCACATCTGGGATCAGAAACCAGGGCTAGCTAGTTTCAGTCTTCTTCATCCCCTCCCATGCCTGGGCAGCCAGCCACACCATCTTCAGGGAGCGACCCACTCCTCTGTATTTCTGAGACTCCAGGACAGCAGGTCTCTGCATGGCATCCTTCACAAGGAAGGCTGCAGGCCTCACATCTCACAAGATGTTCTCAGAAACAGCATGCAAGTATCTGACTCAGAAAATTGGCTTTAGAAGACCTTGCTGGCTCCTTGAAGAACTGAATGGGGTAGGCCCTTGTTATGTAGGGGTTGAGAGTCTGGAAGCAGTGGAGTCTACAGAGGGGCTCCACTATCAGGGTAACGGCCTTCCTTGGTTCAACTGCATTTTCTGACACCTTCACATTTAGAGTGGCTAGAAGGGGGCTGCCAATGGCACCCCCAAATCTCTTGCTGGCTAATTTATCTGAGGATTCCTAGTGGCTGGCCCAGGGCCTGGTACTCAGTGGATGGCCACAGAGTAAAATGAAGGGGGAACGAAGGATTTTTCTCTTGCGTGGAAATGCTCATGGCTGACAACCTCCACCTCTTCAGTTCACAGATGTGGAAACTGAGGATCAGAGGGGATCTCTGGTCCTCAAGGTCACCCAACGAATTCATGGCAGGGCTGGGATTCCCAAGCCTGGAGCTCCTGACCTATTTCCCCTGCTTTGGCACCATCTGAAACATCTGTGAAATGGGCACAATCAAAGGTGGCTATCTGTGAATAAAGTCATTGTCCCCATCCAACAGAAGGTGATACGTTTCTTTAAGAATGAATAAAAAGCCAGACCCTAGCGTGAAGGGATGAAAATAAACATTCATCCAGCTCCTACTGAATACCAGGATGATTCTTATGTTAATTTAATACTAACTTGTTCTTCTGTATGTTCCCCAAATTCTACAAGGCGGGGATGATCTTTTCATTTCACAGACAGGGAAGCAGACCCAGAGAGGTTAATGGAGTCCACAATTATGGCGAGTGGCGGAGCTGGCACTTGAGCCTGAACCTGTCCTGATTTGAGGATCCCCTCTCGCCATCGCTCCTTTCTGCTCCATGCTAATGGGGCACATTTAGTGTTCTTTCAAACCCTGCTCAGTCTGCAGATGAGGTGCATTATCAGTACAATTGACCCCCAAACAATGCAGGGGTTAAGGGTGCTGAGCCCCCAGCTGTGCACAGACACAAATCTGCATATAACTTTTTACTCCCGAAAGCTTAACAACCAAGAGCCTAAAGTTGACCAGAACCCTTACTGAGAGCATAAACTGTGGGATAACACATATTTTGGATTATATATATACATTCTTACAATAAAGTAAGCTAGGGAAAAGAGAATGTTATTAAGAAAACCACAAGGAAGAGAAAATATATTTACTATTGATTAAATGAAGTGGATCATCATAAAGGTCATCAACCTGGTCACCTTCAAGGTGAGTAGGCTGAGGGGAGAAGAGGAGGGGCTGGTCTTGCTGTCTCAGAGGTTGCAGAGGTGGAAGAAAATCCACGTAATTCAAACCCACCTCCTGTTTCTTGAGCACTGACCACGGGCCTGGCACAACCAGAGCTATTGCACCAATCCTTACTGGGGCCTCCATTTTACCGATGAGGAGACTGAGGCTCAGAGAAGAATGGCCACACAGAGAGGAGAAGCATAGCCAGGATCTGAACACTCTCTCCTAAGCCGTAGTGTGTCTCCCGGACAGGCTCAGTGGAGGATGCCTCGTCCTGGCCTGGACTGTCCCAGGCTCCCCAGGGCCAGTAAAGAACAGCACCTGCCTTGTCCCTAATTCCTCCCTTACATCCGTGGTATCTGGGTGGGCCACAGGGGAGACAGCTGGAAAGTGATGTGGCTCCCAGACTGATGAGTACCATTATCGTCTCTTCACGGTGCTAATAACCGTGCAGGCACGTGGAGCAGGCCTGGAAGATGGATAGTGTCTCTGACCTCCCCCACCACGCCCACCTCTGTCTCCTGCCTTCTTCCTCAGGGAATGTGGCCTTTGCCAAGAGGCCACCTTTGGCTCCTCTTCCGTATCAGGAGAGGGCATAGAGGGAGGCGCTGAGGCATGCCGACCTTGGCCAAAGCATTCTTCCTATTTTACAGTGGAGGAAACTGAGTCCAGACTACATTGGAACAGCCTGATCAGAGGGCAAGGACTAGCTCAGAGACACCTTTATATCCCAGCAGTCAGCCCAGGGCAGAGCCTGGCACTTACATAAAACAACAGTGATAACAAAAATTATAGTAATGATAATGACCTTCACTGTTTACCCAGAGCCCTGAACTCTAACAGTCAGTGCCTTGCTTATCAGGCAATCTTTTATTTATTTATATATATATTTACTGATTTAGAGACAGGGTCACACTCTGTCACCCAAGCTGGAGTGCAGTGGCTTGATTTCGGCTCACTGCAACCTCAATCTCCAGAGCTCAAGCAATCCTCCCAACTCAGCCTCCTGAGTAGCTGGGACTACAGGCGCCTGCCACTAGAAGCATGGATAATTTTTGTATTTTTAGTAGAGATGGGGTTTCTCCATGTTGCCCAGGCTGGTGTCGAACTCCTGGGCTCCTGTGATCCTCCTGCCTTGGCCTCCCAAAGTGCTGGGATTACAGGCATGACCCCGAGCCCAGCTATCAGATAATCTTATGATGGAGGCACCATCCCCATCTTACAGATGAGAAAGTCGAGTCTCAGTCCTGTAGGGAATTTGCCCGAGGATATAAGATTTTGACGGATAGAAACATGATTTGAACCCAGGATCAGCAGAGCTCAAGCCCTTGTGCTTTCATTTCCCACACCATGCTGCCTCTCTTGTCATGGTTGCATCTCCAGTAGAGTGTTTTCCCTTGACCTTGGACTCTCTGTGCTAGAAGTGGAGCTTGGAGCATGCGTGGTAGGGTGCATGCAAGGAGTCTTTCTAGGTAAAAATGGTAATATTGGCAATGACCATTTACTGAGCACTTAATCTCTGTCAGCTCAGCATACTCTGAATCTGTGGGTAGGGTCTTATGGTCCCCATATTGCAAGAGAAGGAACCGAGGCTCCCTGAGATGAGGTGACCCCTCGCCCCCGCACTGAGGCCACATCGCTAGTGACAGGGTCGACCCCACCAGAAAAGCACATGTACGGTTTTTCCTGTGTTCACTTACATTTTCTTCCTTTCTGTGTAAGCAGATCCTGGCCTGGAGCCTCCTGGGGAAGATGAGACAGAGGCGTTCTCAAGGGGCCTCCCTCCCCATGGCCTGTCTGTAGCTCCGGAAACCAGCAGCCAGATGTTTGGTGTCCGAAGAGCAGGCTCCAGCTGTGGTCCCGGACACCCAGGGCCTCCTTGGCTGACCCCGTGGGGCTGAGAGGGACACCCTCAGCTGCAGGGTTCAGCCCAAGGTCGGGCGTGGGCTGGGGAAGCACCTGTGTAGGCATGAGGGCTTGCAGGAACCTTCTGGATCCATCCCCCGGGCTGAGGAGGTCCCACTGACCCTGCCCTTTAGTGCCTCCCACCCCAACACCCACAAATGTTAGGGTTACCTTGGGGCTGGCTACTGTAGGCCAAGCAGGAGGTTCCAAATGACTGGCTGTGTAACCTGGGCAGGTCACTCACCCTCTCTGGGCCTTATTCTCCTCAACTGTAAGAAGGAGTCAGACAGGCTAGATCATCTCCCATAGTTTCTCTGGCCCTCAAAGAACCCAGATAGCAGCCCAGAAAGACAACACTGCCTCCCATCAGGGCTTTCACAAAGGATTTTCCCTCTGGGCTCCACAGTGTCCCTATCTGTAAAATGGGTCTCATTATAATGCCTACCTCATGGTTAATGTGATGATCTTAGCGGGGCTCTACCCAGGATCCACACTGAAGAAGTAGGAGATGTTATTATTATTATTATTATTATTATTATTATTATTATTATTAGTTTGAGACAGAGTCTCACTCTGTCACCAGGCTGGAGTACAGTGGCATGATCTCGGCTCACTGCAACCTCCGCCTCCCAGGTTTAAGCAATTCTCAGCCTCCGAAGTAGCTGAGACTACAGGCACCTGCTGCGACACCCAGCCAATTTTTTTTATTCTTAGTAGAGACAGGGTTTCACCATGTTGGCCAGGATGGTCTCGATTTCTTGACCTTGTGATCCACCCACCTCGGCCTCCCAAAGTGCTGGGATTATAGGCCTGAACCACCTCACCTGGCCGAGATGTTACTATTAAAATGAAAAAGCAGCATAATCAGAAAACCCTCCAATGAGGGGGTTAAACACCATATTTTAGCTGGTGGGGACAGCCAGGTGTGAGGTCAAGTCCCTGCTGTGCCAATTTCCATCCAGGTGAACCTTAGTTTCCTCCTTCGTGGAGTGGGATTTGAATAACTCATAGATTCTGTGAGGATGGAGAAAGAGGAATAAAGGGACAAAGTTTATAAATCACACTCCACTTTCTTTCTCCTCTCTTCCCGTTCTTCCTTCCTTTTCTTCTTCTTCTTTCTTTTTCTTTTCTTTTTTTTTTTTTTTTTTTTTTGAGATGGAGTCTCGCTCTGTTGCCCAGGCTGGAGTGCACTGGCGTGATCTCCTCTCACTGCAAGCTCTGCCTCCCGGGTTCACGCTATTCTTCTGCCTCAGCCTCCCGAGTAGCTGGGACTACAGGCACCCGCCACCACACCCAGCTAATTTTTTCTATTTTTAGTAGAGACGGGGTTTCACCGTGTTAGCCAGGATGGTCTCGATCTCCTGACCTCGTGATCTGCCCACCTCGGCCTCCCAAAGTGCTTCTTTTTTTTTTTTTAAATAAAGCTGGGGTCTCCTCTGTTGCCCAGGCTGGAGTGCAGTGGTGGGTTTATAGCTTGCTATAACCTCAAATTCCTAGGCTCAAGTGATGCTTTGGCCTCAACCTTCCAAGTAGTTGTGATCACAGGCACGTGCTGCCACATCTGGCTAATTTTTTTATTTTTAGTAGAGATGGGGTCTCACTATGTTGCCCAGGCTGGTCCCAAACTCCTGGCCTCAAGTGATCTTCCTTCCTTGGCCTCCCAAAGTGTTGGGATTACAGGAGTGAGCCACTGCGCCCGGCTTCCTCTTCCTCTTTCCTCCTTCCTCTCCCCACTCCGCTTCCTCCTCCTCTATCTCCTTTTTCAATCCTCCCTCCCCAACAGTAGCGCCCAACAGGGACAAGGGAGGGGTGATGCCAGCAGTTTCTCCTCCTGTGGGTGGTCTGCCCTATGCAGGGGGCTTCTAAGGAAAGGAGCCCAAGATACCCTCCCCTCAAGCTCCCCGAGTTGGAGGAGAGGAGTATGAGGGGCAGGACACGTCCCGCTGCCTACAAGCACCTTTTCACAGGCAGAGTCACCTTCACCCTGGGATGGTGATGCACCTGTCACCTCAGGCTTCACTGTGGAGACTCAGGACGTCTGGGGTCAGATCTTTGGTCCGTTCCTTTACTGCTCTGAGCCTCTATTTTTCACCCGAGAGATGGGGATAGTGAAATTTGCATTGGGGATTTGCCTTGTTACAATGAGGGAATGAGATAAAGTCTGCTTTGGGGGGTTCCTGGGGATGCCGGGCCTCAAGGTGGGGTCCCCAGGGGTATCTCCGCATGGGGGGGTGGTCATTAGAGATGGAGGACAGGGCTAAGTTAGAAAATGCTGGGGGTGAGAGTGACATTCTGGGGGTTAGGGTGCCATAGAGTGACGGCCTTTTCACTTCTAAAGTCTTCTCCAGCGTGAAACCCCTAAATAAAACTCATCGGGAGGCAAACTTGAAATTTCCCAAAGCCGCAGAATCTCTGGCCTGCCCTAAGACTGAGGGCAAGGACAATCATGACCCCGCCTGCCCCCTGGGGTGGGTCTCAGAGCCAGCTGGCTCTCTCCTTGAGGAGGGAGGGTGGGAGGCCTCTGTTGGTTCCATTGTGATTTCTGGATGATGACAACCCTGGCTGGCCCTCCTCGTTGGGGGATGGTATGTGGGATTTTAAATCAGTCGCTTCCCAAACTTCAATGGGCCCTGGGAATCACTTGGAGCTCCTGTCAAAATACAGATTTGGATTCAACAGATCTGGGCACTCAATTTGCAGGGCCCAGTGCAAAATGACAATGCGGGCCCCTTGTTAAAAAATTGTTTGAAGGAATTTCAAGATGGCAACAGCGGAGCATGAAGCCAAGGGTGGGGCCCTTCCCACTCGGGGCTGCTTGTGTGTGTCTTTGCAGGTCGAGTGCCTGTGAAGCTGGCCTAAGACTCTGCATTTTAATTAGCTCCAGGTGAAACTGATGCTGCTGGTCCCGGCCACGCTTTGAGGAGCTGGAGTTTAAATGGTAGCCAGGGAAGCATTAAATGCTCAGCCGGTGTCAGGAGACTCGGGTTCTAGCCTTGTGAACTTGGACCACGACCTTGGCCTCTCTGGGACTCGGTCTCCCCAAATGGAAGGGGAGAGGGTCAGCCGTGATGGCCTCTAAGCCACCTCCCCTCTGGCACCCTGTCTTCCCATGTCATCTCCAACCCGTGGCCTTTAAACCACCAGCCAGGATCAAATTGCCAAAGTCGCCTCCGCCATCCTGCCCAGCTGGGAATGATTTTTAAACAAAGCCCACGTTCCTGGTGAGCCTATTGATTTCTGGGTTCCCAAGCCCACCACCACACTGCAGTGTCCTTGCCAAGCCAACAGTGAGGCGTAAACAGACAGCAAAACTCCGGCAAGCGAATAAATAAACAAATCACCACTGCAACCCCACCACGTTCCTCTTCGCCCCGGTGTCTTTTCAAGAACAAGTGTCTTGGTGACAATGTCCAGACATCAGCGGCCCTGCCGGGGAAGAGGGTAGGGCTGGGGCGCTGGCGAGGACAATTGGAATAAAACGGAGGTCAGACCCCCAAGAAGGACCGGCCAACTTCAATCCCATAATGGAAGTCTTGTGGGGGCCGGATTTTGCCTTCGAAGGCTCCCAGTGGACTCTTGTGAAGACAGCAAGCACTGTGCAGGGATAAAGTGGCTTTTAGAACTATTAGAAAGTGGGTGTGCTGGGAATGGGGGGGAAAGGGGGGCCAGGATGGGAACATTAAAATTCTGCTCCTGCCCAGGGTTTCTGGGCTCCAGCTCGCCATGCGAGCATCGATCTGTTCCAGCATTTGACTTTCAACCATGACAAAACTGTGGGCAAATTAATTGTTCTCCAGGATATTAAACATCAGACTCCATTAATCCTTTCTGAGCGAGATGCTTGCTGAATACTAATCGGAAGGGTTCCAGGCTGCCAGGGGGCATTTATCCTGCCACAGAGGCCCCAGTGGGTCCCACCCCTTCTCTCTCCCTTGGGCAGGGGTGCCGAGGGCTGAGCACCCTTCTCCACACCATGTGTTACCTTTATTTCCCTTTGTGGCCGGGGACAGAGGGGGAACAGGTGGACGCGACCTGAAACCTTCCCCACCCCCACCTGGGCGTCTTCTTCCCAGGAAGCCGTGGGACTGGTAGCAAGATTGTTTTATGCAAATTCCAATATCTGTATGCAGCCACGGCCGTGAGGATGAACACAAGAAATAATTGCCAAATTATGCACGTTGAGTTGGTTTTCCTGAGTCTCGAGCCCTTAAAAGATAAAGAAGAAACACAGCGACGAGAGTGTCTAAAACAGACAAACAACCTCTTGGCTCTGGTCGCCCAAGGTGGGTGGGCCACCGCGTTGGCTGAGGACAGAACAGAACGGAATCTTTGTGGGTTTTGAGGGGGATGGAGTGGTAGGCCCTGCATGGGAGTCAGGGGGTCTGAGCTCCAGGCTGCCACCAAATTGCAAGGTGTCTTTGAGCAAGTCACTTCCCTTCTTGCAGCCTCAGTTTCCCATTTGCAGAAGGGGAAGATAGCCAAAGCCTGACAATGCTGTCATTTGAAATGTGGATGGGGCGTAGCGGGGGGATCCCACTGGGCTCGAGGCAGGGCTGACCAAATGGGCACAGCAGGGGTCTGTGGGGACAGGGAAGATCTCTGGGGCTTCAGCTTGCTCTGCAAATCGCGCTTGTCTCTTTTTCTATGGCAACAACTCTTTTATCCATAGGGTTTTGGTGCAATCAACTCATGTCAGGGAGGCTGGTTGAGAACATGATCCCATTTCACAGAGTGCAGCTCACAGCAGCAGAGGGTCAAGCCAAAGCTATGTCCTGTAGGAGGCAGAACAAGGATTAGACTGCCTATCTGTACTGTCATCCTGGGACAATTCTATCCTCTTCGCACCCCAAGCTACCTCTCCTGGTTAGGTGCTTCCTTCCCATATGGGGAGCTCAGTACTGCCCAGAAAAGAATGCGGTTCTTGCTTCCCATAATCCCAAAGTATCCCCTACACCAGCCCTCACCTGGGCTCTCATCCCAATTTAGCGAAATCCAGGTCTGTCACAGGACCCCTAAATTACCACTCCCACCGCGACCCCCATCATCCCATACATTATAAAGCACTTTGCACTAAGCTCCTTCCATGCCTCATCCCACTGACTGCTCACAACCACTTTTTAAGGGGAGGGTCCTATTATGATTCTTGCTTTCTGAGGCTCAGAGAAGCCAAGCCACTTGTCCAAGATCACACAGTAAGTCAGTGACTGTGCTGGGATTCAAACTTGCATCTGTCTGACTTCAAAGCCCACTGGCTATACTATGTATGTATCTCATCTTTAATTCTTCTTTCCTCCTGGTCTGGAGGGTGGCAGAGGCTTTCCTCACCCTTCGCACTCCTTCCTGTTTCCACCACTTCCCATTTCTCTCAATCTATGTTTTTGGACTGCTGTGGGCAGAGAGAAAACAGTGCCAGCAACTCACTAACTGTGAGGATATTTATGCCTCTGCAAACACCACACAAGCCTTTTGCATGATTTGGGGCTAAATGCAGTGTTACTTAATTAATGCACATGTAACACTCGAGAATATTACACCTATTAGAACTCATGGACAATTAACACTCAACGGGCTGCTGCCACAACCACGTCACATAGACAAAGGCTCCAGAAGCGCCTCGGTGCTGAATCAATTGCCCAGGGAAAATGCCTCCTCCCTCCTGCACTTTGTCTACTTTTGCCACCTTGACCTCAGTGTCTTCCTCTTCCCCTTTCATCTTTAACTTTTCTGTATTTAGCCTTTTAGCTTGGACAATTTGGCATCATGACGTATTAAAATGATGACATATAAAACCTCGTATTATACTTTATATTACATATAATACATTTCTGCTTTGGGAGTGTTTTGTGCAAACAAGTCTCTAGGCTCTGTGCTGCCAGGGCTTCTGGGTCATCAAATATTTTGAATTTCCTGCTTTCCCAAAGAGACTGATTTTCTTTCTCATTTTAATATTTATAATAGGAAAAGAAGAGTCACCTTCTCCAGGAAGCATCCCGTGATTTCTTCAGCACTTTCTCATACTTCTCATACTTCTCTCTACTGATACCCTCCAGTGCTTAAGACATCATAGACTCTATGTGGCCTGGATCCCCGTTGTCTCCCCGCCTGATGGGGGCGTATCCCAGAGGGCCCCAATTCTCACAGCTGTGAAATGAAACCCAGAAAACCTTTCCATCCACTCTCTGGGGCTGCAGGGAGAGCGGAGTAAGATTTGGTGCTATGCAAACCCACAGCTGAGTTTGATGCAGCATCTTCTCGGTACATTCACCTTTCCAATCTGTCAAATGGGTGTGCTGATCCCATCCTTGAAAGCTTGGCTGAGTGTTAAAGGAACCATCATCACATGTAAGGAGCCTAGCCTACTGCCAAGCACTGTGGTAAGCGACGCAGAGCCTGAATTACATAAATCAGGAGTCCCCACCCCCATTCCAAAAATAGTTGTTGAGTGCCTACTGTGTGCAAGGGCTGCAATGCAGATTAAGATACACATGACCCCCTGCTTCAGGAGGCGTCCAGTCTAGTGGGAGTGATAGGCAGTAAACCCACAAACAAGTAAGTAAATGGATAATCCTGGCACATGCTATATGTTCGGAAGGAAATATCTGAATGACAAGATGGTAATGGATAAGATTTTTCCTGGGGTGGTCAAGGAGGGCTTCCTGGAGGAGGTGTCTTTTGGGCAGAGGCTAAAGAAAGAGAAAGAGTTGACAGGTGACAAGGAGGATAAATAGCTTCAAGTGGTTGGTGCTCTGCCCATATCCTCCTGTCACTCACCACTCGCCTGCAAGGTGGGGAGATGTCTGCAGGCGCCTGCTTGGCCCCAGTGTAGAAGGAAGAGGAGTGTAGGGAATAAATGCCCCTTCCTGGGGGAAGCAGCCCTCCACCAATGACAGATGGGAGCTGGAGTATAAATACCCTGGTTTCCTTGCTCCTTGGGCGGATGACTCTGAGGTGAGTGTTCTTGCAAAAGGTCCTCAGCACAACTGAGCCCCAGTCACCCACAGCAAAAACTGGCTGCTTAATGGCAGCCAGACTTGACCACCTCCCCTCTTTGCCTCAAGTCCCCATCCCCTGTTGATACATCCTGGGATCCCCCTCCCAGATAAACTAGCCCTGCAGTGCTTATCTCGAAGTCTGCTGGTGACACCTCCCAAGCAGACACCTCAGGGGTCAGTGAGTGGCAGATCGCCCTGGGCTCCCAGGTTGAGGTTCCTCTAGAATCCTCCCAAGAGGCCTCACTCAGTCTCCACCCCAAGGCCCCGCCTGCCCAGGCCTGGGGGATTAGCAGAGTCCCCAGGGCTGGCCTTCAGATCCATCCCCAGACACTATTTCCAAAAAGGATTAAATAAATACGTCCAGCGGGAGGGGGAGCTCCGGCTTTCACTGCCCGCTGGCGGGAAATTAAATAATGTTCGTTTCTGCTGCTGTGAGCCGGAACAAGGCTGGCCGAGCTGCAGGGCTGGGCCAGGAGGCGGCCGCGATTGGCAGCTTGTGGTAAGCCCTAAATCAAAGGAGCCGATGAGATTTCTAATAGCAGGAGCGCGACTGGCATCGGCGTATAAATAAAGCTCCCCTCTTGAAAGACAGCTTATTCTAGCCTTGCCGCCAAGGATATTAAGCCTGGAGGACTGGTGGCTGTGGCCAGGCTGGACCCCCGCCAGAAGCCAGCTGGGCTGGGGAGGCTCGAGTCCTTCCCCAGCTGCTGCCCTGGCTGCCCCTGAAACAGTCCCCAGGGTTCAGCTCCTGGCCATGCCCAGCCCCTAGCTGGGTGGATGTGTGTGGTGTGTGTTTGCAGGGCAGATTTTATCATTCCCATTGCCCAGATGAGCACACCAAGATTCTGGGGGTAGGTGTTCTGCCAGAGGTCACACAGAACGTCAGCGGTCCCTTTCTAGGTGAAGGGCAGGGAAGGGGAGATTCAGAGTCATGTCTGATTCCACATCTCACAGTGGTCAAATGGGCGCAAACTGTCCCATGGAGGATCTGGAGCCACTTCTCAGGCTGGCCAGCCCCTGCCTCTCTGTTCTGCATCCCAGGCTGCTCCTTGCAGAAATGAGCCAGCCCCGGCACTTACTCCCAGGTACCTGCTGTCCCAGGCGGGCAGAAGGAAACATGTCTTCAAACAACCCTCATGATCCCCTCCTGTGGGCTCCAGTCTAGTCTGGTGGCTGGGCCCATAAGCTCTGGAACCAGACTGCCTGGGATTGGATTTTGTCTCCACTGCCCTGGCTGTGTGGCCTTTTACAAGTTGCCTAACTTCTCTGGGCCTCAGCTTCCTCATCTGTGAAGTGGGGATAATAACAGCACCTGCCTTCTGGTGTTGATGTGGGAATTAAATAAGATGATTCATGTAGAGGACTCAGCTCAGACGTACACCAATAAGTGTCCTATAAGTTCGTGCTTTCATTTATCACCATTCATTCATTCATTCATTCACTCATTCACTGCTGTGACTGCAGGGCCTCACGCATGACTGGTGTTCTATAAGTATTTAATATCTTATAATAATAATAGTTACTATACATTTATATAATAAAAATAAATAGTTTATTATTATTATTCATTAGAGACAGGACCTGACTCTGTCACCCCAACTGGAGTGCAGTAGTACAATCGTAGCTCACTGAAGCCTCAACCTCCTGGGCTCAAGTGATCCTCCCACCTCAGCCTCCGTAGTAGCCAGGACTACAGGCATGTGCCACCACACCTGGCTAATTTGTTTTTATTTTTTATTTTTATTTATGTAGAGACGGGGTTTCACTATGTTGCCCAGGCTGGTCTTGAACTCTTGGCCTTGAGGGATCCTCCTGTCTCAGCCTCCCAAAGTGGATTTCCTGTGATTAGACATGCAATCGTAGTGCTGGGTGCTGCGGGCTTCAGCAGGGGCAAAGGGGACCATGGCAGGTTCGGGCCTGTCACGGAGCCTAGGGTCCAAAAATCCCCAGGAAGATATTGAATGAGGCTTCCTAGAGGTAATAGGTGTCATAAAAAGGATGTGCAGGGCTACACGAGTGAAATCCTATCTGCTGGGGTCAGAGAGGCCTTTTCCAGGAGGGGTCATCTCCCAAGGGGCCTTTGGGTCAGAGGAAGAGTGTTCCAGGCAGGGGGTGTGCATGGGCAAAGGCCATGAAACAGGGAGGAGCAGTGGTGCCCTGTCCCGTGAGTCCCTCTGTGAGTCAGGCTCTAGGGCAGGTCAGGAAACTAGCAGGACGCAGGAGGGCTCAGTGTCCTGTGTGCGCATTTTGCAGATGGGCAAACTGAGCCTGAGATAACCCAACAGGCAAAGCCAGAATGGATCGGGGTTTGTTGCCTTCTGCTCCAGCACTCTTCTCCAGGGAGGACAAGCTCACGACAGCTAGGAGAGGTTCAAGCCATGAGCTGACGGGTGTGCAAGTCTCAGCTCAGCGAATTTCTCTGAAGCCCCAGGAATGAGGCACAGGAGCCCCGTTTAACAGAGGGGGAAGCTGATACTTGGTAAGTTCTATCACTGCAGTCAGCAAAGGAGTTTGGATTCAAACCCACAGTCAAATGCTGGAACCTGGCCTCATACCCCTGGGCTGTCTGTCCTACCTGGGGAGGAGGGATTGCAGAGCTGAGCCAGACCCTCAGGCAGTGGTTTCTTTTCTGTCCTTCCTGGGCCATGAACACCTCTCCAGCCCTGGCCGCAGCCGCTGAGGACAGACACTAGGGTCTTTCTCCCTCCCTCTTTCTTCCTCCTTCCATTGTCTCCAGATTCTGGTTCCATTTCAGAATCTGACTTCACAGGGTCTGACCCTTTTGTGCAAATTCCAAAGCCCTTTTCTTTGTGATTATAATTTTTTTTTTTTTTTTTTTTTTGGAATCCAACATCTCTTGACAGGAAAATCGGTGCTTGAGGTTGGAGAAGTTTGCTGCATTCTCCATGTGAAAGCCATTACGGGCCTGTCCGGGACGGAGCCCACGCATGTGTGCACACACACGGTCTGACTGCCTTCCTTGCGCCCTGGAAAAGTGCGTCCAGCTGTCAGCCTGGAGCCCGCCCGGCCGGATGTAATGCAAACCAGGCAGCCGGGAAGAAGTGCGTGCTTTAATCAGGGCTCACAGCTGCTCGGCCCCAGCCCCGCTTCCATCAGGTGTCTGTTCTCACTCTGGGTGGGGGGCTCCTCTGTGGCTGCAAATACAGCCGGGGTTGGGGCCTGGTGGTCCCGGGTGGGGGCTTCCTAGCTGGTTTAGGACCCTCTAGGTGGCATGTGCTTTGGAGCTAAAGGTAGGGGATCTGGCAAAGGCGATGCTGGTGGAGGCAGGGAGGCAGAGGGCAGCCCCCAAATTAGGTGAGTGTGTGAAGGGCATGAGTAGGCCTGCAAGAAAGGTGCAGAAGAGAGGGGAAGGGCTTTAGGAGCAAAAGGGAGGACAAGGAGACAATTGAGGTAAGGGAGAGAGAATGATGGAGATGGTGTGGGAGGGAAAAGGAGGTAGAGAAATGAAGAAAGAGAGAGTGAGCCCCTGAGAAAGAGACAGAGAGAGAGTCTTAGGAGTAGGGGCAAGGAGAGGAAGGATTAAGGAGAGAATTTTTTTAAATGGAGAGAGACAAACAGAGAAGAGCAAGTAAGGGCCAGAAAAAAAAGAAAACCGAAAAAGATCCTGAGATGATTTTCCGGAATCCTAACAGGAGGAGGTCGGAATCCCCGGCCTGGCCTCAGACAGGCCTGAGTTTGATTCACTTCCTGGCCCCAGGTGACCTTGGGCAAGTTCTGTCTCCCTCACCTCCTACCCCGGCCTCAGTCTCCCTGTCTGTTAAATGAGCTCGCCGGGGACTTGATGGTCTCTGAGGCTTCTCCAGGGATGCCAAGGAGGGTGAAAAATTTGAGAAGAGTGGGAAGGGGCGGCCCTGCAGGAACGCACTGGGCTTGCGAAATAAATCCCGTTATCTTGTCTCGGAGTCGGCATCTTTCACAACCCATGAAATGGAAGGATTTCTCAGCCCCACAGGAACACATTGCAAGGGATTTTGAGAGAAATTTGATTTCTCTGTTTGCTTTGGTCTTGGCCCTGATGTCTAGTGGCTACAGACTAGCTGCTTCCAAGGCCAACATGATTGTGTGCATGTGTGCATGCATGTGTGTGTGTGTCTGCACCTGTACGTGCATTGCTCGCCTGTGTGTCTACACCCCACTGTAAGTGATACACTCATCCCAAGACTCCACAGCATCCAGAGTCCCCCTGGTATCCGGGGAGACTGCACTTTGGCCCCTGTCTGGGGAGCCCCTCTTGAAACCTTCAAGGCCATGGGTGGGTGACTGGTGGATACCCATGGCTTGCTGTGACCAGCCAGGCCTCTGCATCTCCCACAGGAACAAGCAAAGGCTGACCCAGCCTTTAGAACTTGAGAATCCAGTCTAGGAAGGTCCTGACTGTGAGGAGGGCGGTGAGTTGGTGGAAAAGGAAGTCCAGGGTGGGGAACCAAGTCTCCACCTGAGCTCTGAGCTCCTTTTCCGCATGTGTGAAACAGGCATAGCAATGACTGGGTCTTCTGTTACCGCACTGTCCGGCCTGTGTTTCTGTGTCCTACAGAAGGACTGTGGCTGTGAGCTCTGAAAGGGTGGGGGCCACACCTGTCCCACATACCTTCGAATCCAGGCACCAGCACATAGTAGGTGCCAAAAACATTAGTGCCTTCCAGCCCTGCCACTCCCCACCCTCTCCACTTTAGGATCTAGGAACATCCATGTCTACGCTGAAGTGGAGGCAGTGGGCTGGGGTTTATCCCAGCTCCTCTACGG
The DNA here is from genome assembly GCF_000001405.40 of Homo sapiens. Classification (NCBI taxonomy): domain Eukaryota; kingdom Metazoa; phylum Chordata; class Mammalia; order Primates; family Hominidae; genus Homo; species Homo sapiens. Next base: position 27,434,262 of record NC_000022.11, on the reverse strand, counting down.
TCTCTCTGCAAGATGTTGGGTGTGGCAGTGCAACACTCAGGGCCTCAGTTGCTCCATCTGTAAAATAGGTCCAGGCGTGTCGCTGTTACCCACCTCTCTGGGTTGTAGAGAGGATAAACAAACCCCTTGCCTGCCCAGGGCTCTGGGAAAGGAAGAGCTCCATCTGAGGTCAGGTGGGGCTCGTTCTCGCCACTTGGAGGAGCACTGGATCAGGAGTTCTGTTCCCACACTAGTCACTGAGAGTCGTGGGATGCGGGACAAACCTGTTTTCCCATTTGTGACTCATAGTCTCTCCCAGCTCCCAGGGGTGCCCTGGGCTCCCAACTCTTGTCCCACCACCCCAGTTTGCTTGAATGGTCTTATCTCCTCCCTCTGCTCTGCAACCTCGCCTCTGCCTCTCCCCCACCCCACTCATCTGTTGGCAGAGGTCATGGGTGGGGGAGGGGCTCTCCTGCCTGCCTGGCTGAGCTTTATCTGTAATCTAATGCTGGCCCCTGGGACAGAGGTCAGGGCCACTGCTGGAATGAAACAGGAGGAGAGTGATCAAATGGGTCTTGGGAGGAGGAGAGAGCGAGGTAGGGGAAGGGAAGATGGTGGTGGGAACCTCTGAGACCGCTCAGCCCTGGGGGTGTACCTCCAACTCCAGGCCTGCCAGCACTAAAGTTACGTGGCCTTGGGCATGCCATTCGGCCTCTTGAAGCCTCAGCATTCCCCTGTGCACAGTGGGGTCAGGGATGACCCCGTGAGATCTTGTGTTGCCTGCATGGCTGTGTGGGTCCTCAGCTCTAACATTCCACCAGGAACTTGGGACTGCTAAGAACACTGAGGCCCAGAGAGCTGAAGTCCCAGCCAGGGAGAGGACAAGTGGGGATTTAAAACCAGTCCAGTGTGTCCAATGGCTGTGTGTCCCCCACAGCAGACTGGTGGAGGTCAAAGCTCAAAATCTCACTCCAAGCTTTCTGACAGTTGCAGGAAGAAGGTGAATTATGTCCCACAGATAAGAAGTTCTTACCTGGGCTGCTGCATTTCGTCCTTGGGACAGCTTGCAATTTCCTGAAGAGGGTGACACCTGCAGTTGTTTATGAAGGAGTTTTTTTTATAGAAGTTACCAAGATGGGCTAAATGAGGTGGCTCACATCAGTAATTCCAGTGCTTTGGGAGGCCGAGGTGGGAGGATCACTTGAGGCCAGCAGTTCAAGACCAGCCTGGACAATATAGTGAGACCCCTATCTCTACAAAAATTTTTAAAATTAGTCAGATGTGGTGGTGCATGCCTGTAGTACCAGCTATTCAGGAAGATGAGGTGGGAGGATCAATTGAGCCCTGGTGTTTGAGGGCACAGTGAGCTATGATGGCATCACTGCACTCCTGTTTGGGTGACAGAGTGAGACCCTGTCTCTTAAAAACAACAACAAAAACAACAACAACAAAAGAAAAAGAAAAAAGAAAGAAATTGCCAAGATAGAAGAAGCAGGGAAGAGCATCTTTGGTAGTGGGAACAGTGTATGCAAAGGCACAGAGTCATGAAACAGGATGATGTTTGCAGAAAAGAGTGTGGTAGTTCCATGTGCTGGAGTGAAGGACCCCCAAAGGAGTAAAATATGAGTAGACATTTGGGGAGGTGAGCCAGGATGGAGTGCATTTCTGGCTGGTGGTGGATGGTCTTAAGTAGATACACATTTAGAAAATTCTTCCTGGGGGCTGAATTGGTAAGAAGTTGGCAGGGACAATACTAGATGGGGGAGACTAGTTCACAGGTGGTGGCTGTGGCAGTAATCCAGGCACAGGAGCCTGACTGATGGTCAGGTAAGAGGAGTCCAAATTCAGAGATGCTTAGGGGTGAAATTTATGGCACAGCTTCTGGTGCCCAGTGGGAAGAGTGATGGTGTCTCAGTGGGCAGCTTGGAGGCAAAGAAAGTGAGTTTAACTGGGCATATATCAAGGCTCAGGAGCTGGCAAGTGTATCAGTTACCTATGACCACAATAATGCTGCATAACAAACAGCCACTGACACTCAGTGGATTCAACCTTGGACATATATTTAGCTCATGTATTCATGAGGTTCAGCGTCTCTGCCAGGCTTGCTGGGCTGGGCAGCTCTGGGCTGGGCTTGGCTGATCTTGGCTGGGTTTACAAGTCCTGGTTGGCAGCTGGCTGATCTAGACTGGCTTCATCTGGCATGGCTGGGATGACTGGGCTCAGCCTCACATGTCTCATCCTCCAGCAGACTAGCTCGAGTATGTCCTCATGGCCTTGGCAGAGGTACAAAAGTGAGAGTGAGCCCAATCACACAGTGCTTTTGATACTTCCACTTGCCTCACGTTTGCTAACATCCCGTTGACAAAGCAAGTCACTTGGCTGATCCTAGAGTCAGAGAGGAAGGGCACTGGGTGCCCTTCCTTGCCAACGGTCAAGGTTGGGGATACAGAGAAGGGAAAGAATAGAGGCCCATGAGGGGTTGACAAACCAGCAAGTGGAGAAATGTGTAACGCTCATGGATTTGAGGTGGTTGACAATGGACGGTCTCTGGAGCAATGGGAGGGAAGGCCACTGACCACCAGGCCAGAGGCTGAGAACGATGTTGGATACCTGGGGGACCCTCTCCATTTCTCTTTACCTCCCAACCCTCCTCTGCCTTCTTGTGGGAGAGAAGACCTCAGAGCTCAGGGTGTCAGTGGAGGCCCCCTCTGGCGTGAACATAGTACATACTCAAAAAAATACAAGTTGCAAGAACACAGCTAGTCAGGTTGGCAGGTTAACCCTTTATGGGTCAGCAGGCAAATCCCGGCACCAGTGTGCGCTGTGCATGGTTGTAGGAGCTGGCATGAGCCACAGGGCCTCTCCCTCCAGGGAAAGCTCTGTGGAATTCAATCAGGGACATGTTGTTGTTGCAGGCCCTGCTTTGAACAAAACTGGTGACACATTTTCATTCCAGAATGGCATTTGACCTGAATGAGCTCCCTTGTTATCTCCAAGGTTCCAGAGCCTTCTGGTCTATCTCATTCCATCCTCCCGACAGCCCCCTCTGCGCGCCCCCCGCCCCCAACCAGGGGATACAGAGCTGGTCCCTCATTTTGCAAATGAAGAGCTTGGAAGTGCAGCAATGCCTGAGGTGAGGTCACCAGCCAGTGAAAGGGCAGAGTTCGAAGTCCAGTCCAAGATTCTCAGACTTCAGCTCTTCCCCATGCAGCCCCCAGCCCCACTCTGGGTGGGTTTCATTCTTTTTTGTGCAGCACAAGATCTGTGGTTCGGCGGGGGAGTGTTTAGTCAGGCGGCTTGCTGGTATGACGACCCCCCACGGAGCCACCCAGCCCTCCTCCTCAGCCAAGACCGATTCCCTTGGAAGGTATTTTTTTTTTTAAAGGCAAGAAACAGCAGGAAAATCTCTCTCCCGCTGCTTCTTGTATTTCCTTTATAGTTTCCTTTGTTCTATATTTAATTTTTTGTTTTAAACCCAGTTGAAGAGAGATGGGCGAATCACCGATGGCTATTGATTTATTATTTATGGCAAATCATACGTTGCTTTAATTGTGTCTTTCGTCCTCTTCCTATTCAACATAGTTGAAGGACAACCCAAGGAAATCGTCCGAGGCGTCAAGAGACTCTTGGCAACGTTTCTGTTTATTTCTACACTGCAACCTGTTAGAACCAAACTAGAATCACTTCTTGGGGTAGGATGGCTCTGTCTTTTCTATCTTTTCTGAGACCTGACCCTGGGTCTCAGCTGAGGAAGTGGAATGAACAGATGTGACCTCTCCTTGGTGATGTGGCGTGGCTCCTGGGGGACGCCAAAGGGTTCCCAAGGCCGCTTTTTGGCCCCGTTGCTAAATAGCCCCAATCTCTGTGTTTTCTGGTGACACCAGCTTCTTCCCCTTTCATTTCCTAGCCATGCCAAAGCTTGCTTTGAGGAGCAACTCTCTGCCTCATCTCTGGCATCACGCACTGCGAAATAACAACAACCATCTGCCGAAATAATCATACAAAGAATCGCGATGAACAATAACACATAAGAGCTCTACGTGTTAGAGCTTTGCTCTAACCAACTTTGCTCTAGCCAAATACTTGAGAGGACTCATCTCATTTAGACTCAGATCCTCTTGGTGGATGGTTTGGTTATTACCATTTTACAGGTGAAGATGCTGAGGTCAAGTGGGTATAAGGACCTTGCCCCAAAAGGTAGGGGAGCCAGAACTGAACCTGGGGCCAACCGACTCTCAAGCCTGGGATCTGATCACTAACCTATTCTGCCTCCTTGGAGGACCTGACCCAGAGATTCAGTCTACACGTTCCTGTTACCCAGATACTGCAGTGGAAGGGCTGGGAGGGCATCCTCCTGGCTTCCTGGAGCACGTGTCTGTCCAGCGCTGGAGTCAGCTGTTGCAGCCAAGACCTTCTCCAGGGGCTGTGTCCTGCACCAGGCACCACACTTCCGGCCAATGTGAGGCTTCCGACCTGGGCAGGGGATGCTTCTGGTAGCCACATAGGTATGCATGAGTCTCAACATTTGAGTATGTGTGAGCATGCGAGTGTGAACACGTGGGCGTGTACGCAAGTGTGAGTGTGGGATTGTATGTGAACGTGTGAACATGTGGCTAAGCATGTGAGCGGGTGTGAGTGTGTTTGCATGTGAAGGCGAATGTGTGAACATAAGCATGTAAGTGTGTGTAAGTCTGTGTGGAGCGTGCATGTTTGTAGGAGTATGTGTGGATGTGCATGCACAGGGATGCATTTTGGGGATGCTGCTTTTCCTGTCATTATTATTCCCTTCCTCCCTCTCATAGTGACTCTAGGTCAGTTCCCTTCAATTCTCCAGGACCCCTAAAGGCCATAATCATATGGGTGGAGAAGCCGGCCCAACAGAACTGAACTCATCTTCTGTTTTTCACCATCTGCAAACCATATGACCTTGAGCAAGTTACCTCCCCTCTCTGGGCCTCAGTTTCCTCATCTGTAACATTGGTTTAACTACAGTACTCACTTCATGGGGTGATCAGGAGGTGCCTGGAAGATAGCAGGTGCCCTTTCAATGGTAGCTGCAGCCATGAACAAATTCCTGAGTGCAACAAAAGGAGCTTTCGGTGTAAGGGCATGTGTTCTGTGTTCAGTGTATCTCCTCAGGTGGGACAGAGTGCATGCCTGCTTGCTGCCTAAACAAGGTCTTCTTCAAAAAGGATCCTGGCTCTTGGGGTCAGGGCCAGGGAAGGTGGAGAGGCCCTGAAACTATGAGGAGTCATAGGACAGACCAAAGAGTCTCTTTCTGATTTCACAGGCTCTCACAGTGCAGGGCTCTGTTCAGCAGCTGTCTCTGCAGAAAGGAAGCAGTTTCCACCCAGGGGTCTGTGGTCTTTGCTATTTCACGGCAGGCAGACGTCCCCAAAGGAGAAGGCATGTATTGGGCATGAGTGTTGGCAGAGCTGTCTGGGGCACAGAGGATCGAGAATGCTCAAGTGGGACCCCCAAGTGATGGTAGAAGGGAGGGCAGAGACTGTTGTGTTCCTGAGACTGCTGTTGATGGGGACAGTGTAGGTGACAGCAGAATAATGATGGTAAGGCCTCCTGCATGGACTGTCTTTCCTTCCTGTCATCCCATCAACAAGCATTTATGGGGTCCTGGTGCCATGCTCTGTGCTGGGCAGGAGGGGCGATGGCAGGAAACAAGACATCCCCAGTCTCATGGGGAGACAGCATTGTAATTCAATAATAACCCAAATGATTGTGTGATTATAAGCTGTACTCCTCACTCTCATGGCGAGCCACTGGGCTTAATAGAGAGAATACATAGCAAGGGAACCAACCTGTTAGGCAATCAGGATGGACTTCCTGGAAGAGACAACGCTTTGGGCAGAAGATCAAAAGTATGAGGTGTGGTTAATCAGCTCAGAGGAGGTGGGCAGAAGAGCATCTTAGGCAGAAAACATTGCGTGGGCAAAGGCCCTGGGGCAGGAGGAACGGTGGTATGTTTAAGAGGGGAAAGGGGCCAGAAGGCTGGAACACTGAATGATGGGAAGGGAGGGAGTGGTGGGTGGGGCAGTCAGAGAGATGCAGAGGTGCAACCTCACAGAAACTTGGCAATTTTGGTGAAGATGTCAGAGAATTAGATGATCAAAGCTAGGTGTGGTGGCGATCTGATTAGATTCACATTTTCAGAATCTCAGATGGCAGGCGTGGAGCTAAGCCCTTCATAGACATCTGAAATCCAGTTCTCATAAGAATCTTCAGGAGGGTAGGTGGGTGTGGTGGATTAAAAATGACTGCCGATTCTTTGCCATTCCTACCATTAAGAGTGGGAGAAATATGCCTCTTTTTGAATCTGGGTTAACCTTGCAACTTGCTTTGACCAATAAAAAGTGGCGAAAATGATGTTCTAGAACTTTTGAGGCCAGGTCATCAGAAGCCTTACGGCTTTCACCCAGCTCTCATGGAGCTCTTGCTCTATGTGTTCTGAGCTGCCATGTTGTAAGGAAGCCCAAGTCACATGAAGAAGGCCTGGAGGATGAGATGCCTGTGGGAGTGAGGAGAGAGAAAGAGGGAAAGAGAGAAAGAGAAAGAGAGAGAGAGAGAGAGAGACAGAGAGAGAGAGAGGCAGACAGACAGACCAGGAACCCTGAAGTGCCAGATGTGTGAGTGAGTGAAGAAGGCATTTTGGAAGCGGATTCCCCAATTCATTTTGCCCCGGCAGATATCTCATAGGTCAGAAATGAACTGCCCAGCTGAGCCCTTCCCAAGTCCCTGAACTCACAATGTTGTGAGCAAGACTGATTTTTTTTTAAAACCACGAAGCTTTGAGATAGCTTATCACACAGCAAAAGATGACAGTGAGTATCATTCTTATTTAAGAGGTGAGAAAATGGCTGCTAAGAGGGAAAGGACTGTTCTGTTTACCCCAGAATCAGAACCCAGGGCAGGCTAGGTCCCAAAGCACTGTTTAAATCATGGTACAAATTTACAATTTATTTATGTTTATTATTGTAGAATAATTTAAAAAAATGGAAATAAGGAAACACAAAGTGGGGAGATCATTTGTTGTCAACACCACAAGTGATAGTAACTGTTAGCCCGTGGCTGTGAGTCCTCTCTCTGACTCTTTCCCTGTGAAGATATCAAGTGAGTTATTGAAATGTGGAGATTCTACAGATATTTAGAGACAGCAGTGGATGGCAGGAACCCTCAAGCCCAGTCTCTCATCAGATGTTTTTGGTGACTTTGCTTTTAGCTGTCATTATATATTTCCAAGATGGGCAGGGGTAGGGAAGAGGGATCAGGCCTAGAATTCACATATTTCCTTCAGGACTCATGCTTTTGGGCACTTCTCATCCTCACCTGGGCGCTGCCAGCTATGTTTATATTGGGTTTCTTCTCTACTTTGCAGAGGAGGAAACTGAGGTCCAGCAAAGGGATGCATCTTGCTGAGAGGCTACCACTTGGCAAGTGGGAAAGCCTGTAACGTACCAAAGAAATCATCAGGGACCATCCCAAACCACTCTTTCCCAAACCGTGTTCCCCAGAACACTAAGTGGTTCTGTGGACAAATAAGTTTGGGAAATGCCACATGTATTTCTTCAGTCTGGATGGTCAATGTACATGAACATAGTAAAGGCACTGGCAAGTCCTGCCAACTTTTAGAGCATGTATGTTCATTACCTCACTTTGCTTTATTATTTTGTACTGACAAATAAAAATTGCATATGATGCACAGTGTATTGTTTTGAAATAGGTATGCATTGTGGGATGGCTAAATCAAACTAATTAACATATGCTTTATGTCATACAGCTATTAACATTTTGTGGTGAGAACACTTAAAATCTACTCTAGCAGCCGGGCACAGTGGCTCACACCTGTCATCCCAGCACTTTGGGAGGCTAAGGAGGACAGATTGCTTGAGCCTAGGAGTTTGAGACCTGCCTAGGCAACATAGTGGGACCCCAGCTCTACAAAAAGTAGAAAAAGTTAGCTGGGCATAGTGGTGCAAGTCTGTAGTCTCAGCTCTTTGGGAGGCTGAGGTGGGAGGAATTACTTGAGCCTGGGAAGTTGAGGCTGCAGTGAGCTGAGATCACACCAGTGCACTCCACCCTGAGTAACAGAGCAAAACCCTGTCTTAAAAAGAAAAAAATCTGCTCTAGCAATTTTCAAGAATATACTACATTGTTATTAACCATAGTCACCTTGTGGTACAATCAATCGATCTCTTGAACTTTTTTTTTTTTTTTTTTGAGACGGAGTCTCACTCATCACCCAGGCTGGAGTGGAGTGGCTTGATCTTGACTCACTGCAACCTCCACCTCCCAAGCTCAAGCGATTCTCCTGCTTCTGCCTCCCGAGTAGCTGGGACTGCAGGCATTTGCGATCACACCCAGCTAGTTTTGTATTTTTACCACGTTTTAACATTCACCATGTTGGTCAGGCTGGCTATAAGCATGTATCCAAGGATTGCCATGGGGTGGGCCTTGTCCCAAGCTCATTTTATACTTTTACCACATGTAATTTACAGTAGATGAGAGAATGACTGTGAAGCCCTTTCAACTGCAAAATGTAATATGACTTTTCATCAGTAGGGTGTAAGTGACCGAAGCCCTGGTCATTTGCTATGAGCAGGTCCTCCAGGGGTGGTTGGAAAAAGAGGAGCAGAGCCTTGGTAATGATGTGCAGGGGGAGGAAGACGATGGAGAAGGGAAGGAAGATGTTGGAGAGGGCAGGAGAAGGAGTGGCAAATGACAAAACAAGAACCAAAAGATCTTGCTGAGATGACCAAACTGTGCGCCACCCTCTCCTCCTCTCAACAATGGAGAGAACTCCAAGGTCTTTTGTGCTTTGACCTTTAATTAAATACATTTCTCCAAAAGGAACTAAAAAGTAAAATCTCCCTATATCTGTTAGGAGTCTTTGGTTGTAAAAAACAAACAAAAAACCCAGCTCAAAGTGGCTTAAACAAACAAACAAACAAAAAGGAATTTATTGGTTTCTATAACTGAAAAGCCCCAGTGTAAAATAGCCTTCAGGTATAGTTTGAGCCAGAGGCTCCCTTCATGATAATGGATGTGGCCTCATCAGGCCTCATATCCTCATTCTGTCCCATCTGAAAGGTCATGGATGACCCTCTGGTAACCCTCACTTAAGAGAGAACCATGTCTTCTGATGTCTCTGCACAATCTCTTTTCATGTCATGGGCCTGATTGGGTTCCATGATCTCGTATCAATCTCTGCATCCAGGAGAATGAGAAAAGTTGATCAAGTAGCAGGTCCTACTCTTTGGGAAGGGTGGGGCCAATCCCACCTAAGCCACACAGGTGAAAATGAGGAAGAGATGTTCCCCCAGAGAAAACATCTAGGTGCGCTTGGTGGGAGGAGGAAATAAATATGGAGCAGAAGTCAGCAGAGACCCAAGGAAGTCCCTGACACTCAGCATCTGCTCTGTTCTGGAGGACTCAGGTCCCAGTCTTACCCCATTCCATTCCCTTCAATCCTGGTATTCAGAGATCCCACCAGATGGCCCTGAGCTCTTTTCCTTATACATATTTATCTTCCTAGAAGATAGATAAGTCTTGTGGGGGTCTCCCCACAAGACCCCCAATAGGCTCATTTGTTTCTCCTCAGGCAACACCTTTTATTTTCCCACCTCCACATTTGCTGCTGCTCTTGTCTTTGCCATGAGCTTCTCTCATAATCTCCTTTGCAGATGCTTTCCATTCCTCAAAACCCTGCTCTGACATCACCTCCTCTATGAGGCACTCATGGAGAGATACCATCTCTGGGACTCTCAAAATGCAATCTGTACCAGAACATAGCTGTCACCAGGGAGGCAGCTGGTTTGATTCACTGTTGTATTGCCAGTGTCTGGGATGAACTGATGAGTAAATAAATTGCTTTTCTCCTCTGCTGTGCCATCAACTTTAGGAGGTCAGAAACTATTTGGAAAAAGAAAGAGGGTGGATTTTGGAATCAACAGACTGGTTTGGAGTCCTGGCTCCCCCTTCTGATAGCCGTGGCACCCTGATTCTGTGTACATTTGCAAAATGGTGATAATTACACTTCCCTCGATGACTGTAAAATACCTGGCCCATTGTGGTACATCATTGGTGCTCACTGGTGAAAAAGAGCCCAGGAGCCAAAGCCTCCTTGCTTGGAGCAATGATCAAAGTTTCCAACATAGGGTCTGTGTCTTTTGAAACAGACAGGGCCATAGGCCCCTTTCACAAGGATCTGTTTGCACATGTGCTGAAGAAAATAGTGTTGAATATGATGATTACAGGCAGCCAATCAATTAGCCCTTGTTCAGGAATCTGATCATGGCAGTCAATCGGTGATTGCCAATCTGCATGTTTATTCAGCATCATTAATTATGCATCACACAGCATTAATCCCCATAATATGCATGTGTGCATGCTGTGGAACAAGGCTGCTGGTCCTGTCGTGGGGAGGATATGTGTGTGTGTGTGTGTGTGTGTGTGTGTGAGCAGGGGCACCTCACATGGCAGCAGCCCATGAGCATTGGGCCAGAATGAGTGCTGCGTTTGCATTGGTCATGGAAGCTGGGACTGGACTGGATTCTTCATTTAAATCTGGAGTTGAAAATGGTGGATGGCAGGCCTGATCCAACTTGCAGATGTGTTTTGTTTGGCCTGAACAAAATGACTCTTTAAAAAAAATGGCTATAATATATATAGTCTGGGCATGCCAGTTTGCCACAGTCCCCACCACTCCTTATTGCCTCCTATACCATCTACTTTCAAAGTTTCCTGCCTGGCCCCTATGTGCATTTGAATAGGCAACCTATAGATCACCTTCACCTTTTTTTCTTCACTTCTTTTTTTTTTTTTTTTTATTGGCCCCTAAGTAACTCTTTCAGACATTTTTCCCTACTCACTCCCTGCCCCCACCAATGAAATTTTAATAGCACAGATATATTGGATATCTGTTTATGCACTGTATGTATGTCTGTAAGACTTTGTGCCCTCCAAGGGGAAAACTTCACCCCTGTGGAGAATCCAGGCTCTAGGTTATAAAGTCTCTGCCTGTCTCTGATGGTTCTCATGATGCAGTAGGGATGGAAAGTGGGTTGGCAATGAGATGAGCTGATCTTTGTAATCATTTCTCTCTTATATTCCCTGGATGAGCACTCCATTTTGGCCTTGCTGCTCTCCTTACTTCCCCCTAAATGACCTCTAGGCAGTCCAGACTCATTTTGTCATGCTGTTCTCCCCCTGACACCCAACTCATCCAAATCCTCAAGATCCAGGCATCCCGTCCTCTAGAATCTTTCTGGCCAATTAAAATACTGGTCCATGGGTATTGAAATGTCAGAGGGGAAAGCTCTTAGGGAGTAACAATTTCTAAACTTACACTTTGCAGATGAGCAGACAGAAGCCCAGAGATGGCAAGAAACTTATCCAAGCTGCACAGCAAGTCAGGAAGAGGTAAAAAACCATGACCAGATTTTAAGGCCAATACTTTCCATCCACACTACTTACTCCCTAAGGCAGATTTATTTACCTTTGCATCACCTGGGCCTAGCTAGCACAGAGGTGATGCTTGTGGAGTGTCATAATGCACATTGACACCTTAAAGCATTAAAGGCTTTGACAAGTCTTGCAAGAAAACAAACCATTTTAGTTTTGTGTAATACAGCTTTGTTTGAACTTGTGCTTGACTCTGGAACCTGTTTGTGACTGTAAACCCTGCTATGTGCCAGGTACTTGGGCTAAGACTATTTCTAGTTTTACAACATCTCCCAGCTGGAAATGACCCAAACCACATCAACAGTAAAACAGATTTTAAAACTCTGGTATGTTCACACAAAAGAATATTATACAGCAGTGAAAATGAATAGACTATAGCTCTGTGCAATAACATGGAGAAATCTCACTGTATAATATTGGAAAGAAGAAACCAGACACAAAATAATAATAATATGATTACTATGACTATTCCCTTTACATAAAACCCCAAAACAGACAAGGCTAAACTATGTTGTTTTTAGGTCTGAAGAAAACGCAAGGAAATCATGACCACAAAAGTCAGGATAGTCATGAAATATTGTGGGGAGGGAGGGAGTAGAATCGAAGAGAGTCAAGAAAGTGCTTCTGGCTGGGCGCGGTGGCTCACGCCTGTAATCCCAGCACTTTGGGAGGCTGAGGCAGGCAGATCACTTGAGGTCAGGAGTTTGAGACCAGCCTGACCAACATGGTGAAACCACTTCCCTACTAAAAATACAAAAATTAGCTGGGCATGGTGGTGGACGCCTGTAATCTCAGCTACTTGGGAGGCTGAGGCAGGAGAATTGCTTGAACCTGGGAGCTGGAGTTTGCAGTGAGCAGAGATCGTGCCACTACACTCCAGCCTGGGCAAGAGAGCGAGACCCCGCCTCAAAAAAAAAAAAAAAAGAAAAAAGAAAAAGAAAAAAGAGAAAGTGCTTTAGGTTGTTTCTTGCGCTGGCTGGTGGTTACATGGGTATTTGCTTGATAGTGAATCATTCAATTATGCAAAGTCATATTTTCTGCATTTTGCTGTAGTTTTTAAATGTTTTATAATTGAGAGAATAATAAAGGTTGTGCTATCCTTAGCTCAGAGAATGGACTCTGAGGGCAGGAGTGGAGGTGGGAGGGTTTGAGAGGAGGCTGCTGCAGTCACCACTGCACCGATGGTGGCCTGGACTGCAGTGGGGACCACTGGGATGGAGGGACCAGAGGGATTCACGAGGGACTTAGCAGATAATTTGGCAACCCCCAGTGTGTTCACCAATGTGTTTGAGCTCCTGGCTTTGAACCACTGGCTCCAGGACTTCCTGTTCATAGTCCCTGACATTCAGAACCAGGAGGCCAAATGGGCCTCATTGGGGTGCCCCCAGGACAGAGAATGTGAAGAGCTTCGGAGAATGCCATGGAAAGGCGGCCAGGAAAAGAGATGGGGAAGTTGAGTGCAAAGAGAGAGCGGTGAAGAGGCGGTCCTTTAGAGCTGTCAGCATGGGGCCCCAGGCGCTCCGCGTGCCATAAGCAGCTTCTTTGGATTGTTTTTTGGCCAACACGCACAGGTCGGGTGGTGAGCTGGCCAGGACGACCCGTGCAGATGTGGTTGCAGCTGGAGGGGGGAGGCGTGCAGTGATCAACGAATAGATGAAAACCCAGTCCCCAGGTAGCCCCTCTCCGGCTCCCCAGAGCGTGTTTTCTTGCGTCTTCTTTCCCACCTCCCGGGGGTGGCCGTGGTGTTTTCTGTCTGGCTGGCGATGCCTGGCCGTGCTCGGGAACACAGTCCCCTTCAGAAGTGCCCCCCGAGTCTACCGAGCCATCCAAGCCCTGACAAACTCTTGAGGGAAGCGGGCGTCGCAGGCCCAGCTGTGTAAATGTTTTTGGTTTTCCTGCTGAGGCTAGGGGTTGAGTCCATGCCAAGACAAGCCTCGCTTGAGTTTTCTTTGGCAAGGCGGCCCGGCTCAGGAATGTCAGGCAAACTTTCCAAGTGGGATGGCCTGTTGGTGGGACCTGGGGCTGAAAGCTGAGCCTGGGGTGTACTTTGCCATCATCTAATTACCACATCCCCAATTAGAGTCAAGAAGCTGTGCCCAGGCTGGTCAGATGGGAGCCATTTTCTCGGTGTGCCCTCCCCTTTCCTGGAGGGATCAGGGCTATTTAGGGGGCTTTCTGTGGGCTTCCCCAGTGGGCATGGGTGGGAAAGTGGCATTCAGCATCCTCAGAATGATGGAGCTTTGAAGGGGATGTGCCGACTCCATTCTGGGCCCAGGCTGTGAAATTGGGAGAAGTGGCCACACCATCACTGTGAGGTGTGTGTTTTTCTTCTTCTTGTTTAACTCCATTTGGCTAACTGTGACTTGGAGCTTTCTTGGTGGATCTCATGGAAGAGAAAATCTAGAGCAGGGCTTCCAGATGGAAAATACTCCAGTGGTAGGCAAACTACGTAAATGAATGGAGCTGGCCAAGAGTGAGGCAACAGGGAGCGGCGGGGACTGGGGCAGAATGGGAGCTCATACCCTTTCTAAAGGGGCGGGTGCCTGTAATTTCAGCACTTTGGGAGGCTAAGGCAGGAGGATCACTTGAGTCCAAGAGTTCAAGACCAGCTTGGGCAACATAGTGAAACCCATCTCTACTAAAAATACAAATATTAGCCGGGTGTGGTGTCACACGACAGTAATCCCAGCTACTCTGGAAGCTGAGGCAGGAGAATTGCTTGAACCCAGGAGGTGGAAGTTGCAGTGAGCCAAGATTATGCCACTGCACTCCAGCCTGGGTAACAGAGTGAGACTCTGTCTCAAAAAATAATAAATAAATAACTAAATAAATAAATAAGGGAGTGGGTTCTTCTCAGCTCTAGCAAAGCCCAGCTGCTCTGGGTGAATATAATTCTCATGTGGTCCAAACATCTGAAATTCCAAGAGAGACCCCAAAGTGTATTTTACGCGAAATCTCCCCATCTCTAAATATTGGCAACTAATTAGATTTTTTTAAAAAAATCAATGAAGTGCTGTATTAGCCAAACAAAATACATCTGGGAGCTGGACAAGGTCTCCAGATCACCAATGTGTGACCTCTGGTCTCTGAATTCCTGACCCATAACTGCAAGCCGAGTGGACAGATGGAGACAATGACATCATCCACAACAATAGCAATAACAAAAACCTTTTGTTTCTACTCTGGGCCACCCTAGGTGTCATGCAAGCATTTTGTATGCGGAGCTTCATTGAAATCTCACATCAACCTGATAGGAAGATATCATCACGCCTACTTTATCGACAGGAAAACTAAAATCTCCAAGAAGGGAAGTGACTTGACCAAGGGAACCGATTGGTAAGTGGCAGTGCAAGAATTTGAGCCCGGGTCTGTCTGAATCCCAGCACTGGGCCAGAGTAAAGAGACTCGCCTTGTTCATTGATTCATTCATTCATATATTCAGCAAACATTTATTGAGCTTTTACTGTGTGCCAGCCACTATGCTAAGTTTGCAAGGGTTAAATGAAGGAATACATGTAAAGTGCATGGAGCAGGTAAGAACTGCTTGGTTTCCTAGCTCATATTATTATTATTATTATTACCAACATGGATCAATTTACAGCAGGGTGTGTCCTGCCCAGGCATAGAGGTGGGGTGGGCAAGAAGCTGTAAAATATGAGTAATGTGTAGCTTCTTCTTTTGAAGATGCCCAGCCTCATGGGTCTGAGTTAGAAGCTTCCATATAGGCCCTGGAATTGATCCCACCATTTCTAATCTATGGAATGGGCCACAGTTTGCCCCCAATCAGAGTGATGGGGCAAAGAAGCTTAGTAGCTTGTGCTGGCAAAGCTCTAGACAGTAAGCTCTGGGAGGAGGCCTTGACTTTCTTGGTGGCCCCAGGGACAGCACTGATGCTTGTGAAGGTGCCCAGCTATGAAGGGGTGCTAGTGGGCTTGGGAAGGAGTCAGCCAGCCCTGCAGCATTGGGTAGGTAGAGTCAGGGAGTGAGGGTGTTCCTAGCTGAGGCCCTGAACCTTTCTCTGTAGGATCAAGGGGGTCTGGACTAAGGTCCCCAAGTAACCTGTCTGAATCCCAGCACTGGGTTGGAGTAAAAAGATTTGCCTTGTTCATTCATTCATTCATTCATTCATTCATTCATATATTCAGCAAGTTTGCAAAGCCAGACTAAACTCAGCCCTCCTCTTCTCACAAGCATTCACTGGCTCCCTATTGCCTCTTACATTGCCCATAGGGATCCCGCAATGAAAATGTGAATGAGTGTGTGTAAGTGAATAAGTAAACACCACATACACGCAGGCACCCTCGGGCTTGATGAGTCCTTCCCTATCCACCTGTCCATGGCCTCCTCCCCACGTGGAAGATATTTTGGACAGAGTTGAGTGGGGAGAGCCCAGAGCTTGGCATTCCCACTGAATTCCAGGAGACTGAGGAGTTGGGGATGCCTAGTATAGACACACGGCAAGCCCGAGTCCTACTTTTTGGATGATTCCCATGCAATTATTGGACGAGAATTTCTACTAGGAGAGAGGGTCCACCTCAGGCCTAAGGTAAACGCCAGTCTTGACATCAACAGCCACAATCCCTCATGTTTATGGAGCACTCACTCTGTGCCAAGCACAATGCTCCACATTGCACAAGGAATGTCATGGGATCCTTACACTTGCTTCGTTGTTCCCATTCTGCAGAAGGGGAAACTGAGGCCTAGAGAGAAGACATCATGTAGCAGATGTATGGCGGGGCTAGAATTTCAATGCAAGCTTGCTGTGTCCTGACGCTGCTTTTAGGAGCGCATTTGCTGACTTACATGTCATCCCCACTTTACAGGTGAAAGAAGCCCCAGAGAGGCCCGCCCACTGGCCCACAGCCATGTGGAGTGAACCGGGAACTGAGGTAGTTCCCTCTGCAACGGCAGGGCTACCCCCCATCCCATAGCCCTACCCCTGCCATGCCAATTTCAACCAATGCTTCCCACCCACCCATCAGTTGCAGTTCAGGGCTGATCAGACGTGAACACCCCACCCAGGAAGGTCTCTCAGGGCTTGTAGATGCTCCCAGGTGTGCAGTAGGCACGCAGCCCCTCCCCTGGGGTCTTTGCAGAGCCTGGAGCCCAGCGGGCCTCCAGAAGAGGGTGATTTGGGATGGAAACACACAGGCTCTTCCCTGTACATAATGAGCAGGGAGTGAGCTGATAGATATGCTAATTTCATTATTCATGTACATAATTACAATCTAGAAGTTGGCAGCTTTCTAGGTAATGACAGGAGGGAAGGGGAAATTTACCTAACTTTTGTAATATATGTGTGGTATTATTTAACTCTTAAATTAAGATCAGGGACCTAATTCATTTCAGGAGGCTCGAGGATATGAGGCTCCGAAACAGAGTTCCACCCCATCCCTCCTTCCTTCAGCAAATACCTACCTTGAGCCAGGCCTTGGGCCAGTTTTGGAGTTGCTATGGTGATGGAGGCTCAGCAGTGTGAGAAGGGCAAGATGGAGGAAGAACAGGCAGCCAGGGGGAGCACGGAGGGACCTGCCCACTAAATCCTGGGGAGGCAGGAGGGAGTCAGAGAGAGCTTCCTGGAGGAGGAGGCACCTGCTCTGGTCTGAAAGATGATGTGTAAGAGTCGTGCATGCTAAGGAGAGAGAAATGTCTTTGAGAGGGTGCTGGTGGTTGGCAGGAGTGAGGAAGAGCTTGGACAAAGGCCAGGAAGTGAGGCCACAAGGCATTTTTGAGGATGCTGAGCTGGCTGGAGAATGGAGGGGAGGAGCTGGCGTGTATTTCTGAGAATGGGCCTATCAAGATTCAGATCTTAAAATCGGACGTGCTCAGCCTCACTGGGAACCCCAGCCTGCCAGCCCGATGTGTCTGGGGCCCACAGCTCCTGCCTTGCTCCCCCCACCTGATAAGGCCTGGGGAAGGGTGATAAGGGGAGAGGCCCTTTTGGTGCCTGCCAGCCTTTGGCTGGGCACCCAGCTGGGGGAAGCAGGATTCAGGCATTCAAGAGCCCCCCACCCCCCGCCCAACACGCCAAGATGGGCAAGTTTTGAGCCCTGGCCTCTGAGCAGGGAGGGGGTACGCTCCGGGAGCAGGCCCCCTGCTGTCCTAGGGAGCCTGTTAACAAAGCCAGCTCTGGGCTTTCTTCCAACTGGATGTGGGGGCTTTGCAGAGGGGCCGGGTCGCTGTAGGGGGGTGGGTGTGAAATTCTTGATTAGGGCTGACTGTGGCCTGCCCCCTCCCCTGATGTTGCTCTTCCTGCCCCCTCCCCACACTTGAGGGAGAGGGAACAGCTGCACAAACACAGGCCGGGGGTGCCAGAGGGGGCCGGGATGTGAGATGCCGTGTGGAGGGGGCGGGAGGGTGGGAAGGTTGCTGCATGAATGTATTTGTGTGTATGTGTGTGTTTGTGTGTGTGCGTGTGGCATGCCTGTGTGTTTCACACATGCATGTGCTGGGCACGTGGCTGTGAGTGCGGGACATGGATTAGGATGTGGGTATATCACCTGTGTGTACATGTAAGTGTGTAAATGCGAGTGACTGGGAGTGTGCTTGTGTGCAGGTGCAGATGTTAAGTCTGTGCATATGCATATGTGTGTGCACATAGGCAATTGTGTTGCCATGCACGTTTGAAGCATGCACGAGGGATGGTGTGGTACATTATGTGGGATGATAAAGAATGGACATGTGGTGTGCCTGTAGGTATGATTGTGTAGGTGTGTGTGTGTAAAAGTTACATTTTGTGCATGCACATGTGTAGGTAAGGGATGGGTAGGGGTGTGCACATGTGTGTGATTGTTGGTCGTGCCTGTGTATATATGTATAAGCTATGGTATGTGCACGTGCATGTGTGGATATAAGGGTGTGTGTGTGTGTGTGTGTGTGTGTGTGTGTGTGTGTGTGTGTGCATGTGAAAAGGGGAAGGGCTTGTTTGTGATGCTTTGCAGGGGAAGACCCAAGTTAGGGCTCAGCCCTTGTCCAAGTTCTGAGTGACAACCACGTGGAAAGCAGCCCCCTCCTGGGATGCCCCTGGTCTGCAGTCCCTGCCCACAGCCTGGCATCTCCCCCAGGGCCCCAGGTCCTCCTGCAGGCTAGTCATGTATGGCTGCATTCCTAGGAGGGAATGATTTGTTTTCCCTTGAAGTCCATCCTTCTATAATTCTTTCCATGTATTTCTCTGGATTTGTAGGTTAAAATCCATCCCTGGCGGGGCACGGTGGCTCACGCCTGTAATCCCAGCACTTTGGGAGGCTGAGGCAGGCGGATCACCTGGGGTCAGGAGTTTGAGACCAGCCTAACCAACATGGAGAAACCCCGTCTCTACTAAAAATACAAAATTAGCCGATGGTGGTAGCGCATGCCTGTAATCCCAGCTACTCGGGAGGCTGAAGCCGGAGAATCGCTTGAACCCGGGAGGCGGGGATTGCGGTGAGCTGAGATCGTGCCATTGCACTCCAGCCTGGGCAACAAGAGCGAAACTCTGTCTCAAAACAAACACACACACAAACAAACAAAAAACAAACCATCCCCAGCCTGCTCCAGTCCCCCACCCAGGGCTCAGCTCAGTTCTGGGAATGCAAATGGTATCCTTTCTGCTGGACAAGGGGCGGATGCTAGGTGAAGACCTACTATGTGCCACACACCTGGCAGGGTCAGTTACACTCCTGCAGTTACTGAGCCCTTGCAAGTCTTGAGTGAAAGCTAAGATTTTGCATTAAAAAAGAGGACGCTGGGATTTACTATCACCACGACTAGACAACTTGCCTGAAGCTCATGGAAGTTGGGAACCTTGTATCAAAATAGAACAACTGGGGACCTAAGCCAATATGGGAACCCAGATCTGACTCCTGAATTTAAGCCCTGCCTTGCCTCATGGACCTACTTCATTGCATCCTTCCTGGCCACCATTCCTCAACCAAACCTTCTTCTTAAGGAAGGGGGAAAAATGAGCTAACAGCTGCTAGGAGATTTGGAATGAATGTGAAGTTCTCCAGGTTAAAATGGAGACCAAGGGAAATTCATATGATTCCACTTTCCTCATCTCTCTGGATCCCTCATCGAGCCAGTAATGTATTCCCCCTTCTTGCTAACACACTTTTTAAAATGTTAATAGACTGTAAATTACTTTTCTTTTTATACTTCTTAAAATAAGCGTTTCCTCTTGTAGATGGCAAGACGACGCTGGAGTTACGGGCTTGGTTTTATTACTGTCGAGATGAGATGGACTGGAGAGAGCTCATACAGCTTTTATAGGAACTATTTTATTTATAAGAATTTTCCTAATGTCAGATGGATGTGACATGCCTGGTTTCTTTCTGCCCGCTATTGAGAGAAGAGAGGTATTTAGCATGGACTGGGTCTGGTTCGCATTCCTTTGCCCTGGAAATTCTAGAATTGTAGAAGGAATTTTCTTTAGCAGCCTTAATGCGATAGTCTTCCAGTTTCTCCTTGCATACCTCTGGTGATGGGGAACTCATTTCCTGTTAAGACAGCCAGTCTCAGGTGCAAGCTCCAACTCCTTTCCTATACTTACCTACCCTAGCTCTGTTCTCTGGAACTGGGGGGGGAAACCTCTCCACAGTCAACTTTGGGAGACTCTCAGGGATTAGAAGGCAGCCACTATTTCCTGTTCTGGGTCTTTTTTTTCTGCATAGTCCTCTGACTCTTTAAATCCTTCCCCATCACTTCATCATCTCACCCATCATCCAAAATGTATTCAGAATTCTTTTCTCCAGGGTCAGAAGGACTGTTTCAACATCTCGTAGTTATCAAGACCAGTATTTCTCATGATCACTTCTGAAAAAAATCCCAATTCTGGTCATGTTTGTAAGAATTTTATGTTCGGATGAATTTTGGACATGCTGGGTTAGGGAAATATAAGCTTGTTGCTTTGCAGCAGGACTTATCAGAGCCTTAGATGATTGATACACACTAGGATTCTCAAAGGGAGTGGAGTAGGCAGCACTTCACAAACTCAAGTGACTGTGGATTCAGGGGTTTCCAAAGGGCATCCCAGAGGGCATGCATCCCCTAAAAACAATTCCAAAATGCTGTTTTGGTGTGGCTCTGGAGTGGGAAGTGGCAAACCAAAGGATAATGCCCGTTAGCCCATAGAAAACCAGCCTGTTGGTTCTGTTACAGCATCTCCTTACAGTGGCTTCTTATATTGTGGGTGCCTCAAAATGGCACGTGTGATGGCTGATGCGAAGTTGAATTCATACGTGACTCTCAGCATAGGGGTGTGCCCTCTATTTCCCTCTCATCCCCCAGTCCTAGCTCAGTTTTCCCATTATGAGCAATGAACAAGGTGGATCTGTTAGCCTTTCAAGGTAACTTCTAGCTCTGACCCACTGGAAAGCTGGGGCTTGGGATGGTTGGGTTTGGGCTTATGAGAGTGGTGTTAAAGGAGGAACAGTTGGACTGTTGGGGGACGGGGAACAAAAAGGAAGAGAAGAAACAGTTAAGGTGCTCTGGAAACAGGTCCCAGCCTGCCATGTTTTCCCTGTGGGACTTTGGCAATGATGTCACCTCTCTGACGTTCCGACTTCTCATCTGGAATGTGTAAGAGATTCATCTTGGCACCTTCCTCAGAGGGCAGATGGAACACGAGACCGGGCACAGAGGAAATACTCGATCCATCTGAGTGCCTCATTTACTGAGCTCTTGGAAGAGCTGCTTTCCTCCTGGGAACCCTCTCTCCAGCCAGGCAGGACTTCCTGCATTGCCTCAAATGTGCCAAGCCTACTGCTGCCTCAGGGCCTTTGCATATGCTGCCTGCTCAGCCTGGAACCCACTTTCCAGCTGTATCCCCATGGCCCATGGTAGGGGCTTCATAACCATTGCCTGAACTGTTGTGAGATGAAGGTCCTTGTATGTCTCAGAGAGGCCGCCCAGCTCATGCTCACAGTCTAGCAAGGCCTGAAATCTGCCTTTGTCCTACCTTGAGGGAACAAGCATCAACTCCCACACATGCACCCGTAAGTCTCCATTACAGCAGTTTCCAGCAGCCCCAGGGACAGGAATGATGTTGGCTGGGGGGTTGCCAGTTACACACCCTACCCACCCAACCCAGCCCATGGCCCTTGGTCAAGGTCATCTCTGCAAAGTGCAGACACTGTATTCAGGGCAGACTGATGATGTCCCCTTCCTAGGTTGCCCATGCTGGCCACCAACTTCATCAATCTTGAACAATTGGCCACAGGCTTGTTTTCTTAAAAGTGATGTTACCTCTAATTATCTCCGACAGGACGTGGCGTGTGCTCCTTATTCTCCCTTTTCAGCTCATCCGAGCACGTGCGAGCACTGCGGCTGAGATAATTGAATATCTTCTTTAAACCAACAGGCTGTCTGTTCTCCCCTGCACTGGGCAGGCATCTTAACGTGGTTCCGTGAGGCCAGTCTGGGGCGTCTGCCGAGAGTAGGAGAGGATCTACAGCACTGAAAGGCTCCACTCACCCAAAACGCCTCCTCTCATGGCTTTGTCATGTGCCTGATACTCTACCCTTTGTTGAGTCTTTGGGTTGAGGGGCATTGGGGTTGAGACCCAGGTGGCTGGGTTTACATCCCAGATGGGCCATCTTTGAGCTGTGTGATCCTGGGGAAATTGCTTAACCTCTCTGTGCCTTGGTTTCCTCATATGTAAACTGGAGGTACTAGTCATATCTCATGGGGTTTTTGTATGTAGAACAGCACCTGGCATGTAGTAAGTTCTGTGTCCATGTGGCCATTATTTCTGTCGCTGTTACTGTTGTTTTTGGGGAGTTGTGGGCAGGGCGAGGAAGGGGACTTAATAGAGGATCAATGCAGTTTATTCTTTGCTATTGTTTTTTTTAAAGACACGGTCGGGCACTATCACCCAGGCTGGAGTACAGTGGTGCTATCATGGCTCACTGCAACCTCTGCCTTCCAGGCTCAAGTGATCCTCCCACCTCCATTTTCCAAGTAGCTGGGATTGCAAGCATGTGCCACCACGCCTGGCTAATTATTTCGTATTTTTAGTAGAGATGGGGTTTCACCACGTTGCCCATGCTGGTCTCGAACTTGTGAGCTTAAAGTGATCCGCCTTCCTTGGCTTCCCAAAGTGCTGGAATTACAGGCGTGAGCCACTATTCACATTTATTATTGCAGGCGTGAGCCACTATTCACATTTTTAAGTTAACCTTTTAATCCTTGGGGCTGATCTCCTGAAAAAGGGTGAATCCAACTGTGGTGGCAGAGAAATTCACGAAGTTCAAGGGACAGAATTTCCAACCGGAAATGGTAAAGCAGCAAGGATCCCAGAAGATCATTTGGGCCCAGCCCTTTGCTTTTCAAATGGGGAAACTGAGGCTGACAGCAGGATCAGAACTTGCGCAAGGTGAACTCAGCGTAAACCCAAGGCTTGACGAGAATGGCCGTGATAAAGAAGATGCATTTATTGAGCGCTTATTATGTGCCAAGCATGCCCCTTGCACTGTTTTGTTTAACCCTTAACCATAGCTGTATGAGGTAGGTCTGAGAACTATTCCATTTTTCAGATGAGAAAACTGAGTCTCAGAGAGACTGAACAGATCAATCAGTCTGTAAGAGTGGAATCAGGATTTGAACCTCAGTGTGTTCAGCCCAGAGCTGGCATTCATGCCCACTTGGCTCTCCAATGGGGGACTAGGAGGCACTGGGGGAGGCTGGAACCCCTTTGGCAATTCAATGGAAGACTCTTTGCTTCTCTTGGTTTGATACATTGGGGATCCGGGTATGTGAGCCATGACTACCAGGGTTTCCACCCCCAGCAATGACAACCTCCTAGGAGAATTCTGCTCCCCATAGGCAAGCCCTGAGTGGTCTTTCCTGACAAGGAGGAAACCAGGAGACTCCACAAGGCTCTTGTGTGGGCTGGGTCAGTGGGAGCTTCCCTCAGCCCAGGCTCCTTCCCCAGCCTGCCCCATCTATCCCCAGAAGCCCCAGATGGCAAGTGGCCATCTCTGCAAAGAGCTAGATTTCCTCCCTCTGTCAGCTTCAGGTAATGGAAGGATTATTTCCCTGTTCCCACAATGCACGTGGCCCCGGGGTTATTGCACCAAGGAGATCTTTAAGGACAATCCATACACCTCTGCCTTTCGGCCTCAGAGCAGGATGCAGGCTGTGTGTTCGGATAGAAACGACTGTCCCCCAAAGAGAGGGCTGAGGTAAGAAAAGAAAGTTTCCCCCATTTTCCAAAATATCCCGGGAGTCTGTTGGGAGTGCTGGACACAGCAGGCCAGCAAAGCATCACCTGATCTTGCCTCGGTGCCCATCATTCCCTCCTCCAGCTCCTTGGTCCACACACCTTTCTCTTCCATCTCCAGAGGCCTGCTCTAGGTGCACACCGGCCCCTCTGCAAATCCCCGGCTGGCCGAACGGTGCCCTGGCAGACAAATGGCTCTCAATAATTAAACTGGTATTGGTTTGTTGAGCAGGTGGGAGCTTTGATGTCAGTGGCAGAACTTTGTGGAAGGAAAGCATTTCATTTTCTGAGTAAATGTTGCTCAGCTGCTATGAGATTTTTTTTTTTTTAGATGGAGTTTTGCTTTTGTTGCCCAAGCTGGAGTGCAATTGTGTGATCTCGGCTCACTGCAACCTCCGCCTCCCAGGCTCAAGCAATTCTCTTGCCTCAGCCTCCCAAGTAGCTGGGACTACAGGCATGTACCACCACATCTGGCTAATTTTTGTATTTTTAGTAGAGACAGGGTTTCACCATGTTGGCCAGGCTGGTCTCGAACTCCTGATCTCAGGTGATCCACCCGCCTCAGCCTCCCAAAATGTTGGGATTACAGGTGTGAGCCACCACGCCCAGCCTGCTATGAGGCTTAAACATGTTCTCAACCTTACCCTCTGTATGCTCACAGGACCCTGGCCTCAGGAGAAGGCAGTGTGGAAGTATCAGACTTCTGGGATGGAGCAGTGGGGCAGCTCAGAGCACAGGACCACAGGAGTCCTGAGACTTGAAGGAGGGATATAATAATAATTACAATAATAATAATTATTATAGAGTGCCTGTTATTGGGTCCTTACCATATGCCCGGTACAGTGGAAGCAACCAACACACCCAGACCTTTGGAGAAAAAAATGTCTACTATTCCCATTTTGCAGAAGGGGAAATTAGGCTCAGCAAGAAAGTGACCCTATAAGCGCAGGAGCCAATCAGAGCCTAGGCCTATCTGGGTCAAACTTATGGGCTTTTTAGCT
This sequence comes from Homo sapiens, assembly GCF_000001405.40. NCBI lineage: Eukaryota > Metazoa > Chordata > Mammalia > Primates > Hominidae > Homo > Homo sapiens. The sequence continues at coordinate 27,409,611 of NC_000022.11, read as the reverse complement.
CTGTGGCTGCTCAAGCTCTGTCTAGGTCTGTAGCAGACAATGACTTCCTGAATTACCCTGGTCGAGTTGTTTGCCCTTGAAAATGATGGTGATGGATCAGTCAGCCTCTACTCCCTTGTGGTCGCTTCTTGCGGGCTTGCAGAAGGCCGTGCGTTTGCTTGTGTGACAGTGTATCTCCACGCCTTTGCACCCTGTGAACTATGCATTCCTGTGTCAATAGAGCCTGCGCAGTGTGAACGGATATTCGAATGTGTGTGGATCAGATACGCACCCTCAGGGGAAGTCAGCAGAAAGGAAGCCCCAAGTTGGCCAGCAAGATCCAGTCAATCTATGCCATTTTCCTGATACCCCCAGCTCTTGACACAGAGTCTAGATGCCGTGGTTCTGCACGAAGTGTTTGCTGAATGGCTAAGTGAAGGTCTGTGCAGGCCTGGAGGGATGTATGTGTGTGTGTGTGTGTGTGTGTGCGCTCACGAGTCTATGTAGGTCAGTATGGGAGCACACAGGTGTGAGGCATAGACTTCCATAGTGGGTATGAGGTAGTTACGAATAGGCCAGGCAACAGCTGTGTGCGCTCTGGTGAACTCAAATTCTCTCGTGAGTCTGCATGTGCTTGTGTAAATCCATGCAACCTTTTCATGAGACCACTTAGGTGTGTGCTGGGTGCGTGTCACCCAGAAGGTCAGGGGAAAATGTGCAGCGATCGGGCTAAGGCCTCTAGGGCACACGAATCTGGGGTGGACTGCTAGCTCTGCCACAGGCATGCTGTGTGACCTGAACCTGGTGGCCTTCCTTCCCAGAGGCCCTACTTTCCGTAACATGCACACAATTTCCACACCTCCCTTGTAGAGATGTAGAGGCGTCCCCAAGACAGTATATGTCAAATACTTTACCCAGTGCTTGGCACGCTGTAGGTTCTCAATTAATATATTTTTAAAAACTTCTTGTGTACCACTGGAGTTGGGGGCTGGGCTCCTGAGGACTCCAGGTTCGAGGCTAAATTTGCAGGTCTGCCACCTTCATTTAACAAATATTAATTGGGAACCTAAACTAAGGCCAGGAACACCTGGCGGCACCGCTAGGTATTGTGTCGGGGGCAGTGGCTCTCACAGTCTCATGGAGGAGTCAGGCACAAAGGAAGTTATTGCATTGATAATAATTCCAGCTACCTAACAGGGTACTTCATGGAGGGATAAGGTCAGAGATGACAGGAAGGGCGTCCCTATGGAAATGGTACTTGGCCTGGAGTCTGAAGGATGAGTTAGCTGTAAGGAAGTGAAGAGAAAGAAGGAAAAACATTGCAGCCAGTGGGGACAGCATGTACAAAGGCCCTGTGGTTTGCAGAAGTGTGGTGAGGGGAAGCCCTGACGGGAGGAAGTTCCATTGTGGGTGGAGGCTGGGGAGGAAGAGAGTGTGGGTTAGAGGGGCTGGTAGGGGTTGGTCTTTGTGGCTATGGGGGAGAGGGAGAGTTTGGCCTCCATCCTAGGATTCCAAAAGCCATGGAAGGTTTAAAGAAGGATGTGACAGGCTCAGATCTGGGTTTTTGAAAACTGCCTCTGGCTACCCCAAACCTGGAGTGGACAGCAGCCTTAGGTTGGGAGAGACATGTAGCTGATCCTTCCATGTTAACCTGTCCTGCCAGGGTGACCCCAGGGGAAGGATGTGGCCAGCACAGCCTGTCGGGAGGCAGGGAGCCCAGGTCCCCCTTCGCCTCCAAGCTGGTGGGCTCATTTACATGATTCCTGCTTAATTCTCCCAGGGTATGCAAATGTATGCAAACCACAATCCAGGAGAGGCAAAAATAGCAGGGCGCATTAGCATCCCCCACAGGAATATTGTTTTATGCAAACGATGTGCTTGGAGCCTGCTGAGCAGGCGGAAATGAAAGATGCCTTCCTGGGGGCTCCGGCGAGTCCACCCACCTGACCTTTGCCCTCCAGGACCCTGGCCAGGCCCCTGCTGGGAGGGAAAAGCTCTGGGGTATGGAGGCAGGTGGTGGGTGGAAGACCCTGGCTGCCCAGTGGACAGGGGCCAGTTCAGGGTCCACGGGGTGGGAGGACCCCTGATCCCGCCGCTACCCTCGTCGTGCCCTGGCCTCCACCCTCTGACTGTCTGGTCTTCCTCCCTCCTCTATTCCCCTTCCTCTGCCCTCTGTATGTTGTCGCCTTCCTCTTTGCTTCTCTCTCTCTGATCATTTTTTCTCTTCTCAGCCTCCTCCGGCCTTTCCTTCTCTGCTGAGTCTCTGCCTGACCTCCTGGTCTGCTACCCCAGAATTTGCTCTCGTGCCCCTTGGTCCTTGTCTCACCCCGGGTCTCCATCTTCTGCCCCTCCTCGCATCTCTCCCTGTCTCTGTGGCACCCCGCCGCTTTGTCCCTGTCTGTCTCTGCGATTTCCTGGCTCCCAGTCTCTGTCTCTCTCTCAGTCTGTATCCCCGTCATCTGTCTGTCTGTCTCCATCTCAATATGCACCTCTCTTCACTCCCTTCTTTCTGGCTCTGTCGCTCCCTCTCTGTTTTGTTCGGTTTTGATTTAATTTGTTTTTCTGGCGCTCTCTCTTGTTCTCTTCCTGTCGTTGTCTCTACGCTGCGTCTCCGTCTATTTCATGATCTCTCTGTCACTTTTGCTCTGTATCCCCCACCCCACGTCTCCCTCCTTGCCTCTGCTCTGCTTCTTCTTCCTTAAGAGACCTGGAGACCATCCCAGGACTCACGGCAGCAACCCTTGCTCACATCTGGAGCAGGGGCTATTGGGCGATGTGGGGAGAAGCAGGGACGCCTTCATGCCCCCAAATTCCAGTGGTCACCCAGACCCCTGATGGCAGCCCACAGGAAGGAGCCTGGTCTAGACAGGCTGTGGGTTTTGAGAAGAGGCTGAGCCTTCCCTGATCCCTGGAGGCCTAGGTCTGGCTATGCTGGCCCAAGCTTGCCTGAGGCTGAGGCTGGAATGTTGGGGAGAGAGTAGATAGGAATTAGGCCTGGTTCCCTCTGGGCAGGGACATGTCCTGGCAGCAGATACTTCCTGGCTGTGTGATCTCTGCAAATGGTTTCATCTTTCTGAGCCTCAGTTTCCATCTCTGTAAAATGGGTCAGTACTGGTGTCCAAGTCTTGGATTGGTTGTGGGACTGGCCTGACTCATTGCCATTGTTTACATGTGTTGCACTTACTCAATATTAACCACTACTGTCATGATTGTCATTGCTCCCATATTTCCACTTAAGCTCTTGGTGCCTCAGTTTCCTCATCTGGAATATGGAAAGACTATCTCCTGCCTTTGGGTTGTTGTGGAAACTGGATGATACAGTTGCAAACTTGGCACATAGTAGGTGTTCAATAAACTACCTTTTAAAGTCTTCTTAGACTAGCTGCATGACTTTGGTAAAGGCATGGCTGCCCCTTTCTGGGCCTCAGTTTCCCCACCTGGAAGGAGGTCAGCGCAGAGCACCCTCTGAGGTCTCCTGGCCAAGCTGCACTGGACTGGGGCTCCTCGGGTGGCTGCCAGTCGGTGGTGACTCCACAGTGCCACCAAGTGGCCACCCATGTCACCATGGGGCAAACTTGGGGGCTGGGGACCGACCTGTGTCTAACCTCCCTATCCCTGCTGCAACCCCAGGCCCATTACACAGATGTAACAAGGGCCCAGAGGGGAAGAGCTATGCCCAAGGGCATGCGGCCATGAGTAGAGAGGAAAGCCTAGATTTCTGGGGCTGGATCTCGCTTAGACTTGCTGGGTGACGTTGGGGCAGTGCATTCCCCTCTCTGAGCCATGCTATCCTCACCACATCAGACTGGCCTGGAGGCTTCCTCCAGCAGCCACATCCTCCATCCCTGTGGCTGGTCCAAGGCTACATCACTTCGGTAGTTCACAGTTTTATTAAGCGCCTACTCTGCGCTGAATAGAGGATAAATAATACCAACAATGACAATGACAGTGATAATAATAATGGTAATTATTCACCAGCAATGAAAATGTTCTGTGGGTCAGGCCATGTGCTCAGCATTTGCTCAGTGCCAGCTCATTTAATTAACACGAGGTGGAACTTTCTAAGCACTTTACAGCAATTAACTCATTTAATCCTCACAACACAGTGAGGCTCAGAGAGGAAGGAGAATGCATGTTTTTGCCATTAAATTATTTCACTATATATTTAATGAGCACCTAGTATGTGCTGAGCCCTGTGCTCAGCCCTGGGGGTCCAATGGTGAAGGGCATAGAGATAGTCATGGATCACATGAGCTCACTGTTTAGTGGGGAGAAATACAGTAAACAAACAAACAAAAAATGCCCCGGAATGCAAACTTAGGAAGCATTACAAGAGATTGGAAGGGAATGAAGAGGGAACAGTGAGAGGGAAGAGGGAGGGAGGCAGGTAATCAGGGAATGACAGCCTGAAGGAGGAGGTATTAAAGCTGAGGCCTAAGGGAGGATTGGGAGCCTGCAAACTGTGGAGGTGGAAGGACCAGCCTGCGCAAAGGTCCTGTAGTAGGAGGAGGCTTGCCCCATCAAGAAACGGAGAAGAAGCTATGGCAACCCTCCAACCCAGGAACCCCTCTGCAGCCCCAGATTCCGGTGAAGTTTATATCAGGGGTTCTCAGCCTCTGAGAAAATTACCAGGGAGCTTAAAAAAAAAAAAAAAAAAAAAAAGCCAGGCACAGTGGCTCACACCTGCGATTCCAGCACTTTGGGAGGCCAAGGAGGGCGGATTGTTTGAGCTCAGGAGTTCAAGACCAGCCTGGCCAACGTGGTGAAAACTCCGTCTCTACTAAAAAACATACAAAAATTAGCCTGGTGTGGTGGCGTGCACCTGCAGTCTCAGCTACCCGGGAGGCTGAGGCATGAGAATCACTTGACTCCAACGCTGTGGTTTTGATAAACTTCAATGGCTTAGCATTGTGTAGGGGAGGAGGGTTTCTTTGAAGATAATATTTATCAGTAATTTTCCCCTTTGTGGCCCAGCCCTACCCTGGGGGTCACGTGAGCCAGGATGACTCTCTATGCAGAGTCCTGACTTCCTATCTTATAGACCCCATGTAACAGTTGTGCTAGTAAGTTAACCACAGGTGCCATCTGGGGTAATCTTTGCACCATAATGACCCCCGTAGAGCCTCAGAATGCACACCTCCCCAAAAAAAAGAGTGACCCAAATAAGGCAGCCTTAGGCAGGCTCCACTGAGCTGTGCCCAGAAAAGTGTCCCTCTGGCCATTGCTGGCCCATCCATGGGAATCTTGATTAGAGAGACTGAGGCCACATCTGCATGGGAATCGATTAGAGAGACTGAGGCCACATCTGGGCTGAGTGAGAGTGCTCTGGGATGAATTAGTAATGTCTGCTCTGGTAGCAGCCTGGGGGTTTGGAGGGGTCATTTCTGATAGACTGTAGCTACATTCAGGTTTAGGACATGAGGCCACCCCTGAGAGGTAGGAAGGTTCCAGGCCGACTCCATGGCTTGCCAGCTGTGGAGCCTGGGGAGGCACTAACTCTCAGAGCTTTGTTTCTCATCTGGAAAGTGGGTCCAATAGTTGTATTGTATTAGTTTGCCAGGGCTGCCATATCATAGTGCCACAGACTGAGTGGCTTAAACAACAGGCATTTCTTTCCCCAAGTCTTGGAAGCTAGAAGCCCATGTCAAGGTGTGGGCAGAGTTGGTTTCTTTCAAGGCCCCTCTCCTTGGCTTGCAGATGGCCGTCTTCTCCTCACTGTCTTCATGTTATCTTCCTTCTGTACATGTCAGTGTCCTAATCTCTTTTGCAGATAGGGACACCAGTTGTGTTGGATCAAGACCTACCCCAATGACATCATTTTACCTTAATTACCGCTTTAGAGATCCTATTCCCAAATAAGATAACATTCTGTGCTACTGAAGTTTAGAACTTCAACATATAAATTTTTGGGGGACACGATTCAGCCCATGAGTGCTGCAACTGAGGGTTTCCTATCCATCCAGTTGCCTGAGGCTATACAACAACAGCATAACAAAAACTTTTAAGTGATTTTTAATGATTTAACTAAATAAAAAAAAATTTTTTTGAGACAGGGTCTCACTCTGTCACCCAGGCTGGAATGCAATGGTGTAATCACAACCCACCACAGTCTTGAACCTCCTGGGCTCAATCCAACCTTCACCTCAGCCACCCAAGTAGCTGAACTACAGGTATGTGCCACCATGCAGGCTAATTTTTGTATTTTTAGTGGAGATGGGGTTTTGCCATGTTGCCCAGGCTGGTCTCCACCTCCTGGGCTCAAGTGATCTGCCCAACTTAGCCTCCCGAAGTGCTGGGATTACAGGTATGAGCCATCACACCCAACCTAAAATGTTAATTTTGCTCGTGGATCTGTGAGTTGGGCAGGGTTCAACAGGGTCAGGTTGTCTCTGTTTCATGTAGCGTCAGACTGAGATGGCTCTAAGGGTGGGAGTGGGAAACTTCTGAAGCTTGTTTGCTTACATAGGTAGTTGATGCCTGCTGGGGCTTTTGGGTGAAATGCTCGAGCACAGCCTCTCCATGTAGTCTGGGCTTCCTCACAACATGGCAGCTGGGTTCCAATCACAGCTCTCCAAGGAGAGTGTGCCGTGAGGAAGCCATAGTACCTTTCTTGACCTCATCTCAGAAGTCATGCTGCATCCTTTCTGCTGTATTCATTCATCTATGCTATTGCAAAGACCTGCCCCATTTCAAGGGGATGGGAATTTTTCTGCACTTCTTGTTCAGCAAACTTGGAAAACACAATTTGCTGTAATTAGAGACGAGGCTGATGAGGCTCAGAAGAGGAAAGGCTTTGTGCAGGCCCACACGACATGGGATGCCTGGCCCCTCCATTCATCCTAGAAAGCCCCTTTGAAAGTGTCCACTCCCCAAGCAGGAGCCAGTGAGGTGGCCTCCCTTCCCTAGGTCCCACATAAAGGCCTGAGGCTGGACCTCCACTTGGCCTGTGGAATGGATTTGACACCAGGAGAAAAATATTAATAAGTGAATTTCTGCCTTTTTCTTAGCTCCTTACCCAAATATTGCCCAGCAGGAAGTAATCAGAGTCTCCGTGGTCCTCCTGGCTGGCTTAGTTCATCTAAGACCCCCTGTTCTTCTCTCCTCCTTCCTATTTCTCTGTTTCTTCTCTTTTTTTGTTTCTCTCTCCCTCTCTCCAGGTCTCTATATGTTTGTCCCTCTATCTATCTATCTGTGTCCTTGTCTTTCCCCTTCTATCTCCCTCATATATTTGGATCCCACAGAGACCCTGAGGGAGGGACCTTCCTGCCCCCAGGAAGCATTGTCTTCCTTGGAACCATGCTGCTGGTGGTTCAGTACCTGGGTCCATTTGCTCAGGATGCCCGCCTACCTCACTTCTGGTCCATCACGGTGCATCCAAGAAGGAGGCTGGGAAGAAATGCACCAACTGTCTTATTGGTTTATCTTACTTAAATTTTAAACAATTAAGATAAAATTCACATAACGCAGTATTAACCATTTTAAAGTGGCCTTTGGCACATCCACAATGTTGTCCAAATACCACCACTGTCTAGTTCCAAAACATTCCCAGCACTCCAAGATAAACCCCTGCACCCGTTAAGCAGTCAATCCTCATCTCCCCCTCCAGCAATCACTAGTATTTGCATTCTGCTTTTCATGAATTTACCTGTTCTGCATATTTTAGGTAAATGGAATCATACAATATGTGGCCTTTTGTGACTGGCTTTTTTCTCTTAGCATAATGTCTGCAAGGCTCATTCTTGTTGTAACACGAATCTGTACTTCATTCCTTTTCATGGCTGAATAATATTCCATTGCACAAATAGACCACCATTTGTTTATCCATTCATTTGCTGATGGACATTTGGGTTATTTTCAACTTATGACTATTATAAATAATGCTGGTAAGAACATTTGTGAACAAGGATTTGTTTGAGTCCCTGTTTTCAATTATCTTGGGTATATACCTAGGACTGGAATTGCTGGGCCATTGGGTATGTTTAACTTTTTGAAGAACTGCCAGTTGGCCTCACTGTTTTACCGTGAAGACCTTGCTGATATGTTTAAAGGGATCGCTTTGGCATCCTGAACCTTCTATTCATCATCACTGTTTTGCCCATTTGTGTCTGAGGGCAAGAATTTATACTCACGAATCATGCACTTGCTATTCAGCAATGAAATGCTGGAAGGAATGTGGAAGGAGAGACTAGCACAGTAAGTAGACAGGGCTGGAAGATCAAGAATCATCCATCCATTCATCTTTCCATCCATCCATCCATCCATCCATCCATCCATCCATTCATCCATCCATCCATCCATCCATCCATCCATCCATCCATCCATCCATCCATGCATTCATCCATCCATTCATTCATTCATGGTATAATAACATTTACCAAGCACCCCACTGTGTGCCAGTCCCTGTGCTGGGCACTGGGAAGAGATGAATAAGATAATATCCATGCCCTCAAGAAGCTCACAATCTGGGGGTGGGGAAAACAGGCATATAAACAGAAAATCAGGAAGGAGTGTGATACATTCCCCATAGGGGAGGCTTTTTAAGGTGTTAGGGAAGCACTGAGGAGGAAGCAGCTGTCTGGGAGGGCCAGGCAAACCTTGATAGATGGGCACCATTTTGACCTGGTATTGAAGGATGAGTAGGAGTTCTTTCTGAAGCAAAGGCAGGGAAGCACAGCCCAGGACTAGGGAACAGCATGAATTGAGTTAGAGAATGTGTAGCTATGGGCCGTTCTTACATGTGGCTGAGGTACAGGATAAACCTGGTGGAAATAGACTGAAATGATTAGTAGGTTGTTGTAAAATAACTAGTGCTTTGAATAACATGCTAAGGAGCCTGCGTTCTAACATGTGGGAGGTGGGGAGCTATCAAGATTTACACTTCAGGGACTGGAGGCAATAAATGTAGCCTTCATGTCCCTGTCTATGAAATAGAAAAATTGTAGTAGCTTGTATATGTCAGAATAAACTGGGCTATGATGCAGTAACAAACAGCCCCCAAATCCCAATGGTACAAAACAACATGTTTGTTTCTGGCTCTCACTGCATGTCCACTGTGGGTTGGCTGGAGGATGTGCTGCTCATTTCCATTACCTGTAGTTTAGAACTTTGGGGGGGTAGAGCAGTCACCTTCTGGAGTATGGTTGGTCACTGTCCCAGAAAGAAAAGAGAGCAGAAGACCACCATCCCGAAGCTTCCATGCACAATACGACATATGGCATCAAGGCCAGTCCCGCAGCCACACCTCTCTCTAAGTGGGCAAGGAAGTGGAGTTCTACTATGAGTCCTGGAGAAGAACAGGGCATATGAAGTGAGCAACATGAATGACGACCACGTAGGTCATCTCTGAGCTCCTTCCTTATTTATGATAACAGACCTTTTGCTCAGGGATGTTCACTGCCACATTGGTTGCAACAGACTAAAGCCAGAGGCAATGAACATGTCCATCAACGGGGGATTAATTAAATGTTGCTATAGGCACGCTTTGAAGTATCACACAGCTATTTAGACAAAAATGAGGTCGATTTTTTATTTGTTAAAATGGAAAGAAATGCCCCAAATATATTATTAAATTAAAGAAAAAGTCACACCAAGGTACAGATTAGTATATCTGGTATGATCTAATTCATTTCAAAAAGATAAATATGTGTGTGTGAGTGTAAGAGAGAGAGAGATTATTCACAAATCATTTCTAGAAAGGTAATGCAGGGAACAGTTAACATTGATTACCTCTGAGGGTGGGAATTGGGGCAGAGACTTTGCTGTTTTGTTCACTTCTCCATCCCCAGAGCCTAATACACAGTAGGTGCTCAGTATTGCCCTGCTTGTAGTAGGTGCTCAATAAACACTTGGCAGATGGATGGATTACTATTTCTAAGGAGACAGATTTGACCTTTGCATTTTATCCCCTTCTGTGCGTTTATAATTTGTTTTAATTGCATGTAAATATAAAACACAGAGAATTTGATATTTTTAAAATGCGATAATTCTATCTTCTAATCTTCCTCCCCCATCACTCTGTGAAGCAGACAAAGATTTGGGGGTCCCGTTTCTCTCAAGAGGTACAAAGAGCAGTAAGTAAGTGTGGCTTTGAAAAATCGGGAAAAACTGCCACGTCAGTCCTATAAAAAAATACCAAAAAACAAACGAGGGTGTTCCTGCTTCTCGTTCCATGTACTGCGGAGATATTAGTCTTGCACGGAGCTCTAGGAGGCCTCCTTCGCTTGCCTCCCGGAATGAGACTGCCAGGGTAGATGGATCACTCCTGAAGTCCCCCCACCCGCCAGCCACACTACATCGAGGCTTCAATTAGCCGAATGTGTTCCACGTTCCAGGGACAGAACAGCGCTCAGCCTCTGTGAGATCTTCTGCCACGATCTGCAGCTCGCGTGTGCAGAGGAAGCAATATATATTTTTTAAATCTTATTTTAATTGTTTATGTGCTGATTTCTTGCCTGCCAACGCCCGTCCCCGCTCCCCCCGCCCGAATCGCTACCATCACCAGAGAAACCTCGCTTCCCTGTAAGAATGATGTTCTTGCCTGCAAAACAGCTCAGCTTCACTGAATCATGGGGAATGGGTGCAACGGGGTGGAACTCCTAGGGTGTGATCTCTGGGGTGTTGGTTTGGGGGTGTCAGGGGGTGGATGGTGCCCTGACTTCCAAGCTGGCAGAAGGAGAAAGACCTCAGCCACCACAGAGACCTATCATTGGGTCTAGACTGCCTGGGTCCCAGCAGTGCAACCCTTGGGTAAACAACTCCCCGTCTCTGGCCTCATTTTTCTCATCTGCAAAATGGGGACAATAACAACAGCTTCTATAATAGGATATGACATGAGCATTTAGGGAGATAAAAATTGTAAAGAAGTGCTGAAATGTGTTCACTATGAATATGTGTTTCCTTGTAAAGTCGCTGTCTGATAGACCGGTCACAGATGGAAGAGTGATTTGAGGGCTGAAAGCAAGTACTCTATCCTGGAAAGTTGATATTCAGAAAGCTAGCAGCCAACTCTGGGGGGTCTGATGGATGAGTTTCTGGAAATGGAAATACTACTGGACAAATGACCTCTAAAGTTCTAAATTTAAGTGGAAATAGAGAGGAAAAACCTGAACATTTCCTGCGATCTACATGCCAGGCACAGTGTTACTTATGTATGTATCAGAGGTCTGCAAACTACATCAGCTATCTGTTTTTACAGGACCTGTGGGCTAAAAGTAATTTTACATATCTAAATCACTGCAAAAAAATCAAAAGAAGAATAATATTCTGTGACACATAAAAAATATATGAAATTCAAATTTCGGTGTCCATAAATACATTTTGATTGGAACACAGCCAAATTCATTCTTTTACGTTTCATCTAACGTTGCTCTTTGTCATGCCACAGTGGCGGAGTTGAGAAGTTGCAACAGAGGACATCTGGCCTGAAAATATTTACTATTTCGTCCTTTACTGAAAACTTTTGCTGGCCTCTGGTATCTGTGACTGTATTGAAGTTTCAGACTGGCCAGATGCGGTGGCTCACGCCTCTAATCGCAGCACTTTGAGAGGCTGAGGCGGACAGATCACTTGAGGTCAGGAGTTGGAGACCAGCCCGGCCAGCATGGTGCAACCCCGTCTCTACTAAAAATACGAAAATTAGCTGGGCGCTGTGGTGCATGCCTGTAATCCCAGCTGCTCCAGAGGCTGAGGCAGGAGAATCGCTTGAACCCGGGAGGAGGAGGTTGCAGTGAGCCTAGATCTCACCGCTGTACTCCAGCCTGGGTGACAGAGTGAGACTCCAGAGTCTCAAAAAGAGAGAGAGAAAAAAGTTTCAGAGTAACACAGTGAGGCCTGTTGTCATTATTAACCCATTTTATGGGCACATAAACTGAGGCTTTGAGATGCTAAGTCATGTGGCTGGCCCCAGGACTGTGGAGAGGGTGGTTATTGATAAAAATTATTATTACTCCCAATCTACAGATGAAGAGACTGAGGCCTGCAGAGGATAAACTGCCTTGCTCAAGATTATCCAGTGAGTGAAAGCAGTGTAAGCATTTAATGCAGTGTAAGCATTAAAATCCCACTTTTAGGACCAGGCTGTTTCTCTTTGCAGCCACTCTTCTCCTATGGGGGTTAGAAGTGGATATTCCAGAGAAATTGGAAGGATCTGTCTCTGGTGGTTGGCTCATTCCAAATGCTCCTGCAAGCTGGGAACTGAAGCAGGGCTGCTAGTGGATTAGGCGGGTGGTCGTGGGTCCTGGGCCAGGCATGAGCTTTGAGAATCAGAGTGGGGAGAAGAAGAGGAGGAAGAGGTGACAATCAGGACATCCATGTCTGTTTGCTTTCCAGATTCCTCCCAAGACTCACCACATAGCTGCCCATTGCTCCAATGATGGAAGCAACTGAGATGCATAGTTCTTGAGTTCTTATCATTACTTGGGAAATACCCATTGGTTTGTGTTGTAACAATCTCCAAACACAGACTCTGAAAAGACCTCCTGTCCCAGCCCTGGGAAGGACTGGAAAATATTTTGCCCTTAAAATGATTTTCATTCAGACTCAACCTAAATGCCCATGGAGAGGGGATTATCGTGGGGGCACCCACACACTGAAACACAATGCTGCTACTGACTGTGCAGAGACAGAAGCATGAAATGACGTGGAGAGACACCGATGCTATGTTACAGAATAGAGAAGCAAGTTTTCAAAATGCATTCTGGGGCAATCACATTATTGCAGCAGAGTTATATTTACACAGAATTTGAGTGTGGACTCTGTCCATGCGCCATTGGCCTTCAACTCTTTCTCCTCCTTTGTTTTCTGTCCTGTAAAATGGGGGTATAAAATGCCGCCTCTCAGGGTTGGCATGGCACTGCTTATATGTGATGATATATATAAATCCTTAGTCCAGGCTTATTAATTTTAAAGAAAAACAAAAGAAAGAATGATGTCTATTCCATAAAAGGTGGGGAACTACTGGTTTACACCAACCTAGGTATTTTTAAGTAAGGTAATTTTGGCCCAGAGGGGGTGAGTGACTCACTTGCCCAAGGTCACATAGCAAGTTAGGTGGAGTGGTGGGAACTAAGACCTAGGGCTGCCTTAGCACTCTTTCGACGAGATCTCATTTTGCCCCCCAGAAAACACAGGGTTTTCAGGGAGCTGGTCCACACTGATACTCCTATGACATGGGTGAGGCATATGTTATCTACATGGTATCTATGTGGCTGAGTGTGGTGGCTCATGCCTGTAATCCTAACACTTTGGAAGGCTGAGGCAGGAGAATTGCTTGAGGCCAAGAGTTCGAGGCTGCAGTAAACCATGATTGCTCCACTGCATTCCAGCCCAGGTGACAGAGTAAGACCCTGTCTCTTAAAAAAAAAAAAAGAAAGAAAGAAAGAAAGAAACAAGACTGTCAGCCTTTTAGTTCTGGAATCCAGGGCAGAAACCAAGGCCCAGTGAGGTGAGTGTGAAATCCAGAGGCATACAGCTGGTCTTAGATCTCTCTGACTCTCTAAAGAAAATTCCAGTGAGATCCCTCAGTTTGGGAAAGTACAGACACCTCGGCCTGGGTGGCCACTGGAACTCTATTCCCAATGGGGAAGAACTTAACAGTAGGAGGAACTCAGAGTAGATAACACTTTTTTTCAACATGAAGCATAGAAAATAGAATATAATTCCCTCCTTTAGGTTTGTTTGGGAGAGACATGCTATAGAATGAATAATTTGTTTTGCAAAACCAGGTGTTTAAGTCCTTTGGCTCTGGGGCTTGTGCTGAGATATGAGAAGTCCAGTAGACCACCTCCAGAACATTTGTGGTGGGAGGAGCCTTTGTGTTGTTCTCTCTCTCTGTGTGTGTGTGTGCATGTTTGTGTGTGTGTGTGTGTGTGTGCGCGCGTGTGCAGAGAGGCATGTACATGGTGGGACCCTAGCTGAAGTTCTGGGAACCTGACAGTGCATGAAATGCCTGTAGTGACCAAGAAATGGGAGGGAAACAGTTGCCATTCAGAGGTAGGAATGGCCTTTCAGAGGGAGAAACAACACTTGGGCATGCAGGGAGTATTTCAACTTTTATCTTTCTTCTTCCCATCCACCCACCCTCTCATCTACTCACTCATCTATCCACCGTCCTACTCACTGAACTATACACACCCTCATTCATCCATCCATCCATCCATCCATCCATCCATCCATCCATCCATTTACCTACACATCCAACTAGTCACCCACCTGCCTATCTTCCCACCCACCCATTCATCCATCTACCTACCCACCCACTCACCTACTCATTCACTCATCTATCCATCCATACATTCATCCACTTACCCACCCATACATCCATTCATTCACCCACCCATCATTCATCCATCCATGCATCCACTCACCCACCCATCATTCATCCATCCATGCATCCACTCACCCAACCATCAATCTACCACACACCAATATCCATCCATTCGTCTACCCACTCTTTCACCTGCTCACATACCGATTTACCCATCTATCTACCCACTCATTCATCCATTCATCCATCCATCCACTCACCCAACCATCCATCTACCCACACATCATCCAGCCAGCCATCTACTCATCCCTCATCCATCTGCTCACTCACTCAACTATCCATCTGCCCATCCATTATCTATCCATTCACCCACCCACTAATATCTGTGTATCCACCCATTCAACCACTCAAACACCCACCCACCTATCCATCAATTCACTCACCATCTATCTATCCATCCATCCATTCATCCATCCAACCACTCACTCACTCAACGATCCATCCACCTACCCAGTATCCAGTTGTTCACCCATCCACAAATATCCACCTGTTCACCCACTCAGATACCCATCTACGTATTTATTATCCACCCATCAACTCTTCCACTCACCCATTTATCAACCCATTGACCCATCCACCACTCCATCCATCCATGCATCTGCCCACCCACCCCTCACCCTTCAATCCTCCTTTCCATTTACCCATCTATGCCCTATTCCAACTGTCAGCCTTGCATACAGCAGTGGTTTGCAAGATGACCACTGGCCTGGCTCTTCCCATTTTATATATGAGGAAACCACCATTCCAGTAGGATGACAGAGAATGCAGATTCTGAGGTCAGATCGAGCCAGGTTCAAATTCTGGCTCTCCCATTGGGTGGCTGTATGATCTCAGGCAAGTGACTAATGCCTCTGAGCTTGACTTACTCTCTGTAAACTTGAACTAAGGATGCTAACTTCCTCACACCTGTGGTGAAGACGAAATGAGATGCCGCCTGTAAAGTGCTTAGCGTGGGGTCTCGCCTGAAGAATGTGCTCAATACGTGCCCTCTGTCATTACCTACTGAACATTTACTATGTGCCTGGGCGTGCTTCATGTGTGCTTTCTCATCACTATTCCCTCCAGGCTGACCTGACTCTCCTCATTCTACAGATGAGAAGACTGAGTCTCCGAGAGGTTAAGGAAATGGGCAGGGCCCAGGAGCCCAATCCAGGCTGGTGGAACTCCAAATTCTACTTTCATGCTGGTCCCTGCTCTGCCACAAAAACACATTGTGACCTCAGGCAATATGGGGGCAATATGGGGAAACCATCATTTCCCTATATGTACCATGAGAGGGTGGACTAAATGATTCCCAGGGCCTCTCTTTGCTGGAAGTGTGAAGGGCGCCCTCTCAGCACATATCTGTGGAGCCTCAGATGGCTCTGACCCTGCACGTTGGAGGGCTGTGGCTATCCAAGACCAGGCACTGTACCCTCACCACCCCTTGAGCAATGGCTGACAAGAGGGGTTGTGGAGACAGTCACACCTGGTTCAACCTCTACTGCTATGCCTTTCTCCCTGAACAACCGCAGTTCATAGTGAAATTCCTTAACCTCTTGGAACCTCAATGTCCTAACCTTTAAAATGGGGATAGGAAGAATGCTCATCTCATTGGGTGGCTATGAAATCCAATGAAATAATGCTTTGAACTGACCGAGAAGGGTGTTGCAGTCAGAAGAAGGGGAATGAGCAAAAGCCAGAGGCCACCATCCCCAGTCTGTAACATCTGATCCTATACTCACACAACAAATACCTGAGTCACTACTGTGTACCTGGCCCAGCGCCCAGCATTGGAATACAAAGATGATGGAGATGGACAAGGAGACACATTCTCCTGGAGGAAACAAAATAATAGCCAAGTCTGCAAATAGATGAATAAATCACTTTTGCGGGGGGTGCATGGGTTAAATTCGGTGAAGAACTTAAAACAGGTGAGGGGCTAATGAGCCTGGACAAGGGACAGAATTAGAAACATGATCCACTTTGGGAGGCCAAGGCGGGTGGATCACCTGAGGTCAGGAGGTTGAGACCAGCCTGGCCAACATGGCGAAACCTCATCTTTACTAAAAGTACAAAAATTAGCCGGGTGTTGTGATGCGCCTGTAATCCCAGCTACTCAAGAGGCTGAGGCAGGAAAATCACTTGAACCTGGGAGGTGGAGGTTGCAGTGAGCCAAGATTGCGCCATTGCACTCCAGCCTGAGCGACAAGAGTGAGACTCTATCTCAGAAGAACAAAAACACATGTTTGGGGAAGGCCTCCCCAAGAGGGTACTATCTGAGTTGAGAACTCACCAAATGATGGTTTGAGCCACGCTGCCAAGGCGTCTAGGGAACAGAGTGTCAGCAGAGGGAAGAGCAAGTGCAAAGGCCCTGTGATGGGATTAGGCTGCTGGGCAAATGGAACTGGGGACCAGGGGCCATGCCTGCCCTCCTCTGGGGGTACTTTCACATGGCTTCTCCACATCACATTCAAATCTGGTCCCTAATTACCAGTGGCCTCTTTCCTGCTACCTGGGAGAGCTGGGTCCTGCTGCCTCTTACTTATAATTCTCCCTCATTTTAACAACCTACATTTCAATATTATGTCCCCACATCCCAAGGCCTCTGGGTACCAGGTATATTTCTCCAAATCCCAATAAATAAATACAGTAAATCCATGTGCCTTCAGGGATTTTTATGGGCCAGTCTGCCAGGAAAATGGGCTGGTTGCCTCGGAGGGCCAAGCTGACAGAGCCAGCAAGGTAATTAGCTGCTGAGTTATGGGGGCCACTTGAAGTCTAATTATTGAGAGATTTGAGGCACCCGCCTCATTTGGGTCCAGATTTACATGGTGCTCGACGGGCTCTTTTGGTAGGTGTCTCCGTGGGGATGCAGACAGGAAGGCAGCTACTGGGTCTCAGAGAGGAGGGACTTGGAGGTAAAAGGCTAGAGGGACACCTAGAAATGGGGTGTGCCTGGCGTGGATGGTGGGCCAGGGTGGTGCTGCCTTCTTGGGAAGCCATCTATCTTTTCCTGCAGCACTTGCATACTCTCTGCTTCTATTTTGTTTCTCTGGTTTAGAGCTATCTCATTATACCTATTTGTTCACAAGTGTCTCCTACGAGTCTCATTCATTCATTCATTAAAGAGATCAAGAACACCTGTGATGCATCCGTATTTGATATAAAGGTGCAAGAGATGAGAGAGGTTCTCTTATTAAACTGTGGGTTCGACAAATGGTGCACAATATATATTTGTTGTAAGAATTCAACAATGTGCTGTCTCAGTGCCATAAGACCTTGCCCTGCTCACCACTTAAATTCCAGGCTATACAGGTTTAGATTGTGTGTGCGTGTGTGTGCGTGTGTGCGTGTGTGCGTGTGTGTGTGTGTCTATGTGCACGCGCGCATGCGTGCTCTTATGCAAACACCCAAATTGAAAGTCTCCCATGCTCCAGGCAGGTGCTAGATATTCAAGCCATTCAATGTCCCATACAGGTCACCATCCTCTGTAGCCTGAACAGCTTCAAAAGCTTCCTCCCTGGTCTCTTCCCTTCTCCCTTCCCCACCTTGCATTCCCTCCCACCCCCCCGCCCCCAGAGCAGCACAAGCTGAGCTGGAAAGTAAGACAGATCCTCCTTTTCCTGGGGAGAAGCCAGAGTCTTAGAATGTTCCACAAGGTCCTCTGGGATTTGCCCTCCTACTATCGCCCTCACTGATCTGCTCCAGCCACTCTAGTCTCCTTGCAGCCCCTCCCACACCCCGGCCTCAGTCCCACCTCCAGGCCTTTGCACTCACTGAGCCCTCTGCCAAGAGCGCCGTGCTCCCAGCTAAACATCGGCCTCATTCCTTCAACTCTGTCATGCCTCTGCTTGACTCTAAACTCTCTGTTCTTTCTTCACTCTATTTTTCTTCTTAGCCCTTATCACTGCTTCTCATAGTACATATTTATTTGTTCCTGGATTCTTGTCTGCTGCCTCTTCTGTCTACTACTAGAATTTCAGTTCCACCAGGGCAAATGTGCTGTCTCTTTTTATTATTATTATTAATTTTTATTATTTTTTATATATTTATTATTTTATATATTTATCATTATTTTTTGAGACAGAGTCTTGCTCTGTCACCCAGGTTGGAGTTCAGTGTCACGATCTCAGCTCACTGCAACATCCACCTCCTTCAAGCCATTCTTCTGCCTCAGGCTCACCAGTAGCTGGGATTACAGGTGCCCACCACCACACCCAGCTAATTTTTGTATTTTCAGTAGAGACGGGGTTTCACCATGTTGGCCAGGCTGGTCTCAAACTCCTCACCTCGTGATCTGCCCGCCTCAGCCTCCCGAAGTGCTGGGATTACAGGCGTGAGATGTGCTGTCTCTTTATTTGTACACTTTATTTTCAGTACCTGGAACAGTGACTGGAATGTAATAGGTGCTCAATAAGCAATTTTTTAAATGAATGCATGAGTTTACCTTTTAATCTACAATAGCTAGTGCGGTAGCTGGCCCATAGTAGGGATGAAATAGCTGTTCAACTAAATGTGGAGACAAGTGAATAGACTATGTGCCAAAGGGAGATAAATATTACCATGCATATGCATGGCCCGAGTGCCATAGGAGGGTGGGGTGCCCATGGTGGGTCTAGGGGTAAGAGATCAGCCATGGGCATTTCCCATGAACTAATGACACTTGAGCTGACTGGTGAAGCAGGAATTTGACAGATGGCTCACGTGGGAAAGGGTCTGGTGGAGAGAAACATCACATCACTCAGGGAGGCTTGACAGTACTCAGTGTCAACATAGCAAGGAGGGTAGGGGACTCAGGGCTGAGACAGAGACCTAATCTTGGAGAACCTTGAATATAAAACTAGGAATTAGGATTATTCCTGAGGGTCCTGTGGGGACTTGAGACAGAGGTATGCAGGGAGGGACACAGTCATATTGAGATTTCGGTGTAATCTCTTCCTTGCTGGTGAAGACAGTATTACAGGAGTGAGACCAGCTAACCGTTCCGGGAGGGGACAATGAGGGCTGATTTGAGTTGGTAACACTGGGGGTCAAGAGGAGGGGTAGGTCTACCAGGGGCCGCAGATAAGATTCTTGCATGGCTGTAGAGATCACACGTGGAGAGACTAAAGATTAATAATTCCCAGGTCTGCAAGACAGGCCAGTGTAAGCCACCTCACTGTGGGACCCACCTGGCCCTAAGCTCAATTAACCAGATTTTTAAAGTGTCATAATTGCAATCCCCATCCTTCTTCCCTCCTTTCTTTTCTCTTAAAAAATTTTTATTATATATGTTTTTTGACAGCAAAAGACTCTCAGATACTTGATGTGCTGTATATTAAGCAGAGTGGCAGCTGTGATATTGCCAAGCGAAACAAAATACAAAATTTACAGCAGTAAATTCTTCTCTCTTCAGGGTGGTTAATTATCTTAATTACTTTTATTATCTTTTATCTTTTAAGATCCTAAATTGCTTATTTCTGCCTTTCCTGCCAAAGGCAACCACATATCTTTTATTGGTGCATGCTGAGTAAAGACAGTCATATGTACATCTTTCTGGTGAAATTTAAAGGAAATTTGATTTACACCCGGCTTCTCCTTGTGATTTTAATTGTAGTAACTAGTGAAAATAAAGTTATGGGAAATAGCAACTGCTGGAAACACACACACACACACACACACACACACACACACACACACACTGCCTGCACTCCAAATCTGACAAATGCTTTTTCTTTTCTTTTCTTTTCTTTTCTTTTTAATGCCCCCTCCTTTCTTCTGTGCACTCTTTGTGCGACTTGGGGGAAAACCATTTCTCTCGAGCAAATCTTAACTCGGGAGAGAAGAATTACAGGCTTTGCAAACTGTCACACTTTCCCCAGGAAACGGGGAAAGGTGATTTGGTTTGAAATAAATCCATTCGTGGTTAACATTTTAAAGCAAAGGGAAAAAAGGGAAAAAAAAATCACCAGGCATCTAGACCTGGGGATATTTCAGCCTAGGAGATTTGGTGACAGCTGAACCGGTGGAAGATGAAGAGCACCGCAGCCTGAGCTGGGGAGACCTGGGAGTGTGGAGGGGTCAGGTACCTAGCGAGTGACTTCATTAGGGGAGGGCGCGGTCTGTGGTTAAGAGCTTGAGTTTGGAATAGATGGCTTAGGGTTGGCGGAGTCTGAAAGGAAGCCACGATCCTATAGTCAGAGACTCTCACCGAAGGCATCCTGGAATTTAGAATTATTGCTGGAGGTTAGAGCAGCCTCTCATGGAGGTCACCCTGTAGAATCATGCCTGGAAGCTACAGCTTGGGATCCAGGTGGACCTGCGTTTAAATCCTGCCTCTGCCAAGTTTGAGGTGTGTGACTGGGGCACACCACCTGTTCTCTCTGAGCCCATTCATCTCTACAATGGGGATGATACTAATGAGGATTGAATAGAATGATGGCGTAGGTGTGATGCCATGAGCTCTGCTATACCCCCACTGTGATGGGAAATGAAGGCTCAGAGAGGCCAAGTCACCTGCCGAAGACCACACAGGTTCATGCAGGGAGATGATCACACCATTCCACTGATGCTTCTGATTCCATCTGGGGTTTGGGATTCTGCAAACTCAAAGGGGGAGCCTCAAGACTACCTGGGAAGGGGTGTGAGAGAGAGGCCCAGATGGGAGAGGGCAGAGGGCGGGTGGATGTGGAGAACAGGTCTCTGTGCTCCCTGAAGGGGCAGGGAGAAACCTCTGTGGTTTCCTTTGCTGAAAGCACTTGGTGGGGTGAGGGGAGGTAGCACTAGGGAGGGACAGGTATTCCCTTCCTGTCTCTGTTCAGAGAGGAATGTCATGTACAAGAGCATTTTGTGTGTGTGGTGGGGGGGGTGGTTCTTTGAGCTTCATTGAGGCCTATGGGATTGGAGCCCCAGGTCTCAGAGGCAACGCCATCCATAAGCATGGCCTGGAGGGAGGCACCTGCCAGCCCCTTTGTGACCCCCTCCCTGCCTCTCTCCCTCGCATCCAGGCAAGCATCACTTCTTGCTGTCTGTGGTTCTTGGTGAGCTGATCAGGGGACTTCCCCAATTTTAGCACTGAAAGTCCCACATCCCATGAGACCCTTTCGGTCCCTGTGGCAAGTTGGTCACCAGTGTCTTGGCCTTTTTCTGTTTCTCTGCCTCTCTGTCTGTGTCTGTCTGTCTCCTTCCACCCTTTCTCCTTCTTTCTCTTATGGGTTCCTCTGCCCCCCTGGCCAACAAAGCACTATTTTCCACCTCCTGAGGTGGCGGGAGCGTGGGGCAGTGCTCAAGACAGCCATGTCAAGCGACAGAACTCAGAGGGGGGAAGAGAGGAAGCCAGGTGAAGGGGTTGTCTGGTAGGAAGAAGGGGCTTGCCTTGGGGGAAGGGGCTGCATTCTCCACCCCACAGAGAGACTCTCTAAATGCTCCTGGTCTTCTGCACGTGGGCCTGCTTTCTCATACATTTTTTTTTTCTATACTGAGCTCAGGGAGAGGCGGGGTGTGTGTGTGTTTATGCACGTGCACTCGTGTTGCCTGTGAGCGTGTGTGTGTGCTTGTGTGCATGCCTGTACAGGCTCACCGTGGAAGGGCCTGGAAAAAGAGAGCTTTCCTGGGTGGGTAGGGAGCCTGACCCTCTCCTGCCAGAGGCTGTCTAGTGCTACAAACCTCTCCTGGACTGTGGCCTTTTGGGGAGTTGGGGCAGGAGACACTAAAAGATAGGGAAAGCAGGATTCAGGGGTAGGGTGGGGGGTGGGGGGTGGGGTGGGAGCTTCCCTGCCCCTGAGAGTCCTCTTGGGTAACCCCTTGTCATATGTGGCCAATGAGCACGTGGCATCTGGCTGGTGGTACCTACCTGAGGAACTGAATGTTAAATTAACCCATTTCTTCTTTGCCCCAAGAACACTGTGCTGGCGGCAAGCTGCACTTTTTTCCTAAATGGAAAATGGGTTACATTTAATTTTAGTGATTTAAATTTTAAAATGCAGTTATTGGGAAACGTTTAAGTATGTTTGGAATCACTGATCCACATGCATCCACATTTTCAACCATAGTATCCGAATAGAGATGTGTTATAAAATACACACTGGATTTCAAAGCCTCAGTACCAAGAATGAATGTCAACTCCCTGAATTCAACATTTTTAACACTGATTGATTGCATATTGGAATGATGGTATTTCTGTTAAGTTGGGTTAAATAAAACATATTATTGAGACTAATTTCATGGTTTCTTTTTACTTTTTAAAAGCACGGTTTCTACAAAATTACAAGTGACACAGGTGGCTCCTATTCTGTTCCTCCTGTCCCTGTCACCGAGGAAATAATCCATCAGCCTCACTGCACTGAGACGTGAAGCCACCTTGTCTGCAGTTGTTTTTATCCTCTTCATTGTTCTTTTATTGTAGGAATAAAAAGTTCCACCCCACTGAAATGAACAATTTTTAGAATGGGAGATTAACGAAACCTGGGTTGGTAATGTCGGTTTCAAAGGCCCCCCTCCTCAAACTGTATTTCTTGTCTACTCTGGGTTGTGGGGGCAGGTGGCAGAGAATGAGGTCTGTCTGGACTGGGAGTCATTTTTCAGATTTTGAGGGCTTGAGAGTCTTTCTTCTTCTTGCTGCTGCTGGCTGGAGCTTCATCCTCAAAGAACTGGTTGCGTGAGATGCCA
Organism: Homo sapiens; assembly: GCF_000001405.40. Classification (NCBI taxonomy): domain Eukaryota; kingdom Metazoa; phylum Chordata; class Mammalia; order Primates; family Hominidae; genus Homo; species Homo sapiens. The sequence continues at coordinate 27,386,681 of NC_000022.11, read as the reverse complement.
GATAGAGAAAGAGACCCGCCTCTTGGTTCCCCCAGGCTGATGTGGTTTTGCTAGGACCACTGTAGTACCCTGAGGAAGATGAAGAAGTTGGCCCAGGACCCAGATAGATACCTGTGGCCAGGCGGGAAGCTGATGTGTAGATCCACAAATATGCTCTGAGTGTCTTCAATGTGCCAGGCTATGGATGGATAGACACCAGCCCTGCCCTCAGGGATTCCAGCCCTGTGGGAGACAGACGCTGAACAAGAACAAACACATGCACTGCTAAGAGACACCGTGCTTGTTGGTTCCATGCATTACCTCATCTAATCGTCATGTCAGTTCTATGAGGCGAGGCTTACTGCTCACCTTATTTCACAGACGAGCCTGAGGTCAGAGAGCTGGGAAGCCTTGGCCAGGGCATGCGCATTGAAGCTGGGGCTCCAAAGTCAGCTAATCCCCTCTCCTGGGCTGCCTCCTGAGTGCTCCTAAAGGGGTGTGGGTTACAGGTGGCCCACCTGCCCTCTGTGGCTTGCTCCTTCTAGGCCAGTTCCCTCTCCCAGCTTTCCTTCACAGCACTCTCTGAATCCGTCATCCCTGCTTTTAGTGAAAACCCTCAGTGAACCAACGTATATTTTTAGCCTGCACCACCTCTTGGGATAATGAGGCTCATACGTTGACTTCCCACTGAGTAAAGCACTCTAGCACTTTAATTTTTCCTAAAATGGCTTTGAGCGTCCCCAGGAGATGCAGGTGAGAGGAGAGAAGTTACTTGTCTTCCCCCCAATCCGGCTCCCTGTCACGGAGACCGTGTCTCTCTGAGGGGTGGCCGGTGACGATGGGCTGGCCTTGCAATGGAGCCACTTAGATAGGAGTCTGTGCCTTCTCCTTGAGTCCGGGATTTGAGGCTGCGGCAAGAGACTTCCAGCTTGGCCAGTCTGGATTTGCCCGTCTGTAAACGGGGAACAGGAACACAGGTCCTGCAGGGTGTGGGGACTCCATCAAGGGCTTGGGTGTAGAGAAGGAAGCCTTCCTGGCCATCTCAGCTTTGGCATGGCTGCGCTTCACGGATACACGTGGTGGTGGGAAGGGGGTGGATGGAAGAGGAGCATAATGTATAGATCTCCAGTATAAAACACATAGGATGTCAGCCAACATTCTTGCTGTGGCCCTGACACCTCTCTGTCCTCATTCTTTCTCCCTCCCTCTGCTCCAGTGCCCCTGGTCTCTTACAAGCCAGGCATACTTCTACCTCAGGGCCTTTGCACTGAGAACCCCTGCCTGAAACACTCTTTCTCCAGTTACCTGCACAATCACCTCCCTCTTCTCCTTCTAGTTGCTGCTCAAATGTCCCCTTCTCAGGGACACACCTCCAGACCACGTTGAAAATCGCAATCCTGTCCCTGCATTTTCCCGTTTGCCATTTTTTTAATGTATCACCTTCTATCAAACTCTATAATTTATTTATGATGTTAATTTTGTTTATTTTTGCCTGCTTCTTCAAGAGCAGGGATTTTTTTATGGGTCTTGTTCCCCGCTATGTCCTCAGCACCCAGCACTCTGCCTGACACACACCAGGTGCTCAATACACATGTGTGTAATCTGTGCTTTGTCTTCCCAAAGTCTTCTTGACAGGTTGATAAATATTATTATGTGGCTGGGTGCAGTGGCTCATGCCTGTAATCCCAGCACTTTGGGAGGCCGAGGCAGGAGGATCACTTGAGCTCAGGAGTTTGAGACCAGCCTGGACAACACAGGAAGACCCTGTCTCTACAAATAAATGTGAAAAATATTAGCCAAGAGTGGTTGTGCCCGCCTGGAGTCCCAGCAACTCAGGAGGCTAAAGCGAGAGGATCCCTTGAGTCTAGCAGGTGGTGGTTCCAGTGAGCTGAGAGCATAGGTGACAGAGTGAGACCCTGTCTCAAAAAAAAAAAGTTATGCAGCCGAACAACAATAACAATACAATCTTGGAGGGGATGTTTATGCTCAAACACATTTAATAATAAACTAATTTTTTTCAGGAGGGCATTATTTTGGGCTGGGTGAATCAGATGCACATCCAGGAAATAGAGGCTGGGAAAAAACAATCTAGACCAATCTGCCCATTTCACAGCTCAGGAAACTGAGGGTATTGGTCTCGGACTCTTGACGCAGATCTCTGACTTCTAGGACAGCTTTGCCTTGTCCTACATATATACTCCGTCTCTCAGTCCCAGGTCCCCATTCAATAGGGGCTTCTTTAAGACATCACGTGGTTGACCAAGGACTTCAGGAGAAGAGGGATCCTTTTCTCTGCCAGGAAGTATGCAGGGGTGCCGGGGCAAGTGTGGAAGAGACATGGATTTGAGCATGGCTTACTTTTATTAGTCTGTGGCCCAGATTCAGAGCCATTATAAATATTTAAGAAAGCTGTGTATTTTTCCATGCACAAAACGGAATGGCCTTTGATCAGAAATGTCTAATTTTAGTGAAAATGATCATAACATTGCCAGTCATTTGATATGTGCTGACCAATGCTCAGGTTAGAAGCAAGGAAGAACCTTATACCTTGATTTTGCCCTAATTGCCCCACCATGGCCTTTCAAGGCTTGATTAGGCCCATTTTACAGATGAGAAAACTGAGGCTCTGAGAAGGGAGTAATTCGTCCAAAGTCACAAGGCTGATGAATGCAGGAACCAGTTTTCAGCTCCAGACTGAGCCTTTTACCTCTATGCTCTGTGTGGAAAGGGGCTAAGTGGTGGGGAAAACATCATAATTTCTTTCCTTTTATTTTATTTATTTTTTGAGGCAGAGTCTTACTTTATCGCCAAGGCTGGAGTGCAGTGGCATGATCTTGGCTCAATGCAACCTCCACCTCCTAGGTTCAAGTGATTCTCCTGCCTCAGTCTCCCGAGTAGCTGGGACTACAGTCGCCTGCCACCACGCCCGGCTAATTTCTTGTATTTTTAGTAGAGACAGGTTTTCACCGTGTTAGCCAGGATGGTCTCGAACTCCTGACCTCGTGATCCGGCTGCCTCGGCCTCCCAAAGTGCTGGGATTAAAGGCGTGAGTCACTGCGCCCAGCCCCCATAATTTATTATAAGGAATAAAAAGGATGGACTACATAGGGAAAAAAACATCACAAAACCAAACAGAAGAGATGTCTTAATTCCCGTTCCCATCAATGCAACTAGAGGGTATTTTATTGTTTTGTTGTTTTCAGAGTCGTTTGCATCCTTTTTTTTCTTTTTCTCCTTTTAATACTGGGCATCATATTTGCTGTGTCATGTTATGTCTTGTTCTCTTTTGTCTTTTCAATTACTATTATGTTACAATTATGTTTCCATGTTGTTATTCATTTTTGTCAACATTGGAACGGCTGTGTAATATCCTCTCCTATAGACAAGTCATAATTCATTTTTCATTTCCCCTTGGGTGGATATTTAGGTCGCTGCCCATTTGAGGGCTCATATTTAATGTCACAGGGAGCATCGTTCCTTGTGTGTCGTTTTCTTCAATATCTAGAATGTTCCATAGAAGCTGGGACACAGGTCCGAGGAACGCGTGTTTGTAAAGAGCTTGAGGTGTAGCACCACGTTGCTTCAAAGACGCGCTGCCCTCACCACCAGCAGCAAACGAGGGGGCCCTTCTCACCCATCCTGGTTCAGGTGATGGACACATAACCTGAACAACAGCAGCAACAATGTGCTGTGAGAAAATTAAGTGAAAACGGCATCTCCTCACTTGAATGTCTTTTTCTCTGATTCCCACAAAGCTGAGCTTTTCCCCATATGTTTGTTAACCAGATACATTTCCACTTTTGTAAAGAGTCTGTTTATGGGAAGAATATTCTTAAAGTTAAAATAGAATTTGAAAAATATTCAGAAGCAAGAAATTAAGGTGGAATCTAGAAACCAGGCAACGGACCCTGAGCTTGTCCGTTAAACTCATCAGCTAATCTCACTCCCCTCTGTGGACGCAAAAGGCACTGATGCCCTGTGGGCAGGGGGTGGGCAGTGGGTGGGTACTGGGTCGGAGGTTGAGCTGGGGAGACTCAAATGTGGGGAGGGGTTCCCACACACAGATGGACCTTGGGTTGGGGCTGAGAGGGTGAGCTCATCAAGGGATGAGACCCACCTGTCATCCGGAACTCAGACCGCTCCCCATTCCAGTACAGAGCCAGGCAATTATGTTTCACTGTGCTCTGGGCTGGGACGAGGCTCGCCCAGGGGCTGGGAGGGATGGGTACAAGACAGTCTCTGACCCAGCCTGGGGTTGGGGGAAGGCAGCTGTCTGGGGAGGCACTGTCTCCTGGCTTCCCCACAGCAGGTGCTCCTGGCTACCACCATCACCTGTTGGGATGGGACCAGAGCCTTCCCCACTGGCCTCCTTTGGCCATTCTAGCACCTCTAGAGTCCAGCCTCAGTCAGTCAGTCCAATACAGCAGCCACATACTCTGTGATGGATCCTGTCACTCCCCTACAGGGGGAGTCTGCCTTCTACCCTAAAGGAATCCAGCCTCCTTCACTCTGCCCTCTTGCGTTCTCCAGCCTCATCTCCTACCCTACCTCCCATCTCATGCATTTCCAGGAACACCCACTTTTCTGTTCCTGAAACCCACTCAGTGCACTTTGCACATGCTGTTCCCTGTGTTTGGAATGCTCTTCCCCAGATCTGCACAGGGCTGAATGTCACCACCTCAAGGAGGCTGCCCTGATTGCTGCTCACATTCTCCCTCTTGAGACCCTGTTTCTTTTCTTCCTGGCACTGGACTGCCTCGGAAATGTCCTTGGAGCCTCTGCCTGCCACTGATTCTTCACTTTGATTGCCTGTAGGATCCTCCTGGGAGCTTTTAAAAATACTGATGGCCGGGCCCCACCCCAGACTAATTAAATCAGGACCTCTGAGAGGTGCATGGGGGCCTGGGTTACGCTTTAAAAGCTCCCCTGGGGATTCTAATGTGCAGCCAGGGCCAAGACCACGGATGTTTGAGATGCTTATTTATTGCTCAGTTATTGACTTGTCCCACTCACTTCCTCCCCAATGTCAGCTTCACAAATGACAGAAACCACAGCTCCACCCTCAGAGCCCAGCACCTGGTCTGGCACATCTGAGATGCTTAATTTGGGGAATGATTTTTCAACAGAAAATCCTGACTTGCAAAACTCAGCCACTGCAGAATCTACACTACGTCTGAGAACCTTCCAGTAGTTCCAAATGGCTGGGAAAAAAAAAAAGAAAAAAAAGACGGATGGGTCACAGTACTGTCCCCATTTTCCAGATAAGGAATCCCAGTGTGTTCGGAATAGAAGCATCTTGGGTGCTGTTCCCAGTGTGGATTGGAGGAGAGTTAAGTAAACATCGGAATAAAGAGGGGAGCTTCATTTTGTCAATTCAAAGACTGACGATTAAGATTTGAAAAATAATAGAAGAGAAATTAGCAGGCCTTGCATCTAACTCTTTTGAAAACAATAAATAAAAGGACTGCGTGTCTTTAAGGCAGTGAATGTGGGGGAGAAAATAAGGTACCTCATTCTGCGCCTGTTCTCTGGGCTTGTCTGTATTCCTGTCGGCAGCCGGGCCCACATAAACATTCGGCACGCAGCACTTGCAGACACTTTTTAATAGAATCGCTTAAAACAATTAATTACCAGAGTTTTCATTCAAGCTGCACTGCAAAAGATACGCCGGCAATAAAAGGCATTTATCCGCGGGTTTCTCGAGGCCTGTTTGTTATTAAGATGTAAATTAAATCATCACAGATGTTCCATTTTTTAATCTAGGCCTGGGAAGATCAGGGCCAAGCGTGGCCTAAACGGGTTTATTTCATTACCCGCACATTCATTAGAAACCCACCGTCTTATTGGATATCATTTTTCTTGGGTGACTTTTTTTCCCCTTCTTAAACAAATTATCAAGATAATTTGTTCATTTCCCTTTCTGCTCGTTCTTAGCGCTCACAAGCTCCAGGGTGGGGTCTGAGGGCTCCTGGTGAGGGGAATTTGTTTGGGGTTCTGGGGGAGAGGTCATTTGCCTTCCTGGAGATGGGAGAAACCTAGCACCATCTCCAGACATAGAGGTGGGGGAATCTTCTGGGAATTTCTGGAAAATAATTCTCTTCTACAACAGAGATGCATTGGAGAGTGGGATTGAAATCTTTGGCTGTAGCTCACAGAGAGTTTAATTTCTGAATGGGAAGGGACTGTCACACGCCCCGCAGCCTAGCCCCACTCTTTGCCCTTGTTCTACTAAGATGCTTAGAGTGTGTGTGCCACCATCTGAAGGCACCTGCCACCCTTGCCTGCTTTTTTGTTTACATTCCACCTCCACGTCAGGGCTGCGACTGTCTTGTTTACCACTGTATCCTCAAAGACTTGCACAGTGCCTGGCACAAAGTAGGTGTTCAGATGGTAAATAAACGAATGTTAGCAGTTACTGTTTAAATGCCCGGCATGGTACTTAACACACATAATTTCACGTAACTCCCCCGCTTATCCAACAACCTAGGCAGGAGAGACTATTATCATCCTCATTTTAGCGATGAAGTCAGCCTGTTGCAGAAAAGTACGGGAATTTGCCCAAGGTCCCATGACCAGTGAGTGGAAGGGTTAGGATTTGAACCCACGTCTGCCTGGCTCCAAATTCCTTTGATTTAACTCCTCACTATTCCACAGCTAGGCATTTGGGCGTCATTGAGTCTAAAACTCACTGGGGTGTTTAACATTTATTTAGTGTCAAGCACCTCGCTGGGCATAGGGAAGTGCTTACCAATAGCTCAGGAAGGCTCTCAGAGGTGGGCAGGCATCACCCTTAGCCTCCCTCGGTCCCCATCTAATGTAGCTGTTTTGCAGATGCAGAAGCCGAAATGCAGTCATAGAAGGGCTACATAGGCTGAGACTCAGGATTAGCAAATAACTTGCAGGACCCAGTGCAAAATGACAATGCAGAGACCCTTGTTTGGACAAGGGATCTTATCCCATAATAAGAATTTCATGACCATAGGTGACAGAGCATTAAACAGAGCTCCAGGCCTTCAGGGTTCTGAGAGACTGCAGGGGTCACAAGCCAGTGACCTGGCCCTGCTGAGACTTAGGGCCCATCTCAGTTTTTTCCACCACGTGCTGCTCCTCTTCTTCCGGACTGCCCTACTGCACCTCTCCAGCCCACCTGCCCTCCCACCTTTTCTCCATGTTTATCTGAATTTTCAGTAGAATAAGCCCATCTGAGCTTGTGCAGCCCTCATGTATAGGAGGGAATTAACACATAGGATCACACGCTGGGGTGAGCCACTGAGTAGGGTTTGCTCTGATCATGATGATGATGATTACAGATGTGGTTTTGTTGCATTGTGCAGGCTGGAGTATAGTAGTACCATTATAGCTCACTGCAGCCTCAAACTCCTGCACTCAAGGGATCCTCCCGTCTCAGCCTCCTGAGCTGCTAGGACTACAGACGAGTGTCACCACACCTGGCACTTGTCCATGATTTCCTTGTGTTTCTCCAACAGCCAAATGCAGCAGATGTCCCTATTCCCATCCTGCAGGGGAGGAAACAGAGAGGTAAAGTGACTTGCTCAAGCTCACACAGCCTGTGGATTCCAATCCTGCTCTCCTCTGTGGCACCAGTGGCTGCTGGACCTGCTTCTTTTGCAAAAACAATCTTTTGCAGAAACCTGACCCTCCTATAAGACAGAAGCCCAAACGATTTGTCTGAGGTGGGAACCAGCGTCTGAGGCTTGCCCCTGTTGCCCAGTGGCTGCAGGTGGAGGGGCAATGTTCCTTCCCAGAGGTATGCTGTTTCCCAAGTTCAAACAGTTAGTAAGAAGTGGAGCAGCACATGAACTCAGGGCTGCTAGCATCCCTGAACATCCTCTCCTGCTAGAAATCAGAAGGCATTTGCTTGGCTTCTTTAACTCCTAACGCCCCCACAGCAAAGCGCATGGCTCACCTAGAGCCTGGACTTTACCCAGGGAACTCAGGGTATCCGAGACCATCAGAGCAAGGAGGTCGCGGAGACAGCGATCATGGGGGTGCTAGGGCCCGCAGAGGGAAGGGGCCCTGCCAGGCTGTGGAGAGACCATCCCTCAGAGGCACCAGCCCAGACCGCCCCCCTCCCGCTTGACAGCGCACTGTGTACAGCCGCAGCAGCCCCCTGCTGTGAAATGATCATTTTCTGCTTCCTGCCTGTGGATGGTTTCATGTTTTCATCAAGTTCTGAAGAAAAGGAATGGGAAAATATCGTGGCTTTTATCCCCCCACCACGTGCTACAGAAATTGCCTTTTTATGAAAGTCCTTGTGGTTTCTTGAGTATTTCACAAACTCTCAGAGCTGGGAGATCCCTTCAACATACAGCTTTATATTCCCAAACTTCTCTGTCTTTGAAAACTCCAGGAAAACTGGGTTGGAGTTTCGGGAGTGAGCAGGACAAGCGAGAGAATTTAGATGGGAAGGTACTTTTTGCAGAAGATACTTGAGACGACACACATGACTTCAGCTCCCGCGAGGCTGTTACAAGGAGGCAGTGCTGCTGTTCCCTCTGGCACCCAGGGAACAGCTGGTGTCAGGCAAAAAGCCACAGGCTTTGAGAGCAAACACACCAGGTTTCAAACCCTATCTGTGAAAGCTGAATGACCTTGGGCAACTGCCAGGACCTCTCTGAGCCCAGTTCCTCATCCGTGAAATGTTATGGTGATCCCTACCATGTAGGGGTGTTACGAGGATTAAATGAGAGGCTGTTTATGAAGCCCCCAGCGTGGTGCCTGGCACACAGCATGCTCTCAGTGCAGGACAATTTGCCACTAACCCAACCCGTTTCTCTTTAAGTCATTTTAGGACAAAAAAAAAAAAAAATAAATCGCATGAGATTAAAATCTCTCTGTTTTTTTTCATCCCCCCTCCCCCCTGATTTGGTAAATGCTGAATGTATAAATAGTTTCAAAAAAGGCTTGGACAAATTCCTGCATAATTACGCCATGGAGTTATTAAAGGTAAAACACCTACTCTAAGACACTTAGCCGACTTCTGCTCGCACGTCCCTGGGCTTCAGGTTGAACTCGTTTGCCTGGAGTCGGCATGGTTGGCACAGGGAGAAGCAGGCCTAGGGTGTATGGTCTGCCCAGCCAAAGGCCTTTATCATTATGCAGAGTTAATTGAAGGATTAATATGTGTTTTCACGAAAGGTTCCTTTCCTTGTTCAAAATCGAGTTCTCCATAATGAATGAGTAATTGCAACATTCAAGAACAAAACATATACATCTACACAAATACATGTCCACATATATATCTTATTATATATTTTACATAATATATTTTATTTTATATATATTATAAGATTTGTTTTATTTTATTTTGGAGGCAAGGTCTCACCCTGTTGCCCAGGCTGGAGTGCAGCAGTGTGATCATTGCTCATTGCAGTCTTGACTTCCCAGGCTCAAACAATCCTCCTGCCTCAGCCTCTAGCTAATTAAAAAAAATTTTTTTAAGAGAAAGAGTCTTGCTATGATGTCCAGGCTGGCCTCAAACTCCTGGGCTAAAGCAATCCAGCCACCTTGGCCTCACGAAGTGCTGGGATTACACACATAAGCCACTGCACCTGGACTATAAAATATATTTTAAATCCTTAAGTAAGATTTTAACTGCTAGGTACAAATATGTGTCTTTCTCACTGTTTCTTAACAGTTTGTCTTCAGTCTCTCCCCCAAAATCGCAAAACTAAGATTGTTCAGCAACTGAAAACAAAGCAACAAGAAAAAGCACTCTAGCAAATACTTGCAAGGAACAGAATTAGATCACATAAGGATATATTTTTGCAGAATTGTATTTACTGAAGTGATGCCATTTTAAAACAGTACTACGAATGTTGCTCCTTTGAAGGCATTGTTCATAAATTCAATCTTTAGTCTCTAAGTGAAGTCCCATTTGATACATTTATTTCAAAATGGAGAGTAAGGACATATTTGGCCAACATTAAGAAAATTTTCTGAAAAGGGTTTGCAACTTATTTTTTAATTAATTTTATTTTTATTCCTTTTCCCAGGCCTCTAGAAAGTTCCAAGTGAGATTTTATTTCTCATGCCAGAGCATTCTTTTTTTTTTAAAAGCTGATTCCATTTTCCTCTGAATTATTTTTATTTTTATTTTTTATTATATGTTAAGTACTAGGGTACATGTGCACAACATGCAGATTTGATACATAGGTATACATGTGCCACGTTGGTTTGCTGCACCCATCAACTTGTCATTTATATTATTTCTCCTAATGCTATCCCTCCTCCAGCCCCCCACCCTCTGACAGGTCCCGGTAGGTGATGTTCCCCGCCCTGTGTCCAAGTGATCTCATTGTTCAATTCCCACCTATGAGTGAGAACATGCAGTGTTTGGTTTTCTGTCCTTGTGATAGTTTGCTGAGAATGATGGTTCCCAGCTTCAACCATGTTCCTGCCAAGGACATGAACCCATTCTTTTTTACGGCTGCATAGTATTCTGTGGTGTATATGTGCCACATTTTCTTAATCCAGTCTATCATTGATGGACATTTTGGTTGGTTCCAAGTCTTTGCTATTGTGAATAGTGCTGCAATAAACATACATGTGCATGTGTCTTTATAGTAGCATGATTTATAATCCTTTGGGTATATACCCAGTAATGAGATTGCTGGGTCAAATGGTATTTCTAGTTCTAGATCCTTGAGGGATTGCCACACTGTCTTCCACCATGCTTGAACTAATTTACACTCCCACCAACAGTGTAAAAGTGTTCCTATTTCTCCACATCCTCTCCAGCATCTGTTGTTTCCTGACTTTTTCATGATTGCCATTCTAACTGGCATGAGATGGTATCTCATTGTGGTTTTGATTTGCATTTCTCTAATGACCAGTGATGATGAGCATTTTTTCATGTGTCTGTTGGCTGCATAAATGTCTTCTTTTGAGAAGTGTCTGTTCATATCCTTTGCCCACTTTTTGATGGGGTTGTTTGAAGTGCGATGTGGTGCTGAGAAGAATGTATATTCTGTTAATTTGGGGTGGAGAGTTCTGTAGATGTTTATTGGGTCTGCTTGGTGCAGAACTGAGTTCAAGTCCTGGATATCGTTGTTAACCTTCTGTCTCGTTGATCTGTCTAATATTGAGAGTGGGGTGTTAAAGTCTCCCATTATTATTGTGTGGGAGTCTAAGTCTCTTTGTAGGTCTCTAAGGACTTGCTTTATGAGTCTGTGTGCTCCTGTATTGGGTGCATATATATTTAGGATAGTTAGGTCTTCTCATTGAATTGATCCCTTTACCACTATGTAATGGCCTTCTTTGTCTCTTTTAATCTTTGTTGGTTTAAATTCTGTTTTATCAGAGACTAGGAATGCAAGCCCTGCTATTTTTTTGCTTTCATTTGCTTCATAGATCGTCCTCCATACCTTTATTTTGAGCCTATGTGTGTCTCTGCATGTGAGATGGGTCTCCTGAATACAGCTCACTGATGGGTCTTGACTCTTTATCCAATTTGCCAGTCTGTGTCTTTTAACTGAGGTATTTAGCCCATTTACATTTAAGGTTAATATTGTTATGTGGGAATTTGATCCTGTCATTATGATGTCAGCTGGTTATTTTGCCCGTTAATTGATGCAGTTTCTTCCTAGCATTGATGGTCTTTACAATTTGGCATGTTTTTGCAATGGCTGGTACTGGTTGTTTCTTTCCGTGTTTAGCGCTTCCTTCAGGAGCTCTATAAGGCAGGCCTGGTGGTGACAAAATCTCTCAGCATTTGCCTGTCTGTAAAGGATTTTATTTCTCCTTCACTTATGAAGCTGGATATAAAATTCTGGGTTGAAAATTCTTTTCTTTAAGAATGTTGAATATTGGCCGCCACTCTCTTCTGGCTTGTAGGGTTTCTGCTGAGAGGTTCACTGTTAGTCTGATGGGCTTCCCTTTGTGGGTAACTTGACCTTTCTCTCTGGCTGCCCCTAACATTTTTTCCTTCACTTCGACCTTGGTGAATCTGACAATTATGTGTCTTGGGGTTGCTCTCCTCAAGGAGTATCTTTGTGATGTTCTCTGTATTTCCTGAATTTGAATGTTGGCCTGCCTTGCTATGTTGGAGTTCTTCTGGATAGTATCCTGAGGAGCGTTTTCCAACTTGGTTCCATTCTCCTTATCACTTTCAGGTACACCAATCAAACATAGATTTGGTCTTTTCACATAGCCCCATATTTCTTGGATGCTTTGTTTGTTTCTTTTTTCTCTAACCTTCTCTTCTTGCTTTATTTCATTAATTTGATCTTCAATCACTGATACCCTTTCTTCCACTTGATCAGATCGGCTACTGAAGCTTGCGCATGCATCATGAAGTTCTCATGCCATGGTTTTCAGCTCCATCAGGTCATTTAAGTTCTTCTCTACACTGTTTATTCTAGTTAGCCATTCATCTAATTTTTATTCAAGGTTTTTAGCTTCCTTGCATGGGTTCGAACACGTTCCTTTAGCTCAGAGAAGTTTGTTATTACCGACCTTCTGAAGCCTACTCTGTCAACTTGTCAAAATAATTCTCTGTCCAGCTCTGTTCCATTGCTGGTAGGAGTTGCAATCCTTTGGAGGAGAAGAAATGCTCTGATTTTTAGAATTTTCAGCTTTTCTGCTCTGGTTTCTCCCCATCTTTGTGGTTTTATCTACCTTTGGTCTTTGATGTTGGTGACCTACAGATGGGGTTTTGGTGTGGATGTCCTTTTTGCTGATGTTGATGCTATTCCTTTCTGTTTGTTAGTTTTCCTTCTAATAGTCAGGTCCCTCAGCTATAGATCTGTTGGAGTTTGCTGGAGGTCCACTCTAGACCCTGTTTGCCTAGGAGCAGTGGAGGCTGCAGAACAGCAAATATTGCAGAACAGCAAATATTGCTGCCTGATCCTTCCTCTGGAAGCTTCGTCCCAGAGGGGCACCCACCTATATGAGGTGTCTGTCGGCCCCTACTGGGAGGTATCTCCCAGTTAGGCTACATGGTGGTCAGGGACCCACTTGAGGATGCAGTCTGTCCATTCTCTGAGCTCAAACGCCGTGCTGGGAGAACCACTGCTCTCTTCAGAGCTGTCAGACAGGGATGTTTATGTCTACAGAAGTTGTCTGTTGCCTTTTGTTCAGCTGTGCCCTGCCCACAGAGGTGGAGTCTAGAGGCAGTAGGCCTTGATGAGCTGTGTTGGGCTCCGCCCAGTTTGAGCTTCCTGGCTGCTTTGTTTACCTACTCAAGCCTCAGCAATGGTGGACGCCCCTCCCCCAGCAAGGCTGCTGCCTGGCAGTTCCATCTCAGACCGCTGCGCTAGTGGCGAGCAAGGCTCTGTGGGCATGGGACCCGCTGAGCCAGGCATGGGAGAGAATCTCCTTGTCTACTGGTTGCTAAGACCTCGGGAAAAGCACAGTATTTCGGTGGCAGTGTCCTGTTTTTCCAGGTACAGTCTGTCATGGGTTCCCTTGGCTAAGAAAGAGAAATCCCCTGACCTTTTGCACTTCCCAGGGGAGGCGACACCCCACCCTGCTTCAGCTTGCCCTCCATGGGCTGTACCACTGTCCAACCAGTCCCAGTAAGATGAACCACTTACCTTAGTTGGAAATGCAGAAATCACCCGTCTTCTGTGTTGATCATGCTGGGCACTGCAGACTGGAGCTGTTCCTTTTTGGCCATGTTGGAACAGAGGCCCAGAGCATTCTTATCCATTTTTTTGATCTTTTTTTTCTTCTTTTGAATTCCCATTGTATTAGTCTATGGTATGATTCTTCTTATTTTTCTAAACAAGTTTTTGAACTTATTTTCCCAAATGTTATGGGGTACAAATATTATTTTAAAAAGTAGAAAACAATGAATCAGATTTCTCTTTGCTTTGCAATGCTCAGTTTGGTTGGTATTTATGCATAATGTTTGTCCACTGTGCTTCATACAAAGCACTAAGGACTTAGGTAATAGAGATGCCATACCGAAGTATCTTTCAAATGGGAACATAATATGTCCCTGAAATCATTTGAAGTTCACACATGGCAAAATACAGACAGCACTAGATCTCCTGGAAGCTGAGAGGCCACCTTCACTCTGAGGACCCTGTGGTTTCAGGTGGGCCCAGGGAATGAATGCAGAGAGGCTCATATGGACAGAGTGGGGTCCTGGTACCCAGGAGGGTGTGAACCCAGCCAACCTGAAGACACTCTCAGTTCCACAGAAAGGCAAAGCCCCAAGTGTTCTTTGCTGCTGAGCTGCTGCTTCAGCTCCTCTCTGGGGCTGCTGGGGAGCTCAGGATGAATTTTCAGCTGCATTTCAGGTCATCCCAATTCCATGCTGAAGGGCAGAGAAGGTAAATTCACTGGAGCCTGGCTACTTCCCCTTGCTGTTTGGTCTCAGGGTTTCTTGGGGTCTGCCTGACAACTGCCATCATGAAGGGTCATGAGAAAACATGGGTGTCTCTGAGTCTCTTGGGCAGGGCCCTTGAGGCATTTCCCTTCTGTTTCATCTTTTTATTCTTTTTATCTTTCTCTCATTCTCAGTCATTTCTTCCCTTTCCCATTTTCTGTCTTGAGAACCGCTTGCCTATTTCATTTTCTCACTCCTTTCTGTCTCTCTTTTTCTTTGCTTCTCTTTTATTTCTCAATCTTTTTTTTTCTTTTCTCTGGCCATTTTGCTAATTTTTTGTTCCTTGTCTCCTGTCTGTCTGTTCTCATTCTTCACTTTTTTCTTCTCCCTTCTCTTACCACTTCTCTCTCCTGCTCTATTTCATTTCCATGTCTGTCTTTCTTTTCTCTCTCCTTCTATTCTCCTCTTTACCCTGCCTGTCTCCTCTTCTCTCCTCCCCATTTCCTCCCTCTCTCCTTCTCTCTGTCTCTCTCTCTCTCACACACACACACACACACACACTTTCTTGAGAACATGGCAGGAGATCAGGAACCAGACACATTGTGACTTTGGTATGTATTGAAGGTACAGTGTCCTTACAACCTGACAGGCCAAAAAGACAAAAAAAAAAAAAAAAAAAAAAGAAAAAAAGAACTCACCAAGTCTTGCAAGCACTTTGATGCTGAAAGCCCCATGTTTGACACAGGCATGAGGCACCTTGAGGCTCTTATATTGATTAGCTCAAAGGGGAATTGCTTCCTCTCCCAGACCTGTCAGCGTTTTCGACATTTCTGAAAATGATAGGAGACTGGGAACAAAAACCTCCTCTCTAGGCTCCCTGAAATCCTGCGTTAAGCAAAGGTACATGTCCAGTTGAATTTTCTGGTGGCCAAGACTCTGCTGTGGCATGGCTGAAGGTCACACGTTTTGGCTATTTCAAAAGATGTTGTGGCCCAATGGGAAGGTGAGGAGCTCTGCATTGCGAATGTGTCCAAGGCTGGAGACACCAGCAGCCAGTGCCAGGCTGGGTCTGCTCAGCTGCTCAAGTGCCTGCCCCTGGCACCACTCCCCAATCCCCCAACCCTGTCCTCCTCACATGCAGGGCTGGTTACCCTCCAGACATCATCCCCCTTCTGCGTCTGACTCCCCAGGTGTGGGGGAGCAGGTAGGGGTGGGGTGAGATTGATAGGCAGGCCTGGATCTGCCACCTGGGTTCACTGATGCCTTTATTTATGCAGCAAGCATTTATTAAGCACCCACTGTGTATAAGGTATTGAGCAGAGAGCAGTGAATACTGACAGAGACCTGGCCTTCGAGGCCCTTAAGCATAGCTGGGGAGATAGACAAGTACGAGAGGGCAAGAAGGATCTAAGCAAGTATATCTGGACATGCACTTACCTATGAGCCAGCAATTCCACTTCAATGTACACACCCAACGTCAATGAGCCCATATGGTCACCAAATATTTATAGCAGTAGTATTTGTAATAGCCATCCACTGCCCATCAGTAGTAGAATGGATACATAAATTATGGTCTATTCACATGATGGAATACTACACAGTAATAAAACGAATGATCTACAACTGCGCATAAGAGTTTGGATGAATCTCAACACACAATTGTATTCGTCCGTTCTCACGCTGCTATAAAGAACTACCTGAGACTGGGTAATTTATGAAGAAAAGAGGTTTAATTGACTCACAGTTCTGCAGGCTTAACAGGAAGGATGATTGGGAGGCCTCAGGAAACTTACAATCATGGCAGAAAGTGAAAGGGAAGCAAGCACTTTCTTCACATGGTGGCAGGAGACAGAGGAAGCAAAGGGGGAAGTGCCACACACTTTCAGACAACCGGATCTCATGAGAACTCAGTCACTATCATGAGAACAGCAAAGGGGAAGTCCACCCCATGATTCAATCACCTCCCAGCAGGCCCCTCCCCCGACACGTGGGGATTACAATTTGAGCTGAGGTTTGGGTGGCGACACAGAGCCAAGCCATATCAACAATATTGAGTAAATGAAGTGAGATGCAAAAAAGAACATATTGTATGTTTCCATTTTATAAAAATCAAGAATAGGCAAAGCTACTGTGGGGGGTCAATGGGCAGGGTAACAATTATTTTGAGGGGGTTGAGTAAAGTGGGGTGCAAATGTGGCTTCTAGGGTGCTGATAGCTTTCTACTTCTTAGTCTGGGTGCTAGTTACACAGGTGTGTTGACTTAAATGAGGATTCTTTGAGCTGTAAATCATGCTGCACCTTATGACGTGTACCTTTTTAATGATTTTGCATGTGATGTATCAATTTAAATATTTCACTAAAGAAATAGTAAATCATGGAGGACTTTCAGCATCATGGTTGCCTGAGCTGGTGTAGCATTTCCCCTCTCTCAATACAAATGCATAGAATTGTGAATACAATATAATCAAATAATAAACACAATTATAAAAATTTTCCCAGTGTGAACAAAAGAAGGAACATCCCCGGGATTCAGAAACAAAGACAGAAGACAGAGGTTCAAGCTGGGGCCGTGTGAGAAGCTGACGTTAAGAGTAGCAGGCTGGTGTTAAGACCTCAGATCCCAGCCTCAGGGCCAGAGCAGACACAAATCCTGAGGCTGGGGTCTGGGGTCCTAGCACCATGGGCAACCAGATCTGTCACAAAGCAAAGGGCTCAGAAACAAGCCCTCCTCCTCCCCCTCACTCTGTAAAGTGCTCCTGGATCACATAGACTGAAATAATTCACCCCTACCTCCAGCCGAGAGCAGCAGGCAGAAACTCCACAATATGGGGCTTTAAGAGTGGCAAAGGATCAGTCAGGCACGGTGGCTCACACCTGTAATCCCAGCACTTTGAGAGGCTGAGGCAGGTGGATCACGAGGTCAGCAGTTCGAGACCAGCCCGGCCAATACGGTGAAACCCCATCTCTACTAAAAATACAAAAAGTAGCCAGGCATGGTGGCGTGCTCCTGTAGTCCCAGCTACTCAGCAGGCTGAGGCGGGAGAATCGCTTGAACCCAGAAGGCGGAGGTTGCAGGGAACTGAGATTGATCCACTGCACTTCAACCTGGGTGACAGAGTGAGACTCCTTCTCAAACAAAAAAAAAAAGTGGCAAAGGATCATAAAAAGAGAAGAAAATATCCCCCAAAGAAGTCAAAACCTTATCCTGCCCTATGCATGGATGTGGAGTACAGATGCCCTCTTCCTCTGTAGTGTGGGAACCACAAATAAGATAGTAACATAAGAACTGGCCCAGGACAATAGAAGTCTCTTGAACTGCAAAGTAGGAAGCCAGAAAGCCCTCAATGTGGATTGTACTGTAATTCAGGGTACACTAGAATCCCCCGGAACAGTCAGTTCTGCTGAAGACAAGCTCACAAGCAGAATCACAGAGAAGCATAGGAAACAAATCAGCCAGGGGAGGGCCAGCAGCAGGAGCGATTAATGAAAAATCAGTACCTGGAAAACTCAAACATATAGAGTAGTCTGAAGGAGATTTTTTAAACGTGATATTTAAGAGGATTAAAAAGATTTTAAAAAGTACAAGAAAATGTAATAACAAAGAGGATGCTATAAAAGGCAGGTTTGAGGCTGGGTGTGGTGGCTCGTGTCGGTAATCCCAACACTTTGGGAGGCCAAGGTGGGTGGATCACCTGAGGTCACCAGCTTGGCCAACATGGTGAAACCCATCTCTACTAAAAATACAAAAGAACTTAGCTGGGTGTGATGGTGCATGCCCGCAGTCCCAGCTACTCAGGAGGCTGAGGCAGGAGAATTGCTTGAACCTGAGAGGCAGAGGTTGCAGTGAGCTGAGATCGCGCCACTGCACTCCAGCCTGGGTGACAGAGTGAGACTCTGTCTCAAAAAAAAAAAAAAAAAAAAAAAAAAAAAAAAAAAAAAAAAAGAAAGCAGATTTGAAAAAGAAACAAGGAGCATTTGAGTATTTATTATTCTAAATTATCTGTCTATCTCCTTATGTATTTATCTATCTACTCACAATCATTAAAATCTCAATAGATAGGACCAACAGCAAATTACACAAGGGAAGACAGAAATTATGAATAGGAAGATATGCTTGAAGAAACTATCCTGGGTACGTCAGGGAGAAATAAAGACATGGGACATATGGAAAGGCAACTGAGACACATGGATGACAGAATGAGTGAATCCAACTTAAGTGTGATAGGGCTTCCAAAAGAACAGAAAAATGGTGATGGGAGAGAGCATGAGTCAAAGAGATAAAGACAAAACTGAGGAAAGGTGTGTTTTCGGATTGGTGGATCACAGAGCCCTTCTTCTCAATAGAGAAATGAATGAATCAATCAATCAATAACAAACTGTCTTGACCAAGGCACATCTTGATAAAAGTGCAGAACACCAAAGACAGAGGGAAAAATCTGAAAAACTATTAGACAGAAGAGACAAATGGCCTTCGAAGGAACAAGAATCAGACTGACAGTGGATTTTTATTTAGCACCAGTATATGTGGGGAGGCCAAATATAATATTTTCAAAGTGTTGAGGGAACTGATTGTCAGGTTAAACTTTTCTTTCTTTTCTTTCACACAACTAAACCATTATAAAAGGGTGGAGGTTAAATATAGATACTCTAAAACAAAATGAAGAGAGCTTACTTCTCAGAGACACTCACTAAAAGAATTACCAAAGGATATAAGTAGAAATTGGAATGTAGGGAGAAGAAATAGAATGGAAGAAGCAACACTGAGCAAAGAAATAGATAAAGATGTTAAAGAAATCCAAACCAGCACAGAGAATATAGATATAATAATGTCTATGGTTTAAGAGAATTAAAAAAAATGAAACTAAAATATCAGTTACGAAAGAAAGGGGAGAGTTAGGAGTTCTAGAGTTCTTATATTGCTTGACAGGAAGATAATAACAATGATAAATCTTAGCATTCAAGACAAGTTTGCATGTTAAAAATGTATGGGTTGGCACTGGAAGAATAAAATAGAACAAATAACTTCTAAATCAGTAGCGTTAAATAAAAGAGAGAAGGGAGAGGATGTAAGGAAAATATCACACAATAGAAAGTGAGTAGGGAGGATCAGAAGCAGGCTAAAATATATCAGAAGTCATTCTGAAAATACATTTATTTAGATTAAATAAGGACAAAGTTTTTAAAAAATCCACTTCTTCTTATTATTATTATTATTTTGAAGACAAGGTCTCACTCTGTTGCCCAAGCTGGAATAGACGTGCGATCTTACCTTACTGCAACCTTTGCCTCCCAGGCTCAAGCCATCCTCCCACCTCAGCCTCCTGAGTAGCAGGGACTACAGGTGCGTACCACCATGCCCGGGTAATTTTTGTATTTTTTGTGGAGATGAGGTCTCACCAAAAGAGGAGGCTGGTCTCAAACTCCTGAGAGCAAGTGATCCACACACCTCAGCCTCCTAAAGATCTGGGATTACAGGTGTGAGCCACTGTGCCTGGCCACGTATATATTATTTGCAAGTGACCCACCTAAGACTAAAGAAAACCAGTTACTGAAAGTAAAGAATGTAAAAAGACAAACCAGGTAAATATTAAACTAAAAGAAATACTGTAGCAATATCAGATAAAGTAGAGAAATCATTAGGGAAAGGCTCATTATGTAAAGTTGGAAGCCAAAATGTGCCAGCAAGACAATTCTGAACCTATATGTCCCCTCTTACAAAGCCCCAAAGTATATGTTAAAAAATTGACAGAAGACATAGGCAAATTCATAATTGTAATGAGAAATGTTTAGCATAGCTCTCCGAAAATGATAGATCAAGGAGACAAAAAGTTAATATGCACGTAGGAAATTTGAATAACGAAACTTGTGAATAATGAAACTCTATAAACTGGTGTTTATAGATGTGTGCCTGAAGTGATTAGAGAATGCAAAACATTTTTAACTACGTATAGAATATTTACCATTTACCAGACTACAGGGCTAGTCTCAGTATATTTCAAATAATCCACATTTTGTCATTGACCATTATGGAAAAAAAGAAAAAAAGACAAGTTTTTCCTTATCATATGTTTAGATATTAAAACACGTATAAGTAATTCAATTATTAAAGAAGACATTGTAATGAAATTAACCACAAATATTTAGTCTTGAATGATGATTAAAAACAGAGAAAAAAATTACAGATTTCTGGCTTTTAATCCAGCATGTAAGGAACTTAAAAATTGCTGCTCTGTCCTAACAACAAGTAAAAGAATGAAAACAAGGAAATGTCAACAACACTTGTTAAACATGTCGGGGGAAAAGAGATCACAGAGCAAACCACTGCCCCCAAAACTGGAGCGATGAACAGGTGGATACAGAGAATCACAATTTATCATAGCAGAAATCCATTAGCAGAAACCTCAGTGGGAACCAGTGCCAGAGATGGAAAACCTAAACTGGAATCGACAAATTTCTGGATGCTTGGTGTGGACAAGTCTGAGAGTTAAAAACTCCCGGGGGATCCAGTTTATAGGGAGCTACCACATGTTTGTGAGTTTTACCTCCAGGAAGTTTGCCAGGTTCTCATAGTAAATTCATAGTAAATACAGGAAAAAAATATTCCCATGCTTCCATCAGAGTATGTGGAAAAGGACCCATTTTGCCATTTTGATTGTTCTTAGCAAGTCCTATCCTCAGAAGAACCGAACCCATCTGGGGAAAGGAAAATATCCTATTCTAGCTGGCTCTAGCCTTCCATGTGGGGAAAGGCAAATACCCAAATCCACCTACCTCTAGGAATTCTGTCCCACCTAAGAGGGGAAAATAACTTAGCAGCACTAGTGAAATTCATACCAAAAGACTGAGACCTAATCACAGGGTTATAGAATACTTTTTCTCCCCACACAGCTTACCACCACATTACTAAAGGGCTATTTATCATAGTTCCTTGTACCCAGTACATTATGTTCACCTTTTAACAAGAAATTACAGGCATACAAAAAGTAGAAAAAGCACAGTTTGAAGATATTAAACAAGCATCAGAACCAGATCATATATGGCAGGAATGTTGAGATGATCAGAACAGAATTTTTAAAAAACTATAATTGATATTAAGCCCTTTAGAATATTCTAAGGGCTTTAATGAAAAAAGTAGACAACATGCAAAAAGAGATGAACAAAGTAAGCAGTGAGATGGGAATTCTAAGAAGGAATAAAAAATTCTAGAGATAAAAAACACTGTAACAGAAATAAGAATGCCTTTGACGGGCTCATTAGTAGACCAGACATGACTGAATAAAGAATATCTGAGCTTGAGGATATGACACCAGAAACTTTCAAAGCTGAAAAGCAAAGAGAAAAAAGACTGAAAAAAAAAACCCATAACAGAATGTCCAAGAACTATGAGACAGGTACAAAAGGTGTAAATAACATATGCATAATGACAATATCAGAAGAATAAAAGAGAAGAGAACAGAAGCAATATTAGAGCAATAATGGAGAATCTTCCCAAATTAATGTCAGACATCAAAACGTAAATCCAGGAAGGTCAGAGAATACCAAACAGGAAAAATGCCAAAAAACTTAACACCTCAACATATATTCAAACTTCTGAAAGTCAAAAATTAGAAAAATTATTGAAGAAACCAGAGGGAAGAAACACCTTACTTATAGAGCAGCAAAGTAAGAATTACATCCAATGTCTCCTCAGGAACCATACAAACTGGAAGAGAGTGAAAGTATAACAGAAAAAAACCCCACCAATCTAGAATTCTGTACCCTGCAAAATTATCCTTTAAATGTGAGAGATAAATACTTTCTCAAACAAAAATTGAGAAATTTTGGTGTCAGTAGACCTGCCTTGAAAGAAATGTTGAAAGAAGTTCTTCAGGGAGAAGGAAAATGATAATGTAGCAGAAGTTCAGCTCTACACAAAGAGCATCAGAGAATAAATAATTGAAATTAAAATGAAAACTTCTGTTTTTCTTATTTCAAATTGTGTTAACTGATAAGAATTTGTTTAAAATAATAACAGCAACAATGTATTTGATTACATACACACAGGCACACACACATATGCATAAGTGAAAATAATGACTTCAATGATACAGGGTCAGGAG
Organism: Homo sapiens; assembly: GCF_000001405.40. NCBI lineage: Eukaryota > Metazoa > Chordata > Mammalia > Primates > Hominidae > Homo > Homo sapiens. The sequence continues at coordinate 27,364,307 of NC_000022.11, read as the reverse complement.
GGAGGAATTTGGAATATTTTGTCATTACAAGGTAGTTGCACTAACAATGAAGAGGTATAGTGTTATTGAAAAGTAGACTTGGATTCGTTGTGAATGTATGTTGCAAACTCTTGAAAAATGAGTATAACCGATATGTTAAGAATGGAGAGAGGCTGAAATTGTATAAGGTGCTCAAGTAAAGCATCAAAAGTCAGAAAAAGTGTAGAAGACAAAATTAGGAACAAAAAACCAAAGACAACAAATAGGAAACAGTAACAAATATAATAGATATTAATTCAATTATATCAATAATTACTTTAAATGTCAATGGTCTAAATATACCAATTAAGAGACAATGATTATCAGAGTGGGTCAGAAAACAAGACTCAACTATATGCTGTCCAAAAGAAACCCACTTTAAATATAAAGATATATAGGATAAAGGGAAAAGAGTAGAGAAAGGTAGCTCATGCTAACACCAATCAAAAGAAAGCTGGAGTAGCTATATAATAATTTCAGACAGAGTAGACTTCAAAGCAATGAAAGTATCAGGAATAGAGAGGCATTATATAATGATAAAGAGGTCAATACTCTAAGAAGATATAATAATTGTTAATACAGAGGTACCTAACAACAGAGCATTGAACTGCATGAGGCACAAACCAATAGAGCCTCAAGGAGATATAGATAAATCCACCAGTGTAACTGGAGACTTTAACACCCCCCTATTAGAAAGGAACAGTTCCAGAAGGCAGAAAATCAGCAAGAACGTGGTTGAACTTGAACTCAACAGCACCATCAATCAAGAGGATATAATTGACATCTATAGACAATTTTATCCTGCAATAGCACAATGCACATTCTTCTCAAACTCATATGTAACATCCACCAAGGTAGACCACATTTTGGGCTATAAAATATGCCTTAACAAATTTAAACAATAGAAATCATACAATGTCTGCTCTCAGAGCACAATTAGGAATAAATAACCGAAAGATAGCTGCAAAATCCCCAAATACCTGAAGATGAAACAACATACTTCTAAAATAGAATTGGATCACAGAAGAAATCTTAAGGGAAGTTAAGAATTATTTTGAAATAAATGAAAATGGAAATACATCTTGTCGAAATTTGTGGGATGCAGTGAAAGCAGTGCTTAGAGGGAAATTTATAGCATAGATGCATGTTTTAAAAATAAGATTGAAAATCAATAATCTAAATTTCTACTTTAGGAAACTAGAAAAAAGGAGAAAATCTAATCTAAAGTAAACAGAAGAAAAGAAATAATAAAAACTAGAGCTGAAAGTAATAAAATTGAAAGCAGGAAATCAATTGAGAAAATCAATGAAACGGAAAGCTGGTTCTTTGAAAAGATTAATAAAATTGATAAGTCTCTACTTGGCCTAAGAAAAAGAAAGAAGACACAAATTACTAATATCAGAAATGAAAGAAAGAACATCATTATATATCCCACGGACATGGAAATGATAATAAAGAAATATTATGGACAAGTCTATGTCCACAGATTTGATAATCTAGATGAAAGAGACCAATACCTTGAAAGACACACTCACACAAGAGGAAGCAGACTATCTGAATAGGCCCGTATCTATTAGAGAAATTGGATAAATAATTAATTACCTTCCAAAACAGAAAGCACTAGGCCCAGATACACTCATTGGTGAATTCTAACAAACATTTAAGGATGAAATTATGCCAATTCTCTACAACCTCTTTTACAAGATAGAAGCAGAGTAACTACTTCTTAACTAACTCTATAAGGCCAGTATTACCCTAAAACCAAAACCAGAAAAAGTATTACAAGAAAACTAGAAACCAATATCTCTCATGAATGTACATGTAAAAATTCTCAAAATATTAGAAAATTGAATTCAACAACATATAAAAATTATATACCACAGCTAAGTGAGATTTATTCTATATATGTGGCACTGGTTTAACATTCAAAAATCAATAAGTGTAATTCATTACATCAACAGGGTGAAGAAAAAAATTTGTTTTCAATAGATGCAGAAAATGCATTTGACAGAGTTCAATACCCATTCATAATAAAATCTTTCAGCAAACTAGGAAAAGAGGGGAACTTCCTCAACTTGATAAAGAACATCTAAAAAAAAGCTACAGCTAACCTCATGATTAACAGTGAGAAACTCAAAGCTTTCCCACTAAGGTCAGGAACAAGGCAAGGATATCCCCTCATAGCACTCCTTTTCAATATACATCCTGGCTAATGCAGTAAGACTAGAAAATAAAATAAAAGGCATACAGATTGGGAAGAAAGAAATAAAGCTGTCTTTGTTCATAGATGACATGACTTGTCTATGTACAAAATGTGAAAGAATCAACAAAAGAATGCCTGGAACTAATTATAGCAAGGTTACAAAATACAAGGTTAATATACAAAAGTCAATCACTTTTCTAAATGCCAGCAATGAACAAATGAAATTTAAAATAAAAAGCATATTATTTCCATTTAAAATAAAACATTTAGGTATAAATCTAAAAAAATGTACAAAATCTATGTGAGGAAAACCACAAAACTCTGATGAAAGATACTAAATAATAACTTAATAAATGGGAAGGTATTCCAAGTTTATGGATAGGAGGACCCAATATTGTCAAGATGTCAGTTCTTCCCAAGTTGATCCATCAAGATTCAATGCAATACCCAATCAAATCCCAGACAGTTATTTTGTGGATATTGGAAAACTGATTATGAAGTTTATATAAACTGGTGAGCACAGTGGCTCACACCTGTAATTCCAGCACTTTGGGAGGCTGAGATGGGAAAATGCTTGAAGCCAGGAGTTTGAGACCAGCTTGGGCACAACATAGCAAGACCTTGTCTCTACAAGAAGAAAAACAAAAGAAAACAACAAAACCAAAATTTATATGGAGAGGCCAAAGACCCAGAATAGCCGACTCAATACTGAAGGAGAACAAACAGACCTGACACTATCTGACTTTTAAGACTTACTATTAAGCTACAGTAATCAAGACAGTATGGTATTGGTGAAAGAAAAAAACTAGAGCAATGGAAGAGAACAGAGAGCCCAGAAGTAGCCTCATGGAAATATAGTTAGCTGATCTTCACAAAATGAGCAAAGGCATTGCAATGGAGCAAAGATACTCTTTTCAATAAATGGTGTTGGAACAACAAGATATCCACATGCAAAAAAAAGTCAATCTACGTGCAAATCTTTTACCCTTCACTCAAGATAGATCACAGACTTAAATGTAAAATGCAAAACTCTAAAACTCCTAGAGATAACATAGGAGAAAATCTAGATGACCTTGGGTTTGGTGGTGACTTTTTAAGTACAACACCAAGGGCACAATCCATGAAAGAAATAATTGATAAGCCGTACTTCATTAAAATTAAAATTAAAATTTTCTGCCTGCAAGAAACAATGTTAAGAGAGCTTGGAGAAAATATTTGCAAGAGACATATGTGATAAAGGATTGCTGTCCAAAATATACACAGGACTCTTAAAACTTGACAACAAACAACCCTATTAAAAAGTGGCCCAGAAACCTTTACAGACACCTCACCAAAGAAGGTATAGGTGGGAAATAAGCTATGAAAAGATGTTCTGCATAGTATGTCATCAGGGAAATGCAAATTAAAACAACAATGAAATACTACTACAGACCTATTAGAATGACCCAAATCCAAAACACTGACAATACCAAATGCTGGCAAGGATATAGAGCCGCAGGAACTCTCATTCATTGCTGATGGGAAGGCAAATAAATGGTACAGCCACTTTGGAAGACAGTTTGGCTGTTTCTTACAAAACAAAACATACTTTTATCATACAATCCACCAGTTGAACTCCTTGGCTTTTACCTGAGGGAGTAGAAACTTTTCACAGAAAACCTGTATATGGATATTTATAGAAACTGTATTCTGAATTGGCAAAATGTGAAAGCAACTGAGACGTCCATCAGTAGGCGAATGAGTAAACGGTGGTACATTCAGACAATGAAATATTATTCAGCACTGAAAGAAATGAGCTATTAAGCCATAAGAAGACATGAAGGAAACTTGAATGCATATTACAAAATGAAAGAAGCCAGTCTAAAAAGCCTACATACTGTATGTTTCCAAATATATGACAGTCTGTAAGAGGCAAACCTGTAGAGATAGTTAAAAATATCAGTGGTTTCTATGGGGTAGGCTCAGGGAAGGATGAATAGGTGGGGCACAGAAGATTTTTAGGGCAGAGAAACCATTCTGTATAATACTACAGGTATGGGTACATGTCATTACACACTTGTACAAATCCATAGAATGTCTGACACCAAGAGTGAAGCCTAATGTAAACTATGGACATTGGATGCTAATGATGTGTCAATGTAAGTTCATTTACTGTAGCACGTGTACCACAGTGGTGGGGGATTTCAACAGTGAGGGAACTTGTGCATATGTGGGGGACAGGGGGCATATGGGAGCTCTCGGTTGTTTCCATTCAATTTTGCTGTGATCCTAAAACACAGTAAAGTTTATTAGTTAAAAAAATTATGCAAAGCAGCTATAGCTGCACTTAGTGGCAGATATACAGACCTAAAATGAATCTGTTTCAAAAGGAGGATGACTGACAAGTAATGAGCAATGTATTTGACTTGAGAAATTAGGGAAAGGAATAGTAGGGCCAACACTTTAATGCTTTCTATTATACTCAGAGTAAAATTCCAACTCCTACCATGGTCTATGAGTTCTGCATGGTCTGGACTTTGCTCACTACTTCAACCTTGACCCCATCTCCTCTCACTGCCCTCAGCAGAGGCATACAAGTGTGCATTTGTGTACACACACACACACACACACAAACACAGTCTATGCCAGGCTTCTGACATCTCACACACCAAGCTCTGCCCTGTCTCAGGACACTTGCACTTGCTGCTGCATCTTCTTGGAACTCCCACTTTTCTCTCTCTCAAACCCCATACACATCTCTTCAAATGGCTGGACACTTGACATTTGTCAGGCATTGGAGAAGCCTTCCTGGGCCACTCTATGGCCTTTCTTTCTTTGTTTCCAACATATCACTTATCATGGGTAACTATTTTATTTTCTTACTTGTTTCTTTTCTTTCCCCCCATTAGACTCCCAGCTCCATGAGGACAGGGCCTGGGATCTTGCTTATGGCAAACTGGAATGATTGGACACCTTAGCTCTTACAGTGTGTGCATTTTGATATGAAAGTGTTCACATTAAATTTCAATGACCTGGTCTAAGAAAATAACTGCTATCCTTCAATAGAGCTTACATTTTACTAATCCCCATATAGATGATCTTATTTAAATTATTTCATAGGACAATCTGCAAACTGTGCCATCATTCATATACTCTGTTTGGTCTACAAACCCAGGAGCAGGGACCCACATCTTTTCCTAGGTACCTGGTTCTACAGTAGCTTTGCTGCTGGCCTGGCCAGAAGCTGGGCCCCAAGTTCTGAACTCCGGATTAAGCAGCGTTTGTGTAACTTTCTCATTTTGTAAAACGATTGTAGGTCAAGAAATCACAACAAGAGAAGGACAAAAGGCTGGGCAAATTGCTCTATTAACTGAGCTAAAAGGCCCAGTAGGTGATAGCTTTGCTACCTATCAGGTAATTAGCTGCCCTGGAAGCCTGCTTTGTCTAAGGCCTCAGAGAAGAGAAGCCCTCCTTTGTCGCAGGTAAGCAGCCCATTTTCCAATCAGTGGCTCTAATTGCCAGATCACTGGCTTGCACACCTGCTAGGGCCAGACTTGCTCTGTTGGGGAGGTGAATATAGACACACAATCTCCTGGGACCTAGTCACCTGGGTCAGTGGGAATTGAGTGGATGTCCTGGTGCTCAGAAGTGTTTGTGGCCAAGATAGAGACGGTGGGGGATTCAGCTCTGGGAGGATGCCACTTTGTGTTTAGAGCTGTCCATGGCTCCCAGTGTCCTTCTGAAATATACAGACCAGCACTTTTCCAGTGCGAGTGTGCTTTCCCAGGGGATCTTGGTAAAAAGCAGATGCTGATGCAGTAGGCCTGGGTGGAGCCGCAATTCTACAATTTCAGCCAGCATCCAGGTGACAGAGACTGCTGGTCTGTGGACCACACTTTAAGGAGCAAGACATGGAGCTCCAGGCTGACTTTGGGAGAAGGGGAAGTACAGGATTTGTCTGGTACCCCTGAAGTCTTGGCTCAGGTTTCCACTCCCACATCCTGGGCTATGCTAGGTGGTCCTTCGGCGCTCTTGTGACCTCCGTGAAGCCCATCACAGTGTGGACCACACCGTATTGTAAATGCTTATTTACCTTTAAGGCCTGGGCACCTCCTGTGAGGCCACTCCTGACAGCAATGTCCACCGTGGGGCTTGCAAAGGGCACACATTGTCATTGTTCACCAAACTGAACTGGATTATGTGCCTAGTTCTGCCACCATAGCCACATGTCACTTCTTCACTCAAAGCTGCACTTTTCTCATCAGCTGAGTGGGCACAGTGAGAGGCAACCTATATCACCCACTCACCAGGTTGGGAATACAAACAAGGTTGTGCTGCTCCTTCTTTCTCTTTTATTTATTCTTCAATTGAGGTATAACTTACTTCAATAGGGTAAAAGATACAGATTTCTTAATAGAATTTGCATTTGTATATACCTGTCTTATTCTGCTCAGGCTGCCATAATGAAATACAACAGGCTGCATGGCTTAAACAACAGAATTTTATTTTCTCACTGTTTTGGAGGCCAGAAATCCTAGATCAAGGTGCTGGCTGATTTGGTGTCTGATGACGGGTCTGTTTCTGACTTGCAGAGCACCACGTTCTTGCTGTGTATTCACATGGTCTTTCCTTGTGCTATGCATGCAGAGAGCAGGAGGAAGAGAGGGAGAGAGGGGGAGACAGACAGAGAAACAGAGAGTGAAAGACAGAGTGAGCGCACAAACTCTGCTGTTTCTTTTATAAGGATGCTAATCTTATGGGATCAGGGAACCGATGGTCTCATTTAACCTTAATTCCCTTCTAAAAGCCCTAGTTTTAAACATAACCATATTGGGGAATAGGGCTTCAAAGTATGAATTTGAAGGTGTGGGGAGACACAATTTAATACATGGCAATACCCATACAACACTACCCAGATTATGACAAGAATATTTCAGGTATCTCAACAGCCTCCTTTATGTCCCATTTTGGTTAATGCTCCTCCTTCCAAAAGTAATCATATTCTGACTTCTGTCATCATAGATTAGTTTAGCCAGTTCTTGAATTTCATATAAATAGAACAATGAGTATGGTATACTTTTCTGTATGTATTTCTGGTTTCTTGTGCTCAATATTAGGGCAGTGAGTTTCTTTCATGTTGTTACATTCTCCTCATCCTTCTTCTTTCTGAGTAACAATGCATTATAGAAACATACCACAATTTATCTTTTTTTAACCTGTTGATGGACATTTAGGTAGTTTCTAGTTTTAGGCTATTACAGATAGTGCTGCTATGAATATTCTTGCGTAGGCACTTTGGTGGAAATATATAAACATTCCTGTGTATATATGTGTAGTAATATCCAGAAATGAAATTACTGGGTCACAGTCTATGCTTTCAGCTTTTGTAGCTACTGCTAAACAGTTTTCCAAAGAGATTGAACCAATTTGCACTCCCAAATTGAGTATGAGAGTTCTAGTTGCTCCACATCTTCCCCAACACTTGATAATATCAGTCCTTATTTTAGCCATTTTCAAGGGTGTGTGGTGATATGTCATTGTAGTTTTAACTTGAATTTCTTTGATGACTAATAATGTTGAATAGGCTTATTTACCATTTAGCTATCTTCTTTAGTGAAAATAACATCTCTTTTAAATATTCAAATTTGTTAATCAAACCCCTAAATTACCAGGAAGTCCACTTTTTTCCTCTTGTGGTCTCTTCCTCTGCCAGCAAATTGTCCAGAAAGTCTGTTCCAAGGAGGTCAGTCTTGCTTCTGAAGACAGGTGTAGAGTAAACTAGAGTTTCATTCATAAATTATCACTATCTAGTCTTTAGTCTCCACAATGTGCCACTGTTGGGAACTTGTCTGGTGAAGTCTGGCACCTGTTTCCCAAGTTTTGAGGATGTTGTTCCAGATTCCTGTCCAGATTACAGAACTGCTCCATGCTCAGGGTCTCAAGTAGTCTTTTAGAAGCCACAGTCAACCACACAGTCACTGAACACTATAGGTTGGTGGTCGTGTTTTAGAAACAATCAAATCAGGGGGCTGTGACTAGAGGGTCTATCCATTTCAGCTATGGTCCTTTTCCCCAAGCACCCAGATGTTATTATGAGGCTGCATCTCTAGACTAGACACCCCATTTCTTCACAGTGATCTCCACTGTAGGGCTTTAGATGTCCACCCCCTGAACCCGCCACCAATTTGCTTCATCCAGGACCTCCCCAACCCTGCAAAGAAGTTCTAAAAATGTTGAATTTTGCAACAAAGTGAGTTCAGGTCTCAATCTCTCTGCTCCCAGGTGGCTTCTTTTCCAACCACAATGTAAATTTATCCTTGCCCATTGAGAAATCTTGGAGGGGAGAGTGGCAGTCATGTGCCAATGGTTCTATTATACCTTTCCTTCAAGGAATGGGTTTTCACCTTAACTGGAGACACCACTTATGTGGCTCTTTTACAGTCCAAAATTTTACCACAGGGTGACTTACCATGTCAACCTAGAGAAGTGACTGGTGGGTTCTTTTAGTGAAAATAAACTAATTTATTAAAATAATATTTTAATGAAAATAAAATAATAATTACAAGTTCTGTTTCACCAAGTATCTCATTACAAATATTTACAGGGCTGTTATTATGCTTAGTGATAATGGATTAAAGCATTTAAGACCCTTGGGTTTGAAAGCTGGTTGAGAGGCTTGGGGTTTGGGGAATGATCTGGAAGCCATCAAGAGTGGCCTCTAGGTTTGATATGGTTTGGCTGTGTCCCCACCCAACTCTTTTTTATTTTTATTTTTTTGAGATGGAGTCTTGTTCTGTCACGTAGGCTGAAATGCAGTGGCACGACCTCGGCTCACTGCAACTTCCACCTCCCAGGTTCAAGCGATTCTCTTGCCTTAGCCTCTGGAGTAGCTGGGATTACAGGTGCGCACCACCACGCCTGGCTAATTTTTGTGTTTTAGTAGTAGAGATGGGGTTTTGCCATGTTGGCGGGGCTGGTCTCAAACTCTTAACCTCAGGTCATCCACCTGCCTCGGCCTCCCAAAGTGCTGGGATTACAGGTGTGAGTCACTTCACCCTGTTCCCACCCAAATCTTATCTTGAATTATAGCTCCCATAATTCCCATGTGTTGTGGGAGGGACCCAGTAGGAGATAATTGAATCATGGTGGAAGTTTCCCCCATACTCTTATTCATTGTAGTGAATAAGTTTCATGAGAGCTGATGGTTTTATAAAGGGAAACCCCTTTCTCTTGGTTCTCATTATCTCTTGTCTGCTGCCATGTAAGATGTGCCTTTCACCATCTGCCATGATTGTGAGGCCTCCCCAGACACGTGGAACTGTGAGTCCATTAAACCTCTTTTTTTTGTTTGTTTTCTAATAAAAAATAAATTACCCAGTCTCAGGTACGTCTTTATCAGCAGCATGAAAACGGACTAATGCAAGGTTTTAGCCGGTAACTGAAGCTGTAGAAGTGGATGAGAGTGTTCAGGAAGATGACATGGAGAGAAGAGAGATGGATGGGACTGAATTCCAAGAGCATCAGCATTTAAGAGATGGTCAGAGAAGATGCAGGAAGCTCAGCAGGTGCAAGGGCACATAATCAGATGTGCCTTGAAGAAGATACCTCTGCCACTCTGCAGAATAGGCTGCAGATGTGCAGGGTTAGATGCAGAAAGACACCTGGGGGTTGGAGTGGAGGTTCAGGAAAGAGATGATGGGAACTTGGGCTTGGGGATGTGGCATTTGGGGAGTCAGGTCAACGGGGCAAGTTGGAGATGAATTGGGCAGGGGGATGAGTGGACAGGATAAGTCAAAAGGTATCCAGCTTGTGTTGGTGACATTCTGCTAGATGGGAAATTCTCAAGGGCATCAGGGGCCTGGGCGGAGGTTCAAGGTCATGAGGATTCATTTGGACATGTTGAGGTTGAGGAGTTTTAGAGATAATCCAAGCAGAAAGACAAGCTGTTATAGGCTGAATTGTGTCTTCCCTCCACTCCCCCACCAAATTTATATGTTGAAGCCCTAACCCTCAGTACCTCAGAAGGCAACTGTATTTGGAGATAGGGCCTTTAAAGAGGTGATTAACATGACCACATGTGTATTTGAGAGTGGCAGGTGGGAAAAGGGAGAGGATGGAGAAACCACCTATTCAGTACTATGCTTATTACTTGTGTGATGAAATAATCTGCACACCGAACCCCCATGACATGCAATTTACCTATGTAACAAACCTGCATATGCACTCCTAAACCTAAAATAAAAGTTAAAAAAAAGGTGATTAAAGCAGGGTGCAGTGGCTCATGCCTATAATCCTAGCACTTTGAGAGGCTGAGGTGGGGGGATCGCTTGAGCCCAGGAGCTCAAGACCAGCCTGGGCCTGGGCAACATAGAGAGACCCCGTCTCTACAAAAAATTTAAAAAACTAGCCAGACGTGGTGGTGCATACCTGTAGTCCCAGCTACTTGGGAGTCCAAGGCAGGAGGATGGCTTGAGCCCAAGAGGTTGAAGCTGCAGTAAGCCATGATTGCACCACTGCACTCCAGCCTGTACGACACAGCAGGACCCTGCCTCTAAATAATAATAATAATAATAACAATAAATAAAGAGATGATTAAGTTAAAATGAAGTCCTTAGGGTGGGGTCCTAATCCAGTCTGATTGGTGTCCTTTTAAGAGGAAACTTGGATACAGAGAAAGACACTCTGCATGCACAGAGGGAAGACCATGTTGAGGACACAACGTAAAGGTGCCATCTTTGAGCCAAGGAGAGAGGACACAGGAGTAAACAACCCTGCTACACCTTGAACGGGGACTTCCAGCCTGCAGACCAGGGAGAAAATAAATTTCTGTTGTTTAGAAGGTAGCCACCCAGTCTGTGCTACATTGTTATGGCAGCCCTTTGCTGATTAATAAAGTTGTCCAGGAGCTTCAGCCCTACCTCAGATGCTGTGATTGACCAGGACGAGCCTAGGGTACGGGAGCCCTTACTGACTCTTCCCTGGTCACTCTAAGCCCAGCCAAGAATACCTAGCTCAGCTTTCTGAGCACCATAAGACTTCCAGTCAGGCTGCCCTGAAGGAGAAAGCTGAACGGACCAGTATGTAACATGAGGCTTGACTTGGAGGCACCTCACTGCCTCCCTCACCCTTGGGTGCTGGCGATGCCAAATTGCACATCACCTCTGACGGCCCATTGTCTGCGCTCTTCACAGACCTCACAATGGCATTTCATGAATATTTACTGAGCTGCTCAGATATGCAGCAGGGAGAACAAACAGAAAGAGAGAGAGAGACAGAGACAGAGAGAGGGAAGGAGAGGGGAAGGGGAAAGAAGGAAAAAGGGGACCTATCCTAATATTTGCGTCACTCAGAGACAGGATGGAGCAGAGGATGCTGGTACAAGGGGAATCTGGTTTGAGAGTGTGAGCTTTTCCAGGGGGATAAAGGCAACAGCTTCTTGTATAATGAGATTGACTTTTAAATTGAAAGTGCTAGTGCTTGTGCTGCGGTTCAGACTTCCCTGCTGTGTGTTTATTCCCAAGGCTCTAACATTAAGACATCGTACATACGAGCTGGGAGCATTCAATTAGGTTTTCTGTTATTAATCAGCCAATTAAGCAGCAATCTCTGGGATATACATTTTCACTCTTAAAGAGGTGAGAAGCGTGCTGGGGCCCCCAGTCTGGTTTGAAACGCCAGCATGGTGTGGAGGGAGAGGCCAGGGATCTGAGAGAGCCAGGAGGAGACAGGATGGGATGCAGTAGCAGGGGAGAGTGGATCCCATCCTATGGGCAGTGTTGGTGTTTTTGTTCTAGAGACTTCTGGGAAGATGGCCATGGAAGGTTTTCCTGTGGAGGAATGTCAACTGGAAGAAAAACCGTTAGTTGTGAAGTTTGGCTGACTTTGGAGTCAAGTCTGCCACGAGAAATACTGCTTGGCTATGCTGAGCCTCAGTTTTCCCATCTGCAAAACGGGAACTTTTAACCTCTATTTTTGAGTCCTTCCTCCTTTATAAGAAGCAAGTCCAATAAGATAATGAATATGGAAAATTTTTTTGTAAGCTATCACATGCTAGAGAGGGCATAAGGAAGCAGTAGTGGCCATGATGGACAAAATTTCTGCATAAATACATTTGAGGACAGTAATAGGTCTTTGAACATGAAAGATTAGTATATAGACTGAGTGGCTAATAAGCACCTATACTTCATTCATTACATTAATTTGATGGTTCCAATGAAACAGACAAAAGGAAGAGAACACTCTTACCCTAAGTAATACTTCTCAGCCTGCTCTAATAGATAAATCCTGGCTAGGTGCAGTGGCTCACGCCTGTAATCCCAGCACTTTGGGAGGCTGAGGCGGGTGGTTCATGAGGTCAGGAGATCGAGACTATCCTGGCTAACATGGTGAAACCCTGTCTCTACTAAAAAAATACAAAAAAAATTAGCCAGGTGTAGTGGCGGGCGCCTGTAGTCTCAGCTACTCGGGAGGCTGAGGCAGGAGAATGGCATGAACCTGGGAGGCGGAGCTTGCAGTGAGCCAAGACCATGACACTGCACTCCAGCCTGGGCGACAGAGCGAGTCTGCATCTCAGAAAAAAAAAAAAGGTTAAATCCTTCAATTCACTATACCCCAAAATGTAATCAGACTGCAACAATTGGGCAGAATTGGGGAAGGGAGAATAAAGAGAAGATCCCAAAACCTTTGTAAATACAGACTCAGACATTTTATTTATATTCATAATAAGTACCAATCAGAAGAAAGCTGTCAATCTGTTGAGATGGTGGGTCCTTAAAGGAAACAAAATAAGAGCAGCTAACCATTAGGACATAAATCAATTGTAAGTGTTTGGATTTGTGATTAGCATACAAATAATTTGTTGTTAGACATTTTTGAAATTAAGTGTCGGTGTAATTAGCACATAAATCATTTGCACATGGGTGTTCCTGAAGTGTCTGATGTGTAATTAGACATAAATCATATGTATCTGGGAGTTTCTAGGGTGTTTGTTATGTCATTAGCACACAAATCATTTTTACATTGGTGTTTTTAAAGTGTGTGTTGTGTAATTAGCACATGGATTATTTGCAAACACTGTGTATGTTTCAGATTATTTGCTGTGTAACTAGCATGAAAATTATTGGTACATAGAAATTTCTAAAGTATTTAGTGGGCAATGAGCATGTATTTAATTTGTAAATGATAGTCTCTAAAATGCCTTTTGTAATTAGCACATAAACCATTTGTATATGTGTATGTTTAAGTTTCTTGATTTGTAATTAGCGCACAGATCATTTTGTGAATGAGCTCTCTTAAGCAATTTATAATTTGCATGAAAATCATTTATCAATGGGTGTTTCTAGAGTACTTGATTTATAATTAACATATAAGCAATTTGTAGATAGGTCTTTAACAACTGCTTGAAAAAAGTTCTTCCTCTTTTAAGAGATACTCTTTTATCCTGTTTACTTTTGCTTAGCCAGCCTAATTGCACTTGTAGAAAGAATTTATAAGTTGATAAATTTTTATGCTTTTTTACTCACTGAAAGTTTGGAATGCATAGCTGTATACTCAAAGTGTTTTATGAGAGTCTATTCTTGGCTTGTATGAGATCAAAAGTCTGGTGCCTTCTTAGAGATTAGGGTCAGATCTCAAAGTCTCTTTCACCAAGGTGGAGTTGTATCTTATGTTTCAGGGGATCATAAAGTGTCCTGTCTTGGACCTATTACTAGGGATCTAATGAAAATAATGACAGGCAACACCAATTTATAAAAAATATGAGCTTTATCCAAATAAGAAGCCCAAATACCCTAGAAAATGACTGTAAAGGAGACAGATAAGATAATTAAAATTGTTGAGCACTCAGTGGATGCCAGGCATCACCCTAATTGTTTTATGAGAGAAATATCAATTAATTATAATAACCATCATGAGAGTCAGGCATTATAGCACCAGTATTAATCAAAGATACAATGGAAAAAAGTTCCAGAGTTAAGGAAACCTTAATAATGTGTCTTGAAAAATATCACCAGGTTATGAACAAAGTAATGAAAAAAATGACCATGACTAGATTAATTCTGGCTTTGAATTCCAAAGGTAAATGAAAAATCTTCTAAGGATTTAGACAGAAAACATTAAACATTAAAATAATAATTTAACTTCAAAAGACTAAGATTTCTCCCTGCAATAATAAATGTCCCCAAAAGGGCAACTTAAAAGAATAAAAGATGAGACCCCATAATTTTATACCCAGCCAAACTGTTTTTATTGTCTGGAAGTGGCAGAAGAAAACATTCTTATCTATTTTTAGTATTAAAAAGCATATCTTCATATTCTCTTCTAGAAAAAATTACTTGAGGATGGTCTACAGACAACAAATATAGCAAAATGTGGAACTCAAGAATGGCTAAATGGTGATAAGAAAGGACTTGCACATAAACCATGTCTTGGTTTGAATCCAGCAAGAGATTCCATCTGACCAATATAGTAAAGAATGCAGCTTAGAATTTGGTCCCAGCAAAGGAAGAGAAGGGGGAAACTCTCTCTATATTACAGGTAGTTAGGAATGAGCAGGGCAGGAGAGGGTTCTCCCCCCACCCACTAGAAATTTGTGGTGATGGCTCAGCAATTATTACATTGCTTCTCTGAAAGTGATAAATTGGCAGCTGGCACCAGGGAGAGGCTATTTCCTGATGGTCCACACTTATTAACAATAAAGTGTTAATTAAAGCCAGGCCCCAGGGAGAAGCAACTCCCTGGGCATACACATTAAGAGACAAAAATGGCAAAGTATGATCTTCTGGGTACACCACCAGAAAAAGGATGAAAGCCTCAGATGGGCATGCATGTAACTCCCTAAATACACTGCACATCCTCAATTCCCAAGGGTGAGGAAAACACTGAACATGCAGAAAGCTCACCCTAAGGGAAGAATCATGGGAAATAGGTGAGCCTATAAAGTCCTAGGATCAAGATTAAATGACCTACTTTTTTCTCTCTCTTTGACCTTCAGGTGCCCACTTGGATCTCTTCCAAGGGTTCTTTCCTCTCTTTCCTGTTCTAAAGACTTTTTAATAAACCTCCACTCCTGCTCTGGAACTTGCCTCAGTCTCTTTTTCTGCTTTATGCCCCTCAATCAAATTCTTCTTTCTGAGGAGGCAAGGGCTGAAGTTGCTGCAGATCCACACAGATACAGAGCAGTAACTTGGGGTAACCCGGATCTCTTCTGCTGGTAACAAGATGTCTCCAGTCATAAGAGATTCTCACTCAGTATTAAGAAAGTCCTGGAGATGACGTGGTACCAGCCTTGCCAAATCACTTGTAGTGAGATTTCACAATCTTTAGTTGTTCATAAACCAGCTTGCAGTATCTGTATCCATAGTGTTATAATTGAGGTTTTTCTTTAAATCAATCCACTTGATTTTTAAAAACATTTATTTCAAAAGATAATTTATGTAACACTTGTAAATGTAAAACCGTCACCATCAGCCATAAATAGAAGGCAATCATACATATAAAAGCAGTGAGAATATTAAATTTTGACATTACCAGGACATACAGGGTTTTGTCTGTTTCTTTTTTTTATACTTTAGCAACTTGGGAATTAAAATGTAACTTACAACAAATGGTCTTTTACAACTAATTGGAAGATTGGTTTTCTTTCTTAGAGGTATGCAAAAATAATGGCGCATTTGAACAATCATGGCATCTTAGAGTGGGTGGAATACAGTTATAATATTCTATTACATGTAGCTGGCCATATAAGCAATTCTCACCAAAAGTTTTGTGTTTGAAGACTATTTGCTGCTTAAAAAGGGAGATTAGCAAGTGCTAGAGAAGTGTTAAAAACAAGTATAACAAGTGAAATCTTCCCATATAATCAGATCGAAAGGGATTTGTGGAAGGTCTACTTCATTCCATGGGTCAAGGCTATTTAAAGCTGTGTCTGCATATGCCCCAGAAGCAGCTCTTCCACGCCCAGTGGGAAGCAGTCATGTGTAAAATTCTTAAACAAGTTCCTCTTAACAACAGTCTTTAAAAGAGTAGTGCAGGGTTTTCCTGGCCATACCTCCGGCCTCACCGCCAAGCCAAATTTGCCCAAATACAAGAAGATTGTCTCCAAGACCCCACAAAAGCATAATGTATTTGTATACCTTTCAAAGAAAACGCAGTGGAGACTTGTGATTTCTATAATGGTATCAATACCGAAGCCCAGGCTCAAAGAGGTTTTCCAGCCTGTTCCTGTAAGTGAGCAGACAGGCTGGGGATTGGTGGGGAGCAGCCAAAAGTCCTACTTAATCCCTAACTCACTGGTACAGGACCACACTGATGGCTCTTAAGCACAGCCATTCTGTTCTAGCACTTTCCGGCAATGGTGGAACCATTTGCACAAGAGTTGGGGGCTGGGGGGCGTTAGGCGGAAGGTAAGGAGAAAAGGATGCAACCAATATGGCCTATTCTGTGTCCACAAAAGCAGAGCTTCAGAGAGCAGCATGAGAGTTACTTTTCCTGTCAGAAACCTGAGAAAATATTTTCTAAATATTAAAAACTGACATTGAATGACCTGATTTCACTGGACTTTTTTTTTTTTTTTAATTGAGAAAGACAAACTGGTTGCCCAGTGGTAAATATTAGGGAATTCTGAAGGGCTCAACCTGTTGTCTTCTGCCTGGGATTCCTAAATGATCCAATGTTAACTTTACCTTCTTTTGAATGAATACACATACATGATGTATGATGTACAGTATATATTAAACACAGAAAAAGAGGGTGAAAAGTTAAAAAGCAAATCCTATAACATTAACAGAGATGACCTCTTTGTTGGTTGAATTCTGATTGATTACTTTTACTCTATACTTCTCTCTCTTTCCCAAATGTTTGACCATGAGTGTTTATTGACCTTAGAATCAGAAAAGAAGACAAACATTAGAATTTACAATATTTACATACCTATCAATCTTAAGGATGTTTGAAAAAGCTTAGGAAAAACTACGATTATTTTTGCATGACAGGTTTTGGGTGATTTTTATTTTTTTTTCCCACTTTTTAATATATTACTTTTTTTTCTTAAACAACAATGGATTCATTTTGTAAGAGCAATGATAAAGTTATTTTAAAAGGGAACAAAAACAAATGGACTCAACTGTACCTTAAAGTAGTCCAATAAACTTCCCAGTTACATGAACAGATGTGTGTGCCATGTGCACACACACGTATATTTACACACACATATATTTACAGTTATGCATCACCTAACAATTGGGGTATTTCTGAGGAATGCATTGTGGGAACATCATACATGATTTCACTGTATGAACATCACACAGTGCATTTACACAAACCTAGATGGTGTAGCCCGCTACATACCTAGGCTTTATGGAACCTAGGAGCTCTTACTCCCAGGCTACAAAGCTGTACAGCATGTTGCTGTACTGAATACTGTAGTCAATTGTAACACAATGGTAAGTATTTGTGTATCTAAACATAGAAAAGGTACAGTAAAAATGTGGGCCGGGCGCTGTGGCTCACGCCTGTAATCCCAGCACTTTGGGAGGCCGTGGTGGGCGGATCACGAGGTCGGGAGATGGAGACCATCCTGGCTAACACGGTGAAACCCTGTCTCTACTAAAAATACAAAAAAATTAACCGGGCGTGGTGGCAGGCGTCTGTAGTCCCAGCTACTCGGGAGGCTGAGGTAGGAGAATGGCGTGAACGTGGGAGGCGGAGCTTGCAGTGAGCCGAGATCGCGCCACTGCACTGCAGCCTGGGCAACAGGACGAGACTCCGTCTCAAAAAAAAAAAAAATGTGGTATCGTATTCTTATGGGACCAGTGTTGTGTATGTGACCTGTCATTGACTGCAATGTCATTATGCAGCATATTACTGTATATATAGTTATATAATGTATTCATAGATATAGTTATTATATATTCACTAACCTAGTTTGAGTTGGGTTTTATAATTTATAGCAGAAGGAGTCCCAATTAATACACTGTTGCAGACCAAGTTGGACTTTATCTTCCTGCAAACTCATGTTCATCCCTAGGTTCCTCTCACTGAAAAGCCCCTTAATACAGGTCATTTTTAATGGTTTGCTTTCAAACTGGTTTTCTAAGAAAACAGTCCCAGCAGGTTTGACAGAGTGAGAGCAGCCTGGAGTGGGTCCGGGAGAAGAGCCCTCCAGATTAAGTTACCGGCTGCGGAGGAGAGTGGACTGAGAATGTTTTCTAAATAAGCCTCGACACAGCCTAACGGCACATGCCTGCTTTATTTCTCCTTGTTAGCTCTGACCTCTCTCCCTCACCCAGCACTCCGCCATGCACTCAGGACTAATTTGTTCAAATAAAACCTGACTGTTTGCAAGCCCAGGTGAAAGCGATATATTTAAATACATCTTTAAAGTCAAATAATATATATATACACACATATACATACTATGAGAATGCTGTTCTTGCTTTATTAGCCTCAACTGGAGAAGGAAGAGGGGGAGAGGAGATCTTTCTCAGGGCTGATTCCCTGGCTGTGCAGCCTCAGGTAAATTCCTTGCCTTCCTTGAGCCTTTCAAATGGGTCAAGATGACCTACAGATGTTCCCTTCCAGTGCTGACATTTTTATTATTTGTGAGAAATGAGAGGAACCGCAGCTATGTTAAACATTGATGCATGTGTTTACTCACTTCTTCCTACCACTCCATTCATTCATTCATTCTGGTGCTTGAGTGAACAAGTAAGCTGGTGAGGTGGGATGGCAAGCGTAATTAGACAGACCTATATTCAAATGTCAGTTCTGTTACCTGGGACAGCTCCCTCAAAGGCCTGGGACCTCACTTACCTGAGGACCCAGGGACCTCTATAAAGTGAGTATAGCATTACCATCCCCAAGTACCGGAGAGGGGAGATCTACATGAAGGTAAAATTAGAGGGCCCGGTACAAAATAAATCCCTAGATCACACCAATTTCCCAATTTTAGAGCCCCTCTTCATATCTTTATTATTTTTTTTTATGAGAACTTAATCATACAAGGACTTTTGCTTCCAGCAAGATGGGATAACAGGGCCTGGATTTACCCTCCCATATGAAACAACTAAAACAGAACAAAAGAAAACACATAAAACAATGGTTTTCAAGACATCGAACATCAGATATCAACGAACAGTGATCCCAGAGAGATGGCAAACAAATGAGGTGAGCTCTACAATTGCCCCAGCTTATACCTTGAGAGAGACTCCAGTCCACAACATAGGGAGAGGGAACTCAGACAGATCTGGGTGTTCTTAAATGGAGGAGATAAGCCTGGGTGTCCAGGGAGGCCAAATCTGCTACAATTGGCAGAGCCAAGTACCAGAGAGAGAAAGCTGGAAAAGAGAGCTCTGGGGATTTGCAGAGGGCTCTCCTTAAGTACTCAGCAGAGTGCTTATCAACAAATGCTTGTGAGGAAATGACCAGAGGCAAAGAGGAAGAAGCACTTGAAAGGATTAGATACCATAGTACTCAGGAATAACTCCTGTTCCATCAGGTGGAGCTCTCAGAAACATTTTACCTTAGTACTCGGAATAATTACTCCTAGTTCAAACATTTTTCTGGTCCCACCTGACAAAGCTTAAAAGCGAGACCTGAAAGGATCAAACTGTTTCCAAGTAACTGCATCTAGGAACAAAGCTCAAGAATATTTATAGAAATACAAAAAAATTAGCACCTGAAAGGATAAAATTCACAATAGCTGGCACACAATCAAAATATTACCAGGTATGCAAAGAAGCAGGAAAATAGAACCCATAATGAGGAGAAAATCAGTCTACTGAAACTGAGTCAAAATGGCAAGGACATTGAAAGAGCTTTTAAAGTTGTATTTCTTATGTTCAAGAACCTAGAGAAAAGATTGAGCATATTAAGTGGAGACATGGAGACATAAACATTTTCAGAAATAAAAATGACCATATCTGAAATGAAAAATATATT
This sequence comes from Homo sapiens, assembly GCF_000001405.40. Lineage (NCBI taxonomy): Eukaryota > Metazoa > Chordata > Mammalia > Primates > Hominidae > Homo > Homo sapiens. The sequence continues at coordinate 27,344,170 of NC_000022.11, read as the reverse complement.
GAATGGCATTAACAGAAGATTAGACATTGCAAGAGAAAAGATTAGTGAATCTGAAGACACAGAAATAAAAACAAACCAAATCAAAACACAGAAGAACAAAGAATTAAAAAATAGAACAGAGCATTAGTAAGCATTAGTAAACTGGGGGACAACTTTAAGCAGCCTAACACACATGTAATTGGAGGTTCTGAAAGGAGAGGATGGAAAAAAAGTTTGATGAAAACTCAGATTCAAGAAGCTTAACAGACTTCAAATGCAAAAAACAAACAAATAAAATCTATTCCAAGACAAATGATAAATACCTAAAACAATGAAAAAGAGGAACAGAGAAAAGAACATATTACATGCAGATGGAAAAAGATAAGAATTATAGTAAACTTTTCATAAGGAACAATGCAAGCCAGAAGATAGTGAAGCAGTATCTTAAAAAAAAAATGTTTAGAATTATATATCCAGGAAATATATTTTACAAAAAATAAAGTGAAATAAAGATTTCTTTAAAAAAAAAAAAAGATGTGAAAGCTAAAGCGTTTTTTAGCTAAAGCTAAAAAAAGACATGTTAAACTCTGCAGGAAATGTTAAAGAAAGTCCTACAGGCCAAAGGAAAATGATACTAATGTGGAATATGGGTATTCAAAGAAATAAAGAGCACTGGGCATGGTCACTGAATAGGAAAATATAAAATACTTTTTTTCCTAACATCTAAATCCCTTTAAATGATAATTCATGGTTTAAAGGGAGAACACTAACAATGTATTGTGGGGTTTATAACATACATAGTATGTAAATTGTTACAGTAAATGCACAAATGCCAGGTGAGGAGAAATAGAAGCATATTGTTGAAAGGTTCCTATATAATATATGAAGTAGCTTAGTATTTTTTAAAGGTAGGCTCTAATAAGTTAAAGATGTATGCTATAAACTCTAAAGCAACCACCAATAACACAGAAAGTTATGGTTAATTCCAGAAGGGATAAAACAGAATAATAAAATAACACTCAATAAATCCAGAAGACTGGAAGAGAAGAAGAATAAAACAAAAAACAGATGAGACAAATACAAAGTAAATAATAATATGGTAAGAAGATAGATTTCAGTCCAATCATATGAATAATCATGTTAAATAAAAATTATTCAAATACCTAATTAAAGGAGAGGTTGTTAGATTGAATAAAAAAGCAAGACCCAACTATTGCTTCTTATAAGAAATTTAATTTAGATATAAGGATGCAATAAATTAAAAGATGGAAAGATATACTTCCTAACACTAATTAAAGAAAGCTTGTGTGGCTATATTAATGTCAAACAAAGTAAATTCTTGAGCAAAAAATATTTTTATTGATAAAAAGGAATGCAAGCCTTGGTTTCACATTAAAAAATCAGCGTAATTCATCATATTTACAAACTAAAGATGAAACACCATATAATTATCTCAGTATTCACAGAACAGGAATTTGAAAAAATTCAATATCTATCAATTTCTATTAAAAACTCCTAGCAAACTAGAAACAGAGAGAAACTTTCTTAACTTGATAAAGGTTATCTATGAAAAACTTACAACAAACACAATATTAAATGGTAAGTAAGTGAATGCTTTCCCTTTAATATTAGGAACAAGGCAATGACGTCTGATAGCACTTTTAGTCAACATTTTTCTGGAGATTCTGGCCAGTACAATAAAGGAAGAAAAAGAAAGTAATAAGAGGCATCTATATTTATTAGCAAACAATATAATTATCTTTCTGGAAAACCTGCTGTATCTACACTAGAGCTTGTAAATTTAGCAAGGCTGAAGAATACAAGATTGATATACACACTCAACTACATTTCTATATATTAGTAATGAATAATTGAAAATTGAAATGAAAACCCACTACTGCTTGCAATAGCATGTGAAAATATGAACTAGGGATACATCTGAGAAAAGGTGGGCAAAACCTTCATATTGAAAACTAGGGAATATTGTTAAGAGAAATTAAAGAACATCAAAATAGAGGAAGAGGTATACCATGTTCATGGAACAAAAGAGTCAATGTCATCAAGATGCCAATTTTCCCTAAATTGATCTATGGATTCAACATAATCCCAATCAAAATCCCAGCAGGCTTTTATTATTTGGTAGAAAAAAAGATACAATGATTCTAAAATTTGTATGGAAAAGTATAGAACCTAAAAAACCCAAACCTCTTTAAAAAGATAAATAAAATTGAAAATATATTTACAGTACCTGATTTCAAAGGCTAAGTCCAAGTTTCCTCCTATTCCTAGTATGGTATTAGCAAAAAGATCAATATATCAATGGAACAGAATAGAATCTAGAAATTTACCCATACATATACAATCAGTTGACTTTCAACACAGGTGCCTCGGCAATCTAGTGGTGGAAAGATAGTATTTTCAACAAATAATGTTGGAAAAATGGGCTATTCATATCCAAAGAATTAATACCTTTTGTCCATACTTAATAAAATAAAAATTAGGTTAAAATTGATTAAAGATCGAAATATAAAACCCAAAACTATAAAACTTCTAGAAGAAAGCATATCAGAAAATCTTTGTGACCCTGAGTTAGGCAAAAAGATCTTTGATATGACACCAAAACCATTATCCATATAAGAAAATATGGATAAATTGGACTTCATAAAAATTAAGAACTTTTGCTCTTTGAAAGGCATTGTTAAAGGAATCTAAAAATGCACAGAGTTAGAGAGAATATTTTCACAACACATATTTGATATAGTACTTTTATCCAGAATACGTAAAGAACTATTAAAGCTTGATAACAAGCAAACAAAGAGCCTGATTAAAGAATGGGCACATGCTCAAAACTGATGCTACAACTATCTCAAAATAAGATGCTTAGTTTTGAGAAAGGGCGAAAAAGTTTGAATAGATGCTTGAACAAAGACAATATACAGACGGCAAATAAGCAATGAAGAGATGCTCAACATCATTAGCCATTAAGATACTTCAAATTAAAATCTCAATGATATACCATTGTATACTGATTTGAAAGTCCAAAATGTAAAAGGCTATTCCTATCAGGTGTTGGCAAAGACAGAGAGACACTAGAATTCTTATTCACTTCTGTTAGACATGCAAACTGTACAGCCTCTTTGAAAAATGGTTTGTGGTTTTAAAAATACTTAAACATACTGCTACCATGTGATCTAGCCATTTCACTCCTAGATACTTATCCAACTGAAGGGATCTATTCATACAAAGACTGTACATCAATATTCATGGCAGCTCTATGTGTAATAGCCAAAAACTGGAAATAATCTAAATAACACCCATCAAAAGGTGAATGGATCCACAGACTGCAGTACATTCATGCAATGGAATACTACTTAGCAATAAAAAGGAATGAGCTGTTGACATATGCAAAAACTTGGACAAAACTCAAAGGTATGCTGAGTTAAAGAAGCCAGACACAAAAGATTACATGCTATATGATTCCATTCATATAGAATTATAGAAAAAGCAAAGGAATCTATACTGACAGAAAGCAGAACAGTGGTTGCCTGGATTGCAGGGTGATAGTGGAAGTGGGGAATGATGAGAGGAAAAGATGACAAGGTGACTTCTGGGGCACAATTGATCATATGTTTATGATCTTGAATGTGTTGATGCTTTTATAGGTGCATACATATGCCAAAACCAATGAAATAAGAAAGAATTTTAGAAGTAAACATAATCGCAGAGTCCTGCTCTTGGCAATTTGAGTCTGCTATCAGCCCCTGAGGGTGAGAACTACACAAATTTCCTCTTATTAGTCTAAGGTCCCAACCACACTTGACACGTAGGAGGGAATGGATAAGCCCTTGACTGTTCCTATCAAGTAGATCTGAGTTCAAGCCCCCATCTTACTTTATGCTTGCTTTGAGAATGAGAACAAATGGCTTAACTTCTTGGAGCCTCAGTCTGCTTTCCCATAAAATGGGCACATGAATAGACATCCAGATATTTACTATCACCTCCATCATTCCACACTGTAAAGATCAGTTCACTTGTCTGGCCTCCCTTCTCCCATGCTGGGGTCAGGTGCTCCTCAACCTGCCTCTGCTTCCTAAGGCCTGGCAGAGAGTGGGAACTTTCCATGTTCATCTCACTGTCTCCGAGTAAAAAGTGATATGTGTCATGCAGCACAGAGCCACTCCAAGTGACCAAAGGCTACTACTGTCCAAATCCCAGAGACTCTGACCAAGCATGCTGTGGTCCAGGGTGGGAATGTGGAGATGAGAACTGCCCCCTCTTTGGTGAGCAGTCACTGCAAGGCCCTCTTTGGTGTCTCATTCTACTCATGCCTCTCTGAGTGTGTGGCCCAGCAGACGAAGGTGACCACCATGCCAGCCCTTTGCCATGTCTGTTCTTTGGGAAGACACCTCTTTTCCCCTGAGGGCTCTAGCCTGTCTTACATCACAGTCAGGTACCTGGGGAGATGTAGGCAGGTGGCAGGATGTTGACTGTTAGGATAATCAAATTAGAAAATAAAAGGACAGTGCCTGTAGCAAGTGTTTAGTAAATAGCTGTCATTATTATCATCATGGTATTTACGATAGTGAGTTCTTTGGGGCTGGGTATTGTCTACTGCTTCTCCACTCCCAGTACACTGCCTGCTCACAGTAAATGCTGGGTTCACTAGCAAATAAATGAATTCATATGTTTCTTAGCAAATAAATGAATGAATTCAGGCCTGACTTTACCCAGGTACTGACTGCCTGACCACCCTAAACTTGCCCTATAATTAGAGGCTTGGGCCTGCCTCAGTGTGTGGGGGTGAGGCAGTCTGTTTCAGCCCACATGTGTCCCTGGGCATCAAACTCCATGGAATAGAAAGATGGGGGCAGAAAATCAATATCTACAAGCAGGAAAAACAGAATGTTACTTGCATTCTCATATTCTAATATCTTGAATCCTTAATCAAACCTATAATCTAAAATTCAAAAGAGGGCTCAGGGAAAACAAAGACTGCTTCATGCTCAATAGAAGCTTGGGCCCTGGTTGAAGTGCATTGTGGTTTTGTTCTATGAAGTCAGGAAAAGAGAATGAGATAGAGGAAACAGCAACAACAATATCTAGCTACCATCAGTTGAGTATATCCAATGTGCCAAGTACTGTGCATGCCATTGAATCTTTATGACCTTAGCAGTGGGTGTGATTCTCATATTCACGGGGAAACTGAGGCTCCAAGAGGTGAAGTGACAGGCCTTTGGTCATAAAGTGGGTAAATGGTGGGGCCAGGCAAAGCCAGCTCAACTGATTTGCAAAACCTCTCTCTTCTCCTCCATCCCAGGCTGTCTCTGGTCCCATTGGTTACTCCCTTCCCTCTGCTCACACATTGTCTTTGTCCATGAAGTATTACTATAACAGAATGCCTGAGACTGGGTAATTTATGAGGAACAGAGATTTATTTCTTACAGTTCTGGAGAATGGGATGTCTAAGATTGAGGGGCTGTATCTAGTGAGGACCTTCATGCTGTGTCATTCCATGGTAGAAGGTGGAAGGGCGAGAAAGAGTGAGAGAGCAAGAGATTAAACTTGCAGCCTCGAGTCAGCCCTTTTATAATTGGCATTAATTCATTAATGAAAGTGGAGCCCTCATTAAACACCTCCCATCAGGCCCCACCTCCCAACACTGTTGCATTGGGGATCAAGTTTCCAGCACATCAACTTTGGGGGACACATTCAACCTGTAGCACCCACCTATTAGAAATCTTGGGCCAGGTGGGGTGGCTCATACCTGTAATCCCAACACTTTGGGAGGCCAAGGCAGAGGGATCACCTGAGGTCAGGAGTTTGAGATCAGCCTGGCCAACATGGCAAAACCCCGTCTCTACTAAAAATACAAAAATTAGTTGGACGTGGTGGTTTGTGCCTGTAGTCTCAGCTACTTGGGGGGCTGAAACAGAAGAATCACTTGAACCTGGAGGGCGGAGGTTGCAGTGAACCAAGATCGTGCCACTGCATTCCAGCCTGGGTAACAGAGTGAGACTCTGTCTAAAAAAAGAAAAAATAAAAAAATCTTGGCTCATACCCTTTCAAAGAGCAATTCCAGCAAGTCTGTTTGGCCACAGCCCTTCTGCTCTTGTACCTAATTGGTTGGTCTTTGGAAAATGGAGTGACCCCTGAGAAGTCAAGGTGGACTCTCAGTAACAGCTTGAGCCTGGTAAGTTAGGAGACCTTTTTGAAATTGGATTGCAACCATATGAGCTCATGTGACCCATGGGAGAGGACTTGGAGGAGGGCTAGTGGTAGTGTTGGTGACATCAGGACCCCTCACACACGCTGGCCCTTTGCACATGCTGTCCCACTGCCTGGAATCTCCTCCCCGCACACCTCATCATTCTGAGGTCACAGCCTCACCTTCTCACTCTGGCCTCTCCTTGTTGCCCCCACACCCATTCTCCTCCCCTGCCTAGTTTCCTTCCATATTACTTGATACTTTCTAGAGAATTATATATTTTCCTTTATTTCTTTGATCATTGCATATATAGACCATAGTTTACTCACTTGGCTTTTACTGATGGCCAGTTATGTTTTTGGTCTTTGGCCAGAAGGAGCATCCTTATGCATATATCTTTGTCCACCGTGCAGTGATTTCCTTAGGATGAAAAAGTCCCTGGTGATGGAATTGCTGAACCAAAGATACCCAGTATCTTTCTGATGTGGTACCTTATGACTTAATATCAGCTGTTCAATCCAGAGGAGGCCTGTTAAAGTGAGTTTTTGTATGGACTTTAACTAACCACGCTTTGACTTGCTCTCTTGTTAGGAAGAAGTGTGGCCTGAGCCTAGTGCCATGGTTGTCAATTGGAGCAATGCGCACAAATCTTCACTCCTCCCTGAAACCACAGTCTTTACCATGTGATTTTGCAGAGCCCTTCAACACTGACTCTGGACCACGCACATGACATGCTTTGGGCAACAAGATGTCAGCTTATGGGATACATAGGCTTCCAATATGCTTGTTTGGATGGGCTTTCTTTCTCCTGCTCCTTGCCATCACTGCAAGACGTACATGCGTAGGCTACCCTGGAGGATGAGAGATACATGGAGCAAACTGAGATGCCAGAATCATTCCCACTGAGGCCAGTCTCAATCAGCCAACAGCCAGCCAAGCCCTGGGCATGAGTAATCCCCAGCAAGATCAGCAGAACCACCTGGCTGAGCACCCTAAATGCACAAGCAATGCAAACTTATTGCTGTATGCTGCTGAGGTTTTGTGGTTTTTTTAAAAAATGTAGCATCAGTCAATTAGCATAAGTCAATAGATAACTAATACACAAGGCATGACAGTGAAACCAATTTTCTCACTGCTCTACCAATAGTAGGGGCTTTTGCAGTCATCCTCTGCAGGCCTGGGCATATTCTAAAATAACTCCATTGGTATGCACATTTGTAAAAATTTTTATTCTGCTCATCAGCTGGGGGACTTGCTACTGCTTCTTGGAAGAGGCAGAGCCCTAAGTAAGATTTTTGAAGGAGAGAGGAGGTTGGAAGAACTTGAAGGTATGCAAAGTGATGAATGACGTCAGGCTCATGACCACTGAGTTGTGTTCTAAGCTCCTTGCCATCCAGGCTTACCCCGCACGGTTAGGGATTTCTGATGAGAGAAAGCAAGGGAAGTCATCTACAAAGGCAAGTGTTAACCTTGAAATAAACTTGCATGGGAATTTACCGTGTTAGTTACCGGCATGAAGGACACAAAATAACAAAGAGGGAAAATTTATCAACCACAGTTTTGCAAAAAGCCATGCAGTGGTGTGGTTAAGAGACCTGGTTAGGGCATCAGCATGTCTTGGCATGAATCCCAGGTCTGCTACTAATTTTTGTGACTAGGGACTGATGCTATAACCTCTCCGGATCTCCTTTCCTTGAATGCACAGCAGGGGTAAAAGCACCTACCTCGTGTGTGCTCGGTTGCAGACTTAGAGTCCTTCCTTGGAATGCTTTGCTCTGCTCTTCTTGGCTTGTTGGGCTCCCCGAGATCTCCCTGGAAAACATCTTCTGCGCTGGGTGTCCCCTTTTTATAAATGCTCCCATGGGGAAAGTTCTGATTCATCCACTCCAGCTAAATGGGTGAGACTCAGAGGGATCAGATGGAGAAGCTGGCTTTGGGGAAGCCTCACACTCTTCATTAGTCAACAACAAAGATAACAGCTACCAGGATTTGAGCACTTACTTGGATTATCATAACAGCCCTATGAAGGAGAACCTGTCATGATCACTCCCATGTTACAGGTGAGAATTTGAGCCTTGGAGAGTTGAGTCATCTGCTCAAGGTCACACAGCCAGTAGTGCAACTCAGGTCTGCCTAAGTCTGAGAGGTATTATCCAAGACATATACCAATATACCATAGATCTAGTTAGAAATGTAGTTGCCCTTAGAATAAGAACAAAAATACCTTTCAAGCAAATCTCATCCAGAGCTCAAAACGTAACATAAGAGATTTGAGCCCATCTTAGTGCTCTTTCTTCTAGGCTTATTTCTTTCCCCTCTAGAAGCCTTTGGCCTTGCCGTTGCTTCCATGGGCAGTTAGAATAGGCTAAGCTATTCTGCAGTAACAAAGTAATTCCTGAATTTTAGTGACTTCAGACAATTTTTATTTCTCACTTATGCTACTTGCTCCCCAAGAGACAGCTGAGGTGTTGCAAAGCGCTGGCTTCAGTCAGAGGTAGGACCAGCTCTGTAATTTGCAGAGCTCAGTGCACAATGCAAATGCAGGACCCCTTGTTCAAATATTGCTAAGAATTTGAAGATGGTGACAACAGAGCAATAAACCAAGTGCAGGGTCCCTTTAACTGTGGGACCCTGTGTGACTGCACAGGTTGCTCACCTGTGAAGCTGGCTCTGCTGAGGGGTCCCGACTGATGGAGGCACCATGATTTGGGGCTTTGCTGTCATCAGAGCAGAGGGCTTGGGAGCCCAGCAAATCACTCACTGCCTCTTAGAGTTCTCCTGGAAGGGATACTCATCACTTCCTCTTGCTTATGTTCATACTCTCCACTTCTGTTCCAAATGGAGGGAGGAGAGATGGAATATTTGTACACAGACCTCAATGGCCACCCACCTCCTGCCCCCACCATGGTCTTCTCCAGTATGTGCCCCCTATACCTCCTCTTGCTATTCCTATTCGCCAACCAGATGCCATCTTCCCAGAATACTGAGATGACAGATCACAACAAAGAGGGCACAGCCATCCTTTCCCAACCCCAGTGCATCTACCTCCTACTGAGACCTCCCTTCCTTGCCACTGTTCTCACCCTTGACTCAGCCATCTTCATCATGAATCTGCATGGTCATCTACCTGTAATTCAGGTTATGATGCTTGCCCCCAAATTTATTTTGTAGACAGTAACCTAAGGGCTCTTTAAAAAGTGCCATTCCTCTTTTTCAAACCTTCCAATGACTTCCAGTTGTGAATTGAATGGTGTCTCCCCACCCCAAAGAATATATTAAAGTCCTAATCTCTGGAGCCCGTGACTGTGATCTTATTTGGAAATAGGGTCTTTGCAGATGTCATTAAGCTGTACATTATGATGGGAGTACTACTGGAGTAGGGCAGACCCTTAATCCAACAAGACCAGTGTCCTTATAAAGAGAGGACAAGGAAACTCTAAATGGACACAGAGGAAGAGAATGCTATGCGGTGACAGAAACGGGGACTGGAACAACATGCCTGAGAGGTAAGGAACACTGAGGAGTGTTAGCAACCCTGGGAGCCAGGAGAGAGGCCTGGAAAAGATTAACTCCTTTTTTCTTTTTTCTTTTTGAGATGGAGTCTCGCTCTGTCACGAGGCTGGAGTGCAGTGGTGCGATCTCGGCTCACCGCAACCTCCAGCTCCCGGGTTCAAGCGATTCTCCTGCCTCAGCCTCCCAAGTAGCTGGGACTACAGGCACACGCCACCAAGCCCCGCTGAAAAGGTTAACTCTTAGAGCCTTCAGAGGGAGCATGGCCTTGCCGACACCTGTTTTTGACTTCTGGCTTTCAGAACTGTAAGAAAGTGAATTCTTATTTTTGAAAGCCTCACAGTTTGTCACAATTGGTTACAGCAGCCCTAGGGCACTAATACACTGCCTGTCACCCTAAGAATCAAATTTTAATGCCTCCCCTCACTTGGCCTATAAGTCCCTGCATGGCTTGAGTTCTGCCTACCTCTCAACCTTATTGCAAACCACAGTCTACTATGCCCACTGTACTTCAACGACACTGGCCTCCTTTCTGCCTTCAGACTTTTGTTCTTGCCATTCCCTCTGCCTGAGTAACCTTTCACCACAGCAAGATTGGGCTCTTCTCATTCATCAAGTCTCCACTAAACTGATCTCTTCATGAGAGGCTATTTCTGGGGCCCTATGTAAAGTAGCTCCTTCTGTCTCCACATTGTTCTTGAACTAGCCCTTCACTATCTTTGATCAAAGATCCCTGGTGATCTTCCTGACATTTTTCACTATTAGTGATGATTTTCTTGATCTATGTATGTGTTGTCTGCCTTCTCTACTGGAACATAAGCTCCATTGCCAGTGTGGAGAATAAACTATAAGGTGGGCCCCATGATCTCCACTTCCCAGTACTCACACTCTTTTGTGACACTTCCCTTGAGTGTCTTGCCTCTATCCAATGCTACAAAGGGGATAGGATGCCACCTCTATGATTATATTGTATAAAACTGTAATGCCTATCTTGCTAATATGCGAATACATTATCTCCCTTGCTAGCTTAGATGGTGCCAGTGGCCATGTTGTAAGCCAACCTATGGAGAGACCCCCAGGGTAAGGAACTGGAGACAGCCTCTAGCCAATAGCCAATGAAAAACAGAAGGCTTCATTACTCAGTGTTAATGGAACGGAATTCTGCCAACAAACACATGAATTGGGAAGTGGCTCCTTCCCCAGTCAACCTTGCAGATGAGACTGCAGACCCAGACAACACTGTGACTGCAGTTTCATAAGAGATCCTGAGCGGAGGATCTTGCAAAGCCTGGATTCCTGACCCACAGAAAACATGAGATAATAAGTGTTTGTAGTTTTCGGCCACAAAGTTTGTGGTGACGTGTTACATAACAGTAAATAACAAATACAGTCAATGACCTACTCTCTCTTGTTTGCGCCTCTGACTCAAGGCCTGGCACAGTGTATCTCTTATAGCAGGTGCATAGTTAACATGCATTGGCTGATTTAATGCATGGTGCTCAGCAACATGGCACTGCAGCATGTTGCCAAAGTGTGTGTATGTATGTATTGTGTGCGTGTGTGTGTGTGTGTAATAGATACTATCATATACATATTAATATTCAGGGTAGACATATATAGTAGATAGTACATTATAGATAATATAATGTGTATATATGTATACACACACATGCACACATACACAGGGTAGAAAATTAGACTTTCCAATGGAGACGAAAGATAGCCAGCACTAGACTTGACCTCATGGGTTAGGGATTTTTGCCACAATCTTCCTCCTTGTCCTTCACCATTTATTTTTTTTCTTAACATTTATAAAGAAATAGGTTGAATTGTACCATTACTAGGGTCTCCAGCAGTTTTGCTTTCTATTCCAGTCTTTGGAGGAAGGTCATGAAAATGCTTACTTTTTCATGTTTTTTTTTTTTTTTTTCTGGCCTGGTCTCAAAAAATTTAAGACTCTTCGAGTTAATATAATAAAGTTAAAAAGAGATTGAGATAAATCAAAAAAGATGGAGAGAGAGAGACCGGGGATGGGGGGGAAAGAGAGACACAGAGAGAGAGAAATTGAGAGAACCAAGCAAGGCATCTCCTCCTGGTTGAAGTCTGGCGAGATGCTTATTTAACATTACAAGGAGGGTGAACAATTAGGACATCCTCTCCTTGTGCCTGCAGACTCCATCTCGGAGACTAATAGATATTTACTTAGTCCTGTCGGTCGTGCTGTGTTTAATATTTATCCATCACAGGAAGCTGCTGCATGTTAAATGTCAGCCTCTTGATTTCGACAGCTCGTGGCTACGCAGCTCACAGCTACAAGCAGGCAGAGTTGCACAAACAGCCCCAGCGGCCCCTGGCCTCAAGCCTGCCTGGCTTCCTGGCAAACCCATGCCCCGTGTCTGTGCAGTGCCCAGGACTGGCCACTTGGTGGGTCCCACAATCTCTGAGGGGTCCGACCCAAGGTCCTTGAGCTGGGTATTCTGTTTGGGGTGTCAGTTAATGCCAAGGACAGCAGGGCTGTGGCAGTGGGAGGGGACTTACCTTTAGCGGCTGATACATGCACCAGGGACCATGCCAGCTTCTGACCTCCACTCTCTCCTTACGTCTTCAGCACAGATACGCTCTACATTGTTCACTTCCCCTTCAGATTCTTTTTGCTCCCTGCTACCTTCAGCTACGCACCCCAGGAAGCTGACTTCAGTGGGCTGCATCCAGTTGTGGGGGTCTCCCTTGGCAGCTTCTGGCTGAGTTCAGCCAATAGAGAATCCCAGAAGGAGCTCTGCGGGTGGGACAAGAGAGAGATGAAGGCGTTTATTTCCCTATATTCTTCCCTGCAGAGTTGCTGCGGGCTGGCTTCTTCACTTGCCTGAAGGCGTCAGCTTCCCCTGCCAGGCAGCCCTTCCCTCAATCTCATTCTCCTTCTGTCTCTCTCTCTCTTTCCAGGTAATCCCACCCTACTTCACTCTTTCAGGCTTCGGGGTGCAAACAGTTCCCCACCGTTACTAACCCTTTGGTGGTGTTCTGTATCATCCCTAATGGCTTCTCTATACCCTGCTCCATCTTGATGACCAGCCCCTGGATCGAATAGTCTCAATTTGAAATATGCCATCTCTCTCCTGCGGGAATTCTCTCTATACATCCCTAAGAGGTAGTTATTGCTTCTTACATTTTACAGAAGACAAAACTGAGGCTCAAAGAACTTGGGTGGAGTTTATGACCTTGCATGAGATCATAAAGAAGTTATGGGCACAGCTGGGGTCTTTGGATCACCTGGTTGGTCAACTTTGCCTGACACCATCTAATCTACTGGCCACAGGTAGTGACCCCAGCTTGATTCTTCTCAAATGCAAATATGGCAATGCATATTTTGTTTGAAACTTCATTACTGTTCCTTCATCTGAATGATGACTTCTGACAACATTGGAATATAGTCCCAGCCCCCTCTTTGGCCACTGTCCACACACACACCATGTGTAATCTGCCCCCAGTCAAGGTAACCTGTGCAGAAGCAGCTGTTTGTTCTGCATGTCTCCAGGGGTCAGCATTGGGATGTTTCATAAGCTTAAGGTTTGGACTTAATAGCTATGAAAGTGAGTGAGCTCCCCATTACTGGAGGTATGCAAACAAAACAGATCAAGCATCTTTTTGTCAGGGAAGCCGGAGAGAAGATTCATACAACAGGTGCTGGTGGAGGGGGAATGAGATGATTCTGAACTGCTCACCATCAGATCATGATGGGGAGAGAATATTGAAAATGCAGGTTTCTGGGTCACACCCTTGAAGATTCTTATTCCATAGGTAGGTGTGAAGTTCAGACACCTACATTTTATATGAAAATGCCCCCAAAGTATTAACTGCAGATTTCCCACAACATCTGAGGTCCCTGCTAGCTCAGTAATCAGCCAACCCCAAGCCCATTTCTTTAGGGTGAATGTTGTCATGTCAGTCACAGAGCCAGGCAACACATACTCTGCACAGTCAGCTGAACTGGGGTGGATGGGGCAACAAGGCAGAGTCCTGGGTTCTAGTCCCACTTGGGACACCAAGCCTTGTCCCAGGACCAAGGGGGGAAGACATGGGCACAGGTGGGGGCCACCAGGGCTGATCCTCTGTTTTCTGAACAGTGTAACAGGAAGACATAAGTTCAAATCCACACTCCAGAGCTGTGTGACCCTGAGGTAAGTTATTTCAATATCCAACTATTTCCTCACCTGTAAAGTTGGTAAAATAGTACACAGGCCTACCATTCCTCATCCAGATCTTTTAGGGCCAGGCCTTGTTCATATTTCAGAGAAGTCTCACCACCAGCAGCTGGGGCAGTGCCAGCCTTTCTGCAACAGATTGTGCTGGCTCCCAGTCCAAGGGTTCATGAAGACCTCAGAGTGCCTCTTGTCAGGTGAGGTCAGGATTTGCCGCCAAATGCATTCCAAAAATACTTGAAGTTTTCAGAGCTTTACGGATTATAGATTGAGAATGACGGATTGGATCTACCTAAGAAAGTTCCTTGTGAGGATTAAAGTAATCCTGTATATGAAGTGTTGGGCATATGGCAACTACTCAATAAATGTTAGCTGATTTTTATCATCATTAGCAGTGGTGCTTCAAGTAGTAAAATGCTTAGTACAAATGCTTTATATATAGTAAACACTGGTTAAAATAAGTTTTCTGTAATTATTATTACACGTTTCCACCAGTGCCCAATTTTGCATGCTCCCCATTGCTTCTGCAATGACTAACAACAAAGGCAGAAGAGCTGCTGGTCCCAGAGATGTGAGTGTTGAAGGAGCAGCACCTGTGGTCTGGGGATCTTTCTGATCTCTGCAGAGCTCACTTCCTCCAATCACGTGCTAGACCTAGCTAGTTCCCTCCCACTCCCCATTCAGTTCAGCGAGGTCCTTCTGTTTCGTAAACTGGATATTAAAAACAAATGTACCTAATTAGAAATAAAACGTTCCCAACCAGCTCGAAATAAAATAAAATGTAATTACTAATGATATTTAAATGTTGTAGATATTTCATTTTTTAAAAATCCCCTTAATTTAAAATGAAGTATGACTTTAATTTAGTCGAGAAAACATTAAGCGTAGAGGAAAGTGATCTGGCTTTTGCCGAACGTCTTCTTCTGCTGCCTAAGAAGGAAGATGGGGGTTTCCTAGAGCATCCTTGGCCAGGGAAATTGGCATGAAGGTTGTTTTTTTTCTCTGTGTATGTGGTGGGGGCGGTGGGGCGGGGGGCGGTGGTTAGTGTCTTCCAGGGGGCCCTGAATTTTCTATAGGGATTGTAGACCTATTCCTTGGGTAGGAGACAAAGTTCTTACAGAGATTTTTATATAGATCAAGGTTTGTGTCCTGTCTCTGTCTTTAACACACGATTTGGGCAGCTCCCTGCACTTCTTCATGCCTCAGTTCCTCCTCCAAAAGGGAGCATGCTAACCTCTACTAGGGAGAAGTTTAATGAGGTTACATGATGTAACTATCTCTGGACTATAGGCAACACTTTTGATATGAGAGCAAATGTTACCAAAATGCTTGTGCTGTCACTTTCCCTGTAAACTTCATGAGGACTGGGACCACGTTGATATTTTTTTTGTTTTGTGTTTAACCCGGTGCCTGGTGCCCAGTAAAGGCTCAATAATTGCATGAATAAATCTATAGATGAATGACTGACCATGTATAGGGTGTTAAGGTTGGGAGAAGTAATACAGATCATCTAGTATATCCCTACCGAACATTTGAAGCCCATGTGTATACAGTGATTGACTACTTTCTGCTTGTTTGCCTCCAGGGATGGGGAGCTCTCTACCACATGCCCATAGCCAATTTCAGCTTTGAAGAGTTCTGGCCCTGGAAAGTATGCCTTACACTGGCCCCTTCTATGTTCTATATGTTGTGCCTCTCTGCCCTCGGGGGCCACAGGATGGAGCCCCAAGACAGTGATTAATAGACTTGTCATTTCATAAAATACTTGTTCATCAACTGGGATGTCAGGGCCATATGATGGTGGTTGCAATGTGAGCCCGGGAGCAGGCTGTCACAATTCAAACCCAGGCCCTGCCACTCACCAGCTATGTGATAGAGGAGAACCTCCCGTGAGGCCTTAGGCAGGTTATCTGGCCTCTCTGAGCCTCAGTTTCCTCATCTGTAACTGGGTGGTCAAGAGAGATTCAGTCTCTGCTCATGGTATAACCAAATCTCACAGACTGTTGTAAGCGGGTGTTGTTGGGAGCTTTTGACAGTTGACTGAGGGAGCTGGCCCATAGTGGGGTGGCAACCAAGGAAGCTAGCCCCCACGTCTTCACTTCCAGCTGAGCAGCCCTGCAAAGCTCTCCTCCTGCTATGGAGTGTTCCAGATCCCACAGCCTGTCAGCCAACCTGCTCCTGACCTGTCCTGGGCCTGTGAGTTTCATGAGGGAGATGGTCCCTCCAAAGCCAGTTTGTCTGAGTTCATCACAGAATAAACATGTTCCACTGAGTTAAATCACTGTTTTGTTTTGTTAGTGGGGAGGGGTCGCTCCTGCTAAGCCACACTCATCTCTCGCTTGGACTCTTGCAGCAGCCACTTCCGTCCTTGCCTGACTGTGGTTTGCTTCCCCCTCATCAGCCTGCTGGGTCTTGTTATAATGTGGATCTTGCACAAAACCCTTGGATGGTGAACACCCAAGGCGTTTCTCAGTCCTCCAGGGCCCTACGTGCTCTGGAGACCTCATTGTCTTCACCTCCTAGCACCTTCCCTCTCCCCTCGTGCCCACCCTACTCCAGCTCCACTGGCCTCCTGCTATTCCTTGTTTGTGCCAAGCACCTCTGTCCTGCCTCAGGGCCTTTGCACCTGCTGCGCCTGCAGCCTGGGACACTCTTCTTGGTTCTGTACATGGTTTGCTCCTTCATTCAGGTCTTGGCTTAAATGCCCCACTTCATGGAGAGTGTCCCTGAACTCCTTTTGGCTAAAAACTGGCACATATTTGTCACTTCCTGCCTTTTGTCTTGCTTGATTTGCCTCTCACAGTATATTATCTGTCTATTGTTTCTTGTTTCTCCTCTCCCAATGACTGGCTGCAATTGTCATGACTCCTGAGTTGAAGTAGGTCAGAGAGAGAGAATAGCTCTGTGCTTGGAACCACAGGCTCTATCTCTGGCACATCCTTGCTGTGTGTCCTTAGGGAAGTTACCTGGCCTCTCTGAGCCTCAGTTTCCTCATCTGTGAAATATAGATGTGCAAATCTCTTAGGGCTGGATCAAGATTAGTCTTGATGCATGCCAAGTCCTTGGCATGAAGTAAGGATTCTATAGATGTGAGCCACTCCTCTCATCCCTTGCTTGAGTGGGTAGAGGTGACACTCCAGCTAACTCAGGCTTGGCGTCTAACAAAACGCTCACTCCTAGCAATGGGCTTCGCTTGCAGCCCATTGGCCTACCTGGGTCATAGTAGGTGCTCAAAAAACATGTTGTTGGAGGAATGATGGGACTGTCTAAAAACACCAATGGATCTGCCCCATGCGAGACTCTCAGTACAACTTTGCTTTGAGGTACCCAGGAGTCTCTGAGAACTAAAAAGGGGCAGCTTCAAGATGAAACAGTTTGGAATTGATTGCCATGGTTACATCACTGACATCATCATTATTTTTCAGAGCAAATTCCCCCCCTTTTTTTTTCTTGAAGTTGGGAAAGCAGGAATGGCCTTTCTTTGCCTAATCATGAAAGTCCTATATTGTAACTGTGGAGTGGTCAGTTAACATGAAATATGTAAAAAGGTAGAAAACAAAAATCTCCTGCCACTTAGGGAAAGCCACCAGAATGCTTTGACACAAGTTTTTCTAATTCCTTTTTTTAATGTACTTAAACATTAGTGAGTTCATATTGTATGCATACTTTTATAATATATACGAATTATTTTATTTTATCTTAAATTCAACATGTGTAAGGATAGAAAGGAAAAAAACCTAACACTTTTTTCCTATTCTGTCTCATCACTAATACAGCACAGCACCCCTGGTCACCAGAATGTTCAGAGATTTCTGCCCTCCTGGAACCAATTATTTCTCTAGCACATTCTCTGATGGACACCAGCTAGGTATCCTCTAATTCAACCGAATTCTGACACTGTCTACCTGGAGATAGTGTCAGATCCCAGAGGGTGAGGGCTCCATTCGCCACGTCAGATGCTAGTCACAGGTTCAGGCCTCTGGAGCTTCTGACCTGCTGTCTATAAACTTGGGTTCCCATGAATCCCTTTCCGGGTTCAATTAATTTGCTAGAGCAGGCTCACAAAACTTGGGGGGAACATGTGATTTATGTTTACCAGTTTATTATAAAGCATATTACAAATGACACAGATGAACAGTCTGATGAGGTGATGCATAGGGCAAGGCACGTGGAAAGGGGCACAGAGCTTCCATGCCCTCGCCTGGGTGTACCACCCACAAGGACCCTGCATGTGTTCAGCTATCTGGAAGCTCCCAGAACCCAGTCCTTTGGGATTTTTATGGAGGCTTCATTACATAGTTTTTAATTGATTAAATCATTGGCCATTTGTGGCCAACTCAATCTTCACCCCCATTTTCCTTCCAGGAGGTTGGTGGGGGTGAGGCTGAAAGTCTCAACCCTCTAATTATGTCTAGGTCTTTCCTGGCCTCACCTTGAAGGTATTTAGAGGTAGCCAGCCACGAGTCATCTCATTAGCATACAAAAGACACTCATAACTCCAGAGCTTCCAGGGGTTACAGGAGCCTTATGCCAGGGACAACCAAATATATTTCATAATATCACAACATGTAATTAAACATTTACAATGTGCAAGGCAATTTTTACCTTTGAGGAGTAAAAGAAATTCTTCATTGACCCATCTTCCATCCATCCATCCACTCAGTCACCTTTCATCTATCTTTATTTTTCACAATCTTTCTCTTGTACTACCTGCCTTCCATCTAGGGCTCTGCTTTTATCCCATTCTACCTATCTGGTGGTCTTGGCAAATGTTTTCATTCTCCTCCTTTCTTTTCATCCTGTTTTGTTATAATGTCTGCATGCACCGGTCTCCCAAGTGACTCTGAGTTCCTTGGAGGCAGAGGCTAGAAATCATTTGTCTCCATGTCCCAAGACAAGCAAAGGGCCCAACATGAACCAAGTCTCCAAAAATATCCACTGAATGAGTGTCTGCCTTTTGTCTACCCATCCATCCAACCATCTATCCCCCATCCATCCACCCATCCACACACATTCATCCATCCATCCATCCATCCATCCATCCATCCATCCACCTATCCATCCATCCATCCATCCATCCATCCATCCATCCATCCATCCAACAATCCATCCATCCATCCATCCATCCATCCATCCATCCATCCAACAATCCATCCATCAATTCATCCATCCATCCACCTATCCATCCATCCATCCATCCAACCATCTCTCCCCCATCCATCCATCCATCCATCCATCCATCCATCCATCCATCCAACAATCCTTCCATCCATCCATCCATCCATCCATCCATCCATCCATCCATCCATCCAACAATTCACCTACCTATCCGTCCATTCATCCATCCATCCACCCACCTATCTATCCATCCATCCACCTACCCGTCCATCAACCTACCTATTTATCATCCATCCGTTTTGTGTTGCAGTATTTATTTAAACAAATGAGCTACAAAACTTACATATTAGAAAAGTATATGGCCAAGCTACACCAATCTTCATTGTACAACTTGTTGGGCCTTCACATACATAGACACCCATGAAACTGTCAGACAGAACAAGATTTAGAACATTTCCAGTATCCCAAAAGACAACCTCTTATCCCCCAAATTCATATTTCCTCAGAGATAACCATTCTTCTGACCCCTAGCATAGCTTGGTTGCACCTGTTTGGAAACTCATGCAAATGGGATTGTCCGGTTTCTCTCCTTTTGTGTCCGGCTTCTTTTGCTTATGCATATGCCTGTGAGATTCGCACATGGATGTAGCAGTAGATTGTGCTTTACTGTGTGTAGGATGTCATGTTATTTATATATATATCAAACTTCCCTTGATTCACCTTCCCCTCCTTCCTTTTCTCCCACCTCCTTCCTTCCTTCCTTTCTCCCTCAACTCTGGCATGGGCCATGTGAGACCCTGTATTCAGCTCCAGCCATATAGAGCTTGGCAAGTCTCAGACCCTTGAGAGGCAGACAGGGACACGGCCCTTAACCGTCCAGGGAGGTGAGTGAGATAATAAAGGCTGCAAGGTGCCCAGGGGCCCAGGGGAGAGAGAGGTAATGTGTGGGACCTGGGCTGATCCTCTCCAGACTGCCTGCTCAGTGCCTGTCTGCTCATGTCTCCATCTTTCTGTTCATCCACCCACCCACCACACGTCAATGACCCTCCCCAAGGTCAACCTTAGGGAAAGTTGCCCTTTCCTGCTCCCCTCTTCCTCACCCAGGTTTTCCCTTTCAAATCCCCCTTGTGTGAGCAGCTACTCTCACTAAACAAAGCAGCCAACTGCAACCCAGCCAGGCACTGGGAACCCACATTGGAGCCGGATTTGCTTTGGGGTAAGAAAAAAAATATGGCCAAATGTTGAGAATCGGGCGTTTGAAGTTCGCACTCCAGGACGCTGAGCCGGGGGAGATCACACCTCCCTTGGCAAGGAGCCCCTCAGTCTGCCCGTCCGGCTGCTGAGCCCGAGCGCTCGGGCCCCCAGCCTCTCCACATCTCGCCTCCCCCAGAAGGAGGGTGGGTTTGGCTGCTGCGCCTGAGCTGCGGGAACTGACACCCCATGTTTGGGAGCCACGTGAAACCTTCTGTCTGAGGAGTGGGATGTCCCTCCCACCTCTTGTGGGTTGGCCTGGGGTGGGGGCGGGGGAGCGCCAGGAAGAGACTGAGAACGAGGGTGGAAGAGATGCGATGGTAATTGCTTCCCAAGCCTGGGGAGCCCCACACCTGCCTGAGGTCCAGCCTCACAGAAAAGTCCCAGCCCCTAGAAATCACATGGGCAAAGGGAGAACTGGGCACATCTAGGTGGCCTCAGAAATTTATTTCCCCTCTGAGCATCTGTTTCCCTTCTCCAACACGGGGATAATACCATGAATATTAGGTGCAATATTGCATGCAGAGCTCTCAGGCGAGAGGCAGTCCCCAGTGAGGCTCTGACGAACACGATTACCATTGCTGAGTAGCAAGCCATGTGCCAACACCTTTGTGACAAGTCTTTTCAGTACTCTACACCTCAGTTTCCCCTTCTGTATGATGAAAATACCAATCTCTATTGCAGGGTTAGTCATGAGGGGTTAAACAAAGTAATGTGAGTACGATCCCTGCAAAGTTCTGGCACACAGTAGGTGCCCCATAAATCTTAATCTTCTCAAAGAACCTCTGCGGGCCAATGTGTTGCCTTTCTAAAAATTAGAAGCCTGTTTATTCCTCTGGGTAAATGCAGCTCTCTGCCAGGGTGCATGACTGTTACAGAATGGGAACTGGGTTTCAGCCACTGGTCTTTTACTCAATCAGGGGTTCTTCGTCAGTGTGCAACCTGCACAGCTGTCCGCCTATTCTGTATCCTGGGAGCCCTCGGCTCTATTGATAGCTCTTGTTTTAGCGCCTAGTTCTGTCTCACACACTTCAATTCTTCTTTGTTTTCTGATGCTGGTTGCCCAGCCAATAACTGCCTCTCTCCGCAGCCTCTGACCTCCTGAAAGAAACACCGCAGGTGCAGTCAAAAGACTTGGATTTGCACGAGCTGTGTAACCTGGGGCAGGTGCCTTCCCCACTCTGGGCTTCCGTTTTCCTGAATGCAAAACGAAGATATTTGGTTAGTTGACTTCTGAATGGCATTCCAACCATGGTAACCAGATTTTTGTTCTTTGTAAATTCATTATATCAAAGCGTTATTATTTATGACTCTCAAATATAAACTTTATTGTTTTCAAACTTCATCTTTTGCCAGCAGAAAACTCCCAGTTGTTCCAGAGGTCCCAGATGAACAATTTCTGGTGGCTGCAAGCATTCCCAGCAAATGATGGCATGTTCAAGGCATTATGCAGGTCATAATCCCATCTCACCTTCCTTTTATCACCCTCTCTTTCTACTCTCCTCTTCATCTCTCTTGTTTTCTTCGCTTGTTATTTTAGTCTCTCTTTCCTCCCTCCCTACTTTCATTTTTCTTTCATTCTCTCATGTTATAGACTGAATTGTGGCCTCCCCAGGCTCATATGTTGAAGCCCCAATTGGCAATGTGACTGTTTGGATATAGGGACTTTAGGGAGATGATTATGATTAAATGAGGTCATAAAGGCAGGGCTCTAACCCAATAGGACTGGTGTTCTTATAAGAAGAAGAAGGGACATCAGAGATCTCTCTCAGAGCACAGGGAGAAGAAACGCCATGTGAGGACCCAGCAAGAAGGTGGCTGTCTGCAAGCAGAGAAGAGAGCACTCACCAGAAACAGAATTTGCTGGCACTTGTATCTTGGACTTCTGGCCTCTGGAAGTGTGAGAATATAAATTTCTGTTGTTTAAGCCACCCAGTCTGTGGTATTTTGTTACTGCAGCTGGAGCTGACTAATACTCTCTGTTTTAAAAGATTTTCATGAGTTATCTTTGCTTAGCAGACTCTTGCTACTATCTGCATCGATCTACACTGGGCTTGAGCATGAACATCCTGAGGGGCCACCCTGCTCTGATGCCAGGCCCTGCAGGGGCTCCATGACCATGGGGCATGAGTGAGTTCACAGCACTGAGATGCACATGAACAGGGCTTCAAACCCCAGCTCACCTCTGATGCCCCTGTGAGTGTGGGCACATGGCTTTAAAACCTCCACTTCCTCATCTGAAATCTCCCGTCATGTCCTCCCTGGGAGCTGAGGGATGGGGCTCTAGTTAGATATTTGGAGGCAGGGATGTGTAAGTTGGAGGAGACCAAAATGTCCTGTTGGAGACCAATGCCCTTGGTAAGAGACTTTCACAGCCTCTAGATGGTCTGGGCTTCTTATTAATGGCAGCTGGCACTTAGAGAATCTGAGTTCTGACCCCAGCATTTAGCTTGAGTCAGATGTTATGTGCATTGCCTCCATCAGTCCTCATGGCAGCCCTAGGATGCTGGCCCCACTATCAAACAGCATCAAGCAATGGTTAGAGAGCCAGACCCTGGAGCAAGATGGCCTGGGCTTGCATCTTGGCTCTGACCTGTACCAGCTGGGTGACCTCTGTTTTCTCATCTGTTAAATAGGGAGAGTGATTTAAAATCCACCTTATGGGGAGATTGAGGAGACTAAATAAGTAATGACTCTTAGAGCAGTGTTGGTTACAGAGCAGGTCATCAGTGAGTGTTCGTGATCATTACCATTTCCATTTTACAGATGAGGAAACTAAGGTCTAGAGTAGCTGTGGTCATATAGTCATAATCCAAACCTGGCCACCAGACTCCAAATTCCTGCTCTGAATACCACCTGCTCTTATTTGCAGTGTGACAGCTCTTCACCTGACAAGAGGATGTTGTCATCTTCCTGACATCCCCCAGCACCTGCATAGTGAGATGCAAATCTACCTCAGGGCACTCAGATGCCACCAGACATGGATGTAGCCACCGATTCTCCAGACACATCTTGCCCTTTCATTTGATGCTCTACTGGATCTTAAAATGACAGTCAGGCTACCTGTTTCCTGTCTGCACACCTTTGGCTACACTCTCTGCTACTCATCTTTCAAGGCCAAGTTCAAACATCACCTCCTCACGGAAGCCCTCCTGGTGTCCTCCTGATTGTTCCTACAACCTCTGCATCTATTTCCACAGCAGCCCTTGACACATCATGTCCTGTAACATGTCTGCTTGTCCATTCTCCTCTGAGTGTGAGCTCCTTGAAGACACAGCGATTCTCCAGGGCCTAGCACAATCTCTGCCATATAGTATGTGCTCAATAAATACTTACTGAATAAGTGAATAAATGGAGCAATAACATACTAATTGAGTGGATGAATAAATGGAGGAATAACTATAAAATTGGCTGGAATCGTGGTATCATTCTCTAAACTTCCAGGGACATCATTATACTTTATTATCACAATATTTTTTTTAAATCAGCCCTTCTTAACAGTGTCTTTCATAAAGCAAAATTATTTAAATTTGATCAAGTTCAATATATTGATTTTTAAAATTGTATAACTCATGCATTTTTGGGTTTTTTTGTGTGTGTCTTACTTAAGAAATCTTTCCCAAACTCAAGGTCATGAAGAATTTTCTCTTATTTTTTCATAGGAGTTTTATATTTCTTGAGGCCATGAACAGCGTCTGTCACATTCATCTCTGTGACTCTAGTACTTAGCATAGTGTCTAGTACGTAAGTCTCAATAAACGAATAAATGTATGATGGGTGAGCAGTGAGTGAATAATATCCCACTCTCCACCCACTGAATCCATGTGCATGGAGCTGAGGGGTAAGTAGGTGGATCAAAAACAAAAATAAGAACAAAAACAAAATACCCAACCAATTTCTTCTTCTGGAAGTCTAGCTAAAACTCATTTTGAACTGATTTCCTTAAAAAATGATCAAAATTCTGTATTGCACAGAATAAGAACTGTTAAAGATTTGAAAATTGTATTAATATTAAAAATTAAAAGTGTCTCTTTATTAACAGCAACAGAGTAAAAAGGCAAGCCACAGAGTGGGAGAAAACTATTTGCAATACATGCAAGTGGCAAAGATTCGTACCCAGAGTAAAAAAAAAAAAGACAACTCAAGAGAAAAACAGGCAAAAACACTTGATCAGGAACTTTACAAAAGAGGACAAACACGTGAAAAGGTGGGTAACCTCATTCATTAGTCGCCAGAAAAGTGCAAATTAAAACACACTGAGATCCCACTATGAACCCATCAGGGTGGCTAACACAATAAAACATAATATCAAGCATTGATGAAGATACGGAGCAACTGGAACTCTCATAGTTGGTAGAATGTGAAATGGTACAACCACTTTGGAGATCTATTTTTCAGCATCTACTAAAGCTGAACATACACCTACCCTATAGCCTAAGGATTCCACTTCTAGGAAACATCTACATATGTTCACCAAAGTCACACCCAAGAATATTCATCACAGCACTATGTGTAAGAGTCCCCAAACTGATGATTACCCAAATGTCCACCAGTGATAGAATGGATGTGTAAACTGTGAAATATTCCCACAGTGGAATATTATCTAGAAGTAAAAATGAACAAACTGCTGCAACACATGACATGCAGCGACATGGATGAACTTCACAAAATAATACTGAACCAAAGAAGCCACACATAAAAGAAAACATACTGTGTAAGTCCATTTACATAAAGTTCAAAAACAAGAGAAAGCAGTCTATGAAGGTGGAAAGCAGGAAAGAGTAGTTATCTTGGTGGTGTAAGAACTAGTGGTGCTGGGGCTTGAGAGCTGTTTTTGGGGTGCTGGTAATTTCTATTTATCAATCTGGGTGCTGAATCCTTGGGTGTGTACACCTAGTAGAAAGTCATCAAGTTGCATACTCATGATGTGTTCACTTTTCTGTGTATATATATCCTACATCAAAAAAAAATTTTACTTAAAAAGAAATTGCCCTGCCAAGTTAGGTTTGGGGTGATATTCCCAGCTGCATCCCTGAGCCTTGGTGCCAGCTGGGCCAGGGGGCCTTACTTCCTTCCTCTTGCTGTTTCTCAGAGCCTGCACCAGGGAGAAGAAATCTTTTTTTCCCTTCTTACTCTTTCCTCTCCCTTGGCCTGGAGCTATTGTACATATGCAAATGCAGCAATGTCAGCTATTGAGAGAAGCTCAGCTATTTATAGCTGGAGTCTTGCAACACTTATCACAGCCTCTGCAGACTTTAGAAAGGCTGAAACACACACACACGCACACACACACATACATGCACACACACACATGCATGCAAACGCACACACACTACACAGAGTATATTTTTTTCCCCAGGATATAAATTTCCCATCCCATTGCAGTCTGGGCCGTTGCATGCAACATTGATTGTCTGTTATATTACATTTATTAAGAAGTGATAACTTGTAATAATTGGATGTTAAATTAAAGAACTCTCTCCTAGTTATTGCCGTCTCAATTATAACTGTCGTTGGCTGGCAGTTATAATGATATATGAGGGTTGTATTTTACGCAGCCGACCATGACCTGGTGAGTAATATTCCCCCAGCTATGGGGGCACTCATGCACTCCTTGGCTTCCAACGCCTTGCTTGGGTGCTGATTGGAATATTAAGTTTCTGCAAGACTGAGATGCCGAAATCCACACGGAGAGCCGCGACTCCACAGCTGAGAGCCCCCTCTGGCAATCTCCACCCGCCTCCTGCTTCTCCTCGCTGGTACATGTCCAACTCATTTCGGCTTTGTTTTATGGTTATAGGAATCAGGTTTATTTGGTGAGTTATAAAGTCGTAAAACGTGGGTGAGAGCGTGTTTGTGGTTTCCTTTAAGATGAAGCTTCTGCAATTAGCTCTTGGGTCCAAGTGCCAGTGGACAGAGACAGTTGCAAGTGGAAAGCAGGAGGGTGGAGGGATTGGATTTATTTAGAAGCATCTGATGGCTGATCCTTCTAAATAGAAGGTGGCTGAGTTTCTGCAGGGGTATCAGGGAGAAGAAGCTGGCAGCTCTGAGGCTCTGGAGTGGAGGCCTAAGTGGAGTGCTGAGGGCTTTCAGTGGTTGCTGTTGCTCTAGGCTTCTGACCCCTGCCCAGGTGAGAGGGCCTGAACTTACTTAAGGGGCCACTGTGGGCCCAGGTCTTGGGGACAAGGCACTCTCTCGTCCCCTCTCTCTATGGATAGACAATAGGTTCAATGAGTCACTCATATACACCCTCTTTCTCATCTGCTTCCTTCCCTTCATCAAAGCCAGCAGAAGTGACTTCCAGCACATCAGCGGTGGCTGCAGGGCATTCAAGGAGGATCTGTTAAGAATGGGACCCTGGGGAACCCTCTGGACAAGCAGTCCTCGGGGAAGGTAGGGGTTATAATTCTGGACTACTCCCAGGGCTGCCAGTGACAAAGCACCACAAACCAAAGTGCTTAAAACAGCAGATATTTATTCTTTCCCAGTTCTGGAGGCTGGAAGTCTCGAAGTCTCGAATCAAGGCACTGGCAGGGCTGTGCTCCCTCTGCAGCCTCTAGGGGAGGATATTCCCTTGCCT
Source organism: Homo sapiens (assembly GCF_000001405.40). NCBI lineage: Eukaryota > Metazoa > Chordata > Mammalia > Primates > Hominidae > Homo > Homo sapiens. The sequence continues at coordinate 27,317,331 of NC_000022.11, read as the reverse complement.
CTTCTGGCCTCTGGGAGCTGCAGCGGTTCATTGGCTTGTGGCTGCCTCATTCCAATCTCTGCCTCTGTCTTCACACGCTGGTTGTTCCTCTTTGTGTGTGTCTGTGTCCAAATTTCCCTCTTCTTATAAAACTAACAGCCATTTGATTTAGGGCCCAGCCTACTCCAGTGTGACTTCGTCTTCACTAATGACATCTGCAAAGATCCCATTTCCAACTCAGGTCACATTTCAAGGGGTTAAGACCTCAACATATTTTTGGGGGAAGCAATTCAACCCATAACACCTTCCAATTTTACAGGCGAGAAAACAGTCTCAGGTACCTGCAGCGAGAGCCCAAGTTGACAGAGCAAGTAAATGGCTGAGCTGAGATTCCAGTGAGCTCTGTTTGGAGCACCATTCTGACTCCCTCTTCTCCTGTCAGCCTTTAGGCAGCTGGGGCGAGTGGCAGGGCTCTTGGTTCAAGGGAGATCAGGCCCCTTGCAGGTGGGGTGCTCTGGGTCTCACCAGAAGATGTCCACTGGCTTCTTTCTGAGGTCGAACAGCCAATGAATGAATAATTGCTTGAGTCACAAAAGTCATTCATTCAACAAATATTTACTGGGTGTCCCCGTTAATCCCAAACAAACCAGACAAAGATCTCTGCCTCAAGGAGGTAGCCTTTGGAAACAGAGAGACAGAGATAGAGAGAGAGAGAGAGAGAGAGAGAGAGAGAGAGAGAGAGAGAGAGAGAATGAGCACCTAAATAGGTTAAGAATAGAGAATGTCAAGGAAGGGAATACATGCCATGAAGAAATATGAAGCAGGAAGGAGGCTAGGTAGTGTTGTCTTATTACATGGGCTGGCAGCAAGCTCTCCCTAAGGTGACAGCTGGGACTGGAAAAGGGAAGGCAGTGGCATGTGGGGAAAGAACATCCCAGGCCAAGGGACCAGCAAGTGCAAAGGCCCTGAGGCCACCATGTGGGGCAGGCTACAGTGGGGTGAGTGGTGGGAACTTGGGGTTTTCCTCTGAGGGAGCTGGGACACAGGTCGGGGTGTCTCCAGCAGAGGAGGGACTTGACCTGACATACATTTTAACTTGCAGAATCAACAATTGAGAATGGCATAAAAACCCTGGGGACTCTTGGAGGTTGCTGCCATAAACAGGCGAAAGGTGCAGGTGGCCTGGACTTGGGTGGTGGCTGTGGAGGTGGTGAGAATTGAGTGGACTCTGTCTAAATGATGAAGTTGGAAGCAACAGCGCTGGCTGGCTGTATGTGGACTGGGATGTGAGCAGGAGAGAGGAGTCCAGGATGACTGCCAGGTTCTTTTTCTGAGCAAGTGGGAGGGTGGCACTGTCCTAGGCTGAAATGGGGACACCCGTGCAAGTGGAGTAAGTTGTGGGGGTGTCAGGTGGGGATCATGGTTGGAGTTTGGATGATGTTAGGTCTGGGTGTTGTTTAGATGTCAAAGGGGAGATGAAGAGGAGGAGAGGAGGCAGGTGGGCACGGGAGGCTGGTCACAGACATTGGGGCTGATGGCACCCACATGGCATTGAAACTGTTAGCCGAATGAGGTGTCCTAGGGAGGGCATGCAGGGGAGAAGAGTGGCTCCAGGAGTGTCCTGTTGTCAGGAGGAGAGGGCCCCACAGAGCTGATCAAAGGCACAGCCGGTGATGGGAACACAGCAGGATGGGAGGTGCCCGGGAAGGAGGCAAGGACTCCTTTGCAGAAGGCAGAAGTGACCTGATTCTGAGAAGCCCAATAAGACAGGATGAGTCTTGGCCATGAGGGAATCTGCAACTGGCCACAGGGGTGTTATTGGATTAACACCTGCCCCCTGATACATATTCATTCTGTGGATTCAATGTTACTTTCCTACAACAGAGAATAGAACCCCTTTATTTTATAATGGGGGAAATGGAGGGTGGTCAGATGAGTCAAATTGACAGAACAGGGACTAGAAGCTAGATGTCTTGACCATTGTCCCAAGGCCATCCCATCCCCTGATCTCACGATTCTACAAGAAACCAACCTTCCTTTAGGACTTCACTCTACTAACACTCTCCTCACGCAGGCCCTCAGGACAAGCCAATGAAGTCTCCTTGAGTTCACTTTAGGAATGAGACCCTGTTACCTGGCCAGGGTCACACAGTTGGAAGGTGGTGGGGCTGGGATTTGAACCTGGGTTCTGACTTCAAAGCCCATGCATTTTCCCACTGACCTGACCCTTGCACCTGTTGTTCCCTCTGTCAGAAACAGTGTTCCCTCTTTTACCCTCCATTTCCTCCCTACCTCCTACTTACCTTTTCAAGCTTAGCTTCAACGTCACTTCCCGGAAGGATCCTTCTGCTGGTGTCTGCTCCATCAGGACCCCCTCTCAGGTCTCAAAGATCACTGCTCCTTTCCCATAGCACCAACCAGAGTTTGAGATGAAATAATCATGGTGCCTGTGTTCATTTATAATCTGACCCTCTGTCTTGGCTCTAAATGCCAGGAGGCAGGGAGGGACCATGTCTGGTTTCCCTGCAGTTGTGCCCCCACTACATAGCACAACGCTTGGCGCATAGCAGGTGCTCAGAATATTTTTCTTATCTGGAAGGGAAACATTCACTGGGTGTGTCCTGACCTTTGGTTTAAGAGCTCTCACAATATGTAGCAATTGCTAGCGCATAGGCCAACTTGCCCCTGTCCTTTGCAGATGGACCAGGGCTTCCCAACCATATTTTTAGGAAAGATAAAAGGTATGGAGGAAGATATCGACACCCGACTCGGGTGTCTGCACAAGTCACCTTGCTGGCCTCCCCAGGCCCCTGATGACATCATCCAACACAGCTCAGCAGGGCCTTATCTACTTTGGCCCTGCTTTGTATCTTACTTTGTTTTATTTCCCTTCAGGCATTTATCACTGTTGGACACGTTGCCATTGCAGATGTTTAGTAGTTTCTGTCTCCCACCGTTGGATCATCAGCCATACATGGGCAGAAACTTGCCTTTCTTGAAGTTGTAACTTCAAAATCCAGCCCCATGGCATGGCCCATGGCCCAGAGAACGTACTCTGGTGCTAGAGAGTGCTGTTGCTGTGATTAAGGGTGCCAGGGTGCTTGCAAGTCCAAACACACCAAAGCCATTAAAACGGCCACTGATTTGTTCAGGAGAGTGAACGAATAATGAACCAGGCAGTTCTTGTACACTTACTATGTGCTAGCAGCAAGCTAAGCCCTTGATACACATGTCCTCTTGAATTTTGATAGCCACCCTTGGGATTTCCACCTCCTAATTTTCAGATGGGTAAACTGAGGCTCAGAGGCAAGGGATGACTTATCTTGAGCTGGGATTTCAGTCCTGGCCCAGATGTCCACTTCGCCCACACCCTGTGGCTTCCTTTATGAATTACCCCAGAACCAGGCCCATAATGAGTAGTTGACACATGGTTGTTGAATAACCAAATGTCTGCTGGACAGCAGTTTCCATGAACATTTGTATTTCAACATTTTTTCCAGGAGACATTTTTACAGGAGACGTTGCTGTCCTGGAAGGACACTTCTTAGAAATATCTGTTTTCTTTCTTGCTTTTCTGTAAACAGAGCATCCAATCTCTCCCACTCTCTTGCATTTTTTTAAAGAATTAATTGCCCTTTTCATGGCTTTGGTGTGTTTGTACTTGCAAGCACCCTGGCACCCTTAATCACAACAACAACATTCTCTATGAACAGAGAAAATTTGAACAGTCATTAAGCACCAGTGAATGTGGAGCGTATTAATGGGCAAACAGTAAGTCGGGGGAGAAGAAAATGTTTTTCTCTTGCAAAGTACATACGAAAAGTTGATCCAAACCAACATGCTGCCATAAATCTGTTAATTTTGGCAAATTACTGGGAGTTAGCAGGGGCGGCTGGAGAGAAGGAGGCAAAAGGTTGGCCGGAAACTGCCCACCCACTTCAGAAAGGAGAAGCTGCAAGCCGGAGGGAGCCGGTGGCTTCACTCTTTGCCCAGAAGCTGGCTGCCCTTTGCTGGGGTTTCTCTGGTCTTGAAGCCAGTGTGTGACTGTCTCTCTAGGTAGCCGGGGCCGTGGCCCGATTAAGAATGCAGCCTGAAACTGGGATGAAGGGAGGCCCAGGCCTGAGGGCCAGGCCTGAGGGGCTGCAGCCTCTCAGGGGGCTCTACGGTTCTTTCCCATTCCAATTGCATTGCTGGTCCACTCTGGGCCCCTGACCTGGGCTGCCTCCTCCCGACCCCTTTCCTCCTCCTCCCCCACACCCAGACCCAGTCTGGCTTTGGTCTGTTTCCTTTGGCTCAGACCTTGTATTGCTCTCTCTGTTCTGGGACTGAATTAGGTTCAGGGGTAGGGGGAGGGAATTGACTGTGTGCTGTAAGAGTGTATGTGTGCCTCTAGATGGCTGTGTGCCTGGATGTGATGTATGTGTGCATGCATGTGTGCATATATGTGCATGTATGAGGGCACGTGAGTGTATGTGCACGAGTGTGTGCATGTGAATGTGTGCATGTGAGTATGTGTGTGCACATACGTGTGTGTGAATGTATGTGTGTGTGCCTATGCATGTGTGTGTACACATGAGTGTGCATGTATGAATGTGTGAATGTGTGCGTGTATGTGTGTGCCTTGAGTAGGTGTGCGCATATGCGTGTGTGTGCTTGTATGTGCATGCACATGCATGTGTGTATGTGTGGTGCATGTGAATATATGTGTACCTTGAGTATGTGTGCATGTTAGTGTGTATGTGCACGAGTATGCATGCGTGCACATGAATGTGCATATGTGTGTGCATGCATATGTTTGTGTGTGTACAAATATGTGCATGTTAGTGTGTGTGTGTGCACACTTGAGTATGCATGTGTATGTGTACACCAGCCTAGGTGCTAGTGTGTTAGAGAGGGGTGGGGAGGAGCTGCTGGTGTCACTCAAGGCTTTTGATAACAAAGAACATTTTTTCTTCCCAGTGGAAACAAAACCCAGCCTTCCAGAGACAACTCATGCCCTCTCAATCTCCCTCTCTCCACCCCCTCCTTGTTCCCCTCTCTGCCCCTCCTTCTCTCTCCTCCAGAATGTTTTCTTTCTCAGTGCTCTTTTTCTCATCTTAGATTGCTTTCTCTGTCTTTCAGGCTTCTCATCATCTTCTCGATTTTTTTCCCGTTTCTCATTCATATTTCTGTCTCTCGCCATCACTCTCCCGTCTCCTCTCTCTCTCTCCCCTTTCTCTCGCTCCTTCTTTCCTCCTGTCCTCTCCCCTGACCCTGATTCATCCTGTGGAGTTCAGAGCTGTCACACTACGGACTTCACCATGTGAGCAGGAAATGAAGGAGAAACACAAACGCCACTTCTCTTGGAGCCAGTCTTAACTCACAGATTCCGTGGGGCACAGAGGTGACGGCAAGATGCAGAATGCCAAGTCCCCTTCTCGCCACTCCTCTGTCGGGTGGGGCTGTGGGGCCTGCAGGAGGCTCCTCTGTCCCAGGTGCCTTTTCCTGCCTCTTCCTTTTCCTGGCGGACACAATCCTCTCCTTTGCGGCTTGCTCCTTCTCAGCCCAGCGGGGGTTTGCTCTTTGCTGCCTGGGAAGCTGACTCCTCGGCCATGTGCTGCAGCATGAATTGGTTAACATATTTACAGTAAATATGCTCCTGGTTATGCCGGAGGAAGGGGCTGCTTTGGTTAAGCATTTATTACTGAGGCGGCTATTTTCAATGTGTTCCACATGATCATTCGGCAAAGCTGCAATTCGGCACTTGTTCTAGGCTTGAAGGAATCGCTTCCCCAGAGGTGACCCTTGGCGGGAGATTGCATGTCACTACATGAGGAATGGCCGCGGCGGGTGTGATGGGTAGGCTGTCTGCCTTCTCTGACCTCAATCGCTTTCCTGCGGTGCGGCTGCCGGGACAGATGAGGGTTGACACAAAGTGCTTATAATTTCCTTTGGAAAGTGGCAGAATGATAATGGGGTGCTGAGCCCCGACCGGTTGGCCTTCACAGGCCGGGAACTCCTGTTGGGAGTGGCCGTCCTAATGGGGACAGGGAGAGGCTTCGGTTGAATTAAGAGAATGCCCAGCAGGTGGGGAGAAAGTTGCAGATTCAGGAGGCAGATTATTTTGGGACCCAAAGCTAGCGGGCCACGCAAGGAACAGGTTGTACCGAGTGCCTGCTGCGTCCTCAGCACCACGCAGTGAATGTTCTCCCATGCACTGCGATGTCTCCATCAGCGTGAGGCCTAGTTGGGGTGCAGAGGCAGTGCAGCACAGTGGTGACAAACCCCGATCCTGTGCCCACACACTCCAGCTCTGCCCATCCCCAGCCCGGTGGCTCTGCACGAACGACCTGACCACGCTCATGTCTTGGTTTCTCTGCATGTGAGGGGGACGACATCAGTGCCTGCTCAGAGGGCCGTCCTGAGCATCCTAGGGGCCAAAGTTGGGGAGCACTTCGAACAGGGCTGGGCACACAGCAAGCTCTGTTGGAGCGCTATTAGCATTGTTGTCATTGCTGTTGTTGTTATTCTGTGTTTAAGAATGCAATATATGAATAGATGAGGCAGGCTTCCATAAGATAAATCAGAACGCTGAGGCACTGAGACATTGAGAACCTTGTAGCCCAGCGTAAAGCACTCAGGAGTTGGAAGTGGGGTTAGAAATCAGTATTCATATTCCACTTGATGTCTCTGAGGGGCAGCCCTTCCGAGGTTTGTCTCCTGCCCTCCCTCCCTCCCCCCTCCTTCCCTCCCTCCCCCCTCCTTCCCTCCCTCCCCCCTCCTTCCCTCCCTCCCTTCCTTCCTTCCTTCCTCTCTTCCTTTTTTCCTTTTTCCCTGTACCCTTCCTTCCTTCTTTCCTCCCTCCTTCTCTTCTCTCTCTCCCTTCTTCCTTCCTTCCTTCCTTCCCTCCTTCCTTCCTTCCCATCCTCCCATCTTCCTCCATCTCTTTCTTTTTTCTTTTCTATTAAATGTTAATTTCTCCTTTTGAATAATGAGACACGCATGGCAATTGGCCATGTAAAGGACACTTGGGACAAATCTGATCATCCCTCTGGAGAGCATAGCAGCTGGGGACCATGTGGCCCTGCCCACCGTCACCCCATGGCATGCAATAGGTATTCAATGAATACTGTCTCATTTTTCCTTCATCAGAAGTCCCCTTTGGACAGATCATTCCCCATCTCTGGGCCTGAAAATATGCCAGACCAGGTGCCTTGGATCTGGGTCCTCCTGGCCCTGAATCCTGCACCTATCAAGCAGAGCAACCCTGGGTGAATCCTGGAACCTCCCTGGACCTCGGGGCTTCCATCTGCAGAATCTTCTCCTGGGAGTTGTGAGGCTTAGGGGAGGAGAGGAAGGCTCTCTGGGAGCCAGCAGGGCCAGGAGCATCTTGACCTCTTGCAAAGCTGGGCCTTTGCAAAGCAAAGCTTGACCTCTTGCAAAGCTCTTGCAAAGCTGGGCCTGGTTATTGGCAGGATCTATAAGCATCTGGCTGATCTAGGCTATTCTTGGACTTTAAAAAATAGCCAGAGGTGCAATCGTGGTTACACAAAGTAGGCACTCTGAAAATATTTGAGCTCTGCAGGATGCATTAGGAGAAATGCTAACAATGTTAGCATTCCTGGAAGGAAGGGTCTGGAAGAAAGCTCAGGCTAATTTAGGAGATCCCCTCTGTGCCATCCTCTCTTAGGACACCTTCCAGCTTGCAGTGCCCTTTTCTTCTGTTTTCATATATATATATATTTTGTTTTGTTTTGGTTTTGGTTTTTTTTGAGACAGAGTCTCACTCTGTCACCCAGGCTGGAGTGCGGTGGTGCAATCTTGGCTCACTGCAGCCTCCGCCTCCCAGGTTCAAGTGATCCTCCTGCCTCAGCCTCCCAAGTAGCTGGGATTATGGGTGCCCACCCCATGCTCAGCTAATTTTGTGTGTGTGTGTTTTTAGTAGAGATGGGGTTTCACCATGTTGGCCAGGCTGGTCTCGAACTCCTGACCTCAGGTGATATGCCCACCTAGGCCTCCCAAAATGCTAGGATTACAGGCGTGAGCCACCACACCTGGCCCTGTTTTCCTATTGAGTGCATGCATGAACACATGAGTCGGGGTGGGTTGTGTCGCCTTTAGACAGATTTAGTCTCTCCACACAGGTATTTGATTTGGGTATGAGGAAGGTTGCTTCAAGCTGGTCAGGGCTGTGGTAATGAAACATTGTTAGCATTTCCAGATCTGGAAGAATGGTCTGTGTCCTAGCCATCTGGGAATATCGTAACTGGCTGTCTTCTCTCTCTCTTGTCCACTCTAAGACATGAAAATATAACTAATAATTGTTCATTTCAGAGACTCTTTCCAACCACAGGGACAAAAAGAGTGGCCCTTCCTCAGAAACCCAAACCTGACCACATTGCTCTCCTCCTCACATACTATCTTAGTTTGAATTTCCCCAGAAGCAGACTTTGAGATAAGGAACTAGGGACAAGAAATATTTTTGGGGAGGGGATTCCAGGAAGCCCCAAGATGGGAGTGGGAGAAATAATCCAGCCAATAAAGGGTATGTCTTAAAGCCAGTTATCAGTGTGGGTGACTGGAGCTCACTCCAGCAGACAAATTCTAGAAAGCCCTAAAATCCAAGCTTCAGAATTCATCCCACCTGAGGAGTGAGGGAGCTGGGGTATTGATACACCATCTCCCAAGAGTCACTAGCTGAGAGCTGCTTTGGGTTGGGGCAGGAAAATCCCTTGGCACTTCCAGCCTACCCTGTGGATCTCTAGAACAATCCCTAAGACTCAAAGATACCAACAGCTGAGCACACTGAATTAATAAGGCTGAAGGCTGCAAGTAAGTTTCCAACAGGGCTGCTACACAACCCTCTCTCAGTCTGTATACCTTTTGCTCACAGAACTTTCCTGGCTGTTAAATGCCTCTTCCCCATGCTTTTAAGCACTCCTTTCCCCAAATGTCATGCTTCTTGCAACTGTGTTTAACTGTCTGTGCATTTGTCTGCTTGCCCCCATCCTGTGTTCCAGCTGTGAGCCCCATGAGACAGAGCCATATCTTATCCAACTCTCCATTCTCAGAATAAATGTTCAACATTAAAAAAAATGAATCCTATGGAGATGGGGCAGACAGAGGTTCACAGGAGAGGGAATTGTGTGGGAGCAGAGCCTCAAGGAGAGATACTCAAACCCTTGTAGGTAGCAGACTTCACGAGCTGCCAAGGTGGAGATACTTTTCTCTGGATTCGCCCCTGTTCTGACCATCAGTGTCCCCACCCAGCCCAATTTCAGGAACAGGAGAGGGAGAGACAGAACCACACCCTTATTAAAATTGAGGCCTTTGCTCACAGTGAATGGAAACAGACGAATCTGAGATCATCCTTGGCAAGAAATGCTGGGAAACAGAATATTCCTTTTGGGATGTTGATGGTTGAATCTCAGCACAGCTTTTGGCTTTATTTCCATCTTGTTGATACCTGAAATAATTGTGAAAAGTTTGAGATCATCTCTTGGGCCCAGATGCTCATAGGTGGTCCTGGGTCACTGAGCATAAGACAGTGATGGGTAGCTCATGCCAGGGACTTTGAAGAGATGAGTGATTTTAGGCAAAGCACCTTGGCTATGATGCCACAAAGACGGGAGGTGGCCACTTCCTGTGAGACAGGAAGTGGAGACAAATATATAGGGAAGCCATTTTCAGAGCAAGGGTGGCTTGTGGATTCATAGAAGTTCTTAATATTTCCCATCCTGACATATTAAGAATGAAGGATGTGTTGTCCCTTACTAGCTCTCAGTTAAAACATCTTCTTATTTCTCAGTGTTGAAAGAACTATCAGGGGAAAGGAAGAAGAGAAGACAGACCAGCATGGATGCAAAATCAGGGACTTCAAGGGATTTCCAGATCCATCTGAGATGAGAGTTTCATAATAATCCTGCCACACTTCCTAGCAAAGCTCCCTTTCTGCCACTCTCAGAAGCAGGTGACATGTTTACTTCATTTTAAGCAAATTCAACATATGGTTACTCAAGTTATTCCTTTTATAAAATGGATCCCCTACAGTAATCATTGAAGAAGCAAGATCTCCAGTACACATGAAAAGCAATCTGTTTTTAAAATGAATTTTATTTTCAAGCAACTTTTTCAAAAGTAATGTTTGTGATTAGTACAACTAATAATTCTTACATGCCAGACACTGTTCTAAGCTTTCCAATTCTCATTTAATTCTTGCAACAATGCAGTGAGGCTGGTGCTGTTTATATTCCCAATTTATAGATCAAGTAAGTGAGGCATGAAGAAATAAGATAACTTGCTGAAGGCCATCCAGCTAGTAAGCCTCAGAGCCAAGTATAAACCCAGACTGTTGGGGACAGAGTCCATAGTTTTGATTGCTACAATTTTCTGCTTCTACACATGAGAAGGAAACTGGCTAGTATTCCGGTCTGGCCAGACTGGGAAGACCCATGCTGCCATCTGTCATGGGGTGAGCTTCCAACAGGAACAGTCTGCTCTGAACCCTCTTTTATTCTCACCTGTTCTGCTTACCTCTGGAGTTTGTCATTTGGGAGACTTGAGCCTTCCTCAATCTCTAGCTTCTATCACAGAACCTGGAACTGTGTAGATGCTTAATGAAGCGTCTGCTAAATGAATGTTGGGTGAGTGAGACAGTACACACACGGATTCCTTTGCAGTGATGTGAGCTGCTCACACTGGATGCACACAGGCAGAAAAAAGAGAGAAACTGAGGCAGTTATTGGAAGGCTCAGCTCAAATCCCTTCCTACTTTGATGACTATCTTTGGTTCTATTATATGGAAAATTCCATATGGGGACTGCAAGCTCTTTGAATGCAAAATTCACCACCTCTGCCCTATTAATGGATTCCCAATATCTGGCACAGTGCTTGGCTTGTAGTAGGGATACTGTATGCTGAAAGCATGAGCAGTTGGTGGAGTGAAGGAATGACTGGGAGGATGAATACATATTTCCTACCCTGCCAATGTCCAGCTCAGCAGCCTCTAAACTTGTGCAAGCATCAGGATCTCTTGGAGAGCTTGTGACAACACAGATGGCTGGGTACACTCCAGGAGTGTTTGATTCAACAGGTCTGGGTTGGACCCAGGAATCTACATTTCTGACAAGTTCCCAGGTGATGCTGATGCTGCTGGTCTGGGCTATCTACCTTGAGAACCACTGGTCTTAGCAGCCCTAGCTCACTGGTTCTCAATCTTCACTGCATATTGGAACCAGCTGCAGGAATTTAAGAAAATGCAGATTCCTGGGCTCCTTCCCTGGACATTCTCATGCAATTGATCTGAGGTGTGGGCAGGCATTGGGGATTTTAAAAGCTCCCAGTGTGGCAGGGTGTGGTGGCTCACGCCTGTAATCCCAGTACTTTGGGAGGCCAAGGTTGGCCGATCACTTGAGGCCAGGAGTTAGAGACCAGCCTGGCCAACATGGCGAAATCCCATCTCTACTAAAAGTACAAAAATTAGCTGGGTGAGGTGGCATGCACCTGTAGTCACAGCTGCTCAGGAGGCTAAGGCATGAGAATCGCTTGAGCCTGGGAGGTGGAGGCTACAGTGAGCCAAGATTGCACCACTGCACTCCAGCCTGGGTGACAGAGCAAGACTCTGTCTCAAAAAATAAAAAATATTTAAAAAAAGAGCTCCCAGCGTGTTTCAAATGCAGCATAGCCAGAAAAGCTCCAGCCCGGCATTCATCTTTGACTCTTTACCTTGATCTTCTTTGTGGCTGAATGGGTTGGAGGGCTTATGAGTGGTTTAGCTCACGTCTGTGCCTCTTGAGGCCCCCAAAAGCCACCTTCCCTGCTATATTCTGTGCTTGTTCCAGGCAACAGCTTCTCAAGGTGCTGCTTCCCTGAAATTTCATGTCTGTTCTTTGACGCCGTGAGACCCCATCCCAGCCCTCGCCCACCCCGCACGCTGCAGTGTCTATTAAGAGCAGATGCTAAGCCATTTCCAACAGGCCTTGAAGCTAATACGCTGCAGAATGGATTCAGAAGGACCTGTTTGTGCGCTGAGAAAGAGAGTGAATTAATGCTCAATGAAAACCTCCAGAGAACCGGAGTCAGGGCTGGGGGGAAGTTGGTGGCTAAATCAACAGTTATAAACTCGCCCAGTCATTTTTCATTATTTGGTACATTGGAAAGTTATTTTCCTTTTCAAATGCAGTTGGAAATCCATTTGGTCAAAAGTCGGTCAGAAACCTCATCACCATTGCCCCTGAAAACTCACAGCCTCTGTCAGGGGGGTGGAAGGAAAATGGCCCAGGTCCCCAGCAGAAGTCGAGGTGATGAGGCCATGAAGGGGAGTGATGGGGACTGTGTGATTTTTCAAAAATGTTGCCTATGGGTCCAAACTTTTACATGGATCTGAATATATGGTGGTTTAAATTGTGGATCTGGAAGTGAAGCCATGGGTATCCTGTGGTTTCAAGGAAAGAACAAATCCAGGTCCCGATGGCTCTGGCTTCAGTCTAACATGGCCCTTTCTTTTGCAAGAGTGTGAGCAGAGTGTGAGCTAGAGATTGGGCCCTGAGGAGCAAATAGAAATCAGAAATGTGGCCCTACTTTCCTTTCATGGCCTGTGACAGGCTCCTGAAAGGGACAGATTGCCCAAGGATGTGCCACCAATGGTGACATCTGAATTGGTGGTTTGCTTCCTGACAATCACAGTGAGAGAAAAAAACCTTAGACGGGGCAGCAGATTTTAGCATGAACCATGGTTCTGCCCACTCTGGGCTTGTGTGATCTTGGAAAAGTCGCTGGATCTCTCTGAGACTCATTTCTTTCTTTTATGAAAGTGGGAGGATCAGGGCTGGGGTGAGTTGCTGAGATGTAGGCATCTGGTTCCTGCAACCTGCGAGGACACTGTTGAAGACATGAGAACTTAAGCCTGAATCAGGAAGGTTATATCATGGGGAGTCAGGGCAGGGAAAGGAGAGAGATAGAGAGAAGATGGGAGGTGGAGAAAATAACCCCTTCTTCAAGTGGACCTAGCCCTGCAAGGCCCTTGTGTAGTCAACAACCTGAATATCTGTACTTGACCTCCCTTGCTTCCTGCCTTTATTCATTTTTTCTGGGCCATGAAGGCAAGGATATGGCTCTGCAAGGCCTTTGTGCAGTCCACAACCTGAATAACTGTACTTGGCATCCTTTGCTCCCTGCTTTTATTTTTTCCTTCTGATCCATGAATCAAAGAGCCTTCTAACTTACTTCTTTGATGCCATATGTAGACCCCTGTCACCATTCTCCATACACTGATTTGCTCAGGTGCCCTCACTTCAAGCTATTATTATTGTTGAGATGTTGGTCTGACTGTTCTTCAAGGCCTATAGGCTCTTGTATGGCCTGGCCCCTGCTCACTGCTCCCATCTTGTCCCACATCAGTGCCCCCTCCACATCTGGGCTCCAGCCACACTGGCACTTTGTTGGGCTCTCCCTGCCCCAGGGCCTTTGCATGTGCCATCCCTGCTGCCTGGAGCACTCTGTCTGCTCCTATTATTTGGCCCATTTGTCCTCCTTTAGGTATCTGTTGCAGAGACCATCCATTTCAGTGATGATGGCCTCAGGGAGGCATTCCTTGACCCCCAGCTATGTCAGGTTTCTGCTCATGACACCATGTTCCATGTTCCCATTATGTGACCTCTTGTCACAGGTGCAGTTTACATCTAGCCAGTGATAATCAAGAAAGTGTCCATCTCCCTACCAGACTGTGAGTCCCAAGGCGGACTGTGTCTGTTTGGCTCACCAGTGCTTAACATTTAGAAAGTGCTCAATAAATATTCGTTTAATTACTTAATTTATGGACCTGCTGCCAGCTGCCTGCTATTCCTAACACACTAAGCAAGGCACTGGGAGGTGGTTGATAAACCCCCGTGGACATAAGCTTTCTTCATTTAATCACCATAATAATAAATCCCTGTAAGTATTCATAATTTATATTTATCACTTATATATATATAAACAGAGAACCAGAGAAGGTAAGAGGCTTGCCTGCAGTCACACAGCAATAGTCAGGGGCAGAGACAGGACTAGCATCCAGTGCTTCCAGCCTCCACCTCCAGCCTGGGAGAAAGCTTGGAGCTCAGTCACAGGTGCCTCGAGCCTGGTCTGGGTTTGGGGTTGAGTTGGATATCACTGCATCAGGTGCTAGGAGATCCTTGGGGCAGCACTGGGACCAGATTAAAGGGGAGCAAGGGAGCACTAGGCTGGTTCAGACAAAGTGGGCAGTAAGCTTGGACAACCCTGGGCAGTCCCTTCACCTCTCTGAGCCTCAATTTCCTCATCTGGAGCATGAGAACAATGCAGTTCTCCTTAAGGGTTTGAGTCTTGGGGTCTGCCTCATGTTTGGTTTCAGGTGGAATGTTTAGGGGACAAAGGGACCTGGAACAAGTTGAGGATGGAGGGAGAAGAGGGTGATGAGGCAGAGAAGTCAGGATGCCTAGCCAAGCCGCCAGTCTTTGCAGACTCGGAGGAAGAGGTGGATCACTAAGAATGCTAATAATGACCACAGCTGCCACAACGGCAGCTTCTGTTTGCTACATACAGCCTAGTACCACACTGCACGCTTGACGTGCTAGATCTCAGTCATGCCCCACCAGGTTTTAGGAGGTACAGATCATTGGGCCCATTTTACAGATGAGGAAACTGAGGCTCGGGCACATTCACTTGCTGGCCTTAGTGTGCATCGTGTTCCGTTACCACCTTGGGGACTTGGCAGTTCCTCCCTACTGAACAATCAACACGTGAATGAAGCCCACAAGCCCAGTAAGACGTCTCTGAGACCCCCGGACTGGTTGGGGCCTCCTCTGGGCTTCAGAGGCCACAGACTCACCCAGTGGAAAGTAAAAGTACTTCCCACGAAGCTTCCTTTGATACCTGCTGAACTTGTCAGCCTGGAGCCCTGGTGGGCAGACTGGGGCTTTGACAAACTGGTCCAGGGCCAGCGAGGTGCCTGGTGTGTGGTTTGCTCAGCAAATATTCATTACATACATCATATGCTGGTCAAGCTGAGAGGACAGAGTCTTTGCCCTCGCAGAGCTCCACTGACCATTGGACACCTGGTTTACGGTACAGCTGAGCCCAACTCAGACCCCAGGCTCTTTCCTCTGCCCAACTTTTAGCCAAAGCCAAGTTTCAGAAGATGGCGCCTCTCTTCTCCCAGGTATTCAGGCCAAAACCTTGGAATCATCCTTCCTTGCCTTTTCCAGCTTCTGGTGGCCCCAGGAGTCCCTCACCTTGTGGTCGCATCTTTCCAGTCTCTGCCCCCATTTTCACATGTCTGTCTCCTCTTCTTCATGTTTTTGTGTGTTCTCTCCTCTTCTTACAAAAACACCCATTTGCTTGAGGCCAGGAGTTTGTGACCAGCCTGGACAACATCGTGAGACCTGTCTCTAAAAAAAACCCCGATATTGGCCAGGCGTGGTGGCACGTGCCTGTAGTCCTAGCTACTCGGGAGGCTGAGGTGGGAGGATTGCTTGAGCTGGGGAGGTCAAGGCTGCAGTGACTGTGATCATGCCATCACACTCCAGCCTGACGACCTGGGTGACCGAGGGAGACCCTATCTCAGAAAAAAAAAAGAAAAGAAAAAGAAAAAAGAACATGAGTCATTGGATTTAGGGCCCACCCTAATCCAGCGCAACCTGATCTTAATTTAATTACACCTTCCAAGACCCTGTTTTCAAATAAAATCACATGATGAATTTCCAAGTTGATGTGACTTCAGGGGGCGGGAGGGCACTATTTCACTCACTACAGTAGGGATAATTTTTTTTTTTTTTTTGAGATGGAGTCTTGCTCTGTCGCCCAGGCTGGAATGCAGTGGCGTGATCTCGGCCCACTGCAAGCTCCGCCTCCCGGGTTCACGCCATTCTCCTGCCTCAGCCTCCCGAGTAGCTGAGACTACAGGCACCTGCCACCACGCCCGGCTAATTTTTTTGTATTTTTTAGTAGAGACGGGGTTTCACCTTGTTAGCCAGGATGGTCTCGATCTCCTGACCTCGTGATCCACCCGCCTCAGACTCCCAAAGTGCTGGGATTACAGGCGTGAGCCTCCGCGCCCAGCCCAGTAGGGATAATTTTTTAGGGTAAGTCAGCCAGCCCTGGATTTTATCTGCTGGGGCTAACGTCCCAAAGATCATAATAGTGGCTATAATATATGTAGAAAGCACCTAACTCTGTGCTAGGCCCTGTCCCAAGCATTTCTATATGTTACCTTGCTTCATCTTCAAAATAACCTCATTAGTTGGCACATTAATCCCATTTTGCAGATGAGAAAACTGAGGGCCAGAGAGTGATATGCCCAAGGTCACTGAGCATGTAAAGGTTTCCCAGTAGCGATCAGCACTGACCATAGGCCCTGACATTCATATCTTACTGTCTGGAGCCAGGCTAGGGCAGGCAGGGCTGTCACTTGTCCCCACAGCCCACGGAGCCAGATGCCATCTTGATGAAGGGAACAAGAATGGATGCCATGGGTGCAGAGCCATGGGGAGGGGGCATTGCCACCCGGTGGGCGCCCAGCCGCCCTCCCAGGCATAGCTCCTGTCGCTGCTGCCTGGGCCTGGCGCAGGCAGCCCGCAAGTAAACAGTGTCTGAAACCTATTCTCATTAGGCTAATTTACGAATAAATTACCATATTCAATGGCCTTATTTTTACTGCTCGTTAACAGGCCCGTGATAGGATGATAATTACGGGATTTTAAGTGGCTAATGGCAGCTGGGGCGTCAAAAGCAGTTTTTACGAATCTGTTTATGGCAGCGAAGGTGACAGGAGGGGAGGGACATTGAAATGTTGAAATCACACTTTGAGAAAAAAAAGCTTTAATTGTTGAGTATTTATTAGAGAGGAGGGAAGGCTGTAATTTAAAAAATGAAACTCTGAAAAACAAAGGAAATTAATTCGTCTTCCCCCCTGTGCTGTGACCTTCAGGGAGGGGGCGAGGGGTGGGCAGGATCCCAGGAGAAGGGTGCCAAGTTCAGGCATGAGTCTGGGAGGGTCCTTCCTGGTTTCTGCTGCCCCTGCAGGGAAGGCATCCCGGGGCCTGCGATCTTGGCTCAGAGGCCCCTCTGGGATCCAGGGAGGGATCCCTGAGAGAGGTAAGAGCCCAGCAACCCGAACGCAATGACAGTGTGGGCATTTGATTCATTCTTTGATCCTGATAATCGGGATCAGATCTCATCCATTCCAGCTCCCCTGCTAATATTTTACATGCATTATTTCATCCAACTCTTGCAAAAATGTGGAGAGCTAGTAATTATTCCTAACATATACTGAGTGCTCATATATGCTTTCTGGGTATTAATTCACTTAAACAGATACCCTCGTGGGATTGGTCACTATTGTTATCCCCAGTTACCAAGGAGAAAACTTGAGGCACAGAGAGGTTAAGTAAGCTGCACACAGTCACACAGCGAGGGCCCGGACCAGCATCCGTCTGGCCCTGCTTCTTTTATCACCTCCCTCTCAGTGAATCCCTGGCTAGCTGGTGGGGTGGGCTTAGGGCCCCAGGCGACAGAGGAGAAAGCACAAAGCCCAAAGAGGTTAAACCGTGTACCTGGAATCACAGAGGCTGAGTTCAAAGGTCAGCCTCTCTGAGTCCAGACCCGCCGCTGACTTGCCTTGAAATGGGACTCATGAGAGTGGAGGTGAGGAGAGGGCATCTTGGAAAAGGACGCCGGACATTTTGGTGGGGTGATTTCGGGGCCATTGCCCCGCCCTGTGAGCTCTGTGGGTGCCTCTCCTGGGTCCGGCCTTCTCTTCCCCACCTGCCTGGCCTCCTCCCTGCCGTCCTCGGCTCCTCATCTCCCGGCCACTGGGCCGATCCATCTCGCTCCTCCGCTTTAGTATGCAGCCCTCGGAAAACAAACACGCAGCAGCCTGACAGTGGGAATAAATATCGTGGCGATGTTGATTAGCATTTGATCCCAGCTGGGTCTCTGGGAGCTGAAGTACTGGAATGTCTTGGCAGTTTTTTAATGCTGAATAATTTGATTAGATCAGTGACTGAGCCTGCTGCTCCTGGTGAGATAAACCCTCCCCACATTACAGGGGAGAGAGGGGGTGGACCGAGGGCGCGCATCTGAGCCCCCAGACTTCCTGCTCCTCCACCAGCCCTCCCGGCAGCGTCGTCTGCGCGGCCTCCCCCTCCCCAGCTCGGCCCCCTTCCTCTCTTCGTCTCTCTTCCCTGCACCCTCATCTCTCTCTTTCTTTCTCTTTCCTCTTCCTTCCTCCTCCGCTATTTTTCCTCTTTTCCTTCTCTCCTGGGGATATTTGTCTCTCTCATTTCTTTTTCTCCATCTTTTCGTCATTTCTGCCTGCATGTTTCATCTTTTTTATTTCCTCCCTTCTTCTTCTCTTTCTCCTTCTAAATTCTCAATTCTCTGTTTTCCGTTCACCCCTTCCTCCTTCCTTTTCTCCCTTCCTCTCCATCTTCCTCCTTGCCTCTCCCTCCTTTCGCCTCTCTCTCCCATTCTCCATTTCTCTCCCCTCTCCCAATCTCTCTCTGTCTCTTCTTCTCTCTCCCCACTCTCCTCCTTTCTCTCTTTTCCTATCCCTCTTCCTCCTGCCCCCTCCCTCTTCCCCTCTCCTTCATCTCTCCTCACTCTTCCCCTCCTCACTCCCATACCCACCTCCTCCTTTCATGAAGCCTTAAATACATCATTTAATCAGCTCCACAATTTTCAATTTCACACAGTTGTCAGCTCAAATGTCTGACGAGGTGGTGAAGACCCCACAGATTGTGGGCAGAGGTCACAGGGCCACCAGGCTTCCCTGCTTCCTCAGACCAGACCATCTCTCAGCCCCGGCCCCCTCCCGCACCACCCACCCTTCTGCAGCCAGCCGAGGAGGGATTTCGGAGGGTTCTGCTTTTCCCGTGGCAACTGTCAATCAGTCATGTAGATGTTTCTCTTGTCATCGGTGTGAAATTGCCAGAGTGGCCTCATTATCTGCTTACTCCAAATTTGGAGGCAATATTTCTGTTTGAAGGATAATAATCTCCATTTAAAACAAAAATAACATCTTCTCAGGTAGAGGAGAAGAAGAGGAAAGGAAAGAAGACAGTTTGGAACAACCCAAGAAAAACATGAATTATCTGGGCTTTTTGATCCATACACACACACACACACACACACACACACACACACACACACACGCAAAGTCTTTACTGCCCTAACCTAACACAGAGCCCACATTTCCTGAAAACTGTTTAAATTTTTTCCAGCTGGGGTGGGAGTGGGCTGAGAGGAAGAGGAAGGTCCATGTGACTTTAACAGATCTATCCTTTCTTAGATTCCTGTCCCCTTAATCATAACTGAACATTACTAAAGCCATTGCTACTATAACAAAAAAAGTAATCAGATCAAATGGACAGGAAGGAGTGGTGAAGGCTTAGGTTCTTATGCAGATTCAATTAGCAGCACTTCCCCAAGGCTGGGTGTGGGGGTGTGTGTAGGAACCCCATTAATGGTGGGGAATGCTGTCTGTTCTCGCCAGGGGCATTGCAAAGCCAGCTGACCTCCCGCTCTGTCCACCCCTGTCATCTTATCACCGCAGAGTCAGACTCCAGCTTTATTTATTTTTCTCAAATGGATGCAGAAATGGCTGGGGGAGGCACTTCCCAATAATTGAGCGCTGGCTTTGTCGGGAAAAGCCACACTCAGGGCTCCAAGTGTCCTCCAAGCTGCCATGTGTGGGTAGAATCTGGCTGAGCTGACTGTGTGTTGGGGGTGGGGGGTGGCAGGGGGAAGCATTGAAATCAATCCTGGTTTTGTCAATTGTGCGACCTTAAATAAACCTGAGCCTCTCAGAGCCTAGATCTCCTCATCTGCAAAACAGGGGCAGTAAGAAAACCTACCCCACCCTCATGGGGGCCGTAGTAAGGGTAAAATGTGACGAAGCTTCTGACCCCCTTTATGCCCCTCCCACCGTGTCCTGATTATATAATGATTGTGGCTCTGGTCATTTACTGACCACACAGAGACCTGTGCCCATCTTACTGCGGCATGAGCTTGCTTCCAGCTCTTCCTGTCTCTGAGCCTCAGTTTTCCCATCAGCAAAATGGGGCTGTTCTTACCTCCTGGCAGGGTGCTGGCGACTCCTGAATCAAATGTGCATAGCGCCTCTCACTCCTGACTCCTCACCTCCATCCCCTTCTCCGACTTTTGCCTACAAGCATTGAAGCCTTTCCTTGGGATAGCCTGTGCTGATTTAGCTTCCCCACTAGCTTTCCTGCTAAAAATAAAGCCGGCCTCACATCTGCAAGCTGCAGTGTGGTCTCTGAAAACAGTGTTATTGAAACTTGAATGTCTGGTCCTGGTGCCCGGCATAATGCTAGGCACATAGTGGGAGACCCAATGAATGAATGGATAGATGGGTGGATGGATGGATGGATGGATGGATGAGTGGATGAAAGTTACTGGGCAGGCTGAGTGTGTAATGCTTGCTGTGTGAATGAATGAATGAATGAATGAGAACTCTGCTATCTGCAAGCCAGTGTTTCCTCTCGTTTTCTGCAGGCCCCAGCCCTGCCTTCCCTACTACGGCATTCTGAAGTTCCAGAACACAGGAGCCAACAAGAAACTGGGAATAAAGGGGTTTGATCTGCACAGCACAAACACGTCTTGCAAAAAGAGGAATATAAAAAAAATGCCAATTCCTTCTATGGGGGAAAAGAAGGCGTCGAGACATGTTAAACGGTTAGGAAGAAGGTTGCTGCTTGTTTTCCGTCTTCCTTGTGCAGGCTGAAGGCGGGGTGAGGGGAGAGGTTCATTATTTTTCGGCGCTCTGAAGGCAGGTGAACAGGGAAAAGCAAACTGCAGCCTGCCATCGCGTTCAGCGCCTTTGAAACACATAGAGCTCTCAAGGCAAGGGAAGGGTTTGATGCAATTTAAAAAAGACAGACTCCCACACCTCTCAGATCCATATGTTTCCATTCAAGATCTCGTTTCCCTCCGAGGCTGGTGCTACTGCGGGCTTTGCAGTCGGGCCCGGCTGTTCTGCTGACGCTCTGAGGACCCGTGGCTCATGGAGGAGGCAGACGGGCTGAGCAACTGCACGGTGGGCTCGAGGTGCCGACGGCAGGCTCTGGGCTGAGCTGCAGCGGCAAAGTGGTGCCCGGCGCCATGTGGTGCCCTGAGCCTGTGTGAGATCAGGTGGTTGCTGTCTGGGGGAAGGTAAGAAGGTGAAAAATAAAAGCAAGCAAATCAATAAAATAGTGTATGTATATAGACCAGAGCTAAGGGCTATGACTGTGTGTCCTTCTCTCTGCGATGGGGTCAGAGTGCTGAGTAGTTTTGTTTTCTTTCCCAAAGTGTTATAAACAGGTGTATCTTTGACAAAGAAGGTTTTGTGGTCAACTGAGTTTGGGAAATACCAGGTTCATCTAATCTCTCTCCTTCCCTTTGTTCCTCCCTTCCTCCCTCCTTTCCTTTCACCCATCCACTGTCCATTTATCCATCCATTCATCCTTCCATCTTGTTTTTTTCATTTCCTTTATTGCCTTTTTCTTTCTCCCTCTTTTCCTTTCTTCCTTTCTCCTTCCTTTCCACTCTTCCCTTCTTTCCCACTTTTATCCTTCCTCCTTCCCTCTCTCCTATCCATCCAACCATTATCCATCCATCCATCCATCCATCCATCCATCCATCCATCCATCCATCCATGGTAAGGCAGTTGAGATCCTGCCTTTGCAGACTTCAGAGTGAGTGGATAGAGACAGAAAATAAGAAAAAAGTAGAGACATTAGCGTTTCAATTGGTAAGTGCTATGAAGGAAACAAGAGTAACAAAAAGAGAGTGATTGGGTAATGGGTGATGAGTACAGACAGAGGGAAGAACTGGCAGGGTGGGGAAAGATTTTAGGCAGAAGGAACAGCAAGGGCAAGAACCCTGAGATGGGAATGAGATGGATTTGTTCAAAAAATAGAAGGTGTCCAGGGCAGCCACAGAGTCAGGGACACGTGGGATAACCAGAGCTATATGGGGCACTATGGGAAGCTACTAGATGCTTTAAGCCAAGGAATAGCATGATCTGATCCAGCCTTTATAGCTGCCCCAGCAGGACTCCAGTGCCCCGCATTGAGTCAAAGCTAAACCATAATCATTGTAATAAATTGGACTGCTTCCATCTGCCAGGGCTAAGCTAAGCCACGGGCAGACCTAGCTCTCATCACCAGAGTCAGATTTTCTCCTCCAGACATGGCTTGAGGTCTCCTTATTCAACCCTGATCAACAATGGTGGGAGTTTTTTCTGACTCATCTGGAAGCAAACTCATATTCAACAGCATGATGTTCAATTACTAAATTGGAAAAAAGTAAAATAAATAGGCAAGTTATTTCTTGTCCTTGCAAAGGTGCATAAATGAAAGAATAAGTCCAATTGGTAGACAGATGCTTAGGGTGTCCTGCAGTCTTTGCGTGGGAGACACATGATTTATTTTTGGGGGCACAATGAAAGCCACACAGAAACATGCTCCCAAGCAACGTCAGGGAGAAACGCAGGAAAAGGACTTTGAAGCAACTCTTCCTCTGTATACATTCAAACTCACTGAAAACTTGGTCATGCTGGAAATCATGATGATTTAAACTCTTATTTGCCACAATAATAATAAAACCAAGATGTATTGAGCTGCCTACTATGTGGTAGACCCTCGGCCAAGAGTTTCACTCTGGCAATCTTATTACATTGCTCCTTTTATTTTCCTGAATTCAAACCTGAGAAACTGAGGCTCAGCAAGGTTTGGAAACCTGTTACAGAACACACAGATCTCAATAGCCAACTCTGGATTCAAACCCAGCCTGTCCAGATTCCAAGCTCACCTCCCTCCTCCTGACAAGGCCCCATTTTTGACACCTTCAAAGACTTGTCTCTATAAATATGTGTACAGTTGTTGAGAACATCTGGCAGCCCATCACAAAACAAAATCTCTCTTGTTGGAGTTGTTGTTTTCGTAAATATCAGTTACTGACCCACTAGAATCTGCAGGATCTGGTGTGATTTTAGCTGTGTTCGGTCTCTGCTTGTCACCCGGGAAGTTTACGCGAGATTTGATCAGAATTTCACAAAACCAGGCTGAGCCTGTGTGGAGCTGTCAGATGAAATAATTTGTCAGTGATGATTGTGTGAATTCGTAAATATTTATGAATTCACAAGTTATAAATGTGCAGCTTTCGGGAGGGTGGAATTTGATGCTCACCAAGTCACAGATTACAATGAATATTTACAGAAACCCCAATCTGCTAATATTAGTTCTTTGTGCTTACAAAAAAGCTTTCCTTGGGATTGTAACCCTTTCAGGCTAAAAGTATCTGCAGGAAAAGAAGTATAACTAAAGAAATAAGCTCCCCCCAATAAAAAAATAATGCATTCATGATCCATTACATTTGTATAACGTTTATGATTCTCACAGTATTCACATATGCGTTATGCCTCTTGCCAGTCATTCTAAAGCTGTTTGTTGAATCGGTTTTGAACTGAATTGGATTGAAAAAGCTCAAGACAGCAGGTGGTCAAAAAGACCAAATTTTTTTTTACTTCTTGTTGAGTGACCTGCCTGTCCGGAGACCTCATGCAAGTCTCTGCGTCCCTCAGAATCTATTTCTACAAAAGACAGTGTTTCCCAAAGTTCCTCATGGACATACTACCCTCATAACACTTCCCATTAAACACAGTTGCCAGGAAGGCTCGGAGCCTGAGGCCTGCTTTCTCTTTGTTAAAAAATATTAGTAAGCATTGGAAAAGTGTTAAAGGCAGACTAACACCAAGTTGAGACTTTCTTCTTGATGAAATCAGAAGAAAATGAAAGAGAAGTTTAAGGGGAATGAGTTTCTCTTCACGAGAGGCCAAGTGGCATAGTGAGGTGGTTAGAAGCAGAGACCCTGGGCCCAGTTTGCAGCTCACTAGCTTTGTGAGCTTGACCAAGGATTTAAGTCTCTATGTCTCAGTTAATACATCCGTGAAATGGGGATAATAGTAGTACCTGTTTTAAAGGGTCACTCTGATCAGGATGACATGAGCTAAGTCTAGAAAGCACCGAGAGCTGGCAGATGACAAATGTTCTGTGTTTGTTAAATACATGAATAAGGACCAAATGCACCCCAAG
The DNA here is from genome assembly GCF_000001405.40 of Homo sapiens. Lineage (NCBI taxonomy): Eukaryota > Metazoa > Chordata > Mammalia > Primates > Hominidae > Homo > Homo sapiens. The sequence goes on along the minus strand of NC_000022.11, from coordinate 27,293,263 downwards.
TTTCAAGCCATTATGAGGATTCAAAGAGAACCAGTGAGGTGTGAGCCCTAGGTGCCTAATCTCACTCACTGAATGGGTGGCCCTAGCCAGTCTCTTAGCTCATCTGTACGTTCAGAGGGAAGGGTGGGGCTACATGGCCTCAGAGAGCCCTTGTCTCACAGAGTCCACTCAGCAGCCTGGGGCCAGGAACTAGAGGTGACGCTCATCCATTCATAGTCCACAGCAGGACTATTTTTAGGCAACTGCCTGAAACGGGACTCACAGTGGGACACCAGCTTGCATCCCACTCTCTCCTGGTTTTCTAACACCCCCATTCCATTTGTCAACCCCAGTCCAATCTTCTGCCCTCAGGAGGGCCACAATTGGACACTAAAGGCTCTCCCATGCCCTGTAATGAAACCATCCTCCAAGAGAGCTGTGGTTTTGTAAAGGGAGACACCCACTGTCAGAGGTATTTTCCAACCTGGAATTTTCCTACATTGCAGATTTGGTGTGGTTCTGCTTCTTCTGAACGCTGTAGGACCTCAGTTTTCCCATCCACAAAATGGGAGCAAAAGATTATTATCTACATCTAACATTGTTATCCTATATCTAAAACTAAGGCTGGTCTGTCTTCCACAGGCACTAGTACAAATGAACAGCCACCTTCTCCTGCGTGTTCAGCCTGTGCAAACAACGGGCACTTCCAGCACCCCGTTGATGCAGGACTCCATGGGGCCCCCTTGGCTCAGAGCTGGGCACATCCACAGAAGCTCTACCAAAAGGCACCCATTAGGGAGAAAAGAGACATTACCGTTCTAAGCTAAAATCCTCTTCCATGTGCAGAGAGTGGGGAGTTGAGGGGGAAATGGGAACAGGCTTAAATTAATAATCTTCTACCTACTAAAACGAAAAGAATGATTGTAATTTCTTAAATTGTCTCTGAAACACTAAATAAACCTATTTTTCTTAGAGTTCGACATGTCTTCATTTCGTAGGTATTATTGCCCTCATTGTGCAGATGGAGAAACTGAGGCTGAGTCCTGTAGCTGATAGGAAGAGGTAAACCCACACAGATCTTCAGGACTCTAGTGGCAGAAGCTTTCCCATGGTGGGCATTCCACATGGACGCTTCCCCACCTCACCTTCTAATGATAAAAGCAAATACGTATTAGGCAAGGCAATTTTCCAATCAGTTTACATGTACTGTCTTATTCTATCTTCATGACTGGTAGGAGGTAAGCACTTTTATCACCATCAGCTGACACACATGACAGTTGAGGTTCAGAGAGATTAAGTAAGAGGCCCAGGGACACACAGCTAGAAAGTAGAGAAGGCAAGATTCTACCTTAGCAGGCTGATGCTTGTCCCCAGATCCCCAAGACAACAGTACCAATGAATGTACCTGGGTTTGTGAGTCCTTAAGGGTTGGGGTCATACTGCAATCACACCCACTTCCAACACCCAGCCTGGCACAGAGCATGACTTCACAAATATTTGTCAAATGAATTTTTTAAAAATGCACCAGTCTTTCTGATCCTTAAAAATATCAACTTATAAACAGATATGTCAAGGAGCAATTATTCACATTACTCAAGATGTCTTCATTTTATAAAAAGGATTTACATCACTATTTCTTTAAATAGCAAGTCCCCCTAGTGCATTTAAAAATACGATTCAATTTATAGCTCGGAATTACACACACGCTTTCGGAAGCCCTTGCTTGAATAAAGGGAGCTGGCACGAGCGTCATTCATTCATCTGGCTTTTCAGCAGGCAATTACTGAGCACCTACTAGGTACCATATACTCTGTAAGGAGCCGGGGATTCAGAAGTAAACATCATGGCTTCAGACTTCAAGGAACACCCAGTCTGGTATGATAAGGAGATAATTAACAGATGAGTTTCCCAACCTGGAAATGAATTAATGCTTTAAGAAAATAAAGAAAGGAGCCCACTGCCTTAAATCTGGGCATGCTCGATAAGGGAGACGTTCCTGAAGAAGGGCAATGTGAGCTGGGCCTTGTGAGATGAGTAGCAGTTCACCAGTTGGAAACTGTCCTAGTATTAAAAAATTTTCCCCAGATTAGAACATTAAATGTACCTGTATATATTTAATATTCATCAGCTTTCATAAGCAATACTGTTTCTAGCCAAGTGTGGTTATGTTTCATACTCATGTCATTCTTGGAACTTTCGCAAATATTTTCACACAATCTCTCTCAGTTGATTCTCAAAACAATATTGGGAGGTGAGAGTGGTGTGGAGCTTTCCTTTTGTGTTATTTTATTAGAAAAGTAATGCATGTACACTACTAAAAATACAGGCAAGGAAGATATCAATGTTATCTGAAATTCCTGCCCCATCACAGCCAAGGTAAATAGTTTAACCTGTATCCTTCAAGGTCTTTCTTTCAGTGAATGTGTATTGTTTGTTTCCAAGAGAAAAACATTGTTTGTGGTTTCATGATTTGCAACAAGCTCTTTGAAAACTATGACACAACACAGGGAGAATATTTATCCATGTCATTCAGTATTTTTCAACAGCAATTCACAATAGCAAAATCGTGGAACCAACCCAAATGCCCATCAATCAACAAGTGGATAAAGAAACTCTGGTATATATATAGACGATGGAGTACTACTTAGCCATAAAAAGGAATGAATTAACAGCATTTGCAATGACCTGGATGAGAATAGAGACTATTATTCTAAGTGAAGTAACTCAGGAATGGAAAACCAAAAAATCATATGTTCTTACTGATATGTGGGAGCTAAGCTGTGAGGATGCAGAGGCATAAGAATGATGCAATGGACTTTGGGGACTTGGGGTGAAGAGTAGGAAGGGGTGAGGGATAGAAGACAACAAATATGGTGCAGTGCATACTGCTCAGTTGATGAGTGCATCAGGTTCTCACAAATCTCCACTAAAGAACTTACTCATGTAATCAAATACCACCTGTACCCCAATAACTTACAGAAAAATAAAATTTAAAAAAAGAGAAAACAGGGGCCCTCAAAAAATATTTTTCTACAGCAAATTTTTAAATGATTTTGTTCTTTCCATATATGTACACATGTATACAGAAGTATATATTATATATTATTATATAATATACATTTATATATAATTTTTTTACATAGATATATAAATCAACCCACTAGTGATGGCTGACTAGGTTGTTTCCAATTGCTTTCTCTTAATGTAAATAATGCTGCATTGAACATCTTTATAGCTACATATTTGCTGTATATTTCCATGTTAATTTTCTCCTACTATCCCCCCTCCCAACCAAGTAATAACCACTAGGTCAAAACACAGGCATAGTGTAAGGCTGTGAGGTCAGGATGCATGCTCTCCATGTCAAAAGAGAAATAACAACCAGTCTAGGACCTAAGCAAGGCCTCCCGTCTGTCAACCCCAAAACTCCTCCCTTTCATAAGACCCACTAGATCTCTTCATCATCAGAGAAAAACCAAGCCCCACAACCCTTAGAATCCTATAGGAGGGAATAGGATTGGGCAGGGAATGAAGGAGACATGAATTGATGCTGGGTGATTTTTTTTTCTTCCGTTCTGACCCTGTTTATGGGCCTGGAGAGACAAACACAGACAGCTTTCCAAATTGAGGCAAGCCCATGCAATATCTCACTCCTCTACCTCCCTGCCTGGAGGTCTCCTGGCAATTTAGAGCTTCCCTTGTAGGTTACAAAGTCTGGTCAGCTTAGGCAATCAGACAGAGCAGTGCTCATCGGGACTTCTGTTGATGGCTGTGCTGGGAGGAGGGACAGCTGGCAGGCAGATGATTCTGTCCCACACTCAGCCTGAGACCTTGAAGTGGGCATAGGGTTATGATCTTATGATCCTGGGCCCCTAGACCTCAATTTTCCCATTTGTGGAACAAGGAGTATAGACCCGGGCTGTTATTTCATCTGTAGGGGGTCTGAGGGTGCAGCATTCCAGGTAGGAGTCCAGGCCCAGCTGGGAGATCTTGGGAAGGTAGCTTAGCCTCTCTGAACCTCCTTCAAGTCAACAGAGATCTAAAGGCCACTGTGTTGTGTGCTGGACACTGCTTCCGATGCTGGGGTCGTAGAAGTGAACACAATATACCAGTTGCTGCTCCCCAGGAGCCCCCGTCTCAGACAGACCATAAACAGTCAGCCACTAAACAAATGACCATGCGAGGTAATTTCCACTGCAATAGGTGCTGGGAAGAACAGGAACCCAGTGAGGTGACGGAAAAGGATTGGGGCTGCAGGCAGCTTGGGATTAAAGACACGCTTTAGATGTGGGTCTCTCTGAGATAAAACCATAATAAAGGATAAGGGGCCAGAAGTGAAAGAAAGGCCAGGATTTACCAGGGTGGCTTCACATTGTCATCAGTCAGGCAGTCTGATGTCATTGGTCTGGGGTGGGACCTGGGCATCACCAGTATTTTAGAAAGCCCCCCAGAAGGTTCCAATGTGCACACGGGTGGTTTTGGGGATCACGCTTTAGGCTGGGGAGTGGCAGACGCAACGCTCCGAGGTGAGTTTATCCTGTTCCTGGAACAGGGTACTGGGAGTGCAGCAGGTTGGCCAAGGGGATGGGGACACAGTGTGAAGCTGGTGTCCACGGAGGCCGGATGCATGGAGCACGGACGCGGGAGGAGAGAGAGGAGTTTCCATTTTCAGGCGGCCCATGAGACAAGAGAGCCTCGGTTGTCTTGCTAGTAAAACAGGCTCCAAAGTGTCCCAAGTATGCCCCAGAAGAAGCGCACAGAGGGAGCTGCTGCTAGCCTGCAAGTCAGAGGTGGGGGTAATGGGAGGGGCTAAGTCACACTGCAAGATGGCCTTTTGCTTAGGGCCTGAGTGTCAAGTAACTGAAAAACAACAGGCACCAGTTGACAGTTGGTCCAAGCTAGCCCTGATCTGGTATGTCTTCATACGCATCTCATATAAGACATGACCCTCCAGATGTTCCCTTAGGAGAGGGATTCCAAAAATACTGCTGCCCTCCCACTGTTCAAAGCACAGGGCATGGCCGTGCACTGAAGGCTGACAAGTCCTGCAGTCAGAAACCTCGTGGGATCTGTTTAGACTTACAAGAAAGCAAGGCCGGCTGGCTCCACCAACCCACGCAGGAGGCAGCAGAAATGTCACCACTGCTGAGGGGCATTCCAAGCTCTTCCCTAAAATGGTCCTCCCCAACTCCCACTGGCCACACCCTATTCCAACACCTGGGTTCTTCCTTCATAGTGATTGTCTAAGTTCACTTCATGAATTTGTCTTGCTTGTGTATTTGCTTACTGTTTCATACCTCCTGCCTGCAGTGGCAACTGGTATAGGCTAGGTGCTCAGTTAATCTCAGTTTCATTGAACAAATAAATGAATGTAGTTACAGGTAGGACAGGCACAGGATTCAAATAGATGGCATGCAAATCCTAAACTATACTACATGCTAGCTTTGTGACCTTGGGCCACTTAAACCCGATGAGCCTCATCTGTGAAAAAGGATGAAGTAATTGGACTTACCTTGTTGGTAGCATTGTGAAACTTTACAGGCTCCAAACACGGAAAGGATCTAGTGCTCGGCATGGGGAAGGGTCATATACCACGGGTGACTCCATTCTGTGGTTAAAATTAATGCTATGTAACTGTTGGAATCCTGGATTTGGGCATTCATTGTGTAGGGGCTAAAGGAATCTTTATTCATTTTAGTCCTTCTGACCTTTCCCTCCATGTCAGGCTTTTAGAAACTTCTAAGTTTGTTTCTGGAGGAACATTGGCACATTTTGAGAAAACATGCTTGCAATAATTAATTGCAGTAGGAGGAGTCCCATAGGTTTGGAGGGTAAAGGCGGAGAGATGTCACTAGAGAGATGCTGACAACAGGAATTAAGGAGAGCTGTTATTCAGGAGGAAAACCAACTGTTGCGTTGAAGTTTTGTGCTGTGAACTTTTCCAGCTTCAGACAGAGCCTCTGGTCCTCTGTGTGTGTGTGTGTGTGTGTGTGTGTGTGTGTGTGTGTGTATTCAGCACCATGTTTAAGCATGTGTGTGTTTGTGGGTGTGCACGCATTTGCGCACACACGTATTTACCAAAGTTGCTTTCCGCAAAAATTAAAGACAAAAGTTTTGTTTCTTTCTAAACTTTGGCAATTTCAGCATCTGCCTATTTAGGTAAATTAGACAAGGATTATCTCTTTTATCTTCCCTCTTCTTTGTTTTTTTTTCCCCTCCAAACCCAGAAATTCCATGAGAAATATTTTTAAGAGTGTTAACTGACAAATGTACACATGCCGTCCGCAGCCAGAGAGCAAGCAGCACAGTCGCTAACTTGTTAGACAGGAGCTAGATTACAATCATAAATAAATGATTTGCTGTCTCCTCGCATTCAGACTTGTAGCTTTTAAAGTGTGCCTGTCATCGCAGAATCAGATTTAGTCAAATGCTGTGTAACTGCAAAATTATCCTATCCTTACCTTTTTATTCTCCTTATAATGGACAGTTAAATTGGATTTTCAAATTTGAAGTGCATATGTTTTTCAAATCCCCAGAGGCTGTCTATTTTTTCATTTCTAAAGCAACTCACTAATGTTTATCATTACCACACAGAAATATTACAATTCTTAAGGGGCGCCTTACAAAATCAGTGCAGGAGAAATGTGCTTTATCGTCTCAAAATGAAACCAATTTCTCAGCTGATTTGCAATTTATTTACATGTTAGCATTTGATTTCCGGCTGATTTATAACCCCACACAGCTCTGTCTCAGGGTTTATTTAGAAAGCAGACAACAGTGGTCGGGGAAGGCTGTGGAGCGCAGCGTGGCATGGGATGTCTGTTTCCCCAGGCTGGAGGCCACAGTGCCACTCCCAAGTCTCCTGGTTGAGTTTCACCTTCAGCGAATCCAGTGCCCCATTGTGTGTGAATATGCAGGATGCTAGGCCCAGCCACTGCGTGGAGATCAGATGCTGAAGGACAGCTTTTCAGAAGGAATATTTTTGCTCCTCTGCAGTGAACGGGGATTGTGGTAGGGGAAGTGGAAAAGACGCCTGGGATATACTGGGCTTTCATTCTTTGGCTCATTCACATAACTCTAATGGCTAATGTGACATCTGAATTCAGGAAGTATTGGAATTGACAGTGAGGACTTTATTGGGGTTTATTGCTTCATCTGTCTGACCATTTATTCATTGATCCACTCTTCCAGACATCTCTCTAGCCATTCCTCCATTTATCCGTCCATGTGCCCATTCATTTTCCCATCTACCTACCAATCTATCCACTTATCCATCATCCATTCATCCATTCATCTACTGACCCACTTATCCATCCATCCATTTGCCCATCCACTTATCCACCTGTCAATCCATCCACATACCCATCATTCATCTATCCATCTGTCCATTTTCCCATTCACTTACCCATCCACCAACCTATCCACTTATTCATCATTCATTCGCCTATCCATATATCCATTCATCCATTCACCCACTGACCAGTTCATCCACCCATCCATCCAACCATCCACCCACCCACCCACCTATCCACCCATCTGACTACAAATCCATCCAACCATCCATTCCACACTTATCAATATAGGCCTTTGCACTGAGTACTAGGGAATTAGAGATGACCAAGAAACTGCTCACAAAACTCTTGGATAAGAGGAGGAGACAAACATACACCTGCCAGGATCATTGTGAAGCTCAAATTACTTAATGCATATAAAAAGTGCTTCACAAACTATAAATCTCTTAAAAATATAACATATATGTAAATGCCGTAATGAGTTTAGAGCAGCCTGCTTCCTTCTATCTAGCTGTGGAACCACAGGTAAACAACTTCCTCTTCCGAAGCCTTGGTTTCCTCATCTATAAAATGGGAAGGGAGGTAATAATTAATAATAATAATTAATAATAATACTAATACCCCTGGCAGGGGCCTTGGCAGAATCTGATGAGATAACCCATATAGAGCACTTAGCCTAGTGTCAGGCCATAGTTAGCACCTGATACACTTTCTTCTTCTTACTATTCTGATTGTTGCATGAATAATAGGGACAAAGGAGGAAGAGAAATTCTGTCAAACTGAAAAGATGAGGAAAGATGTTACCAAAGAAACAATATCTGAGCTGGGTTTATAGAAGAGGGAAGCTTTCCTCAGGTACCAGAAGGGAAGAGCATGGCCAGCAGAGAGAGCAGCTTGCACAGAAGTCTGAAGGTGCAACTGAGGATTCAACAAAAGGTGAGGGAGATGTGGCAGGAGCATGGGACCCATGGGCACAAGGAGAGAAGGTACGTGTGTTGAAGTAGATCTCAAAGGCCTTGCATTTTAGGATATTGAACTTGGGTTTTCTTTTCCCCCCCCTGGGGATGACAGGAAGCCAATGGAAGGCCTTCATCAAGGACATGGCCCCATCCAATTGGCACCTCAGGGGGCTCCATCCTGCAGACAACAAAGGTGGAGGCAGGGAGCCTGGACGGGAGCTGGAGAAACAGCTCCTTGGAGAGCAAAGGAGGCAGGAGACAGTGCGCTGGTGCAGGGCTGGTGAGAAGGGGCAGATTTGAGAGATGAGTTTTTAAGCAGAATCAGCCAGGATGTGGGGACCAATTGGAGAGAAGAAGGGGGGATAATGAAGGTTTCACCGAGATCTCCAGGAGAACCCTATCAGAGGCAAAATCCCTGAGACGGAGATGAATTTTCCTCCTCACTTTGCCTCTATCTGCCCATGCCATGCAGCGCTTCTCTGAATACATTTGCATATATTTATGCTGCAGGCAGCCAGCGCTAAAAGGAGCATCTCCCTCTCTCTCTTTTTCTCTCTCTGAATGTGAGCTCACATCCAGCACGATTCCCCTTCTGCGCAGAGTCAGGAGCCAGGAACTTCCAGGGACTTCCTGAGTGAACTTGGACCCTTTTTTCACCTCTTCGGGTCTTAGGATAAATTCATGTTTCTGGGGTCTCTAACTCTAGGACACCAGGAGGAGAGTGAACTGAGAGAAGGCCTAGTCCTCTGATTCATAAGTGGACAATTTACGTTTTAAGTAACAGGAAACCTGATTCAAATTACCTTAAAAATGAACCGTCTGGGTTCAGGTAAGAAAACTTCAGAGGTTCCAGCTGTCAGGTGAGTCTGGGACCAGCAGCTCCATGATCTCACTCATTAAAGACACCATTACTTTTTTATCTTTTACGTGTCTCCTGTCTTCATTCTAAGTCTGCTTCCCTTTATGGCTGCCACTGGCTCTTTGCACAGCAAATGACCAAGATTTCATGTTCCCACTCAGCAGGGAAGAAAGGGTGTGTCTTAATCTGGGTACTGCCCCCAAACCCTGAGATCCACTCTGATTGGACGGTTCGGTTTCCATCAACAACCATGAACCAATCCCTGTGGTCTGGGGATGGGTTATGCTGATAGGCTCCTCCTGGGTCACATGCTTCTCCCCTTAATGACGGAAACCCATGCATTCTCACACAGAAACCACGGTTTTCTACTTTCTTCCTGCCCAAGGAGAGAGAAGATAGCCTCAAAAACAGACGTAGTCTCTGGAAAATTGCCTGATTCTCTACATAAAGTGCATGGGAAACTCAAGCCATGAGTAGTGTTTGACTCAGGAACTTTGAGTGTGCAAGGGCAAGCCTCAAGGCCAGCTGCCTATGAAGAAATAAAGATAGCCTCCTCCCAGTGGTCTAGGTCTTGTGGTGTCCACTTGATGGACCAGCCAAGACTGCCTGGAATCCCTACTGGACACAAACGTTGGTCATCCTATGCTGGAGATTTGAAGTGGTAGGTGGGAGTACCATAAATCTTCGAAAAGTGTGTCAGGGATTCTAAGTTGTTTTAGACAGGATATGTCAGGTGATGCCGCAGTAACAACCTCCACCCCTTCCAAATCTTAGTGACTTACCAAAGCCAATTAATGCCTGTTTCTTATTCTCGCAAAGTTCACGGTGAGTTTGGGTGACTCTCCAGGAGAGCTTTTCCTTGCACAGCAAATCAACAATCTGGAAAGCTTCAACCTTATAATACACACATGCTTCCACAGCAGGGAAATGAAGAATGGAGGATGGTGACCTGGCTCTTGATTTCTCCTGCCTGAAGTGACACACATCCCATCTGCTTACATAATGGTGTCCAACTTCAAGTAATCCTCCCATATTCCCTGAAGGAGGGGCAGATTAGAAATACCAGGGAGAAGTAATAATATCTGCCTCTAAAAAGAGGGAAGAACTTGGCATCTGACTCAAACTCACTTTCCGTGTGTCTCGGGTTCACCCCAAAGAAGATGAAACCTTCTGTTGTTATCTGCTCTCCACCTGGTGTTTGGGATTAAGGGATGAACTGCCTTCTAGCAGTTCATCAACTTGGGGAGACAGGGCCAATTGTTAAAAAGAGAGAGATAGAGAAAGAAATAAATGTAATTTTAGAACCTGCTTCCTGGACTTATTGTGAAGATAGAAGTTGAAGCACGTGACGTTTTTGGCATGTCGCCCAGCAAAAATCAGAGTTCTATAAATACAAGCTTTTATGGCCATTTTACAGATGAAGCAATCGAGGCTCGTGGTGGTAGAGTGACTCTCAAGGTCACTCAGTGATGATGGTGACCCAAAGACTGAGTGGCTGCAGAGGCCTCTGTTAGTCATATCACCCTTGACCTCATTCATATTCCACACACATGAGAATCCTCTCTTCCTCTTGCATTGTTCAATCAGAGTCTACCTGGTTTCCTGACCTGTTGTGGGCACCATGTCCTGTAATGAACACTGATGGATGCTGACGCAAAGGTCAGTTGGTCTAGAGGTGAGATGCTCTGCCATTTGCTTTCCTCTTCAAACAGATCTGGATCCTAAAAAATACAAGGATACAGTGACTCCTGAGCCCCTCCTGTAGGTAGCAGCCATTGTCTGATGGTGGCATTTATCATTTCAGGGTAATGAGGGAAGTGCTTTCCCATTGCATGACCAAGATTATCTTAGGAGTCATTCGCACTAAGATGTCAACATTCTAAGATTCTGTATCCTATATTTCTAAGATTTCCACCATTCCTTAGCTCTGGGATTCCAAATTCAACTTCTAAGATTCTAGACCAGGGCTGTCCAAGAGCACTTTCCACAACAATGGAAAGATTCTGTATCAATGTTTTCCAGCACAGAAGTGTGGTGGCCACTATCTTCCTGTGGCTATTGAGCACTGAAATGTGGTTGGTGTAAAGAAGGAATTGAATTTTAATTTTACTTCATTGTAATTAATTTGAATCTAAGTAGCACACATAGCTAGTGGCTACTGTACTAGGAAACAAAACCATACATCCTCTTCTAATTTTCCTTATCCTCGCAAAGTTCATGGAACATGACTGAAGTTCTCAACAGCACCACAACCCCAGTTTGGGTCACTTGATCTGGAATTCACTGAATGAAACATGAGTTTGTTGTATATCAGTCAGGAGAGAGCAGGTTACACTGCAGTAACAAGCAAGCCTCAGATCTCAGTGCTTATGCTGGATATTCATCACAAGTTGGCAAGAAGATCTCTCATCACAGTTATTTGGTTACCCAAGCTAATGGACTAGCACCCTCTTGAAAGTCACTGCTCAAAGGGCCTGATGGAAAACTGAACTGTCAAGGACCTTGCATTGATTATGAAAGCTACTCAGAATGGACACATACTACTGTTTCTGCCTCCAACTTATTGGCCAGAGCTATTCACCCATCATGCAGGTATAGGAAATGCAACCCAATGTGTTCTGGAAGGAAAGAAACCCAGAAATATTTGATGATCTGCACTAATGATTACATAGTATGCAAGGCTAAAAGCTGGGATAAAAGTAGGAGGAAAATACTGAGTCTGGGGGAAAAACAAAACAGCCCGGGATCCTTGAAAGAGCACTGAGTCCTGGTTTGTCAGATGCTCTGTGACAGATCCAAGTCCTGGGTTTTTCACATGCTCTGTGATCCTCAATATTTCCCTCATTCTCCTTTGGTCTCTCAGGTTTACACTTTGAATTATAATGCCTGATCTAACCTTGCTGGTTATAATACATAGACACCTCTGCATGTATGCAAGAATGAAGGACCATGGCATTGTTGGGACTTTTCTAGTTATTACCCTTCTCTATGCACAACTGAGGAAGGACTTTGGGTCCCTGAGTTAGTGTTGTGGTCTGGGCTGCTACTTGCCATACATTTCCATTAAATTCTTCTTACCTAGATAACATTTATTTCATGGGGGAGAGAGGGAATGAGTCATAATGTTCTAAACATTTTTTAAAATCTACATTTCTCAGCCTTACTTACATGTGGGACTGTCATGTGGCAACCTCTGTCTAATAACTTGTAAGTGGAAGGTGTTGGGTGCATTTTCCAGAAAAGCTCCTTTACAAAGGAGGCAATCTGAGCTAACACTCATGTCTTTATCACTAGACTCGCATTTTTCTTCTAGTCTGAATGGGGGATGTGATGGTTGGAGCTCTGGCAATCATTCTGAGAGCATTGGAATGCAAGTCACAGTTAAAAAATTTATATATGACAGTTAGAAAGAACTTGGATACCTGATGGCATTATGGAGCTGCCATCTGTCCGACTTACAGGAGGAAAAAAATAATTTCTATCATGCTTGTTTACACCATTTGTGCTTGGATATATGGTTACATGCAACTATTCCTAACATTGCAGAAATTAATTGCTATATTGGTGAACAAGAAGCTACTGTCTTCAAGGAGTAATAAGGATAATACGAGCATTGGAAATGTGTAGACCCCACTTCCCACTTTACTACTTGCCAGCTGTGTGACTTCAGGCAGAGGACTCAGCCTCTCTGAGCTCAAGTTGCCTCATTTGCAAAGTAGTGGTGATCATGAGGCTTCCATAGGGTGTTTGTGTGGATTCAGTGAGATCACACACACAGAGTTCATAGTGTCTGGCACCTAGCAGATGCTCAATAAACAGCAATAATACCTCATATTATTTTGTACTTACTCTGCCACATGCTGTTCTAAGAGCTTTACGTGCAACAAACCCATTTAATACTCATGAAACCCCAGGAGGGGCTGTTCTTTCATCCCCATTTTACAGTTGAGGGAACTGAAACAGTGAAGTATGTACTGAATAATGGTTTGAATAACATGGTGAATAAATGAGTTAGGGCTTGAGTAGTCCCTAAACCCCAGCCATTTTGTACACTGCCTCGGTGGTTTTTGCCATGCCCCATGTCATCTTGTCACCAGCATCATTATTTACTTAATAGTTTTGTTTAACTTAATTTTAGACAGAATCACTTTGAAAAATTATATCCTCATTCTAAGCAACAAAATATGCCTGGAACCACTATATATATATATATATATATATATATATATATATATATATATATATAATACATATATATATATTCTCCAAAAAAACATATGGCACCACTACCAGAGCTAAACATACATTTATTCTGTATGCTTACATGCTTTAGCCCAGCAATTCCAGTTCTGGATATATAAACTGTAGAAAAAAAATGCTTGTAACCACCAAAAGAACACAAGATAAAATTTCATACCAGCTCTTTATTTGGACAACTCAAATGTCCATCAGTAGTGCGTTGGATAAATAGATTATGATATATGTATGCAAGAAATACTACCCAGCAATTAAAAAAAACACACATGCAAACTACTGATATATGCAACAATATGATGAAGATAAAAGATTAAGTGAAAGTTTGATACCAAGAAGTGTACACTAGATAAATCTATTCATATGAGGTTCAAAAATGGAATAGAAGTGGTAGGAGTCAGCAGAGTGATTACAGTGGGGCAGGTTTTAACAGGGCGGGACATGAGGGAGCCGCCCGGGGGCCTGAAAAGGGGTGTCATCTTGGCCTGGCTCGTGAGTACGCATCTGCAAACCTTAATTGAGTTGTTCACTTCATATTGGCGCAGTTTATTATATTTAAGTTACACCTCAATAAAGACGTCTATTAAAAATTTTTTTAAAGGATTAAGTGAGTCATAAGGCCACATGGAATCATGCCACACTCTGGGAAGCAAAGCTCTCCACAAAGGGACAGGCACAGAGGATGCTCTTAGGAAATGCCAGTTGAGCAGGAGGTGTGGTGGCCCCAGGACTAATGCCTGGTGGGAGAACCAGCCACTTCTGCACCACATGCCTGGTCATCTGGAGTCATCTCAGGCTCCATGGAGAGGGCTGGGCAACATGTGCTGAGCCCCGGCTGCTGGGTCTTTTGTGCCAAGGCTCTGCCAGTTAATAGCCAAGTTCTTGACTTATCAGCTGCCAGCTCTCTTGCTGTTTCCTTCATCATCCTGGCTCCTGCTTGCTCTGTCCTGCCTTCCCTCTCTTGCTACATAATCCGGTGGCTCCCTTTTGAGATTTGTTTTGGCCACATGCTGATTCCTAAGAAGACCCTGGTACTTGAGGGAAATTCTATTCTTCATGGAGCCCATTGGCTAGACGGGCAAGGGGAAGATGGTGGAGAAAATGTGATTCTGATGCATGTGTGTCCCGTTAGGGAGGAATGGCCTGACAGATGGAGAAAGTTGTTAGAAGAGATGGTGAGAGGGAGGAAGGAAAGGCATCTTCACCATTCACCCGTGGAGTCTTGGGGGTGCGTGTGTGTGAGACAGAAAGAAAGTAAGACAGAGAGAGAAATAGGGACACAGAGAGACAGAAATAAAAAAGGAGACAATGACAGAGGGAGGAAGGGAAAAGAGCCAGACAGCGATATGAAGAAAGAGATAGGGCAGAGATTTTCTCCAATCTGTGACCTCTTGCCTACAGCTTTTTGAAGATTTCCAAAAATATTTGAGACCACCCCCTGTTGCGAAATTCATTGGCTACAAAATTTTAAGACAAGTGCAAAGTTAAAATTAAGAAATGTTTAACCAACTGTCTGTAAAATGTAACATTATGTTAACTAAAGAACTTTCATTCAACCCAACTCTCAGGAGTCATCTCTAAAGTATGTGGGGGATAGGTCCTCCCCAAGTTCAGGACCTTCCAGTGTCCCCCGGGGCACTGAATGTGATAGGAGGGATGATGAGCAGGTCTTGTACCCCCACCTAGGCTGCACGGCCTCAGGACAGGGGGACTAGAGAGAGGAAATGACCTGGCAGGGTTCCCCCAACTTTATCAATCTCCCCATTTTATAGATGGGAAAGCCAAGACTTGGAGAGATGAGGTCCCTTGCCCAAGGCTCCAGATACATTTAAATGACACTATGATGAATCCGTGTGGCATCCTCTTACCCTGCTAAAAGTGTTCTACCCCTTTGAAACCTCTATTTTCCCATTTCCAAAATCAGAATAAAAATATCTACCTGTAGACCCCATGAGGATGGAGATCACAGATTTTAAAGACATGGCAAACCTTAATTCACTGTACAATTGTCCAAATTAAATAAACAAACAAAAGACTGAAGAAAAAGTGAGTCTCCCAGTCCAGGACTCTAAATTCCCCCTTGTAGCAAACTACCCTGGTAAAAAAAAAAAAATCAACCAAGACACTATTTGGGGCAGAATCCAAGGCAAATAAAGACAAGGGCAAAATGCCACATGGGAGACAGAAAAGGGATTGTCTCCAAGGATGCGGTCTCTGTCCCTGTCCCTTTCCCTAAATTTCTATTCACAGTTATATCCCCAGGACCTGGTTGAATCCCTGGCACCTAGTAGGTGCTCAATAAATGGATGTGCAATAAATAATAATTAGTAGTAACAATAGTTAGCCTTTCATTAAGCACCCACTAGTTGCCAGTCACCTCCTCATACAAGGGTCATTTATATGAAGTAGTTGAACTTTATTATCCCCATTTTACAGATGAGTAAACTGAGGTTAAATGACGTGTTCATGATCATACAGTTAGAAAGTGGCAAAGCCAGGATTTGAACCCAGAAAAGCCTGACTTCTGAGTAGTTCTTAGCTTGTGTGCCTAATGTCCGTCCGTGTTGCCACCGTATCCACTGAGTGACAGAGGTATGTGGAAGGGACAATGCCACCTGTGGTGTTGTGACATTGCTCTAGTGGGTACTTATATCCAGGGAAGAAGGGACTGGTCTCTAGACAAGCCAAGGTCCTCTTCTCCGCCCCATTTCCTCTCCGTCATTAGCCTATTTTCAGCCTGTATTAATTATAGGCTGTAGAAACTTACCACTAACTAGGTGGCTGAAAACAGTAGCTATTTATTCTTCCTCAGTTCTGGAGGCCAAAAGTCTGGTCAGTGCCACAGGGTAGAAATCAAGGTATTGTTAGGATCACACTCCCTCCAGAGGTGAGAATCTATTTCTTGCTTTTTTCAGCTTCTGGAGGTTGCAGACATTCCTTGGCTTGTGGCTGCACCACTCCAATCTCTGCCTCTGTGATCACATGCCCTTCTCCTCTGCATGTGGTCTCCCTCTGTCTTTCTCTTCTCAGGACACTTGGTATTATATTTAGGGCATCCCTGAATAGTCCAGAATAATCTCCCCATCTCAAGATCTTTAGCTTAATCACATCTATAAAGACCTTTTTATTTAAAAAGTAACACAGGTTCTAGACATAAAGACTTGCTATGTTTGGGGGACATATTTCAGACTATACATGATGTCTTAGTCTGTCTTGTGTTGCTATAAAGAAATATCTGGCCAGGTGTGGTGGCTCATGCCTATAATCCCAGCACTTTGGGAGGCCAAAGTGGGCAGATCACCTGAGGTCAGGAGTTTGAGACCATTCTAGCCAACATGGCAAAACCCCATCTCTACTAAACATACAAAAATTAGCCAGGCATGGTGGTGTGTGCCTGTAGTCCCAACTACTCAGGAGGCTGAGACAGGAGAATTGCTTGAACCTGGGAAGCAGAGGTTGCAGTGAGCTGAGACTGTGCCACTGCACTCCAGCCTGGGCAACAGAGCTAGACTCCATCTAAAAAAAAAAAATTTGAGGCTGGTTAATTTATAAAGAAAATAGGTTTATTTGGCTCACCGTTCTGCAGGCTGCACAAGAAGCATGGCACTAGCATCTGTGGCTGGTGAGGGCCTCAGGAAGCTTCCAGTCATAGCAGAAGGGGAAGGGATGCTGGCAAGCCACATGGTAAGAGAGGGACAAACACAGAGAGTGAGAGGAGGTAACAGGCTTTCTTAAAAACAATCAGATCTCCCGGAAACAAATAGAGAAGTTTCTCAATATGAGGACACAAACACCTCCCATCAGGCCCCACCTCCAACACTGGCGATCAAATTTCAACATAAGTTTTGAAGGGCTTAAGATCCAGGCACTATCACATAACTTGAGGGCTTTTATCTGGAATCATCAGCATCGGGAGTTCCATTTCTACCTTGCCTTCCTTCTCCTCCTGACTGCAGATCCTAGACCTCCCTGGGTTGATAATTGCAGAAAAAGACCATTCTCCTGCCTCAACCTGTCTCTATTTTTCCCCTCAGTATTGGCTTTGTGAGCCTGGGAGCTGGTAACAGAGCCAAGGATGAGGCTGAAGAGGTGGCATCCCCTAACTTGTGCCCCATCTGTAACCCTCCTGCACAAAGCCTGGTCACCTCTAAGTCTAAGCTTGGGCTGAATGCCAGACATCTGGACCAGAGAGGGACCAGATTTGCCTGGAGACACATAGCAATTCATTTATTCATTTGACAAACCTTTACTGGATCCCCTTCCATGTGTCAACCTCTGTGCTGTCTGCTGGGGACAGGGAAGTTACCTATCCCCTGTATCTTTAATCTAGTGAGGAAAAGACATTTCAAATTATACTGGTCATCTGTTTCTGAACATACGTAGCAAATGTGAAAATAGGGAATAGAGGAGGCCTGCGAAGAAAGTAATTTACCCTGAAGGAACTAAGGGTTAGCTTCTGAAGCCTCCAAGGGGGAGGTGGCATTTGGCCTGGGTAGATATTAGCCAGGGGAGATTCCAGGCTAAAGGAATAACATGTATGAAGAGGGCTGAGAGTCTGAAAAGAGAGGTAGGTTGAGGGGCTTCGTATGGCATACAGCTCTGTGTTTGTCTGCTGCATTTCACTGGATCCTCTTAGCTGCCCAGTGAGTTAGTATTATTAGACCCATTTCCTAGATGTCAAAACTGAGGCCTCACCTGTGGAGAGATTTCCCTGAGGTCACACAGCTGCTGAGACTCCCACTGGGGTCCACACTCTTTGTTTCTCTAATCCAGCACTCGTGATATTTTCATTGTACAGTCTGACTCCCTAAGTTTTGGTGTGATGACTTCCTCCCTTAAGAATCCACCCTCTTACACTCCCATAGCAAGGACTGTAAGAGTTCTCGTGGCTCCAATTCCAGTGGCAACTCTGATTGCATGCTAGTAGCTGCCTGGGAGACTTATGTGGCTGTATGGGAGTTGAGTGTTCTGGAACTGACTAGCAATGTCTGCTTGGGCACTGGGTAAAGGGGCAGTGGTTTGCTTGCCATGGACTTGCGAAGTCTTGGCTTGTAGCTTTATGAAAGCATTCTCTTTATCTCTGGGGTTTCAGAAGGAAATCTATCCCTGAGTGACCTTCACTGTGCAGTAAGGAAGCTGGGTTATTTTTATAAAGAGGGGTGACTTTTTTAACAGTTGGCAATCAAACAAGGACAACCTTGCGTCCCATTTGGACTTGGATTCTGGAGACCCCCCCATCATGTCATCTAGCTTTGTGCTCCTTTGCAAGAAGCCCTGCTTCCTCCTGCAACCTCTTTCTGACTCTTTTTATGCAACGCATTTTCCGCATCGCAATGAGTTGAGTTTCACGGCACTCAGAACTGCCGAAAGCAACTGTCCTACCCAAAGGTAACCTCCTCATTTCCAATGGGAAGCAGATGCGTGAATCAAACAAGCAAAGACTCAGAGGCTCTCCCCACCGCCCCCACCCCATCTTTGCTATTTTTTTCCCAAGGGAGGGGAAGTCTTTGAGAAACCTGGCCTCACCTTCAGCCCATCCCAGACCTCCACACATCTGGCTCAACCCCCCCAAGTGACAAACCAGCACACACCACCACCACACACACACACACAATTCTAACAAGACATTAATAGATAAATAAAAATAGCTTCCACAAGAAACGATGAGGAGTCACGCAACAAAATGATTTCTTTCTGTGTGCGTAAACTCATGAATAATCAAATTGCATGGTCCCCAAACGAGCTAAGCGCAGCTCTTGTCAACTTCATCCCAGTTTTCTCCTGGAAGGTCACCTCAAACCTTTGCAGGCCTGGTGGCTGTGTCCCTCACATTTACTCCCTCCTTACCCCCTCCCTGGCCCCCACCTCCTCCTCAGGGGGAAGAAATTAATTCCCAGTGCTATGGAAACGTGCAGAAAATCTGAATGGAAGGCTGGGATCGCACTCATGAATCGTCAGGCAGGAAGGGGAGTTCGATACAATATTGGCGGTGGGGTGGGGGGGAGGGGGGAGGGTCCTCAGGCCATGGCTTTTGTGAGCTCAGCCGGAGCCCTGGCTTTGAGTTTCTTTAGTGTCACATTTTAACCTACCAGCTGCCTTGAGAAGCAAGATGATCTTCCCTGCCTTTTTTCGTCTTCCTTTTTTTTTTTTTAACAAAAAGTATATTTTTTTATTTTTTTATTTTCCCTCATGTGTTAAGGGAGGAAACAGTGACAGGGACAAGTGACAGCTCGCTAATTATTCCCTTACTGCCACTGCTGTTCTGGCTTTGGACGCATTGCTCATTTCTCCCCGTCTTCGCACTGAATAATGCATGGGTCCCTATCTGTATTCAAGCGGCACCTCCGGGGACCGCCAGCCTAACTAGCTGATAACTGATTCAGTTTGTAAGCAGGGCCTCTGGGAGTTGCAAGGAAAAGTAGCCAAGAACAAATTTAACACTTCTTTCTCATTTCTTCAGAACATCAAGGAGAGGCAGGGTGGAAAGCAGGTGGGGGTGGGTGCCCGGTCCTTGGAGGGCACTTGACCTCAAGTTAGGAGGGGACAACCTTGGCTCCAGCTGCAGGAGAGGTTTAATGATGATGATGAGAATAATAATCAGAAAAATAGTTAAGGTTAGTTGAAGTCTTACTATGTGTCTGGCATTGTATTAACCACGTTGCACGCATAATCTCTTTTAATCATGACAAGAACCCCGTGATGGCAATGCATTGGCGGACATGTCAGTTAGCTATCAGCGTGATAATACCACATAACAAACAGCCTCGGCATTTCAGTAGCCAACAATAACACACATTTATTTTTCTCGCTCAAGGGTCTGCAGGTAGGTCAGTCGTGTGCTGATCTCAGCTGTGTTCAGTGGGGCTTGGCTGCAGGCTGCAGGTCTGGGTCATGTCTATTCTACGTGTCTCATTCTGGGGTCCAGCCTGGAGGGGCAGAGCTACCTGATGGCAAAAGGGCAATTGCATGTCCAGCCTCTGTCTGCATCGTGTCTGCTAATAGCTCACTGGCCAAAGCAAATCACATGGCCAAATCCAGCATCAACGGGTGGGGATGTAAACTTTGCCCACCATAAGTCCAGGGCAACCTTGTAGATGTCTAATACTGCTAGAGGAGAGTGAAGAGTTAGGTACCAAGAAGGAGACTGTAGTGCTATTCCTTTCTGGGATCCAGAAATCTGCCCCCACTGCCCCAAGAAAATAGCACTTTTGCAAAAATATTTGTACCCTTTGGTCTCCAGATTGGGCTCCTTGTTAAACGACATGAGAAGCCTACAAATCAAATGATAATAAAAAACAAAATGGCAAATCCTTAACTGAAGTCTACAGGACAAAGTACTAGTCTAAGTGCTTTACATATACTGACTCATTTTGTCCTCCTAATAACCCAATAAAGTAGGTATTATTATTATCCCTGTTTCACAGAAGAAAAAAAGAGGAACAGAGAGGTAAGGTAACTTGCCTGAGACCACACAGCTGGTTGGGGCAGTGTCAGGATTTGAACCCAGGCTGTTCCTGAACCACCCTAGATAAAACCAAACAGTAATGCAGAAGTTTGAATTTTGGAGCTAGATGCTCTATTTGAGAAGTTAGACTTCAGTTGACTTTGAGAAATACACTTGGGCAGGATCAGGGTGGTATCTGCTCTAGGACTGACCAGCCTCTGAGGGTCCGGACATGTTTGAGAAGAGTCACACTCACTCAGTCCCATCCTGTGGGCAGAGCTTCACGTCTCTCTTTCTTGCTCTTTCTGGGTCAACCTGAGTTGTCAGGACACACTCTGATCCCAGACACTGCATTACATGTTCTGGAACCTGCTGGTACAATTGATGACCTCCTGCCAACAGGCTAGGTGGACACAGATGTCTCTGGGAACTACAGGCCGCTGGGACAGTGCCTGGCCTCCCACCATCAAATGCTGCCTTGGTCCCACTTGGACTGGTTGACCACCAGATCTGGTGGTGGTCAGCAAGAGAAACAAGGCAGACTCTTGTTTTATGGAAGTCAAGGAGGCCAGGTAAAAACTGGCCTGTTTGGAGGTCAAATAGTCTATTATTTGGTCCACTTTAAGAATTAAGAATTTAATCCTTGACCAGAGAATCCAGGTCCAGTCTCGATGCTCCAAGCAGAGGTCCTGTGGGTTTCACCCAATGTTGCACTCATGGAGCCTCACATGGGATTTGGCCTATAGTAGAGACTCAGTGACTCATGACTGAATGAATGAGTGAATGAATGAACGAATGCTCATCTGTTTGAACAAATGCTTTCAAGATGAGAAACTGAGACTGAGAGAAGTTAAGCAATTTGACAAGGATCATCCCCCTTATTTAGTAACTGTTTCCTGAGCACCTACTACGTGCCAGGAGCTGTTGGAGATGCCAGGGATTCAAAGTCCTCGCTATCTGGGTCCAACAAACATCTCATATGATGTTGGGTGTTGAGAAACAAAGCAGGACAAGGGGAGGAGGGTGATCATGGGATTCAGTGGTTAGTGTAGATGTTCTGACTTTCATCAGGTGTCTACTGTGTGCAAAGTGCCTTACATATTTGTTCTCATGAAGAGACCTCAACCACCCTGTGAGGTAGGCTCTTTTATTACATCATCATACCCATTTTACAGATGAGGAACTGAGGCTCTGAGAAGAGCGATGTCTTACCACGGTGACACTTGGAGGAAATACCAGACAGGGGACCCAATCTGCCTGCCCAGTGCCTGAGCTGTGCGGGATGGTGCATCCCCTTCCGCTTCCTGGAGGCTGGCGTGTCAAGAAGGCTGGATGCTAAGGGTGGGACAGGAGCTCAGGGTGCCCACAGCTGTCACCTGCCCGGGAGTGTGTCTGCATCCAGCCGCCCAGCGCTGTCTGCTGGGGTGACACCGGGCTCGCTGTCAGGAGCAGCATGTCAAGGCAGCAGCGGGGGAGGCAGGCAGGCTGTTGGCAGGTTGCTTAAAATAGCAGCGCGTCCTCACGGCTGCAGGAGCTTGCTTCTCCCGGCCGAGAACAAACAGGGAGAAGATTCCTCAGCCCTGCAGCTGCCTCTTTGCTGGTGCCCCCTCTGCAAGGAGCCAGGGAAATTATTCTCAAGTACAACGTCCCGCATTGCTCCCAGGTGCCCCATTCTGTAGGATGAAAGCCCGAGTCCAAACCCCAGAACCTTCATAAGCTACCCCCTCCACTCCCTTCTCCTCACCCTCCTTTCTCTGGTTACCCTTGCCATGCTGTGTTGAAGACCTGCTTTTGTGATGTCCCTTACAGCTTTGCTTTGACTCCTCTGGCTGCCTGGAGGGACCTCCTGGCCATCTTCCCCACCTGGAAAATATATGGAATATAGTAGGTGCTCAATACATGTCAATCGAATCCACATGTAAATGTTGAACTCTTACTTATCCATCAAGCTCAGCTCCCTTGTCAGTCCCTCAGGGAAGCCTTCTAGATTCCCTTAGGAGCAGGAATCCCTCCTTCCTCTGAGGCATATTGCTCAGGCTCAGATCAGGATTGGAGAGATTCTATTTATGGCTCTCTCTATCCCTACTGATTGGCCAGGCTGCCACACCTAGTAAGTGGCATTTGCTGTAGCAGGGGTGGCAGATAATTGGCACACAGGCTAGAACTCTCTTAGCCATGCACGTGGCAGACATTGCTAATCAATCATAGCATCCTTTCTTTCCGAGCCCTGGGGCCTCCAGGCAGCCATGAGCATTGACAGGAGATGGCACCAAGATGATGCCTTAATGGGACCTCACTCCCAAGTGTCACTAACTACAGGCTTTAGATAAATGGGCTCCAGAAGCTTGTCTTCATGGCTACCTTGGCCATCAGACAGGGCAGCTCTCAAGAGCATGACAGTGTCATTTATTTAAGCATCTCTCCCTCTGGGCACAGAGCCTGGCAAACACTTGGTGCTGAAAAGATGTTTGTCAAGTGTGGAATCTTAGAAGTGGAGAGAACCCATCAGACATACAGAGAAACGCCCCAGGAGCTTTTTAGGATCTTGCTTTTCATGCCCCACCCTGCGGTCTCCAGGGAACAGAGCCCAGAGCCCGGGAAACCCAAACCACAAACTCATTGAGATCATTTCCAAATCAAAAAATGATATCCCAGTGGTCAGCAGCACAGGTATACAGGGTCAAAGATAAAAGATCCTCAGACCAATTAGAGAATGGTGAGATAAGAGTGGGACCCAGGAAAGCCATCTCACCAGGTCTCATCACCTCCCTGAGCCTCAGTGTTCTCATCTTTAAAATGGGGATTTTTTAATTATAAAATAGACTTATAATAAGCATACTGAATACCTGAGATTTCAATCATCTTATAGAACTGAATTACTATTATTTTCCATGAATCTGTTCTCACTAGCATTTTGAAGACCTACAAATCATAACCATGCAACTTCATTTTAGTAGATAAGATCAATCAGTCAATAGAATATTATTGTCCTACCCTGCAGGACTGTTGCAAGATGATGAATGAAAAGTCCTCATTGGTGACTGATAAGTGGGAGTTATTATTATTAATATGATTTTTGCATTACACTGCTCACTGGTACCTCTTTAGGGAGGGAAATTTGCCTTCAGCAAAGCCTGAGCTCCAGCCTTTCTTTGATTTCCAATGCTTGGGACCTTTCACTCCTGGCAGAGGTGCCAGAAAGGAGGTCAAAAAGGCAGGGACCCCAAGAAGAGGAGGAAGCCTATGAGTCACCTGGCAGAGGGAAGGAAGCAAGCCTTTCTCCTGGTGAAGGTAAGTCATTACATCATTACTCTATGGTCCCATTTTACAGGTAGGGAAACTGACACCTCAAAAACAATGAAACTAACCTGGTTTCACGGAGTCACAATTGTCTGGATGTGAACCCAGGATTTGTTGATTCCAGTGCCCATTGTATTTTCATGGAACGATCTTCCTTGGTTGGAAAAGTCTCCACTCTAATTACTCACTCATTTACTCATCACTGTCTTCCACTTTATCGAGCATGTTCTGGAGGAGTTCACAGTCTAGTTGGGGGCCTGGGACCTGCGTGGCCTCACATGTAGTTAAATTATTTCAGTATCGGAAGAAGAATGTTTGAGCTGAGTGTGGGGAAGGCCTCACAGAGGGCTTTGTTGGCCAGGTTTTACAGTGTGAATAGGAGTTCATTCACTGGCTACATAGAAAAGGGATCACCAGACAGGGGAGATGGTAGCAACGAAGGCAGGGATCCATGCAAAAGCATGGTCCAAAAAGCTGTGTTTTTTTGGACCATTTAGGAAAATGGTATGTCTCATCTTAGAAGTGTGGAGCTGCAGGAGATGAGGCCATGAGGTGGGTAATGCCAGCCTGAAGGTCTTCCCTGGCACTTGGCTTTTCCCTGTGGGCAGGGTAGTCTAGAAGACATGTTTAGTTCAGCTGTTCACACCATAGCTTCCCCTTCCCCTCATGCTCAGCTTCCCGGCAGCAGACTGCTCTCATTAAGGTCAAAAGGTGACTCAGAATGGGGTGAAGATCAGCACGGATCTTTCATCATGGACCATGCTGCTCCCCTGGAGAGAATCATGCCTCAACTTCTCCACTAGGAATTTAAGAAACAGAAACACAGAAGCACAGGATCCCCCTGTTAACACCTCTTCAATTTACAAACCCAGTGATCTAGGGAACCGCCTCATGCATTTTATCATTCACTCATTTAGTTAACAAAATTGAAAAGCCCCCCACTAGATAATGTATCAGTTAGTTATTGCTGCAAAACAAGCAACCCCAAGCTCAGTGATTTAAATAATCAATAACTTATTGATCTGTTATTTGCCTGCACTCACGCATGCATCTGCAGCTCAGTCAGAAGATCTGCTTTAGACTGAGCTTGTCTGGGGGTAGGGTTCCTTTCCACGTGTCTCTCCTCCTCCTCTTGGGACCAGCAGGCTAGCCAGTTAGCAGAGAATTGGGGAGGGAGGGGAGGTGAGGAAGCGGCAGAGGAAGTGTGGCTAGGCAGACTCATAGAACCTGTGAACCAGAGCTGCTGTGGTCACTCTCATGGGTTTCTAAGAGGGTGAGCTGAGGCTTGTGCCAGTGGGGTCCTCAGGCCCTGGGTCTGGTGGGGAGGATCAGAAACACCCAGACGTGGTCATGTCTGCAGTGGCAGTAGCAGACATCCTCATTTGGATTGGCGGGTCCCTGTTGTCTAGATGATGCTTCGGCCTAGACCTACCTTGTCTAATGATCAAGACCCCACCCCAGATCTACTTTGCTCAGAGACCCCATCCTCAGAACATCCCTCTGAGGGATGCCCAACCAGCTGTGAGAAGGAGCAAGCTCTCACTCTTTCCTCAGTGGCAGCCCCCTTGGGGAGGAGGGAGCAGATAGCAGAACCGTGCTATTTACAAGCTTTCAAATGGGTTATTGAATCATAAACTGAAATCACAGGCTGTAACCAAATCAGCAAGGACCAGATTCAATAAAGGGGAAAGGGAGGGAGGAATAAACATCCCACCTAGAAGCTTGTTAAAGCCTTCTGTGCCTCTCCTGCCCTGGCTTTCTTAATGTCTCATTGTTTCTGGTGAATAAACCCAGCCTCGTCTGGCGTGATACCGGTGCTATTAATTCCATATGTGGTTTATGAGTGGAGGAAAAGGCCATCATTACATGCCATTGGAACTTGGAAAGAACTCAATGGGTGCTTCATCTCTACCTTGCTGGAGCGGCCGGGCTGCGGCTCTGTCATCAGCCTCAGATGCCTTTGCTGAGTTGTGAATGTCTCAAATTCTAATGAATGGAAAATTTTCGGATGGGAGGCCTGCACCCAGCCTCTTGTGGTGACTGTAAGGCCTCCTTATACAGGGTCTCTGTTCCTAAGGAGGCCCCTGGGGACGTCTGATGACCCTTCTGCTGGGGTCATGTACGTGTGCACTGGACTTTACAGTTTATAGAAAACCTCTTCGTGTTAATAATCTTAGTTATGCTACAAGCTCAAAATGCATAAGGCCAGCACCCTGCCTGGCCTAAAGAAGACACCCTAGTGGCTGGGGATGGTGGCTCACACCTGTAATCCCAGAACTTTGGGAGGTCGAGGTGGGCGGGTCACATGAGGTCAGGAGTTTGAGACCAGCTTGGCCAACATGGCGAAATCCCATCTCTACTACAAATACAAAAATTAGCCGGGCACGGTGGTGGGCACCTGTAATCCCAACTACTTGGCAGGCTGAGGCAGGAGAATTACTTAAACCTGGGAGATGGAGGTAGCAGGGAGCTGAGATCACACCACTGCACTCCAGCCTGGGCGACAGAGTGAGACTCTGTCTAAAAAAAGAAGACACTCTAGCTCTTGTTGGTTTCATTGTCATTAATTACTGTTAACCACATGCCTACTATGTGCCAGATCCTAAGTGCATGTTATCTTTACATCTTTAAATGAGCCTGCAAAATTGGAATTCCTGTTCCTGAGTTACAGATGAGGGCTCTAAGGCTCAGACTTACCCAAAGGCATCTGCTGGGAAGAACAGATGTGGGAATCAACATCGGGAATTCTGGCCTCCAAAGCTGCGGTCTTTGCATGCACAGTGACTCTGAAAAGAGGCAGGGCACCTCTTATTTTTATTCTGCCTATTTATCAGATGAGTATATTGAGTCTCAGACAGGTTAGGTGACCATAGAGCACATCAGAGGAGGCTCCGGGAGATAGCATTTTCCTTTTTCTGGGCTAACTTCACAGACTGATTAGTTAAAAGGTCACAGCAGTGCCGGAAGATTTTTTTTGACTTGAGCTAGCCAAATATATCACTGCACAGATGGGTAAACTGAGTCTTGGGACTATCAGTGCCTTGTCCAAGGTCCCCTAGCCAGTAGCTAGGACTCGAACCTATGGCTGCCTGTCTCAGATCTTGTGTTTCTGCCACAGCAGTGCCCGGCCCAGGAGAACAACCGCAGTGGTCCACACACAGAGCTGGCCTCCCCTGATGTGTTTGGCGATGCCAGGCTCTGTTTGGTGGAAGTGATTAGATCATTTTCCAGCTTGAATCTGGATTCTCAGGTTTGGTATTACTTGTGTGTAGCCTTGACCTTGAGGCTGAGATCAGAAGCCATATAGCAGAGCCATTAAGAGTTCAGGACCTGGGTTCCAATGACACCTCTGCCGACTTCCAACTTCTATCTGTGAAGCCTTGGTCCTGTTCATCCTATGTAAGCCTCAGATCACTCATCTTTAAAATGGAGATGGTAATAATAATCACATCTTTCTTATAAGGTTGGTATGCAATCAATAAATGTGGCTCATATTTGATGAGTGCCTACTATGTGGCAGGTACCCTTCTAAGCACTTTGCATATGCTAATTTTCCCAGTACCAGACTGATCCTATTTTAGAGAGGAGGAAACCAAGAGAGTGGGGTGAGTCAGTCAGGATCACATGGAGTTGGGGTTTGCACCCAGGGAGCCTTGCTCCAGAGTCCCATTGTTACCCAGGACCCTACACTACCTCTTGGTTAAACAAGGCTACTTAACAGTTAGCCTGTGGATAAAACTATTAAACATCACGTGTTTTTGTATTAAGGGGGATGTTAGTGTTTTGCTCTGCAAAAGGAGGCTTCCTGTTAACGACAACAACAAAACAACAACAGCAACAGCAGCAACAGCAAAAGCCATCACCTACAGAGCTGAAGTTGGGGCTCTAAGTGGTGGGTCTCAGGCTTGCCTGAGAGCTGAGATCAACCCTCCAGAGTGTGTCATCTGACCTGGACCCTCAGGCCACTCCTGCTTCATGGCACTTACTCCATTCCAACCAATCCTTCAGTACCTGAATATGCCCAATGCACTTTCATGCCTGTGGCCCTTTGCACATCCTATTCCTGATGCCTGATTTTCTTTTTCCCCTTTGGACAATGAATAATCTCATACCTAGAGATTCAACTCACAAAGTATCTCCTTCATGAAGTCTCTTGAGATCCCTCCCTACCTTTCAACCCTCTCGAGCACAATTTGTGCTTCTTTCTCTGTACTTTCTGCAGCTGTGATGAGCCCCCCTGGGAGACTTACCCACTCTGGGTTACCATGGCAGGTGGATGTGTCTGTCTCCCCCACCAAAAACTCCTGGAGGGCAGGAACTGGGATATATTTATCCAATCAAAAAATGCTTATTGAATGAATGAACAAATAAATGAATGAATGAAGTTTTCCGTCTTGGCTGGATTATAGCTGATGCCTCATAGTCATTCACATGGGACCTCAATTTTGGCCTGGCTTGGCCACGGCCTCAATGTGCTATCTTAGGAAAGACATTGCTTTTAAGCAGCTCAGTTTCCCATCTGTAAATTAACAGGGCGGGGATTGCTGGCTGCCAAGAGCATTTTTGTGACTGTAGATTCATCTCCTGTCTTCCCACCCCATGCCTGCTCTTCTCCCAGGGTCTCCATCACAGTTAGCAGATTCTGGAGATCTTCCTGTCTAAATCTCCGTTGAGTCGTCATTTTCTTCACCCCATCTTCTGCAGCCTGTCTGCTGCCAACACCACCATCTCTCACCACGATACCTGCAGTGGCCTCTTAACACATCTCCCTTCTGCCTTACAGCTTCCTAGAATCCATTGCACACTCAGCAATAAATGTGATCTTTTCAGACACACCTTCAATCACGTCCCACCTGGTGAGCCCCTTCCACACTTCCTGCTGTCCCCAGGCTGTGGAACAGAGTCCCTCCTGCAGGGCGATGAATGCCCCTCCCTCCACCTGCCTTCCTTTCCACCAGCCCGTCTCCCCACCCCCTTCTGTGGCTCCCCTTCCATGGCTCTGGCCACACTCACTGACTTTCTTTCTGGGATTCGCATCTTGGTCCACCATGCCACCTTCCACATGCTGTCTCCTCTGCTTGGAAAGTTCTCTGCCCCCTCCACGTGATCCGATTTCAGCCTGCTTATCCAAAGTGATCATCTGAAGAGGCTCAGAGCAGCCTTCCAGGGCCTCCCCAGACTAGGTTGAGCATTCTGATTATATCAGCTGCTAAAGCTTCTCTTTCCTCCTCTTTCCTCTCTTCCACTGCGGTATCCACCACCCCACTTTCTGTCTCTATGAGTTTAACTTCTCTAGGTAACTCACTGAAGCCCAACATTCCTTCAGTTCCTGAAGCCCAACATTCCTTCAGTTCCTGAAGATGCCCGATGTACTTTCAGGCCCCTGGGCCTTTGCACATGCTATTCTTGATGCCTGACTTTCTTTCTCCTCTTTGGACTATAAACAAGCAAACTCATACTGAGAGATTCAGCTTACAAAGTGTCTTCTTCATGAAACCTCTCAAGACCTCTCCCTACCTTTCAGTCCCCTCAAGCAAAACTACTGTATAATTGGAATCATACAATAGTTATCTTTGTGCCTGGCTTATTTCGTTTAGCACTACATCCTCAAGGTTCATCCATGTTGAAGCACATATCTGAATGCCATTCCTTTCTGAGGCTGAATAATATTCCATTGTATGTATAGGCCACATTTTGTTTCCCATTCATCCAGTGATGGACAGTTGGATTCTTGCCACTTTTTGGCAAAGCTATTGAAACAGAAGCCTAATGCGTTAGAAAGAGATGTTAGCATTCATAGTAATAAGGCAACGAGGTGTCCTGGGAAAGGCTTTAGGATTAGACCTGGGTTCAAATATGAAAACACCCATCTCCTCATGTTGATGTGAGGTTTAGAGCACTGAGGGCAGTGACTGGCAGAGCAGATGCTAGGTGATGTACTAGGTAGGCCTTATTCATTTCACTCTCCTGCCCAGGACTGCCATGTTGTTCACTGTTCAAGTACACCTGGTCCAGGTACTCAACTTGCCAATCTGAATCCAGTGGCAGCATCTGTCTGGAGGGGCCACCTTTGTTCCATCTCCACAAAGGCTCATAGGTGCTAGTGTCACTCTGGCCTCAATCAATACAGACACACAGGCTTATTATACCTGTTTGGCTTATGAGGACTGGTAGGGCACCCGCCTAAGGCCACACAGCAGTACTGAGACCCCTTTGAGTGTGAGGACCTGGCTCCAGGCCTGAAGAACAGAGCAAGGTGTGTAGCTGAGAACCTTGCACAGGTGAGCAGAGGGCCTAGGGTTGAGGGGGCTGAAGGAGCTTTAGCCTCCCTCCGCCTCCCCCTCTTCCATCAAGTAGAAACTGAAATGGAGAAACAAACAAACAAACAAACAAACAAACCGCTGTCTCATTCACAGTTTGGCTCCTCCTTTGGGAGGCAGCCTCCTCAGAGTGGCCACTGATACAGGCCTCTGTGTTTTTGACCGTGCTCTCCTCCCAGCCCCCTCCGTGACTTACTCCTTCCATCCCAGGATCATTTTCCAGACAGCCCTGAGCCAGGCCCACCAGACTATTTAGTCTGGGTTTGGTGACCCCGTCTGACTGCCTGCAGGATGTGCTCAGGTTTCGAGGCCTCCTCGGTGCAATCATTGCAGCCCCCACCTCCTGGCTCCCACCCCTGCTTCTTACACAAACACTTACCTCCAGGCCCAGGACTTCCTGACTCGTTTCCTTGCCTTAGACCCAGCTGCGGGCTTCCAGAAAGGAGCTTTGATGCCCGACAACATGGTCCTCTGTCCACGGGTTTGTGGGCCCCCGTTCATCACTCTGGCACCCAAACTTATCTGCCTTGCATTCCCATCACTGCTACCTCTCCCTCACTCAATCCCTCGCATGCTGACTACTGGGCATGCAAGTTCATTAAAAGAAAAAAGATGATGCAAATTTAAAATATTTTTTCATCAGTGAACACATGCTGATTAGCTATTTGTCCTTGTTCCATGTCTCCAAGGGGGAAACTGAGGCCCTCGAGAGGGAAAGGGGTGAACCCAAGCTCATGAGCTGGGTAGAGACAAAGCCAGGAATTGGCCTTGTATCTTTAGGTTCTCCTTGTCATCTCAGCTTTGATGTCACTCAGCCTCTGTTCTCCCACTTGTCGTCTATTCTGGGTTCTGGACCATATATACTACCTTTAAAAAGTTTATTTTATTTTATTATTTTTATTTCTTTTTAGAGATAGGATCTTGCTCTCTCATTCAAGCTGGAGTGCAGTGACACAATTGTGGTTCACTGTAACCCAGATCTCTTAGGGTCAAGCAATTCTCCCATGTCACCCTCCTGAGTAGCTGGGACTACAGGTACCATGCCTGGCTAATTTCTAATATTTTTTGTAGAGGTGGGGGTCTCACTGTGTTACCCAGCGTGGTCTTGAACTCCTAGCCTCAAACAATCATCCTGCCTCAGCCTCCCAAAGTGCTGGGATTGCAGGCGTGAGCCACCATGCCCGGCCCGTATACTATTTTTCAACAACTCTTTCTGAGTGTCTTGAGTTGCAGGGAAATTAGGTATCCTGAGAGTAAAACTACCTTATTTTGGGCATCCTACTTGGGTGCAACGAAGTGACAGAGGCAGACGTTTGTGGCCCTTGCATCCTAGGTGGTTTTGATGCCACGAATCAATCCCTTTAAAAACCTGTGTGCTGGCACCTTGCTAGAAAGGGTTGGCAGTAACTAAGATTAATGGCTGCCATTTGTTAAGCACTTACTGTGTGCCAGGCATTGTGCAAAGTTCTCTACCTACAATTCTCCTAGGAGGTGAAGGAAAGTATTATGTCTCCTCCCCATTTTACAGATGAAGAAACTGAGGCCCAAAGTAGGCAAGTGACTTGGAGACAGTCACACAGCCAGCAAACAGAAGAGCCTGAATTCCAGCCCAAGAGCCACACTCTTCCCTACCGGAGCTTCTCACAGTTGGGTTACCACTTACGGGCGGAAATGGGAGGCTGGAGTTCAGGGGTCTTTTACATATTTCTGTATTTTTTTTCCACCATGAACATGTTTGATTTTTATAATACTAAACAAACAAACAAAAACCAAAATAAAGCCCAACCGACATCATCCAAAATAACAAGAAAAACAACAAACACCACTGTATATCTTGGTGCCCATTAAATTTTCCTTTAAATATATTGCGTGCAGCCAAGCTTCTTTCAATTCCCCTCTCCATGCACACACCAGGGCTAGCTTCTGTCGACAGTTTCGTGTATATTCTTGCAGATTTTTCTCCTATCAAATGCTAATATATATGCAGATGTATAATTTTATGAGGCTTTTAAAGTCATACATATTTTCAATATTTGATTTTTAAAAATCAATAGAAAATGTATTGCTTTGGTGATTGGGAAGAGAATAAAGATATTAAAAATTAACTCAAATTGAAAAACAACCTTGGATTGGATGTTTTGAAGTTGCAAAGTCAAAGTTCTATTCCAGAAAGTTCCGCACCAGCGAAGCTGGATTCCCCACAGAGATGCTCAGATCCCCATGGCTTGCTGTTGCATTTGGCTCGGGGCTAGGGGAGGGGGATGCCTCTAATTCCCACCAGCTTGCCTTGCCACCCCCTCCCCACTGCCCCTGGTCAATGAGCATTGTGTTCAGTTTGTCGACTCAGCAAAACAGGCCCGCCTACTCCCTCCCTGCTCCAATTGGAAGGTGATTGCCTACCAGCCAATTAATTCTGCTTTAATTGCTCAGGCTCTAAAACGCAGGCCTGAACAGCTAATCTGGTGGGGGGGGGGTGGGGGGAGGGTGGTGGTTTGCCTGGCAGATGCTGCCCAACCAGCTCTTGGGAGATGCTCAGAGAGTCAGAAAAAAAACAATGATTCTCTGCAGGGCCCTTGGGCATTCTGGAGGGGAGGGGCCTGTAGCCATTGGAAGTGTGGCTCAGAAAATGGGCCCAAGACATGGCCACCAGCAAGAGCCAAAAAGAGAAGTAGAAAGGGGTGCATCTAGTCTTAGTTCACTGGCTCACTGTGGGAATTTGTCACAATCTGACATGATCTTGTTAATATCAGCTGCCTTTCTTGTTCAGGGCTGTAGCCAGTGCCCACCCACTGCCTGGCATATAGTAGGTGTTCAATAAATAGTGTTTGATTCAATAAACATATTCCACCCTGTCCTATCACCTCCTGCCTGCAACTACCATTGAAGTCTCCAAAGAATTGCAAGAGATAAATGCGAGAAACTGAGGCCCAGAGAAGGGAGGGGCTTGGTTTGTTCAGGCCAGTGCCTGACTCAAGCTGCCTTTCCACTTTGCTCCACATGAACTGTCCTTTTTCCAAAGCATCCTCACTCATTGTTGTGGGAGGGCTGCACAGGAGAGGAGCAAGAAGCTCCTCACTACTTTCTTTTGAAATCTGCATCTGTATTAAACACCCCCTTGACCTCGAAGCCGGCTCATTACACACCGAGTTCTCTGCTCCTCCGTCTGTGCCTGGGGGGTAACTCGGAACTGGCTCTCCTGGGGACCAGCAGCTCCAGCCCTGGAGAGGAAAATGATATGTATCTAATCTCTGACCTTCAAATGAGGACAGGGATTAATCAAGGATTTAGATGGAGGGGTGGGAGGCTGTGCAAGGAAGTGAGGGTGGGTGGCGGGCACCTCTGATTCCGTCCTCACCTCAAGCCATTGCTGGCTGCTGCAGATGCCCTCCAGGCTGGGGGAGCGATGGGCAGGAGGAAAGGGGGCTCTGGGAAGGACGAAATTGAAAGCTGAGGCAGGAGGAAGGCAGGGTGGGGAAAAGAACAAAGCAGGCAGGCATCAGAGGGCAGGAAAGCCAATAGACAAGCATGCCAGCCCATGGGGTGGAGGAACGCGCAGGAGGAAACAGGCAAAGGAAAAACAAAGAAGAGGAAGAGAGAAAGGCTAACAAGGAACTAAATAGGGCCTGAAACAAAGCCAAGGAGGAAACAAAAGGTAAGGAAAAAAACAAAAAACAAAAAACAAACAAAAAAACCAGCAGGCAGAGGAAGAAGCAGCAACAGAGAGAGAAGGGAGAAGGCTGGGGAGGCCTCCGGAATGTCATCTGCTCATGCTGAGGCAGAGACCTCGGCAAACAGCATGCCCCCAGCCTTGCCCAGGTCCCTCACTCCATCCCTGGTACCCACGGGCTCCCAGGAGCCTTTGGGGCAGACAGCTGGGCTTCCTCCTGCCTCCCCAGCCCAGCCTGCTCTGATTGGCCAGTGTCGTAGGGCAGCAAGGTGCGCCACGCCCACGCATCTCTGCTCTGCCACGGCTGAAGCCCCAGAGACTCCTGGGTTTCCTGAGGTGTTCTGAGCCACCCCAAGTTCTCCTTCCCCCTCCTTCCCCACCACCTAGAAAGCTGTCCAAGTGGAACAGCCTGCAGCTATTACAATAAACACCTCAGCCACAACCTGTCTCTCATTTGCATATTAGCAGCCTTAATTCTGATGAAATATGCAAATGTATGCAAAATGAAATTCATCTCATAATGACACAAGGCGATTAAACAATTTTTATGCTTAAATATTCTGTTTAATGAAATCAAACAGACCTGTGCGTGTGACAAATTCTCCACAGCATGGAGAAATTAGTGAGGAGATATATATATATATATATATATATGTATGTGTATAAAGAATATCAAGCCACTAGCACCCCCAGAACAGCCTAGATCTGCTTTGCCTTTTTGGTGAGAAGAAAAGGGAAAAAAAGTGTGTTTCTGATAACCAAATGAACTGAAAATTATATTACTGAAAACTGCTAAAATAAGTTAGACGCAGTATGCCTTTGTTTCAGGGGCTTGTGAGGAAGCCCCACCCTACATCTCTACAGTATGGCCAGGATGTATTTTGTCCTCCACATTGATGGAGGATAGGGAGGCGCATGTGGGTCGTGGGAAGGCAGATTCAGCCACAACCTCGGTGCCCAGAAAATGGAGTGAAGAGCCCTCTGTGAACCTACCACCAGGAGGCTGATCTGCAGCGTCACTCAGACAAACTTTCTGGTTTTGCTCATCTGGGCAGAATATATTCTTGGTTTGACCACTTGGAGATGGTTTGAGGGCATTTGTGTTCTTAGTCCTGGTAGGATAAAATCTATCTGGATATTTACCAGGAGGAGGAGAAGGAGGAGGAGGGGGACAAGAAGTAGGTAGCAGAGAAAGAGGTATAAGATGGGAGGATAGAATGAAGACAGGAGAAGGAGGGTATAGAAAAAAGGAGTGTACAGAGATGGAGGTGAAAGGATAAAGAAAAAGAATTAATAACGGTTAACATTTCTGAGGCATATCTATGTGCTTTTTTATATATGATCTCATCCAGTTATCCCAACAACCTTACAGTTAGATTTTATTATCATAACCACCTTGTATTAGTGACAAGGAAGTGAGGTTCAGAGAGGTTAAGTAAGTTGTCCAAAGTCACATGGCAGAGATGAGTGGAGGATTCTCAATTTGAAGGTAGACGTATTGAGCTTGGAATCAGCCTAAACTCACTGTTGCAACTCATGGAGAGGCAAGAAGAGGAAATGTTGAAGCATTTTCCAAGGAAGTTGGTCTACAAGCTCACCTTGGGAATTCTTGGATATCTAGGTAAGCCACCAAGAGTTAATTTGCATATGAACCCATAGGGCCCCTGGGAAAAAATCCATTTGGGGATGGAATGGGGTCCTAAGGCTGTGTGTGTAAGGGCCAATGGCAGAGCCTTCTCTGGTCTCCTCATCGGAAAGGCTCGGTACTCAGTTCTCTCTATTTCATCATGATCTTAATGCTGGTTTGTTTGTTGCCAGCTCCCAAATAGAATACCCTTTCCAGGAGGGCAAGGGCCCTGTCAGGCACACAGTCAAGTGGCCTGTTACAGATTTCCAATGGTGCATTTAACTTTTGGAATGCACTCAGTCCTTACTTGTTTCTTGAATTTGAGGGCAAAGGCATCCTCAAAATGGCTGGAAGTACTCCCCCAAGATCCCCATCCAGTCCTCATGGGATTCTGGGATGAGGGAAAGACAATGATGACATGGAAGCAAGGAGTGGCTGCCTCCCAGATAACAGCCATGGCTCCTGGTGTGGGGAAAGATCCCAGCAGCTCTATTGAGATATTTGTCAACCCTATCTCCAGCCACCTCCCACTGTGGGTTCAAAGGGGGAGGCTGGGGGGGCCAGGAAACCTTTGCTTTTGTCCTCCAGCCCATGACCTAACCACTCTAGGCCTCAGTTTTCCCAGCTGAGAAATGGGAAGAGTGTCCTCCCATGACTTATTTTAGCTCTAAGATTTTAGAATGTTAATGCTGAGTCTCCAGCAAATAGTCAACTTTCAAACTCTAATAAGAGCTATAATTTACTGAGCACTCCCTATGCGTCTGCCACTAATCTATGTACTAGTTTACATGTAATATCTCAACTAGTCTTCACAACAATCCTATGAGGTGGAAATTAATATTACTCCCTTTCACAATTGAGAAAGTGAACTTTGAAACATCAGGTTACTTGTCTTAAGTCCACCAAGGTGGTTAAGTAGTAAGACCAGGAGTGAAATCTAGGCAGTCAGGCTGCAGCTGCTGTAACAACAACAACAACAACTGCTATCATTTGGTTCATGCCTGACACCACATGGAGCTCGCCATAGCAGCCCTGCAAGGTAGACAATGCATTTATTTCCATGTTACAGGTGGAGAGATGGAGGCTCAGAGGAGGTAATTGATGTGTCCAAGGTCATACAGCAAGTCACTGACTGTGAAGACAAGAGCCAAGGTGTCCTGGCTTAAGGCCAACATCTGGGAAGCCACCTTGAATCCTCAAAGCAATTTCTAGAGATTCTTGGCCATTTATCATCTAAATCTCCTCCTGGTTCTAACGTTGATAGGCTTTGAGACAAGGACATTTCATTAGAAAATTAGGAGAAATATTTATAATTAATATTTCAATTATAAAAGATATAATTGAAAAGCAATCTACTTTATCATGTTGCTGGTGACAACCCAAAGAAGAGAGGGCACATCACTTTCCTGGAAGCAGGAGAGTGAGGCAGGCCCTTTCCATCTGCTTAATGGGGGATCACATGGCATGGGACAGAATAAAGGGCATTGTTATCTGGGATCCTTCTGCTGAGCACCACTGTGGTAAGATATCAGGCATCACGCACCCAGCTGTCTCTGTGTCTGTGCCTGATGCTAAATGAGGCAGCTTAATATAATGGTTGCCATTTTAGCAAGGAGTTATGAGACTATTTACAGATCCAATCCATTTATTTATTCATTCATTCATTTGACAAATATTCACCTGTGCGAATATCTAGGAAAGCATCACTGAATAGGACATGGCTACAGTCTGCAATCATACCAACGTAGTTGGGGAGACACAGTAGGAGATTACAACAATAAATGTAAATGGCACAAATCCAGTGCAAGAACAGGGGAGGAGTTATTTTACTTGGAGATCTTGGCAGCCAGAGAACATCCGAACTAGGTCTACAAATACAAGATGGAACTTGCCAGAAAGGAAAAAAAATTCCAAAGAGAAGAAATAGCATGGGTAACAGCATGAAGATGAGGAAGTATAGGGTGTGAGGCATGCATGGTTCAAAACTCGTGCTGAGCAAAGCCCTTGGGGGAGAGTGGTAGGAAATGAAGCTGGAGAGGGAAGAACTAAAGCCAGATGTGGGGAGGTCTGCATACTTATTCTTTTTCTGCAACTGAGTGATCCAGGGACCCTGAGGAGGTCACTTCAAATCCCAGGGCCTCAGTTTTCTCAGTTTTGAAAACAAGGAAGGATAAACCTTCAGGCTGTTGTGAACATCGAGCATATCTGGGAGGAGTATTCTGTCACTGTACACTCTGGCCCTATCTAATTGAATGGCTCCAATTCTAATTAGGAGATTTTCATCAGAGACAAAAATGGTGAAGAGAAAATTATTCCCTATTTGGGCATCCAGATGCCACTTGCCTTTTTAAGTACTAGCAAAAAGTGGTACCAGCTTCCCCAGAGCATGATTGAAAAACAGATCCCTGTGACACACTCCCCCAGTCCTGTCCCAGTCTCCTTCTGGCAGTTTCTGCTGTGAATCGCACTCTGTGAAATCACACTCTGCCTGTTTTCTCCT
Source organism: Homo sapiens (assembly GCF_000001405.40). Classification (NCBI taxonomy): domain Eukaryota; kingdom Metazoa; phylum Chordata; class Mammalia; order Primates; family Hominidae; genus Homo; species Homo sapiens. The sequence goes on along the minus strand of NC_000022.11, from coordinate 27,255,062 downwards.
TCATGGGGAGCTCCAAGATTATGGGAAGTGGACGCAGGCACAATTGCAGAGCCCACGATTTATATCACATGGCACCAGGCCTGGAGGTGTGGGAAGGTGGGCACAGCAAGTCTTGCCTCCCCTTCTATGCTGTAAATGGTTCCAACCAATTGGATATGCATGGAGCTGGGGGATTGATGATCCTCCCAAGAGAGTCCTCGAGTGTACCATGTTTTTCCCTGTAGGAGTATCTTTTCTCCTTAGCGGAGACCCTGGAGGTACATGTGGGACAATATGGTTCCCTTCAAGGGGCTGCATTCTAGGGGGACTAGCAAGACCAGAGGCACTAAAGGATGTTTTTCCTTTCATCCTTGTACTTTTAAATGCTTGTCTTTTCTCCCTATCTTCATCCCTCCTCCTCCCTTATGTTTTCTTATACAATTGGAAAGCATCAATTTTACAAAAAAAAAAAAAAAATCTGTTTCCAAAAACAATATCAATTGTCATCACACACGGGAAGCCTTTTTTTTTTTTTTTTTCGAGACAGAGTCTCGCTCCGTCACCCAGGATGGAGGGCAGTAGTGCGATCTCAGCTCACTGCAACCTCTGCCTCCTGGTTCAAGCAATTCTCCTGCCTCAGCCTCCTGAGTAGCTAGGACTACAGGTGCCCACCACTACGCCTGGCTACTTTTTTGTATTTTTAGTAGAGATGGGGTTTCCCCATGTTAGCCAGGATAGTCTCAATCTCCTGACCTCGTGATCTGGCTGCCTTGGCCTCGCAAAGTGCTGGGATTACAGGCATGAGCCACCACACCCGACCACACACAGGAAATCTTTCTGTAGCCAAACTCCCTATCTGCTGCAGTGAAGGGCTATTGGGACCATCAGCCCTGTGGCTGGACAGCACCCCAGCCCAATCCCCAACTCTCTCTTCTGAACTTTGATTCTTAGCATTCTCTCTCAGCACCTCCCATTCACTCAGGCTCCTTTTCGAACCATGAACCTTCAAGGTGACCACACAACAGGACCAACTGTGTGGTAATGAAAAGTCCCTCCCTTCTGTCCCTGTCTCAACAGGGTATAGCTTATATTCTCCCTGAAAATGATGCAAAGAAATTTGGATGCATTCCTGCTATGATTGGGGCCTACCCTGTTCTTCCATCCAGGGCCTTCACTTCAGATCCACTGAAAGTCAATGACTTTTCTGAAACTGACCAAAAAAAAAGAATAAATCCCCAACAAATCCCAAACTTCTAACTACCACCACATTTCTGCTTTTCCATGACAAGGATGAGCAGAGAAATTCAATCCCCATGCTTCATGGGGCCAAACTAACCCCGTGTGGATTTCCAGTGAGGAAAGCTGGACCTCGGACCAAGTATCCTGCCAACAGAGTGGGGCTTAATGATTTGTGCAGACCCACAGTATTCCAGCGAGAGTCAGGAATACTGTGCATTGATTCCAGGCGATTGAAAGCCCCCACCCCTGCTCCCCTGGGTGTTTCTTGCATTCTTTGTTGTTGCATAGTCCCCGTTTTCCCTCCGATGATATCCAAGAAGCATAAGAAAGCCCAGGGTTGAGATAATCACTTTCTCAGGCCTTAATTAATTTGGCACTATTGGTTAATTAGCTGGAGGTGTCATTTAGTTAATCAGAGACTCTGGGGTTGCTCAAGCTAGAAAGGTCTGCAGGGTCATTAGCCTCGGTCCCCTTCAGTCCACGGAGGAGGAAGAGCAGGTTAAGGAGGAAGGAGAGTGGCCTAGGGTTACTCTGCAACTTAGGGGCTTGCAGGCCAGGCTCACAGAACTGGGACTTGAGGTCAGGTCTTCTGGTTTATAGCTCTGCCGTCCTGGCTCTAATTCTCTCCACTTTAATTGAATTTAATGTAATTGTATTGCATGGTATTGCATTCATTGTGTCATCCTACCATCTCCCTCTCCAATGTCCTCCACTCATATCCAACTTCTCAATTTTCTGCAAATTCATAATCACCTCACGATCTTTGCACTTGCTGTGCCCTCTTACCAGGAAAACCACTTCCCTATGTCTTTGTACAATTGTCTCCTTCTGATTGTTCAGGTTTTAGCTTGTCATCTCTTCAGAAAGACCTTCTTTGCCACAATCTATGTGGTGGACAGAGCCTAGGGTGCCGGAAATAATTCTTCCCTTCCTGGCATGCATGCCTTTGTCATCCCTACCCTTGAGTAGGGATGGAATTTGTGACCCACTTGCTCCTAACCAGTAAATGTAGCAGAGGTCACGGGGCGTCACTCTCGTGGTTAGGTTATGCTGTGTAGCAAAGGTGGAGGTATTCTGGGTGGACCTGAATTAATCAGGTAAAATCCCTTAAAAGAGGGACCAAGGGAGAAACTCTCCTTGCTGGCTTGATGTAGTAATGAACTGCAGGTAGCCTCTGAGACCAGAGGGTAGTCCCCAGCTGATAGCCAGCAAAAAGCTTGGGCCCTCGATCAAACAGCCACAAGGAAATGAATTCTGCCAATAACCTGAATGAACTTGGAGGCAGATTGCTCCCCAGCTGAGCCTTGGGATGAAAGCACAGCCCCCAGCCAGCATCTTAATGCAGCCTTGAGTAAAGACGCCAGCGAGTCATAGCCAGACGCTTGACTCATAGAAACCATTGCACAATAAATGTGTGTTGTTTTCAGCTGCTAAATTTATGGCATTTGTTATGTGGCAATAGATAACTAATATAATAGAATACAGGTCCTCTCTCAACCTTGACCTTCCTTCATGTCACCTTTTATTGTTTTCATCACGCATTTGCCACTCTCTGGAAGTATCTTATGTGAATACGAGTTTATGTGCTCATCTTCTGTCTTCCCTACTAGATTCTGAGCTCCATGAGGGCAGGGCCTTGTCTGTCCTGTTTCATTCTGTAGTCCTGCAAACAATGGGTATACATTACATATTTTTAAATGAATGAATGAATGAATGATGGTATAAAAATATGATCCAGGAATATTTGAATAAAATGTTTATAAATCCAACTAAAAGACCTGCATTGCAAAATCTATGCAAAATAAAAAAGACAAGCCCAGGAAAACACTTAAGATTTGTATTACAGAAAAAGGTCTAACTTTTTTACTTTATAAAACAGTAGTACAAACTAAGAAGAAAATGTTTCCAAAATAGATGAAAAGATGCTCAACTTCACCTCCAGTAAGAGAAATTTGAATTAGAACTACACCAGGAGTCTTGGTTTTGCCTGTTATCTAAGCAAAGATGACATCATGTTAGTGAGGGTGCAGGGAACAGAGTTCTGGTTATCTGGACAGACGTGTGCCATGCCAGCGCCAGCCCTGGGAAGTAACAAGAAGTGCAGGGCAGGTCCCAAAGCTCCCTCCCACATTCCAGTGCCAGCTCCTGTTAGAGTTCCCTGGATCCCATCTTGCTTCCTTGGTGTTCCCTTCTTCCTGCATGGTAGATCTGAACTAAGACAATTCTGGCCACTCAACATCCAACTGAGGTAAGGAAATCAGGGGATCATAGTGGACCCCAAGTCACCATCCAATGTGGTTACAACCCAGCAGTTCTCAGGGTTGCTGAGGAAGGGCCACTGGCTTGTGGAACAGAGAGATGAGGGCTTCCACTGGAGGAGGAAAAAACTATTCAAAATGTGGGAGCCATTTCAGTTGGAGCTGAAGAATGCCAAGTTGGGAACCAATGGTGTCTCTGCAACTAACCAACGGTGCAATTAACCAGTGAGCAAGGTGCTCACTTGCCCACACCATTCCTCATTTGTATCTGAAATGGTATTGAACATGGGGCTTTCTGAGGCTCCTTCGGGCTGGGACAACTCTGTGGTTATCTGGAGAGCATTTGGAGTTCACTCTGAGCCCCTCAGTCTCAGACAGATGTAGATAAGTTGGAATGGGGCCAGGGCAAGCTGGCTTCCATCATTAAGGGGAAGGGGAAGATTGGCTCCGAGGATGATTAAAGGGGCTGACACCTCAGCTTGGCTGGGCTACAGAGAAGGAAGCGGCCGAAAAATGTCTGGAAGAGGGGAATGGGAGACGTGACTCTGGCAGGGGGATGGGGTGGAGGTCAGCTACTCCAGCAGGATCAGCCATCAGGCTCCCAGCTACTGGGAAGAAACACCTACTGTGAGCCAAGTGTGTGCTGACATGAGTGCAATGGCTTGGGAAGCCTGGAAAGGATAATAGTCACCCCACAACAGTTACCACTCTCACCTCTTGCTAGATCATGGCCTTCTAATGGTGTCCCTGTGTCCAGCCTTGCACCCTTAGCCTGTACTCAACAAATCAGTCGAAGAGCTCTTTTCAGAACATATCAACTCATATTACTGCCATGCTCAAAATCCTTCCACGGCTCCCACCCCACTCAGAATAAAAGCCAAAGCCCTTACGATGGCCCACAAAGTCCTGCCTAATCTACCCCATCACCTCCCTGACCCCATCTCTTGCTTCTTCCCTGCTCCTTGGCCCCTGCAATACACCCCAGGGCCTTTGTACTGGCTGTGCCTCTGCCTGGACTGCTCTCACCCCAAGTGATTTCGAGCCTCACTTGCTCCCTGCCTTCAGCTCTTAAATGTCACCTTCTCATGGAGGCCTTTCCTGGCCACCCCGCCAAGATTCCAACCAAGATTCCTTTTCACCTGTTTTATTTTCCCCCAAAACACTTACCTTCTTTTGCCTTATTATATAGTTTTTTCTGTCTTGTCTGTGCTGACCGCTCCCATTTGATTATTGCAAGCTCTGTGAGAGCTGTTTTGTCCCCTGCTCTAGCTCAAGTGCCTATAAAGATGACCAGCACTTAGTAGGTGCTCAAAAATATTTGTTGACTGTTGACTGCATATTACTTACCACTCACAGAGCCCTGGATCTCTGCCAGGCATTGTGCTATGTGTTTTTGATCTAGAATTTCTTTTTTTTTTTTTTTTTCTGAGATGGAGTCTCACTCTGTCCCCAGGTTGGAGTGCAGTGGCATGATCTCGGCTCACTGCAACCTCCACCTCCCAGGTTCAGGCGATTCTCCTGCCTCAGCCGTCTGAGTAGCTGGGACTACAGGTGCCTGCCACCACGCCCAGCTAATTTTTGTATTTTTAGTAGAGATTCATGTTTCACCATGTTGGCCAGGATGGTCTCGATCTCTTGACCTCATGATCCACTCACCTCGGCCTCCCAAAGTGCTGGGATTACGGACGTGAGCCACCGCGCCAGGCCTAGCATTTCTTTTAAACCTCACAACAGACCAAAGATGCAGGTACTGCTTCCATTTTTCCAGTTTTACAGATAGAGAAACTGAGGCCCAGAGAGGTTAGGCACTGGTGATGTACCCAGTGCCATATGGTGGGTAACTAGTGGCTCTAGGTTTAGAATCCAGCCTAGCACCACTCCTGAGCCTGGTCCTCCCTCTTAATTAAATACTCTGCTGCCTTTGACAAAAGTCTACTCAATTACAGTCCTTTCAAATGGTTTGCTTCATCCATCCTCACAAGGGTTATTTCCATTGTATGGATAGGGAAACTGAGCACCCAGAGAAACTGTTTCTCAAAGGTTGCATAGCAAGCAGGGAATCTGGGACTTGAGCTCTATTCTTTGGCTCCCAACCCAGGCTCTCTCTCTATTTTGCTTCCTCCCCTTTCTGGCCTACAGGACACCGATATGCCTAAAACATCCTCTCCTGTATCCTGGAGGCCTGAAGCTCCCTTGAGAGTCATGGCACTTGGAAAGGTGGAGACAGGTTATAGCAGGGCCTCAGCTGGATGGGAGCCTACTGAATGGAGAAAGCAGGCCTTGATTCACGGCTGGTGTAACTGAACCACCGTCCAGTCCTTTCCATCTCAACCTCTGCTGCTTGGCCAGGCCTCTGCTGACTTGTGACTCTGTGGCCTTGATGCCTGGGGTCTCTGCTCTGATGTCACAAGCATACACTGGCCGGGGGCACTGCCTCCTGAAATGTCCCTGCAGGCTCTGACAATGAGCCTTTGGATCCATGATCCTGAAAGCCATCTGGGGCCCATCGGGATTCTAGCCACATCTCACCCCAGACTTTTCCTTGGAGTTGCAGTTAAAGATGCATCAGTGGAATTGTTCCTCCCACATCCATCCCTGTGTCCAGATTGTGCACTCAGGGATCACGTCTGTCTTTTTCACCCTGGTAAGCAGCACCCTATGGGTGTTCAGTTTAGGTCTGTTGAATGTATAACCAAAGGACTCACCCTTCTCTAACAAACACACTTTCTTTTGAGCACCTCCTATCTTCCTGGCCCCATACTAGGGTACTCATATATACAAACTCAATGTAATTCTTACAACAAACACTGAGGCAGAGAGAGGTTATGCAGCATGTCTGAAACCACACAGCTGAGGAATGGGGACATGGGTCAGAACCCAGGCATTCAGACTTCACAGTCCTTGCTTTCCACTAGACCACAGCCTCTAGCCCACCCTTGAGTGTCTTTATCTGGGGGTGGGGGTCCCAGCCCAAGGTGTCTCCAGGACACGAGTGCCCTGGCCAAGCCTGCAGCCAGCTAGGAGCCTCCATCAACAGCAGTGAGTGGAATCTGCTTTTCCCAGGCTGCCACAGAGTCATATTCTTTATACTAAAGGCCATTTGAAAAATGAATAACTAAATGCAATGTCAGTTTTATACCTATGTAAGATGTTGCATATAAAGAAATTCACAAATCAGGGAAATAGCCCTCATCCTTATTTTTGCATCATAAAACGTGGTCTCAGCAAGCATCCCTCCTCTCCTCTGGGGTTATTATCAGCTTCTTCCTGCAAGCGGGAAGTCTCTGGATCCAGGGAGCCAATGCTTATGGGATGACACTCACAATGGTGGAGAACATGGGATGTGTCCTCCAGTGTAAGGCACTTCACCTGCTCCACCATCTGCAATCCTTATAAGAACATTTGTAAACTCACTTAACAAAACTTTGAGTACATATTCTGTGCCAGGCGCTGTGCTAGACAACTGTCAAAGCCTTGATTATTTTCCACTTTAGAGACACTGAAACTAATTGGAATGATTTCTCTAGTTTCATTTAGCTGGCAAGGAGCTGAACTGGATTCAAGCCCAGGTCGTAGTGACTCCAAACTTTAGGCTTTTATCCATGTTCCTAAATCTTATCATCTGAGGTCAGAGCAGACTGGATTTTCTTTCTTTGCGTCAGGCAGCTGTGAGTCCTGAAACAACATGGAGCAGATAGGCTAGCTGCTTTCTCCAAACCGATTGCACTTGTTGGGCACAAAGGAAAATTGCATTTCCCAGCCTCCTTGCTTCTAGGCAGGGTCACGTGGCTACTTCCGGTGGGTAGAATGTGAGAGGAAGTGACGGATCGCTTTCAGGTTGAGGCAAATTAAAAGCCAGGATGCATGTCCTAGATTAAAGACGGTGGAGTCTCCAGGAAGCGAGGGGATGATTTCCTGTGTTGTCTCTGAGAGAACAGCCCCTGACTTGCATCGGACAGTGAAATAACTGAGAAATAGACATTCATTATGATCAGTTATTAGGATTTCGCTACTTTTAAAATTGAAAGTATGCTCTCTTTTTTGACTAATAAGAAATTTACAAGGAGGCTTGTGGCCTGGGATGGGACATCCACTTGTCACAGAGCCCTCTCTGCTGATTTAGCACCCTCCAGACTAATTTGCTCATTTATTCATCTACTCATTTTCTGATTATTTTCCTTTTGTCTTCCAGATCTTCTCTCTACCCCTCTTTGCTCTGCTGTATTCCACTAGAATACAAGAGGCTCTCCTCTGTGGGCTGCAAAACCCAGGCTCCCTCCCTAACGGCTTCCAGGTGAACTGGGTCAATGGAAGGCACCAAGAGGAGATGAGAGAGTGGAGGAGAGCGAGGCTGTCGTTTTTATTGCCCACTTCCTCCGTTCTGGGCTCTTGTTTTGGCAGTGGCTGTGATTTTCCACCTACAGTCATAGCTCTTATAAGGCCCTGGTGCAGGTTCTAGGAACATTTGTCCCCGCTCTTTCCTTCAAGACCAGGAGTGCTAACATGTTACTCTGTTGCTAGTACCTGTGTGTCTTAACATCTCTTGTTAGGTCCCTAAATTCTGCCCATACCTCTGTATATAGTTCTTTGATTAACATCTTTTCAGTGAAGCCGTTTGAGAATACCACGTATTTCCCACTGGGTCTCTCACAGATATGCCATCTATTTATGCATCTATCCACTCATTCACTCATCCATCTATCATCCACCAATTCATGTATCCATCCACCTGTCCATCCATCCATCCATCCATCCATCCACTTACCCATCCATTCATCTACCATCTACCCATCAATAGATCCTTCCATTCATCCATTCATCCATCATCCATCCATCTATCTGTTATCCATCCACTTTCCCATCCATTCATCTACCATCTACCCATCAATAGATCCTTTCATTCATCCATTCATCCATCATCCATCCATCTATCTGTTATCCATCCATCTTTTATCCAACCTATATATGCACGTAGTGCCTAGTATGCGCTAGGCAATGTGGTAAGAGGTTTATCTACTTACCCGTTAAAGTCTGACAACATCCTGAAGTTAGTACTGTTACTATCCCTGTTTTTCTCAATTGCTACTTCTGCAAAGAGATCTCCCCTGACCACCGAATCTAAAACAGCACCTCTTTCCCTTTCAATCCCCTTACTCTGCTTTTTCTTTCCTTAACATTGTCATATTATCACAGTATTTATTCATTTACTTGTTTGTTTTCTGACGCACACATTAAGTGGGCAGAGACTTTGTCCATCTTGTTCCCTGCTATATTTCCAGTAGCTAGGGTGGTTCCTGGTACACAGTAGACCTTTAAGAAAACATTGGGTTAAATAAGGAATAAACAAGTGGAAGGTGAAACAGATTCTCAGAAAGAGAAGCAATTTGCTTTGTTTCTCCCAGACAGGATTAGAACTCAAATCCATTGAGCTTAGAGCCCAGGCCATTCACTGCTCTGCAATACCACCTGGGTTTCCTCTGAGACGTGGACTTACCATGACTCGTAGCAGCCCCCTCAGAGACAGTGCAGAAAGCATCTCTCTTTCTTTGGGAAAGCTAGTGCCTTCTGAGCACATTCTTGTTCTGTGGGTTTTGCCCATTTTAGTCTCTTCAATTCCTTTTGGAATTACACAACCTGGTTTCCTTTGACCTGGGAAAGGGACATTTCTGGATTCCCCACTGTGTGGTGGCCACTTTGAAGCCTGTGCCTTGTTTAATACTCTCCGCCTCCTAGTGAGGGTGACACTGATATTAACTTGTTCTGCAGGTGAGACCAAGTCTCGGGTTGGGTTGATTGCTCAAGGTCAAGTTACTAAGCATCCGATCAGGCATTGGAACTGAGTTCTGGCTGATCCCAGAGCCCAATCTCTTACCCACTGTGCTGTCGTTTCACTTGTGAGTCCAGATGTGAGGAAGGAGTTGTTAATAAAAATAAAGCGTAGCAACTGCAAGACATCAGGAGCTCACCATGGGCCAGGCACAGTGTGAAGCATTTTATAGGCATTTATTGTCTATGTTTTACAGATGGGGAAACTGAGGCACAGGTTAAATCCTGGCCTGAAGGTAAATTGCACAGCTGCCATGTGGGACAGCCCCCTGCCTACTCTTTCCCAAGAGTAGGCATTTCCCATTGCCATTAACTTACAACCCCTCCCCACTGCCAGCTCCTCTCTCAGCGACATTTCTGCCAAGGCTGCTGGCTGGGGAGATCGGCAGTGGCCCGAGACAGCATCTGCACACAGCTTGGGAGAAACTCAAGTGCCATTTCCACCTGATAATAAATATGTGTCAGAGAGGACTCGATCCGTGTGACCTTGGGTTACAGGGGTACTGGACCGTGAAAAGCCTTTGACAAAATCCTTTTGCCTCAAGAGGCTGAGTCCAAATTACAGGCGATTATGGATGCTTGGCCTGACTTCCCGGTCACCCTTTTATGTCTGATGCCCAGGAATGACTCTTATGTATTGGAAAGGATCCAGCTGGGCCTGGGGCCGGTCACCTCACCCTCCTTGGCAGGGTCCTTTCTCGGAGAGCAGGAGGCAAACCTCAACCCTTCATATTGTTTCTTCTGATCACTGTGACTAGTGGTCACACTAGCACCCAAAAATACAGTCACAATCCCACCACAACCTCACCAGTTATTGAGCATACACTACATGCCAGGCCCTTCACCAGCCCCAAAAAGTTCTTCCTACGACTCTACACGGAAGTACCATGGCTGTATCCATTTTACTAATGGGAAGACTGAGGCACCATGTGTCTAAGTCAGCAATGGGCAAACTTTTTCTCTAAAGAACCGGACAGTAAATATTTTAGGCATTGCAGCCCATGTGGGCTCAGTTGCAACCACTCAACTCTGTTGTTTTAGTGTGAAAGCAGTCACAGACAATACATAGATGAATGGGTGCAGCTGTGACCCAATAAAACTTTATTTACAAAAAGAAGAACTGGGCTAGGTTTGACCTGAGAGCCATTGTTTGCCAACCCTTGGCCTCTGTGACCTATCCAAGCCCCTGTGCTGCACAAAGAGCAGAAGCATTCAGCATCTGAGTCCTAGGAATGTAATGCTCATCTCCCCGGTCCTGTGTAATTTTCTTGGTACATATTACGCAATGGTTAATTTTATGTGTCAACTTGACTGGACCACAGAGTGCCCAGATATTTGGTGAAACAGTATCTCTCACTGTGTCTGTGAGGGTATTTCCGGGTGAGATTACCATTCAAATTGGTGGACTGGGTAAAGCAGGTTGCTGTCCCCTGGGTAGACTTCATCCAATCCACTGAAGCCTTGAATAGAATAAAAGGCTGAGTAAGAAAGAATTATATCTCTCCGCCTCACTGTCTTCCAGTTGGGACATCAGTTTTCTCCTGCCTTTGAATTTGGACTTGGACTGGAACTACACCATTGACTGTCCTGGTCTCCAGCTTGCCAACTAGAGATCTGAGACTTCCCAGCCTCCATAGTCACAGGAGCCAATTCTTTACAATAAATCTCTTCATATCTACTCTGTTTCCCTGGAGAACTCATATTAATACATATTATTGTTATTAGTGTTCTCATTTTGCCGGTGGGGTAATTGAGGCTTGAATCGCTAGAGTGACTTTCTTTTTTTAAATTTTCTTTCCTTTTTTTTTTTTTAATTTTAGGTTCTGGGGTACCTGTGTAGGATGTGCAGGTTTGTTACATAGGTAAACATGTGTCATGGTAGTTTGCTGCACCTATCAACCCATCACCTAAGTATTAAGCCCCTCATGCATTAGCTATTTTTCGTGATGGTCTCCCTCTCTGCACCCATGACAGGCCCCAGTGCATTGTTCCCCTCCCTGTGTCCATGCATTTGCATTGTTCAGCTCCCACCTATGAGTGAGAACGTGCTGTGTTTGGTTTTCTGTTCCCGCGTTAGTTTGCAGAGGAAAACGGCTTGCTGGAGTGACTATCTGCATGATCTTACCAAAGAAACGTCTGCACCAGAACTTACACAGACCGATGAATCTGGAAGGGGTGAAGTGACTTGGAGGATATTGAGGAACATTTTTGCAAAGGAGGGAACCTTAACCTGGCTTTCCAGGTCTTCCCCAGAGCGGCCTCAAATTGTCTTTCCTGGGCTCTCCCTATAACTTCTTGACACCTGCTCTGTCCCTCTCATGGCCCTCTGTGGCTACATCCTGCCCTGCAGCCGTCGTCACACTGCTCCATAGCCACACAGTGCACCACCTTGCCCCCTGGCATTACCTGTGCTGCCACGTTTGCCCCCCTCTTTCCTTTGGGGTGGCTTCATGTCCCAGCTTGCACCCCCTGTCCCAGAAGCCTTTGCTGATCCCCTCCCTCCTTTCCAGCTCTAAAGCTGCTCCGTCTCTGCGTGCCTGTGTCTTGTCCTCCCCAGCCACTCTGCAAGGGAGTGGAAGGCGTCTACTACACGTCAGCATCCCTCTTCCTCGGGGCGGGGGTGCACCTTGGAAGTGCAAACATGTCTTATTTATATATGAATGAAGTAATAGATAAGAAGCAATGCCCTCCCAGGAATCACACTGTGACTTCTACCCTTGGGGAGCGGGCAGAGTCTGATGGCTGATGACATCAGCTTCACACGCAGTGTTCATGGAGCCCTGGGAGCACAGCATAAGTCTTGCTTTTGTGAGAAGCACAGTCCCTGTCCCTTCTCCCACCCAGATGACCGGCTGTTGGTCCCGGGAAGTAAGTGGCCAACTGCCCCATGGTGATAGACATTATTGTGTCTGTCTCTGTGTGTGTGTGTGTGTGCGCGCGTGCGCGGGGGGTGCTGTAACAGAAGGAATAATTCCCTAAGTAACTAGAAGCTATGAATTCACCAATATACCAAGAAAAGGAGGATGAAACCAATGTTGGATAGATTGTTAAGAGATTGACAAACAATGAGAGAGAGAGAGAGAGAGATAGGGAGAGACAGACAGACAGACAGAGAAATAAGAAGGGAAGTAAAAATTCAGAGGAAGGTGAAGGAGAACTTTTCTAGGGCAAAGCAAGCAGACGCTGACCCCTCTGCTCCCAGGGAAGGAAGATCAGTAGTTGTAAGGACCTGGAATAATGAGGCAAGAACCAAGAGAGAAGCCAAAAAGAAGCAGAGGAGGAAGAAGGGCCTTCTTTCCAGCATACTCAATATGCCAGTCCCCATGTAAACCTATGCGCCTTCACTGTCATCTCTTTTCAACCCTCCAGGCAAACCTTCAGGATAGGTCCCATTTTACAGATGAGGGACCTAGGGCTCAGAGAGGGGCCGGCACTTGTTTAGGGAGCTGCAGCTTGCCAGTGGCAGAGCCAGGAATGAGCCCCGGTCTGTGTGGCCCCATGCCCGGTCTCAGGCTGCCAGAAAAGCAGAGCTGACAGGAGAAAGGTTAGAGGAATAAGAAACAGGCTGGGGACATGCAGCCTTTCCCAGGGCCCCTCCCAGGCCTGCCTGACCCCCTACCCTTGGGGAAGGACAGGTTTAATGGCACTGTCCCTCCTGGGGTGGAGAAGGTGCTGAGTGGCACTTTCCCACAGGACCTGGTGGGAACAGAGCTGCCTGGGCCCCAGCTGGCTGCCCAGCTAATGAGCCCCAGAGGGAGCTGGACAGGCCTCATAAAGCCAAACACAGGGCAGCAGGCAGGAGGCAGCTGGAGCCCTGGGCTGTCTGCCCCTGGCCTTGGCTCGGTGCCGGCTGAAACCAAAAGCGCCCAAGACCTTGACAGACAAGAGACCCTTGCCAATCCCTGCTCCTGGTGCCTCCCTCTTCCTGCTCAGGGCCCAGATCTGAGCCATCTCCACAGAGACCATCTCCTCACTGCCTTAGAGACCATGTGGTCCTGATGGGACAGTCAGGGGTTCAGGTCAGAGCTAGGAGGACCCTCAGAGAGCATTGGCTCCCTTCTCTTGTAGAGTCAGGGTAACTGTGACCCAGAGAGGGCAAGCTACTGGGAAAAGGCCAAACAGCGAGACGGGACAGCAGACCCATGTGCCCATGTGTTTGTCTTCCTAGGAGCAATAGGAGTCCGTTTGCCCAGAGAGTAATTAGAATATGTGATATGACCAGCCCTTGTTAGGGCAGAGGACAAAAATTAGGCAACTTAGCCATTCCTAGCACTCACAAAAAGGTGAACTCTGGATTAACATAAGGATTAACCCATTTAATCCTCCCCCAAGCCCTACTAGGACACTTTTAGTATCCCCATTGACAATGGAAGACTCTGAGGGCTCAGAGAGGTTAAGTAACTTGCTCAAGGTCACGCAGCCAGTGCTATGGTTTGAATGTCCTCTCCAAAACTCAAGTTGAAATTTAGTTGCCATTGTGACAGTGGTAAGAGGTGGGACAATTAAGAGGTGACTAGGCCATGAGGACTCAATCCTCATGAACGAATTAATGTTGTTATCACATCACAGGAGTGATGGGAATTATCATGGGTGTGGGCACTTGATTTAAAAAGTATGAGTTCAACCCTTTTTCTGTCTCACCTTTTCTTACCCGTCCACCTTCTGCCGTGGGATGATGCAGCATGAAGGCCCTCACCAGATACTGGCACCTTGCTACTGGACTTCCCAGACTCCAGAAGTGTGAGAAATATATTTCTTTTCTTAATAAATTACCCAGTCTTGGGTATTTCATTGTAGCAGCACAAAACGGATAAAGATAGCCAGTTGGTGGCAAAGCTGGAGTTTGAACCAGAGTCCAACCTTTTACCTGTTATCCATGCGGCTTTCCCACTGAGGATGGAGTCAAGCTTCCTCCAGTGTGCCCAGGCCATAAGCTAAGCACTCACAGGGCAGGTAGACCCTGGGGGATCTCACAGCCTGGGGCAGTGGCTGGTGATCAGTAATCACACTCCAGCCTAATGTTCTGGCAGCCACCCAAGCTGGGCACAGAGTTAGATTCCCTGCCTGCTTCCTGATACTTAGCTTGTTCATTGCAGTCTAGCCTCAGTGTCATGTTTTTTCATTACCAAGAGCTTGTCCCAGCTCCTTGGTCTTGTTGTGAGTGGTGATAGCAGGGGCTCTGGAATCTGCCTGCCTGTATCTGCATTTTGACAGCTGTGTGACCTTAGACAAGTCGCTTAACCTCTCTGGGCTTTACTTTCCTCATCTGTAAACTGGGACTAATAATAGTACTTGCCTCATAGGGTGGAAATGAAAGTAGTGACTATTTAAAGTGCTTAGAAAAATGCCAGCACACCCCAGAGCTCACTATAAGTGATGATTACTATGGCTACTGCTGCTTCTATCGCTGGGGCAGGGGTGCGCTACAAACTGGAGTTGTCACCACAGATGAGGTCTGTGCTACCCATTGCCAACCACAGGGTATTTATTGGACACCCGCTGTGTGCCAGGCCCTATGCTAGGCACTGAGGGTGAAATAGTGAAGAAGCAGGCAGGCACCATCGCTGTCCCATGCCCCTCCCCCCAGCCTAGTGGGGAGATGGATGAGGAAACTGACAGTTCGACGCAGAGTGATCAGGGCTGCTGAGGGAAGCCCCCAGGAGGCCCCAGAGCCAGCAGAGGGTGGGATGTGGGCCTCGTAGACTTCTCGGAGGATAGGTGGGACTTAATCAGAAGAAGGTGAGAGGAAACAGGATTGGAGGTGGTAGGATCAGCACATGCAAAAGACTAGTGGTGGACAGACCACAGGAGTGTTGGAGGACCAGAATGAGGTTTTATAGTACTGAAGATCATGGGGGAGGGGGTCCTGAAAGGAGTGGGGGTTGGAAGGTCATAGAGGAAGGAGGCATGGAGGTCAACAGGGGCCAGATCTTCCAGCCAAAAGGAGAAAAGGGTTTGGACTTAACTTGAGGGCAGCAGGGAGCCGTGGAAGGCTGTAGGCACAGAAGGGATATAGTCAGATAAGGGTTTGAGAAAGACTTTGTGCAGCGTAGAGAGCAGCATAAAGTTGGGAGTGGCCCTGTCTTTCATGAAATAAGCAGAACATGGCTAGGAAATGTCTCCTGCAGGGGTGCGGAGATGTTGTTCCATATTCCGGCAGGAGGCCACATCCCCAAGCTCAGGTTGTCTCTGATGAGCAGCTCCCCCACCCCCAAGCCCATCCTCTGGGTCCTTAGCCTTTGTAGCCTGGGTGGCGTGAGGTCAGAGCTCTCTGGAGCAAAGGGTCACTGCTGATTCCTGGGGTCCTTGGGAGGCCACAGACAGCAAGGAGGGCTGTGGGGAGAGGAAAACCTACTGAGGCATTCCACGCAGCCGCCTACCCTGAAGCATCACTGGCCAGGAATGCAGGGGCACCCAGGGGCCATGCTTATCACCCTCCCCAAGCGTCTGGAGCAGCCCGGTTCCTGTCGGCTGTCCATCCAGATGGGCCCTAAATCAGTGGGCCCTTCCTCCTCCAGCTGCAGCTGACACAGAGCCTGGACCCCAGCCAACGCCCAAGCCCAGGAGCCCAGACTATAACATGTCAGCCTCCCACACACACAGACCCTGCCAGCTCCCAACACAGCCACTGGGTCTGGCGTGTGTCAGCTGAGAGATGTTGCAACAGGGAAATGGCATGGAGTCAGACAGGTATGGGTTTGAATTCAGACTGCTGGGCTTAGTGACTTGCCTCAGTTTTCTCCTCTCTAAAATGGGAATATTAACAGGACCCACTTCCTCGAGTAGCCGTGAGGATTAAGTAAGACAGTGGATGTGACTGCACCTAATAGGTCTGGCTAGCACATTCTGTGTCTCGTTAAATATATACTCCAGAGCTCTAGAGCTCCTTTTGTAAGATCAATGCAATTACCCGTATACAGCTCTGGACAGAATCTACTTCTGAGTTAATGTCTCCAGATTATTCCCCAAATGGCTCCCGGCACATTCTCTTAATGCACTCAAATTGGTTTCCCAGTTTTACAGGAACTTGTTTGAGACCCGCTTCTGGGGAAGTACACGGGTTAAGAGGAGGAACCTCCAGTTGTAGAGGTTCAGTACTTGGTCTTCCCTTCCCTCCAGCCTGATTTCATGGCCCCATGGAATGCAAAAGTTATAAATAACAAGCTATATGACATGTTGGAAGGTGATAGTTCTATGGGAAAGAAACCAGTAGAGGAGGATAAAGGAGATTGAGTGTCCCAGGGGTGGGAGGTGGTGTTAGAATTTTAATAGAACTTGGCCGGGAGCAGTGGCTCACACCTGTAATCCCAACACTTTAGGAGGCCAAGGCGTGCAGATCATCTGAGGTCAGGAGTTCGAGACCAGCCTGCCCAACATGGTGAAACCCCGTCTCTACTAAAAATACAAAAATTAGCCGGGCGTGGTGGCAGGTGCCTGTAGTCCCAGCTACTCGGGAGGCTGAGGCAGGAGAATTGCTTGAACCCAGGAGGCGGAGGTTGCAATGAGCTGAGATCCCACCATTGCACTCCAGCCTGGGCAACAAGAGTAAAACTTCATCTCAGAAAAAAAATATTAATAGAACTTCTGGATATAGTTAACTTTTCCTTTAAAAATTTCATCTTTGTGTCTGTTTTATATGGTACTTAATCTATGAATACAGTAGTGCATGGTCACAATTTATAAGCATGTGTATTTGTTTATATATGTATGTTTGTATGTATCTGTGCATATGTTTGTATTTTTTACGGTGTGAGTTCAAGTAGTTTGGACACCCCTGAGTTATACAGACACAAGCAGCAGGATTCTAGTGGATGGAAGATTACAGGCTTCCACTCTTAGGTATTATTTGCTCCCCAAGGTGGTCTTAGAAATCAGCCCTCTCCCCTCAAATTCTACATCCTTGCTGAGTGCAGTTTGAAGACACTCATCCTCAACCTCTTCATTCACAGATGAGGAAGCTGAGGCTCAGAGCAGAGCTGTGGCCCATGCAAAGGCACAGAACTAGTAAGCAGCTCAGTGGGGAACTAATCCAGGTCTTGGAATTGCCCGGGGTCTTTCTGCTGAGCCCAAACCTCGAGATACTCCTTAGAAGTGCTGGAGCCAGAGTGAGGCAGTGGAAATGCAAGAAGACAGGGACCAGGGCCTGAGATTTTTCTTCTCGTCCCCCCCACCGCCCGAGAGGCCACTTAAGCGGCGCTTAACCGTCCTGTGATGTATTGAACCCTCTCTCTGCGCATAAATGCGGCCGGTCAACCGCTAGGCAGAAATGCCACATATATTTCCTCCCATTAGATGAAATATGCCCCTAATTTGGCTGGGGTTTTGTTTTATTAGACCTACGGCAGCGAGGGGGCCCTGCTGCAGAGTAACCTTTTCCTGATCACTTAGTTCTCTCCGGAGAACACTGAGGGCCTCGATAAAGGGGGGAAAGAAACGCCCTGTTCTATTATTTTTCAGCACACATTCCCAGAACAAAGATCTTCCCGAGCCAAGGAGACACTGCGTGAGGCATTTCAGAGACACCTCCCGCTCTAAGAATGTTCCTGGGGCTGGGAGCCTGGAGACCCACGTTCCAGCCCTGAGGTGTCGTTTACAAAAGGAAGAATTGGGCACATTGCCTCCCTTCTCTGGGCCTCAGTTTATTCATCTGTAAAACATGGCTAATAACGGAACCCCCATCATAGAGTTGCTTCAAGGATTAAATAAGATCAAGAATGACAGAGGGCATTTAGTATACCTTCTCTGTTAATGTCATTGTTTCCAAAGAGAAGTGAGTTTCTTGATCCCTATAGGAGAGCGTGTTGGTGAATTCTGCTGGGCTAAAACTAAAACAGTGATTTTTTTTTCCCTACGATCCTTTAGGGGTACCCTTATGCTAATTAACCCTACCCCACACAAGACTGGCTTGTGTGCCTTGGGGCCACTTCATCAGGGGAGGGAGATGTTATGGGGCCTGACTCAGGACTGGTGCATCCTTTCCCCACCTCCATGACACCAGCCACCATCAGAGGGCTGACTGTGAACGCTCAATGGTACCCATGCAGAAAGGTCCTGAGCTCAGTGGTCTCCCCATCATGCTGGGGTTTGGGACCCTAGTTATGTTTCCTCTCTTTAGCCCAGTGGAGCTCATCTTTTGCTTCATATTACTATCACCCGAGGACCTGTAAAAAATATTTACTCCAGACCAGACCAATTAAGTCAAACTCTCTGGTTGTGGGAAAGGAGGGGACCCTAGTTTTTAAAGCTCCCTAGGTGATTCTAATGAGTGGCAAAGCTGAGAATAACAGTTTAGCCCTTTTCATGTGATCGAGACCAGACCCTATATCTGTGTCTTCCTCCTGCAAAAGGGTAAGTGGAAAAGCCAGACTCGAACTGGGTGCAAATCTTGCCTTTGTGTGGCTTCCTGCCTCCATCCCTATTCACCTCACTGCACCTCTGCTTCCACATCCCTAAGGGGGAGTAATAATAGTGCCTGCTTCTTGGGACTGCTGGGAGAGCATCTAACAGGCTCTGCACTGTGCCCGGCACCCAGTAAGCCCTCGATAGGTAGTGGGATCATTACCATTATTACTCTAGACCAGGTATCCAGAAAACCATCTGTAAATTAGGGTCAGTTCATAAATATTTTCAGCTTTTCAGGCCAGAGGGTCTTGGTCAAAGCTACTTAACTCTAGTGCTGTAGCCTGAAAGCCACGGACAACATGCAAATGAATGGGAGTGGCTGTGTTCCAATAAAAACTTACAAAAACGTGCAGCAGGCTGGATTTGGTTGTTAATTTGCTGACACCTAATCTGGAAGATATTTTGAGTTTGAACAACTGGGTATATGCTGGGTTTTACCTGTTATGTTTTTGGTTTATAGTCCTAGACAGGACCTGGAAATCTTTGTCTCATTCTCTCCTTTACACACACTCATCTTATAGGATATTTATATGAGAAACTTATGCCATCTTTTTTTTTGTTTTGTTTTTGTTTTTAAATTATACTTTAAGTTCTGGGATACATGTGTCGAACGCGCAGGTTTATTACCTAGGTATACACGTGCCATGGTGGTTTGCTGCACCCATCAACTCATCATCTACATTAAATATTTCTCCTAATGCTATCCCTCCCCTAGCCCCTCACCCCCTGACAGGCCCTGGTGTGTGATGTTCCCATCCCTGTGTCCATGTATTCTTATTGTTCAACTCCCACTTATGAGTGAGAACATGCGGTGTTTGGTTTTCTGTTCCTGTGTTAGTTTGCTGAGAATGGTGGTTTCCAGATTCATCCATGTCCCTACAAAGGACATGAACTCATCCCTTTTTATGGTTGTGTAGTATTCCATGGTGTATATGTGCCACATTTTCTTTATCCAGTCTATCATTGATGGGCATTAGATGGTTCCAAGTCTTTGCTATTGTGAACAGTGCTGCAGTAAACATACGTGTGCATGTGTCTTTATAGTAGAATGATTTATAATCCTTTGGGTATATACCCAGTAATGGGATTGCTGGGTCAAGTGGTATTTCTGGTTCTAGATTCTTGAGGAATCGCCACACTGTCTTCCACAATGGTTGAACTGATTTATACTCCCACCGATGGTGTAAAAGTGTTCCTATTTCTCCACATCCCCTCCAGTATCTGTTGTTTCCTGACTTTTTAAAGATCACCATTCTAACTGCTGTGAGATGGTATCTCATTGTGGTTTTGATTTGCATTTGTCTAATGACCAGTGATGATGAGCATTTTTCATAAATTTGTTGGCCGCATAAATGTCTTCTTTTCAGAAGTGATTGTTCATATTCTTTGCCCACTTTTTGATGGGCTTGTTTTTTTCTTGTAAATTTGTTTAAGTTCTGGATATTAGCCCTTTGTCAGATGGATAGATTGCAAAAATTTTCTCCCATTCTGTAGGTTTCCTGTTCACTCTGATGATAGTTTCTTTTGCTGGGCAGAAGCTCTTTAGTTTAATTAGATCCCATTTGTCAATTTTGGCTTCTGTTGCCATTGCTTTTGGTGTTTTAGTCATGAAGTCTTTGCCCGTGTCCTGAATGATATTGCCTAGCTTTTCTTCTAGGGTTTTAATGCTTTTAGGGCACATGTTTAAGTCTTTAATCCATCTTGAGTTAATTTTTGTATAAGGTGTAAGGAAGGGGTCCAGTTTCAGTTTTCTGCATATGGCTAGCCAGTTTTTCCCAACACCATTTATTAAATAGGGAATCCTTTCCCCATTGCTTGTTTTTGTCAGGTGTGTCAAAGATCAGATGGTTGTAGATGTGTGGCATTATTGCCGAGCCCTATGTTCTGTTCCATTGGTCTATATGTCTGTTTTGGTACCAGTACCGTGCTGTTTTGGTTACTGTAGCCTTGTAGTATAGTTTGAAGTCAGGTAGTGTGATGCCTCCAGCTTTGTTCTTTTGGCTTAGCATTGTCTTGGCTATACGGGCTCTTTTTTGGTTCCATATAAAATTTAAAGTAGTTTTTTCCAATTCTATGAAGACAGTCAATGGTAGCTTGATGGGGATAGCATTGAATCTATAAATTACTTTGGGCAGGATGGCCATTTTCATGATATTGATTCTTCCTATCCATGAGCATGGAATGTTTTTCCATTTGTTTGTGTCCTCTCTTATTTCCTTGAGCTTTGTAGTTCTTGAGGTTTGTAGTTCTCCTTGAAGAGATCCTTCACATCCCTGGTAAGCTGTATTTCTAGGTATTTTATTCTCTTTGTAGCAACTGTAAATGGGAGTTTACTCATAATTTGGCTCTCTGTTTGTCTATTATTGGTGTACAGAGATGCTTGTGATTTTTGCATGTTGATTTTGTATCCTGAGACTTTGCTGAAGTTGCTTATCAGCTTAAGGAGATTTTGGGCTGAGACGATGGAGTTTTCTAAATATACAATCATGTCATCTGCAAATAGAGACAATTTGACTTCCTCTCTTCCTATCTGAATATGCTTTATTTCTTTCTCTTGCCTGATTGCCCTGGCCAGAACTTCCAATACTGTGTTGAATAGGAGTGGTGAGAGAGGGAATCCTTGTCTTGTGCTGGTTTTCAAAGGGAATGCTTGCAGCTTTTGCCCATTCAGTGTGATATTGGCTGTGGGTTTCTTATAAATAGCTCTTATTATTATATGTTCCATCGATACCTAGTTTATTGAGAGTTTTTAGCATGAAGGAGTGTTGAATTTTATTGAAGACCTTTTCTGCTTCCATTGAGATATTTTCTGCATCCATTAAGATAATCATGTGGTTTTTGTCATTGGTTCTGTTTATGTGTTGGATTATATTTATTGATATGTGTATGTTGAACCACCCTTGCCAGGAAGAAGTCGAATCCCTGAATAAACCAATAATAAGGTCTGAAATTGAGGCAGTAATTAATAGCCTACCAACCCAAAAAATCCCAGGACCAGATGGATTCACAGATGAATTGTACCCAGAGGAACAAAGTGGAGCTGATATCATTCCTTCTGAAACTATTCCAAAAAATAGAAAAAGAGGGCCTCCTCCCCAACTCATTTTATCAGGTCAGCATCATCCTGATACCAAAACCTGGCAGAGACACAACAAAAAAGAAAATTTCAGGCCAATATCCCTGATGAACATCAATGTGAAAATCCTCAATAAAATACTGGCAAACTAAATCTGGCAGCACATCAAAAAGCTTATCCACCACGATCAAGTTGGCTTCATCCCTGGGACATCGTTTTTTAAGAGACAGGGGTCTCACTCTGTTGCCTAGGCTGGAGTACAGCGGTGCAATCACAGCTCACTGCAGCCTTGAACTCCTGGGCTCAAACGATCCTTTTGCCTCAGTGCCCCGAATAGCTGGGACCACAGGCATACTCCACAATGCCCAGCTAATGTTGTAATTTTTTGTAGAGACGGGGTCTTGCTATTGTTTCCTGGGCTGGTCTGTAACTCCTGACCTCAAGCAATCCTCCCACCTCCACCTGTCAAAGTGCTGGAATTACAAGTGCGAGCCACCATGGCCAGCCCCTGAAATAGGTTTTTTGAAATGGTTACCACATTACAAGTTCTTTGTACATGCTATTTCCCAATTCTTTCAATCTTCTTTTTTTCAGATTATTAGATCTGAGGAAAAGAATTATTAAGGTGGTCATTTATTTGGCGTCTGCATTGTGTCCTTGCTCATCTCATTGAATTCTCACAGCAACCTTCTGAGTGCCTACCATTATCACCCCCATTGTCCAGATGAGAAGTCTGAGGCTTTGAGAGGCACAGATTCTTGCTCAAGGTCATACAGAGGTGGGATTTGAACCCAGTCTGTTAACCCCAGACTGTATGCTTCTCCATGCCTCCTTTCTGCTGTCGGCAAAGAAGCCGGCACTTGGGCATGAAAGGCCAGCATGCATTATCCATCTTAGACAGACTTTTTGTTTCTAAGACTGGAAAATGCTAGAAAGAAGTTGGCAGCCAAGGAGCAAAGCCATTCCTTTTGTTTTGAGTGTTTATCAGACAAGCCCTGCATGGTCAGAATCTCTTCTGCATGAAGCTGGGGTTTTTCTATGGTTATTCAGTGAGCATCTATTCTGGAGGCTGGGGAGGAGCAATTGTGTTTTCGACATTCCTCTTCATTCGCCCAAATCACCTCTCTCTCATCAAGAGCCTCGTGGAATCTGAATGAGCGGGCAGACGCTATTCATCAGAATAAGAGTTGCCAGCACAACCCGCTATTTCTTGTTTCCAACAGTTAAGGGGAAAAATTTCCGATAGATATTTTTACTTTGCGCAATTCTATTTTTGTCTCAACTTATCTGATCCTCTAATTCTGTGAGGGACTTTATTTCCTTGTGATGTTAAAGCCCCAGAGCTCAAAGTTCTTTTTCTTTTAAGCTTCAAAAAACTGAAGACCCTATTCAGGGCTAAGCCAGATACCCATCAGCCCTTGTGGAGGCGAATTATCACTCAAGTCATCTCACTTGCTTACAAATCCTCCGAGGAGGTTTTTCTCCTTTTTTATTTTTTCTTTTAAGGAGTTGGGTGACAGATAGCAACTGAAGAGCAACCATGCTTTCCAGGGGAACAAGCTTTGCAGACTGAGTCCCAGCTTGGGGGTTCACTGCCAATCACTATCTGACCTCAGAAATATCATTGGCCCCACCATGGACCAGTGACATTTGGCCATTCATTCACCCGGCTATGAATCTCCAGTATTTGTCGCCCTCTTTTTCTGACACATAGACGAATTCTCAGTCCCATCTTCTGGTTACCCACCCATGCTCAAGCCTTGACTATCTGGGTAAATTACATCATCCTGCACCCAGTCACCTGCACCCACCGCTTTGCAACTGTGCATCACCCACATCCAACCCTTCTGCAGCTTCTAATTTCCACCTCTGCATGCGTTTTTAATGTATCAAATTTCCCCCATATCTGTTGTTACCATCTGTCCAGAGCCACTGTCATCTCCTTCCTGGGCACTACAGCAGCCTTCTGAGGGCTCTCCATCCTTCTGCCATAGTCTCCACCCTCCAATCCATTCTCTAGCCTGGGATAATTTTTCAAATTTGCTCTCAGAACTCCTCTTTCTAAAACCTTTTAATAATTTCCCAATACGTTTAAAACAGGAGTCAGCAAACTATGGCCTGTGGATCAAATCCAGCCAGCTGCCTGTTTTTGTAAATAAAGTTTTATTAGAACACAGCTACACTCATTTGTTTGTGATTTGCATCTGGCTGCTCATGCATGACAACAGATAACAGAGTTGAATCACTGCAACAGAGTCTATGACTATATGACCATATTACCTATAAAGCTTGAAATCTTTATTATCTGATCCTCTACAGAAAAAAGTTTCCAGAGTCCTGACTTATAATAATATCCAGTTCCTCAGCGTGGCCTGTTAGTAAGGTAATCAATCATATGTGGTAGTCACTTGCGTTTAAGGTCCACTTTTCTGCATATTTCATTTCTCCCATCACAGCCTTTGCAATCTGTCTTTGCAGTTTCTCCATCAAGAGATAGATCTGTTTCCCCATCCCTTGAATCTGCATTAGCCATGTGACTTACTTTAATCAATAGAATGTGGCAGAAACAACATTGTGTCAGTTCTAAACCTGTGACTCAAGTAGCCATGCACACTTCTCTGTCTTGTAGAAGCCTGCTGCTGCCATAAGAACAAACCCACGCTGGCCTGCTGGAGGATGAGAGACAGGTGACCCAGTCCCTCCCAGCATCCCAGCCAACAGCCAGCCAATCCCAGATATAGAGCAGCCCTGCTGCCCTGCAGCTGGCCACAGACACATTAGGGAACCCAGCCCAGATTGGCACAAACCTCAGCTGAGCCACAGATTCATGAGCTAGCTAAATGCTTACCATTTTACACCACTACAATTGAGGGGTGCTTTGTTACACAGCAGTAGCTAACTGACACATCATATAATTTAACATTCAAGTTGGAATAGTTCTGAGAGTAAAAAAAAGGGCACTCTTAATTTCACCCGACTATCCCAGGCAAATGAAAAGGTAAATTCAATTTCCCTCTAATGGCACTGTTTGATCTATTTCATTCCTTTCACTCAAGCTTAATTGCAAGCCAGGGACCTGCTTTCCACAACACTCCTACTAACCTTAGGTCAGTTCCTAGAATATATCAAGCTCTTTTCAACCTCAAGGACTTTGCACAGGCCATTCCCTCTGCCTGGAATACTCTTACACCCACTGATGGATGCTTTCTTCTCATTCTTCAGGTCTCAGAACTTCATTATCAATAACTACCTACCTGCCTCCCACCCCCAGCTACAAGCTATCCCAGTTTTTGATTTGTTTTGTACTTACTACAATCTGAAATCAATTTGTAGGTTTATTGACTACTTGTTCATTGCCTGAGTCCTCCCATGAGACTATGAGCCCTGTTAGGGATGGAACTCTATCTTATTCTTCTCTGTATCCCCAGTGTTCAGCAGATTTCCAGGCACATGGTAGGTGCTTTTTACATATATTTTTAAAATAAATGAATATAGCAAAAATTCAGCCTGTTAAACATCAACTGCATGATGGGTAGTTTCCTAACTAGCTAGAATCGGAAATAGGGTTCTGAGTAGCCAGGCAGAACTGGGTTCAAATTTGTCCTCTAGCACTTTGTAGTTTTGAAATCATGGGCACCTTACTCAAATTCTCTGAGTCCCATTGTCTTCACTGGTAAAACTGAGTTGCAGATAAGAAGTAATGCATGTAAAATGCCCATCACAGGGACTAGCATATAGCAGGTACTTAGAAATCAGTAGCCAGAATTATTTTCACTACAGTTGGGTCAAAAAAAAAAAAAAAAAAAAAAAAAACAGCTTGACTTAATTCCAGTAGGTCATTAGGTTTATCTCTCTTCTTTAGGGGAGAGGCCATTCTTTGACTTTTGACCTTGAGACATGGACAGATTTGTATTCTTCCTTACCTTGAACAAGAGCCTACAAAATACAAGTCAGAAAGAGGCAGAGGGTTAACTCCAGGGATGAGGCAGGGATGGGCAACCTGAGAGAAGACCTGGAAGCAGGTTCTGAGCATATACATCTTAGATCCATGCAGTCTATAAACAGAACCGATGTGTGGAGTTAAGTTCAAAGCCATTGGCATCTGAGCCCTAAATTCAATAAACACTTATTTTTCTAGGTCCCATTATTTGTTGCTGACCAAAGATATCATTTTGGGAACTGCAAAACATCCCCAGGCCTCAATTACCCTACCCCTGCTGAAATGTGAAATCTGTTCTCCCTTCTTCCAATGGTAACAGCCTCCATGAATTTAGTGGGATGCATGAACACCCAGAATAAGGACTACATTTCCCAGACTCCTTTGCAGCTAGCTATGTCTATGTGACTACATTGCGTCCTATTGGATGTAAGTTGTTTTATTGTAGCTTCTACAAATCTTTTTTAAATGACAACTAGCACATACTACTTTTCTCTCTGCCTTTCTTCATTTTGCTGCCCTGTGGACTTGGACATGTTACCTCAGGTCTTCATGCCTCAGTTACTTTATACGTAAACCAGGAGCACAACCTACTTCAAAGAGTTTTGGTAAAGATTAAAAGATTATTGATAATAAATACAAGGTGTATTTAATGAGATAATAAATTTAAAATGCATACTTTGGTGTCTGGTGTATAGTAGATATTAAACAAATACTTTTGTTACTGTCCATGTGAACTTAAAAAAGTCACATGAATCCTCTGAGCCTCAGAGGTTTTCTCCATTATAAAATGAGAATGGTCTTCTTATACCAGATTTAAATCTAAATTATCCAAAGATCTAAATGTAAAAATGTAAAAATAACAACAAAACCATATAAACATTAGAAGAAAGCATGAATAGATTCCTGTATGACTAAAGTATGGGAAAAACCTTTCTACTTATGATTCAAAACATAATGTAATAAAAAAGACTGATAAATCTGAATGCATAACCATTTTGTAACAAACATCGAAAGTGAAGTCAAAAGAGAAGCTGGAAGAAAACATTTTTAATCTATGTCACAGATAAGTAGTTGATGTCCTTAATACATAAAGAGTTCTTAAAAATCAAGAATAAAGACCAAAAACTCAGTTTTTAAAAATAAGGAAAAAACGTGATTAGATGGTTCACAGAAAGAGATGTATAAATGGACCTCAAAATGTGAAAAGGTGTTCAACTCCATGCACAAGAGAAATGCAAATTAAAGCTACCCAAACATAGTATTTCTTACCTCTTAGACTGACAAAAGGTGAAAGCTTGACCACATACTCTGTTGGAACATGGCGACAATGTAGGGAAACAGATTATCTCATACATTGCTGGTGGAAATGCAAATGGGGTATTTGAAAATATCTAACAATATCACATATGTGTTTACCTTTTAGCCCTTCAATCCTACATTTTGGAATTTACCTAAAAATATACTTCTGCAAGCCCAGAACAACAAATGCATGTGGTTATTCATTATATCATTTGTAGTAGCAAAATATTAGAAACAACCTAAATGCCTACTCATAGGAGACCAGTTGAACAAACTGTGAATCTTCTGGATAATGAAGTACTAAGCAGCTACAAAAAAATTGAGGATAACTGTTACGAATGAAAATGATTTCTAAATCTTTTTTTGCTTTAAATGAAAAAGCAAAGTGCAAGCGAGTACCTATGGTATGTTCTCTTTTATCTAAAAAATATGGAAAGCTAAAAATACATGAATATAGAGTCATAGAAGTAAAAACTGGCAGGATTCACTTATGGGTAAAAGTGACTATAGAGAGTAATTGGGGGCAGGGTGTGGTGGCTCACGCCTGTAATGCCAGCACTTTGGGAGGCCGAGACGGGTGGATCACAAGGTCAGGAGATCAAGACCATCCTGGCTAACACAATGAAACTCCATATCTACTAAAAATACAAAAAATTAGCCGGGCATGGTGGCGGGCGCCTGTAGTCCCAGCTACTCAGGAGGCTGAGGCAGGAGAAGGATGGCATGAACTGGGGAGGCGGAACTTGCAGTGAGCCGAGATCACGCCACTGCACTCCAGCCTGGGTGACAGAGCGAGACTCCGTCTCAAAAAAATAAGTAAATAAATAAATTAAAATTAAAATTTAAAAATTTAAAAAAGAAGGTAATTGGGAATGGGGTGACAGCATGGAGATAAGAATGAGACTGCTCTTGGGACTTCTTTGTCTATAATTTATACTCTTGAATCATATAAATATTTTACAGATTCAAAGATGAAATTTAATCAAAGATGTTGAAAAAGACACCAAACCCTAAAATTGAAGGCAAATAGAAACAAACAAGCCTAACTACACATCACGTTGATAACTCTGCTAGGCAGGCTTCTAAAGTGGCCCCCATTGATGCTCACTTCCGGATACTCCAGCATTTTGTTTAATCCTTTTCCCTTGAACGTTGGCTGGACCTGGTGACTCACTTCTAATGAATGAAATATGGAAAAAGTAATGAGATGTTACTCCTGACAATTAGGTTCCAAAGGGGTGTGACTTCTATCTTGTTGGTATTCTGTCTCCCTGGTGCTTCTCATGTGCTGAGCTTGATAGAGAAGGTGACCTGGCAAGGAACTGAAGGACATCTGGCAATGTACTGAGTGAGGAACTGGGGCCCACAGTCCAGCAGTCTCCAAGGAATCAAATCCCACAACAGCCATGTGAGTGAGCATGGAAGTAGATCTTCCCCGGTCAAGCCCCCAGAAGGACCCAGCCCTGCGGACACCTTGACCGAAACCTGTGAGAGCTCCGGAAATAGAGGAACCAGGTAAGCCACACCTGGATCCAGAGAAACTGTGAGACAAGAAATGTTGTTGCTTTAAGCCACTAAGTTCTGGGGTAGTTTGTTAAGCAACAATCAATAATAATACAAATGTAACCATGTAGGAAGGGAATCAGCTCAAATAACCTTTGAACACTGTTCTCTAACTGTGCTCTCAATTAAATACACTCTAAGGACAACAAGAACTTCAAAGAAACCTTGAACTTGAATGAATAGATAGTTGTTGATAGTAGGATCAGTGTAATTCTGAAACCATTGAGCAAATATGTTGATATTGGGGGAAATGGGGTTCTCACCGTGAAATCAGAGAGATATGATATGGAATGAGGGAATTGTGAGAAAGAACTTTGTGATGTTGGATTTAATTTGGAGGCATCAGAATGAACTCAAGTGTGTCTTCTATTTACTGAAAGAAACTAGAAATAGCAATACCTTTGTAGTAACAAGCACACCTAGAACATGTATTTTGGCTTTTATTTTATTTTATTCATTTTTGAGATAGTATCTCACTCTGTCACTCAGGCTGGAGTGCAATGGCATGATCTTGGCCCACTGCAGCCTTGACCTCCTGGGCTCAAGTGATCCTCCCACTTCAACCTCCTGAGTAGCTGTGACTATAAGCATGCGCCACCATGCCTGGCTAATTTTTGTATTTTTCTTGGTGGAGATGGGGTTTTGTCATTTTGCCCAGGCTGGTCTGGAACTCCTGGGCTCAAGTGATTCTCCTGCCTTGATATCACGGCTTTTAAATACCATTTTCCATTGAAAGGGATCAGGTCATCTTGGAGAAATGGATGGTTTAAGGATTTGAACAAGGAAAATAGAAGATGAGTCTGGAACATTTTATTGTGTCAGAAAGTTAGGAAGTTCTCAAAGAATGAAGGAGGCACATGTACAAGGATGCAGGGGCCAGCTTGCAGGGGTCCACCCAGCTAAACCTGGGACAATTGGAGCATTAAAAATTGCTCATGCATAGTATTTAAAATAAGAGGAGAGCAGCGGGAAACCCTTCTTTACCAAAGAATGTTAACAGTGTGAAAAAATACATAAATTTCAGAACTCCGTGTTGCAGTCATCCCTGCAATATTTGATTCTGGCAAGGATCATTAATGGATTCCAAAACTACTGGTTGAAAGTTTACGAGAGAAAGGGGTGTTTACATACTCCCGAAATACTATCCCACAGATTATATTATTTACACAGGGAAAGGGGTTCTTTAACAGTAGAAACATCTAGTGGATCCCACCTTAACCAACTGACCAAATACTTAGCATATTCAGTAATGGGACCAAGTGACATCATATGTCCCCTGAAGAGATGCAACGGACAACACATACCTTTGTGATGTGACTGCCCAAAAGGCTTACCCTCAATCAGATGGTGAGGACATCACTGGACAAACCCAGATCGTGAGACATTCAAAACACAGTTGGTCCAGACTTTTCAAAAACGTCAATGTCATTAAAAAGGAAGGAAAAAAGGTGAGGGGCTGTTCTAGAGCAAAGGACAGGAAAGCGGTATGAAAACCAACCACGAAAATATGTGTTCCTCCTTGGATCCTCACATAGACTGATGGAGGCAGACGTCCTCCTTGTCAGTGGGCACAAGCTCCCCTCCTGGATGCCTTGATCCCAGCCCGAAACTCAGGGCCATCCTCCCCACCCCATATCTACGGCATTTTGAGGGTATGGAGGAGGGAATTGTAAAGCTATTTGCTAAACTTTCTCTGGACGTTCCCTCCCTCTCCCTGACCACCCCACCCCACTTCCTGGCAAGCCTTCTGGCTGTGATTTCATCTGGAATTACTGGAATCACACTGTCTCCTGTCAGCTTTCTCTCCCTCCCCCGGCCCTCCTGCTGATGAGAGACAGGAGCGATGGATGGTCTGAGTTAGCGGGGTCCCGGCACCACCCAGCGCAAAGGCACTGCACTCACGCACGCCATGCACATGCTGGCTCACCTCCTCCATCCCATGCCTCCCCTGTCTCCAGGTCT
This sequence comes from Homo sapiens, assembly GCF_000001405.40. NCBI lineage: Eukaryota > Metazoa > Chordata > Mammalia > Primates > Hominidae > Homo > Homo sapiens. The sequence goes on along the minus strand of NC_000022.11, from coordinate 27,224,518 downwards.
CTGTCTCTTACTTTATTTTTCTCTCCACCTCCTTGTGTCTGCCTGCCTAAAGATTTCTGATGCTTAATCCTCCTCTGTCTCCCTTGCTGTCTTTCTCTGTCATTGTATCTCTTGGCATCTCAGTTCCACGTCTTCTGTTTCTCTCTCTTTCTCCACCTATTTTCCCTTCAGAAGCATTTTCACCCCAATGTCTCTGTATGTTCCTTGCAGCATTCCCTCTGGAATACATCAGCACTGTTGCCTTTGAGGCTGGCCTGCTTGAATGCACACCTGAGCTCCGGATTCACAGGTAGGTGTGTGACCTTTCTTAACTTCTCTGGGCCTCAGCATACTCCTTTTTACAGTGGGAATAACAATAGCACCTCTCACACGAAGTTCTGGAGGGAGTCGAAAAATTGGCACAGGCAAGCACTCCATAAAATCTGCAGTGGGCTAGAATCCACACTGCATACCTTGGTCACCACAGCCCCCCTCCTGCCTTACTCCAACCAGGTCTTCTTTGATCCCTGCTTTCTTTACACACTCTAGCCTCATCCACACCTTCTTGTTTCCAAACATGACAAGCTCACTCCCACCTCTAGGCCTTTGTCCTTGCAGATCTTCTCCCTGGGAGGCTCTTTCCAAAGACTTTGACAGCATCTACTTGTCACATCATTCTGGCCTTCTGGCACTCTTTGTGGTGGTTTTAAAATATGTCATTACATTCTTTGACACTCCTCCCTTCAAAAGGCAATGATTCATTCCCCTCTCCTTGAGTGTGGGCTGGACTTTTTGACTTGCTCTTGGAGAATAGAATGTGGTGGAGAGGGATGGTGTGTGACCTCTGAGATTAGGTCATAAGTGAAATTTCGGCCTCCCCCAGCAATTTCTTGGATGATTCACAGTGGAGGAAGCCAGATGCCATGTCATGAGGGTGCTCAAGCAACTTTTTGGAGATGTATGTATGGAGAGAAACTGAGGCCTCCTGCCAACAGCCAGCACTAACTTGGCAAGCATGTTTGAGAGCCACCTGGGAAGTGGAGCCTTCAGCCCCAGTTAAGCCTTCAGATGAGACTGCAGTCCTGGCCACCATCTGGACTGCAACTTCACAAGAGCTCCTAAGCCAGAGCCATGCAGATGGATTCTTGGCCCCCAGAAATTGTGCCACTACATTTTGGGAAATTTATTATGCAGCCATAGATTACCAATACACTCACTATTTCTTTTTTCTGATGCCATACTATATTTTTGTTTGCTGATTTTTTTCCTCCGTCTCTCCCACTAGGCATTAAGTTCCATAAGGGCAGTGACTGTGTCTGCGTGGTTCATCCATGTGTCCCCACAGCCTGGCATATGGAGCTCACTAATAACTCAGGCATGGGTAAATGGAGATCACTCATTTTAGGCTCAGCCTAATAAATCTCCCTCCTATGGCTCTCTCTAGAGAGAGCAGTAAAATTTGCCCAACTTCTTTTTCTGTCTTTCTGTATTTGATTTCTTACACTTTCTGTGGCTTTCTGCTTAGTTTTATTCCTGGCTGCCTGACAGAGGGTGGGTTTATGCAGATAAAGAGGCACCTGTGGGAGGAAGGGCTCTGTGTGCTTTCTCCTTTAATAAGCTGTGTCTAAAAAAAAAAAAAAAAAAAAAATAGCTCCCCTTTGCAAAAGGGACGAAAATAGCCAGGATTTTCCAGGATTTTAATGGAGATGGGAGGCGGGTACTGGGAGGCTGAAGACTGAGGCAGCCCTCTTCTCTCTGAGCAGCCCCAGTCTGATCACTGAGCAACCCCGGTCTGATCACTTACCCACACACCCACACTTGAATTATACTCACTTATTCATTTATCCATCTTTCCACCAAGTCAATTGTTAATTAATTCCCTATTTATTATTTGCTTATCTATTTATACATTCATTATCTATCCTATATTTTTTACTTATGAATTAATCCATTTATCCATCCATGCACTCAGCTATTCATCCATCCATCCACTCTCCATCTATCCACCCATCTATACATTTATCCATCACTGATCCATTCACCCACCATCCACCCATCTTTCCATTCATCCACCCATTCTTTCATGCATCCATCTATCCATCCACCAACCCATCCATCTACCCATCTATCCACATATCCATCATCCATCCATTCACCCATTCATCCACCATCCATTTGTCATCCATCTATCTATCCATCCATCCATGCATCCATCCATCCATCCACTCATCCATTTATCCACTCATCTATCCACTTATCCATCATCCATTCATTCACCCATTTATCCACCTATCCTTCCATCCACCCATCTATCCACTTATCCATCATCCATTCACCCATCCTGCATTCATCCATTATCCATTGATATACTTTTCATTTAATCCGAACACCCTAATGCCTTTATGTTAATTAATGAATTTATTCACTTAACCATGTGTCTATTTATTAAGTATTTTAATTTATTAATTTACTAAGCTTTCAGTTCTATTCAGACCCCCGAGTATTTACAAGTGCTACTACTTTGTGCCAAGTGCTATGTTAGGCTCTGGAATTAAGAGGTGAAGGAGACAGACCTGGTTCCTACCTGTGTGCGGTTCACCCCACTGATTTCTGGAATTCAGGTGAGGAGCTGTTCATGGGAGATCCTGAAGTCAGCACAAAATTTCTGCTCTCTAGGGACTCATGATGTGACAGAGCTGGATCGTGACACCTGGTGCTGGTTCTACCACTGGAATCCTTAACTTCTGGATGGGCCTCAGTTTTCTTTTCTGGGAAATGGGGACAATGTTGGGAAAATCTTCTTCTTCTTCTTCTTTTTTTTTTTTTTTTTTTTAACAGAGTCTCACTCTATCGCCAGGCTGGAGTGGTGCAGTGGCAAGATCTCGGCTCACTACAGTCTCCACCTCCAGGGTTCAAGCCATTCTCTTGCCTCAGCCTCCCAAGTAGCTGGGACTACAGTTACACACCACCACATCCAGCTAATTTTTGTATTTTTAGTAGAGATGGGGTTTCACCATGTTGCCCAGGATGGTCTCGATCTCCTGACCTCATGATCTGCCCACCTTGGCCTCCCAAAGTGCTGGGATTACAGGCGTGAGCCACCGCACCCAGCTGATAAAACCATCTTGAATGACCTTCATCACTGTGAACAGTGATGCAGTGGCTTTATAAACTCTAGAATGTGCTACAATTATGTGTGTGTGTGTGTGTCTGTATGTGTGTGTGTGTGTGTGTCTGTATGTGTGTGTGTGTGTGTCTGTATGTGTGTGTGTGTGTCTGTGTGTGTGTGTGTGTGTCTATATGTGTGTGTGTGTGTGTGTGTCTGTATGTGTGTGTGTGTGTGTGTCTGTATGTGTGTGTGTGTGTGTGTGTACAAGGTTTCTTTTGAGTTTCCTATCAGCCAAGCATCACACCACTGGGGAACCAGCTACCCTTGCTCACTTTTTGCCCGGATCCCTAGCAAGGTCTCTGGCATCTTGCTGTTATACCAGAGAGCACTAGGCAGCTGTGAACAGACCAAGTGGGCTCTGGAGGGTTGAAGGTGCTTATTATGAATCCGGGGGGTCTTAGGGAGCTAGCAGTCTTTCCTCCTCAAGAAGGAGATAATTATTGTTTAACTTTCATCTGGGCAGTGAATGCGACATTTTTAAACACCTCCCTCCCCATCCTAGAACCTCCAATTGCCAAGGTTAAGTGCATCTTCAAAGTTTATTAACCAAGAACTACTGTGGCTCAGGTGATCTTGGAATAATACAAACCTGCCTTTTAATTTTCACTGAGCTCGTTGTATGCTTTGTGATCCCAGGGAGATTGTTTCACTTCTCTGAGCCTCCATTTCCTCACCTATAAAGTGCAGCTTAGAAATACTTCCAAGGCTGTCGTTGGGAGCATCACATGGGCAGCGTGGGTGCCTAGTAAGTGTTGGCTGTTGTCATTCAAGAAGGATGGTGTGAGCCTGCACATGAGTCAGCAGGGGAGAGAAGGCAAGATTCTGCCCAGAACAAGTCAAGGAAAATCAGATGCAGTTTTCAATTATTGAGTCACAGTCTCTCGTGGCTTGGAAGGAGATAGAGGATTCCTCCTCCCAACCAATACCTTTACGATGTTCTTTCCACACAGCTCTGTGGTTTACAAGGCAGGCTCTGCACTTCATCCTGTTTAATCTTCAACCTGCACGTAGTGTGAGTGGGGTCCCTCCACCCCTTTTTCCATCAGAGCATTAGAACAAGCAGAGTTCTTAGAGCTGGTCCAGTCCAGAGATCTTGGACTGGGGGCCTGCAGGCTGGCGACTCTCATCTGGTCCCAACCAGATCAGGAAAGCAGAAACTCAGTGAAGCCACATGGAGGGGCTAGTGTTGGGTCCTCTGGGTGGAGCCCAAGAAGCTTGGTGGGCACTCAAGACCCCTCAGGACCAGCCCCACTCCCCTGTTCGATTCCTTCCTCACCTTGTTCCCCATTCTCAAATCATCTTGAACTCTGTGCAAGTCCCAGAATGACCCTGGCTGTCTTGGCCTTTGTAAAAGTTGTTCCTTATTCCTAAAATTCCCTTCCACTCACTTTTTGCCCAGATCCCTACTCATCCCTTTTTACCCAGATCCCTTTTTACCCAGATTCCTATTCATCTTTCAGGTCTCAAGCCCAGATGACGTTCCAGGAAGGCCTTCCCTGCCTGGGTGGGGTGGGGGGAGGGCATCTTTGTGTTCCTAGAGACCCCTGGACTCCCCCTACCACTAATAAGTCTGTCTTGAGGTTGTCTGTGTCTATTTGGATGTTTGCTTCTCCCCCTAGACCAGAAGGTCCTTGGAGACTTGGTGTGGGCACCATTCACTCCATGTCCTTAGGCCATAGGGTAATGACAGCATAGAGAGATGCTCAAAGGCATCTTTGAATGAATGAGGAAGGAAGGAAGGAAGGAGGGAGGGAGGGAGCGAGAGAGAGAGAGAGAGAGAGACAGAAAGAAAGAAAGAAAGAAAGAGAGAGAGAGAGAGAGAGAAAGAAAGAAAGAAAGAAAGAAAGAAAGAAAGAAAGAAAGAAAGAAAGAAAGAAAGAAAGAAAGAAAATGAATTTTGGCATAAAAACTTGGGTCTCATGCTTTCCCACCAATATGCTTTTTACAACATTATCTGGATGAGGCTCAGAGAAGTTAGGCAACTTTCCTGAGGTTCCCCAGCAAGAAAGAAGCAGAGCCCAGGGTCAGTGCCATTTATGTTGTCCAATAAAGACAACATTTGGCAGTGAAGAGGGCCCTGGATGTGGGGCCCAGAGACCTGGCTTGAAGCTTGGAGAAACCCTGTTCGGCTCTCTGGGCCTCAATCTCTGCATCTGTAAAGTGGGGCTGCATCCAGATGCCTTAGTGTGTGTCTGTGTCTCTGGGCATGCTCAGGGACACCTTCACAGGGAAAAGAAGCTCGCACAGGTGAAAGGGAAAACATTCCAGGCCAAGAAAGGAGAGCTGGACCCATACAGGTAGAGGAACAGGAGGGAAGTCAGGCTGGAGCAGCAGCAGCAGGAAATGGAAGCTGAGGCTGGGGCTGGGAAGAGCAGCCCGAGAGGCCTTTCATTTCCAGGTGGGCCCAGTTCCCATCCTTGACCTTGGTTGTTCACCTCAAGATGTTTTCAGACGAGAGATACCCAGTCCACCTCTCTGGATCTGAAAGTGCAATTTTATCCCTCCGGATTTGCGTAGAAAACGTCTGGCCCCTGCCCCATCTCGTTTTCCCAGCCAGGTCTCAGAGCTCGGTTCACATGAGGCGAAATATTTGGACATCAGCAAAGCATTAAGTAATTGGTGGATTTTTTTTTCCTTTTCCATTTGCATTTGTTTGTTTCCTGCAGGGTTGCCTGACACTAGCCAGCCTTGAATTTGGTCCTGTTCTCTGCACAGCTGGACTCAGGGAGCCCAACCCAGATTGTGCATAGAACAGGTGGCCTGCCTGGGGGCCAGTGAGATGGTGTTGGGTACATAGACAGCAGCGGGTGCTGCAGACTCCCTGGGATCTTGAGGGGGGAAGTAAGAAAATGGGAGCAGGTCCCCCAAAACACCAGCAGACTGCACTCCCATCATGACCTAATGAGATAGTGCAGTTGACCAAAATAGCAATGTCATCCAAGAGAACACATCTTCCTACTAGCAACAGCCAACACGGGAAATTGAATGAACCCAGGGGGCGCAGACCTAAGAGACCTGGCTAGCGTCTGGCTCTTTGAGCCTTGGGTAAGCCTTTGCCTCTCCTCGTATCTGTTTCTTCATCGGCTGTTTCATGAGTTGTTGTAAAGGTTGCCAGATTTAGCAAATAGAAACACAGGATGCTCAGTTAGATGTCAATGCCAGATAAACAATGAATTACATTTGTTAGTGTAAGTATAGCTTGTGCAATATTTGGGACACAGTTATCCCAGAAATTTTTCTTTGTTCCTCTGAAATTCAAATTTAATGGGGCATCCTATATTTGATCTGGCAACCCTCGATGTTGTAACAATAAAGTGAAATGGTGTGTACACATCCTTCACGGCGTGCTTCACCCCAGGGAAAGTGATCAGAGCCCAGTCACCATTTCTGTTAGTGCCACACCAGGAATACTAGATATTAAGTGCTAATACTAATTTGTTAATATCAATTACTATATTATTAATGATTATTCATATAGTTAATTAATATTAATCAGCACAAATATTAAAACTCATCATTTACTGAGTAGCTACTATGCTCCAGGCATGTCCTTCACATGACTTCATTGTCATCACATCACTCAATGTGGGAATGCCATTGTCCCCGTTTTATTGCTGAAAGTCTCAGGACTCCACAAGGTTAAACGTTGGTTACAGCTGTGACCTGGGTTGCTGATAGAGGAACACTGTTCTGAGTGCCTTGCAAGGGCTGCCTCCTTAAATGGCCTCATCAACTCTGTGAGTAGATACTATTGCTAAACTATTACTACGATCTCTGTTTTGCAAATGGGGAAACTGAAGACTAAGACTTGCCCAAGGTCACACGGGCTCATCAATGGCTGAATGAGGCTTCAAACCCAGGCAGTAGGCTGCCTGGCTCCATCCCTCCTCTAGGCTGCTTTATCAGCCACATGAATAGATAGAACGAGGGCAACTGTGGAGTGTGTCCCTAGAGGGAGAGCACAGGGCTACCAGGCTGTGGCAAGCAGCACACACAGGCACATTACCAGCTGTGTCCCATTTAGCCCTCTCAGCAGCCCCCTGTAAACAAAGACATCACTATTCCTATTTCTGATGGTATCTGAGGCTTCCCTGGCTGTATGCAGTGAGTTGGTGTCAGGACAAATGTTTACAGAGTTCCAGAGCTGAGCACTGGAGCAACTCGGAAGGTCAAGATAGGGTTCAGCCATTGGAGTCCAAGTGCCCACTTCTGCCTCCAACAGAGAAGCTCTGACACTTCCTGGCTGTGTGACCCTGGGCAAGGTACTCCACCTCTCTGATCTCGCATCTCCTTGCCTGTAAAAAGGGACTGAAAAAAAATACCTTCCTCTAGATAGAACTGTTGTAATCTTCAAATGACCCAATCCATGAAAAGCACTGAATATAGTGCCTACTAACAGAGAAACTGCAAAATAAATGTGAGTAGTTACGGTCATTTTTAGGCATCTGTCTTTGGGCTCCCTCAGTAGCAGAGCTTGAGATACAGACTTCAGGGCAGGTGGTTCCTTTGGGAGGTGAACTCAGGATGCCCCAGTAGAGGAGTAACCAGGGAGACAGGAAAAGAAGAGACCAATACAGAGTGTGTGAATGAGCAGGTGACTGCTGCCGGCACTTGGAGCACAGTCCTGCTGGGGAACTCTGGTAGGCTGCACAGAGCACACCTGGGAGTTGTCTCTCCCAGGGGTGAGGGAGTTGGGATATTTATCCTCCAACTCCCCTACATCTCTGGCCTAATCCCTTGCACATGCCCAGTGTACTCAGTGGGCCAGAGAAAGCCCCTGGGCAAAGGCAGTAGTAAAGTGAGTGGGCATGGGAAGGGTGAGGGACAAGCAGGCATGGTCAGGGCACCCACTACATCTTGACAGAATCTCTGGAAGATTTCAGTTAAAAAGCAACCTTCTGCTAAAATAATAACAATGACAACAACAATGGCGTTGACAACGATAATAATAATTCAGGTTGAAAACCAAGGATATGATCTGTCCCCACCCACCCCCATTCAGACCCCCAGACCAGTGTTCTCCTCCAAAGCTGAGAATGGGGTAACCAGCTGTCCAAAGAAGCAACCCAGATTTCCTTCGGCTCCAGGAAGGGCATGGAATGGCTCTCTGAGTTCTAGGAGTTGGTGCCACCGAGAGAGGAGGACATTGCCTGTCCTTCAGGCCTGTGCATCCTGCAGAGGCCGTGGTGCTAATTGCAAAGGTAGGGGACCCATAAAGCATTTTGGACGTCTGCTGGCAGCAGCTGGCTGAAGGCAAGACCTGTCAGGGACCAGCACTCAGCTTTGATTTAGCGTCAGAGTAGAGGTTTAAAAGAAAAAGGAGGAGGAGGAAGATTCCATTGGGTTGAGCGAAAATACTTGCTCTAAGTGGTTGGGCCATGAGTGTATCTGTCAACCTGGAACAAGAAGAGAACTACTATTTAGATAACTATTTGCTGCACCTCCCAAATGTCTGGGGCTTTACCTGGCTTGCCTCCTTGTGTCCCCCAACCCAGCCACTTAAGAATAGGTATTATTATTTTTATTTCCATTTCAGAGATGAAGGAGTGAAGGCTCAGAGGGGGAAGGTGACTTGCCCAGGGCTACACAGTGAGGAATGGTCAGAGCTGGGATGAGGACTTGGCACTGAATCCAGTGCTTATGCCAGCCAATAAGTAGACCCCTGCCTGACACAGGCTATGGGAATAAAATTTGTCTGAAGATGCACTGGGAGGCAGTGGAAGCTGATGGTTAGCTCAGGGCCTCTGGCATCAGAGTTTCTGCTTTATTTCCCAGCCATCCAGTTTTCACTAGCTGTAGGGCTAGTGAAGCGATGTACAGTCTCTGGGACTCAGTTTCCTTATCTGTAAAATGGGGACACAAGTAGTACATTCTTCCCTGGATTGATCTAAAAATTGAATGGCATCAAGGCTTTAGAGAAACTAATTGAGTCCATAAATATTCCATCAACTCTAGGGGGTTTGATAACTCACAGGAGGCTCTTGGAGGCAGAAAATATATGAGCTTTCAATGGTGGAAGCCCAGCTGTTGCATAGGTCAGATGTAAGAGACCAGTCGAATCTGGTTGCAGAATTCCATGCCCTCTTTAGCAACCTCCTTAAGGAGCCTCCTCCTCCCAAGATTGCTTAGAGGAAATTACAAGTCACTGCCCAGAGCGTGGTAGCAGACATCTTCCGCAGGGTCACGCTGTCACCACATAGCGTGATGGTTCTGTGCTAAGCACTTTACATACTTTATCCTACAGGGTCTTAACTACAACCCCTGAGTGAGATCTCTTAGCTTTGCCATTTTATGGGTGAGCAAGTAGAGGTCAGAGAGGCAAGATCCTTTGTTCAAATTACAACAGCTGGCAAGCAATGGAGGCCAGGATGGAGCTCAGGAGCCCAACGGTCCATCCACCATCACCTGAGCTAAGAAATGTGAATTTTTTTCCTACAAATACCCGAGGAAGGTACCGAAGACAGCTTCGTTGCCCTGGGCAGATGGTCACCGCTTGGCCCTGCCTGGTCACAGCTAGTCAGCTAGACTGGATGCTTCTTTGTTTTTCTACAGGACATTCATGTCTCAAGGGACACCAAATCTAGAGACTCCACACTCCACAAAACCTCCAGCCTAGTCCCCCAAATTCAACCACAGCCTCGTTCAAAATAGCCTGTCTCTGGAACACACTGTCCAGCTGCTCCAGACCTTGCAATATTCAGGAAGTCATCTATACCTTAAATAATAATAATAATAGAAAAGTAATAAAGAATGAAATCAAGTGACTTTACCCTGGATACCAGGCCACGTTAGCTCATGGCCCGGTTTTCTGGGTCAGGGACAGGGGTTGTGTGTGATACTCTTATGCAAGGCATTTGGCGGCAGAGAAACTCTAGTTCCTAAAGATTATTATTTTAACTAACCCAGTGTTGACGTGTCCAAAGGCAGCGGGAGGCTCTGAAGGGTTTTCCAAGAAAGCGTGTGTTTCTTGGGGTTATTTTTTCAGACTCAAGTTCAGGGAGGGGGCTGTTTTGCTCAACTCATGTTTCTGGAAAAACAGGCACTTGGAAAGAGTTGGCCAAGGCAGGCAGGATGTGGAATGGAGAGCTGTGGGCCTGCGGGGAGGGGACGGAGGAGGCAGCCGGGAGAAGGGCCGGCACCCTTTGCTCAGTCTCTTCTTGAGCTGGACCTTGGGAGCCTGGCCATCCCCGACCAAAGGAAGAGGCTGCTAGAAGATGAAAGCTGATTGCAGTCTCTGTGGCCTCACTCTTGAGAAATATGCTTCAATCACTTGGCCTTTCCCTGGAGCAGGGATGACGACAGAGGAGAGGTGGACAGACACCATCTTGGTTGGCTTTTAGGCCAACCAAGCCAAGGGTTGCTTCTCATGGAGTGCTGTCTAGATATCGCTGACTCATTGTGTGCCTCGGTTTCCCCTCTGGGCTCAAGAGCTTTGAGCATGCTTTGTGTAACCCAGTCCCTGCTTGTCCCTGCAGGTTCATTCCACGTCACTCTCTTCTTCACGGGCTGGGGTCCAACCCCACTCACCATCCCTCGGACCCCAGAAGGCCCACGGTCCTGCCAGCCTTGAGGCCTTCCCTTCTGCCTGGAACCCTTCTCTTTGCTCCTAACCTACCTCTGTCGTCTTCCTGGCACCACTTGAATATCACCTCCTCGGGAAGCCTTCCCTGATCTCCCAAACTGAGCCAGGGCCTCCCTTGTTCTAGCATTCTGTATTTCCTTGGAGCACATTTCATAATTTAATTCTATAATTCCTTTTCCAGTGTCTACCTCTCTCACTGACTCTGAGGCCCATGAGGAGAGAAACCACGTCCTTCTCATTTACTGTGGTTTCCTTGGCTTCTCGCCTGACATACAAAAGGTGCTCAGTGAGCGAATGGAAACACCTCCCAAGCAGGGCTCACAGCCGTGGGTGTCCCAACCCAAGTGCAAAGGCAGAGCTCAGATTTGTCCTGCTGGACCCCAGGACACCAGGCAGGTACCAGACAGGTGATGGACAGATGGAGATGAGTTCTTCTACACCTTCTTAAGATTATGCAGAAAGCCACACTCTAGGGATAAATATATCCCACCCACCTTCATTATATGGTGATCACCAGTCAAAAGAGGTCATGTGCCTCAAAAGAAAGGTCTTTATTTGGTCTGTGAAGACCAGTCATTCCATCCCAAGGACTCCCTTCTTCCTCAAGGTTCCTTTATTCCCTCGTGTTCCCTGGCTTCCTTTCAGAATCCAATGGGGACAGAGACTTCGACAGACTCCCCACAGGGTCTCATGAGGAGACTCCTGTGTGTTCTCACTTCTCCCCTGCTCCTGGAGCCATTGCTCCCCTGAGACCCACAACTCTTTCAAGCTCAGAGGTGAGTCATCCATGCATCACGTGTCTTGGTGAATGTCAAGTGTCTCCTGCTTTAGAGCCTTGAGCCCTGGACTTTGTTTTATGGGGTTTGGCTGTCTGGGGCCGCCGACGATTTCATCCATCAACTCAGGATCGCTCCAACACTAATGCTGAATTTATAGAAGTGGTTAAACAAAGTGTTGACAATAGGGACCGCGTGTTTCTGATTAACACTGCAATTCCAAGGGAAGCTGCCAAGTGTGGGGAAGTCAGTAAAACACAGCAGCGATTTCCCAGGCTCAGTGAGTTGGGGATTTGACATCACGGGATTAACAGATGTTGCGCAAGGAACTTGCAAAGCATTGGGAGGCATTGCTCGACAGAACAGCACAGGCTTATATACAAACCGGAGTTGTTCCTTCCTGTCTTTCTTCCTTTTGCTTTTTTTTTTTTTTTCCTGAGAGATTAAATCTGAATCCTCTTTCAGCCTTAAGAGTTTCCATCAGGAATTGCTGTCAGCTTCAGCAATGCTCCCAGAATCCTGTCCTTACTCCTTTCTGAGAGTGAACAGTAACACTGGCTAACATTTATCAAAAACTTACTGGGGTACCAGATACTTCTACAAATCATCTCCTGTCATCTGCACGGGGAAGCAGGGACTGTGATGATCTACACTTTAAAGCTAATGTTTTAGTCTGAAACGGTCGAAGACTCACAAGAAGTTGCAAAATCAGGACAAAGGGTTCTCAGGTTCCCTTCCCCCAGCATCCTCCGATGATAATATCCTATATGACCATAGTACATTGTCAAAGCCAGGAAATCAGCTTTGGTCCAATGCCACACATCTTATGCAGCTTGTATCCAGTGTGTACATGCATTTAGAAAAATAGTCCTATGATATTTTAGCACATGTTTAGGTTAGAGCAACCACCACCGCATGAGAATACAGAATTTTTCTCTCCCCTCGATAAAATTCCCTTGGGTTACCCTATCATAAACTTACGCTTTCTTCCGCCCTAAGCTCTGGAAGTCATTGAGCTGTTCCCCATCACTATAAGTTAGTCACTTTAAGAATGTCATATAAATGGAACTATACAGTATACAGCCTCTGAGGTTGACTTTTTTCACTCAGCACAATGCCCTTGAGATCCGTCCATGTGGCTAGAGGTATCAACGATTCATTTCTTCTTGCTGCTGGTCAGTATTCCTTTGTATAGATGTACCGTGCTTTATCTATCCACCTGTCGAAGGACATCTGGTGGTTTTCAGTTTGTGACTATTGTGGATAAAGTGCTACGAACATGCATGTAAAGGTTTTTCTGTGATGATCTGCACCCAGCAGATGAGGAGATGGAGGCAAGAGAGGGGAAGTGACTTGCCCAAGCTCTCATAGCCAGCACTTGTAATGAAGATTTGAACCCAGGTAGTCACTCCAGAGGCTTCATGCTTAACCACCTCCAAGACTGAAAATCTTGTAGGTAAGAATAATCAACCCTAAAAGATTAGTTAACACACCAGAAAGATGTGCTGTGTTTATCAGTGGATCCATTTTCTCACAAGAGTACGCCACATGCCCCTTGCAAAGACAGTTTAAGCATCAAAATCTGGAGTCAAAGTCTGGCCCTCGGCTTGGTATGTAGGGATCTTCCCAATCCAGCCTCTACTGGTCTTCAGTTCTCACCTCTTGCCATCCTTCTCTGGCTGAGCAGAATGCTGTTTGCTATTTCCCCTCAAACAGCCCCTGAGATTCCAGCCTCCTTGATTCTGCTCACACCATCCGTTTGCCCAAAATACCCCTCTCTCTATGTCCACAAACTCTCTTCTGTTAGTAGGTGCCTCTGTGGAAAGACTGGTCCATCCTCATCCCACTCCTCTGGAAGGTCTTGGCTCCCATGAATATTTATCTATTTCCATAAACACAAATATATCCATTAAGCAAAGCTTCTCAAGGGCCGAGGATGTGGAAGGCACTGAGCTGAAGCTTGGGAAGCAGAAATAAATAATCTATAGTCTGTGAGCTCAACTGTCAAGTTCCTCAGTCTGCAGACATAGAAAGACATACCGCATGGAGAGATGAATGGAGGGCAATGGAGGGGGAAAAGTGCTAGGCTTGGAAGGTTGGAGCCCCAGATTCAAGTCCCGGATGGCTCCTATCTGGTGGCGGAACCTCCCTGGACTTGTTTCCCACCCTCTGCTCTGTCTTTCTTACAGAGGGGCTATGAACAGGCATGGAGTTAATTCATGATGCAAACATACTTTCTCCCTGGGCTGGGCATCTGCAGTGAGGAGCTGGCCTCCTTCACTCGCCTGGGACAACCAGACCCAAGATCCCAGAGTCATCAAAAGCCAGTGCCATTGCAGCTGGCTGCATGGGAATCCGGGTGCTTCTTTGTCTGCAGGATGCATATCAGAGGACAGCGTCGGGTTGGAACAAGGGGAGTGAGAGAACAGAGGGCCCACAGGGAGGGACTGACCTTAAATGCGGCAGCTCCCTTCCGCCTTAGACCCAGAAACAGCCCCATCAGCCCCACACTCCCACCTGCAGCTCATCTTCCTCCAGGAACCTTTCATGCTTGTTCTGCATTTGATTTCCTCCCTCCAATGGCCTCCTGCTCCCCATAAAATTCAATCTCCTTTTGTTTTCAATTCAATTAAGGGCCAGTAATTCCACCCACAAGGCCACACATTGAAAGTGCAGTCAATAACCCGGCTGTGGTCAAAGGCAGACTGGCCTGAAGGGAGAGACTCACACAAGTCTCTTGAGTCCCAGCTGAGGAGTATTGGATGGGGCCTTGGGGAGAGAAAAGAGCCCCGATGGGAGTTAGTCTCGACTTCTAGGCTTGGCCGTGGCACCTACTCACCCATGACCTTGGGCAAGAGCTGGCCTCCCTGAGCTCAGTTTTCCCATTTGTTAAATGGGACCAAGAAAGTACTGTTTGTACTTTCTGCCCTGTTCTGACAGAGCTTGTAGCCCCATTCTGCCACTCACCCAAATATCATGGGTGTTATTTCAATACTAATTTAACGACTGATTACAAATATACCACACCCAGGAAGCCTGCTTGCAGGAACTTGTCCTCTAAAATATTTGTGCATTAGTTGGGTGTGGTGATATGCACCTATAGTCTCAGCTACTTGGGAGGATCTCTTGAGCCCAGGGGTTCGAGGCTGCAGTGAGCCATGACTGTGCCATTCACTCCAGCCTGGGTGATAGAGCAATACTCCAAGAAAAACAGAGAAAGAAAGAAAAGAAGGAAAGAAAGAAAGAAGGAAAGAAAGAAAGAAAGAAAGAAAGAAAGAAAGAAAGAAAGAAAGAAAGAAAGAAAGAAAGAAAGAGAAAATGAAAGAAAGAAAGAAAGAGGATCTTTGTGCAGATGTGCAAAGGTATTGATTTAAGGATGTCCATCATTTTGGGGGGATTTAGTACATTTTCTACTGCCATACTTTGGAATACCTTTCAGCTGTGAACAAGAATGGGAGTAGATTTACATGTACTGTTATGAAATGGCCAAAATATGTTATTAGGAGAAAGTTGCAGAAATTATATGTTTATATATAATATATATGCACATATGTAATATATACATATAATTTAGAGGAACATATATGAAACATATAGACATATAGATATGTATGTGTGTGTGTGTGTGTTTGAGTCAGAGTTTCACTCTTGTTGCCCAGGCTGGAGTACAATGGCACGATCTTGGCTCACTGCAAACTCTGCCTCCAGGGTTCAAGCGATTCTCCTGCCTCAGTCTCCCAAATAGCTGGGATTACAGGTGCCTGCCACCACGCCCAGCTAATTTTTTCTATTTTTAGTAGAGATGAGTTTTCACTATGTTGGCCAGGCTGGTCTCGAACTCCTGACCTCAGGCCATCCACCCGCCTTGGCCTCCCAGAGTGCTGGGATTACAGGCGTAAGCCACCGTACCTGGCCCTATGTTTCTTTAAGAAACAAACCAACATTACAAACAGTATATACATTGAAACAGCAAAATTGATACTTATGGGTGATGCCTGAAGCACATCCCATTTTTAAATAATAGGGTTTGGAGTGGGGAGAGGGGAGTTAAGCACTTTCAAGTTTTCCAAAGAGCATAAATTACTTTTATAATTAAAACATATATAAACCTATAAAATGAAATGAATCCCTACTTGTGGTTGAGAATCTGAGCCTTGCATTAAGGTAAAAAAAAAAAAAAAAAAAAAGAATATTTAATTCCCACAACTCAGCGATAACCACTGTTGACATTTTAATGTATTTCCTCACGGTCTTTTTCCTTATTCACGAACACGTATATTTTTATAATAAAGTTAGAATTACGCTTCATAGAAAATTTTGTAGCCTGTTCTTTCACTTAACGTTTTCACATAAGGGTTTTCCCAGATCATTAACATTTACCCTGTAATCATGCTAGGAGGCCCTGTGATGGTACGGCCCCCTGTATTTTCTCTAATCCCATGCATGTCCGAATTACCCATCCATTGCTTTGATTGGCTGGCTGCTCCCCCAGGGCAGGGACACAGCCATCCTATTCTTTGCTGTATTAACAGACCTTGCTCAGTTTCTTATCCTTAAAATGGGATAATAGCAGAGGTCCTCTCACAGGTCCTCCTAAGGATGAAAGGAGATGAAATACATAGCACATGGTTGTGGGTCAATAAATATTTGCTCAATAAGTAAATAAACAGAAGGGAGAATAAGTGAAAGTAAATATTTTTAAATAGGTGCAAACAGTGGCTGATGGGAAACCCTCTATGTCAAAGTCATGGGCTGTCTCTGTTTTCTTACCCTTAGGGATCACAGTGGTAAACGTCCTGGCATGACACATCTGTATGTAGGCTAGGCTCTGTGTCTTCTTCAAAACCTTTCAATTCTTTCCTGATGCTCTGAGTCACTCCAGGGTGGGAAATCAGGCCCTCACCAGAGCCTGGCTTTGAAAGCAGCCAAAACAAATTGTTGCGCTGGTCCCTGGAGGGGAGTGTCATTTCATCCACATAAGTGGCTTTTGACTGAAGCCAGGGAGTCAGTCACACAGCTTGGGAAAGACAGTATTTCCCAAGACAGCCTGTTGTGCAGGAGAGCCCGGGGGAGTGGCTGCGGGTGAGTTCCCAGGTGGGATCCATCCTTCGAGCCCCAGATTCCTTGACTCCCATAGTTGGGTAGACTGTAGTCAATATCTAATACAAGGTGCTGAGTCAGACATGTTTTGAGTCTTAGGTGAAAACTTCAAATGACAAAACCGTGCCTAGATCCCTCTTCACCACTTCTGGTGTGACTTTGGGCTCTGTGAACCTCAGTTTCTTATGCTTAAAATGGGATAATAGCAGAGGTCCTCTCACAGGTCATTGTGAGGATGAAAGGAGAGGAAATACAAGCAACACTTAGCACAGTGCCTGGCACACGGGATGGTCATGATCAAGGTTGGCCATTATTTGAGCCTCTCTGGGGACTTTTGGATCAAATCCGTGCCACTCCTTTGCCTTGTAGATCAACTCCATTTCACTGGACTTATCACCACTGCTTGTGTCTTTGCAGAAATGTAGCTTCCTCGTCAGAAAGTCCCTTGTGGCTCTGCCTTGACCGTACACTTCTAAACGTTTTCTTTGATGATTCAAAGGGGAACACAGAGAATCTATGACCAGATGTCTGACTGGTAGGTAGCTGGGTGGCAGCAGGTGGCAAACCCAGGACTTCAAAGGATCTCAGGTGATTGGAGAATAGGTCAAATCTAGGCAGGTAAAATTGAACAGGGAGCTCTGAAGATCCTAGAGCTGCATCCAAAAATTCAACTCTAGGAATCATATTCACTTTAACAATAGCTCACAATGCAAATAATAGTAGCTATAACACAAGCTCACAACCATCCCATTCTATGCCAAAAACTGTTAAGTAAGGGCTTTGCATGCAGTCTTCTTCATCCTCCACAACTTCCCTCTGAGTCAGTTCAGTTATTATCCCCATTTTCAGAAGAGGAAACTGAGGCTTGGTTCCCATACCCAAGGCCTTCCAGCTAGTAGATGGTTGAGACAAGATTCAAAGGCAGAGGACATATGACTCAAGACCATGCTTCACCCATGAGCCACCTTGAATGACAGAACTGCCAGGTATGTGATTCAAGTTTGGTCTGGGGATCTTATGGAGGTTCGCAGGCCACTGAAGACCCAGGTGTTTTCCAAGAGGCTGGCTTTGATTCATTACCACATTCATTTGTGCAGCCAGGATTAACTGAGAAACTACATGTGCCAGGTGCCATTCAAAGCAGGAGATTTAGGGTGAACCAGCTAGAAATAGTCTCTGCCCTTGTGGGGCTCACAGTCTAGCAGGAGAGACCAATGATAAATAATGATTCCGGGGGAGTCCAGGTTGTAAGAGATGTTACAGAGGACTCAGCAATCACCACACACCCTGGGGCTTCACCTGGCTGGACTCAGCCCCTGGCAGGGGAAATCCACTACCTTCTTTGGAGTGAAATAATACACACAGATGCTTGGCAATATGCCTGGTACATAGCAAATGCTCGATGTTCACTGTAATAATAACAAAAAATATCCCCACTCTGACTTGCATCATTGACTTCTTGGACCCAGCAGGATGACTTTGCTCTTATTTCTGTTAAACTTGACTTCATTAGATTTAGCATGTAGCTTGGCACACTCGCAGCCCCTCCAAAGCAAAGACCCTCTCCCCTTACTGTGGGGATTAGCCGGGAGAGATTTGTTTTGGATCTGAGTTCTCATGGTTCCACTGGTTCAAGCCTCCTTTACTCTTGAGCTTGTTTAAGGACTCAGCCTGAGCCTCCAGCATTTATCTGCACTTAGGCACCGACTGCTCCAAGGATTTGCTCTGATTCATCCAAATGTGGTCCTGGCCCCAGATCTGTGGAGCCTGGAAATGCCATTTGCAACAAAAGGTTGAAACAAATATCCCTTTGGAAGGAAAAGGAATACCTTAAACAAACTAAGTTAACTCTGATACAACCCTTGCTCTACTTAGATACCTCCCGTGTGAACATATGTTATTGAGTTGCTTCAAACTACAGATGCCCAGTAGATGCTCTGCTGAACCCATGGTCCCATTGCCCAGACGCAGAGACTGGGCCCACTGAGGGATATGCTCAGTGGAGCCACAGGGGAAGCCTAAGTTCTGTCCTGACAGGTGATGGATTCACTCTTGGTCACAGCAGCTCCATCTGCCCTGAGATGGAAATCTCATCAGGCGGGTTTTCCTCTGAGTCCTGTGTCTTTCCTGCACTGGTACTTGCAGGGGACACTATAGAAACAGCCTCTCATGAAGGTGTTTCGTAGTTTCTGCTTTCTGGCCTCACTCTGGGCCAGGAAACGCTGAGAAGACAAATGCTGCTGGGGCTTGTCTTGGGTGGGAACGTTTTTTAAAATGCAAGAAAGCATTTCTTTTATTCCCCACTCTCACTTGAAGCCAAACCCTAGACTTCCCAGCTTGAGATCTTCTCACCTGCTAATGAGAATTCCTGATTCTCCTGCTTAGCTCCAACATGACGGGGTGCAGGGAGGAGTTCTGGCCACGAGTCCAGCATTTCTTAAACTCAAATAATGTAGGGTCCATTTTAAGGAACAAAAATGAAGAGGCTCCTAATAGTTACTTAAATCAGTTGATTTTAAATTTATACCAGTGTAAATCAACATATTAACCTCTTATATCTTATTTTTGTAGAAAACCCCCTCACCTTCTAAACATAACTACATAAACATACAATTTAAATTATCAACGTTAATTTAATATGATGGAGAATGAATGCTGTTTGTTTGAGTCTAAACCACACATGCCAGGCTTAATATAGAAAGATTGACATTCTAGATCCACTTCTATATGTATAGTCTGCATCAGTTAGAAATGGCAACTAATAAAAGAGACCCAGAAGACCACAGTTTAAGTGAATTGAGGTTTTATTTTTCTCTTGTGTCAGAGTAATCAGGAAATATCCGGACTCTTCTGCGCTAAGAGCCTTAGCACGAGGCCAGCAAGTTCAAGGTGCCTGATGGTCACAATATGGCTTCTGTGGCTCCAGCTATTGCATCTGTACTCCCTGCAAGAAGAAAATAGAAGGAGGGAATCATGCCCCCCAAGTACACCCATCTCTTTTGAAAAGTCTGCTCATAAATCCCACCTAACAACCTTTGCTTGTGCCGCATTGGCAACTCTATATCTAAGGGAGACAGAGAATAAAATATTTTAGCTCAGCGTATTAGCACCTCAGATAAAATAAGGGGCCTGTCGCTATGGAGAAAGGGAAGAATGGACTTGGGATAGGAGAGTACCAGTGGCTGCCACACTCTATTTTTGTTTTCTAACTTGTATAATTCCAAGCAAAGAATGCCTTTTGAAATGGGGTATTGGTCAAAACGGTATGTGGAATGGGAAACTTTAGCCTGTTAGCTCTGGATAATCAGACCTCAGTTAAATCAGATTTCACTTAATCTACTGAACTTAACGAGGCATCACATGAGTACACAAGAAGGTAGTCTGCTTTGCATAAGCCAGATTTTTGAAATCACCATTAAATGAGCATCTATTACAATTACTGAAGGCATCAGAAAGAGAGAAAGGTTTTCACTGCATATTGCCTGCCTCCCTCATTGCCAGTGAGTGATTGCCCATTGGCCTGTGAAGGGCTGGAGTCTAGTGTCCACTCACGTGTGAGTCTGGCACTGATGCAGTGGGCTGGACCTTGCGGAGGCCACTGTGCTTTCATCTGCTACGTGATGAGGCAGCTCTTCCATCACATACTACTCTTAGAACACCAGCAGAATCTTCATTGGAACCACGCTGTGAGATCCTTTGGATTTTACTCAATAATCTCACAACTGCGAAAGCAAATATCAACTCAGGCACTGAAGTCACATGGAAGCCCTTTGTTCTAAGATGATCTCCCAGGTTAGAAGGCAATTAGAACCCTTTTCCGGGTTATGGTAGAAATGAGAAAACCAAAGCAAGTAGACAAGTGAATACATTGGGGTGTGTTCGTGGGTCCAAGTTTGAGACATGATGGCTTCTGCCACCAGGTAGATGGTTTTCAAAGGGCATCTATGTCCATGAGTCTGTGTGATTCCCTTACAGGAGCCCTGGAAGCAGATGGAAGGGTTATTTCAATTGAGAGGTGAAGGACTTGTCCGTCAGAGAGGACAAGCTACCTGGTGAAGGTCCCACAATTTATGAAGGTCTGAGCTGAGAGTCACCCTTGCTCTGTCCTGGAGCTGTGTAGGGCTGGGCTCTGAAGCCTTCTGCAATATTGCAGCTGAGGCCCCCAAAGTGGCGCCACCATTCCTGTGGCCCCCAGAAGCAGAGGAGACACCCTAGGCTCCTAAGACCCAAAAGCATCTTAGAGAAGATCTAGATCCAACTACCCATTACACAGATGTGGGAAGTGAGCCACTGGTGGGTGAGAAGCCAGTGAGTCAGTAAGACAGCAACAAAGATGGGGGCTGTTTCCAAAGGCCAAGTCCATGGCAGAAACCCAGCAGTTTCAGGGCACGCAGGGCCACAGCAAAATCCTATTCAAGGATTTGCTGCTGCAATGAAAATGCTTATTATTGCCGTCACTACTACTAGCAGTTCATGCCTAGTAGAGTCAGCTCTCAATAACTATCTCTGGCTCCTCCTCACTCTTGTTATTCAGCAGACTTATTAGCACAGTGCCTGGCCCTATTATTATTATTATTATTGTTCACCAGCTACTCTGGCTCCAAGAAGTGCTCCAAAAATAAATTGATTGAATGAATGAATGAGTGATTCTAGCAGAGTTCCCAGAGCGCCTACTCTGCCCCGCTTGGCCCGGCCGCCTCCCCACACCAGATCACTGTCTGCCTCCTTGTGATATGAAGCTGCCTTTCCCATCACCAGCACGAACTGGACTCCTAATCCACTGTTCTTTGGTTTAAGAGTCATTACAAAGTGCTTAATTAAGTAAGCCTCGCTTAATCACCAAATGTTTGCATGCGAAACAAGTTCCCGGGAAGCAGGGCACTTGACATGTTCTGCACAGAAATAATTACGCCGAGGAGGGGGAGGGCCGCGGGCTGGGACTGGGAGCCTCCACATTTCATTTGAGGGCCTCACCCATTCATCACCGAAGGGGAATTAAAAGGCTTTAGCTGGAGCAATTCGAGAACTCCCACATTCCTGCTGGATGAATCACGGGAGTGGGGCCGCTGTCTGGGTTTCCAAAGGCGCAGAGCAAGGGGAGAGGTGGGAATTCGAGAGGCGAGTTGGGGGCTGGTGGGGCCCCGGGGAGGGGTGCTCTCGGGGACACAGGGGAGCTCTGCCTCCCCACAGCCCATGTGATAACAATCCCTCCCTGGCTCAGTCTTTGGCCTGCGTGTTCCAAGTGCTGCCTTAGATAGTTTCAATTGCCCTCTCTCTCTTATTTCAGGAGGAGGTTTGCAAATTGTATATGAATTTGCAGAATACATTGGTGGTGGCGGCGGTGGTGGTGGTGGTGGTTAGTGGAGTGTGTGTGTGTGTGTGTGTGTGTGTGTGTGTGTGTTTGTAGGCTATCATTTAATTTCTTCCTAATCCTGTACTTCCCACAGAGCACTGGATTAGTTGGTACAAGAATGAACTTACCTTTCTTATCTCAATGGCTTTTTGTCTATATTCATATGTATTAGAAAAAAAAAACATACAGAATCAGCACCTCATTCTCTGATTTCAAGGGTATTATCAAATCAAAGTTGGTATAAAGGAAAAAAAATAAATCTTCCAAGGTAGAACAAGGATGTGAACTAAATCAGGAAGGAGGGCCACACTGAGGTTTGGGACACTGTCCCTTAGCACTTCACGTTTCCCACGGTACTTGTCCCAGCAGGACCTCATGTCTCTGGATTGTCAAAGGCTCTTATCATGCCCATTTTGCAGATTAAGAAACAGAGGTCCAGGAAACACAACATAGCCCCTCACTTCTTCTCTGGGATGGTGGTGGCTGCACTGTACTGTCAGAAAAAATTATAAAAGATGTTGATATGGGCCAAAAAATCTATAAAGATTGCTGAATGTTCTGTCTAGCATAACTCTCCAGGATATCTATGCCTTTCATCATCTTTGAGCTATTTCCTAACTCTCGAAGCTTAAGAAAAAAACCAATAGTAATACAAATGCTTGGTGCCATAGAAATGCAAATGAATTGTGTCCAGTGGAATGCAATTGATTATTATCCTCAAGTTATTGACCGATTTCGTATCTACTTGTAAATGAATGCCAGCATTTGTGTTTGCCTGCATGTCTATGTGTGGTGCTTAAATTCTCCTTTGAACCAGTTGTGCCATTTTCCTTGTTCTGTCATTAATTAATGCTTTAAATAAAATCTCTGATGGGTGTTCATTCTGTAATTGCACGAGAGTCGTGATTTTGCCTTTATTTAAAAATGATCCTTTAATGGTACCCACCCAATAAGGAAAGGTCGAATTCAACAATGTGAGATGGGAGAGTAGAGGGACTGGGTTTGGATGATATTTTGAATGGAAATTGTTGGTCGGTATGTGCGCGTTTCTGTTTTCTGCCGGGTTGCATCTTTTTTTCTCTCCCCATCTCATTCAAGCAGGTTGCCAGCTCTACCGTCACCATTCGGGGGTGGGTACAAGCCATGCAGAGAATTGACAAAGATCCCTGGCTTTCTGATATTTTAAAACTAAGACCCTGGCTATGGCACCACCCTGGGGGTACAGGTGGGGACTGAGCTTTCTCAATATCTGCCTTATATTATGTTTTCCTCTAGCCCAACGGAATGGGGGCTGGAGAAAGAAATTACATTGATTTACAGAAAATAAACAGCTGTGATTTCTTGCAGACTCCTGAGCTGGGGGGCAGGGTTCAAGCCTGCCACAGGACTGGTCATGATAGCCTGAATTTGTGTCTCGTTTAAGCCTCATCTGACCAGAGGCTTTATTTATTTATTTATTTATTTATTGTTTTTTGAGATGGAGTCTCACTCTGTCACCCAGGCTGGAGTGTAGCGGTGCGACCTTGACTCACTGCAACCTCCGCCTCCCGGGTTCAAACAATTCTCCTGCCTCAGCCTCCCGAGTAGCTGGGATTACAGGCACCAGGCTACTTTTTTATTTTTAGTAGAGATGGGGTTTCACCATGTTGACCAGGCTGGTCTCGAACTGCTGACCTCAGGTGATCTGCCCTCCTTGGCCTCCTAAAGTGTTGGGATTGCAGGCGTGAGCCACCGCATCTGGCTCACGAGGGCTTTTACAATGGAGAGAAGCACGGATCCGAGAGAGTAGATAATTCCCCAAATCCTCTCAGCAAGTGAGATGTGCCAACCTGAGCCCAGAGCCTGTGCACTGCATCACAGTTGCCGGGGTTCCCAATGTTAGCAGCCTCGGCATCCCGAGAGGAGCTTCCGAAATGCAGGTGCCTGGACCCTCCTTCCCTGAGATTCTGACGTAAGACCTAGTAAGACCTTTTATTGATGTAGGGCCCAGGACTCTGCATTTGACCATCAACCATGTTGATGCTGACACATAAGCAGATTTGAAGGAATTCTACTCCACTGGTTAATTCTAACACGTGGAGGAAAGCAAAAATGCTAGATAAGAAGTGGCCCAGAAAACACATTGCAAACAACATTGAAGGAAAAAGAAGCATTCAACTGGGTCCCGGAGGGCCCAGGAGACAAACCAGTGGCATCAAAGTCACCCTGGGCTGTCTGGATGAAGCAGAAAAGTCCTCAATTTTCAGGCTGGAAGGACTCCTGGTACGCTTCCATTTTACAGATAGGGAAACTGAGGCTTGGATCAGGAAAGTGATTTGCTTAAGGTCCAACAGCTGGAAAAAAGCAGAGCAAAAGCTACCATTTAGGAACCCTAGATCTTGGGCTACTTTCTCTACACGCGCTCATTGATTCACTGATGCATTTCATTTGCTCATTCATTCATTGACTCTTTTGTTGAGCTTGTATTAAGGCCCTGCTATATGCCAGGCATAGTGACTTATTAAATAAACACTTATTGAGGATCTACTATGCCGCAGGTGCTGCTTACTTGGGATATGAGGAGCTCACGTTTTATACATGTGTTTGGAAACACGTGTATAAGAAAAACCAAACAGGCCGTGCATAATTCCTCATGCCTGTCATCCCAGCAGTTTGGGAAGCCAAAGCAGGAGGATTGTTTGAAGGCAAGAGTTTGAGAGCAGCCTGGGCAACATAACAAGACCCCATTTCTACAAAAACAAAATTAAAAACCTTAGCTGGTCATGGAGGTGCTTACCTGTAATCCCAGCTACTCAGGAGGCTGAGGTAGGAGGATTGCTTGAGCCCAGGAGGTTGAGGCTGCATGAGCTATGATCATGCTGCTGCACTCCAGTCTGGGTGACAGAACACACACACACACAGACACAGACACACATACAGTGACAGAAAAATCACCACCACCAACAACAACAAAAAAACCAACAAAACAAACAAAAAACGTTTATGCAAACAATAAACAAATATCCCATTGCTCTACAGTTGACAACTCACTTTGAATACACATCATTCAATTCTCACACCCACCAACTCTGTGGGCAGAAAAGACGAGATACTCCAATCCCAAATCAGCAGATGAGGAAACTGAGGCCAGAGGGGTGAAGCAGCTTCCCCAAGTCCCACTGGGAGTGTTGGCTTTGTGGCTCCAGCCCCACTGTTTCCAAACCCACCTAGTGGAGTTCCATTCCCAGGGGTACAGAGTCCCTGGGCATGCAAAAGAAAGGTTGAGGGGCAGAGGAGAATCCAGGGACATGGGAAATAATAATAATTGAGGCTCAATTTATGATGGAGCCATTCTAAGTGTCTTGTTAATCCTCAAATCACTCTGCCAGGGAAGCTTTGTTGCCTCACTTTACAGAAAAGGAAATTTAGGCTTAGAAATGTGTAGAAACTCACTCCAGATCTCACTGCCAGTACTTAGCAGAAGAGGGGCTCTGCCTCCCACAGATGTGCCAGGAAACTCATGGACGTATCATAGACATTCTATAAACACCTGTACAATCCAGGAGTGTAAACCACTCCCCTTTTCTGCCACCACTAGCCCTCCCCTGGGAATTCCTCAAGACTGTTCACAAAGACAGCTCCATCAGAAGCTGAAGAAAATCAGCCTCAAGGAATTATCTAGGGCCAGATTCTTTGCCCTGGGTTTGGGGAAGAGGGCATGCTTGCCAGCACCTGTGGCTCATTGGTTTCCTCTGGCTGTGAGCCTGCTCTACCCATGCATGGGCAAGGATGCAAGTGCCAAGTAATTTACACTGCCCTAGGAACAGTCCTCAACCAGTCCCAGGTGGGAGTTGGTGTATAAATACCCCAGCTCCTTTTCCCCACAGAAGTACTTAATCTATGCCACTCCCAGAGTTCCCAGTGGAACTAAGCTCTGGTTGACAATGATAACATACTCCTAATGCCCCTATTAAAGTTTGTCTTCCTTTTCCTCTCTGACTCCCTGCCCCTTTCCTAATGGTGCTTCCTGAGATCACCTTCCAAATAAACTCCCACTGGTTTCCTTGTCTCAGGGTCTGTTTCTAGGGAGCCCCACCTGAGAGAAAGACCAGTGGGCCAGCGACCACTTACAGATCCACCCAATGAACCACATGGCCCATTGTCCCTATACCTTCTGTAAATTGTCAGACATTAAGTATTTCTGGCTTGAGGCTATACGGTCACTTTCACAACCACTCAACTCTGCAGATGTAGTGAAAGTAGCCATAGACAATATGTGTGTGGCTGTTTTACAATAAAGATTTATTTATAAAACAGATGGCCAGTTCCAGGGCTGTAGTTTGCTCAGCTACAGGATCAAACATCTTGAATCATTCAAGGCCTTTCACACTCCAGCCTCATTCTTAAATATTTGTCAACTGCTCACTAGGTGCATTCACAACCCAATATAGGCTCTTATCAGAGGAATTTCAGAATCTCTCCTTTTGGAGAAAATCACCAGT
This sequence comes from Homo sapiens, assembly GCF_000001405.40. Taxonomy (NCBI): domain Eukaryota; kingdom Metazoa; phylum Chordata; class Mammalia; order Primates; family Hominidae; genus Homo; species Homo sapiens. The sequence continues at coordinate 27,198,078 of NC_000022.11, read as the reverse complement.
TACTCCACAAAATAATCAGTTTGGTAAAGCAAACACACATCTTTTCCCCCCAAGATTGATCTACATGGTTCATGGTGGAAATATGTTGTCTCTCCCTGTCTCACACTCCTCCTCATTTTCCAGAAATACAACCACTGCTTCCTTTTGCTTCCTTTACTGCTTCCTGATGTAGCTGATCTCACTGCCAGCCACAGGAGCCACATGTGACCCAGACCTGGCCAATCAAAGCCATCTTTTCCCCAGGTCATGTGATTGTTTCAGGGAGAAGCACATGACCCATTCTGGACCAATGAGAATCTTCCCTGAGATTTTTTTTCTCTTGGTGGGTTACTAAGCAAGGGATGTACCAGTTCAGGAAGGTGGATGGCCATCCCAGGTACAATTTGAGGCCTATTTGAAGGATGAAGCCAAGATAAAAAGAGAGAAGGGGAGCCCTGGTGAAGTCGGGCAACAACATCAAAGCACCTACTATGTGCAGGCTCTGAACTAACTTCTGGTGGTCACAGCATGAGTAAACTCCAGTGTTCCCTGCTTTCAAATGGCTCAAAGACTGGTGAGGGAAGAAGATGAGTCAACCCACAATGACAATTCAGTGTGACAAGTGCTCTTACATGAAGAGGTCTATAGGAGAGGTACGAAAGCGCTAGGGCTGGCCAGGAATGCTTCTCAGAGGAGGTGCTACTTGAGCTACAGTTGGAAGAATCTATTGGTCCTAGCCAACAGGAGGACCAGCATTCCAGACAGAAGGAAGAGCGGGGAGGAACTTGGCAGCAGTGCAGGCTGGGGCACTTACATGGAGCCGTGGGCTTGGAGGCTGCAGACCTGGGCAGGGGCCAGGCTTTCTGGGACTTGTGCTGGTACAAGTGAGACTGTTCCAGGCTGTCTTTGGGAGAGCTTCCCAAGGCTGTGGCTTTGAAGGGGCATTTCTGCTGCACTCACCACTGCATCCACATAGCTCTGATGGTCTCCTCTCTCTCTTTCACACTCTGAGCCTGGCTTTTCCCAGGAATCCAATAGCTGCCACTGAGCCATGACCCTTCTAGACTCTTTTTCCCCATGCTGAGAAAGCATCTTGATGTTGCCAAGAAAAAGACCTGGGTGGGGGACTTCAGAGGAGGAAAGAGCTTCTGCAGAGGACAGATGCTTCAGCCTATGAGAGAAAAAGGAGGAAAAGGGAGAGAGATGACTTTGGCTTGGATTACTGGAAAGAGAAGCTGTCCACTCGCTGGAGACATGCAGAGGAAAGGGAAGATTTGGAGTTGCTTCCAAACTTGGCCATCTTGCTTTGGAGACAACCGCGTTTGCTAAGTCTTGGATTGGCTGGAGAAGAAACTCAGCTATGGGATTCTGGCTCCTCAGTTGCAGAGAGGGTGGGGACATTTGGGGTTTTCGTGTTGGCTCTTAAACACAGAAGTGGGAAGAAGCTAGGGATGGCTGAGAACCCAGCCTCTCCAGTTTACCTCTCCAAACAGAAATTTGTTGGGCAGCTGAGGAAGCAGAGTTGGAAGATGTCAATTTCAATCCTGCTGTGACCCCTCCTGGCCACCTTAGGTTCCCCCATTTTATCCCTTAATCACCCCCTGCATGTGTGCATCGTACTTTTCTCAAACTTTGTGTCATTTTCATTGCTGGGCTCACCTAGTGTCTCTCTTCTGGGCTCTGAGCAGGCTCCAGTTGCCCCAGAGCCCAGCACTCAATACTTTATGAATAAATGAATAAATGATCATGCAGCATAATCTGCCAGATTGTAATCATTTCTCTTGGCCTCAGTCTTCACCTCTGTCAAGTGGGAATAATAATGCCTTTAGCTGCTTGTGCATGTCTGGTGCATATCTGGGCTTCAGTGTTTGATGGCAGAACAAATGCCCCAATGTGTGAGAAAAGGACTCCTGCTCTGCTGATTTACTTTGTTCATTATCTTTAACATCAAGAGGGATGTGGACATGTTGAAGTAGGTTCCTCTGCAGTTCTCATCTCCCTTTTGCTTATTCGCACATATTGAGCTCCCTCTGGGCCATAGGTGCTTTCCAAACACAATTTCTCAAGCATATAGTCCCAAGTTGGGTGCCCAAGAAGCATAGTGAGGCAGAGTTTACCATGCATGTCATTTATTAGGAAGACTCTTCGGATTGACACCCACAGAAGGGAGGGAAGAGGGGAAGTGGGTGGAGGGAGAAGTTGAGTCACGATGCAGGCTGAACAATGGCCTCAGCCAACAACATGGGCAGCCCTGAAGCTAGAATAGCCCTTCAGTGCCATCCAGGCCTTTATAACTTACATGGATCAGTCATTGGATGAAGGCCTCCTATCCCCACAAGGATATGACCTCAGATGAAGTTCTGGAGCTGGGGCCATCCCTTAAGGGGCCAGTGGCTAAGGCGAGCACTCCCAGATGCTGGGACGATGAGACTTTCCTCGAAGAGGGATCCGAGCAGCACCTCTTAATGTCCACTGCACAACTGTCCCCAAAGGAGGGTACTGCTACCTCCACATATGGATGAGGTCACTGAGGTTCAGATGGGTAAACAGTCTCACCCCAGGACACACAGACAGGAGCTGCCAGGACCTCCCACTTCCATAGCTTCCTATGTCTCTCACCAATGCCCCGATGCTGCGCAGACCTGCGCCAAGCAGCCAAAAGCACAAACCCCGCGCCCGAGTCACTTCCCGTCAGCTGGCAGGCCTGCCACCCCGCGCCTCGCGGCTTTGCCTGGAGCCCGCCAGGCGAGGTGGCTTCCCTGCCCGAACCCATCCATCCGCTTGTGTTTATTCTGTGCGCAGCCAACAGCTGCCGGGAGCTGGGCCTGCCAACTCTGCTGCGTTCAGGGATGCGTCTCTCCACCCATCTCAGAGAGCTCTCTCCTGCTGGCTCTTTCTGGGAAGCCTGGCTTATTTTTATTTTTCTCTTTCTCCTTCCCAGCGGTGTAGCTGGATTTCAGAAGGACTTGCAAGAGTTGAGGGGAGGGAAGAGGATACAGCATCCAAGATGTTGGAGGCTGGAGAGTAGCTGCAAAATTTCTACTTTGGGCAAAACGCCGTGGCTCATGCCTCTAATCCCAACACTTTGGGAGGCTGAGGTGGGAGGATCGCTTGAGCCCAGGAGTTCGAGACCAGTCTGAGCAACACAGTGAGACTTCATCTCTACAAAAAATAAAAAGAAAATCAGCAGAGGATGGTGGCATATGCCTATGGTCCCTGCTACTTGGGAGGCTGAGGTGGGGGGATGGCTTGAGCCCAGAAGGTCGAGGCTGCGGTGAGCTGTGATCACGCCTCTGTACTCCAGCATGGGCAACAGAATGAGACCCTGTCTCAAAAAAAAAAATCTACTTTGGATTCTAGTTCTTTCATTTTTCATTTATTTTCCTTGTTTCTTACCAACATGTAGTTTTTTAACGTTACAGGATAAGGGCTGACAAATGACTGGTTTATGAGTGTGGGTTTGGAACATGAATTTGCAAAGGGGACAGCCTGGGTATTCTGTTCTCTGTTTTGCTGTGTGACCTTGGCTGGGTGTCTTTACTTCTCTGAGCTCCCAATTCTTCATCTGTGAAGTGGGTTAATGATCCCATTTCTCAGGTCCATTTGGAGGACTGAATATGAGAGTGTTAGGAAAACTACAGTGGACCAAATAGGTGCTGAATAAATGAGATGTTGTGTCATGATTTTTCCCCTGGTACTTTCTCTAAGGAGATTGGTGATGAGCCTGTCCTCCACTGTTCTGAATACTCACTCAAGTTGGTATGGTACTTTGCAGTTTGTTGCACAGGAATTGCATCATCTTTGAAGATGCCACGAATTTTCTGCAACCTGCAAAGCAGGTTCTCTTCTCACACCTTTCATCCATCTCCGTCTGACCAATTTCTCCCTGTCCTTTGGCTTGGCTCACATATCACTTCCTCTAGGACAGTGGTCAGCAAACTTATTCTGTACAGAGCCAGACAGTAAATATTTTAGACTTCGTGGGGGCACCTGGTCTCTGTTGCCACGACTCAACTCTGTTGTCAAAGTGCAAAGAGGCACAAACAATACACCAATGAATGAGCATGGCTATGTTTCAATGAAGTGTGATTTATGGACACTGAAATTTGAATATCGTATACTTTTCAAGTGGCATGAAACATGATTTTGATTGTGTAAAACCATTTAAAAGTGTAAAAACCATTCTTAGCTTGTGAGCTGTATGAAAGAGGCAGTGGGCCAGATTTAGCCTGGGGGCAGTAGTTTGCTAAACCTTGCTCTGGGAGGTAATTGCTGGTCACCCCCTGTCCTGTGGGCAGGCTACATTAAGGGCCTTTCATCAGGGTTTCCACATCACAGCACTGACAACAGAACATCCTAATTACCTGTTAACTCCTCTGTGGACCACCAGCTCCTTGAGGGAAACACTGGGTTTTATTCATCACAAAACCCTCAGCACCAACACATAGTAGGTAGTCGACAACTACATATTAAACAAGCCCGTGTGTGGATGAATGAACCTTTTAAGCAGCTCCACGTTGCAGATATAAGCTCCATTTTACAGATGTGGAAACGGAGGCTCAGAAAAGGAAAGGGATTTTCTCAACATCACGCAGCTGCAAACATGACTGAGCTGGGGCTCAAACTCCCGAAAGAAGAATGTTAATTGAGCAATTGCTATGTGCCAGACACAGTGGTGCTTGGGGCTTCATATGCCTCAGTCCCCATTTATTGGACACCGCTGTGTGTCAGGACCTACCTGGGTCATACCCCTTTAGGTTCAGAACATTGGATTTCTCACTGTGAGAGCACCAGGCTTGTCTTGCCCGTTGTTGAGTGCAAAGAACAATTCTGGAATGATGAATTCCTACCATACCTGAGCTAGGCACTTTTCAAATTTAAGTCCTTCATCCTTGCTCACCACATCCCAGAAGTGCAATCTGCAAATCAGCTTAAAAGGAAATTAATTAATTTTAAAAAAAAGAAAGAAAAAAGCAAAAAACAGTGACAGCCATCGCAGCAGCAGCAACAGCAGCATCTGCTGAGTCAGATCGGTTATCCATCCACAATAATCGATGGCTCGTCATCCAGCCATTTCCCTCCTCCAAATACACAAATTAATAAAGAAAGGGTCTGGGCTTGCAGACAACAGAAAGGGCACCCAAAGCAAAATTGCCTCCGGCTGGGAAAAAGTCACCTCCCCAGAACGATGCCCACGTCAGCTCTGCTGCCGAAGTGGGAGATACTGGAGGTAAGTCCCAGTCTCAGCCAAGAGGGCTGCAGCCCACAAGGGCCCTGCATGAGATTAAGGTTGGTAAGAAGGAACGCCAGCTGTCTAAGGCAGGCCCTAGCTCTAAGTGGCTCCTGAGGTGTATTTGGTTCCCAGCCCAAATCGAGTGCCCCAGCGGCCCTGTTTTATTAAGCAGGCCCAAGTGGCAGGAGGCTTTAGTCGGAGAATGAGGCGCTTTACCACTCATGCTGGCTTCTGGGCCGAGCCCCTTGGCCGCACTTCACAGGTCCCCAGCGCAGCCCCCCTTGGCGTAACCATTGCGAATCCACTTGTTGACGGTGGCCTGGTTGTAGGATTTAATGGTGGAATAATATTTACACAGCAAACTCCTCCAGAGGTGTCCTAAACACCGTAAATGGGATTTTCGGAGCTTAGTGAGAGTTAGTGGACTCAAGACAGGATAATGTGGCAACTGGTGGCCCTAATCTGATCTGGCCCCTTCTGCACGGTGAAGACTTAGTGGGCGGAACTGTTTTCAGAGTTGGCAAAAGTTGCTTCTCACCGCTCCCTCCTCTCCCTTTCTTTCCCCTGTGAACTTTGAAATATTTTTAGCACTATGTGGCCTGCAATGGCTTCATCTCAGCTGCTGTAGATGCCAATAAACCCCACACCCATGCCTATGGGACCAGCGATGGACCTTTGAAAGGGTAAGTGTTAGGGGAAGGGTGGGCAGGAGGAAGGCAGACTTAATCACTTCTTCTCTCCCTCTCTCTCTCTCTTTTTTTTTTTTTTTCCTGAAAGCAGCACAGAATATACCTTAAAAAAAAAACCTTGGATTTTAGTGTCAATATCAGAATTAATTTCATACTTATGGATCCAATGGGCTTTAGCCACCATTCAGTCCTTGATCTACACTACAGGTAGAGCTGCATCTCAAAAGGTTCAAGAGTCATAAGTTCAAATCCTGACTCTGCTACCTCCTAGATGACTCACTTCCCTCTCCAAACCTCAGTTTTGTCATCTGTCAAATGGGTATGATGGACAATACCCATCACAGGGCTGTGGTGGCAAGTATATGAGTAAAGTATAGAGGGAACTTCGTGTAAGTAGAATCATACAATTTGTACTCTTTTGTGTCTGGCTTCTTTCATTCAACATAAGGTTTTGGAGACTGGTTTTTGTTGTTGCATGTAGCAGTACTTTGTCCTTTTTACTGTTGTGTAGGATTCCAATGTATGAATATACCACAATTGACTTATTTATTCTCTTGTTTATGGTCATTGGGTTATCTCCAGTTTGAGGCCACTATAAATAAAGCTTCAAGAACATTGTGATACAAATCTTTTTGTGAACATTTATTTTTATGTCTCTTGGTAAATACTTAAGCATTGAATTGCTGGGTCAGAAGGTAGGACTATGTTGAGTGCTGTAAGAAACCACATAAGATGTTTCTCCAAAATTCTGGTACCATTTTACATTCCTGCCAACAATGTATGAGAGTTCCAGTTACTCCACATCCTTGTCAACATTCGATGTTGTCAGTATTTTTCATGTTATTCATTCTTGTGGGTATGTAGTAGTCTCACTGTGTGTATAGACCTCTTTAAAAAAGTCAGTGCCAAATTCTCTTCCACTTCATAAAATGCCTGAACTGGAAGGACCTTTATCTTTTAGATGAGGAAACTGAGGTCTGGAGAGGAAAAGAGACTGACCCACCATTTTATAGTGTCTTAAAGGTAATGCCAGATTAATAACCCAGGCTTCTGACAGCTGACCTAGGACTCACAATAAGAATGTGTCATTAAATTGAGCACCTATATGTGCCAAGCATTGAAGCAAACTGTCTCCTCTTCACTATTTAAGTCATTCATTCATTCATTCAACAGACACTCACTAAGCTTCCCCCTGGCCCAGTAACCTTTTAGCACTACAGATACAGAAAGAAATAATAAAACCTCCTAGTTTACAAAGAACTCACTCTACTGAATGAGAATCTTCCATCCTTGATCCAAGTCATATTTTTTTCCACTTTAGACATGGCAAGAGCCACATGCATTAATGCATAAAGTGTGCTTTCATTAGTGTACAGGAAGCTGCTACAGCACTTTGAGAATTTTTTTTTTAATGGAGACTTGCTCTGTCACCCAGGCTGGAGTGCAGTGGCATGGTCTCGGCTCACTGCAACCTCCGTCCCTGAGTTCAAGCTATTCTCCTGTCTCAGCCTCCTGAGTAGCTGGGATTATAGGTGTGCACCACCACACCTGGCTAATTTTTGTATTTTTAGTGAAGATGGGGTTTCCCCATGTTGGCCAGGCTGGTCTTGAACTCCTGACTTTACATGATCCACCCGCCTCAGCCTCCCAAAGTGCTGGGATTACAGGCGAGAATCTTGACTACTATAGCAAAGATGGGGGGAGCTAACTCCAGAAGATATATGTATTTTTGCTCTTTCCCTTCATTTTGTTTCTAAACTTTGGTCATCATGCACCACATATTCCCCTGAAAGAGTTCTGCTGAGTGTCCCTAGAGGAAGGCTAGAAGTCCAACAGCCCTGGTGGGAAGAAAAAGCTTTGCAGGGGGAAGGATCTTTTCTCAACACCAATCATTCAGGGAAGGCCACCGGGGTCCCATGAGAACTGCTTGGTTATTTCTAAAGTCAACTGGAAGTGGATTTCCAGGCCAAGGCAGAGAAGAGGCCTTAGCTATTGTATCATCCAGAAGTTTCTGTAGACAGATCATGGCTTGGATTAGCTGTCTAAATTTCACCCTCTATATGGAAATAAGTGGGGGAAACATTAATATGCAAATTCCTGGGACTTACCTGTAAGCATTCTAGTTCTATAGATGTGAGAGAGAAACCCACAAATCCTTCCTTTAAAAAAGTTCCATGGGAGCTGGAGGGCTTTTAGGGTAGCGAAATTATTCTGTACATTATTATAATGCTGGATACGTGTCATTATAAATTTGTCAAAAACCATGGACTGTACAGTACCAAGAGCGAACCCGAATGTAAACTATGAACTTTGGTTGATAATGATATGTCAGTGTTAGTTCATCTATTGTAAGGATGTTGATGGTGCGGGAGGCTATGTTGGTGGGTGAGGGATAGGTGGGAACTCACTGTACTTTCTTCACAATGTTGCTGTGAATTTGAAACTGTTCTAAAAAATAGTCTATTAGAGAAATAGAAGCTCTATGGATTTATGCAACCATCAATAACTGTAACACCTTTCCCTGCCCAAAACCGTTCCATGGTTTCTCAGTGTCCTCACAACAAAGCCATGCTCCTTAGCCTGGTCTCCAGGGCCCTGTGAGGTCTGGCTCTGCTCTTCTCCCCATCACCCCTTACTCAGCACTTCTGAACATCTCTGAGTCCTGGGATAAATTCATTCTCATTCCAGAGTCTTCACTCAGGCTGTTCTCTCTAGAAGCATTTTTCCCCTCACTTCACCATCACTGTTTGCCAAAAATATTCGTATATGCTCATCAAGTCTTGGCTTAGGTGTCACCTCTTCCAGGTATCCTTCCCTGATTGCCCCTGACTGAATCAGGTGGTTTCCCTGGGCTTCCACAGCACACACACCCCACCCACTTTGCTTCCCACAATTTGACACTAATCACCCTCATGTATAACCATGTTCACGTCTCTCTCCCCTGAAATACTATCAGCCCAATGGGGTCCAATAATTTCTTTACTATTAAATCCTGAGTGTAAGCACAGGGCCTAGCACATAAGGAGTGGTCAAAAAATGTGGATTGAATGGATGACTGAACCCAGTGGCTTCCACAGCCTTTCAGTCCCTCCCCTCTTAAATCCTGTTTCTCTGCACACAAAAGTCTTGATGGTGGCTGAGGCATCCTGGCAGATAGCTGACTTCATTCTCATAGTAGTCTGCTTCAGACCTATTTCTCTGTTAGGTGAACAAGATCCTGCAGGTCCCTGATCAGCACTGCAGACTTCCTGAAGCTGCAACATCTCAAGAGTGGTGAGGTGGAGTCTGTTCCTGGGGGCATTCTGCCATGTCTCCTGTAAGATAGAAGGGCAAGGGTTATGTAGCTCATGTCAGGAGCTCCTCACTGTGCTATCATAGCAAGGCCCCCAGGTGAGCTGGCACAGGTGGTAGAATCAAGAGTGAAGAGGAGCAGAAACAGACATGAGCTAAAAGCCTGTCCTGCCCCTTGTTCCATATTCCAGGTGCTCTCCAAGTCCTTGGCGAGCTGTTTAGGTAGCAGGCTCTATAATGGCTTTCAAAGTAACGGGTGAGTATGGGCCATTTACTGGGGAAACTACATCCCATGTCTTCTATTTGGAAGAGTACCTTCTGATCGGGCCACGATATCTGCAGAAAGACTTACCTTTGGAAAGCTCTTTTGCTTCCACTCCCTCATTACAGCCTTTCTATGATTCTGCAAGTGGTACAGAAAGTAAGGCTCAGAAACTAGAATGGGTTTCCCTGATGCCACCCAATGTATCAGTCCAGGCTCCATGCAGGAAACAGAATCCAGCCTAGGTATCTTGAGCAGGAAGGGATTTAACACAGGGAATCCAGGGCATGTAAGACCACTGGAAGCAGAGAAGGAGCAAGTTCTAGGTTAAGTCTCCTAGAATAACTCCCAGAATACACAGAGCAGAGGCACTTGGACAGTTACTGCCAGACTTATGCCAGATGCAAGGCGCTGTTGTATTTCTAACACCACTGCCTCTTGATGTCTAGGATGTGGGAGAATGAAGTGAGGTCCCCGTTGCAGGAAAACCTCCAGTTACTACCACCACACTATTTGCCGATAGCAATAGCCACAAACTGCTAGAGGATGGACTCACATTAGCTTCCTAAATCTCACATCAATACCTCTCATTGGCAGGAACAAATCTGCATCCAGAAGCCTAGCTTCAAGAGAGTCTAGAAATATCCTGCTTAGGCCAGGTGCGGTGGCTCACGCCTGTAATCCCAGCATTTTGGGAGGCTGACGTGAGTGGATCACCTGAGGCCAGGAGTTCGTGATCAGCCTGACCAACATGGCGAAACCCCGTTTCTACTAAAAAAAAAAATACAGAAATTAGCCAGGCATCGTGGTGAGCACCTGTAATCCCAGCTACTAGGGAGGCTGAGGCTGGAGAATTGCTTGAACCTGGGAGGCGGAGGTTGCAGTGAGCCGAGATTGTGCCACTGCACTCTAGCTTGGGCGACAGAGAGAGACGTCATAAAAAAAAAAGAAAAAAGAAAAGAAAAAAAGAAAGGAAAGAAAGAAAGGAAGGAAGGAAAGAAGGAAAGAAAGAGATATCCTGCTTAACTTTGCTTCCTCTCCAGGCCAAAGAAGGTGGGATGGAAGTTCAGTGAAGCTGCACAGATGACCCAGCACTTAAGAAACTGAATTCCAGCTCTGCCACTCTCTAATTGTGTGGTTTTTGGCAAGTGACAAAAATATGATTTGCTTTCTTGTCACTATGACATGACAATGCCAGCAGCCATCTCCTAGCAGGGCTGAAAGGGTTAAATAAGATGATGCTTGCACAATGCTCAGTGCAGAGCCTGGAATACCATTAAGCCCTCAACACATGGTAGGCAGTGAGACCATTATTATTATCACAGTTTTAGAAAAGACTAGCTCCTCTCATCTCCCTACCGACACCACCACCACCAAAAAAAAAAAAAAAAAAAAAAAAATCAGGTTACACAATCACACGAAGTATTTTCCTACCACTTCTAAGAACAAGGACTCCTTGGAGAAATATAATTCAGATGCAGAATTCGTGAATTACCAGGGCTTTTCTTTAGCTTTTGGGAGACAATGGGAAAGAATACTGAAAACCAAATGTATTGAGGGGAAAGCTTAGTATACATTTAATGCCCCTCTGTGGGGCAGCTCCAAGAAGGGAGGAGAAAGAAAAAGAGGTTCTTGGTATTAGTTCTCCCAGAAGCAAACGAATGCCTCACTTTGCTTAGGACTACAGAGCATGTGAAGAAAATAGTGGAATATCTTCATCTCCATCCGGTGTTTTGGGAGGGTGGAGGAGAGTTATTAGTCTGTTCCTAGAAAGGCAACTGAGTCAGCAAAAAGAGGCGAGAAATCACAATCAGACAGCCCTGTGTGTCCCCGTCCCCACCCCAATACTCCCTTCTGGGATGCATGACCTTGGGCAGGTTGCGTTCTTCCTAGAACCTCTTCTTTCTCATCTGCAAAGTGGAGGTAATCTCTTCTCTTTGCTGGACGGCTATGAGGACACGAAGTCAGGCCATACACTGAGTGTTCTGTTTTCCTGCCCCTGCCCACGGGCCTGCCAAAAATCACTGGGATTTATGAGCTCAAGCCAACGGAGAATGTGTGTGATGGGGTGTCGATTCCAGGACAAAAGTCTGATCTGGGTATCTGTACCTCGTGGAAGCTGGAGCCTGCACCTATAGCAGCCAAGATGCCTTTTGTAAATTAGCCCACATTTCTTTTTTTCCAACAGGGCAGCGATGCAGGGAGAGTGAAGAGACTTGCTAGACAGAAAAGGCGGTAAGGGGACCCTTTCCTATCACGCTTTCAAAGGGTCAGGTATCGAGGCAGCTATTTGCAGGTAACAAGCATCCTCAGACATTGATGGAAGATAAAAGCCACTCATGGATGGTGGTGTGTCTGAATCGGAAGATGCCTCCCTATCCCTGCCACACTTTGCGTAAGTTGCTTTGGGTTTTGAGTTGGAGGTGCCCCTCCCACAAAAGTGGCCGAAGTGATTAAGGGGACATGATCGGCATCCTGGGGTCCTTGGCAGCAGGCACGACAGCTGGATGCCCATTTGAGCGCCTGAGGATGGTGGTCTGGAAGGACCCACAGGCACGGCGGGAAGGCTCGATTAGCCTACCTGGCAGCCGGACCCAGACCTGGCTGGCAGCAGCATATTGCTCACCGTCTGGCAAATAGACAGATTTTCACAAACCAGATTCCTCTTCACAGGCCTGGACCCTTCCTGTCCAACTGTTCCAGCATCTGTTTCTCTTAAAATGTATTTATTACACTGAGAGGAATAATAATGGGGCCAGGTCTGAGGCCCCGGAGGCAGTGGCTGTTTCTCCACCCAGGGCTTCCTTGGGAAGCATTTGTGTCAGGGAGAATGGAACAATGCTTAACCTGGGAAGACTGTGTCCTTGGTCACTGGAGTCGGAGAGAGACTGGACATTGGCCCAGGGTCTGAGGCTGAAGGAGAAATACTGGGGGTGGTGGTTGGGGGCTTGTTCTGGAGTCTACTTGTGGGCTGTGTGGCTTTGGACAACTTCCTGAACCTCTTGGAGCCTCAGTTTCCTTCTCTAATGAAATGGGGGTGAGGCTGCATGATCTCCAAGGTGATTTGTTTCTTGTTTTGCCTGTGAGTGATTTAAAAAGCTTATGCCTGTAGAATTCAGCCTTACCTGCACATCCAAGATTATGCATTCATTCATTCATTCATTCATTCATTCATTCATCCTTTCATTCATCAGATTGTTCAATGAGCAAATTACTGTCTACAAGACACTGGGGATGCAAATGGTGATTTAAAGAAAATGGGGAGTGAGGCCGCTGGAAGCATGTTTCCCACCACTCAGATAATGTGAATATGTGTACCAACACCAACGGCAGCTGGTGGCCATAGGCCTGGTTTACCATGTGTCAGGCATGGTGTTAAGCACCTTACAAACATCACCTCCTCTAATATTCCCAACAGCCCTGCAAGATATATATATATATATATATGTATGTATGTATGTATATATACGGTGTGTGTGTGTATATATATATGGTGTGTATATATATGTATATATATGGTGTGTATGTATATATATGATGTATATATAGATCTATATATACATCATATATATGGTGTATATATAGATATCAATACCTATATATCACCATATATATCATATATATACCTATATCATATATATACATATATATACACCTATATCATATATATCATATATATACACCTATATCATATATATGTCATATATATACATATATCATATATATCATATATATACACCTATATAGTGTGTATATAGATATTCCTTTGTCTCTATAGGTGATACTGGGGAAAATGGAAGCCCAGAGAGGCAAAGCAACTTATCCGAAGTCACACAGCAAATACACTGACAGGAAATGCCCTGGATGAGGATTTCACTGGTTGACTGACCATTTTGGGTTCCTATTTCAATGGCTTTGCAGCTTTTGAAGATTTGCTGCTGCCCGGATCCTATCTGATTTCTACAGTAGCTTTCTGGGGTTGCTGGAGAGGACGGTGAATCCCACGTGACTAGTGAGAAAGCTGAGGTCTAGGGATGGAAAGTGATTTCCTCAAGGTTACAAAGCAAGTCAGCAGCAGCACGATCTGTAAATACAAAACTGTAAACCTAAACCTCCCACCGTTTGTTATTCATCCTCTCACTTAACAGATACCCTATGTAGTTGATTCAAGTGTGCTTGTTTAGCTTTTAGTATCTCTGAAACAAGTTTCATCATACAATGCATGACATGCCATGTTTTAATTGGTAGATTTTTTTTCTTAGTGAAACATAAAATAATGGTGCGGTGGCAAGCAAAGGCCTATTGGATGGTATTTACTGAGCACCTATTATATGCCAGTGTTGGACATGGTTCCTGCTGCTCTCCTCATCCATGGAGCAGGTTCCTGGCAAGCTGGGATTCTTGGGAAGTCCTAGGAAGATGGATTTTAGGTGTCTTTTGGTTCCCTTTACCATGTTCATTGGCCAGCTCTGTTCAAGGAACGGGAGGTGCAGACAGATTCCACCTTGATGGTGGAGATTGGGGTTGGTAGTGACCATCACCAGCCTCTCAGGAGCTCTCATTCAGGAGCCTGAGAGCTGAGCCTCTGTTCAGTCTGTCCAGGTGCCCTGCTGTCCATCTCCAGTCAGACAGACACCTTCCCCAAGTCCCCTGGGCCCAGGGAGACTGGGCTGGGTCCCCGGCAGTCCTCACTGGGACTGTAGTGATGATGATCCTAGTGCTGTTGCTCTGAGCTTATGGGAACACTTGGGGTAGAATGAGTTTGTCAGCTCAGTCACTGCTGATTCCCAAGAGACAGGAGGAACCAGAGCAGCGGGTGCAAGTGGCTGCAGTCAAAACACAGTGATGGGTTAGTTTGCTCCGTGGAGGGGCAGGTGGGGGCATGCAGCTGGGACAGAGCAGCCGGTGCTGGGAGCTGAATGCCTGGCAGGGCTGGGCCATGCTAGGAAGATGAACGTGCCTGCTCTGCGAAGGCCTGCAGGGCTGGCAAAGAAAATTGAGTCATAGCATCAAGGTGTCTAGACATTTGGAGCAGGTATGGGTAATTTACCCCTTTGTGACAAGTCTGTTCCTTAGACAGAGGAGAAGCGCAGGCATCTTTGGAAAGAGGGCAGCCCAGGAAGGGATGTGGCAGGTCCTCCATATATGGACGCATCCCTTGGGAGGCAGGCAGTATCATGCAGCAGAGCCAGGCTGGAACTGGAAGAGAATTTAGAGACCACGCCCATCATGTTCCTACTTTTATGGATGACATATGGAGACCAGAGAGGATTGAACCACCAAGGTCACACAGCAAGTTTCATCACCAGCAAAGTGGGCATGAAACACCTCCTTTCTCCTGGTATAGTGTTTATAAAACCATGCCATCAGAATACACACACACACACACACAGAGTCACATATAGGCATACACATGCACAGATACACACATACACAGGCATACATAGACACAAACACACACACAGAGACACACGTACACGAAGTAGCTTTCCTATCATAGAAACACTTGAAGTAAGGGATTGCCAAGTTAAAAAAAATTCTGAAGATGTTTTATACTTACATTTACAAGGTTGTACATAGAAGAGTAGATCCAGGTGTGTCAAATGGTCTTAGGGAAAATAAAAGCTGTCATTGACTAAATTGGTAAACTCTCAGTTACATAAAGTTAAATTTTTATTTATCGCAGGGCTTATCAGAGCATTTAAAAGGATATTGTGCATTCCCAAGAAATGAGTGGGGAGGAGGACATATGGGTGAAAGGAGGCCAAAAATATTAGTTTCACCTCATTATTGTCTTTCTTAGAACTATTAAAGAAAAATGCATTGATTTGTAATGCTAGAATAGCAAAGAATAAAAATAAATATGTAAAGACTTAATGTCCATTCATTCATCCATCAATCCGTCTATCCAACTAACCACCTATCCATCCATCAATCTAATCATCCATGAATTAATCAAGCCAACCACTCATTCATCCATCTGTTCATCCAACCATCTAACCATTTGCCTGTCCAACCATTGCTCTATGCATCTATGCCTCCATCTGCCCATTCCAAATCCCATGCATCCACCTACCTACCTATCCACCTAACTTTTCATCCATCCATCCTCCAAAGATTGACTGACTACCTATTAAATGTCAAGTACTGTACTAGGACTAGCAGTCTGCCATGAGAAGGGGACAATGGGTGTAAAAAAACACTCCTTATTTAAGAAGGTACTTGCAATTTGGTGAAGGAGAGGAGAAAGGCAAATATGCTACAAATATATCTGCCTGTAGGTCCCTGTAGTGAAGGTGTAGAGTGTTAGGGTTGAGGCTGGAAGGCCCCAAGTAGAGGTCCTGTAACCTGCCCCAGGGAGTGTGGACATTATCCTTCAGGCTTGTTGCTTATGTTTAGGAACCTCAATGTCTTTAGTAAAAGGGGGTTCTTAACCATAATTATAGACCTAGGGAGAAGAAGCAGCCCTCATCCACCCACTTTTTATAGTCGCTATTTTGCATGTGTTTGCTTGTGATTTGCATGTGTTGCACTTGACAATCAGCGTCTCCACACTGGACTGTGGGCCGCTTTAGGGCAGGAACTTGAGTGTTTTTGCTCCTCAAAGCACCCTTTCAGGCTTAGCATGGAGCAGGACATGGCTTAAGCATTTGCTAAATGTCTGATAAAAGGCCCGCCAAATGGAAGAAGGAATAAAGGTCTCCCTTGTGGGCTTTTGAGAAGATGCAGAGGCAAGGGGACTTACAATGCATAGCCTGGCATGCAGTAGGTGCTCTAGGTATGTGAGTCTGCATCTTCCTGCCTGACCCTGCACTGACACCCAGCCTGGGAGTGACACGGGCCTGAGTTCTCCTTGGCAGCTGCCAAGGCTGCTCAATGGGGTCCTTTCTATCTGCTGTGGGGCCTTGGAGCCCATTCTGAGCTCCGGAAGCAGCTGCCCATGAATCAGCCCCATCAGCCTGACGACGACAAGGCCTCTTTGGATGGAAAGAGGATGGAAAGGCCTCTTTGGAGGAACTTCCCAGAATGAGCTAACTCAACAGTGGCCACATCAATCCAGAACAGATGGAAATTAAAAAGAGGCCCCTCCTAACGCAAAGTCAATTAACTTCTCTTTAATTTGGAGAGGTCGAGACCAAACTGGAGCCGTGATTTCACCCAGCACAAACAACCCCATGGGGTTCTCCATTTAAGAGCAGGTCCAGGCCACCCACGGCTTCAGTTGACCCAGCTCAGGTCCCTATCCCCAGGCCTGGGGGGAGTCTGAGAACCTGCCTGGGCAAACTCGTCTGCTGTGGAGCTTGGAGCCGTACTGAGGACAGGGGCGTGCTCAGTGCGTCTCAGGGGCTGCTTGCTGTCTTGGGGAGACTTGGCTGGGCCCATCTGAGCTGCAGCCAGGTGGGTAAGTGGGGGGACTCCAGAATCAGCCCATCTGAGTTGACAGACCAGCTTTACCACTTACTACCTAGGTGACCTGAGTATTCGCCAGCCTCCCAGGGGCCTCCATTTCCTCATCTGTGAAATGGGAACAATAACAGTACCTACCTCATGGAATGAGTGCATGGGTTAATAAACTGCTACCTTATTATTGTGGGCACAAAAATAGCTCCTACCTTGGAGGGTCATATGAAGATTAGGCGCGAACACTCATAAGGTCTAGCACAGGGCCCATCCCATAGTAGGTGCTCAAGAAATGCGGCTCTTATGAGCATCGCATCCTTTGTGCCTCCCTAAACTCTCACCCCATGAGGTTGTCCATTTTCCCCTGGGGTTAGGCTCTGACTTGCCCCATGTTTTTTTGCTCATCTCCCTCTGAAGCTCCCTACAGCTGCTTCTGCACCCATCATTATCACACTGAATCTCCAGTGTCCCACCCATTCATTGTGCTGCTTTACCCACCCCGGCCTTTAGACTGTGTCTTCTTCAAGAACAGCATCTTTGTCCTAGTCACGTTCCATCACCTTGCCATCTGGGAAATAGCTGTTGTCTTCGTAAGTGACAGACCCCACTCTGCGACTAACTGGCTGTGTGATTCTGGAGTGTCACTGTATCGCTCTGATTCTCAGCTTCTTGCCTACAATAGGGAAACAACATTAGCAAGCTCACAGGCTCACAGGAGGGCTTAATACAGAGATGGAGTTAAATTGCTTAGCCCATAATAGGACCTTAATAAATACTAGCTCATCTTTCTCCTATAACCTGTGTGACTTTTTGAGCAAGTTCTTTAAGCTCTCTGTGCCTCTCTGCAAAAGGTAGTTTACTCTCTGCAAAATGCAGATAACAGCAGTACCTACATCATCCTGTGCTTTGGGGATTCAATGAGTTAAAACATGTACAGCACTTGGAAGCAGGAACAGTATACAGTGAGTGATTCCTACATGTTATTTGTAGTGATAATAGTGAGATAATTCTTTCTTTTCTGCTCCTCTGTGGCTGTTTGTGGACTGAGTTAGAGCTAGGCCTATTGTCTGGCAGATGCTTGATCAATATTTGTGGGCTGACTCTATGGGAAACTCTTGAAATCCTCACCAGCAAAGCCTTTCTGCAGGTGTGCACTTCTGCTGGGGCCGGTCATTGGTGCTGCCTTGTCTTTAACGTTTAGAGACTCAGCAGCTTAATCGGAGATTAAGTCATGTCAACACTGAGTGCAAAGAACCGATAGGCAGAGGCTAATTCTAAATGTTGCAAGATGGACACAATTTAGTATAAGAGAAGGATGGAAAATGTATGTATGGGGAATGAGAGGGAAAGAGGGCTGACTTGTGACTTCAGAACAGAACCAGGGAAGACTGACTTCCTTCTTACCTTCCTTCCTTCCTTCAGCCAATATTATTAAGCATTGCTCTATTCCCAGCCTGGAGCTAGACTCCAGCAGGGGACAAAACATATATCCTGTACTTCCTGGACTTTGGATGTCCAGTGGAGGCAAAGAGGAACCCCAGAAGGCCTTAGAGCAGAGAGGATTGAGTTGAGATTTGGTATCTGTCATTTTTGAAACCCTGCTTGGAGGTCCTTCTTTCTTGGGGGGTCTCTCAACCGCAGGTTATCATGGTGAACAGAGTCCAAGAATCCTTCACTTGTTAGCAAAGCAGCCATGCTTATATCCCCACTCTGGGCCTGCACAGGAAGGATGGCCCTAACAAACTCCATTGCAAAGCAAGGTGTGATGGAAGCATGACCATTCAGACCATTGTCCTTGGCTGAGTAAGTGTGAGTTCACCCACATAATGCATAGGGCACCGTCATTAACACCAAGAATGAGAAGCACAGCTGTTGACATGGAAGCATGCCCATGGCATCCTATTAAGAGGAAAAGGCGAGTCTTCCTGAAGTATGCCAGGCCAATTCTGTTTACTGATAGCTCAAAAATAGACAAAAGTACCAGGAAGAGAGGTTGATTAATGGGTACAAATATACAATTTGATAGAAGAAATAAGACCTAGTGTTTGATAGATCGGTAGGGTGACTAGAGTTTACAACAATCTATCGTATATTTCAAAGTAGCTAAAAAGGAGTAATTCAAATGTTTCTAATATAAAGAAAAGACAAATATTTAAGGTGATGGATATCCATATTACATTGATTTGATCTTTACAAATTATATGAATATGTTAAATTATCACAAGTACCATGGAAATATGTACACCTATTATGTCTCAATAGAAAAAGAAAATTAAAATATTAAAAAAATAGACAAAAGTAAACAATATGTTGTTGAGGTTTACAAACATATAAATAAAATTACAAAGAACAGCAACAGCTGATAAATACTGAATTCAGGATGGTGGTTACTCTGTGGTAGAGAAGGAGGGAATGATGCCCAGGAGGGCACATGATGGTGTGAAAAGCCACCCACCTTTCTGGTCTTTTGCTTAAACTGGGTTTTGAATAAAAGGGATTCACTAATTGCTATTTTTACACCCTACCCACACAATAAGTATTCAAGTATTTCCACCCAATATTTAATTTTATTTCTTCAAAGAAAACTGATTGCAAGATCTTATTTGAGAAGGAAAAAAAACCAGTTTCAAAACAGGAATCCAGTGTGATTCTATTTTTCTTTCATCAGTTTAAACAAGTGAAATAACAGTATTCATTTTAACATGACCTAGGGCAAATCACCTCGCCTCTCTGGACTTCAGTTTCCTTGTCTATTAAATGGGAATAAAGAAATAAGAGAAAGCTTGTGATATGCTTAACGTGGTGCTTGGCAGATAATAAGTGCTTAATAAGTAAGCTGCCCCAAAGAGTTGCTACTTTGAGACTTTCAGCCAATGACCTCCTGCTCTCCCTCCAATTGATTAGCATTTGTTGCCATTGATCTAAGGATTCTTGGAACCGATCCACTTACCAAGCTGGCTGGATGAACCAATGTTCCTCATTCCTTCCATCATGGTGCAATTGCCCATGGCTCCAAAAGCACTCTTGGCCAGTGGCCATTCCGAGAAGAGTCTCACTCTGTTGCCCAGGCTGGAGTGTAGTGGCACAGTCTCAGCTCACTGCAACCTCTGCCCTCCAGGTTCAAGTGATTCTCGTGCCTCAGCCTCCTGAGTAGCTGGGATTACAGGCATGCACCACCATGCCCAGCTGAATTTTTTTTGTATTTTTAGTAGAGATGGGGTTTCACCATCTTAGCCAGGCTGGTCTTGAACTCCTGACCTCAAGTGATCCACCCGCTTCATCCTCCCAAAGTGCTGGGATTACAGGCGTAAGCCACCATGCCCAGCCTCCAGTGGCCACTCTTCACCTCACCTGGACGCATCTCCTTTTGCTAGTTCAGGTACCCACTCACCAGACGTCACTTCTGTTTGTTCCCAAAACTGCTTATTCCAGTTATACTCGCCAGCATAATAAGATCATTTAGTTAAACCTTAGAGAAACCAATGACTATGAGTGTGCAAGGAAAAGCTGTCATTTCCAGGAAAATTAAGTTCGCTTCTTGAAAAGTTTTTTAAAGGTGAGTTGTATAGTTTTTCTAAAGGCGAGTTGTATAGTTTTTTAAATGTGAGTTGTATGGTTCTATAGTTTTTTTTTAAAGGTGAGTTGCTTTTAAAAACTGTATGTATATAAAAGCAAAGCAAGAAAACTATGAGAGATAGATGAGGAGGATCCTAAAAGATGGAGAAAAATCCAGCATTCAGGTGGCTGTTTAAATGTTTTCTATTCTTGCTCCATTGAAAAGAAATCAAATCCAGGCATTGACAATGGGAAGTGAGGCATTGTGACTCTGGGTTTCCTTAAGGAAGATAAGCTAGAAGAGACCTCCAGGCAGAGAAGCTAAGTTCCAGCATAGAGCCTCTGCCTAACGTCAAAAGTTTGGTGAATAAATGTACACTCTATGCTTTAAGTAGAAATAGAATATTACTTTGTTTTACCCATCACCAAAGTTCAAAGACAAACTGAAAACTGGGGAAAAGCAAGAGCACTTCCCATCACAGACTGAAGGCTAATTTCTTAGTCTGTAAAGAGCTCTATTTACCAATCAATGAGAAAGAAAAACTTAGTTAATAGAAAGATAGTTAAAGGGACTAATAGATAGTTAACACAAAGAAAATACAAATCGTTCTGAAACATGAAAATAAAATGCTCAGCTTCACTTTTGAGAAAAGAAATGCAAAATAAACCTTTCTAGAGACACCATTTTTTTTTCACGGATGGGATTGGCAAAGATTCAAAAGTTCAAGAAGACTCAAAAGTTCAAGAAAATTCAAAAGTTCAAGAACCGGCTATGTTATTGAGGCTGTGCGCGGGCTCTCCTTTATTTTATTTCATTTATTTATTTTTAACTTTTATTTTAAGATACTTGGTGAGAGCAGGAGCTGGTGCAACTTTCCTGCAATTTGGCAAAAATTTCCTGCAATTGGCAACAGCTAACAAACATAACTTCTCATGTGTCTACCATGTGACCCACAATTCCACCTCCAGGAATCTATCCTGCAGACAATCTCCCACACAACAAAAATATCATATGGACAAGGGTTCTTATTGCTGAATTGGCTGAAATGGCCACATAAATAGGAAGCGACCTAAATATCCATCAACCATATGCTGGTGAAGGAAAGAATGGCCCCTCTATGTGTGGCATAACATGAGCGTGAAGTAGAATGAGGACGGTCTTCATGGACACGTTGGAAATAATCCCCGAGACGGATTGTTAAGCAAATGAGGCAAGATGCATGATTGCATGCCCAGTAATCTCTGCAAAAGAGAGAAATGCATAAATAAAATCGCTTGTATGTGCATAGTATATTTCAGGAAGACTTCTTAAAAACCTGTAGCATTGTTGCCTCTAGGAGGGGTGAAGACAAACTGGAGACTCTGTTTCCCTCCCTCCTGCCCACCTTCCCTTCTTTCCCTCTCCCTTCTTTCCTTCTCCCGTTCCTCTCTCTTTTTTCCTTCTTTATTTCCTTCTCTTCTTTCTTCTTCCCACCCTATGTCCTCTCCCACTTTCCCTCCTTCCCTTCCTTCTTTCTCTCTTTCTTTCCTTCCTCCTTTCCTCCCTCCCTTCCTTCCTTCCTTCTTTCCTTCCTTCCTTCCTTCCTTCTGCTTTTTTCCCTTTAGAATTCTGAACCATGTGACTGTATCACTGATTGATTAAAGAGTCAAATTTTAAATGAATAAAATATTCAACGTATGAATGTGTCACTTAAAAAAGATTCCTTGCTTTAAGTGACTTATGAGATAAAGTGACTTATGAGATAAAGTGACTTAACTTTTCCTTCTGATTTGGTTCTAATCCTAGACAACTAAGCTTCCACTCAACCTATTTGCTAATTTTTCTGTAATGAACATGTATTACTTCTGCAGTTATACACACGCACACACACACACACACACACACGTGTGTGTATATATCACAAACACACAAATAAAAATTTTTCAAAGCCCAAACAGACCTCCCTATGGCTGCCAGGGCCCTGCTCCCAGGTGAACAAGCAAGCTTTCTCTCCTGGAATCCGGTTTTCCCACCTTGCCCTGCTCGCTCTAACATGTGTTTGCGGGCGATAAAGGTGTGCTGTGTCGCTGCTGCTGCTTTTAATTAATTTCTGACATGAAAGCTCCCAGTCCCTTCTGCCTCAGAGACCTGCACACAAACTTGCCTCTCCCTTTCACAGGAAGCAGCTGCCCAAGTGTAGCCGAGTTTCCAAAAAAACAAGGAGTTGCTGGGGGGGAACCTCACACTTCTTTTTTTTTTTTTCCATTTGCACTGATTTGCATATTAATAGTTTGCATATTAACCAGCGACTTCAGAGGGTGGGCGGGCTAATGAATGCAGCAATCTCCTCAATTTTAACTCAATTTGCCTCATCCATATTCCAATGACTTTGGGGATTGGTGTTCAGCGTTCATTGAAATTATCCGAGGCAGACCCAGTGTGGGCTGCACTACCATTAATCCAATTAATTAGCCCCGTGGATACGGCCGCCTGGGCTAGGGCCCTTTGTTCAGTGCTGGGGGCTAATGACAGCCCCAATCTGATGGGATAATGAGGGGAGCGAAGGAGGGTTTGACCCCAAGTCTGGGTCCTGGGTGGTGTTTGGAGCAGGAGGGGAAGGTGGCTTTTGGGGAGGGGCTCAGATCACGGGGAGACAGCTGCTTTCCTTCCCTACTCCCTCATGCTCTCATTCAGTCACTCAAGTCTTGCCCTCACTCACTCCTTAGCGTGAGATGTCTCCCATTTACCCCTCCACACTCACTCTCCATCCCTCTTCTCCCTGCTCTGTGCCCGGGAAGGGTGAGCTACACCAAGGGGATCTGGAGCCCTCCAGCTTCTGGGTAGGTCCTGCCAATGGGAGGTGCAAGCAAGAGGAGGAAAGGAGGGGAAAAAGAGATCAGAGTATTGATTCCCTGCCTTCCTCTCTGCTGGACTGCAGGCTGGCTGGGTCCCTCTACCAGAGGTCACATCCATTGCCAAGCAGCCCTCTTCAATAGCTACTATCTCTGATCCCCTGAAATAGCCCCCTGGCCTTGCCCCCTCAGGCCTAGGGATGGTGACAGGTCCTTACTCTAGAAGCCCTAGGGTGATGTGTGGTCCTCTGTGGTTATTTTCAGTTCTTTTCTATCATCACAGCCTCTTTGAATATGCCATCTGTTCCCTGCTGGGGCCCCGATTGGTACCCACCCCTCATTCCTTCACTCTTACAGTTTTTCAACCACACAATCACTCACGCTTTCAAAGACGATCATGAGGACTAAACCGTACGCTACATTTATAACATGCTCAGCAAGATGCCTGACACGCACTGAGTTCAGTGAATGTTGGCCATAGTTAAGTGTAGGTACAGATAACCTAGCTGGTTAGATGAAGTGTCCTTTAAATGAATCCTATGAAATAATAGCCCCATGAGATGCTTTTGATAAAAGGATTTCTTGGTAATCAATGTCTAGGAGCCCAGCAAATCCCCTTCTTAGAGATCCATAATATATGTTATTATAATAAAAGTTATGAGACGTCCTGTAGTAAAGAAAAGCTTGGATTTCATGTAAATTCAAATATTCCTAGACTATATCATCTCTCATTTCCATTTCCCATTTGAGAAAACTAAAGCACCAAGAGATTACTGTGTATGATTGCTCAAAGCCCACCTAGAAACTGGCTCCTGAATTCAATCTCTGTATTTGTGTGTTGTGGGGGAGAGGGGGAGATGGAGGAGGTAGTCTGAGACCTCTTGGAAAGAACTTGGGTTGCAAACAGGTTGAATCCCTGCTCAAGCTCCTTATTAGCCATATGGCCCGAGAGAAACGGCTGCAACCTCCTGGAAACTCAGTCTTCTCGTCAAAAAAATGGGAAGGAAAATTCCTGTCATACCTAACTATGGGAGCATTCAGAACAATCAGCTGGTTAAGCGGAAAGCTTGTAAATAGATTTCCTCTGTGACACCTCTCCATGGTTCTGCAAGAGGAGACCCCAGTGCTGTGACTCATGGGAGGGAAGCACCTGTTTCCTTCTTAATCAGGTCTCCCTGATTTAAAATTCTATTGATAAAAATTTATCTTTAAAAAGTCCACCATGATAGCTCATGTCTGTACTCACAGCTACTCAGGTGGCTGAGGCTGGAGGATCACTTGAGCACGGGAATTTGAGGCTGCAGTAGGCTGCGATTGTGCCATGGAACTCCAGCCTGGGCAAATAGAGTGAGATCCCTTCTCTAAAAAAAATAAAAATTAAGAAATGTATCTGAAGAATATTTGGACAAGTATGCAAAAATATATGCATAATTATGTTCATTTTAGAGTTTTTTGCATTAATAAAAATTAGAAACAACTACATGTCTAACAAAAAGGAACTGACCAAGTAAAGAACGGGGCTTCCATGCAATGAAATTCTATGCAGCCATTTGAGATCAGAAAAACCTTTTTAAAAATCTTGGGATTCACCTGTTTATAAAACCCTGAAATTCTCTTTTCTTCAAACCAGATTTTGTCTATAAAATTTAAATACATGGAGTAGGTTTTTAGAAAAAAATGAAACAGTTGCCTTAGTTACGGTTAGGTAGGGAAACAAAGATCCTGCCTCTTAGCCCCTTTCCACACTAGCCACCCAGTACTCCTTACGCATCTCCCCAGATCTCTGGGATTTGAAGTGATAATACAAGGATAAAACTATACAGGGACAGATATTATCTTCTCAGTACTTCATGTGGGTCCCGCATTCTGCATTATATCATTTAATTTTCACAGCAAGCCTGATACAAGATGAGCATTTGCTTACCAACCCATTTTGCAGATGGGAAACCAAAGTCTCTAGGCCAAGATCCCCTGAGTAGAAAGAACCAGGATTTAATCACTAAAGTCTGAAACTAAGGGCTAGGCTCTAATGGGAAAGTGGTGAGTAGAAAAGTCAGCTAATAAATTCATATGCAGGATGCTAGTTTCCTGGTTGTGATCATGAACCATTGTTATAAAAGATGGGGGAAGGTGGATGAAGGACACACAGTAACTCTACAAGGTTCTTACAACTTTTTGTAAGTCTGAAGTTATTTCAATGTAAAATAAAATTTAAAATAGCATGTCGAATGAGATCCTATTTGGTTGTGTGTGTGTGTTTATAAATCAAGTTGGTTAACAGTACAAAAAATACAGTTAGAAGGAATAAGTTCTAGTATTAGGTAGTACAGTAGGAAAATTACAGTTAACAATAATTTATTGCATATTTCAAAATAACTGGAAGAAAAGATGTGTAATACTCCCAACACAAAGAAAAGATACATTTTTGAGGTGATGGCTACCCCAATTACTTTGATTTGATCACTACACATTGTATACAGGTATCAAAATATCACATGTATCCCCAAAATATGTAAAACTAATATGTATCAATGAAAAAATTAATTAACTTGAAACTTAATTTCTATACTTTTTGATATTTAAAATGGGGATCACTTTTACTCACTTGTCAAAACTAAATGTATAATTTAACAACACTCACCTTCATCTCTAGGTGAGAGTTTGCAGGCAATTTCTTTTTTCAAAAAATTATCTAAATTTTTAATTTTTTTCTTCAATGACTATGCATGATGATTTGTGTAATCTTTTTAAAAAGTTTAAACAATCATCTGGGGCCAGCTAAATACCTATCCAGGTCCTGCCTCTGTAATCCAGTGGTAAGAGATTCGATTGGTTCTCCCCAAACTCTTTCTTTGTGGAGTTTCAGAAAGCCAGATGCATATCAGGTCCTGTTTCTCTGCCATTCCCACCTGCCTGTCATTGCAGAGACTCCCAGTTTCTTGTCTCTTCCCAGAAGACACTATAGAAGCCTCCAGACCACGTGGCGGGTGGGGTGATGAGGGAGAGCGCTGCACACTTACAAATTACCGCAGCAAAATGGATTGCCTTGACAAAATGTAATGTTTTGTGACAGAGCCCAAATATGCATTTCATTCTTGAGAAGCAGACTCAAGGAACTCGTTGGAAATATTAAATTAAGCAGTGTAACAGCTGAGATAATTGGGTTTTCTGCCCTGTTGCCTGTGATTTTGTGTGGCGTTTGAGGCGGTTGGGCAGTTCTGTTTGACTGGGGAATGGGAGAGGCCCCTGGGAAGCTCTTGGAAAGTGGAGGTTGGGTGTGGTTCAACCTTATGTTGAGATGGGAGAGACCCTGAGCACCACCAATCCTCTGGGTCCTCAAATCAAAATCTCCCAGCTAAAAATGATTGCAGAGGCCATGTGGTTTGATGCCTGCCCCCATTTCATGGATGAAGAAACTGAGTCCTTAGGGAGATGGCTTAGCAAGATAATGGCAGAGCTGAGACATAAACTGCTGACTTTGAAAAGCTTTTTCCACAATATCATCCCTCCTCTTTATTATGGTCCTGCAACCGCAGGGCTTTGAGCCATTTTGCTTGTAATGCGCCCCAAAGATCCTGGGTTCTGGGATAGATAGACACATTGCAGGTGACAGTGCAGCCTCTCCTTCACTGGGGGAACCTTCTGCAAGTCTTGGCTGCTCGGAGCCTCAGTTTCCCTCTGTAAAATGGGGGTCAGCATGTTTGCATTGGAGGGAATGCAATGAGATTTTTAACAGGGCTGATTTGTAGATGAACCCCCTGTGGATATGGTTAAAGACGAAGATTTTGATTCAGCAGGTCTACAATGGGGCTGGAAATCCTGCATTTCTAACGGGCTCTGCAGGGATGTTGATGCTGCTGGGATCATCCTTCAAAGAGCAAGTTTATAACATATAGAACTGCTCAACCAGGGCTTGGTATGCAGTAGGCACTCTATCAATACACTCCCTTTATTCTCCTGTTATTCCTTCCAGGACTTTGTCCTAACCTACATTTCTGAAAACTCAGCCAGAAAGAAGATGGGAGGCAGGCAGCACGTCTGATGGGTCCCTTGGGAGCCATAAACATCCAATTCAACCTTGTGTGCTCCTGGTCCTCACCCGAAATGACCAGGCCAACTTTGTGGAAGGGGTGAGTCATGGCTGACAAGCTTTGCAGGCCTCCACAGCGGCACACTACAGAACTCAGCAGGGGAAATATTTCCACGTTTGCACATTTTCCAGCAGTTGGTCCAGGAATGCATGCCCAGTTAGCCTTGGCACACACTGGCCCAGCCCAGTACTGCCTCTCTGATGTCAAGGGAGTTTCTTTTTCAAGTCCAACTCAAAACACATTCCTGGACACCCAGAAATAAAGCTGGAAAATGGAGACCCTCTCTCTGTCTCTGGGCCACCCTCTGAGATGCCTTTCATCTTACAGCACTGACAAGATCATGTGGAAACTGATTCAGTCAAGTAGCCGCTGTGTGACCACAGCCAAGGCATCTCCCTTCTCTGAGCCTCAGTTTCCTCATCTATAAACTCTCAGCTGTGGAGTATGGAGCTTATGGATATGGATCCTGGAGTTTCCATCAGTTTCAATCCCAGCTCCATCACTTCCAAACTAGGTGAACTAGCTCTCCAATTCTCAGTTTCCTGATGTATCAATACAGGTTAACAGTAAAGTCTACCTCACAGCCCAGCTCTGGGAATTCAGCAAGATGAAAACTTATGTAATCTCAGCTCAGGGTTGGGCATAAGACAAGAGTTCAGCAAGTGCTATTATTATTTGCAAACATGAAAATTTATCTACCTACTGATTTACTGCTGGACTTTGATCTTGATTGGTGTCTACCCCAAATTGCTACTTCAATGTAATCAGCAGCTTTTATGGAGTCACTTAGGGATGATGATATTAACTTGCCAAAAGTTATTGGACGTTTATAAACCAGGCATTGTTCTCAATTCTTTACTTGTGTTATATGACAGATAATTCTCACAACAACTCTGAAAGATTGATTACGGTGAAAAATATAGTATTATTCTCTATTTTACCAATGAGGAAACTAAGGCACAGGAAGCTTAAATAACTTGCTAGAGGTCACACAGTTGAAGTATCAGTCAGGTATGGCCACAATAATGTTACATGACACGTGACCATAGACATCTTGGAGGAAAACAAGTGTTGACTTCTCCCTCATGCATGTAGGAGTTAATGGGGGTCTCCAAGACTGGTCTTGACTGAGCTCAGCCCCAGATCTTCTCCACTGATCTCCCATCCTCCTTGGACCTACAACTACTCATGGCAAAAGGCAAGGTCCCATGGGCCAGAGGAAACCACATGTTCAAGCCCAGAGTCAAGGGTTGGGGGAATATTTGTCCCCACACCTTGAAGCCCCAGCAAAGGTGTGAACATGTCATCTTCCTACACAGAAGTCAAGAACTGAGAGCATTAATTCAACATCCCACAGCTGATGGGGGATGGGGAGAGGAGTGAGGCAATTGACCCAGAGAGACTGATGGAAGAACTTGTTATCGTAACTGCTGTACCAGAAGTCTCTCTATCTCCTTAGAGTGTTGAGTAAACATGTGTAGAATGCTGCTCTCTGAAAACAGCTCTAGGTGGCTCAATCATGGCTTATGTAAGACTATTTGACATAATTTTATAGAAGATAAAATATTGGAATAATGTCCACTTTCCTTTGAGAAAGTCTAGGGAAGCAGTATTATTTATTTATCCATCCATGCATGAACCCATTAATACACCTACCATAAAATCCATACATCCATTTATCTATTCATCCACCTGTCCTAAAATCCATCTCTCTATCCATCTGTCCATCAACCTACCCACCTAGACATCTTTACATTTATCCATCCATCCATCCAACCATCCATCCATCCATCCGTCCATCCATCTCTCCTAAAATTAATCCAGTCATCCATCCATCTATCCTTTCATCCATCCATCCATCCATTCATCTACCCAGATGAAACATCCATTTATCTATCCACTTATCCATCCATCCATTAATCCTCCCATTCATCCACCTCTCCTAAAGTTCGTCTCTATATCTATCCACCCAACAACCCGCCTACCCACCCAACCACCCAAACATCCACCCATCTATCCACATCTCCTGAAATCCATCTCTCTATTCATTCATGCACCCAATCTATCCACCTACCCTACAATATCTCATCCATGTACCCATCCATCCACCTATGTTATAATCCACCCATCCCTCCATTTACCTATCCATCCAACAAATATTTATTGAGCTCCTATTATGTGCCAGACACTGTGCTGTACGGCAAACCCAGACCTGGTCTCCGCATTCAAGGTGCTTACAGTCTAGCAGAGCAGACAGATTCACCAGATAACCATACAAATAAACATACAATTCAAATGGAGACAAATGATACGGAGAAGAAGAATGAGGGGTGGTGAGAGGTTAGAAAAGGGGGCCTGACTTAGGTGGGATCAGGGAATGGCATTTATGGAAGGATCAGAGGGATGAATAGGAGCTAAGTAGATGAAAAGGAAAGAAAAGAGCCTCCCAAGTGGTGGGAAAACCTTAGATGAAGGTTGAAAATCAAGCGATGGAAAGGAATATAGATTTCTCCAAGAGCTATTAAGAGTCTGTAACTGGTCCTCAGCAAACAAAATGAGTTGTGGTGTGAGTGGGTGCTGGGGAGGGCTTCAGGGCCAGCCTTGCAGGGTCTTGTAGGCTGGGGAAGGATATGATTCTATATTTAATAGGGAGACAAATGTCCCTACAGGTGAGGAGGTCCAAGATTTGGGAGGCTAGGCTGTTGCAAGTACCCAGAAGGCCCTGCAGCTCTGCAAACATGGTTGTGGGAACTCTGAGGCTACAGTGGGGAGAGTAACTGAAAGGACCCTGTGTAGCCACTGCATCTGTGGCTCTGCTCAGGGCCACACATCTCCCAGGGTGCCAGCCACAGTCTGCCAACTCCTGCACCCCACAGTGCTGCTTAGCCCAGAAAGTTCATGTCTGGATTCAGATGGACATAGGGTTGATTCCGCAGCCCCATCATTTCCTCAATATGTGACATTGGGTAAGTTATTTAACCTCCCTGAGCCTCAGTTTTTCCATCTGCAAAATGGTGGTAATAGTTGGTGGGACAGAACTATGTCCCAATGTCCAGAACTCCCTCTTCAGCCTTCCCTAGAAATGAAGAAGGAGGCCTTAGCCTCTCAGACTGAGGTCTGTGTTGTTCATGGAGCCACATTCTATGAGAGGCTCATTGCATTTTAGTAGAGAGTGGGTACACTGCATTAGAAGATGCTGGACAGTGATGTGCCCTCTGTAGCCCTCTCTATCACTTGAACCCCTGTGGCTGGATGGTCCTTCAGGGCTAAAGCCTTCTCTGCTGACCTGACAATTGTAGCCAATGCCAAGAGGCACTAGGAAGCCTTGCGAGGTCTGTAGTTAAGAGACAGTCCCCAGGCTGCAATCAGATTTATTACCATGCCTGCCATTTATGCAACAAACTCGTGTTGAGTTCTTACCATGTGCCAGGCATGTGTCCTGTGCTGAGAACGCATAGCACCATGGAATCCCAGTGTGTTAGATGCCCACAGACTGGAAGTGGGGCAGATGTGTAGGGTAGGCTTACAGACCAGTGTGGAAAACACCCTAATCGATGTATGAACAAGTCTTTCCAGATCATAAGAGGGGGAATGACTACTCTCTAGGTAGAGAGTATTTGAGATGGCACTTAAGCATCTGCAGGAATTCGCAAAGCTTACAAGCACGGAAGAGGCATCCAGGCACAGAGGAGTGGTGCTGATGGTGCGGGAGGTAAAGGACACAAGGGCAGGACCCGCTCTGGTCTTCTCTTCTGCTATGGCCTCCAGAGCCTGAACCTTCCGCAAGACTTGCTGAATACTGTGGCCACTTAGAACCACGCTGACAATTGCAAGTGTCCCTTGCTTTATATTTTTTCACGTGCCAACAAACATAGGATCAGTCTACACATGTGTCTTGCTTAAGATCCAAAGGTGGCACAAGTAGCTATGATAGCTATGCCTGCTGTCAGCTCCTCTGTGCACCCCAGATAGTTCTAAAAACTTGATATGGAACGCTTTACTTCATTGGATCCTCTCTGCGTGAGGTTAAAAACAAAAAAGATATACTGGATTAGGAATTTGGAGACTTGGTTTCTAGCACAATGTGACTTTGAGTGAACATTTCTCCTCTCTGAGTCTTGCTTGACCCATTTGCCCATCTGTACAGTGAATGAATGCCAGCCAAAGGCCCTTCCTATTCTACCAATGGGAATTCTCTTCTTTAAGTCGGTTTTCTTATTTTATATCATCTCTCTCTTCTCAATAGGCAGGCAGTTGCTCAGGAGGGTAACATGGGGATACCCAAACTTGTAATTCATTTTAACACTGAGAATATCCAACTACTGAAATCAACCACAAGAGACTGGGAATGGAGTTCTTTTTAAGCTCCTGCTCTAGGTACAGTTGCCTTCAGATTGTCCTTTAAATATGCTATTCTTCATTCATTCATTCATTCATTCATTCATTCATTCATTCTTGCATCACTCACTGGGCATTCCCGCAAGTTTGATATTGGGCACACACAACGCTGGTACATCATTTTCCTTTCTCTTAAGATTTCTTATCTCCCAACTCAAAGGGTATTGTCCCCCCATCTTCATTTTATTATATAGTCATTTATTTATTATTTGTTTGTTCTCAAACCCCAAAGCCCTTCAGTTTAGCAGATGTGCCAGCAAACTTCCCCAAACATGGTTGTGTGTGACATTGATGGAAATAGTTTATGATCAATTTCAAGGGCCCTGATGATCTTTTTTTAATAAGGCACCGCTATGGGTGTGCAGCAAACTATGCCATTGTGATTTCACGAGATACTTGCTATGAAATCGAAAGCCGCCACCCCTCCTCCCTTCTTCCAGACTTAAAACGATGGTGCCTCCTTGGGGAGTGTCTATCAGTGGCTTCAAACCCCTGGTGTGGCTGCTACAGGATAAAGAATTTTCTCTCTAGGGGGCCCTCGCTCAAGGTCTGCAGGCAGCAGTATCTCTTCAGGTGTGGTCTAAGCCTCTGGGAATGGGCCCAGGAATCTGCATTTCCACAAGAACCTCAGGACAGTTTTATGTCCTAAAATCTGGACTCTGTCTCCTATCATTTGAAAGAAAGTAGGGTAGAAAGGAAAAAATAATCATTAAAGTCCAATATATTTGCACATCCTAGTTAATTATCTTCAGATTTAGGGAAATATGAAGTGTTATATATGGCACCTACACCCTCTTTGTAGTGTTGCCCATGGATGGACTGGCTTGGTACCTACTAAGAGGGTTTCATAATTTATCTCTTATCCCTCCTCCAACTCTACCTGAAAAACCAGAGAATACTCCCTTCCTCAATTACATTATTCCCCAAACACACCATAACTTCCAGCCTTTCTGTCCATTAACCTCTTTTCCAGGAATGTCTTTACTTCTAATAGGTCTGCCTGTCATCAAACTCTTATGCATCCCTCAAAACCCAACTTGAAACTCACCACTTCCTCCCAGCTTGGTTAATTATTCTCTTCTTCCTGCTTCTGCCGTTGAACATTCCACACTGTAGCAACAATATGATTTGCCAATTATTGAACCCCACTGTGAGTCTGGTACTGTGTTCAGCCATTGAGATATTAGAGTGTTCACAAAAAAAGGAAAGCACATTATTTCTGTTTACAAGTATTCTGCCCTGTGATCGTCCAGTGCAAAAACTGAGCCTCATTCCCCTAGTCAGAGTAATTGCTCAAGTCCCCTTGGAGGGACTGAAATTCACACGCCCATCTCACCAGCTTGGATCAGCCAGAAAGGACGGGCCAAGGGAGTCTAGAAAGAAACCGCTCAGCCATGACAGAAGAAGGGCAGAGCAGAGCCTTCACCTTCCTCCAAGCCCTGGCTTGAGCAGAGCTAGGCCCCAGCTGGAGTCATAAGTAGGAAAAGTGCTTGTTGATCTTGTACCTTCCTACCCTTGCTACAAAGTCAGATCCCTACTCAGCAACCACAGAAATACCAGCCCCAGGCAGAGTTTTAGGTTTCCTAGAATGAAGGCAGTTGGCCTCCAAGTAATCAACACAGTCCTGGTGCCACTTATGTATAGACCCAGAGGACCACAAGGCTGGAAGGCACATACAGGCAAGCCATCCCTCCTTGGCAAAGATGGATGACATCTGTGCCGTCTGATGCTTTTGGTCAGCTTCCGGGCCTTTCACACAAAATCAAGTGCAATGTTTTTTGCTAATTGGGAAACTTGCCCTTGCCCATCCATACATCTTGGTGCTCCCGGTTCCAGCATCAGCAGATCTGACTTCAAATCCTGGCTCTGCTGCTTAATAGCTGTATGACTTTGGAGAACTCACCTAACCTCTTTGAGCAGGAGCTCTCTTACCGCAAAGCGGGAATAACAAAACTTGTCACATGGCTATAGTGTGTCTCGGTGGAGGGAACACTTGTGATGGTTTTGTCCTTCCTTTTCTTCTAAATATTAATGTTCTTCTTATTATATATTGTTATTGCTGTGATTTTCTTGGTCTTGAGATTCTCGCATGATGGAGCTTTCTAAATATCACCTCTGATTATGAAAACTTCGTCTAAGCTCTTCCTCTTTCTTGGCTTTCGATATTTTCTCAAGTGAGATCGCTTTGCTAAATTCATTTTCCTGCCAATCTCCAACTTGATGCATCTTCCTGATCATGCTATATTATGTTTGGCAACATAATGTGATGTGACTCGGGCTGCCGATGACGGATGGGGTACCCGTCAGCAAATGGAACAGCACCCAATTTTCTAAAGAGCATTGTTACAGAAACAAACAGGATGGCCTTTTAACTTGTATTGATTTATTTCTGAAGAATGAGCCCCTCCGCTACTTTTACAAGTGCTGTAATTAGAGGGTAGAATTACCTTTCTGGGGAGAGGGCTCAGTGAGCTCAACAGCATGGATGGGTGGAGTGCGGGATGCAGAGAAACAATGGGGTAGGTGGAGTACAGCCCCTGACACTCCAGAAGCCAGATTTAGTCTAGGAAACCTGGAGGTTAAATACATAAAGAATCCATTCTCCCTCCCTCCCTTCCTGTTTCCCTCCTTTCTTTCTTTTCTGTCTTCTTTCCATCCATCCATCCATCCATTGTTTTATCTATTAATCATCCATCCATCCATCCATCCATCTTCTATCATCATCCATCCACCCATATATTATCCATCCATTCATCTTTTCTTCTTACTCTCCTTCCTTCTTTCTTTTACCTTCATTCCTCTCTTTCTTCTTTCCATTTATTCATCCATCCATCCATTCATATATACATTATCCATCCATTCATTCATATATCCATTATCCATCCAGCTTTTCTTTCATCCTTCCTCTCTCCCTTTCATTTTTCTTCTTTCCTCCTTCATTCCTTCTTTTCTTCCTTTCTTCTTTCCATCCATCCATCCATCCATCCATCCATATATCTGTTATCCATCTATCTTTTCTCCCTCCTTTCCTCCCTCCCCCTTTCCCTCCCTTCCCTTTTCCTTCCTTCTTTCCTTCCTTCCTTCCTTCTTTCCTTCCTTCCTTCCCTTCCTCCTTCCTTCCTATTTCCCTTCCTTCCTTCCTTGCTCTCTCCCTCCTTCCCTTTTCCCTTCTTTATCTCCCTTCTCCCATTCCTCCCTCTCTCATTTCTTCTCTTTTCCTCTCAACATTTTTGAAGGCCATGCTTGGCATGCTGTGGAGGAAAGACTCAGAGGGAAAAGGGTTCAACTCCTAGCCCTACAGTGTGACCTTGGGGATTACTTCCCTCTCTGACACCAGGTTTTCTCACCTCTCTCATCACTCTCACTTTGCTCATTAGCTTCCAGCCACCCTACCTTGGTCTTCTCCTCATTGTCCAGGAACCCCCACCTCTGCCTGTTTGCATTTATTTTCCCCTCTGCCTAGAACATCCTCCAGATAGCCTCATGGCTCCCTGTCTCCCTCTCCTCTGGTCTCTGTCCAAATGACTTCTTCTCAGAGAGGCCTTTCCTGACCACCTCTCCAAAGTAGCATCTTCTGTTACTCTCCAGCCTTCTAACTTGGCTTTATTTTGCTTTTAGCTGGTAGCATCATTTAGCGTATTATGCATTTTATTTAAATTTTATTTTAAATTTTATTTAAAGGGCATCAACTTATTTGATGTCTGTTCAGCAAGGGCTGGAATCTGCACCTTTTTGCCAACTGCCGTGGCCACACTGCCTAGAAGAGAGTCTCACATGCAGTGGACACTTGAATATCTGTTGGGTGGATGAATCCTGAATTGTAGACTTGGGCTGGGATGCAAGTGGCTTATTCAAAGGATGATGCTGGGGAAACAGGAGTGTGGGAACAGGGAGAGAGAAATGGGGAGGAGGAAAGACCAATTTTAGGGAGATGGTCATGGTCACTGCTGCGAATGTGGGTTCTATTCCTTGGGTACCTCTCAGAATTGATCATCCAGGGATCAGACAGTGGGGAGTTGAATCCCAACTCCAGGACCCTATCATTGAGGGTTGACCGTGGGGCCAGTTCTTCTATGGGTTGGTACTCCCATGGTTGTCCCAGGCAAAAAGCAAAAAGCCTCCCAGCTTGTGCATGAAGTGGGCACCATGGCCCAAGTCGAAGCTGTCTGGAACTGTCCTCCATAATCAGGGCTGAAGTCCCAGGAGGGCTGTGGGGTATAAGTCTTCAAGCATTGCCTGGGGCCCTCCCCTCTGACATTGCTGTGGGGTATTACTTCCTGAGAATCTACACTTACAGGAAAAGAAGACATCCCAGAATCCCAGTCTCCACTCTGTCCCTCATACACTGTGACCTTGGACAAGTCACTCACCCTCTCTGGGTTTCAACTTCCCCATTGGTAAAATTAATCATTTAGGCCAGACCATGGTTTCCACCTTATCAAGTCCAGAAACTCTGAGTTTTTTTTTTTTTAATGGTTAAACATGTTGTATGGACTCAATGTTGACAGAAAACCCAGTAAGATAAGGTAATAGAAAAGAGAGGAATAACTGAAGAACAAGGCAATATCTGTGGACATTTTCTAATTTTTGATAGTCTGTGATATTTCTATGCAAAAGTCTCTCTTCTCTTTCTCCCTCCTCTGTTCTCCCTTTTCTCTTCTTCCTCCTTCTCACTCTCCCTCTCCTCTTCCTCTTCTTTCTCCTACTCCTCCTCCTTCTTCCCTACTTTCTATTCCTCATCACCATCCTTCCACTAGAATAGAAGCTCCATGAAGAAAGGGATATCTATCTCTTTTGGCCCCTGCAGTATCCGTAGCATGTAATCCACTGTCTGGCATAGAGTAGGTGCTGTGGCAGGAATGAATGGATAATAACAACAGTGTAAGCTGAGCTTCTATTTGTTAGGCATGAATCAGGACTGAAGGAGGGCAGAGAGGCTCAGAGATGAATGAAACAGAATGGATCCTGAACTTGTGGTGCTCAAGGCACCACCGAGGCCCTTCTGTCCTCCCCAGCAATGCCTGGGGATGGTGGAGGCGAGGTGGAACCCAATCAATACACATTAGCATAGAAGCTGCAGGCAAAACGAGATATGAAGGATCACAAGTTGAAAAAACACAGATGAGGCAGAGGCCAAAAGCCAGCTGGAGGACAGTGCTGGAACTCCTGCAGGTCTCTATCAAGATGGGGTGAGGTCAGGGGCCTTAAGGCCCAGGGATGTCCTGTCCACATTGTGACCACAGAGGAGACAGAGGCAGCAAAATGAGAATCCAAGAGCAGCCAGGGCACAGACACTTGAAAGGATGGCCCTGGAGTCTGTGGGAAACTGGTGGAAAGGTCAGGACCAACTGGAACAGGAGGCTCCCTGCCCAAGTGGGGTTTGCATGCAGGTTCCAGGCAGAGAGGCATCCAATGGCAGAGCAGCCCAACAATTTGGAGCATGGGCTTTGGAGTCAGACAGACCTGGGTTCAAATCCCAGCTCAGCTCCCCTATGCTCCTGTGTGACCTTCACATGTTGCTATGTCTCTCGGAGCCTCAGTCTTCTCCTTTGTAAAACAGGGATCCTCGCCTCTCCCCTTACACATTCTGTTGAGTCTAAGGTTCTAGCACAGACCTGCACAACAGTGAAGGCTAGCTGCTGTTATTCAGTAATGTTAGTAGCCATAGGCTGGGGGCTGGAGTTCATAGGAGACAGCCAGGACTGCTGAGAACAAATTCACAGATCAGTGCTTGGCTGGGGGGATGTCTTTCTCACTGCCTGTAGGACATCTTTGAGGGTGTCTCTTTCTTTATTCAAAGCACAGCTTAAGGGGGAGACCATACTGTTACTGTGAATGTTTAGCTGAGGCTCTCAGCAGGGCCAGCTGATCCCAGAGAGCAAAGACCCCAGAGGCTGTCCCACACAGTGACAGGGCAGGAGGCTGAAAGCCACGTGCGGTCCTGTGAAAAGACCAAATTGCAAAACACCACATTTGTGCCCCCAAAGCATGCAAAGCTCACCACGGATGCTCACTGTGCAGCTGCGCTTCCCAAAATGATACACTCTCAGGAATGTTACAGATCAGAAATTCACCTCTGCTCAGAGCCTGGATTCCAAACTCCAGGCGAGGGAAAATGTTGGATTCCCATTGTGGTGGTTCGGGAATCAAAAGGAAGACATTCAGTGCCTGGGAGGTGGAAGGCGGCATGGGGGATGGGGAGGAGACTGAAGAGGGGCTGCCCCATTTCACACTTGTTTGTTTTTTCAATTGGCAGGGGAAAAGGTCCGAACAGTTTTCACACCTCAGCCCAAGAGATACTAAACTACAAAGAGCCAGTGTAAGCTGAAATGGTTTCAAATCCCAGTTGGCCACTTATGAGATTCCCGCCTTGAGTATGGACAACAGTCACCCACTTCACAGGGAGGAGGGATTAAGGGAGGAAGCCCTTGTGTAACACGGGCTCAAGGCGAACACTCAAAGACTCAATGAACGGTAGTTTCTGTTATTATTGTCACTGAACACGTTGATTGACTGTGACACAAATTCCACCTCTTTACCCAGAATCTCCCACCTGTGAGCTTAGTGAGGCCCAGTCTCAGCATCCAGTGTGATTCTCCCAGCACCAGGGCCGGTGGACTTCACCTTCTCCAGTCACAGATGGGGCTACCAAGTCACATAGGGGTCTGCTGGGGCTTCCATAAGAAAATACCACTGCCTCAGAGGCTTCAACAGCAGAAACTTATTTTTCCACAGTTCAGGAGGCTGGAAGTTCAAAATCAAGGTGTTGGCAGATTTGTTTGTTCTTGAGGCCTTTCTCCTTGGCTTGGGGATGGCCGCCTTCTCGCTGGGTCCTCACGTGGTCTTTCCTGTGTGTGCACAGCCCGGGTGCTTCCTGTACATGCTCGTCTCTTAAAAAAAACATCAATCAGATTAGACTAGGATCCACCTCAAAGACCTCATTTTAACTTAATTACCTTTTAAAAGATCCTCTCTCTAAATACAGTTACTCGAGGGAGTTAGTTAAAGTTTCAACATACGAATTGGGAGGGGGGCGCGATTTGGCCAGAACACTCAGCGCATAAGTGGTGATATGAGAGGGCCACCCTGAACCCATGTCCTTTCCTTTCAGCCACGCCCTCCCCAAGCCCTTTGCAAATCCTGCTTCAAAGCCCTCACCCCTCTGTTCACTCGCACCTTCAAGATTTGCAATCCCGAGCTAACCTTCAGCACCTTCCAGGGTCCAGAGTTGCAGGCAACAACCTGCTCTGGCCTCCATGTGGAAATGTGGGCTAAGAAGTAGATGTCCTTTCATCTCAGGCATGAAAGGTATCTGTGCTCAGGAAAAGCCTTCAGCAGGAAGCGACGCCTACCTACACGCAGGCTTTTACAGGCTACTTTTGTGTTTGGACTATTTATGTATTATTTGGTTCAGAGTTACCTCCCTTCAGACCATAGAGGCTCCAATTCTTTTTTTTTGTTTTTTGTTTTTTGTTTTTTTTGAGATGGAGTCTCGCTCTGTCGCCCAGGCTGGAGCGCAGTGGCGCGATCTCGGCTCACGCAACCTCCGCCTCCCAGGTTCAAGCGATTCTCCTGCCTCAGCCTCCCGAATAGCTGGGACTACAGGCACGTGCATAGGGGCTCCAATTCTGTTTCTTACTAGGATACTCTCTTTCTGCAAGCTTAGGAACCCTTAGGAACCCTTGTCATTCTCTTTTCCTGGGACTCCCCTCCTCTCCTTACTCTTTCCTTCTTTTCTTTTCCACGGGGAGCCTCAAATCACAAATATGTCTGGGTAGGACAATGTCTTCCACTAAGG
Source organism: Homo sapiens (assembly GCF_000001405.40). Lineage (NCBI taxonomy): Eukaryota > Metazoa > Chordata > Mammalia > Primates > Hominidae > Homo > Homo sapiens. The sequence continues at coordinate 27,158,549 of NC_000022.11, read as the reverse complement.
GGGGAATATTGGGGTCATCTTTTATTAAGAAGAAAGCGATTGAAATGACACACTTGAACATATTGCTATTAGAAGCTTGAAAAGTATTTCCCTCATTAACGTAAAAGGGAAAAGGGGAGCTAGCAATCTTGTTGATCAGCAGCTGCAATTTATTTTAAACTGTCCATTTTCTGGATGTCAGAGGACGACTTTTATGTATAATCTTATTTCCAATTTCAACAAAGAACACTTCACTCATGTTCTGTGCAGATTTTTTTTCATAGACAATAACCGATTATAAAAGCGGTTCTCAGCCACCCACCGCCCCCCCGCCCCATCTCGTAGTGGTGTTGACATATGGAAATGAATCAAAATGTAATACGCATAATTACAAGCATTGTAAGCAGGGTACAATTAGTGTCTCTTCAAAGCAATGTTGTAATCAAAAGGCACCACTAAAACAGTCCAAGGAGTGAGAAGACTATCCAAGGAATTAGACACGGATTGGAAGGAAGTTTCTTTCTTTTTTTTTTTTTCTCCTCTCTTCTCCTGTGTATAGATACTAAAGTTGCCTCCTATTCTATTCCTGAGTGGGTGCAGAGAAATCAATTCTAATTATTTTCTCCACCCATCGAGTTGAACACAGACAAGGAAGCCTCGCTTTAAAAATAAACCCAGCCACATGGAAGGGGGGGAGGTCTCTTTTTTGAAGCTTATATTTGGAGAGTGTCTTTTAATGTCACAAATCCCTGGGGAAGTGTCAGGAATGAGCTGGCCAACTGGGTCCCTGTTGGGAGAATTATCTCCCTGGATGCCTTCTGTGTAGCCAAACCGCATTTTAGGATAGAGGTGAGGGCTGGGGGTGGGGCCGGCGGTTGGGGGGTGGGGGGTTGTTTTTACAGTAGTTGTAAAATTTCAGTGCATTTTTTTATATCGAATCCTTTGCCAACATTTAAAAATAAGGAGGTGTTCGCATCAAAGTTGTGATTTTCACCACCTCCTGAGAAATGACGGGAGCTGACCACATGTAACCCACACCCTCATGGGACATCCTTCACTGGTGCCTGGCACCAGCGGGCCCTGGAAACAGGATGGGTGACTCCTGTTCACCATCTATTCCCAGCCCAGCTCCTGTGAGTATCTTATTTTTGCCTCCATTACTGAATGTAATGAACCATGGGGGCCCTGCTCACCTGCCACTTGCAAAGGAGCTACTGTGCCTGGCCACTTTCCCTTTCCCTTAGTCCCCTGCATTTACCACTTTCTTCCATCTCTCTGAGATGCACTTTCCTCCCGAAAATTCCTATCACCACCCACTCCCGCCCAGCCCAGCTTTGGCGTCTCCTCCACTAGAAGGTGTTCACTGGCCATTGCCACCTACCCCCCAAAACCTCCAAGCAGCATCCGTCACCCTTGACCTTGTGCGTGCCTCTTTGAATGAACTCTTCACACCACAGCTCAACCCCACCTCAAGGTTCATCTGGGCGTTTTTCCCTCGCCTGCAAGCCCCTTGGAAGTGAAGGCCCTGCCTTCTTTATGGCTACATCCCAAATGCAGAATAGAATCTGGCACATGGGAGGTGTGAAGTCCTTGTTTGAATTTTTGAATGAATTATTCAATGAGAGCTGCCTCTTTGTTGTCTCCAAAGGGAGGCTGGAATAAGAAAAAAGGAGAAAGTGATGATTACAGAGAACCCACTCTGTACCTGCCATTCGGCCTAGGTTGGGCCCCATAAGTTAAAGAGAGAATCTCAGGCTCCACCTTTCACCTTAAAATTGATCAGCTGTTAAGACATTGACCCCCCGCCAAAAGCCAGTCCTCAGTGTAAGGTAAAATCTGATACCAGTGGTTAAAATCTTCTTTAAATATCAATCTAGTTACCTATACACACATTTATATTGCGATCTGTACCTACAATATCTTTCATCTAAATCTCATTTCAGTTTTGGGTTGATCATAACAGCAAGCATTTGAAAACTATGGAAAGACCCATCACTAAGGCACTAGTTTGACATATTGCGCTGTATTTAAGTACTGGAATATTCTGACACCACGAACATCAGATGGCCACTTATGAGCACAAGAAGGAATTCATCCAAGGGCATAAGTCAAACCATGATGGGACATGAGGGGGCTGCCATGTCTGAAAACCATGGCTCTTCATCTATAAACACATATGTGAGAGAGATGGTTAGAACTGTTTGAGCTAAATGTTAAGTATGGTCTTCCTAAGCAAGGAGCTTTCTGATGATTTTTGTTATAAGTTTCCATTCTCCCAGAATATTTCATATTAATTGTGACTTTTTTTCCCCAAAGCCCTAAAATGGCTGTAAGCTCATTGCTCTGGTATCTCATTTTCCCTTCCTCTCCTGTCTGATTGCCTGACCTTCCCTGCAGGTGCCATGATCAGTGTGTGATGGAGTGGGTCTGGGCCAATTTCTCCCATTTTGGCAAAGTCTCAGCTGACTTTGTTCGCGTTTTCAGTTCCAGAAGTCAAGGCCCCATATTGAGCTGGATTTTGCAAATATTTGATCCTGAAGCAGAGTCATCAAAAGTTCAGATGAGAAGGAGCCATGGAGATGATCAAGAATAAGCCCTATTTAGTGCAGATGGGGACACTGAGGCCCAGGAGAAGGGTGTTGGAAATAGCCGGTAGTCAGAGCCAGGCGTAGCTGGCTCAGAATGCTGGTTCTGTCACTTCCTGGCTGGGTGATCTTGAGCCAGTCCTTTCCCCTCTGTGTTATTCCATCCTGTATCTCATTTATAAAACTGGAAAAATAATAGCAATTTCAGCTAAGGGTTATTCTAAGGATGAAATGGGAGAGTAACTGGGCCTGAGCTTTTGAAAACTGCAAAACACTCTCAGATTAGAATTCTCACCATGAACTTGAACGAATATCCCCAACCATGGGAAATATATATATATATATTTATTTATTTATTTATTTATTATATATAATAAAAATTATATATATATAATAAAAATCGGGCTGGGTGCAGTGGCTCATATCTATAATCCCAACACTTTGGGAGGCTGAGACAGAGGACCTCTTGAGTTCAGGAATTTGAGATCAGCCTGGGCAACATAGCAAGACCCCATCTCTACAAAAAACAAAAAATTAGACAGCCTTGGCGGTGCACATCTATAGTCCCAGCTATTCCAGAGGTTGAGGCAGGAGGATTGCTTGAGCACAGGAGTTCAAGGCTGCAGTAAGGTATGATTGTGCCATGCACTCCAGCTTGGGAGACAGAATGAGACCCCATGTCAAAAAAATAAAATAAAATAAAAATTCGGATCATCAGAACACTGGAGCTCCTGGGAAGACTATACCAATCTCACATTTGCCGAGATTTGGAGTCTACGCTGCTGGGACTGAGTGGACCCTGGGATGTTCTTATTTCCCCTAGAGGCTGCCCTCTCCCCTCAATGAACAGCTTAAACTTTCTTACAAATGCCTCCTGGCTAAGGGCCTTCTGGGGACACTCTCAGAGGGTGTCTCTCCTGGGTTGGGGATCCTCTAATCAAGAAAAAGTGGTGGAGGAGGAAGTTGTGAGGAGAAGCAATAATCAACTCCGGGTCAGCAAGGCGGCTGACCAGGGGCCTAGCAGGAGGAAACCTCTCTGGAAAGGGCTCCCACCCAGCCGGCTCTCCCACAATGCACCAGGTGCCTTCTGCTGATAAGAACGGGCCGCGCAACCTTGAGGCGTGCGACAGGAATAGACGAGAAACGTGTCTATTCTTGAGGTCTGTAAAAGGAAACTCCTGTTTGCTGAAGAGCAGGCCGATAGGAGAGGAAAAGGGTCAAGGCCTTGGGTGTTATTTCCCCTCCGATTTTTTTGTTTTGTTTTGTTTTGTTTTGTTTTCCACTTTTTTTTTTTTTTTTAACTAAAGGGAAAAGGGAATGTTGCATTTACCTGGGAGGGTGGATGGCAAGATGTGGAGATTTAAAGGAGTTGGAATGAGCTCTGAGATTTCAACCCTGAAACTGTGATTTTGTCCTGAGTGTGAAGTTGTGGAAGACTTTTATTTCTTCTTTATCCTTTGCTAAATTTTGCCAGATATTCTTATTGTGAGTAAGCACTGTGCTTCTAATGAGGAAAAAATTAAATAAAAGTTGGCTTTGGATGCAAGTTTTGAATTTCATGTCTGTCTTTCATTTTTATTTTTAGAAATAGGGTCTCGCTTGTTGCCCAGGCTGGAGTACAGTGATGCAATCATAGCTCCCTGCAGCCTTCAACTCCTGGGCTCAAGTGATCCTCCTTCCTCAGCCTCCCAAGTAGCTAGGACGACAGTATACTCCACAATGCCCCATTAATTGTTATTTTTTATTTTTTTGTAGAAACGGGGTCTCCCTATGTTGCCCAGGCTGGTTTCAAACTTCTAGCCTAAAGTGATCCTCCCTCCTTGGCCTCCCAATGTGCTGGCATTACAGACATGAGCCACCGTGCTTGTCTGGATTTCATTTCCTGTTTGCTCTGAGTACAGTTACTAAAGCAGAAGAGTATGTTTTCTGTGATCCAGGGACAATCTCCAAGTGCGGTACTGCTCATCTAGAGAAGATGGACAAGACGGTTACATGCCCCACACTCCATTGCTGGGGAAATGTTCTGGAAAACAGCTGGGCAGTTTCTTATGAAGTTAAACATACACTTATCATATGACCCAGCATTCTCACTCCTGGATATTTACTGTAGAGAAACAAAAATTTATCTTCACACAAAAATCTATACATGAAAGTTTGTAGCAGGTTTATTCATGATAGCCCCAAACAGGAAATAACCCAGATGTCCTTCAATAGTTGAGTGTTTAAACAAACTGTGATACATTCATGTGATGAAATACTACTCAGCAATGAAAAGGGAAAGATCATTAATACATGCAACACCCTGGATGGATCTCAAAGGCATTATGGCAAATGAAAGAAAGCCAGTCTCAGAAGGCGATGGGCTGGGTGATTCATTTCCATAACATTCTCGAAGTGACATCATTACGATGGTGGAGAACCCATCAGTGGTTACCAAGAGTGGTTGGGGTGGGGTGTGGCTATCAGGGGTAGCCTGAGTTTTTTTGTGATGATCAACAGTTGTGTATCTTGGTCATGGTAATCGTTACTCAAATTTATATATGATAGGATTTCATGGAATTTTATACACACACACACACACACACACACACACACACACACACATGCAAAGTTCACATAAAAGTATAGAAATCCAGGGCTGGGCATGGTGGCTCATCCCTGTAATCCCAGCACTTGATTGAGTCCTGCTTGAGTCCAGGAGTTCCAGACCAGCCTGGGTGACATGGTGAAAACCTGTCTCTACAAAAAAAAAAAAAAAAAAAAAAAAAATACAAAAATACAAAAAAAAACAACAACAAATCTCCAGTGAAATCCAAATTAGGTTATTTTCGAATTAATAGTATTATACTAATGTCAATTTACAGGTTTTGATAACTTTACTATGGTCATGTAAGATATTATCATTAGGGGAGGCTGGGTGAAGGGTACATAGGAACTCTCGTGACAATTTTTGCAACTTCTTGGGAATCATAAACTATTTACAAATAAAATCATATTAAAAATATGAAAAGAAAAAATATTTTTAAAAAATCTACCTCCAGCTGGCCCTTAGGGTTAGTGGTTGAGGATAGAAAGGCAAATGAGGGCTATTTGAAAGAAACTCAAGACATGGTTCAGCATGCCCCTGAATGTCAATGTGGCCACAATTAGCAAACATCACCTCCAGAACCAGTGAGGCCTGGAAGAATCATAAAGTACAAAAGTCATGGCAGCAACAGTAGCTAATTATTCTCTTCCAACTGACTTATTGCTATTACCATCCTAAATTTTCAACAACAATGACAGCAATGAAAAACAGTCTCTAATGTCAGTAGCAGAACTACCCAGTGGTTGGGATTATGGATTCAGGATTCAGGAAAATTTGGTTGATGATGGCTTCTCTATCAAATAGCTGTGTGGTTCCAGGCAAGTATATTTTCCTAGCTTCTCTGAGTGATATATTGTCCATATAAAAATTGGATGCATCAGGATCCTTTCAGATTTGAGTAACAGAAACCCAATTCAACTTGCGTGAGAGACGAGGAATGTATTAGTTCGCAGAACTGTAAAATCAAAAGCTCTACTAGCTTCAGATATGGTTGGATCTAGGTGCTCACAGAGTGTTCTCAGAACTGTATCTCATCTCCACTCTGCTTTCTTTGTGCTGGTTTCATTCTTAGGCAGGACCTTCCCTCATGATGACAAAGGGGATGCCAATAACTCTAAGCCTACATCCTGTTATTGTTCAGCCCTTGTCATTGAAAAAACAGCCCTTTCCTGATAGTCACAGCTAAAGTCCTGCAATCAAGTCTCATTTCTGGAATTTATCACATGCCCATCTCTCTGACCATCACTAATACCAGAGGAATGGAACGCACTTATTAATCAGGGCTAAACCATGGCTGGACTCCTGCTCTCCCATAGCAGTCAGAGAACAACCCTATTAGAAGCACATGAGAATGTTTTTCGGGAAGAAAATCAACATATCTTTAGCATAAAGAAGGAAGATTGGAAATTGGGCTGGCAGAATCAACAGATGTCAGGAAAAGAGGAAAATAGCATCATTATAAGGACAGAATATTACATGAGACGGTTAAAGCACCCATTAGGAGGTTAACAAAGAGCTTTTCTCAACGAAGCACAGTGGCTCATGCCTGTAATCCCAGCACTTTGGGAGGCCGAGGCAGGTGGATCACTTGAGCTCAGGAGTTCGAGATCAGCCTAGGCAACATGGTGAAACTCCATCTCTACAAAAAATTTTTAAAAAATAGCCAGTGATGGTGGCAGGTGCCTGTAGTCCCAGCTACTAAGCAGCCTGAGGGGGGAGAATCACTTGAGCCAGGGAGGCAGAGGTTGCAGTGAGCTGCGATCACAACACTGCCCTCTAGCCTGGGTGACACAATCAGACCCTGTCTTAAAAAAAAAAAAAAAAAACAAAAAAAACAAACTTTTCTCTTTTCTCCACTTTCACTGGTCAATACTGTTATGAAATGAATCTGGTGCTTTGAAGAATTCAGCCTGCCATTTGCACCCACTCAGCTGTCTCAGGCAAGTCCCTCAGCAGCACCTGGCTCCCTTTCTTACAGAGCCTTCCCCAATCCTGAGCTATTTTCCATTAGTCCCCATTTGAGATTTTGCCTTCCTTACCAAACTGCTTGCCTTTGAAGAGTCTCATTTCTTCTTTCCTTTGAAAATTAGGGCCAGCCAGCATGAATGGCTGTGTGCCAGGCACAGTGCTAGACACTCTTCATTGTAAATTGTCACCCTAAGGGCAGATGGCATAGCTCCATTTTGCAGATGAACAAACTGAGTTTCAGAGGGGGACCAGCACATAGTTTGAAAATGGCAGAGCCTGATCTCAAACCCAGAGGCTTCAAATGCCATTGGCTTCAGAAGAAACCCCCTCAGTATCCCACAAGATTTCACCAGCGAAATTCAACCGGCAAAGCAGACCCAAGCATGGAACCTCCCCCACCTGCTCCAGTTTCTCCTGTTCCCATTCTAATGGGCTGCTATTTCTCTCTCTCTCTTTATGAAGCTGATCTACTGGAGACCAGGGCATTAATATCACTGTAAACCAAGCCCGAGATGGAGCAATTAGCGGCACAATTACTTCCTCTGCTCCACTTTCACCAGAGCCCAGAAATAGCATTCCATCCAGCATGCTATGCTAGGCTGGGGCACTGTTTTAATGGGGCTGAGGAACCCTTGTTCTTGCCCAATACATTATTAAAATGAAATGTGTGCTTATTATGATCAACCAACTTGTGCAACGCAAATCAGAAAGCACCTTTTTGGTGGCTGGATTATGGGCTGGTGTCAAGGAAGTCCCCTCGTCTTCTAAGCAAACCACACTTGTTCCCTCTTCACTCAATTGCTGTCCTTTCAACACACACGCACATGCACACACACGTACATGCGCACACACGCATGCATGCCTGATGGGCTTTTTTCTTCCTCTTAAAGTGATACAAAAGAAGCTCCTTTTCTTTATGTTTATCTTTTCCATTTCCTGCCCCTCCTAACCCAGGAAGTCTGGTTGCCGTTGTCTTATTCTGTGTGAGCCAATGTGTGCATGCATGCGTGTGTGTGCATGTGTGTGTGTGTGCTTGTGTGTGTGTGTGTTTCCTGGTCATTATTTTTCCTAACTGCATCCCCTTGAGTCGAAACTCAACCACGTTTGGAAAATAAATAGTGCTAGTGCTACATTTGTTAAAGCTGGAGCCCGTTGTCATGAGCAGCCTGGTTGTTGGGTACTCTGTGCGTGTGTCCAGAGAAATGGAATCATTCACCGGGCCAGGCTCTCTGGCTAAGCTAGGAGCAGTATTCTGTGACTCCCTTCAATGCCTGGTTTTCTGGGTTTCTTTGTTTGTTGGTTTGGTTAGATTGGGACACCCAGAAGGGCTGACATGTTTAGCCAAAGCCAGCATGCTTAGTGACGTTCGAGCATTTTAAGAAAATTACAAAAGCTCGCGTTTCCTGAGAACCTACTCTGAGCCAAGCACTATGCGACAGCTGCATCTACAGTGTCTGGATTGGATTTAGTTTTCTAGGTGTGATTCACCCAGCATGCCAGAGCCCTTGGATGTAGAATCTGGCATACAATAGGCAATTAGTATTAATAATAACAATAACTAGAACTCATTTGCATACTGTGTCCTGGGCAGTATGTAAATCTTACATGGTATTAATATTTTGTAGATTAATATTATATATTTAGTAATAATGTATCTGATTTAATGAAAAGTGTTTCCAACATACAGATAAAGATAGAGATAATATCATAAACACCAGCTTTTAAAAATCTTAACCTTATGGTCTCTTTGCTGCAGATTTTTTTCTTCTTGAACAAGACACTGCAGATAGAATCACCCTCTGTGTGCCAACCCTAATCTCAGTTTTCCCTCCTATCCTCCTACCACCAGCCTAAATTTGGAGTTTATTATGCCAATAGATGTTTTTAAATGTTTATTACACGATTATGTATCCATAAACATTATGTCGTGTTGCTCATGCAGGTTTTTAAACTTTATATAAATGGTATCTAGCCCTACATATCATTCTGCATCTAGCTTTTTTCTTCATACTTTACATAGATAATCACATTTAATCCTCGTAACAGCCTTAGGTGTCAGGCACCATTTTACGGATGAGGAAGGCGAGGTGCGGAAAGGTTAAAGCACAAACTCTAACATTAATTAAAGCTAAATATACATTTAAGCTGTGACTCAGCAATTTTATTCCTGAGTATATACCCCTCGAAAAACGAGTGTGCAGGGCTATTGAAGACTTGCACAAGAATGCCCATAAGAGCTTTATTCAAAAGAGCTAAAAAATAGAAACAACCAAAATGTGTATCAATGGGGAAATGGATAAACAAACTGTGATGAAGTCACACGGTGGAATATTATACAGCAAAGAAAAAGAATGAATGACGGCTGCACCCAATAGGAAAGATGCATTTCAGAAATGGAATGCTGAGTCAAAGAAGCCAGGCACAAAGGAAACATATTGTATGGTTCCACCTATATGAAGTTCAGAAATGGACAGAACTAGTTGATGATAACAGGGATCAGAGCAATGATTACTTCTGGGGGTAGAGGGCAAGATTGAGAAGGTCATGATGGCAGGGGCTGCTGGGTTATTGGAAATATTCTGCTCCTAATCGTAGTGCTGGTTACACAAGGTTATGTGTATTAGTCTGACCAGGCTACCATAACAAAATACCACAGACTGGGTAGGTTGGACAACCGAAGTTTACTTTCTTACAATTCTGGAAGCTGGAAGTGTAAGATCAGGGGCCAGCAGGTTTGGTCTCTCTTGAGATCTCTCTCCTTGGCTTGCAGGTGGCCGTCTTCTCGCCGTGTCCTCACATGGCCTTTCCTCTGTACACATGCATCCGTGCATGACATCAGTAAAATGGATTAGGGCCCACCCTAATGGCCTCATTTTACTTTACTTCTTTAAAGATCTTGTCTTCAAATACAGCCATTTTCCCAAGTTATGAAGGTCAGGACTTCAATAGATAACTTTTCAGGGGGTGGGAGGACACAATTTAGTCTACAACACTATGCACATGCAGAAATTCTTCAGGTTTTGCTTTTAGATTTATGCATTGTATTATATGTGTGCTGTGCCTCAGTGATGATGATGGTGACGATGACAAATCACTTGTGCAGATTCCTACATGTCACCCCAGCAGAGCCTATTTGAATCCAGACTGACTTCTGTATCTTGCACATGACCCTCACTCTGTGAATATTTACAAAAGGCGGGTGGAAGGGTTGGTAGAGTTACCTGCCAAAGGTCAGGCACTGATTAAGTGGAAAAGGTAATATTTGAACCTAGTTCTTCCTGACTCCACATCCAAACTGTTTTTTTTTTTTTGGTTTTTTTATCTGACCACTTCCAGGAACAAAGCCAGGGCTCTCTGGGCACCTGAGTATCCATTCTCTTTGTATCATCCATTCCATGTCCAGAACACATTCACATCCATGCTTATAGTTCCTCATTGCCTGAAGCCTGCTGGGTGGGGCATAGTATGAATACTTGCCCTCATCATCCCCATTTCACAGATGCATAAACAGAGGCCAGTCAGTATGCCTGCAGACTGTGGATAGAGCCTGAAGCCTCAGGTTAGGCAGCTTGCATCCAGCTGTGAGTCCCAGCTAGGGGAACTGAGTCAGCCGCCATCACTCCGTGTCTCGGTTTTCTGACCTCTCAGGTGGGTATCATGATGCTGGCTTTGGAGGGTAGCTGTGAGTATTAAATTACGCTGATGCAGGGCAGGTGAGCCCCCCAAATTGGGGTTTAGCTTGCGAGAGTTCTTGGCTTTGCCTAGGAAATAATTCAAGGGCTTCAAGGGCTAGCCAGTGGTGTTAGCAACTTTTCTTGAAGTGGCAGTGTACCACAGCAGCAGAGGTACTTCTTCTTGCAGAGCAGGGCTACCCCATAGGCAATGTGCCCAGAGTAGCAGCTCAGAGGCAGTCCTGCAGTCATATTTATACCCACTTTTAATTATATGCAAATTAAAGGGTGCATTATGCAGAAATTTCTAGAAAAGGGTTGGAAACTTTCCAGTCATCGGGTTGTTGCCATGGAAAGGGGCAGTAACTTCCAGGTGTTGCCATGGCAATGATAAACTGACATGGCACACTGACAGGCATTTCCTATGGAAAGGTGTTTTCACCCTGTCCCTATTTTAGCTAGTCTTCAGTTTGGTCCCGTACCTGAGCCCTGCCTCCAGAGTCAAGTCCCATGTCCTACCTCAATGCCATGCCTATAAAGGGGGTAGCACTGTGCTTGACACACCATCCAATCTCCTCTCTCTTTGCCTGAAGCTTTAGATTCCCTTTCGATTCAGGGTTCCTTGTTTGTGGCTTGGAGTTGGCCTCTGAGGTCTCTTGTGCTTAAAGATTCCATGATTTATGGCATTTTATGTAAACATTGAGGACACACTCAGCTCTGCACAGGACAGAGAGGAAGGAGGAGATACAGGCTGGCATGGTCTCTAATTCCAAGAGGGTAACAATAATGTTAGTGGGGGAGGCAACACATCCAGATCAGCTGTCCTCTGCTTCTTCTGTTTATCCTGAAACACCCTTAGGCCATGACTGCAACTCAGTGACAAGATTCGCTCCTGCATCTGGCTTGTGAAGGATTTGGAAGGGATGGCACAGCTTGGGATGAACTTGCACAGAGGACCTGGGCACTGGGGCATCATCCCCTGGGATGGCCACCCCACTGCAGCTGGCATTTACTGAGCATTCTACTCCATATTAGCCTATAAAACCAGAAGAGAAAACAAGAGCCTTCACCTCACAGAGCAACATAAAAATAACCTTAAAACAGGCATCTATAAATGTGGAGCTGGTAATTATTCGGATCTAGTTAACCATGCAACAAAATGGAATAAACTCGGCTCCATTAGCCTTACTGTAAAAGCACTTTTTGGTGATTCATGTTTATTAAACTGTTAACATTTAAAAGAGTGGATGCTCACTGTCATTTCTGCTTTGGAACCTGGTACAGAAGAAAATACACACTTGTGGGAAAGGGGATTGGATCCAGCAGAACTTGTTAATATTTCTCTTTTGCCACCCTCTGCTCAAATGAGAACTTCCTCAACCATTCACTCATTCACATTACAGGTATTTGTTGAGCATCTTTTATGTCTCAGGAGCTTGTCTAAGTGCTGGTGCTACCACAGTGAGCAAAACAGCTGCCTATCTCATGGAGCTGGTGTGCCAATGGCGTCAGACCAATCAAAGTAAGTAACTTCTTCTATGACTGGAGTGCCTGGCCTAAATCTCTACCTGGACAACATTAAAACTGCAACTCCTGATTCCCATCGCATTCTTATTCCCTGGCTTTAGCGTTCTTCCGTAATAGCTGCCTGAACCTGCTCCTGTCATGGTGGTTGCAAATACCGATTTGCTAATAATTATTTTTATTTTTATTTTTATTTAATTTCGAGATGGAGTTTTCCCTTGTCACCCAGGCTGGAGCGCAATGATGCGATCTCGGCACACTGCAACCACTGCCTCCCGGGTTCAAGCGATTCTCCTGCTTCAGGCTCCCGAGCAGCTAGAATTACAGGCACCCACCACCAAGCCTGGACACTTTTTTGTATTTTTAGTAGAGACAGGGTTTCATCACATTGGCCAGGCTGGTCTTGAATGCCTGACCTCAGGTGGTCCACCCGCCTCAGCCTCCCAAAGTGCTGGGATTACAGGCGTGAGCCACCGTGCCCGGTCCCTCCACAATTATTAGTTGGCTGCCTAGTGTGAGGAAGGGTTGTGTCTTCTTTCCTTTATCTATTTATTATCAGAATGAATTCTTACTTTATTCAGTGGTCTGTGATCCATTATTAAGGTCATTAAAAAGAAAAGACTGAGAAATGGTTCTAGAATAAAGAGTTGGATACTCAGGAGAAACTCAAGAAACATGACATCTAAATGCAATGTGCGATCCTAGCCCAGAGATCATGGGGAAACATTTCCGAAGTGTGTTATTAGGACCACTGGTGGAATTTGAGTAGGGGCTGCTGGAAAGGCTAGTGCGCGCATCCATGGTGAATTCTCCTGTTTTCGTGATTCTACTGTGGCCATGTACGAGTTTGCTTTGGTACTTAGAAACTGCACACTGAACTATTTAATGAGAGGGTGAGCAACTGTCCCGGTTTGCTCAGGACGCTGAGGGGTTTCCCAATGTGTAGGGCTTTCTGTGCTAGAGCTAGGAAAATACCAGGCAAACCAGGATAATTGGTCACTGTGGAAATGAAGCATCAAAACCACAATTTTATCAAATAGTTTAGAAAAAATTTAATTTATGTACATACTTATGTGTGTGTGTGTGTGTGTGTGTGTGTGTGTGTGTGTGTGTGTGTATACCTATATAGAGAGAGCAAGCTTCTATATATTTGGTGATAAATTTAATCAGAAAATGATTAAGAAATGTGACAATGGCCAAGTGTGGTGGCTCACGCCTGTAATCCCAGCACTTTCGGAGGCCAAGGAGGGTGGCTCATCTGAGGTCAGGAGTTCGAGACCAGCTTGGCCAACATGGTGAAACCCCGTCTCTACCAAAAATACAAAAATTAGCCAGGTGTGGTGCTGCGCACCTGTAGTCCCACCTACTCAGGAGACTGAGGCAGGAGAATTGCTTGAACCTGGGAGGCGGAAGTTGCAGTGAGCCGAGATCGTGTCACTGCACTTCAGCCTGGGCGACAAAAGCGAGACCCTGTCCTGCACCCCCCCCCCACCCCAAGAAAAGAGAAATGTGACAAAACATTTCCAATTGCTGAAGCTGGAGAAAAGCAAAGAGAAATGTATTGCTCTAGGGGCTGACAGAATAAAGTACCCAAAACTGGGTGGCTTAGAACAGCAGAAATGTGTTGAGCCATAGCTCCGGAGGCCAGAAATCTGTGCTTGAGGTATCAGCAGGGCCATGCTCCATCCAACCTGTAGGGGAAGGATTCTTCCTCGTCTTTTCCTGCTTCTAGTGGCCTCAAACATTCCTTAGCTTACAGCAGGATTCCTCCAATCTCTACATGGCCTTCTTCCTGTGTGTCTTCACATCATCTTCCCTCTGTGCATGCCTGTCTCTGTCCACATTTCCCCTTTCTAAAAGGACCCCAGTCATGGAGGATTAGGGTTCACCCTAGTGACCTCATTTTTACTCTGTTACCTCGGACAAGACCCCATTTCCAAAGAAGATCCCATTGCAAGGCACTGGGGATTAGGACATCAGCATCTCTTTTTTGAGATGACACACTTCGACACAGAGCAGTACTATTCTCACAACTATTTTGTAAATGTGCAATTATATCAGAGAAAAAGTTCTAAGAATACAAACTGGATAATGTTACTGCATCTCAAGACCCTCAGTGGGGTCCTGAGGCTCTTAAGATAAATCTCCGCAAGCCTCTGTGATCCAAGCTATATAAGTGAGAGCCCCAGATGGGTCAGTTTAGGAGACTTTGAAAAAAGAAACTATTTTCTTTTTTTTTTGAAACACAGTTTCACTCTTGTTGCCCAGGCTGGAGTGCAGTGGTGCAATCTTGGCTCATCGCAACCTCTGCCTCCTGGGTTCAAGTGATTCTCCTGCCTCGGCCTCCCGTGTAGCTGGGATTACAGGTGTGCGCCACCACGCCTGGCTAATTTTGTATTTTCAGTAGAGATGGGGTTTCTCCATGTTGGTCAGGCTTGTCTCGAACTCCTGACCGCAGGTGATCTGCCCGCCTCAGCCTCCCAAAGTGCTGGGATTACAGGCATGAGCCACCACACCCAGCCAGGAACTATTTTCAAAGGTAGGGGAGAACCCCAAGGGCTAGTAACAGTGGGGAGCTGCCACCCCCAGGCCTGGAAGGACAGGGGACAGAGTGGGGAGAGGAGGCCGTGTGGGAAGGTCCTTGACAATGCAGCTTGCCCTATAGTGTCCCTACATGCAGGAAGCTGGAAGAGACAATATACCCACCTCAGAGTCCTCCAATCCTTGCATCTATTGCTGGCTCCCTGATGGCTGGCTGCAACCTGAAGTCATCAGTGCTGTGAAAGACACACCACATGGTTATTGTCCTGAGCACCAAGCATAGAGGAGCAGGGTGGAGAGTGGTCCACAGGGGTTGTGGCAGGTGCTGGCTCCAGTGCTCTCCACTTTCACTCCCACATTCATCTTACACACCAGCTTCACCTGTGTTAGCACCTGCACTTCCTCTACCTTCCTCTACCATCTTGATCTCTATCTATATCTTGGCCCCAGTGCACAGCAACCTATATCCCCTCTCTACAGCCCTCATCAAACTAGAGCTTTGTCTTTTACATGATCAGTGATCCACAGCTCAGCTCTGTGTCCCCCTCCAGAGCATGAGCTTCCCAAGGGCAAGAACAACCCTGTCTGATTTGCTCTTCTCTGTAACTCTTTCCGAGTGCACATAGTAGGTGCACAATAAAGAGCTGGCAAAAAGGCCAGGCGTAGTGGCTCACAACTGTAATCCCAGCACTTTGGAAGGACAAGGTGGGTGGATCACTTGAGGTGTGAAGTTCGAGACCAACCTGGCCAACATGGTGAAACCCAGTCTCTGCTAAAAAAAATACAAAAAATTAGCAGGGTGTGGTGGTGCACACCTGTAATTCCAGCTACTAGGGAGGCTGAGGCAGGAGAATTGCTTGAACCCAGGAGGCAGAGGTTGCAGTGAGCCAAGACTGTGCCACTGCACTCCAGCCTGGGTGATGGAGTGAGACTCTCTGTGTCTCAAAAAAATGCCGAGACTCTCTCTCTCTCTCTCTCTCTCTCTCTCTCTCTCAAAAAAAAAGAAAAAAAAAAGAGTTGGCAAATGACTAAGGAAATGAGGAGCGCAGGTGAAGAAGACTGGGAAGTTATCCAAAGAAAATGGGAGAACGGGACTGATATCCAGGTTTTTTGATGCCCACACCAGTGACTGCAGCACCCCCCACCTCCAAAACCTATAGCTTAGTCAACTTCATTTTTAAAGGATTACTCTGCCATCCCTTTGGGGCCCTTTTACTCTGTGAAAAACTGCTTGCAAAGTTATTCAGGGAGCAAGTGCTCAGAAGAAGAAGACTTGTTGCTATTTTCTTTTGTAAGGTGAAGTGTTTATGGATGTAATCTCACAGGCAGTTTGAAAATCTCCAGGGAGAAGAAACCAGAACCTTGTTAGGAAGAGAAGTGAGGAGTAAAGTTTGCTCTGTTAGGTGAATCAGGAAAGGACACTTGTATGCATGCATAAACAGAGAGAGAAGGTTTGCAACTGAAGAATGTATAGAATTTACAAATATACAGAAGCTCAAACCCTCATTTTTTTCTACAGAATTAGCTATGTGTGGCCGGGTGCAGTGGCTCACACCTGTAATCCCAGCATTTTGGGAGGCCAAGGCTGGCGGATTGCCTGACGTCAGGAGTTCGAGACCAGTCTGGCCAACGTAGTGAAACCCCGTCTCTAATAAAAATACAAAAAAAAAAAAAAAAATAGCCAGGTGTGGTGGTGCGCACCTGTAATCCCAGCTACTCGGGAGGCTGAGGCAGGGGAATTGCTTGAACCAGGGAGGTGGAGGTTGTAATGAGCCAAGATCATGCCACTGCACTCCAGCCTTCAGGTGGCACTGGGTCAAGTCTAGGGCCAGGACACCTTGGACAGGTCTCTTCACTCTCAGTTTTCTTGTCTTTAAATTGGGATAACAACAATGTTGACCTTGTTCATGAATTCATGCCATAATAAGTAGTGAGTGTCTACTGTATACTGCACACTGTGATTACATATCTGCAATTTTGTTTTATTTTCACAACCCATGTAGAAAGTCAGTTTTCTAAAACATTCATTATGGAAAAGTCATAATTAAAGCTCTGACAGGTGAAGTAGCCTGGCCAAGTTCACACAGCAGAGCTTGGTCCTAGTCTGGCCAGGGAGACAGATTCAAAGTCACAAAGCCAACATTTGCCTGAGGATATGGTGACCACGGAGGTAGGGAGTTGTGCTGGCAGTGGGAGGATGGAGACCCACTCCACAGATGCCAAGAAGGGAGGTTTGGGGTGGAGACAGGTGGGAGATGACATGGCAGGGTTTAACTTCTGCCTCTCTTTCAAAGACTGTCTCCCTTTCTTCTCTTAGCTCAATCATTCTGACCTTCTTTAAATTACTGGAGTGCACCAAATTCCTTACTACCTCAGGACCTGTGTCCATGCTGCTCCCTCTGCCTGGAATGCTCAGACCTATCCCCTAACATACATGTGCATGCATGCACACACACACACTTTACCTCTGCCAGTTTCATACCTACTCATCCTCCAGGTCTCAAGCATCACTCCCTGAAGAATTCACTCCTTAAATCCCAAGACCAAGACTCCTGTCATTTATACCACAGAACCTGTCCTTCACCTTCCTACCACTTTGTACAGTCATCTATTAATCTATTTCTTTTGCACTTCATTGCTCAAAGTCATGAAGACAATCCCATGCCTTGTTCATTTCTGCAAGCCTACTTTGTAGGACAGAGCCTAGCACATAGCCATTGCTCAATCAATATTGGCTGCCCAAATGAGTGAATGAATTGTTTTAACAGTCTGATTCTAAGAAAATCCTCATTTATGTTTATGTTTCTTTAGTCGGTTCCTATCAAAATAAGGATAATAGCAACTGCTAGCATTTATGGAGGACTTGCTGCATGCTGGAGCATTGCTAAGAGTCTGTATGCATTATCTTGGTGAGTACTGCCAGCAACCCGTGAGGCAGGCATTAGCAATATACCTACTTTGTGGATGAGAAAATGGAGTTTAGGAAAATCTCAATTTCTTATGAATTTGCTGGCTCTGTGCAACTCAGTTCACCTCTTTGAATCTCAGTTTGAGGAGGCTTTAGTAGTCCATGCATGCAAAACTAAATTCAGCCCATCTGTAAGACTTCCTTGCCTATGGAACAGAATAGTGCTAGCAACACCTTCATGGCTATTAATTGGGCTATTTGTGTATGGTACCCAGTGATCATGCAGTAAACAGTTGGATGGGAGCATCCTGGTCTTATAACTTTCACAGCAGAATCCCTGGCAGACAGCCATGCTTTGAAATTCCATGGTGTAATAACCATGAATCACCCCAAAGATCCCAGGACACGAGCAAGTCTGCTTCCTCTGCCCAATGCGTTGTGCAGGGAGACGCTGGACACTGTCACCAACTCAGCGATATCAGCTGCCGACAGAGCTCCACACAGAAGGGCCCTCCCGCCGACCTCGCTGAAAAGACCAGTAAATTCAGCAGCCAGTGTGTCTGGCTTTCCCACTTGTCGCCCCCTAAATCTCCCTCTAAGTGGCAGGACTCTGGCCCTGCTGCCCTGTCTGGGGGCATTTGCTTCATCTCAGAGGAGACCGGTGCCAGGAACCTCTAAGGGGTTGGCGGGGACTTTGTTTTTTCATCTCATGAGTGGTTGCCTCTGCTGCCTGACTCAGCTTCACTCAGACACAAGCTACAAACACCAGGGGTCTGGAAGTGACCCCAAAATTTCTCACTCACTAAGTTGCTTTGGTTGGCTTCATTCAAAGCATGAATGAAGCCAGGGCAGCCCCTGGAATAATGCATCCAGGTGCCCAGCTTTCTCTGGGGCCCGAAGGAGCCACCTTCCAAAGGAGAAAAACTGGGGAATCAGGCGGCCCTGGGTCAAGTCTAGGCCCAGGACCCCTTGGACACATACCTTTGCCCTCAGTTTCCTTAACTTTGAATTGGGATAACGGCAATGTCGACCTTGCTGGGGTGTTGTGAATGATTCATGAATTCTTGCCATAATAAGTAGTGAGTGCCTACTGTATACTGCACACTGTGATTACATTATGACATATATCATTTCCTTCTGTTCTCACAACCAATGTAGAAAGTCAGTTTTTTAAAATACCCATTATGGAAAAGTTGTAACTGAACCTCAGAGAGGTAGAGTAACTTGGCCAAGATTACGCAGCAGAGCTGAAATTCAAACTCAGGCTCATCAGACCCCAGAGGCTGAAAGTTTTACACACCGTGAACCCTGCAAACTGTGCTCCCAGCCACTGCCTGCTGTGTTGCTTTCCCCAGGAGTGCTGTAGGCTGCCTACTGTTACCTGCACAATAAAAATCACGATGGTAATAGCTCACATTTATTGAGACCTGCCCACGTCACTTACTGTTACATGGATTGCTTCCTTTGCATACTTTGGTTACAGTCCTTCTTTTGATTATTTTAGGTTGACCCAGACCCAAATTGGAAGCATTTTCAAATGAATCAAAAGACTCTAATCTTCGGCCCACTGGGAGCCAGAACAGGTTAACACAGAAGACTCTGATGTGATCAGATTGGCCTGTTTTGGGGATGCTGCTGGCTGATGAGAGAAAGATGGATGAAAGAAAAAGAGGCTGGAGAAACAGGCAAGGATGGGGGCCAAATGGGCCTTTTTGTTATAAAGGACCTCACCACCCCTGTCCTCTGTGACAGCATCTCAGTCCCCAGCCCCATCTTGTCTCAGCCAGGTTGATCTAGCTTAGACAGCAGTCTGCAGCTTCCCAAACTTAGAGCATTCTGCCTGAGAATGCTAGGAGAAACTCTGTCTTGTTCATTAATTCACTAGAAAACTAATTATTGATCGCCTGCTGTATGCAAAGCACTGAGTATGCAGCACAGAACAAGACACTCTAGAAGCCAAGCTGGGAGTCAGAAACACAGGCTTCAAATCCTCCCTCCACCTTGAACCTCTGCAAACTCACCTTTCCAGGTCTTCGTTTCTTCTCCTGTAAAATGGAGATCTTCTTCACCTCCACATCACAGCGTTGGTGGGAGGATGCAGTGAGATGTACATGAAGCAGCTGCTGCAGTCAGCTCCTGGGCCCTGACGGGGGTTCATTACCCAGGAAAAGCATGGAACATGGGAACTGGTGGGTGAGGAGAGAGAGCTGCCGGTCTCAGTCAGTGGCTCTTAACTCGGGTTGATTTTGTCCCCAGGGGACATTTGAAAATCTTTTTGCCTTACATAATTTGAGACGGGGGATGCTATCGCCATCTAATAGGTAGAGGCCGGGGATGCTGCTCAACATCCTACAATGTACAGGACAGCCTCACGCCCCGCTCCCGAGAATCATCTGCCCCTATGTGTCATTAGTGCTGAGGTGGAGAAGTCCTGGGCTATGTGGACACTGCCTGTACCAGGCTGCAGAGAGGGGCCTCGGTCCTAAGCTCAGCCTGCCTGTGCAGACAGCACCCCACCCCCTAGCTGCCTGGGACACCGAGGGGCTGAGCCTGCACCCGCCCCTGCCTGGCCAGATGGCTCCTTTGTCCTGGGCAAGGGGCGGAGGTGCCTTTATCTCCAAACAGACGCCCCACCCTAAAGTACCATCCCTGGGTGTTTATTTTCCAAGCTGGCCCCGGCCCTGCCAGGAGTTGTGGGCTCCCAGCACCGACCACTCTGCTCTCAGCTGGCGTGCACCTACCCATCACTGCGCTGTGACCGCAGCCGTATCCCGCTTGATTCCCTCCTCTGTCTCTCTCATCGGCTACAGCAGCTGAGCCAGCAGGAATTGTTCCACCCAGCTGCTGAGAAGCAGCCAGCAGCAGCAATGTGGGCCATCCCTGGCTTCCCAGCAAAGGCTCTCAGGGGCTGAGGGCCTATGGAAGTCATCTGAGTAGGAAGAGAGCACCTGGCTCTGCCAGGCCAGGAGGCTCCCAGATTGAGACTTGTCCTGTCTGAGTTGACTGAGTACTTCTCAGCTTCTGCCAGCCACTGAGCCTCACGAGAGAATCTGGGTACCTGTCTAGCTCACCTCCCACCTAAAGAGGAAGGGCCCTTTAGGATTTCTCTCAAAGCGGGAACCTCCATGTCTGGTCTATTTCCTGCCCCCTGAACATAGCTAGGGGCACACAGCAGGTCTCAGAATTGGTGTACAACATCCTTTCTCCGGAGTTTCCGGAATCCAGGCTTATCTGGGGTGCCCTACTAAGGCAGGGCACTGAGGAGACTACCTGGAGCAGAGCCCAGCGCATAGTAGGTCTCCAGTCAACACTTACTCGTGAATGAAGGAATGCACACACGCATGTAAGGAGACTTATTTTTACCCAGCTTTGCATCGGATTTGCTGTGGGACTTTGAGCAAGTAGCTTTCCATCTCAGGCTTCAATGTACCAGTCCGCGCAATGGAGCTCATTCTTTCCTGTTGAGCAAATTCTGAAGACAAGGCAAAGGTTTTTGACGTTGGGTGGGGGAGGGGTCTGTCACTGAGACAGACCCCTGTGAAATAAATCACAACACCATGTTTGCACTGCACATCTTCATCTACAGTGTGACAGTTAACTTCAACCTCAGAAAGGCTGACCTTAAGCTAGTTGCATCACCTGTATTTGTTAACTGTTGCTGTGTAACAAATTATCCCAACATTTTGCGTCTTAAAACAACCTGCCTTCATTATCCCACAGTTTCTCAGGGCCAAGATTCTGTGAGTGGCTTAGCCGAGTGGTTCTGGCTCAGTGTCTCTCATGAAGTTGTCGGCAAGCTTCTGGCTGAGGCTGTGGTCTCTGAAAATGTGATGGAGGCTGAAGGACCCAAGCTCATTCAAGCGGCTGTTGGCTGGAGGCTTCAGTTCCTCCCCATGTAGGCTTGTCCACAGAGCTACTCATAGCACAGCTTTCCCCAGAGTGGGTGGTTCATGAGAGAGGCAGGAGAGGGAAAGCATGATGGAGGCTACAGTCTTTTTATAACCTAACCTTGGAGGTGGCATGCCATTACAGCCATCATACTCCAGTGGCCACACAGCCTGGGAAGATGTGAACACCGGGAGGTGGGTGTCTTATTGAGCCATCTGGGAAGCTGGTGGCCATATGGTTCAATCTAGAGTTTGTGTCAAGCCATAGAGAGCAGAAGGCAGAGGAGAGAGGGCAAAGTCTTTTCACCAATATCAGGATAGGTCTGAAAAAGGGGAAGGAGATGGCATTTTTCTTTTTCTTTTTCTTTTTCTTTTTTTTTGTACATGCCGTATGTCAAGCACCATCCCAGGCTATTTTTGTGCATTATTTTATTTTCCCCTCACAGCTAACCCAGTAAAATCACTGCCATTTTTCAGATGAGGAAACAGAGATCACACCCACAACTGGTAAGAGATGGAGGTGGGTTTTGAACCTGAAAGTGACTGGGACCACCTTTCCAACTCTGGAGCTGACCACCCTACCCCCTGCTGTGGGAAAATTGCTGGAAGAGCAGGACAGTGGGTCCGGGTTTCTGTTTGTTATTCTAGAACAACAGAAAAGTCAAGAATCTTCCAACAAGGGTGCTGGAAAACCCTTTGGGAAGGAATGCCAGTGATTCCTTTGTAAAGTGCTTTCCCACCCATTGTGTCTTGGAGAAGTATCCTTGTTCCGAGGTTGCAGGTGGGAAAACTGAGGATAGGGTTGAAGCAGTGGAAGGGGATGGCATTTTTCTTCTTTTGAGTACCTGCCATATGTCAAAACTGAGATTGACATCCCCAGGATCTCCCAGTTCTAAGTACACCTTCTGCCCCCAACCTACCCAGGCTCCCTCCTGATGCCTAGTTCATATCTATGTTCCCCTACAGGCGTGTCTATCTAGGACTTATGTGCTCAGTAGAACAGCCCCACAGATTAACCTTGACCCTGGACCCATGACTCAAGGCATACCTTAAATTCCTCCAGACATTCCCAGAAATAAATCCAGTTATTTGACTGTGTGTGTGTGTGTCACAGGGGACCTCTCCCAATGTCTAAGATGGGCTTAAGCCAGGATTCTATTTATTCTATTTGAGCATCTGCTGAGACGATTTTGTTAGATGCCTACATGACTGAGGACTTAAAAACCGAGAAGAGAGGCTGGGTACAGAGGGTGAGGGAGGATTTTCCCATTGGAGGTCCCTTCACTATCTCTTTTGAGAAGTCTTAATCCCTTAATCACTTTTATTAATCTCATAACAATCTTTCCAACATCAGTTACATCCTTCTTATCTTGGTTAAGCATTTTGGTGAACTCAGAGCTTCTTGTCACTTAGGGACTTTTTCCTTCTGCTTAAGGCATCTGCTCTTACACAGTGTCTCTCCCTCCCTCCCCCTTCCCTTCTCTTTCTCCCTCTCCCCCTTCTTCTCACTCTCTTTTCTATCTCATTCTCTTTCTTCTCTCTCTTTCCCTCTCTTTTCTCTCTTCCTCTCTTCTTTCTCTCCCCTCTCTTCTCTCTCTCTCTCTTTTTCTCCCTCCTTTCCTTTTTCCAACTATACTGTTACAATCCAACAACTCTTGAATTTCAGAGCCAGCAGTAACTTTCTAGACCAGCCAGCATACATTTCTCATTTTACAGCTGGAAAAGCCAGGACTCCCTGAATTTAATTAACTCATTCAAGGCCTCACTGCAGCTACAAGCGAGTCCATGAACGCCCGCTGGAAACAATGAAGCCCCTTGTAAGTGCGAGCACTTAACCCTAACCCACACCATCTCTGTTGACCCTCACAAATGCCTCAGAGGTGGATTCTACCATTGGACTCATTTTAGAGCAGAGGAAACTGAGGCAGAGCAGGGGAAGTCACTCACCCCCACACAGCTCAGCACAGGCACAGCCCAGAGATTGGAGCCCGGGCATTCTGACTTTGGGGCCCAAGCTCCCAATAGCAAGTCCTCTCCACAATGCCTAGGTATCTTTCCCCGCAGAGGCAGTGAGCTGATGCACAAATGGCGGTGAAACAGGCCCCATTACCAAATGAACTGAAGGTGTTGAGGGCTCATGATGGGGTCATTGCCCCACTCTCTGGTTGGAAACTCCAAAACCCCTGCATGGGGTTCCCCCAGCCCAGTTCAGGGTCTTTCTATCTACCAGACCCTGTGACTGTGACTTCTTTTACCTACCCAAAGCTCAGCCCTTCCACAGGGTGCAATGGGACAAGTCAGACATCAGAAAGCTGGGTGGGTCCCAGGCCTGACCACACCTCTTACTCACTGTAGCTGACTCATTCCTCTCCGGGTGTTACTTCCCTTATTTCTCAACTGAAAACATGTATCTTCAAATATCCATCAGCTGCAGCGGCCTTTTGGAAATAAAATACCATGTGGAAAGCCAATAGGAAAAGCCCATTAAAGAAAGCTGGGCTGGAAGTGGGCATTCTATGGGGAGGTGCGGGGAATGCCCACATTCCCATCTTCCCATCCCCTTCCAGGGACCCAGGACACAGTCGGAGCCTGGAGACACAGGTTTGAAGCTATAGACAAGATATATCTGTGTGTTCCATGGCTGATATTTTGTGAGCTTATAGACACCCCCGATCCTCCTCCAAACCTAGGGTGGGAAGAAGGCTGTTCCCGAGGGCGTTGCTCTCCAAACGATTCCAGAATCAGCAGACTCACAGACATGAACCCCTGAGGCATGCTCTTGCCCCATCCCCTCTGCCCTCCCTGGTGACTGCATACCTCCCCCTTCACCTCTGTTCTCTCCTGCTCGCCTCTTTTCCTCTTTGTCTGCCTGACAAGAAGCTGGTGAGGGCGAAGATGGAAAACCAACTGCCGAACTTAGAAAATAAAAACACCCCAGCCGGCTTTATTAATCTCCTGAAATATGCTCTCCAATTGCTGCCAAGCCGAAAGGGCTTGTGTTTTCCCCTAGAACATCGTAAAAAAGTAGAAATGTTTACAAGGATGACTGGAAAATAGTGCAGTAGATCTTTCTGGTAATGTACAAGGTGATGCAGTAATTGCTATGGAAACTAGTCATTATAATTCAATAAAAAGGGAGAAAAAAGTTAAGTTCATTGGGTTACCTATGACTCTATCGTCACATTCTTTACATATATTAGCATAAAATCAGTCCCACTTTTATTCGCAGGGTTTTCACTGGCTCTGCCTTCACAAAAATGTTTGTACGGTTCGGCACAGATGAAGCCCTAAAGGAGACAAGAAAGCTCACTTTGCAAGAAATCTCTCTATATTTATTTTTCCTGGGCGAACTATTTGATGTTTCGGCACAAATGTGCATGCAGGGTCCAAAAGAGAACGTAGCTTGTGCGTGAGGATTGCTGCCCCGTGCATTAGAGGAAGAGCTTTACTGCTCTTAGGGCCCCTGGGATGTGACAGGAAGGGAAGTCTTCTTGCAGGAGAGATGCAACTTGCTGAAACAAAAAGAAAGATGCAAAGTCACTTGACTTATTGCACGTCTGAGGGCTGAGCAGCTTGGGGACACCATCAGAGGGACTAGCCCCCGCGATGCCTTGGGTTGCCACCCTCACGAACACCCCCACCCGCCTGCCAGGTTGTGCAGCCGCACCCAGGCATTTCATACTAAGTACATCATACACAACTTGGGAAGTAGATCTGGACCCAAGGCGATTGTGATACCAGAAGTGGAAATAACCCCGTGGGTGAGGCAGGAAACAATGATTGCTCGAATACCTATTTCTGGCAAAGGGAGATAAAGGAGTGATTCTAAGTGGCTGGTGCACGTGCATGTGTGCTGGGGGATGAAGAGGATTAAGATGAAAAACATCATCCCTGTCCACCAGAAAGCTTGCAAATCTCGATGTAATTAAGAGCCCAGAGCCAGCAGACCAGGGTGAGAAGGCAGGTGGGTGTTCGTCTGGCTCTAGACATGTCACTTGGATGAGGTGAGCTGGTTCACCTCTCCAAGCCTCCCTAATTGTGCAGGTCATTACACTATTGTCTCCTAGTTCCAAACTCACCCTTTTATACTCTGCCTTCCGGTACCCGGGCTAGGATTCTGTGCCCTGTATTGCCGCTGGGCCTGCTGGGCCTCTGTAAGCCTCTGCCCATAGCAGGTGCTAGAGGTAACCCTGAGGCAGATGTCAGGAAAAGGGACATGCTTGTCCCTCTTTGCTTGCAGTTTCTTTTTTTCTTTCCTTCCTTCCTTCCTTCCTTCCTTCCTTCCCTCCCTCCCTCCTTCTCTTCTTCCCTCCTTCCCTCCTTCCTTCCTTCCTTCCCTTCTTTCTTTCTTTTTTTCTTTCTTTCTTTCTCTCTCTCTCTTTCTCTTTCTTTCATTTTTCTGTTTTCTTTGTTGTTGTTTTTAGAGACAAGGTCTCACTCTTTTGCCCAGACTGGAGTGCAGTGGTGCTGTTATAGCTCACTGCAGCCTCGAACTCTGGAGCTTAAGCCATTCTCCTGCTTCCATCTGCTGAGCAGCTGGGACCACAGGTGCATGCCACCACGCCTGGTGTTTTTATTTTCTTAGAGATGGGTCTCACTATGTTGCTCAGGCTGGTCTCAAACACCTGGTCTCAAGCAATTTTTCCTCCTTGGCTTCCCGAAGTGCAGGATTGCACACCTCAGCCATCACACCTGGCCTGCCTGCAGGTTCTGTCAGCATGACGGAAGCAGTGGCTCATCATCCCAGCCATGACAGTCGGTTCCTGGGCAGTTTTTTTTTCACTATGACAAGTGGCCTTGCATATCAACTCTTCAGAAGTCAGTGCCCAAGCTCTGCATGGCCCCTCATCTGGGCTCTTGAGTGCCAGCGGAGTTCTGGTTCTTCCTTCAGGCTTTTTTCCCCCAACTTCTCCCTTTGCTCTTTCATCCCAAGAAAGGCAGCTGCTCCCCACAGTTACTGTCTCTGCTTCCCCCTCATCTCTTCTTTGTGCTTTTCCAGTTTGTCAACACCAGGTCCCTATATTAAACTCACCCTATTAGAATACCTGGCATGGTTTCTGTTTTGTAATTGTGGTCTTTGCCATTGAAAGTAAGGGCAAAGACCACGATTACTTGTGCACCAACCTAATTCTTTGGGTCTCACCTCTTCTAATCCAGCCTCCATCTAGTGTCTGGAACAATCTTTCTGATTACAGTTTGATCAGATCACTGCCTGGAAGGGGTAAATTCCTAGGCTCTTGGCTGTCAGAGCCTCTCTCCCACCCACAGCAGACATCCTCTGTCCATCATATTTATCTTGAGCATGGACACACCCTCAGCATCCTTCTTAACACAATGCCTCAGGACAGAACTATTCGTGCTCCGAGTTGACAGGTGATATGAAGCCTATTGTCCAACCTTTCCCCGGAGGGTAAGTCCTATCTCTGAGCTATGACCCATGAGAACTATTTGGTTATTTATCTCATGTTTATTTAGTGTTTATTATATATCAGGCATTCTACTGCCTTGCCATGTAGAATCTTCCGAGAGAAACCCATCTAGTTAATGCAGTCTCCCACATGGGTAGCTTTATATTTGTTTTTGTCCAAAAGAGCCCACCTTGCATACTTGGATCCACGGTAATACCTAGAGGAATTCTTCAACGGAAACTTAATGAAGTCAACACGAAAGAATTCTTTGAGAATGACTGAATCCCCTCTCTGGAAGAACTCTACTGATAATTTCAGCATAATTATACATAACAGACTCCAAGTGGCACACGGTAGACCTCTAATATGATTGCTAATTATGTCCACATTAAGTCATTGATAGAAATCCTTATCTGCATGTGGCTGTGAGTCACAGGCTCTATTCTGTGACAAATTGAAGTCTTTTCTCCACATTCTGCTGTTCTTTTTTGATGTCTTCCACAGTGGTCTTGAGTTTGTCCTCTGCCAGCACCCCTCCAAGGGACACACTGCAGGATGTAAGTGAGGGCAATGAGTAGATACAGTAAAATAACAGGAAATAGGGCCGGGCGCGGTGGCTCACGCCTGCAATCCCAGCAGTTTGGGAGGCCAAAGTGGGAGGATTGCCTGAGCTCAGGAGTTCACAACCAGCCTGGGCAACATGATGAAACCCTGTCTCTACTAAAATACAAAAAATTAGCTGGGTGTGGGGGCATGTGCCTATAATCCCAGCTACTCGGGAGGCTGAGGCAGGAGAATTGTTTGAACCCAGGAGGCAGAGGTTGCAATAAGTCGAGATCGTGCCACTGCACTCCAGCCTGGGAGACAGAGTGAGACTAAGTCTCAATAAATAAATAAATGAATAAATAAATAAATAATAGAAAATAGATTCTGGGCCTTAGAGCCAAAGAGACAGTAGGGAGTGGTGGTGACTGAGGCAAATGGAGGAGGCTTGACTCCAGCTTATCTTTGCCATGTGGGTACAGGAGCCTATCATTACCAGAGCATCTAAGAGATACTGGAGGTGGGCGGATCACCTGAGGTCAGGAGTTCATGACCAGCCTGGCTAACATGGTGAAACCCTGTCTCTACTAAAAATACAAAAATTAGCCAGGCATGGTATCAGGTACTTGTAATCCCAGCTACTCCAGATGCCAAGGCAGAAGAATTGCTTGAACCTGGGAAGCGGTGGTTGCAGTGAGCCGAGAACGGAGATCACGCCACTGCACTCCAGCCTGAGCAACAGAGTGAGACTCTGTCTCAAAAAAAAAAAAAAAAAAAAAAAAGCTAGTGAGCGAGAGAGAGATAGATCCTGGAAATCTGTGGGGTGTTTGTTTGTTTGTGTTTCTGAGACAGGGTTTTGCTCTGTCACCCAGGCTGGAGTGCATGCAATCACGGCTCACAGAAGACTCAACCTCCCCTGGCTCAGGTGATCTTCCTGTCTCAGCCTCCTGAGTAGCTGGGGCTACAGGCACCACCAAGACTGGCTAATTTTTTATTTTTATTTTTTGTAGATATGGGATCTTGCTGTGTTGCCCAGGCTGGTCTCAAACTCCTGGCTTCAACTGATCCACCCGCCCCCACCTCCCAAAGTGCTGGAATTATAGGCATGAACCACTGTGCCTGGCCTTGTGTTTTATATAGAAATAATGAGATTCGTTTTCAATGTTGGCAACTGATTCAAATTTCAAATGGAATGTACACATATATCAAAGTATCACATTGTACCCTATACATATAGACAGTGGTTATTTGTCAATTAAAAATAATTTTTTTTAAAAAAAGCACTTGGGGCCACCTTTGGCCTGCACACCCCTAGTTGGCACTTCTGCAGGATGCACCCCAAAGAACAAGGGAGGATCCTGCACAGTGGTTAGGAGCCAGGACTCTGCAGGCAGAGTGCTTGACTCAAATCCCTCTCTGCTATTTCCTGGTTGTGCAACCTAAGCCGAATTACTCAACCTCTCTGTGCTTCAATTTTTCTGTCTGTAAAATGGTGATGTTAATCATAGCAACAACTTCATGACATTGTTGTGAGATTTGAATGAGTCAGAATGTGCAAGGCCTTTAGTAAGTACACATGAGATGGTATCTATAAGAAACTTGTATAAAATTCCTGATCCCGTAAGCAGCAGGTCAGCATCACTTTCATTCTAAGCATTTTGAAGATCTTCATTATTTGTAAACTTAGAGGCTCTCCCCAGCGGTCCTGGTGGAAGACAGGGGCAGGCAGAGGAACCATTGTTAATAGCTCCATTTTTCAGATGAGAAAACTAAGGCACAGAAGAGATCGTCGTTTGCCCAAGGCCTCACAGCAAACCCAAGGAAAGACCTAACCTTAGCCCAGCTCTCCAAAACCCTCTCTCCTCTCTGAAGTTCTCTGACCCTCCCAGCCAGCCAGCCCAAAACGCTGCCACACTGCCAGATGCCCCTTGCTGTACTCCAGATGCAAAATGACAATAAAGTGCTTTTTTTCTTTTTTTTTCTTTTAAGAAAGAGGAAGAGAGAGAGCAAAGGGAGCAGAGGGTGGGAGAAGAACTGTTCTCATCACAAATTTCTCTCTGGCCCTCTTCCCAGACTTGAAGTTCCTGGCACGGCTGGCAAGATTTGGGGCAGGCGAGTGGGTGAGCATGCTGAGCAGCAGCAGAACAGCAGGGGGTCCAGCTCTGTCCACCCCTAATTTCTCAGGCTGACCCCAAGCCCCCAGGACCAGGTACATAACTGTGGGTCCTGGTGCAAAATGAAAATGCAGAACCTCTTGTGCCAAGACTGCTAAGAATGTCAAGAGGGTGCCTGCAGAGCATGAAACCAAGGGTAGGACCGTGGGTGACAGCCCAGGTTGTTCACCCCTTGAAGTCGGTCTTGGACACTCCCCTTTTTCTAAGGGACATGCCAGACTCACACAACGGGAACGCAAAGAGGGTTAAAAGACGCCCTCGCCTCTCCCCATATCCTGGTGAGATAAAACCACCACTGGGAGACCCAGGACAATTTTTATGTAGGATTAGAAAACAAAAATCAATATTTAATTATCTGTAAGCTTTTTGTGTCACTGAATCTTTAGCACCCTAACAGGGAGTACCGGCTGCCAAAGCAAAAGTAAGTCATTAAAGACGCAGTATCGCCGGCCATCCCTTTTTAGAGTCGGGCCATAAATAGAGAACATTATCACTCCTCACATGCTGCTATTGTTATTTATCTTTACAATCTCTATTTACCTCTATTTATAGCAGATTTCTCCCATATATTATGGGGCCAGGTTAACTTTAACGGAGTTCATGAAAAGAGGTACTTAAAACTTTGGAACATGCTTATGTGAACAGATGGCAAGGTTTTCAGAAGCTATGGGGCCCAGAAGGCCGATTTGAAGGGTGTTGATTTTTTTTTCTTCTTCTCTTATTGCCTCCACTCTCTCCTATAAAGTCTGCCCAGAGTCCTTCATCTCTGGCACAGTTACCACAGCCCAGGTGGAAATGGATGGTTGACACGACTAGAAAATCCCGATTCTGGACTTTCAGGTCTCACCTGTAAATGGGCTTTTTAATTTGCCGTGAAGAGAGTAAAGTCATGTTTTCAGAAGCTGGGAGCTTTTGCTTCACCAGGGAAACCCTCATTTAGCTTTGTACTTTGCTGTCTTCTTTTAGCCTTAGACACATTGAACTGTAATATTTCCAGTGACCTGCCTCTACCAGCTTCTCTAGGCAGAGACAGAATCTGGGCCACTGGAGGATTCACACTGCCTACCACAATTTCCAGCACATAGTAGATGGACAATAAATATGAGGAATTAGTATATAAAGAACTCAGCAGAGTTAAAGTTAAAATTAGGCTGATCTGAGTTTTAATTTCTGCTTTGGAACTTACTACCTAGGGGACTTTCGGCAAGTTCATTAGTCTCTCTGAGCATTAGTTTCTTCATCGAGTGACTTGCATAGCCCAGTGTCTGTTGCAGAAAGCTCACTGGCATGAGTTAATTTTGTATCATTAATTCTGAGAGCCACATAACTCTTTAGAACAAATATGAATATGGGAAAGTAAATAAATGAATGCATGGATGAATGAATGAATGAAGGAGGGAATGAATACATGGATGCATGGCTGGATAGATGGATGGATGGATGGATGGATGGATGGATGGATGGATGGATGGATGGATGAAAACAGAGGAAACGTCTCCTCAGAAGCAGAGCTGGGATCCAGGAAATGTAATCTGGTGGAAGGATTAGAGGTGCTTTTGCTTATTAGTTTCAAAATAAGACAATATAGAAACAGACCTGAGGATTTGTAAAAATCTGCATGTAATAAAGGTCGCATTTCAACTCAGTTTGGAAAGGATTATTCTACAAATAGCACTGGGATGATTGTTTAACTAGTAGAGATTGAAAATAGAGTTAAATTGTTACTTCACAGCCATTCACCAAAATCAGTTCCCAATTGATTGGTGTTAACTGGAAAGCATCAACTCTATGATTCCCCTAACCCCTGATGAAAATGTGGGCTAGCATTTTATGACCTCAAGCAGTGAGGACATTTCTAAGTATAAAAACAAAATAATAAGCTATAAAAGTAAAGATAGATTTATTAGGCTACATACTACTAAAATATTTACAGGTTAAACAAATAAGAGACATAAAATTACTGGGGAAAAATTATTTGCCTCATTTTGACCGGCAAAGGGTCAATCAACACAATATATTAAGAGCTTTTGGATATGATTAAGAAAACAAAGAATAAAAGCAAATAGAGAAAAACAATCAAGTGCATGAATGTGAAATTAATCAAGGAAGGCATAGAAATGGGCCAATAAGCACATAGCACAAGCTAAATAAACTTCACTAACAATAAAAGAAACACACCTAATCTGAACAGATACAACTTAAAATGGTCAAATTAGCCAACTTTTCTTTAATGATAACACACACTGCTTGTGAGGATGCTGCAAACAAAATAGGCACTCTTGAACACCCTGAGTATAACCTTTCTGGAATACAAGAAGAAATAATTTTTGTTGTATGCCTTGAGATTTTTGTGGTCATTTATCGTAAAGTATATTTGTGTAAAAGTTGAGAGATACAATTTCAATACAGTTTCTATCAGTTTCTTAGTAGTGGGAATGAGGGACTTTTTTTCCCTTTAGGGAACACTTATCAGTACCCATCAAAATTTTTAATATATCCACCTTTGACCTGGCAATTCCAGTTTCAGAAATCTCCCTCAGTGTGATACTTGCACATTTGGTTAGAGATATGTTTTCAAAGAGAAACATTGTACCATTGATTACAATAGCATAGAAGAACATTGAAAACAATCCAGCAAAATGGGAATGGTCAAGTAAACCAAAATGGCTAGTTTTCTAGATCAAAAATGATCTAGATTGTGTATTCACAATTTCAACCTAGTGTGCCCATATAGAATACTATGCAGCCATTAAAACGAATGAGGCAGTTTAACATGTGCAATGCTATGAGAACATGTCCATGTTAAATTGTTAAGAGAGAAAAGGAATTTCTAGAAAGCCTACATCTCATGGTCCAATTTGTGTAACTAATTTAAGTGTGTTTCCTATAAAGGTCTCAAAGGGAGGGTGGTTTAGGGACGCACTTACTTTTTACTCTCGATTTCTGCATTATTGTCCTTGTGGCTTTTTGTACCACTGGAATTAGCTTCTGTGCTTTGTATGTATGATCGACCAAGCCAGTCCCTATGAGTCAGCCTGGGATTGTCTCTAAGCACAACCTCACCTTACATACTTCAAGGATTTTCAGGGCCCTCAGGGGATCCTCAACATCTTGCCCTGGCAGGTGAGGTCTCCTGTGTCTTGGACCCTACAACTATCCCCATCAATTCCTATGTTCTCTACATTCTCATATTGTCTCTTTCTCCAAATCTTTCCCATGCTGTGCCCTCTGCCTGAAATACCCTTCCCTGCCTTGCCCATCTGGAAATCTCCATGAAAATGCAGACAGCACCTTCCATCAGTAGCTTTTCTTAATGTTCCAATCTGTGTTAAGCCCTCTTCAAACTGTTTTAGTATAGTGTATGAGAATGCGTAGTCTGAGGTCTGCTGGCAATTTTTTTAAGGGGGTGAAATTTACATAACATACAATTAACCAATTTAAAGTGTTCGATTCAGTGTCAATTTTTAGCATCTAAATTCCTGAGCCTTGACCCAGACTTACAGCACTGAAAGCTCTGGTGTTGGGTGCAGCAATCTGCATTTTTAATAAAGTTCCCAGATAATTCTTGCACACACCAAAGTTTGATAATCACAGCCCTCGTATCTTGTTCTCCCTATTATAACAGCACATGACTGTTTGTTTTCATGTCTGTTAAACTTATAATTTCTAAACTGTGAGAATCTGCATAAAGATGGAGCAGACATATATAGATAGGTGCACAGATGTGAAATTTATATATATGTATATAAGTAATTATTATTATGACCATACTGAATAAATTGTATTACATCTCAATAAGAAGTTTTACTAACTATATAGCACTATGCAGAAGGAGGGGATGGGAAAAATGCCCCTCCACCCCACCCTGCTGTCAAAGTGAACCAGCAGCCAGCGACGGGTGCCTCAGCCCTTGCTGGAACCTGAGCAATGCTCTCAGCTGGGGATTCGTTCCTTCCTCTTTCTGGCACCAGCTGGTGTTGACTATTGCCAGAAAGAAACAGTCTCCGGCAACCCTGCCACCCTCGCCACAGAAGATCAGAAATGCGTCTTAGGTTCAGGGATGTCTGTTTTCAATGCTTTCCAAAATCCCATGCAGGGATGTTGCCGGGCTGAGTCGGAAGGCCCGGGATGTTGGCAGGTCCGACGTGGCTCCCTGCACATACTCGGTGTGTGGGAACTGTCTCTGATGTTGAGGTTCTGTCTCTGTCTCCGGAGCCTGATCCATCTGGCAGTTCTCCATCCTCAGCCAAGGACCTGCCGCCTTCTGGGAGCCCTCAGGGTGGAAGTAAGAAAAGGAGAAGAGGGTAACAGCTGGGGCTGGGAGCAGGGAGGGCGGTGAGGGCCTCTCTCCAAAAGCCAGTGATTAATCTTGAAACTGGGACGCTTTCATTTTCCTGCAAACTGGAGTACCATGTAGAGAAAATCACAGCACACATGCCATGGGCAGGAGAGCACAGTGGGTATGAGTGTCTGACTCAGCCAGAGCCTGGTTCGAATCCTGACTGTGCCACTTCCAGGCTGTGTTACCCGGGGTAAGTTACCTGCCTTTCCTGAGCCTTTTCTATGCTCTCAGGGTTTCTTTGTAAGGTTTAAATTACATAATATCCATGAAAGGCTTTATGCAGTACTTTCAAAAGCATCCAATCTATACATACTAATTATCTCTGGGAACATGCCTCACTTCTAAAGAATGGCTTTGTTTTACATGATTGTAAAGTGCCTCAAGGCAGGGTGGAAGCTGCTCTGAAATCAGAATTGGAGGCCTGGGCTCCATTTATGTAACTTATTTGGAGACCTGGGGCAAGCTCCTTGAATTCCTTCTTAAAAATGCAAAGAAGAAACCAGTGGGATGAAGAGGATCACAGGCCAGAGCCTTGCAAGCATCAGACCTATTTCCTGTGAAGACCCCTCCTGGCATTATCAGTCCCATTTCTCAGATGCGCACACACACTGAGGCCCAGAGAAGTGAAGTTAGTTGTATGTGGCAGTGTGATGCCAGCAAGAGCTGGGGTTGCAACAATCGTGTCTGACCCCAGTCTCTGGGCCCTTTCTGCCTCCCTTTCTTCAGTCTTTCAATAATAATGATCGCAAAGGCTGGGCACGGTAGCTCACGCCTGTAGTCCCAACACTTTGTGAGGCCGAGGCGGGCAGATCACCTGAGGTCAGAAGTTCAAGACCTGCCTGGCCTACATGGTGAAACCACATCTCTACTAAAAATATTAAAATTAGCCAGGTGTGGTGGCAGGCGCTTGTAATCCCAGCTACTCGGGAGGCTGAGACAGGAGAATCGCTTGAACTCGGGAGGCGGAGGTTGCAGTGAGCTGAGATCGCGCCACTGCGCTCCAGCCTGGGTGACAAGAGTAAGACTTTGTTTCAAAAAAAATCACAAATAATAACTACCCCATATTTAGCACTTTCTCTGCATCGGGCACTACTTAAGGACTTTACACTGTCCACCCCTTTAATTCTCACCCCAAGCTTCTGAGGCAGGCTCTGTAATTCCCCATTTCCCAGATAAGGAAATTCAGGCTCAGCTCCTGAGAGGCAGAGTCAGGACTTGAACCCAGATCTGAGTCTGTGTCCCAAGGAGTTACCCCTCGCCCCCACCCAATTCATCCCCCCGCCTTTTTTTTTCTATCTCCCTTCATGACACGCACAGGTGTTAAAAGCAGCCCCAAACATACAAAATTAAAAAATCGAGGCAAGAAATAGTTGCCTTTCCCATCCTTTCCGCACACAGGAAAGGAAGGAGGAGAAAGCGTCCACAGAGGGAAAAGGTCCAGCTTCTCGTTCTTTGCCATCACACTGACTTTTTAAAAATTTAACCAGCCACCTTTTCTCACTTCCCCAGTCATCCCAGTTACTAACTACGACCAGAAGCTCAGGCCATAAATAAAGCGCACAAATTTCACAGATGCCCCGGGAAACTGGAGCCGGGAAATGGCTCAGCATATGTCTAAATGGTTAATTGACTTAATTGCTGTGAGTTGGGCGATTAGCTCACTTGATCCACCCCGGTGGCCACAAAACGTCCTTAATGGTGTTCAGTTTATTTGTATGTTAAGCTCCAGTTACTATTACGGGGAACTTTTCGATTGCTGATTACCTCGTAAATATATAATTGTAGTCACAGGAAAAAAGAAGCCAGGAGCCGCTCATGAAAGGCTTTTCAAGGAATGGTGCAAAGCACTATTCATTCACCCACTCGGCAATTGTTTATTGGACACCTATTATGTGCAAAGTCCTCTGTGAAGCCTTGGAGATAGAGTAGGGAATACATCAGGCAAAACCCCTGCCTTCGACTGGGCACAGTGGCTCACGTCTGTAATCCTAGCACTTCAGAAGGCAGAGGTGGGTGGATCACCTGAGGTCAGGAGTTCGAGACCAGCCTGGCCAACATGGGGAAACCCCATCTCTACTAAAAATACAAAAATTAGCCAGATGTGGTGGCTCACACCTGTAATCCCAGCTACTCTGGAGGCTGAGGCAGGAGAATCGCTTGAACCCAGGCGGTGGAGATTGCAGTGAGCCAAGATCATGCCACTGCATTACAGCCTGGGCCACAGAGTAACTCCGTCTCAAAAAAAAAAAAAAAAAAAGAAAATCCCTGCCTTCGTGTAAACACTCTGGAGCAAGAGGAGACAGGCAGGAAATAAGTAAATATCTATGTGTACATGAAATAATTTTACATAAGGACTACAAAGAAAATAAAACTGAGTGATGGGATGCAATGAGCCAGAAAGAGTTAGGCTTGGGCTAGGATGGTCAGAGAAGGTCCCTCTGGGGACTGGTATTTGGGCTAGACATGAATGAGAAGTAGGGATTGCCTCTGCAAGAGACGTGGGCACAGTGCTGGAGGTAGGGGGCCAGTGAGTTTGCATGAAGACCCTGAGATGGGAATGACTTTATCCTACCTGAGAAATGGGAGGGAGGCCGACACAGGACAAGAGAATGGAGATGAAGGCAGAGACCAAGCCCTGCAGTATCAGGAGCAAGAAGCTTGGATACATTTTTCTAAGTCCAGTGAAAAGGCATCCTGTGATTCTATTTATGTCTTCAAAGATCACTGTGCTGTTGAATGGAGTGTGGATTATTGGGGTGGGAGGAAGACGGGAAGCTGGGTGGTCAGTTAGAGAGCATCTTCAGCCACCCAGGGGAGAGAGGATGACTTGGACCAGGTTGTAGTGGAGTAGATGCAGAACTGTGGATGCTTGTGGGCATATTCAGGAAGTAGCTGGAAGAAGACTTAGTTTGGAAGACACGAAGACTCCTAGGTTTTCAGCTGAAGCCATTGGGTCAATGGTGATATCATTTAGCAGGATGTTGAGAGATTGGGGAGGAACGGGTAGGCAGGAAGACTCATGTTTTTGAAAAGAACAACTTTGGCCTAGCCCATTTGGAAGGAAAAATGCTGGAGTCAGGGAGGCTGGTGAAGAGAGTATTGCTGATATCCAGATGAGACACAATGGTGGCCTGGGCTGGGACCAGAACCGTGGAATGGCGAGTTATTCCATTAGGATATTTAACCTAACATAGGATGGAGCATCAGGAGCAAATCGACTTTGGTCGAATCCGTGTAGAACAAGACCTGAAAACAGATGCCTCAATTCTGTCATATCCCAAATTATTACCCATACCCCCATCTTAATCCTTCTGAAGTTGGGTGGGGGTGGGTGGGAAGGATGGATCAAAATTAGAATTATATCAAGCAGAAAATAATCTTCAGCCTGGGTTGCACTGATAAAAAAAAAATAGACAGAATTCATAATTACCATATAAAACTGTTTATATTTGTGATTATATGTTACCGCCACCTCCAGGTCCTGGCAGTAAGTGACTTAATTGCTTTAGCCGGGAGCTGGGGCCTGGGGAGCAGGAGGGTTTTGCTGGATGGTGAGATGGCAGAAAACCTCCTGTCTACACTCCTCCCACCAGTTGGATTCTAGATGTTGCTGTGGTTTCTCCATGAGCTTCCGTCAGATGTAGAAACTACTGCCTTTCTGCTGCTCAAGTTGTCAAGAGCCAGAGGTGAGGCTGCCACCAAGAATCTTGGCATTTAATGGGATTAGTTAGGTTTAGGTAGCTGGCTTGCAAAAAAAAAAGGGAGAGGCGAAGATGTTGGTTCCAAGGCAACAGACTTCATAAATTGAGTTTGGTTGAGAAGGCATGTCTTGTGTGTTACACTTGTGTGTTAACTTGTGTGTTACACTTGCATATAATTGTGTGTTACACTTGTCCACCAGTCCCATGAGCCTGGTGGCCCTCAGAAGATCAAACCTTACTAGTTTCCCTACCAGATATCCCCAGTGCCTAGTGCCTGGCACAGAGGAGGTGCCTGTTTGTTTGGGCCCCTCCAGCAGCAGGCCCTAAAACCAGGACTGTAGTACACATGGATGATTCCTGAAGCACCTGTATGGTGGTGGGGAAGTAAGACAGGATGATAAGGGCACCAATATGGGGTACATTGTGAAGGGCATTACCACCATGGGCCACTGGAACCTACTCCTACTGAGGACCTCTGGGAGACAGTGTGAAACTGAGTGAGAGAGGGAGCTGGGGTATTTATACACCAACTTTCATACTGTGGGTTGAAGGCTGCTCCTGAGGGTGGGGATGGAGTATCATTAATTTCCAGGCAGTTCCTTTCCACCATGTTCATAGGCAGTGAAAGCTCCAGTGCCCAGAGAAACCCTTGGGGAAAAAGATACACACATTGGCAGTTGGAGGTTGGGCTGGAATGCCCCAGAAAAATGAAGACAAGAAGGTATGAAAGGGCAGTGATGGCATCTCCCAAAGATCCCAAAAAATCATATTAAATTAAATAGATGAATGGATCAATTGAATAAATGGTGTTTGGGATCCTCCAAGACTCTAGCTCCTGGCCAACTGGACTTTTAAGTCTTGACTCCTAGAGGTTACCACCTTCCAGCCCTCGGGGTGGTCATTCAGCCCACTTTGTGTTTAGGTTTCCCTCTGGTGAAAGTGGTGGTAATTGTATTAACTTTATACAATTGTTAAGAAAATTCAATATGCGATACTGTTTTATTCACTCATTAATGTAACCCATACTTACTGAGTGCCTACTGCACTCTCAGTTCAAGGCTAGGTATAACAGGAAGCAAGATGGGCACCTCCCCATCAGAGTGCACCTGCCCCTGTTGGTCTCAGTACACGTTAGTTTCCTAACCCTTTCTCCAGTGGAAGGGAGCATGGAGGGCAAGGTTGCAGAATGTTGGTAGAATCTAGAGCCTGAACCCCACGCCATTTTAGACAGTTTTATCAGGAACAGAATCAAGACTTAGGAACAACAGTGAGATCTACTAGAATAAGCAGCATTTATTCATTTATTGGCTCTGCATGCCTGTACTGAGGACCGACTCTGTGCCTATCCCTGTACCTTGCTCTTCCACTTCATTTCTTTCTCTTTCCAACTTTTATTTTAGGTTCAGGGGTACATGTGCAGGTTTGTTACATGGGTAAATTGCATGTTGAAGAAGTTTGGCATACAGATTATTTCATGACCCAGGTAATAAGTATAGTATCTGATAATTAGTTTCTCAATCCTCACCCTCCTCCCACTCTCCACCTTCAAAAAGGCCCGGTGTCTATTATTCCCTTCTTTGTGTCCATATATGCTCAATGATTAGTTCGCACTTATAAGAGAGAACATGTATTTGTTTTTCTGTTCCCGTATTAATTCACTTAGAATAATGGCCTCCCAGTTTCATCCACGTTTCTGTAAAGGACGTGATTTTCATTCCTTTTTATGGCTGTGTAGCATTCCAGCTATTCTTCACTTCCCTTCGATCTGTTACTAAGTCCTATCAGTTTTGCCTGCTAAATTGCTTTCAGACCTGCTTGTTCCCTCTGCTTCCTGCTAGAACACTGCCCTAAATCGGGTCTGATCATGTACCCTGGGTTTCTGCAGGATCCTGCTCCCTGGTCTCTAACCTTGTGGCTTCCTTGTTGAAAAGCTTCTACTGTTCTCTATTGCCCTCCAGAGAAAAATCCAGGTTCCTTCTCTCTGGCCCCTGCCTCCTCCACAGTTGTATGCTCAGCCATCCCACCACCCCCAACACATATATATTTTTTAATTTTTAAAATAGCCTTATGGAGATATCATTAACATTCCATAAAATTCATCCATTTAAAGTGCACAGTTCAATAGATTGAGTTTATTCACAGTGTTGTATAGCTATCACCAAAATCCAGTTTTAGACTATTTCACCATCCCAATAAGAAAACCCGACCCATTACTAGTCACCCCCGGTTTACTCCCAGCATTCAGCCCATGACAAATACTCATCTATGTCCTGTTCTTATAGATGTGCCTATTCTGGACATTTCATATAAATAGTGTCATACAATATGTGGCCTTTTGTGACTGGCTTCTTTCACGTAGCATAATTAAGGCTCATTCATGTTGTCACACGTGTCAATACTACATTCCCTCTTATCATTGAATAATATTCCATGATATTCCATATTTTGTTGATCCATTCAGCAATTGATGGACATTCGGGTTGTTGCCATATTTTGGCCATTGTGAATAGTGCCACAATGAACATTTTTGTGCAAATTTTTGTGTGGACATATGTTATTGTTTCTCTTGGATGTATGCTTAGGAGTGGAATTGCTGGGTCACATGGTAACTCTATGGTTGACATCTTGAGGAACTGCCAGAATTCTTTACAAGGGCTGTGCCATTTAATATTCCCACCAGCAATGTATGAAGGTTTCAATTTCTCCGTATCCTTGCCAACAGTTGTTATTGTCTGCCTTTTCGATTATAGCTATCTTAGTAGGCATCAAAGTGCTATCTCCTGGTGCTTTTAATGAGAATTTTCCTAATGCTCAATAATGCTGAGTATCTTTTCATGTCCTTATTGGCCATTTGTACATTTGCTTTGGGGAAATGCCTATTCAAATCCTTTTCTTATGTTTGAATTGGGTTATTTTTGTCTTTTGGTTACTGAGTCTTAAGCATTCTTTATATATTCTAGATACAAATTCCTTATTAGATGTATGATTTGCAAATATTTTCTTCCATTCTGTGGGTTATCTTTTCACTTTCTTTATGATCTTATTTATAGCACAAATGTTTCTAATGTTGATCAAATCTAATTTGTATTTTTTTTTGTCTTTTGTGCTTTTGGTATCATATCTAAGAAACAATTGCCTAACCCAAAGTTATGAACAGTTACTCCTAAATTTTCTTCTAGGAGTTTT
Organism: Homo sapiens; assembly: GCF_000001405.40. Taxonomy (NCBI): domain Eukaryota; kingdom Metazoa; phylum Chordata; class Mammalia; order Primates; family Hominidae; genus Homo; species Homo sapiens. The sequence continues at coordinate 27,117,545 of NC_000022.11, read as the reverse complement.
ATAATTTTAGCTCTTATGTTTAGCTCTATGATCCATTTTGAGTTTTGTTCTTTCTCATATGGATATTCATTTGTCTCTACCACTATTTGTTGAAAGACTATTTTTCCCCCATTAAAGAATCTTGGCATCCTTGTCAGAAATCAGTTACCCAGAGAGGTCTGGTTTATTTCTAGACCCTCAATTTGATTCCACTGATTTATATGTCCGTCCTTATGCCAGCACCATGATATCCATACCCATTCTTGAGTGAGGTCAAATTTTCCCTCCAAATATTACTTATATGCTTGTGTCGATCTCTCAGATTAGACCATAAGTGCTCAAGATGAGTGGTATAGGGCATTCTCTTAGCTGTAAATTATCCAACTTTTTTTATTCTGTGTGATTCTGGGTAGTGTACTTAGCCTCTCTGAGCCTGTGTTTCTCAGAGTTTTATTAGTAAAAAGAATAGTCTCTTCTTCTTCCTTCTCTCCTGTATTAGTCTGTTCTCACACTGCTAATAAATACATACCTGAGACTGGGTAATTTATAAAAGAAAGAGCTCATAGTTCCATATGGCTGGGGAGGCCTCACAATCATGGTGGAAGGTGAAGGAGGAGCAAAGTCACGTCTTACATGGCAGCAGGCAAGAGAGCATGTGCAGGGGAATTTCTCTTCAAAAAACCATCAGATCTCATGAGACTTATTCACTACTATGAGAAAGGCATGGGAAAGACCCATCCCCATGATTCAATTACCTCCCACAACATGTGGGAATTATGGGAGCTATAATTCAAGATGAGATTTATGTGGGGACACAGCCAAACCATATAACTTCCCATCCTTCCTCCTTTCCTACCTTTGAAGATAGAGACTGCCTCATTTACCACTGTACCAGGACAGTGCAGACATAGAGTAAATGCCAGTTGTATGTTAGCTGAATGGATAAGTTGCCCATCTTGCTGAGCAACAAGGAGGACATGGTTTCTGATGTGCCCACACTGCTGTTTCTAAATAAACAATGACTTGGCAGCAACTGAGAAATCAGGTTTACTGTTCATGTCCCTCTTGTTTGCAAGGCATTTAACCATTCTCCCACATGCCTCAGTCTTGGCTGGAGGCTCAGAGCTTCCTGCCTCCTTCCCAGACGGGGGTAGGGGGGTGCCTAGTATATGGAGCAGAAGTTCCCAAACTTTCCCAGTACATGGCACCCTTAGTGTTCAGGAATTATTTCAGCAAAATAAATCCTTAATGGTTCTGCCAGTCCTGCTTATTGGGTCTTCAAGTGCAAACAACGTAATAAGCATTTACATCCTAACAACTTAGCAGCCATTTGAAAAAAATAATACACACAAGTTAATCAAAAAATAATATTGTAAGCACAATCACTTCCTATTGAAATGTGTGCACCGGTTGGGCACTGCATGGCTTCTGAAACCTTGAAATCAGATCGGACTTTGTCACCCTCATTTCCTGTTCCACATTGACTTTGGCATAGTTCTTGCTTTTTATCACAGCAGCCACCAAAAACCCAGGGTCACGAAGATACGACATCATCAAAAGGAATGTTGGGTGATCTAATGCTGGAATTGTGAATGACCTCAAGCTAGTCATTCTCATGGCATTTAACAGATGTCCAATATCGCTGTGTTTACCTTGACAATTTATAATACCTTGCAATGTTCCTGTGAGTCTGCCCAGGCACCCCAGGGTGCCTTGACACACAGTTTGGGAATTGCAATTCAAGAGGAAAGAGCATATGAATTGGCTCTTAGGATCTTCCATTGGATTCTAGCTCTGTAAGTGATTCCTCAGGTGAACTTGGTCCAGTCACTTCCAACCTCTAGGCCTCAGTTTCCCTCCTGCTCTGCAAAACTGGGCCTCTGCCTGCTCCAATATCTTATCATCATCTTCACCATCATCATCTCCCTCATGAGTACAGCCTTTGATAATGAGCGCTTAGTATGTGTCAGACACTGGACTCCACAACTGCTCTGGGCAAGTCATCATTATTGGCCCCACTGTACAGAGGAGAAAACTAAGGTTCCAAAGGGCTCAGTAACCTATGCATCAAAGGCAGAAAGTAGAAAGTTATGCTTTGTCTCTCCGCTAGCTGCCTCTGGAACTCTGGGGATCCAAAACCTCAGTGTGTAGAAAATACTTTCCCCTAACTGAAAGAAGAGCAATCAAGGTGACCTTGCGGCTGAAAGACAAATTGCGTGTTATATATTGACACTCCAGGAGCGCAAACCTGTCCATCAATAGCCTAAGTCCCGGTTGCTGATACCTGTGCTCTCAACTAAAGATCTCAGAGACCTGAGCCTATGAGTGAACAGAAAAATTAAACTCTGTTCAGAACAGAGTTGTTAATAACTGGGTACTAGTATAGGGGTTCATTTTGTGTTTATTTACAAAGACTAAACTTTTTGTTGTTTTCCTTTTATTTTGTTACATTGAAACTCCTTCATATGGTTTACACGACCTGCCCCTTCCACCTTCATCTTTCATCAGAGTCATCAGAGTCTACTCTCACCATACCCGCCCTCCCACTTTTTTTTTTTTTGAGATGGAGTCTTGCTCTGTCGCCCAGGCTGGAGTGCAGTGGCGCAATCTTGGCTCACTGCAGCCTCTGTCCCCCAGGTTCAAGCAATTCTCCTGTTTCAGCCTCCTGGGTAGCTGGGACTACAGGCGCATGCCACCACTTTTGTATTTTTAGTGGAAATGGGGTTTCGCCATGTTGATCAGGCTGGTCTTGAACTCCTGACCTCAGGTGATCCACCCGCCTCGGCCTCCCAAAGTGCTGGGATTACAGGTGTGAGCCACAGCACCCAGCCCCACTTTTTTTTTTTTTTTTTTTTTTTTTGAGACGGAGTCTCGCTCTGTCACCCAGGCTGGAGTGCAGTGGCGCAATCTCGGCTCACTGCAAGTTCTGCCTCCCAGGTTCACGCCATTCTCCTGCCTCAGCCTCCCAAGTAGCTGGGACTACAGGTGCCCGCCACCACGTCTGGCTAATTTTTTTGGTTTTTTTTAGTAGAGACGGGGTTTCACTATGTTAACCAGGATGGTCTCTATCTCCTGACCTCGTGATCTGCCCACCTCGGCTTCCCAAGTGCTGGGATTACAGGCGTGAGCCACTGCACCCGGCCCCCAGCTCCACTTTTTAATGAAGCCAGAGGGACTGATTATGCGCACCTGCCCTGTGCCAGGCACCGATCTAGGCCCAGTGTATGGGGCAAGGAGCAAACAAGATGCAGTGCCTACCCTCTGGGAGTTTGTAGTCTAAGTGAGAGAGAGGGGGACAGAGTGAGAGGGAGGCTTAGCACACAATCTCACAAATAACTGCAGCATTCTAGTTGTGATTCTAGTTGTCTAATTGTGATTCTCATTGTCATAAAGGAGAAACTCAGGTGCTCTGCGGCCCAATCTGTGAAGATTCCCACAGATTCTGCCTTTGCCTTACCACACTGAGTTGTAGTTATCTTTTCCATTAGGCAATTACATGTTAGTCCTGATTGTCATTGTACCCCTAACACAGGGCCTGGCACATAATAGGTGCTCAATGTGAACATGCCTCAAGTAAGTAGACACTCAGTGTAGAGACAAAACAAAGCAGAAAAAGAAAAACAATTGCAATTTCCCTCTCTGTCTCTCTTTCTCTCTCTGTCTCTCTTTCTCTCTCTCTCTTTCCCTCCCTCCCTCACACACACTCACACACATGACTGTGAGACATCACTTTCCTACATTTATCATTTGTACTTGCCTGTTTTGTTTCTCTTTTGAAGAACTATTTCATGCCATACTTCCTATTGTGATACCTTTCATGCAGCCTTCTGTCCTAGGCATTCCCCCATAGAATATGTTTAATCTTGTGTGCCAGTTCCCAACCACTGATAGCACCTGCCTGGAGTGCTTGACTGAAAAAGATGCAAGAGGAAGTCAGGCTGTGATTGATTCGTGATGTCTGCCTAGAGCAGGGAAGTAGGGCATTTCAGGATGGGAATCTGCTTTTGTGGACTAGACTAAGAGCTTCACTGTCAGAACCCTGTGCAGTTGCAGCCACTGGGAGGCTGGAGCGAGAGATGGAAACTCCTTCTCTGATGGTTTGGCACAAAATCCTGCTACATCAGCTGGTGACAAGTGGCATAATCAATGCCTCCCTCTCTCAGGAAGTCTGCGTGTGAGATGCACACTGAGACGTGGTCACCACAGCTATTGCAACATCCCAGTGGGATGAGTCACTGATTCAGTCCCCTGAAAACACATAGCACATTCTAGACTTGGAAGAGCTGGGGCAGAGAGAGAAACAACAGCTTCTTTGTCTGGTTCTCTCAGAAGCCAACTCTGAGGCAAGGATTCCTAGGAAAGACTATCTTAAGAGTGAGAGGTGGAATTTTATTATCTATGGTGAGTAAGTAGAGTTTTGTCCTGCTGGGAGCCTCCAGAAGGCAGTGTGACCCACCTTGGTGTTCTCTCACCTGAGAGTCCAGGGGCTAGGGTGTTTACCCACCTCACCGTCCTCTTGGTTGAGGACTGCTTTCAGGGGCAATAACACTGCTGCTTCCAACCTGCCCTCTGCACAGAAGAGTAGGCTCCCAAGGCCAGAACAACATCTAGAAGCAGGGAGTCACAGGTGTGCACAGTAAGCAGGCTTGAGTATGAGAGTGGACAGAATATGGGCGAGATGCTTACGGTTTCAGTTCACGATGCCTCATCACACTTTACTGCAAGTTCTTACAGTAAACCCTCTGCAGCAAAGACAACTGTTTTCTGTAAAGGGCCAGAGGATCAATACTTTGTCTTTTGTGGGAAATATGGTCTTTGTCAAAGCTATTCATCCTATACCCATATAGTGCAAAAGCAGCCATAGACAATATGTAAAGAAATGGGTGTGACTGTGTTTCGATAAAACTTTATTTACAAAAACAAGCTCTGGGCCAGACATAGCTGGACATGTCTAAACCCTAATCTAAGCCTGGGATTATATTTGCTTAAAACTTGGGTGCCAGCTCTTATCAGCTGACCGTGACTTCCAGGAGGAAGGAATCTTCCTAGTGACTGAGTCCTGTCTTCTTCCTTCAATGAGAAAGACAGCTGTGATTGATTAGTGATGTCTGCCTTGGCCCAGGATGGGAGACAACAGTACCTATACTGCACATTGTACATCCCTGACCTCAGGAAACCTCAGCAGTCAGAAGGAGTTCAAGCAATGTGGTACAAAAAGCCTCTATTATTATTTGGGAGATAGAGGGAGGGGTCATCTGGGAAGCCTGGCCTCTTTCCAAACACACTCTAACACTGTGGAAACCTGTGTCTTTGCAGGGACTGCTCTATTTGCTCCCTTGACTGTGAGTGATTTAAAGGTAAAAATTGCTTTTTTTTTTTTTTTTTGGTTGTTCTTTCTCTCTTCAGGTCTAACCCAAGGGCTGGCACAATGTTTAGTGAATGTCTCTTGTATGAATGAATGAATAGATGAAAGAATTTGAGATTGACAGGGGCAATTAACATTTCCTGAAGGCTCATTCTGTGCTGGGTTAAGACAGCTCATATATTTTATCACACCTCCAAGATAAGTATCATATGAAGCAAGTATCATAAAGTCAATTTTTCCGGCTAACTGCCCTTTTATTTCACTTTACTATTTTTTAGATACTGGGTCTTGCTCCTTCACCCAAACTGGAGTGCAGTGGCACGATCGATCACAGCTCACCGCAGCCTTGAACTCCTAGGGCTGACACCATCCTCCCGCCTGAGCCTCCTGAGTGGCTGGAACTACAGGAGTGCACCACCATGCACCTAATTGGTATTTTAAATGATAACAACCACACGAATAATATTAACAATAATGATGATGGTGATAATGACAGCTGCCACTTATATCCATGGGCCAAGCATTGTGCCACGCATTTTGCTTACATCTTCACACAAAATCTACCAGGGAGGGAGTGTCTTTAACTGTCATTTTACAGATGGGGAAACTGAGGCTCTTATGGGGAAGCCACTGGCCTGAGGTCAAGCACTGGAATGTGACTGAGCCAAAATGTGGCAGCAGATCTGACTATCGGCCTTTGTGGTTCACGATTATTGCCTCCATTACAGTGCTGCCTGTGTGCTGGTTCTCGCATGACAGGGAGGGTTGTGAGTAGACAGAGGGGTTGCAGCAGGACTGGCCCCTACCGTGTCAAAAGGGACAGGTCACAGGCTGAGCAGGATGGGGCGGCAGGGGCAGGCTGCCTCCCCACACGCAGAGGTCCCACCCCAGCTCCCTACCAGCAGCAGACTGGGAGCCCTAGTGTGCCCAGCGCCCCCATGATTGGCAGCCTGCAGATGGCAGGGGTGCCTTGGAATTTATTATCCAAGCATGCCTTTCCGAGGGGGCCTCACTGCCTGACACTGCTTTATCGGAAAGCTGGGAATGGTTAGCTGAGCCCATCTGTTAGCCAAAGAGGGGAACTCAGTGGGTGGGGAAGTCTGTGGAGTCATTTAAAAGGAATTTCTCTGATGCTGAGGCCAGGGCAGAAGGTTATCTGCCCGTGGGCCGTTGGGCTGCCTGGTTTGGGGTATTGGGGGCTTGGGGGTGGTGTGTGTGTGTTTGGTGGGGGACTCTCGTTGCTTGTTCTAAACCAAAAATTGCTAGAGCCCTTCCCCCTTCTGAACAACAATTTGAACTCTGCAGTGCTCTTTCATTGCTGAAACCACCACATTAGCATCGTCAGTGTCTTGGTGACGAATCTAGGACAGATGGGGATAAATGCAGTGATCTGAATTAATACTGGGGTGGCTAATGAATCCAGGAGCCAGGAAATAATTAGGAGAAGTTACTGCTCCTGACATGGCAAATAGAAGCTGTGTGTTAGATGCCTTCTTCTCTCTCCCCTCCCACCAACCAAGATGCCCCGGAAGACAGCTGTGCAGCCACCTGGGGTGGGGGACACTTGGATGTCAGGACTTGATCTTGGGTGAGGATTCTGGGACATTTATGACAGAGGCTGGTGAACAGCAGGTGGAGACAGGAGAATGGCGGTTCTTCCATTGTATATCAAAGGTTCTTCTGTGCTTGGAAAAAGCACTGGACTGGGAGCCCAGAGGCCTGGGTTCAAGTGCAGGCTCCTACTGGATCATCCTAAGGCATGTGGTTCCCTCCTCCAATGCTCAATGAAAGTAGAGCATGATCGAGGGTAGCATGCACTGTTTGCTGCCCAGGGGCAGGCCCATGCTAAATGATTTGCATAGGGCTCTCATTTAATCTTCCCCCACAGCTCTAGTACTCTGTTTGTTCTCACTCTACCAAGTCCAATTGTTTCAATAGCTCATTCAAGGGCATGCAGTTGATAGCAGAGCTGGATTCAAACCCAGAAATCAACTCAAAGGTCTGAGCCCTTGACCATACCATGTCACTGCCTTTTGCCACCAAGAGCCAGATAATCATTGATGTTTCTTCCAACACTGACATATTTTTAGGCCTTCATGATTCTTGTAGATATCTTGTAGATATCTGCTTTGCAATATGGGGAGTGAAAGGGAGTTGAGCTATGCTTTTGTAATTGGGTGTCTGAAAAGGCTGGGCCCCTATTATATATGATCATACGCTTTATTCTTCCTTTCTAAAACTTAGCATGTTTGCAATTGAATAATTAAGTGTTTATTGTTTAATGGTTATCTACCCTGCTAGACTGAGGCTCCAAAAAGATCTCATCTATTTTGCTCACTGTTATGTCCCCAGTGCAGAGAAGAGTGGATGATATGTTGTGTTCGAATTGATATCATTTGACTGTGTCCCCACACAAATCTCATCTTGAATTGTAGCTCCCACAATTCCCATGTGACATAGGAGGGACCCGGTGGGAGATAATAGAATCATGGGGGTGGTTTCCCCCATACTGTTCTCATGGTAGTGAATAAGTCTCATGAGAGCTGATGGTTTTATAAGGGGTTTTCCCTTTCACTTGGCTCTCACTCTTTCTTGCCTGCCACCATGTAAAACGTGCCTTTTGCCTTTTTCCATGATTATGAGGCCTCCCCAGCCACATGGAACTGAGAGTCCATTAAACTCCTTTTTCTTTATAAATTACCCAGTCTCAGGCATGTCTTTATCTGCAGCATGAAAATGGACTAATACATGATTGAATGAATGGATAAATGAATGAGTAAGTGAAGTAATTTGTGAATATATTAGTGAGTGAGTGAAGGAACATGTGAATAATTGGGTGAGTGAATGATTGAGTGAAGTTTGGAGTAAATGAAGGAATAAATGAGTGAATGAGTGACTGAGTGAGTGAATGAATGAATGCATGAATGAATGAGTGATTGAATGAACAAATGAGTGAGTGAGTTAATGAATGAGTGAAGCCGGGAGACCAGGCTGAACTCTGATGAACAGAAGCCCCTCAGCGATGCTACCTTGTGGCCGCCATTTCATCTGGCCTGCGCTGCTGCTTCCTGGGCAAGGAAGGGTGCAGGGAGCAGGCCCAGCGTGCAGTGTCTTTGAAAGGGCAGTGGGCACTGACAGGGGCTTCTCTGGCGCGGGGCTGAGGGGCCTTGTCCAAGGCTGACTCGGGCCCCCGCCTTCCCCCTCTGGGAGCGATGCTCGCTAGAGCTGCTTCACATGGACACGCTTGAATAGCAGCCAGGGCTGTCTGGGCATCACGTGACTACCCGGCTGCCAAGGGAGCTCGAGGCAGCCAGGGTGGGGGCGGGGGGGGGGTGTCGGGGGTCACCTCCGCAGTTAAGTAATGTACCTGGCGGAGACTATGCTTGTGGAGAACAGTTCAAGGAACAAAGCGTTCTTCATTTTTCTTTTCTTCCTTTTTTCTTGATTCTTCTTTCTTGGCAGTCTGGATTCAGAATGTTTTCATGCCGGGTGGCCAAGGTGAGGGAGCGTTTTCAGGCGAGGAAGGGCAAGTTTGTTTTTTGATCTGCAGGGCTGGGTGTGCCGTCTCATGGCTGAGAGCTGAAAGGCTAGACCAGAGTTCCCCAGTTCAAATTGCAGCTTCTGATCCTGGCACTGAGGATGACCTTGAGCTACTTAATCAAGTCTTGGGAGCTTCACTTTCCTTATCTGTTAAGAGAAAGGGATCATAGTATCTAGCCCAAGAGATTAGTTTGAGGATTCAAAGAGACAATGGGTGTAAAAGACTCAGCACATTGAGTTCAGTTAATGCAGTGAATATTAACAACGACAACAACAATAATATTATTAATTGCGGGAACAGAAAACTAGTCCTGAGGTTTCTTTGTGCCAGAGGTGGATACAAATTAGTTAGGAGAGCAAGCATTTTTGCCACTAGATTTCCAGACATGAGGGCAAAGAGAAACTAGTTGAGGGAGACCCCCCCCCCGTGGAGTCTTTGCAATTTTCCATCAATTGTCTGAGCCTAAAATGTTCCTAGAGTTCATAGGGTCTAAGTACCTGGAGATGCTGAGGCCCAGAGAGGGAAGGGACTTACCCCAGGTCACACAGTAGCAGATGGTTAGAGCCCAGACGTTCTTATCATGCTTGAATTAATCATTGTGGTCTAGCTTTTCTAACACAACAGCAGACTATGCCCCCAGCAAGGATGAGTCACTGATTGGCTGTGCTCAAGCCTGACCTGGGCTCAGAGCCAAGCCTGATGGAGATGAGGGATACTGGTGTGAACACTTCCTTCTGCCTACCCAGCATGTCACTTTCCCAAAGCAGGTAACTACCCATTCAGGTGTTCTGGTCCTCGTTCCTGCAAGGGTGAGTACTGGCATTTTGGCCTGCAGTTTAGAAGTGAGTGTCCCAAAGGTGAACTGATGAACCCAGGATCATACGACTCATAAGTGTGTGGACAGATGGGTGGATGGAGCTGGGTTAATTGAATGCCACTTTGTCCCAGACATATTGAGGCACATCATAAAAGTGCCACCAGCCAGAAAGACCATTCTCTAACCCAGAGACCTCTGAGAACTCATATTTTGACATTTGGCTTTATCTAACATTGAGTTGCATCATGACCTTAAGCAAGTTACTTCTGCTTTTTGGGCCTCAGTGTCCTCATCTGTCAAATGGAAGTACCATAGCATCTACCTCTCTGGGGATGATTGTGCAGACTGAGTCTGTTAATGTAAAGTTCTTTGAATAGAGTCTGATGTGCATTAACTGCTCAGTAAATGTTGGCTGCCAACTAACCCAGAGGTCACGGTTCCTGGAAAGGTGGCAAGACAGCACCCTGCAGAGGGCTGGGGCTTTGGAAGGTAAGGTACATGACCCTCAGCTGTGGACTCCCTATGTGTGTGACCATTCTCTGTTACGAGGCATGCATGGAGGCACACAGCGAACATGCACTATGCCTTCATCCAAAGGAGAAAACAAGTCAGAAGCTTCTAAGAATTTTGGTTCCATGCCCAGTAAGAAGGGCCTGTGCTGTGCCAAGCTCCCAGGCTTGGGATCATGAGCACATGCCAGCCCTTCTCTTTTTGGGTCCACTTGAAAATGATCAGAGCTGTCTGAGGGACTCTTGCAGAAACGGAGGCCAACTCCTTGCCTGTCAAGGGAAGCCTTGGGAAAAGAGGGATCCTTTCCATCTCTCTGCGCCCAGAAGAAGCATGGGTTCTGGTAGGAAGGACAGATGTACTTGATTGGAATCCCATCTCAGACACTGACCAGCTGTGTGACCTCAGGAAAGTCACTTTCCCTCCCTGACCCGCAGTTTTTGCATCTGTACAATGGGGTTACTTTGAGAATTTAGTAAGAAAGTCTTTGTGGGAGTGGGCCCCACTTTGCTTGTGGCAGAAACCTTAATGCCAAGCACAAGCTTAACCCATAAAGGGCATTTAACAAGAATGTGGCAAATGGGTGATGATCAACAGCTGAACAGGAGCCAGGGGGTATTCTAAACATTTCCTGACATCAGTTCATTTAGTTCTCACAGTGAGAGAGACTATAATGACCCCTATTTCACAAGTGAGCAAACTGAGGCTTGGGGAAAAAAGCTGAATCCCACGTCCAAGGTCACTTAGCTAGTAAGTGACAGAGCCAGGATTTGAACCCAGGCAATTTGAAACTAGAGCTTAAGCTTATAGCCACTAGGATGCAGCAGATGCAGAAAGAAGATAGAAAAGAGATGCAAAACGGACATCACCTAGACTAGCATATACATGGAATGATCAATAAGTATCTGTAAAATCAATGCATTAATTAAAAGCAAAAAAAGCACACAACAATTGCTTTATTTTCCCACTCTGCAGGGTCTCAGAGATACAGAATTGCACAGAGAGAGTCCCAGTCCACAGAGAAGGTGAAAACATAAATGATCTCGAGTGTTGCTGACTCTCACATCCAACAGAGCATCCAACAGAGGCTCACACAGGTGGCCATCTGACCAAAGCCAGCCCTCTGTAAGTTGACTTAGCCTATGTAGCATTTTAAAAAATATCTTCATTGGTCTCTGAAATTTAAAAGTTGAGATATTTCACATTAAAAAAAAAAAACAAAAAAAAACACAAGATTGCTGGTGTAGAAGAGAAAAGTGTCCTTCATTTTGCCATGTGCTGGCCTCACTTTTTATTGTACATTTCTGGCCAGTCTCCTGGGGGGCACTTGAGTTTGCAACTCCCATGTGTACAGGGCTCTGGGGTTCGGGAGGGAGAAACATAAGCATGTAGGCCAAAGACTCAGTGAAAGCCCCAGTTTTGGGAGGATTTTCTGGTCTTGCTTGGAGAAAGATGACTCACGAGGCCAGCATGTGTCTCTTGCCGAGCCAGGTTTCCTTTCCTACTTTGTTTTTATAAAGCAGAAATAGAAGTTTCCATAACGTGGTGCAACTCCACCCAGCAGGCCTTGGGAAGCCGCTGCTATCTGTGAGCGTCCAAGGGAGAGCTTTGGTTGGGAGCCTGCTATTGCTCATGGAGCTGTGAGCACAGCGGGACAGCATGTGCTCGTCTCCACTGTTGGCTCTGCCTGAAGATGGGGACTCCGTACTGCGTTCCTCCTTGGGTGAGACTGTCAAAGAGCTGGGTCCCTCAGGCCACAAAAGAGTGGGGTAGGAGAATCAGAGACTTAGTCCAGGTTCTACAACTAACCAATCCATCTATTTATCATCCATCCATCCATCCATCCATCCATCATCCATCCATACATCATACATCCATCTATCCATCCATCCATCTATCCATCCATCCATTCATCCATCCATCCATCCATCCATCCATCCATCCATCCTTTTATCCATCCATCCATCCATCCATCCATCCATCCATCCTTTTATCCATCCATCTAAGGACTGTTTATTGAGCACCTACCATGTTTCAGACACCCCATGCTATACTTTGAAGAGACAGAAATAAAATAGACACAGACTGCACTATCCTCATAAAGTCTACAGTCAGGTGGGAAAGGCAGATATCAAAAATGTAGTAATAGATGAAGATTTGGGAGCAACCAAAACGTCCATTGATAGATTGGTTAAATGCAATTTGGCTTATTCTAGCATGAGATACCATGTGGCCCTTAAATGAAGCAGATCCCTATATGGTGACAGAACAACACCTAAGTGACAAAAGTGAAGGCACAGGCAATGACTGCACTTCATGTCCATTTCTACAAAACAAGAGCCTTGGATAGGCTTTGATATATTGGTTCTTGTAGAGAAGGTCTCTGGAAGGATCTGCAGGAAATTGGGAAAAGTTGGTGTCTAGTGAGAAAGCTGGGGTACTAGGGTTCAAAGAGGTGAGAGAGTTTTTGTGCTGCTTGAATGTTTTATTTTGAATGTTTTATTTTTTGAATGTGTAATGTTTTGTCAATAATATGGCAAGGAAATTTTAGAGATGTTGGTCAAAGAATACAAAATTTCAGTTAGACAGGAGGAATAAATTCGAGGCATCTGTTGTACAGCATGGGTGACTATAGTTAATGACAATATATTGTGTACTTGAAAATTGCTAAGAAAATAGATTTGAAGTGTTCTCACTACAAATAAATGTTAAGTATGTGCAGTAATACATATGCTAATTAGCTTGGTATGGCCATTCCATAGGGTATACGTATTTCAAAATACCGTGCTATATACCATAAATGTGTATAATTTTTATTTGTCAAATAAAAAATAAGAAGATAAAGGTAGATAGATGAGAGAGAGAGAAAGAAGGAGAATAGAGAAAGATAGATATAAAGTATAAAGTGTGAGGATAAAAGAAAAAGAAAAAGCCTTTACGAGAAGTTGGGAGAGTGTTTTAAAAAGGAAATCCAGGGTGTCTTAGACATTCAGAGGAAGCTTCCCTAAAAACGCATTATTCCAGGCACTGGGAGGAGCAATAGGACCTTAGCCCCTTCCCTCCCCTTTGTGGACCTAAAGCGTTACATCTGTAAAATGGAAAGAAGGCACCTCCCAGCCCAAGACCTCAGAAACTCTAGGAAGCAGAGTTCAAATCCAGGCTGCCTTCACCACCTCACCCCAGGGCAAACTGCTTCCCCAGGGCTCCCTCTACCTTTTCCCCTCCTGTTTCCCCTTCCTGATTTGGTAGACAGACCTGATCAACACTGTGATGATCAAGAAAAAAGAAAGAAAGACAATTTGATGTATACCAAAGCTCATGGACATTAAACTCCTAAGATATGCTATGTATCTCTCTGGGGGAGGGTGAGCACCTGCACCTTTATCTCCATAACCACCAAATGAATTATGGAGGCCAAAAAGGTGAACCTATCTGTGTGGATGGCTGCCAGCTGCTGTGTTATACTAGTGTGTTATAATAATAGTAGTGGATATTTCATGAGTGCTAACTCTGCACCAAGTACTTAGCCTGTAAGATCTCACTCATTCTAAAGGCAAGTCTAGGAGAGAGGCTATTGAACCCTATGTTGAGATGAAGTATCTGGGGCTCAGAGAAATTGAGTTACTTATTCAAGTTTGCACAGCTACTAAGTGCTGCAGTGAGAACCTGAAACCAGGTTATTTTGACCCCACTTTTTGTTCTCTTAACCACCAACCTACTTTGCTGCCCATCACACAGGGAGCTCTACCTCCCCATTCATCCAGGCCAGCGAAGGCTTCCTGGAAGAAGTGTCATTTAGGTTGTGACTGGGAGAACCAGAAGGCTTTCAGTCTTCACTGTAAGAAAGATTAGCCATTTTCCACAAGGAGGTTTTCTTCAAAATAAAAGGCCCTGGAGACATTAAAAGGAAACTCATAAAAAATTCATCTCTGAGTAGTAATTGCATCATAAAAAGTATTGAGTTGGTGTGCAGATGCAAATTGGGCCGTATGAATTAATGATGTAAACAGTTGGAATGAGGGTGCACATTCAGAAAATGTCCTACACCGTCTTCTTCAGTGTGTGAGGCGAAGTTGGGCCAGGTGGCACTGTGCCCTGAGGTTTAAGGGACATTTTTGGACTGCCGATGACCATGTTTTCAGATCTCCAAATCCTGCTCAGTGTTACTTCTATAGAACCTCCTGGATACATGGCTAGGCTCACAGTTTTCTCTAAATCCACACTCTCTGAGCACCTACTGTGTGCTGGAGCTGTTCTGAGGATGGTGCCCTGCCACCCCTCCATCCTCCCTGCCCCCTCCCTGCTCACCTCATGTGAATTTACTGATCCCAGGAGAATGAAGATGGATGTTCATGAACTTGCATGTCCACATTTTTTATGCATGCCTTTCTTGGTTTGTTGGCTGAAACATTCAACAAACATATTGAGCACCTACTACGTGCTGGGCGGGGCCTGACCTCAGCTCTCAGAGCTGGTCTTGGGGCAACAGGGAAAACACCCAAGTTGGGAGGAGGCCGAGAGTGACTTGTTGGTGGAGAGGACTCTAAGGTGAGACTCCAGAGATGGGGAGTGGGCCAGGCACAGATAGTGGTGGGGAGCAGCTCCACATAGAGGCAACCTGGACACTTATGAAACCGTGAAATGAAAGTGGAAGCTGAAATTGATGGAGATGAGCCTGGGGATGTAGAACACTCTGGAGGATCTTGTGCATCTGCCTAAGGACCTGGGGCATGGCCCTAACTTGGAGGAAAAGCAGCTTTTACTTTTCCCCCAAAGTCTGATTCTTTGTCGTGCAAGAGGTGGAAGCTGCAGTATGTTGATCTCATCGAAGTCCAGAGGAGGATCCACATAACATTTCTGCAATTTTTAAACCGGGTTCCATGGAACCCTGAGGCTCTGTGCCCATGTTTTCTGTAGCTCCATGGTGGGAAGTAGGTAAGAGAAGATTCAAGTGGGAAATATTCTGGAATCTCCCTCTGCTTTAACCAGATCAGCTCCACTTTTTTTTTTTTTTTTTTTTTTTTTTTGAGGTAGAGTCTCTCTCTGTTACCCAGGTTGGAGTGCAGTGGTGCGATCGTGGCTCACTGCAACCTCCGCCTCCCAGGTTCAAGCGATTCTTCTGCCTCAGCCTCTCAAGTAGCTGGGACTACAGGTGTGCCACCATGCCTGGCTAATTTTAGTATCAGCTCCACTTTTATCTCTGTTTTTTGCAGTTTGGAATTCCACATAAGATTTCATGTGAAAAGGGGTTCCATTGCTTAAGTAAGAACAACTCTACTTAATGCAAAGTAAAGCCCAAATTCTTTAACCCAAGGTCTTGGGTTTGGGTAATCCAGATCATACTCATTTCTCCAGATATAGAAAAACCTCTTCCCACTCCCTGCTCATCACTGCTCTGCATGCCAGCCGCCAGCCACACAAATACTCCTAAGGCCACAGACACTCTGCTCCTCCACGCCTCCATCCCTTTTCCAGGCTGACTCCCAGTGCTTCCTCCTGCAGGAAGCCCTCTCTGACCCCCTCAAGTCCTCAAGTGTCTCCAACGTTCCAACACACCTTGGGTTCTCCCTAAGAACTCTGACCCACCAAGAATGCGGTCCTCTTTCTGCTGATCCATCTCCTCTCCCATCACACTGTGAAACCCATGAGGGCAGGACCTGGTACCTGGTTATCACTAGCACCCAGTACCAGCCCAGGGATGGGGCAGTGCCCGAGAAATGTGTGCTGGGCAAATGAGTGCTAGGAAAGAAGAGAGAAAGAATGGGTGTGGAAATGTGTGAATAAATAAGTTAACAGGTGGTTGGATGGATGGATGGATGGATGGATGGATGGATGGATGGATGGAGAGAGGCAGGGGAAGGAAGATGGGTTGGTGGGTGGATGGGTGGGTGACAGATGAATAAACAGAAGGAAAGGAGGAAGGAGGAAAGAAAGAAAAGAGGGAGGAAAGGAGGTAAGGAAGGAAACAAGGAAGGAAGGGAGAGAGGGAGAGATGGAGGGAGGAAAGAAAGGAGGAAAGGAGAGTATGCACATACATACAGCTGGAGGAACCCCTGGTTCCACTTTCTCTGAGGTCCCCCAAGGTCTCAGCCTTCCCTGAGGCTTCTCTGCCCTAACTCCCCCTCCCTTTCTCTTTCCTCCATCACAAAGCCAGCCCCTGACATGCCCTCACCCCGCACAGTGATTACTCCTTGAGCAGCCTCCCGTATCCTGTTCCTGCTCTTCCTACAAGCAGAGAAGCAGAAAAATCCATCCTGATGAGGAGGCAGCCGCCCGCCTGCCCTCGCGCCTCCTCCCCCCGCCCCTGCAGCCTGTAACTCTCGAGCAGTCAGGCAGAAACAGACAGTCAATTTTTTCCAGGGTCGAGCGCCGGCTGTAAGGCACAGCCCTGCGGGGTGACAGGCGCGGCAAGGCAGGGGCCGCAGGAATGTGGCGCTGCGGTTTCTCCTCCATCCTCCTGCCTCACTCGCCCAGATGCTGCCAGCTGTATCATTCAGGGGACATAGCACACCACCACTACCAGCACACAAAGGGCTCACCTAAGACCTTAGCCCCATTAAACACTGGCAGGGCGGAATTGTCTGCTGCCATCCATCACACCTTCTCCCCTAGCCTGGTTTCTTACCTACCTGGAAGCCGTCCCTTTTCACCCTTGCCTGCCCTTGTTGGCTGCATGGCAGGCTCCCTGGCAGAGGAAAAGGCAACTGATGTGCTTGTCCCCAGCCAGGTGTCAAGTGGCTCTTTGCTGGGTGCTCTGGTGCATTGCCCGGATATCACCCCAGCTACTGGGAGTGCTGACAGCTCCCAGCTGAGCCCTGATCCCGGCAGGTGACCGCCCTCAGCTGGAAAGAGCTGCCTTGACCAAGGTCAAACCTCCTTCTGGTGACTAGTCGATGCAGGGGGCACACCGTCCCAACCTCCTTACCTTTAGGCAGGATGACTTTGAAGAGCATTCTCGGCCCCAAAGCTGCCCCAGCTTGATCAGCTGAGACCCCTGTTGAGCCTGAATCACACCCCAACTGCTTCTTCTGCCCCATCCTGCTTATTTCTCTTCCCCTACAGGTGTTGATACTGAGTGCCCCCCACTGTACCCCCATAAGCCCCTGCATACAAGCAGGGGAACCAACCTGCACCAGCCTCTTTTGCATTCGCTTATTTAATCGCCATGGCAACTCTGCATAGCATGTTCTTTGTTTCCCGTGTCAGGAACCCAGGGCTCAGAGGGCTGATGTGGCTTGTCCCAGGTCACGCCGAGTGTGCCAGAGCTGAGGTTCCACACCAGCCTACCTGACTTCCAGTAGGTCGAGACTGCGATGCCCTCAACGTCTGCCCCTCAGGAGCCTCTCACATGGAGATCTGCCATGCATCCCTGACTCTGGGAAGCCCCTGAGACAAGGCCTCCTTGCCTCCCCCAGTGGAGGCAGCCCAGGTGGAGACGCATGGCATCTGTCCCAGATCAGGCGTCTCTGCCAGGTCTCCAGACTACAGGGTCTCCTCACACTGCCTCTCTCGCCTTTGTCTCTGGATCCTGCCTCCCGTCTCCTGCCCTACTCAGCAACGCCCTGGACAGGAGGTCAGGGGATGCTGTGTAGCATCACAGGAGGGGCCCGACGTAACTGGCTTAACACCTGGGCTCCTGATAGAATAGGCCTCTTCAGGCCAGGCGCGGTGCCTCACGCCTGTAATCCCAGCACTTTGGGAGGCCAAGGCGGTCGGATCACGAGTCAGGAGATCGAGACCATCCTGGCCAACATGGTGAAACCCTATCCCTACTAAAATACAAAAAATTAGCTGGGCGTGGTGGCATGCACCTGTTGTCCCAACTACTCGGGAGGCTGAGGCAGGGGAATCACTTGAACCCAGGAGGTGGAGATTGCAGTGAGCCGAGATCGTGCCACTGCACTCCAGCCTGGTGACAGAATGAGACTCTGTCTCAAAAAAAAAAAAATAGAATAGACCCCTTCACGCTCATCTGAGCCTCAATTTCCTCATCTTTCAAATCGGTCTTTTCCAGGATGACATGAAATGTCTATGAAAGATGGCGCAGTACCTGGCACACAATAGCTTCTGAACACAGGAGTCCTCCCTTACTCACAGCTACGCTTTCTGTGGTTTCAGTTACCCACGGTCAACTGCGGCCAAACATACTACATTATTTTGCGAGAGAGAGAGGAAAAGAGAGAGAGAGACCACATTCACAGAATTTGTATTACAGTATATTGTTATGATTCTTCTATTTTATGATAGTTATTGTTGTTCATCTATTACTGAGATTATAAATTCAACTTTATCATAAGTATATATGTATAGGAAAAATGTACATATAGGAAAAATCATAGTGTATATAGGGTTCAGTCTTATCTGCAGTTTCAGGCATCCGGTGGGGGTCTTGGAACATATTCCCCAAGGATAAGGGGGAAACTACAGCAAATCTCATTTCTTCCTTTTACTGCTAGTGATAATATCTAATCTGATGTGGGCAATCCGTGCTAAGCCTGATGTAAAACACTTGAATCCTATCACCTCAGTTAATCCTCGAACAATTCTATGGAGTAGGTACCATTATCCCCATTCCACAGATGAGAAAATAGAGGCTGGTGAAGTGGTGGTGGAATATCCACGGTTGTCAGCTGATGAAGGGGGCAGCTAGGACTGGAACCCTTCTCTCTAGCTCCAAAGGCAGTGCTCTCAACTCCTGGACTCATCTTCTCCTCCCCCTTGTTTTGTCCTCAGGGACTCCCAGCTCTACCAGCCCAGGTGGACCATGCTGCCCAGGGTCCTTGGATATCCTCTGAGTCTGACTGGTGGGGTCACTACAATTTGGTGCCATGTCCCCAGATGCCCTGCAGAGACAATCAATGGAAATCCTGTGTTCTGAGTATCAGGTTGCTCATGAGTCTCCAGTCCTCCACACTGAAACTGACCTCCAATCACAAGAAAATACTGTCCCTGGCCCGTAAGTTGCCTTATGAGGCCAGCTCACCTTCCCACGGGCCCTCTGCCTCCAGGAAAGCCATTTACAGCTCTAATGCCTTCCAGCCAGGTAGGAATGGGGCTCACTGGCCCCTGGTGGTGGCCATAACTTTGTAATTGAATGACATCTGGGACTACCAGTCCCCATAAAGAGAAACCAGAGGAATGTGGTAAATTTTTCACAAGACTGTGGGGACTCCCACTGTGGCTGGGCCAGGAATCCAGGCCACTTCACACAAGCCTCTTTCTGTGGCTGCCCTGAGCCAGCTTCTGGATGAGGAGCCAGCCAGCCCCGGGTTCAGATCCTGCCTCTGCCTGCTGGGACCTTGGCAGTGTGCCATGACCTCTCCCTGCCTCGGTCTTCTCTGTAAACTGGGTGTACTGCTCCCCTTGCAGAGTTCTTGGGATGATCAGGCCTTTCTTAGTGCAGACGGAGAAATTCTGTCATTTTAAAGCCTTGAAGAAGTCAGGCTATGATTGATTGGAGACACAGAGGGAGATGAGATGGGGACAATGCAAGGGACCAGATCAAACCTCAGCAGGGGGATCTCCAAACATTTCTTCCCGATTCCAGCAGGATGGCGTAGTTAGGCCTGTGGCCAGGCTTCTTTGCATCATCTCTGGACAGCTCAGGAAGAGGCTATGGGATTTACCAAGTAGATTACATGGCACTTAGCTAATGAAATGACACCCCCGCCCTCCCCAGATATTGATCAGCCACTGGCAACCGTGGAGCTTGCAGCAGCCTCCAGACAGCTTTAAAAGAAAATCAACCATTAATAAAATTGAATGGTTTGGGGGAGCAGGATGCCGGGGCAGTGGTTGGGGGTGGTTCTAGAGGAGAGAGATTCAGAAGAAGTTAGCAGACAAGGAGGACTACAGGAAGAAAATGTGCCCTTCTGACCCCAAACCAGAATAGTAGATGTATGAGAGATTTTGCAATTAACCAGGTCCATGAGAAAATGCCTAGCGTACAAGTATCAAGTGAGAAGGGTATGTCTGCAGGATGCAGACGGCAGAGGTTGCAAACTCAGGGCAACCCCGCAATGTGTCTCTTTGCTCCATGTATGCTTTATTTACAAGGAATTTGCTGCCAATATCTTTAAAAAGTTGGAGTTTTTATATAAAAATCTAGATTTCTGGAGTTCCAATTTTTGTAAAATTGGAACATGGGATGACATTGGGCTTGCATTCTTTGTGGCAGCAGTTGAGCTGAGCAGTAACAGCTGCCCCTGTGGATGGGGCATGTGGAGTCCAGCTTGCCCAGCCCCCACCTGGCCCCCACACTCATTCCTGTAACCTGCCAGGGCTTATGAGTTTGAGACCTTGATGCAAAGTCTGAACTGAAGTATGCAATAATGTTTACATATGAGTGGAGGACGTGTGTGTGTGTGTGAATGATACACACACACATACACAGTGACTATATCTCTATCTACCTATCTATCTATCTATCTATCTATCTATCTATCTATCATCATCTATCATCTGCCAAAACAGTGACAGTGACTACCTTTCCCTAGGTAGGACTTTATCTTCTTACCCATTCGTACTTTCCATTCTCATCAATAAAAAACAATAGACTTGGCTTTGGGAAAAAGAATGAATCTGTGCAGAGCTGAGTATTCTGTAGGATCACGGATCATAGCAACGGCGATTGTACCAAGAAGGAAATGTAGAAAATGCCAAACCGTGTTTTTCTCCAAATAGGGAAATTGTGAACCAGTTAGAATGTCGCCTTTCTTGCTTTTCTGCAATAAATCTCTTTCATATTTCTAATCGAAAAACTAAAACCCAGGTATGTGCAACTTAAAAGTAAATCAGGATTAACTCCTCTTAACAGAGGGGCAACGGTGCAAGAAGGAGGCTTATCCGGGGAGGGACCTTGAACATAGTGGGGGGCTTTGTCAGGCCTGCCCTGGCCTCTTCCTCTAGGGTGGTGACCTGGAATCTTGTTCAGGAGTGATATGGTTTGCCTCTGTGTCCCCACCCAAGTCTCACCTCCAATTGTAATCCCCATAATCCCCACGTGTCGAGGGAGGCACCTGGTGAGAGGTGATTGGATCATGGGGGCAGTTTCCCCTATACTGTTCTCGTGATAGTGAATGAGTTCTCACAAGATCTGATGGTTTTAGAGGTGTTTAACTGTTCCTCCTTCACACTCTCTCTCGCCTGACGCCATGTAAGACATGCCTGCTTCCCCTTCCACCATGATTGTAACTTTCCTGAGGCTTCCCCAGCCATGCAGAACTGTGAGGCAATTAAACCTCCTTTGTTTATAAATTACCCAGTCTCGGACAGTTCTTTATAGCAATGTGAAAACAAACTAATACAAAGAGCAAGCACCGTTTGATGGCTGCAGTCTGTCATTCCATCCCTGGACCTCAGATCCCCATCTATGAAAAGGAGAGATTCTTATAGGGAAAAGCTGGGGGCAATGTCTAGCTCTTTTTGTAAGCCTCTACGAGCCAAACACCAACTGGCATGTTTTCACAAGTGTGTTAGTTGAAAAGCCTAGAGGTTCATAAACCAGGCTCTCAACTCAGACATTTCCTAGCTGTGTGGCCTTATACAGGCCACTTAACCTCTCTGAGCCTCCTTATTCTTTCTAGAAAACAGAAACTGAACTCATAGGGTTGGATGGAGGAACAGATGAGAAAACAAAAAGAAATCATATAAAGAGCTCTGTACCTGGCATAGAAAGTCAAAAGAGATTAGCCATTATTTATGTTCTTACTGTTGATATTTTTAAAACACTACCTACTGTGTGCCTGCTAGTGATGGGAGAGGTTGAGGTTATTATGCCCAACATTACGAAGAAGAAACTGAGTCTTGGCAAGGGGAGGTAATTAATCAAGGATGACAGTCTCCATGGAGATCAGGTCTGTGTGGCTCACCTGCACTTTCTACTCACCCCCACCCCTACCCCTAGGAAGCTCTTATCAATGTATCTTTTCCACTGAGATTAACTGAACACTCACTGTGTGCCTAGCCCCATGTTAGCCCCTCACCCAATTACCTTGGGTGAAGTTAAGAGCAAGACTTCTAAAAACAAAGAGACCCTGCTCAAGTTCTCCCTCCATCATCACTAAGTGGCTTAGGCCAGTGCCTTCACCTCTGAGCCTTGCTTTTATTATCTGTCAAATGGGCTATGCTGATTGGATCCTTGGGAGATTTCATCAAGGCGGTTAATACGCAGAAGGACTTCACAGAATGAAAGAAGTGACCAGTAATGGTGTTAAAAATTCCCATTTAACAGTTAAGGAAAGTTGTACTTTGCACCTGCAGCATTCATTCATTCATTCATTCATTCATTCACTCACCCATTCATTCATTGCTTTTACACTGGAGCAGCAGCACATCTTTCCACCCAGGTCTCCAGAAGCGCCAGTGTTCTCAAAATGCATGTGGAGGAGAGAGGCAGGGAGTGGGTCTCGCCTCCCCGACCCCTGGGCCTCCTCGTCTCTCACTGCCAGAGAGGCAGCTGCGGCCAGACATTTGGAAGCCATTATAAACATCCCTGTCTGAGTCTGTTCTCCCCTGCGTGCAACCTAAAGCAACCGATTCCAAGGAATTTTGGCTGAGTTTCTTCCCAGAGGAATGATGGAGAGTACTCACCCCTCCACCCCATCCACAAATGTTCCTCTCTGTTTCAGCAGATTTGGAGCACTGGGCAGTAAACCCACAGGCGTGCTGGGAAGAGCTCTGATACCTGAAGATTTCGGGTCTCAGCCCAGACTCAGCCACTTTCTGGTGGAGTCACCTCTCCGAGTCTCAGTTTCTTCATCTGTAAAATGGGAATACTAAAAAGAGTAAACACACACATCCTACCCTTGTGAGGAATCCACAAGTCAATGTAAAATAAAGGCTTAACACAGAGCAGATGTTTGCCAAATCGTATTTCTCTCCTGCTCTAATCTCATATTTACTTTTTGGTGTAATCCAGAAAGCAGGAAGATGGATAGGTAAGACTTTGATGCAGAAGTTAAGCCCCTAGCCTGCCAGATGATCCTAACAAAGTCGCCTCCCACCCCTGTGTCTCAGTTTCCCCAGACTTCTGCCTCTCACTCCCTGATGTTTCCTATATTAGCCGGCCCTGCCTGCCACAGTCACTCATAGCATGACCCCAGGTGGGCAGCCTTTCAAGCCCCTCCTGGTCTTCCTCTCACTCTCTGCACCCAGAACTCCTCTCTGCCCCTCCCTGTCTGTCACCACTAGATCTCATGGCATCAGATGCTGTCTTACTATGTCTCTTCCATGAACCCAGTCATGTCTTGGCTTGTCTCGACCCTTCTCCCACCAGCCTCCTAGCTCTCTCCTGGTTCACATTTGATGCTTTCTTCCTCTTCTAAAGACTGGAGGAAGAGCACTGGATTGATCTGGGCTCCTGGACCCTCTGCTCTTGCCTCCTGAGGGTGGAGGAGATGAAAAGACAGGGCCTGGGGGTGTGGGGAAGGTGGATGTCTTTTGGCAGAGATCCCTGTTGCTTATCTACAACCCATCTTGCTGGTCATTGGGGTCAACCTGGCTCACTCCAGACTTGTCGGATGGCCTCAGTGCAAGCTGCAGGTGGGATAAAGGTATTCCTCAGGAACTATGAGGTGTGTGTGTGGGTGTGTGAGTGTGTGCGTGTGTGTGTGCAGGAGGTGGAGTGTACATGTATGTGTGGTGTGTGTGTATTGGGTGTGCATGTATGTGTGTGTGTGTTCTGTGTGAGTTGCATAGTGTGCACATGTATTGGGCGTGCATGCATGTGTGATGTGTGCATATGTTGTGTGTGGAGTGTGTTTTAGCTGTGCATGCATGTGTGATGTGTGTGTAGGTTGTGTGTGGTATGTGGTGTGTGTGTATTAGGTGTGCATGTATGCATGATGTGTGTATGTTGTGTGTCTGGTGTGTGATGTCTGCAAGTCGTGTATATGGCACATGTGCTTTGGATGTGCACATATATGTGGTGTGTGTGTTGAGTATGCATATATGTGTAATATGTGTGTTATGGGTGAGCTGTGTGAAGTTTATATGTATTGTGTATATGCATTGAGTGTGTATGCATGTGTGATGTGTGTACGTTGTGTGTAATGTGTGGTGTGTGTATTGAGTGTGCATGTATGTGTGTGCTGTATGTATGTTGTGTGTGGTGTGTATGCATTGGCTGTGCACATATATGTGATGTGTGTTGCGTATGCATGTACATGTGATATGTGTGTACTATGTGTGAGTTGCGTGATATGTATATGTATTGAGTATACATGCATGTGTGATGTGTGTGTATGTTGTGTATGTGGTGTGTGTGTGCTGAGTGCATGCATGTGTGATGTGTGTGTATGTTGTGTGTGTGGTGTGTGTGTGCTGAGTGCAGGCATGTGTGATGTATGATGTGTATGTTGTGTGTGTGGTGCCAGCATGTATTAGGTGTGCATGTGTGTGTCATCTATGAATATGTTGTGGGCATGTATGTATGGCGGGGGTGTGTACTGGCCGTGCATATATGTGTGTGGTGTATGCGTGTACTGGTTTTGCATGTATGCATGGTGTGTGTGTATTGGTTGTGCATGTATGTGAGGTGTGTGTGGTGTGTGTGTATTGAATATGCATGTGTGTGTGCAGTACTCTGTGTGTGTGTGCTATGTGGTGTGTGTGTGTATCCATGCCTGTGCTGTTGTCACCCTCTTCTTGGCTAGGTAAGTATCCTCCGAGCTCCAAGAACTGGGTAAATAGGAAGCTGCGTGTAAATACTTCCTGGACCCTGATTTCTACAACTTCCCACCCGGACGTGAGTGTTCCTGTCTTTCTGTAGACATTTTAGCTGCCATGCTTTGGAGAGCGTGGTGTGATCCTGAGCCCAGAACTTTCTCTTTACAGACTCGGCTCATCCACCCACCTGCCCTTAAAGTGAAGCCTGATACCATCTCCTCTTTGCAAAGGAGCAGACTGAGCACCAGCCCGAAGGAAATGCGCAAAGGGCACGCAGATGTTGAGCACAGGGACCAAGCCCAAGCATCCTATTCAGATACTGATGTGTCTCCGAGAGCTGGCAGGGACTTCTCAGACTTGTCCCTGCCTCCAGCTGGCCTTCTGGGCTCCCAGGAATTTCCTCAGTTGTGTTTGTATTTTTCTATTTCATCTTCTCTGCCCCCAAAGTCTGAATTCTGTACCTTGGACTCCATCATTTTCTCTCATTTCTTCCTCTTTCTTTTTTCTTCTTCTCTTTTTTCCTCTTCCCTCCTCTGTTTCTGTCTTAGTCTCTGTCTTTCTTGCTCCTTCAGGAACATTTTTCCATTTGTTTTCTTTGCTCCCCTCTCTCTTCCCCCCTCCTTTTTGCCTGTATGTCCTCTCTCTGAGTCTGTGTCCTGTCCTGTCCTCTCTGTGTCTTCCTGTCTCTTTCTGTTTCTGCAGGACCTTCTTCCTGCTCTGGCTCTTTGTCTCCATTTCCTTCTGTTTCTCTCCCACCCCCTCACACCGTCCCTCTGTCCCTCTATGTGTGTGTGTCTCCCACTCTGCACCTGCATCTCTGCCTCTCTCTGTCCGTCTCTTACCACCTCCCAGCTGCTCCCATCCATTCACTTTATTCAGCCTCTCCCAGGACGATGCCACAAGCCCATCCATCCTAGTTGCAGCCAGGACTCTTAGGAAGCCCCCGAGTCCCCTGATGGGGCTCAGTAGGTGACTTCTCTCCCCACTGCCTCATCAGGGCTGTTCTACAGTGTGGCCCTGTCTCTTCGCTGTCTGTTCTCCAGCCTTTTCTTGTCCCTTGTCTCCTAAGCCCTGTGCCCTGTGAATGCAGCTTCTCCAGATCGCGTCACCTGTCTCATTTAGTCCTGGCTTCCTGATGCAGGTCCCAAAGGGACTCAAAATAGGAGAGGCAAGGCAGGCGAAGATACCTGTTGTCCTCATTCTTCCCTGCCAATCCCAAGTTGCTGGCAGGACTGCCTCTACTGGAGCCCATGTCCCTGGCAGATGGTCCTCTCTGGCAGCCAGGCCTCTCTGTGGGTTCCAGTCCAGGCCTAAGGGTGCTAGCAGCTCCCTGCTGTTGCTAACACTGAGGTGCACCATCTCTGTGGGTCCCCCCATCCACCCTTTTATTGCTGTTTCTTTCATCCCATTCTCCCTCAATGACCCCTTTGGAGTTATTTCCTGCTGCATCCCACTTGTTTTCTGCTTTGACATTGATGGATGCCAATATCCTGCTTCTGCCGAACTCCAGTACCACCCTCTCCCTCTCTGTTCTCCTCTATCCCCTCTCCAAACCTCTGCTTACACCTGCCTTTCTGCACTGGGCCCAGATCTTCTCCCCAGCCAGACTGGAGCACTGCATGAGCAGAGACCATGCCGCGATCTCCCACGCCTCCATCTCTTACGCCTTCAGCCTCGTGCAGAGTCAGCTCTTGCGGATTGTTAAAATATAAATTAACGAGTCAAGGCAGTGGGGGAGAGAGATCATGGCCTGCGTGCCAGTGAGGCGGGTGTGTCTGCAGAGCTGCCTGGGGTGCTACAGAGGCATCCACCCTGCGCCCGTCGCCTCCCCTGGCAGGCCTTCCCATCAGAGCTCTTGCAACCCTGCGGTGGTGGGGGAGTTCCTCGACAATGGAGCACTGCCATGCTCTGGCCCCCGCCGATTCCACGGCACCTCTTTGCACGCCCCCAGCTCACGGATGGGAGGGCTCCCCTGCTCCTGGCTCCTGTTCAAGCTGCCTGGTGAACTAAATTGATTTTTTATCGTTGCTCTGGAGTGAGCTTAATGAATCTGTTAGTGACGGCTGCCTGCCCCAAACGCCTCTTGGTGCCCGCGCCACCAGAACGGCTCTTCCTGAGGAGGAGGCATTATTTAAGGCTCAGCCTGTGCTCCTGAGAGCAGCTGGGCATCAGCTGGGCCATGCCTTGCTCTTCCTGGGGTGTTTCTCTTGCTGGGGTGGGACTGTAATATGGGTCAGAAAATGGAAAGGCAGTCCTGAAAAAGAACGAAGGAAATCCCAGCTACTCGGGAGGCTGAGGCAGGATAATCCCTTGAACCCAGGAGGCGTAGGTTGCAGTGAGCCGAGATCGCGCCATTGCACTCCAGCCTGGGTGACAACAGTGAAACTCTGTCTCAAAAAAAAAAAGGAACGAAGGAGGTTTATCTTAGTGTGTGTTTCTAGGGTCCAACCATCCATCTGTTCCTCCATCCATCTATCCATCTATCCATCCATCTCTCCATCCATTCACCTATCCACACATGCACTCCACCAAACCATTTGTTCATCTGCTCATCCATCTGTCCGTCCACACATCTGTTTGTGCATCCAATCTTCCAAACATGCATGTAAGCATCCATCCATCCACCCATCCGTGTCTCCATGGTTTCATTCATTTATTCATTCATTTTATCATGTACACAACTTATTCTGAAATTCCCAGCATCCTTACTGTGCCCTACGGGGCCCCACATAGCTGCCCTCCACCTATCCCTCATTATTCTTCCACCTTACTCCACTCCAATCACCCTGACTTTGCTGCTGCTCAGACTTACCTCAGGCCCTTTGCACCTGCTGTCTCCTCTGCCAGAAATGCTCTTTCTCCTGCACCCGCGTGGCTTCCTCCCTTCTTTTGCTAGGTCTCTGCTCAAATTTCACCACTTCCTCAAGGCCTTCTCTAATTACTTTTGATGTAAATTAGCAACTCCCCTGTCACTCTTTATCCTTTTCCCCCCTTTTAACTTTTTCAGAGAGCTCCCTGCACTCTGACATTATAGCACACATTTATTTATCTTGTAGTCCATTGTCTTCTGCTAGAATCAAATTCCATGATGATAAGAGCTGTGCCAGTTTCATTTGCTGCCACATCCCCGGGCCCTAGGACAGTGCCTGGCATGGAATTGGCACTCAGTGAGGTTGATTTATTGAATGGATTATTTAATTAGCTAATAACATGTTCTGTCACGTCTGTCACCTAGTACAAGGCACAGTCTTTCCCAACACAGGATGCCAGGTCCCTGGAAACACAGGTTAGGTGGGGGCTGTGGGGACTAAGAGTTGAACCAAACAGCCACACAGGTGATTATAAAATTTCATTTGGGCTAAGAGCTCGAAGAAGTCTCCCTGGGTCTGGTAACATATTTAAGTTGTTTCAGTTGTGTTTTTGTGGCTCACATCCAAGGTATCCTATCTGGCCCCATCAACTGCCTAGATGCCAGCTGAAGCTAGACTGGGTTTCTCAATTCTTTGCTGCCTCTGTCAAGGCTTCCAGCTCCCCTTCTACTGCCTATCTATGCCCCATGCCTTTCCTTGGCATGGAGAGAGGAGACACAGGGGGCAGGCAATCTTTGCCTCTCTGAGTTGGGCCTGGGCCTCGTTCATAGCATAAATATCTCTGAGTTGATTCTCCTACATTTTCCCATTCTTCCATTTGGGACCCAGGCCTATGGTCCTTCCATGCCTAGAGGAAAAAGTGCAGACATAAGCCAGGGGCCCTTCCTGTGTTTTGTTAAATGTCTTCCTGCCTGAAAATATGGCCCTAGATGTTCTCAAGAGGGGAAAGGAAACAGCACACTTTTGGGGCAAGAGGAATGCAGTTGGAGCACCTGGAAACCAAAATGAGGTTGAGGGATGGAAGGTGGGGAATGTACCTGAGTATATTGGGGAGGTGACCAGATCTTGGAAGGAAGAATTGTGGGTGAACCCAGGGAGGTGTAATCCTGGCTACAGGGGTTCCCTGAGACCCTCTTCCCCAAGTTCCCAATGCTCGCAGCTTGAGTATAGCCAATCATGGCTGCTGCAGATGAAATTTCCCTAAACAGTCACAGCAATATTTCCAATCCTACCTTATTCGAATGCCGTACCATATTCCATCAAGAAGTAAAATCTTTTCCCCCTCCTCTTGAACGTGGGAGGGCTTGTAGACTGCTCTGACAAATTTATATTAATAGTGATACTATGTGACTTCTGAGGCTAGGTTGTAAAGATGGAGCTTCCACCTGGCCTTCTTTGTCTTGGGATGCTCAGTCTTGAAACCAACTGCCATGTTGTGAGGAAGCCCAAGATCCATGGAGAAGCCACATGTGGGTGGATATTCTGGGCTCTAGTCCCAGATAAAGTCTTAGCTTATAAACCACCACAAATGTCAAATATGTGAGTGTATTAGATTTCAGAGATTCCAGCTTCCAGACTTCACGAATTCCAGTTGAAATCCTAGAGAACATGAAGCAAAGACTTCATGTTCAGCTTCATGTGGCCTGCCTGAACTCCTAACCCACAGATTCCATGAGCATAATAAATAACTTGTGGTTGCTTTACACCACTGAATTTTGGAGTCATTTTTTTACACAGCCAGAGTAATTGGGACAACAGCTATATATAAGAGTACCCAGTGCTAGGCACTGTCCTAAGCATCTTACAAATATTCATTGATTTAATATTCAAAACGTATGTTAGAAGGCCTATCAATATCTCAATTTAATAGTTGAGGAACTGAGGCACAGGGAGAAGAAGTAACTTGCCCAAGTGGAATTTGCACCCAGGAAGTCTGGCTCCAGAGCCCACACTGTTAACCACTGGGAACGGCAGCCTGTGGCAGTTTGCATCCTGATGATAGTGGTAGGACCATGAAGCTGGTCATTGGTGTCCCAGCTTGATATTTTCAGATACATGATTTTGAGGTCTTGCTGTTGTTGCTTGTGATCAAAATTAGAGGTCTTTCCAATGCTGTAGGATGAGATTTCACTGTCGAATTTAAGTTGATAAATTGATAGATAGATGGATGGATAGATAGATAATAGATAGGTAGATAGATATATAGATAGATAGATAGATACATAGATAGATAGATGGATAGATTAGAATGGATGACGAGATGGGTAGATAGGGAGGGAGACAGATTTGGATGGATGGAAAATAAATAGATGGACAAATGGGGTAGATAGACAGATTGAATGGATAGATGGGTGGATGAATGGACAGATAGTAAGTAGATAGATAAGTAGATAGATAGATTGTTGTTGGTGTTGTTTTTTTTCGTGTCAGAGTTATGGCCAAATGGTAAACATCTGTGATGTATGCAGGATCTAAGAAAGACAAATTAGAAATCGAGTCCCAGCTCCATTTTTCACGGACTTTCTCAAAACCTCAGTTTCCTCATCTGTAAAATGGGCATGATCCTAACCATGGCAAGGAATGTGACAAAGATTTACTGAGAGATAACACTTGCAGAGCACCTAGCATGGTGCCAGCACCTTGTAAATGCCTGGCTCATCCTTACCCCATCCTCTTGTCCGTGCCCTTAGCTTGTCCTTTCTCAGGCCCCCACCCCCTGCCCCCAGCTGGTCTGTGCTCCCAGGAGCTGTCTCACGCAGCGGGGATGCCCCATCACCCACTGCCTGAGAGCGGGGGGTCACAGAAGTGCATCTCCCTCTCCTGTGTGATGCCACGTTCGCTGGCAGCCTCCCGGCGCCCAGCACAGCTGCCAGGCCGGCACGCCTCCTTTCTCACAGCTGCTGGGATGCGACCTTGTCTATCAGGAGGCCCCGGGAAGCCTGCTGAGTATGCTCCCAGCTTGGTAGGTGACATAAATATTTTCCAACATGCAGGCAACAATCTGATTGGTGCCTTCCCTAGAGTACCAAGCTCCAGGCTTGGGGCTGCAAAGGCAGAAAGAAAGAAAAAAAAATTCCTTTTGCCAGTGAAGTCTGGCTCCTTCCTCCTGTGAAGAGTTTAACTCTTCCCGTCCCCGATCTCCTTGTGCAGTCCGCGTTCCCATTCAAACTGCTGACATTCAGCAGGATATTGGCGAGTGCTTACGGTGATGAGGACTGCCCTGGCCCCTGCCCTCCCAGAACACACAGAATATCCACAGCAGCATCTCAGACTTGACACATGTTAGAATGACCCAAGGGGATAATGACATAGTGGTTAGAATTTAAAATGTATTTTTTAAATAGTCCATATCTCTTAGAGATGCATACAGCAATATCCAAGGATGAAATGACACAGTGTCTAGATTGGCTCCAAATTAAGACAAGAGGCAGTAAATTGAGGGAGAAGTGGTGTAGCTAGAACAAGACGGGCTAGGAGTAGAGAGCTGTGGGAGTTGTTCATGCAGCTCAAACTTGAGTGGGCAGCAGAACCTCCTGCAGGGCTTGTCAAATGCAGATTTCTGGAAGCTACTCCAGATACTCACATCCAACAGGTCTGGGATTGGGGGCAGATGCTGCAGGTCTAACAATGCCAGAGGGTTCTGCTGTTGCTGCTACTAGACTACACGTTGCTTTATACTATCCTTTCTACTTTTGTGTATGTTTGAGAATGTCCATGGTAAAAAATTGTTTTAAAAATGTAAAGAATCCATTTTCAAGAGATGCTGAGGCAGGAGGCCTGGCGTGGGGTTTGGGAATCTGCATTTTAATGGGCTCCCTGGTGCTGCTGATATAGATGTTCCATGGTGCACACTTTGAGAAATGCAGGGCTAGGGCAGGCAGACAATTATCTTACCATGTAGTACGCACCATCCTGATGGCAGCCCCAGAAGGCTTCTGGTGAGTCCTAAACTGAAGCTCCACGGAGGAAGAGCTGAAGTTAGTTAGGTGATCATGAGGAAGGGGAGGATGCAGAGGGAATCACACATGCTAAGGCCCAGAGGCAAGAATCAGCAGTACATCTTTTGGAAATGGAAAGAATGATGCAGCTCAAGGAAGTGGGGGTAAGAAGGGGAAGATTTCCAGAGATGAAGCTGGAGAGGTCAGCAAGAGTCAGGTCATGCAGGACCTTGTGGACCATGCCAAGGAGTTTTGACTTCATCCCAGGGACAGTGGGAGCCATGGAGGGTGTTAGGGACCTAATGTGATCATATATGTGATTTGAAATAATGTTTCTGGCTGTGATGTTGATCATAGATGGGAAGGAGTAGAAGCTGGGAGACCCAATGAGGGGGCCTCAGTAGCAACTTGGCTTGAGATGACTGACAGAGAGATGTACAGATCCAAGGGCTCTCTAGGAGGGAGAATGAACAGTACTTGGAGGCTAGATTCTCAAAGGATTTAAAGGCATTTGTGTAAATGGTCCAATCACAGACTGTGATAACAGAGAGAAGGAAGACAGGATAATCTGGGGAAAATGACTGCAGGGTCTGAGGAACGTTTCCTACATTTGTCATTTAAAACCCTCCCACCCTAACCTTGGCATCTACATAAGGTCTAAGGTAGCTCTAGAATAAGACATTGGCTCTAAAAGCTCAACAACTGAGCTTAGTCTTCATCATTTTTATCTGTGTGACCAAGGAAGAGTCTTGTAACCTCCCTGGACTTCAGGCTTCCTGGCTATAAAATGGGAAGACACTACTCAAGGTTGATAAGGCTCAGAACTATGGGAGCTCATGTATGTGCTGAGAACATGTGTCTCCACCCAGCAAACTCCTACCTGGATTCAGAATCCATCTGAGGCATCACCTGCTCCTGCTAGCTCAGATGGGACCAATACCGCCCTTACAATCCTTTCAAATGTTAGGCATGTCTCTTTTGTGACAGTAACAACCCTAAAATGTTTTGTTTTGCTTTGTTTTATTTTGTTGTTTTGTGTCTGTCTTTCCTGCTAGATCCTGAGCTCGGAGTATCTGTGGTGACTAGCCTAGAACTTGACTCACGATAATGCTCTACAAATTCATTTATTTAAGAATTATTCAGTTGAGCCCCTACTATGTACCAGGTGTTGGGAAATACAGAGGTGAAAAATAATAAATGAATGAATAAATGAATGGAAATTTTGAAGCTCTGTGAAATGGAATAGGGGGGCTTTCTATCTGGCAGCCAACGGGATAAGCATTTTTCAAATGGACTATCTTGTTTAATCCTTGAAACTTTCAGAAGGAGAGTGTCTAGTTTCTAACTTTCAGATGAGAAAAACTGAGGCTTGAAGAGGCTAGGCCGGAAAAGATGCCTCAGCCAGGGAGCACTGCTAGCAGAGGTAAGCCCAGGGACTCTACATTCAGAGCCCATACTCTTAACCTCTTCACCCACTGCCTCCTTAGGTAACACTTTCCTGGAAGCCAACACAGAAAATAGAGCCTGGATAGTTATGTAATTCTCCCCAGCTCATAAACAGAAGCAAACCAAACTCCTGGGTGAGACAGGAATGTTCTTGCTTTGAAAGTGGAAAATAGTTGCATAATTTTTGTAGTTCTATTTCTTGAGCAGATACCCATTGTGGTGTTGGCATTTTCTTTTCTTGTTTTGTTTTTTTCTTTTATGTGTTTTCTTTCTCTTTGAGACAGGATCTTGCTCTGTTGCCCAGGCTAGAGTGCAGTGGTGCAATCATAGCTTACTGCAGCCTCGAACTTTTGGGCTCAAGCAATCTCTCTGCCTCAGCTCCCCGAGAAACTGGGACCACAGGTGAGCACCACCACACCTGACCAGGTTTTCTATCTTTTATAGAGATGGGGGTCTTACCAAGTTGCCCAAGCTGGTCTCAAACTCCTGGGCTCAAGCATTCTGCCCGCCTTGGTCTCCCAAAGAGCTGGGATTAGAGGTATGAGCCACCTTGTCCAGCCCCATTGTGTTTTGATCACAGTGGAAAGCAATCCGCATGTGTTAACTTCGTATGGGTAAACAGGGCAGATCCCATTTAACATAGGAAATATGCAGCACTTAGTGAGGTAGAGAGAGAGCCTTGCTTAATGTCATGCAGCAGAGATTTTAGGGGTCAGTGGAGTCTGCCTGACACCCAGGCCCAGCCTGGTCCCCCTCTATCCACCAGGCTGCTCCGACACCCCTCACCCTGGGGACACAGGACACTATAATAAAGAACGTGGTCAGGGCAGTTTTTACAGCAAACACAGGAGGCATCTGACCATGGTGGCTTCTGCTTCCAATTTGAATTAACTTCAAGGGCAAAACATAAAGTAAATAGATTCAGGCAGGTTGCAGCAGACCTACATGTCAGGCAACGCTAGGCATTTGGAGGGCCTAACTGCTATAAGGTAGTCTCAGAATCCCCTGCAGAAGGGAGGCCAGCATATCCCTCATTTTCTGGGCTCCAATGGTGCTGGGCCCATCCCAGCCTCTGAGATAACCAAGGAGCGGTCTGGGATGCAGCTCCCACAGCAGAGCTCTGGCTATGCTGTGATAGCTGGAGAGTCCAGCCCTGCTACTTCTCCCAGGCTGGCGCAGGTGGGGTGAGTGTACTAGATGTCACCTTGCAAATCCTCCCCTGGGAATATTGGGCTTTGTGGGGGAAAGTAAGGAAGGAGATCAACATAGATTCTCACTTTATTCAACCAAATAAATTCCAGATGGATTTTGTAAACTCAGAGTCAAATGTAAAATTTAATAAAAAATTTGCAGACAAAAATGGGGAGTTAATGGTACCAGGGAGAGGAAGGCATTTCTTAAAAAGAAAAACAAAGAAATGAATCACAAAGAAGGGGAAAATTGGATAGATTTGTGTACCTGAAATTAAACTGGAAAAAAATTGGTATGACTAAAGCCATCATAAATGAAATGAAAATCCAACTGGTGAACTGATGAAAAATATTTGCAACGCTTGTGATAAACAAATGCTTAGTGCCCTCAATATTTTTTTACAAAGCTCTTGCATATCTAATAGAAAACATTAAAACCCTTGGAGGAAAAGAGTCAACAGAAATGGACAGCTCCCAGAAGAAGAAATGCAAATGACTAAATGAACAGATGAAAAACATGCACATAGCCAATTTCACTAGGAGGAAATGGTGGGTTTGGAACACATTTTT
This sequence comes from Homo sapiens, assembly GCF_000001405.40. Classification (NCBI taxonomy): domain Eukaryota; kingdom Metazoa; phylum Chordata; class Mammalia; order Primates; family Hominidae; genus Homo; species Homo sapiens. The sequence continues at coordinate 27,082,655 of NC_000022.11, read as the reverse complement.
AATGCGTTTATTTCATGTTGGCAAGAGGAAGTCAAGATAGATCCCTTGACCATGGCAGGAGGAAGAGTCATTTTTCTGGAAGGTATCTGGCTGCCCGTCGTGTACCTTAGAAATTTGTGGTTTCTGACCCAGTGATCCGATGTCCAGGAACTCATCTTCAGAGAAGATCGTAGACACAGAGGTTGGAATCGTCTTACATATTCATAGGTTGTTACGGATGGTACATAAGATGGAATTCTGTATGGCCATTTAGAAAACTTGTGAAAGACTAGTGATTAAGATATAATACGGTGAAAATACACAGGAAACTGTATTTTTAAAATGACTTTGATATGTGTGTGAGCATGTGTCTGGATGGGGCTACATCAATTCGGAAATATTAGTAGAAGGATATTCACCATAAAATTAACAGTAGGTTGGGGAATTGGTGACCATGTTTCATTTTCTTCCTTCTATTTTTGTGTATTTTTTTACATTTTTTATTATAAACACATTTTTATAATAAGAGAAAGTTTCCAGTCAATTCAGTAAAATTAGAAAAGCCTCCCTCAGTTTGGGGCCATTTGTGTTGGCAGGTGCCTCAGAAGGTGTGTATTGGTAAGGCAGCATTTCCCAGCCTCTGCAATCTCGGTGACTGGACACTCTGGGGCAAATAATTCTCTGCTCTGGGGGCTGTAGGATGTTTCATAGCACCCCTGGACGGTAGGGCCACCAGATGCCAGTAGCATACCCCCCACCAAATATCAAACAACCAAAAATATCTCAAGAAGTTGCCAAAATGTCTCCTCACGGGGTAGGGAGAGCAAAAATCACCCCCAGTTGAGCACCAGTGAGGCAGGGATAAGGAAGAAGTACTTTTCATCTGTTGTCTCTGGGGGTGCCATTCATCTATCCGTATTTTGTTCACTTATTCGTCCAGCAGACATTTTCAGATCCTTGTTCTGAGAGCTGGGAGACCTGAATTCTAGTTCCATGTCAGAATTTCACTGTGTGGCCTCAAAAAGTCATCTACGACTCATTTATTTATTTACCAAACACTCCCTGAGCCCTTCTTTGGTCCATGGCCCCGTGAAGGTGTTGTACATGGAGAAGCAGTGTTGCATAACCTCATGCTCTGCCCTCGAGGAGGTCACCGCCCAGTAGAGGCAGCCCCTGTATAAACTGGTATGTTTAGATTTAGTGGGATGAGTGCTCACTGAGGGATGTTAGAGGGAGATGGATGGATGAATGAAAGAGAGAGACACTAATTGACGAGAGCAACACAGATGGCAATGATTTTTAGTATAGCTTTTTGCCTCTGTACCACAGTTTACAAAGTGGAACATTAGACAAGAGATGGTATATTCGGTGGGATAACCAAGGAGAGTTTAACAATAGGATATTAATGACAGCGTTGGAGGAAGACAGAAAGAGCAATAGGGACGATGCAGCACCTTTGCAGGGAGGAGTAGCAGGGAGCCCTTCCAGCCCTAGGCTGAAGGGTGCTGGAGGAGGTGAGTGATACTGGATGCTGGAGGCAGCTGTGGCTGCCTCTGTGAGAAACACTGGGTAGAGCAACCTAGCCACAGCTGACCCAGAGCCAGGCAGGGAGGGAACAGAGGGAAGAAATATCCCAACCTCACTCCTCCCACCCTCCAATTTCCTGACATCACCTCCCATTGGCTGAGCCATACTGGAAGCCAGAGAGCAAGGGACACCGCTGAAATGGCCCACAGTCAGCTGCCTGAATCCAATAGCAGTGGGGTGGGGGAGAAGAAAGAGGATTGAGAGGGGCACACAGAAGATGTCCAACACAGAAAGCACCACGCCTAGCCTTCTCTTTCATCCCTACAACAGTCTTTTAAAGTAGATTTTATTATCCACCTTTTTAAAGAGAGGAAGGAAGCTGAGGTTCAGAGAGGTATGGTGATTTTCCCAAAGTCACACAGAAAACATGGAGATAGAAGAGATGGAGCTGGGATTGAAACCATAGTTTGCTTGAGCCTCTAAGCACCAGGCTTTGTAGTTAGGAGGACCTGGGTTCAAATCCCAGCCCTCACACTTAGTGGCTTTCAGCCTTGGACAATACCTGTGGGTCTCTAAATGTGCTTGTCCATAAAATGGAGTTAGCGATTCCTTCTCCAATGGGACTGTTGAGGGCTGGATCTGGAGTGTAAAAGGTGGGAGCCTTCCTGGATGGTGAGAGAGCTGACTCAGGCAGGCCACCCCCTGTCTGTTCCCCACCAGGCAGTTATTAACCAGAACATCAGATTCTGCATTATGCATGGGGCAATTTGTCCGCCTCCTCCTCCACCTGCAGAATCGATCTTCACGCTCAGCTGCCTCATTGAGATTCAGGTCTGCAGCTCTGGGACTCCATCCCGGCATCTGGTCAATAGCTTATATTTTTAATTTGTCAATAATCAGTCCAGACCTTGGCCAGAGCCCTGTGGAGGGCTCAGCAAGATTGCTCCGCCAGGGAGGGGGAGGCAGCACTGTGCATGGAGGGGAACGGACTCTGAGTCAGGCTGGCAAGCCCAGGTGAGTACCTGTGGTACATGTGGGTACCCACGGCAGCCTGCCTCTCAGACCATGTCTCAGGTGTCAGGAGGCCTAGGGAGTCATGGAACCTGAGTTCCAATCTCAGCTCTGCCACTTTAAGGGTAAGTGCATTTGGCTGGGCATGGTGGCTCACTTTTGTAATCCCAGCATTTTGAGAGGCTGAGGCTGGAGGATCTCTTGAACACAGGAGCTTGAGACCAGCATAAGCAACGTAGCAAGGTCCCCATCTCTACAAAAAATTAAAAAGAGGCCAGGCCTGGTGGAGAACACCTGTAATCCCAGCTACTTGAAAGCTGAGGTGGGAAGATTGCTTCAACCCAAGATTTTGAGGCTGCAGTGAGCTATGATTGCACCATTGCACTCCTAGCCTGGCAGGCAGAGCAAGACCCTGTCTCTCAAAATAATAATAATAATAATAATAATAATAATAATAATAATAATGATAGGTGGACTCAACCAACAGACTAAACCACTCAGAGCCCCCATTTCCCCATTTGTCTAGTAGTTGCTGTAGTAATAGCACACAACTCACAGGTTTGTAGAACAATCAAATGAGTTAATTAATACATGTGACATGCCCAGAACCGTGTCTGGCATGCAGTGAGCACATTACTATATACATTAGCTATTATTGTGATTGCTTTTAGGAAGTCACCCAAGAGAGAAATTGGTAAGTAGACAGTGATTATCAGCATACTTATGAATTCCCAATGCAGATGGGAAAGCTGATACTCACAGAGGGGAAGTGATTGTCCCCATTTTACAGATGAAGAAGCTGAGGCTCAGAGAAGTGAACTCACTTGCCCAAGGTCACACAGCTGGGGTCCAGTGGAGCTGGCACTGCAAGCCCACAGAGTCTAACTCCAGGCTCTATGCTTCTAACCACCATGTGAATAAAGATTCTACATTACAAATGTCAAAAACAAACCTTCCTGTCTTCATTCTTGGCATTTTTAGGTAATAAGTGCATTTCCTTCTTTTCTCCCTGACAAGCAGGCACCAAGTGCCCACAGGATGGCAGGGGAGGTGAGGAGAAGGGCAAGAAACTCTGTTTCTCCTCGTGGGTTCTTACCCATCCTGTTACTAAAGAAAACCTCAGCTCTTACCCGTTCTGTGCTCCTCCCTAAAGAAAAAGCCCAGGGGAGGCCATGGGAGCTGAAAGAGAGGAGCTTCAGGAAGGTAGTGTTGGTCAAGGAGGAAGCAGACTTCTGTCCATGGTGAGCAGACAACCTACAAAAGGGGAGAAAATGTTTGCAAACTATGCATCTGACAAAGGTCTAATATCCAGCATCTATAAGGAACATAAACACATTTACAAGAAAGGAAACCCATTAAAAAACTTGGTGAAAGACATATACAGATACATTCTTTTGTTCTTTTCAAAAGAAGACGTACATGCAGCCAAGAAGCATGTGAAAAAAAAGCTCAACATCACTGATGATTAAAGAAATACAAATCAAAACCACAATGAGACACCATCTCACACCAGCCAGAGTGGCTATTACTAAAAAGTCAAAAAAATAAGATGCTGGTGAGGATGTGGAGAAAAAGGAACGCTTATACACTGTTGGTGGGAGTGTAAATTAGTTCAACCATTGTGGAAAGCAGTGTGGTAATTCCTCAAAGAACAAAAACATAAATACCATTCAACCAAGCAATCTTATTACTGGGTAGATACCCAAAGAAATATAAATCATTCTATCATAAAGACACACGCATGCATATGTTCACTGCACTATTCATAATAGCAAAGGCATGGAATCAACCTAAATGCCCATCAATGGTAGACTGGATAAAGAAAATGTGGTACATACACATCATGGAATACTATACAGCTGTGAAAAAGAACAAGATCATGTCCTTTGCTGGAACGTGGATGGAGCTGGAGGCCATTATCCTTAGCAAACTAACACAGGAATAGAAAACCAACCATCACATATTCTCACTTATAAATGGGAGCTAAATGATGAAAACACATGGACACATAGGGGAACCACACACGCTGGGGCCTACCAAAGGGTGGAGGTTTGGAGGAGGGAGAGGATCAGGAAAAATAACTAATGGATACTAGGCTTATTACCTGAGTCATGGAATAATCATGTACAAGAGATGCCACAAGTTTACCTATATACCAAACCTGAACTTAAAATAAAAGTTAAAAATATATAGTTAGTGTTAGAGCCAGGACTTGAACACAGGACACCGAAGGCTAGTCCAGGGCTTTTTGTCTGTTCATGGCTTCTTGCCTCGACCTTTGCCTCTAACATCACATCTGCTTGATTCTTGATTCTGCTGTCACTGCCTGTGCCTATCTGTCTCTTCTTGTGGACTTCACTGTCAGCTCCATGGGACAGGGTCAGCCCCCACCATTCTTCTACAGCCCTGCCCAGAGAACCCAGTCCAAAGCTGGGCTCCCACCCATGAGAAGCAGACATGGTCCAGCAGTGAGCACTGGACTCTAAGTCAAAACACCTGATGTCATCACCTCCTAGACATGGAGTCCAAGGTGAGTCCATCCAGCCTTAGTTCATTCACCTGCTACCTGAGAGCCATGACACTTGCATGGTTTGGTGGATTGGAGGATTCTCTGAGACAACCCACATAAATGCTCCTGACACTATGTTGGTTAAAAAGCAGGCTCACAAGAAACATGCACTTCTATGGCTTTTCCTCCTGCAGCCTTTGGGACCCAGGAAGCCTTGGAGATTTTCTCCTATCTTCATCCTCCCATGCTCTGCTGTCTCCAGAGAAACTACCTCCTGAGTCTACATCTATTGAAAGACACTTTTCCACCAGAGAACTCCCCAGACATCAGTCGAATCCCCCATACATAGAATTCGGAAGCTGTTAAATGGCCCCAGAGAATCACGGAACCTCCTGGGACTGATTGTGAAGTGTGAATCACAGCAGGATGTGAGAGAGTCCCAGAAATCAGTGCTTCTGGAGCCTCAGCACTGATTTCTGACCCCTAGTCTGACCCCTTTCCCAATGATGAGATGGGAAACTGAGGCTTTGGGAGAGGGAGTGGCTTGTTCAAAGACCCAGAGCTACCGGCTGGTGCAGAGCTGGGATTCCGTTCTCTATGCATTGCACTATTCATCTTCTCACAAAGATGCTGGGGGAAGTGGGTGGCCAGGAGGAAACCCATCCTCAGGGCTTTAGACAACTCCAAGAGAAACAGGATCTCTCCCAAGTCTCCTAATGCAATCATCTTCACAGACTTTATTGAATGTTCAGTGAGGAAAGATGAGTTCTGGTCTATGCTTTGCTCTCAGCTTTCTGGATGAACACAGACAAGTCATGTATCATCTGTACATCCTAGTTACTCCGTCTACCATGGGTCATAAGTATTCACTGAAGTAATAAGCAGAATAGCTCCATCATCACCAACATCATTATCATCTCCTTCTCCTCTTCCAACTCTTCTTCTTCCTCCTTTTCCTCTTCCTTTTCCTTCTGTCTTTTTTTCTTCTTCCTTTCCTCCTCCACCTTCTTCTCCCTCCCCTCCTCAGTTCACGTTTATTAAGTATTTTTATCATACTCAAGACACACTTCAAAAACGTTTATAGGAAACTTAGGAGGAAGGTACTATTACCCTATTCTCCAGATGATAAAACATAAGACTGGAAATATTATTTGTTTGCATTGGGTCACCATAAGATCCCCAGAGAAGCAACCAGCATTTGGACCAGGGGGCCAGTCAGAGAGCAGAGCCGGCACCCTTCATTCTGCCCTGATCCTCCTCCCATGTGGAAGGGATTTGCCACTGACAAAACCCTGCAAAGCTTGGCAATGATTCTTTTCATTGATGCCCTTTCTGGCATTACAGTCCAGAGAAGTCACGTTTGAACCTAAGCATGACACATTGAACCTAAGCTGGAGGGCCAGCTTTAATTCTTCCTGCCTCTCCCTCGGCCGGGGCTGAAGACAGCAGGTGGGTTTGCTGAGTGGCACTCAGACGTGAAATGGGTCAGAGAACAAATGAGGAAGGAGAATTTAACATGTTTGGGTTCCTTTGTGGCTGGAGTGTAGCCATGCAAGAAGTGAATTGAGCCTACAGATTTCCCATGGGGCTGGGGTTGACAGAGAAGCCCTCGAGCAGGGACGTGGGGGAGCTGCTGCTCAACTTTTGTACTAGCCCAGGGTCCCTCCAGGTTTTCTAGACGTTGAAGGTGCTGTTCCACCTGCTGTGTGGCCCAGGCAGGTCACCTCCCTCTCTGGGTTCCAATTACTCTATCAGTGAAACAAGCACATTGGAGATGAGAAAGAATAGTGCTAACTTCCTTGAGTTTCCTGTGGACAAAGCCTTTATGCTGACTAGCACCAATTGGTACTATCTGTCAGGGTGTTTCTTAAAAATACCAATACCAGGCTCTGTCCCAAAACAACTGCATAAAAATATTTGGAGATTTGAGCCCAGGCATCAAAATTATTTAAAATTCCACAGATGAATCCAGCTGGTAGTTACTCTAGATTATCCTTCGAGCAAGGTTTCTGGGTGGCAGATGTAAATAGGCCCATTTGACTGCTAAGAAACTGAGGCTCAGACAGAAGAATGACCTATCTAAGGTCACAAGGTTGACTTATCCAAGGTCACAAGGGTGGCAGGGTCAATGTGAAGACGTAGCAGAGGCTCTGTCCAATGTGCTGAAACGGGAGGGAGGCAGCTCAGCAGATGTCTCTGAATTCTGACTGGAAGCTGGTGCACACATGTCCTGACTCCCACCGTCTCAGCCACACACTCAGATTATTTCCCCACAAAAGATGTTTTTCTCATTTCGTTTCTACCTTTCCCTCTCTCCATCATTCTATTCCTCTTCCGTATCTCTTTTTATAGATTCCTCCCTTCCTTCCCTCCATCCTTTCTTCCCTCCTTCCTTCCTTCCATCCTTCTTTCCTTCCTTCCTCACTCCCTCCTTCTCTCCCTCTTCCTTTCTCTCTTGATTTATTGCTCTCCTCCTCTCTTTTCCTACCCCCTGTCTCTCTCTGTCTCTGCCTCTCTCCATTTATCTCAGTCTCCATCTATCTCTCACCTCTTTCTATCTCTTCCTCTACCTCTCTCTTTGTCCCAATCTCTGTCTTCCCAGCTGCTCCCTCATAACTCTTGACTGAAGTCTCTTCCCCACCCAGCACCTCTCCCTCTGGCTTTCTTGCTGAGGCCAAACACCAATCTCCAGTCCAAGTTCTCCTTCCCTTTCCTCTCCTAGCCCTTAGGAGAAGTCCAGTTTCTCCCTATGACTCCAGACAGGGATTTAGAACCAGGGATGTGCCTTCCTTTCAGTCTCTCATTGTAGAGAGAAGTACAGGGAAACAAACCCCCAGAGGGGCTAATATGTATAGTCATATCAAGAACCACTAATGTTTATTGGGCCTTTGCTAATTGCTAAGGGCTTTACAAGGATCGTCTTCTTAAATCCCTACAATAATCCTATGAGGCACATACTATGAGTTTTTCTACTTTTCAAATGAGAAAATTGAGGCACACGGAGTTAAAGCAATCAATTTAGCAAATTAAAATCTTTCTACTCCATCTCCAGCCTTAAGACAATTGTTAGCTGCTCTGCTCCTTCCTCCCAGTCCCCTAAAACTCTGTATTAATAGGTTCATATGTTCCAAAAATCTCAGAGACCAGAGTTTGTCCAAGCGGGTTCCAATCCTAGCACCAATAGTCTATTAAATACTTGGTTTCTCTGCATTTGCTTCTTTGTGTGTAAAAAAAAAAAAAAGAAAAGAAAGAAAGAGAAATATAATTGGTCAACAAATCGTGACTAGTCTAGTGTGGTTGTAATAGTAGTTTTAGAATTCATATTCATGTTAGCAGGGCCTTTTATGGGTAACTTCTTAAACCCAAGGAATGACCTAATGGTGGAATTTCTGGCATGTTGTCAAAAAGAGGAGATGGTACATTTTTGAGTGAAAGACTGGGAGTGGAGGCTGACCCAGGGATAGAAGGTTTCAATAAGGATAACCTGTCCCTCTGACCCGAGATAAGGGTCTGCCCTTCTCAGTAGGGAGAACCAAAGAGAAACCCTATCTCACCCCTAAAACTGCCCGTCCTCCTCCAAAAGCCCTCCCTCAGTGCTACAAGCTATTTCACTTCTCCAACGCATGACTAATAAGCGCTTCATCGAAGGCAGTATTCAATCGTGCTGCAGAATTAAACGAGTGGACTAGCACACCGTATATCACCCCAGTTGCTCGTACAAGCAGGAGATCAATAGTCCAGCAATAGACATTTCATAATTAAAAGAAGAAGAAGAAAGGCAAGGACCCTGACAGATGGTCTTGCATTTTCGTGTGCTTTTCAGTTCCCAAAGCTTTGGGGGATTTGCCAGAACAATAAGTCCTGGTTGGAGCTATCCCAAAAGGCTTGCTGTGAAGGGACTTCAGTAGAGTCACATGGTCTGTCCCCCTGCCTGGAGGCTGGCTGGGGACAAATGCTGCCATTTTTAGACTCGCTGAAGTTCCTTTTAAGACCTCTCTGATGCCTTTCTGTGTAATCCAAAGCTGGCTGGAGTGGACGTCCGTTCCTATTCCCTTCCCAGCAGCCAAGACTCCATCTTTAAGTTAAGCACCCAGAGTTCCCTCTGGGAAAATCTCCACCTCATGGTCGTTTGGTTCAGCGTGGAATGAATGTGATCTCCACAATCCGGAGATGGCCACATGGATCCGATCTGGCCAATAAGAGCATCCCATTCGTTCTTATAATTGGCTTATGGATGCTCACGTGACCCAAGTCAGGCCAATTGGGGCTGATTCTGGGACTTTGGCTGGGACTGCTCCTCTCTTAGCAGGGGTTACCAGGCTTGGAGGATGGAACCTGAAGTTAGTACTGGAGGGCGTCTTGTCATCATGAGGATAAGAATGAAGCTGGCACACCGGGAAACAAAACCGAGATAGAGGTGGAAAGATGGACTGACCAAGTCCTAAGGAAATTGTTAGATTCATTCAGCCACTCGCGAATCCAAGTTAAACTTTATTTATGAGAACCCATAAATTCTCCTTTTGACTAAACTGTCGAATGGGGTTACCATTAGGGATTTTTGGTCTACCTATCTAACAAATGAGTTAATATAGAGAAAAATGCACAAACATTGAAGTTAGATCCAAAGTCTAACTCCTGACTGAACTATCTACTAGCTGCGTGATCTTGGGAAAATTGCCTAAGCTTTTTGAAACTCAGTTTCCTCACCTGTAAAATAGATATGGTGCTGCCCTCAAAGAGTTGCTGTGAGGATGAAATAAGACTGTCTAGTTCTTAAGAAGCATGAAATACAGTCAGTCCTTCCTCTTACCTTGCAGTCTCACTCTGCTATGGGAAAGAATAAAACTATCACTCAAAGATTCTACCACCACCATCACCATCATTTGCAGCAACAAACTGGATGTGCTAGAATGCACCATCGTGTAGAAAAGATGTGTGGCAGCACCACCTGGACCAAAGCTGAAAAACAAAAGTAAATCTTAATCGAGGTAACAGGTTTTGTTCAAGTACAGAATTAGCAGAAAGGAATCATGATGATTTGAAAATAAAATATCATTTGTTGCACATCCAAATAGCACCCCTCCATATTTTTCGTATTATCTTATTTTAATGAGAAAACGGAGGCTCAGAAAGGTGCAGTAACTGGACTAAAGTCACACAGCCGACAAATCTGAGTCCAGAGCCTGTGCCTTTAACCACTGAGTTGTGCCAATTCCCACTAATAATTCCCAGGTCTTGGATTCTGACCGTGTATCAGGCACTCAGGAAGGCCCTGTCTGCACATGTCTTCGCATCAAATCCTCTTATCACCCATTGAGAACAGTTGGTTCCCATTGTACAAATGAGAAGCAGCCATGCTAGGCACCAAGTATGCTTAAAGAGGGAAACTAGGATCTTACTTCTCATTCTATTACAAACTGCACATTTATGTTACGTACATATAATATGTAACCACAATTTTTAAAATGATGAAAAATAAGCACTTTCGGGGTTTTTTTGTTTGTTTAGTTGGTTGGTTGATTGTTTTGTTTTTGAGTCGGAGTCTCACTCTGTCACCTAGGTTGGAGTGCAGCGGTGCAATCTTGGCTCACTGCACCCTCCGCCTTCTGGGTTCAAGCTATTCTCCTGCCTCAGCCTCCTGAGTAGCTGGGATTACAGGCGCCTGCCACCACGCCCAGCTAATTTTCATATTTTTAGTAGAGACGGCATTTCACCATGTTGTCCAGGCTGGTCTCAAACTCCTGACCTCAAGTGATCCACCCCCGTCGGCCTCAAAGTTCAGAGATCATAGGAGTGAGCCACCGTGCCCGGCCATAAGTAAATATTTTCAAAGAGCATGTTTATTATAAAAAGTTATCCAAACATATTAGTAACCAAACAAGAAGCCAAACAACAACAAATTAAAACAAAACAAAAAAATCTCCAGAGGAAAACCTCTCCATGGTCCATCCCTTCAACCCTTTCAGTCTAAACCCTGCTCCTCTCCCTCATGCTCCCAGCTCTGGGAGCCTTAATCTTGCCCCAGCTCCCTGATCTCCTCTGCTGGCAATGCTTTCCTTTTCCACCTTCATCAGTGAGATCCTACTTGGTCTTCAAGCCCATCCAGCACAGCAAAGTGTCTCTCATCGGGCCATGATGAGTTTCCCAAGGACAGGTACGTGTTTGTCCAGCACCCAGCCCCAGCCTGGCCTAGAGGAGGAGAGCAGTGGATAGGGTGAATGTCCAAGGGTGTGACCAGTGGGGAACAGCTGACTCAGGGTCCGTGACCAGGGGCAGTCCCGTCCCTGACCTTGAGTCTTTACTTCTGTCATCACCCCTGGCCCTTGTGAATTCATGTAGAGTGTGAGTTGAGAGGATAGAAGTGACATTTCTCACATACCTCCTTGGTTCCAGGTTCTGTGATGGGTATGTACATAGATATGTTTTATTTGAATCTTCAGTTTTGTATTTTTATTCTTCGATTTTACGTGTAAGAAAACTGAGGTCACGGGAGAGGGAAACTGACTCAGCCAAGGCTACCGGCTGCTTATTGAGGGGCGTAAGGTACAAACCTAGGTTGAAGGCACAGAGTTGTGAAGCAGCTGCCTTGCCCTGTGCCACATCACACCCTGCAGCATTTAGACCTAGTGCTGTGGCGGATTTCTTACATCTGATCTATAACATGTCGTTCAGGCTACACCAATAAACAAGAGCTGGCCATTGGCAAATTGACCCATGTACGACTCTTTGTTCACCGTGGAAAGGGATGCCGATTTGTGAGCTTAGGAAGATGGTGGGCTGTCCCGAGAGCTGTCACCCTGTGACAATATTGACAGAGCCTGTGCCCCCACCTCGTAAAACCCCAGTGTACACACGTGGGGGAAGCAAGCCCATCCTCTCTCACTGAGAGAATAAGTGTAAGGAATTAAGGAGACTCTGATTAAACAAACAGATGTTTTTAGTCGGCAATAGAAGTGTCAACATGATCCTAATTAATGAATGTGTTAATGGCTGTTCTCTGTTTGAAGACAATAGTCACCACCTTCTAGATGTCTCTGCAATGACTTTAGGGTACATACCTAATGTGTGCATACATGGAGCCTGCATGAAGGGTGAGGGGTGGCAGGGTGCAAGCCCATATGCCCTTAGGCATCCAAGGGTCATGCCCTGGACTCATAAAAGGGACACAGGATGGCATGAGTCACACACAGGGAGTGTGCCCTGAGCCTTCAGGGAATAGGTGGAATACTCAGGGCATACAGAGTGCTGGAACACACATGGTTACAATTTCTAACACACACATACAACACACACACCACCCCACAGCACTCTATAATACAATGCAACTGACAATACTTACATCACCCACATCACCCCCACGAAAACACACAATGCACACAGAGCACCCATATCACCCATGCGACATCACATCCAAACAAAACACATGTGCAAGGCTCACACAATACCCCCACGCCACCCACACAAAATTCATGCAATGACATGCACACAACAAACACAATACACACAACACAATACAACACGATGCACACACAACACTCATATACAACATACACTCAATACACAACACAGATACTCAACATATATGTATCATATACATAGTACATCATGACACACATACACACTACATGTAAATCCATTGTAGAGTTCATGGTTCCCAGGGCACTAGCCTGACACACTTAGCAAACACTCACACACATATTTAGTAGCAGCAGTAATAATATTCGCTATGTGTTTCCACCATGTAACAAGCTCTGTACTGAACTATAAAAATACGGGAATGAACATGGTGGAGTCTCTTCCTTCAAGAGTATCTCAGGCCTACAGAGATCCCAAGTACCTCCCAGTGAGGTACATTAAGAGAGTTCCTCAACATCATTAATATGCTTACATGTACACATATTTTCATGTATTTAAAGAAGACAAGGCATGGAAAAAACTTTGCTATGCAGAGAAAGTCCCCAGCAATACTAAAGACTTGTGCTTTTACCACTCAATGATCTTTTTCATGAAAATGTCAGGTAGAAAAAAATCTCATATTTCATATGTCAGATAGAAAAAAGTCTCATATTTCATTGTATTTATTCTGTAATTGTGTTTTCATTTATCTCAAAGACTCTGAGAAGTGTATAATTAAACAGGTCTCCCTTTTTTCCTTGGCTACTAGGAAGCTCAGAGCTATATTTTTGGTCCACACATAGTAGGGGTGTTCACACATGTATTCACACATGTATGTGATTTGAATCAAATACATTTCTGAGTGTTATTTCTGGTCCTATTTTATGTTCCTACAAGTATTTTTCTAATTTTCTTTCACGCCATTTAAAAATATATGTTTGTAAATGACTTCAACTTTTTTCTGGAAAATTCAAGGGACAGAAAGAAAGACAGATTTTAGGTAGATAGATATATTAGGGCAGTTTTGCTGCTATAACAATCTCCAGTTCTCAGTGTTTCAACACAACAAAGGTTTATTTCTTGCTCATGGCACAGTCCAATGTGGGTTGGTGGGAGGTAAGGCATTGCTCCATACAGCCATTCCGGGGCTCAGAGTTCCTTCAGTCTCTGGTTTCAGTGACCCTTAGGGCCTCAAGTTCCTCTGAAGGGATCCTCAAAGAGAGGGTATGTAGCGTTGCTCAAGAGGTACGAAAGTGGCTGACATCACTTTCACCTTCATTTCATTGGCCAGAACTCAGTCATATGGCCACATTGCAATGCAAAGGAGGCTGAAAAATGTAGTCTTCCTGTGTGCCCAAGAGGAAAATGAAAGAGGCCAGGTGAACCCACGGCATTATCTCAACTACAACAGCTGAACCCAAGTGTGGTAGGTTTACAATGAAATAATCTGTAATTCAACCACTATTTATAGAGAGCCTACTAAATTCAAGGCTTTGTGCTAGGCACTTTGGAATAGGGCTATCAAGATAAAATGGACACTGTTCCTGGACTCCCTCACTTTGTGCCTGGAAAATCTACTGATTAAACCAAAATGGGAACAGAAGACATCCTTGAGATATGGAGTTGTGCATAATTTTCATTTTCCTGTGTTTTCTTATGGTTCTAAGTATTCCTCAATGAATATGTACTACATTTTTAATTGAAATGTGATACATATCCATGAGTGGACACAGAGCATAAATGTACAGCTCATAGACAAATCTCATTCAAGCCTAGAAATGGAATGTTGCCAGTATCCAAGACCCTTCCTAGGGCCTCTCTCAATCTCTGCTTCCCCAGTCCTTGCTAGAGGTAAAAACTACCCTGACTTCCAAGACTAGAGCTTGGCTTCATCAGTTTTGTTTTCTGTCATGTCTTGTCCTATGTGGGTTGGCAGGAGGTGGGGCCTTGTTTCATACAGTCATTCAGAGACCCAGGGTTTCTTCCACCTAGTGGCATTTAAAGGGCAAGGAAAAGAAGAAAAAAAAAGGTGGGATCATGTCCTCAAGGTGTAGCTAAATCTTTATCCTGGCACACAGTAGCACAACAGGACTAAAAGACACTGGAACTCAGGGCCATGTCCAGAGGAGGTGGAGTTAATTTCTTATGGGCAGATAATGGGGGTTCACCAAGTAGGAACCAGTCTCTGAGCTGGACATGGAGGACAAGACGACTCTGGGTCTGCAGAGACAGTGCAAGGCCGATGGGCAGCGGGACCCAACTGGACCAATCAACAGAGGTTAGAAATGGTGGGGAGTTTGGGGATACCAGTGAGGGGCTCCTTCTGGCCAAAGGCTGGGATGCAAAATAGCCTTGGTGAGCATTATTGATGGAAAGAAATTCAGGGCTCCACCTGAAAGAACCTTGAGCATCAGACACACACACACAAAGTCATCTATTTATTTTACAATAGTTTCATTATCCCACATTTATTGGGCACTGAGAATGGTGCAGGGTGCTTCCTTTGCAATGATCTTATCAGTATCCATAGCAACATTGTGGGTCTAGGTACAACTGTGATCCACATTTCACAAGAGTGGATACAGGCTCAGAGAGCTTAAATGACATACCCAAGTTCACCTAGACAGAAATGACACCATCAGAGGTTGAAATGGTGCACTTTCTTAACTGCTACATCCTGGGGCCTCTGAAACAAGGGTTGTCCACTGTGTCATGGCCAGCAGCTGGGATAGATGGGATTATCAAGGGGGCAGCCTATGACATGAGCTACCGGCACAAGTCTCAAAGTCAACTACAGCTCCACACCTCAACCCCGAGCCCTGCATAATGCACTTAAACTTGAAGCCTCATTGTTCTCACCTGTAAAATGGAGCTAATAATGCTTCTGTTCCAGAGTTGTTGAAAGAGCAACAGAAGATGCCACCCCGTTGTTTAACCTCACATTGAGCATAGAGTAGGGGCTGCATAAACAGCAGCCATGATGACGGTTGTTGTTGCTGCTGTTGTTGTTGTTTTTAAAGAGATGAAAGAGTCAGGGAACAGGCTGCTATACCAGTCAGGAGACAAGTAATTTGGGAACACTGTAGCAGAGGCCAGGGAAAGGGACAGCTGTGAGGGAGATTAAGGAAATTCACGCGGAATATATGTACGTCTGCTACGTATGGCACATTTGGCAAAGACAGAATCGGGATGGATACGCGCCTCCCCAGAAAGATGTGAACGGCATTTGGCATCCCTTGTTGTTCAAGCCAGGAGCAGTCCTGTGTCTGCGTGTGTCTGTGTGTTAAATGCAAATGTGGGTGCGTGTCGATGTAAATTGCACAAAGCTTGGGAGACTCAGTGGCAGATAGAGAACAAAGAGAGGCAGGCTTCCCTGATGAAGAAGCCAGGTCGTCGGGGTCAAGAGAGGCTGGAGGGTGGATCTGAGTTCTCTCTTCTACTTTGGGCCAACAAGTGGCACTTGACCTCAATGGCCTTGTCTATAAAATGAGGCTGAGGTCCCCTTATCTCTCTTGACTCTTGGGCTAGACCAGGTCAATTTTTGAGGTCCCTGTGACTCCAAAATCTATTGTCTTAGGCCAATGAGAGGAGAGAGAATGTTTAGATAGGAGAGGAAGAACAGCCTTGAAGTTCTCGGAAGGAACCTTTGCTGCTTGAAGTCCAAGGGAGGTGAGAGAGAAGGGTAAGCACTGGCAGGAGATATTCAATTTCTCAAAGAGCCCGAGAAAGAGAAAGAATGAACTCCAAAAAATGCAGAACTGGGACACCTCCCTGAGTGGACCCTTCCTCCTAAACCATGAACAGTAGCCACTGTCACCATGCCCCACTCCCTGAGGTCTCCTGCCCAAGTCCCCTTTCTCTCCAGGTTCCTCACGTACTTGAATAACTACTTGTAGTCTTGACAATCAGCCAAGGACAACTGGAGAGGAGATACCTCCCCAAGATCCTCTCCTCAAGAGAACAAGCCCTGTTTTAAGCCCCTTAAGGGTTTCAAAATAAAAGACAGCATCAAAACTCAAGAAACTGAACGTGGAGCAAAATGATAAGCCAAAAAATCCTGGACTTCAACATCAGCCTGGGTTGGGTGGCTAGTCATGGTTTCAGCTTGTGCAAGTCACATGTACTTGACAGGAAACTTTATCTCCTGGAGCCTCAGTTTCTCCACCTGTGAAATAGAACAGACAGCAAAATTTACCTCTCAGGGTGGATGGGAGGTTGCATAGTAATCGCTGGGTTAAGTGCCTGCCTCTGCGTCTGGCAGGGAGTAAGAGTCCTTTAACTGTCATTTGCTGCTCACCAGTTTTTGGAAGTGGGTAACACGCTCTCATTCAACCTACCTTGGCCACGCCCTTGTGTTTACAGAGAGTCTTTTCTTTAGCCAAACACACCCAAACGTCTTTTTCCCCAAAACATTTGTCTCCCTCCACCTTTCCATTTAACGTATTGATTTAGGAGAAGATCAAAATAAAACGTGGGAAGCTGGAAGCTGCGACACTATTTTTTTTTTCCTGGTACACACTGATTATGTGTAAACAGCAAATTGCGAATTATTTCCTCTTTATCTGTCAACTCCGCAAACCACCTCGGGGTCCCTCAGAATGAATAATTGGCTCTGGGACATCGCCTGACAATTGGCTTTGCGTAGATGTTTATCGCCAGGGGAGTCTTCTTCCAGCTCTAATGTTTTCAAAGACAGAGGGTGTCGGGCAGGAGAGATGGGGAAGGGAAGGTCATATCTACACAACCTTGCTCCCTCCAGGGGGTCTCTTTTAAGGAGGAAGGAGGCAGGGAAGAGTGTAATCACGTGATCCAAAAACAGACTAATTGAAAAGGCCCAGCTGGATTGATTCTCTCGGGTGCTGTTTCCTGTCTCGAAATCTCTCTTGATTCCCCTTACTCAGGGCAGAGAATACCTCCTTCCAGGAGCCCCCAAACTTTGCATCTCCAGATTTCATCCTTAGAACCTTGTGAAACTCAATAGTCTTTTGGGAGACAGGAGTGTGGTTGGATATAGCTACAAATTCCCAGCTCATCTAGCTTTGGAGGTTTGCAACCTTGAGTTCAAATTGCAGGTCTGTCCCTGAAAGAGCTGCAGGATGCTGGTCAAGAAATCTAATTCCTCTGTGCCTTTTTTTTCTCGTCTTTAAAATGGGTATAGTAACAAAGCTGCCCCAGAGGCTGTGGGTGCATGAGATCGTGTAGGCACACAGGACAGCAGCTTGCACAGAATACCTTTGTGAGAATTAGGAAAAGCCAGCTCCTGCTGGCAGAGCAATTAGAGAACGGCTTCCTCATACTCCAGTTGTGCACTGCCTTATGCCACGGTCTGCTTAGCAGCCCAAAGACTGGGTTCAGCTCTCAGTTGCCTCTTTGGTTGGGAGCTCTTCGGCAGTCCACATCCTGCACAACTATACCTGGCAGCTCTGCATGTAAAGCACTCAGCCTGTGCCAGTCTCAAACACTCAGATCTGGCAGCAGCTGTGATCACTGCCACCATATATTATCATCTGAATGATCTGGGCTCTTAAAGTCCATGAGGATCTTTAGCATAAGGTGAACCCATGTCTGAATCTCATTTTCACCATGTCCTGGCCCTGTGTCTTTGAATTGGCTCGTCCATCCCAACCTCAACTTCCTCCTCTGTAAACATAGGAAACAGTAATGCCCACCTACTGTTGTGGTTTTGATTAGGTAATAGGCATCCAATGCCCCTGCAGTTCAGTGCCAGTTGCATGCTAGGTGTTCAGTATTTGTTTCTTTCACAGGAAAGGAAAAGAGACCTCCCTGCCATTGCCTTTTCCCTTTAGTAGAAGAATCCATGGTCAATGTGTTAGGGAAGTGAAAAAAACATATATCAAGCCATTTCAGGGAAGATGCTTGGCATTCTGAGATAGAACCTGTTTGCAGACAACAGCATCAAGTTTGGAATTGGAAAGCTGGGGCCTAGTCCCTGAGTCCACTCCACCCACTAACTCACTTTGTGACTTTGGGTAAGTCACAGACTCTCTGAGACTGGACTGCCCTTTCTGTGAAACCAAGGGTACAGGAGATGAGAGTTGTTTCATATTTTGTGCAGCAGCAAAGGCTTTAATTCCAAACAAGCTTCCTGCATATACAAAGCAGGTAAGAACAGAGATGCGCTGATTGAAGCAAGGTTCAGGGAGGGGTTGCCAGCCTCCTCCTTCTTTCTTCTTCTCACCCTGCAGCACTCTCTGATGCTATTTTGAGGGACCCTGGGGCTCTGGGAACACAATGTGACAGCCATTGGACTCAGATCCTTTCCTCCTTAAATATTCCAAGACTCTGTGTTTTTACATCTACTGCCTTGCCACTCAATTTCTCCTGACCTGGTGTGTGTGTGTGTGTATGTGTGCGTGTTTGTGTGTGTGTGTGTGTACCACAAACAAATGCTCAGAAAGGAAGCAAAAAGAAGTTCCACCAGCCATTAAGGAGAAATTACAAACGCATTTTTCTCTGCCTCTGGCACATTAATAAAATAGATTACAAAACTGGAAGTGAGTTGAAGCAGGGCAGCATCACAAAAATTGGGGAGGGGTGAGGAGCTGCTTCCTGTATAGTCATCTGATTTCATGGCCGTTCCCATGCTGAGAAAATCTGTCTGCAGCGGCTGCTGGGAGGATGTGGAGCTCATGCATTAAACATCAGGGGGACCCTCACAACATACACCGTGGGGCGGGAGAAGGATGGGGAGGAGGAAGTTCTGTGCTTCAGTACAGGCTGAGGGGACACTTCTGACATGCCCCAGTGCACCAATACCATGGGCTGAGATCTGGAGATTGTTTAACAAGGGCCTGGGAAAATCACTGAAAACTTCAGGGTGGTGGATGAAGGAGAGTGTAACATGCAGAAAGTACAAAGATATTCTAGAGTTTTGAACATGGAAGGGCCACCTAGGGCAGGGTGGGGGGTGGTCCACACAGGGTCACTTTGTCTAGGTGGTCGTAGAGAATAGTTACCATGTGCTATAAGCTCTCTGCGCTGGATGCTGGGATTGGTCATTGGAGTGAATTGAATTATTGACCCCAATTCTTCACTCTCCCTTTATCCAGCCTTTTGCCATGTGACTTTGCAGCCTCTCCTCCTACAGGGTGGATCCTGCACATTGGGCATGATCACATGGTTTGTTTTGGCCAATGGAATACAAGTGGAAGGGCCAGTGTGCTAGTTCTGGGATGGGACCTTAAGAAACATTGCAGGTTTCCACATTTTCTCTTGCATCTCTGTCCCTGCCATGAAAGAAGCATGTTCTGGCTAACCTGCTCATACACAGAGGCTGACAGACATGCAGAGTCAAGCCAGGCACCACCTGCAGCTCAGGGCTGCCCCAGCTACTTGCAGAATAAAGCTAGATGAGAAATAATACTTATGGTTGTAGGCAATGGAGATTTAGTGGCTGTTTGTTATACAGCAACAGCTGACTGATATAGTTATATGTGAAGTCATTCATTCTATTCACATATTTGTTCATTCAGCAAATATTTCTTGAGCACTTCCATGCCAGACATTTTGCTAGGCAGTAGGGATATAATGGTTAGTAAGGTATCTAGGAAAATGAGCAGGGATTTCAGATTTATTAATTCAAGGATTGAACATGGACTATGTGCCAGGCATGGTGATAAGTACTGCAATGACAATGGCAAACAAAATACATAAGGCCCCTCCGCTCATGGGACTTACAGACAGCAGATCAAACAAGCAACAAGCCGGGAAATTTCCAAAAAGCTTGATGAATAAACTTGTCTCTTCCTTTGAACGAGTCACTGTCCATTTGACAAGACAGAAAAGTCAGTAAACTATTACCATGTAAACTATTAAGCACTAGAATGAGATGCCTATAGGCAGCTCAGATAAAATACCTTATCCAACCTGGGGTTGGAGACAGGAAGAAGATAAGAGAGGGAAACCTTTTCAGGGCACAAAATATCTGAGCTGAGCACTGAAGGTCAAATAGTTTGCAGAGGGAGAGAAGAAAAGCAGGGATGGACTATGAGGCAGAAGGTACAATAACCAGAGTAGGGAGGCAGGAAACAGTATGGTGTCACACTGACAGTAAAATGTACTTCTACATATTATTGGAAAATAGAGTGGAAGAGGGAGAGGCAGATGAAGGGCTTAAAGTAACCAGGTCATGAAGGAGTTCAACTGCCAAGCTGAGATGGTCGGACTTGACTGAAAGCAGATAAATAGTGAGCTATGGAAAGTTTCAGCAGCAGAGCACAGAATCAGGTTGGCTTTTGGGAATTTTAGAATGGTGGATTGGCTGGGTTGAGACCAGAGGCAAGGAGCCCAGGAGGAGACTGGGTAACAGCCCAGGAGAGGAGGGATAGTACCCACACTGGGGCAATGTGGGGAGGGGGATAAATTATCCCAATCTTGGAATTATGGAATCAGAGAATTTTACAGCTGAAAGTAACCTGGGACCTTTAAGTTGCCTCCACCCCTTTTCACAAAAGCTGGACCTTAGAGAATGGGGGTGACGCCATCCTGTCCAGTCTTACAGCAGGTGAGTTTAGGACTAGGGACTGAAATCAAGATCTTTATATTCTTAATCCTTAATCTCACTTCATAACCTCACTCTGTTTCCTAATCCCCACAACTTGACTAATAATAATTATTATTATTATTACTATAATATCTAATAACTGAGTCTTTTCCATTTGCTGGGCTCTGTGCTGAGCACATTAAGTGTAAAATCTCATTAAATCCTCCCAACATTCTGAAGGATGAGAACTCCCCATTTTACAAATAAGAAACCTGAGGCTCAAGAGGTGAAGCAATTTGAATTTGAACCTCAGGATCCTCGTGGGGATCATAGCAGCAGCTCTCGTGTAGAACCGCAGTAAAGGCTAAATGAATAAGGCATACATGTGCCTAGCACTGTGCCTAGCATGTTGAAAGGTCTTAGCAAATGACAGTGACAATGGTGATGATGATGACAATGACCAAGGACAAAAATGGTGGAGAGAGGTAGATCCGTACCTGGGCCTTGACTCCACTGTGTGACTTTTGGCAAAGCACCTAATTCTCTGGGGTTCAATTTCCCCCGTCTGTCAAATGAAAACAGTACTCTAGGGCCATGGTTCTCAACGTGTGTTGCCTGGGCTGGCAGCATTAGCCGTCACCAGGGAGCTTGTTGGAGATGCAAATTCTCGAGCCCTCCCTGAATGGACTAATTCTGGGACTCTGGGAGTGGGATCCAGTAATCTGTGTTTCACAAGCCCTCCTGGTAAGTCTGATGCATGTTCAAGTTTGAGAACCTCTGGTCTAGATTGCTAATTTTGCATTTTTTGAAATGACATCAATACTTCCTTCTATCAAATTCATGAAAAGGCAGGCACAGGAAGCAGATCAGAGCTGCAGCATTAAGGGTGAGGCAGCCACCAGGACCCACGGTTCTGTTCACTCTCCCCATCCTTGTCCCCCTGCTTGGAGGCTCCGCAGGGCCAGGTGTGAAGGCCAAGGTGATGCTGTAGCCTCTCTGCTCTGCATTAATGCCTCCTGCTAGCCAGAGCCCATGCTCCACAACAGCCTCCCTCCCTCCCACTCAGCCTCCCTTCCTGTTTACACATTCTGTAAAGTATGAATTTGTTGTGGCCTCATGAAACCTGGTCTATTTCTTTCCTTATTTTTTTTTTAAAGAGGCTTGAGACTGTAATTCGGTTAACTATTTCCCAGAGCCCCGGTTTTGTGGCTACAGCACAGCACGAGGCAGAGGAACGGAGACAGGTCCTCGGAAGCCTCTTTCCAGAAAATCTAATTTCATCATTGAGAAATCTTCTGTCTTAAACAGCCTCCACCACCGCCATAAATTTACATATTCTATATGCCGCCGGAACGGAGTGGGCCCTATTTGCATAATGCTGCTGGAGGGGCTCACGCTCCTCTTGAACCTGAATGTAGCAGGAGCGAGGAAGCAATTATTAAGCTGTAGACGTTGGCAGGGAGAGAGCCCTCAGATGGATTTCGACTCCAAACCTCATTCGCCAGGGCTGCTCATTACCGAAGGCCTGGATCCCAGGCTGAAGGTGGATCCCAGGGCTGGGAAAAATCAGTGTGAATTGCTTTCTCCAGGTTATGTCTGCAGCCAGGCCGAGGCCAGATATGGGTGAGTACCTTTGGTTTTCCAACATTGATCATTGGAACAATCGTCTCTCTGCTCCCAAGGTGGCAATTTGTTTCTTGGACAGTGTTGTCACTTTGCCTGTGCCACACATTCCTGCCCCTTTCCCTCACACACCTCCAAGTACCTACAAGACAGGTCAGCCAGGCTTTGTTCACTTCTTGCCAGCAATCTAGTGTAAGCCTCTCAGAAATGCTTAATTAACAGAAAGTGGTGTTTAACAATGTCCCAGCTGGAAAATGGCAAGTGGAAACAGGAATTCTCTCATGCCTCGGTGGTCCTGCTTAAAATCTACCCTTCACCATCCATACTCATGCTGGCTAGGAAGTTGGGCGTCTTTCCCTCTGTGGGATCTCTGATGGGGCAATCAAGTATTTTGGGGCTCAGGTTCTCAGCCCTGG
The DNA here is from genome assembly GCF_000001405.40 of Homo sapiens. Classification (NCBI taxonomy): domain Eukaryota; kingdom Metazoa; phylum Chordata; class Mammalia; order Primates; family Hominidae; genus Homo; species Homo sapiens. The sequence continues at coordinate 27,059,692 of NC_000022.11, read as the reverse complement.
GGTCATTTGGTGTTCCAGGATCCATAGGTCACTCTCTACAGTTTCTGGCCCTTCCAGGGCTGTGGGCTTAGCCTCCAAGTTACTTTATGTCCTGCCACTCGCAACCTCAGTAGCCCATGGGTGCAAATGGCCACCTTTGGTTCCATAGTGACCATCTTGGATTTTACTCTGTAAGGCGCCATCTTGGTGTTTACTCTGTAGGGTGCCATCTTGGTTTTTATTCCATCTTGGATGTAAATGGCCTCCTATATGACTGATGGTGTTCAAAGAACAGGTCCTGAGCCTAGGGCAGTTTTTTGGTGGAACTTTAAGCCCAGCCCTTCCTGAGAGTTTTTAAACCAGGTGAATTCACGAACCACTCAGCTAGAAATCTAGCTGTCCACTTCCACAGGTAAACACCATGGGCATATTTGCTAAGTGATACCAATAAATGTGCTAGGCTTATACACTTATTGACTGAATGAAATATTGTCAGGCAAACCATGATCAGCTGATGGAGGAAGTATCACCAGCACTTTGCCTCTTATACTTAATAATGGATCATGTAATTTTAATTTTTCCAAAAAAACAGCTTTTATTTCTGAGGAAGTGGAAATACATTTGAAAACACCAGTTTCACTTCTGGCTGACTTGATGCTCAAAATTGGTTGACTTACCAGCCCAGAGATGACCCATGGTACTAAAAGCCCACTCCTTTCCAGCATTTAAACAGTAAGCCATTTGTTGGAAATTTAAAACAGCAGGTCCTTTGTTGAAAAAAAAAATTTTGCATATCTCCACTGACTAAGAGGTGCCATCTCCTCAAAAGACCTCAATATTTTGTCCTCGGCGAGGACTGTCTCATTACAAGAATTTGGAGGGAAGCCGCTTTTTCCATAAGACTGCATCCAACATTGACTTATTTCTCCAAGAAAAGGAGATTGTTCCTGATTAGCCAAACTCAGGACTCTAAAAACACAAAATGGTGACTTTTCCAAAGGAAACTATTTGGCTGCCTAACTGGAACCAGTGCTTAAGAGCCACAGATAGTCTCTAAAGTTAGATTTCAGGATGCAGATGTGGGTATGTACTCAAGCAAGACCTTGACATCTCTAAGCCTCAGTTTCCTGATCTTTAAAGTGAGCATAATGACAGTACCTCCTTCAATATTGTCACTGGAGGGATTAGATGAAATGATGCCCAGCAGTTGAATCACAGAAAGGTTCAATAACGTGCCTGAAGCCAGAGGAAGTTATGATAACAGGCATAATTTGAACTCAGGTGTGTGCTTGTTCAGCCATCATGTTGCATGGTGCTAGCTACCATGGTGCAGGTATGATGATGACTGGTGCTTACAAAAATCCAGAGTCATATCAGTTGGCTTTTTGGGCTGAATGGCTCAAAGGTCTTCAAAGAGAAGATTCTCAAAGAAACATATGGTTCACTAAACTGGTAAGCTTGTTTAGGAACAGAAGTGAGTGGCTATTTCCAAGCAGAACTGGTAAAGACCCAGTCTTTCATTTTATCTGGAAGGCCTCCTTTGCTTGCCATGCAAGGTGGGTTGTGGTGGTAAAGGCAATGGAAGGCGAAGTGACAGGATATGTTAATACACCAGAGAGAAGAGTTTACTTGTAAATAACTCTCATCACAGTTGACTCCTTTGAGTTATTGAGTTGCCTATGCCTTGATTCCAGATTGCATTAAGGATCAGCCATGTTTCAAGAGCTGCTGGCTACCCTCCCAGCATGCCTCTGATGAAGTTGCAACCTCTGAGGGCAATTCCTGGTGACAGTAACAAGCAGTGCAAGGTACCAACCAGCAGGACAGCACAAAGTAAAGGAAACAGTTGCATCATATGAAAACACAAAAGCTCACCTAATTAAGAACCAGCAGTGTTGTAATTGTTTGTTTGACAGTAACTCCTAAACCTGAACAGGTGCCAACACCATAACCCAGAGATCCCACATTAGGTACACACCTGACAAAAATGACTGCATATGTGCACTGAAAGACATGTGTGAGAATGTTCTGGGTGCATTCCTCTAATCCCTGAAACTGAGAACTACCCAAATGTCCATCAGCAGTTAAGTGGATACATTGTGCCATATTCCCAGAAAGGTGTACCATATCACAGGCTTGGCAAATCCAGCCGGTGGCCAAATCCAGCCACCTCCTGTTTTGTAAATAAAGCTTTATCAGACACAGCCGGGTTCATTCATTTATATATTGCTGATGGCAGCTTTTGTACTACAACAGCAGAATTGGCCCTTTCCAGAACAAACTTACCGACTCCTGCTGTGTAAGAATGAAAATCAGCTGTCTATAACTTCCCTGTGAAACGTGGGTGATTTTCACAAACATAATATTGAGTGAAAGGAGAAAACACACACAAGAACCTGTTGTGCAATTTCATTTACATAAAGTGCAAAGGCAGGCAGAACTAGTCTATGTTGCTAGAGGACAGAATAATGGCTATCCATGAAGGATAGTAACTGAACTGGGCGCTGGGAACATTCTGATTCTTAATCTGGGTGTCGATTACGTGGGAGTTCATTTTGTGAAAATTCATCAAGACGCACACATTGATGTCTACACTTTCCCACATGCACGTTGTTCGTCGATAAAGATTTAAAAATAAATAAAAAAAAGAAACGGTGGGTGTAGATAGTGATGCCAAGTATTTTCTCAATGTATTTCCTGGACAGAAAGCTCAAATAACAGATTGTCAAGTTAGAAAACAGATAACTTTAACTTTTACACATGAACACACATTTATTCATTCACTCTACAAATGTTTATCGATTACTCACCACGCGCCAGGTGCTAGGGAATCGGCAGTGAATGAAATGGAACACAGCCCCTGCCTGCTTGGTACTTACATTCACACTCACATACGCCCAGGAAGCCTCACACAGGCATGCACCCACACTTATCAGCATGGACCTGGAAACACACGGGCCCAGGACCTGCATTTGCAGGTGGAGCCCTTCTCAAGCAAGCACTTTTCAGAATGTTGCTTTTCCTCCTCTCTACTGTAATCACTGCCTCCCTCATCCCACAGACATAGGAACTGAGGAAGGAGCTCAGCTTATTCTACATTACCCAGAGGAACCTGTATCTTCAGAGTGCTATGGGCCTGTACAGGCCAGGAATCCAGTTTAGACCCCAAAGGGTGATGGGTCAAACCAGCTTTCCCAGGTCACATTGGCATCTGAGATATATGGAGGTCAAACAGAAGGACACCCAGGGCTGAGTGAGGAGGTGACCTTGAACTCAAGGATGCCCTTGGATGCTCCTTGGATTTTCTGCCGGGCTTCCTGCACTCAGTGTGGTTACCTGCCACCCATGCATGTGGTCACTAGAGCCTTGCGACCCAGTGGCCAGGGTTTTCCCACATGTGAATGAATGGCATATTTGTACCTCATCTTCTTGAAAAAAAAAAAATGCCAGAATGATAGAGCTGGGGATTCATGAGCCCAAGTCCTGCATGTTGTGAATAAGGAAATGGGGGTCTCACTGTGGGGAGGACCTTGCCCAAGTTTTCATGCTCAGCCCAGGCCATGCCTGCAGGACTCCAACCAGGAGCCTGTCCCTTACTCTAGGTGAATGCTTCACTGCTGAGGTGCTCACACTGAAAGGGGACAGCTGATCCTTCTCTAATGGCCTCATCACTTAGATGAAATCCACCTCCTTACCCTGGAAGATGTGACTGCGTGACCTGGTCCCTGCTCACCTCTCTGACCTCATCTCCTGCCACTCTACTCTTCTCCAGCCTCCTTTATGTTCCTCCAACATCCCATGCTCATTCCCACCTCAGGGCCTTTGCATACACTGTTCCCTCTCCCTGGAGCACCCTTCACTCTGGATCATGAGGTTAGCTCCTTTGATTCATTGGTGTCTTAGCACAGATGTCATCATCTCTCAGAGAGGCCTTCCCCAGTCACCTCATCTCAGCAAGACACCATCTCCTCATTCTCTATCCCCCTACCCTTATGTGACTTTCTTCACAGCATTCATCACCATCTGAAATTATCCCCTTTATTTATTTGTCTATTTTGTGAGCACTATCAGGGCAAGGATTGCCTTCCTGTTCATTGCTCTATCCCAGCGCCTCCAAGAAGCTTGACATGTAGTAAGCATTTAGGATACGTTAAATAAACAAATGGATGAAGGAATGAAAAAAGCATCTATACTAGACTAGCTCACAACGCAGCGACATCTCTGAGGGATGCAAGCTCTCCTGGCCACCCTGATTAAGACATCTCCAGTATCAAGAACAGCTTCTGGATTGTTTGTATGTGAAGCATATTGACCCAGGGTGAAGGGAAACTTGACAGCAATTTGTGTTTACATCTTTGATCAATAGACATCTCAATGCTCACCCCAACACAATCTATTGCTGATGGTTATTAATTATGGTGCCTTCCTTTTCTCGTATCTCCTTGACACCCATGAGGTTTGTCCTTGTTCGTCTTCTACTATGGGGAGTTCCCAGGCCTTTAGTGGATGCTGAGAAGGAGTCTCTGAGTGTTGTTTATTTTCCCCACCCAACATTTGAACCACAGCTCTAGACTCTGCCCCTGTCTCTCCCATGTGCACCTGTGAAGAGGCTGAGTTGGGGACATTGTGGGTAGAGGGCACCTTAGTTCCAACTTCAACTCTGTCCTCCACTCACTGTGCGTCCATGGCCCCATCACTTTCCCCTCCCTAGGACTTGATTCTACTCACCTTCAAAACGAGAAGGCTCTTAGAGACCCCTTCAAGTTCTGAAACTTTGGAATTTTTCATGAACAGTCTTTATACTTTTAATACCGAGTCCTGCCATCTTCTTCGTTGGACACGTGGTCCGTTCCTATAATTTCTGAATTGCATCCATTCACTCAACAATAACTCTTACATTCAGATACCCACCTAACGGATACTTTTTGAGAATCTTCAAATGTCCCTATGAAGCAACTGGGATATACTTAGCCACAGTTACTGTTAAATAAAAGGCACTCAATCTCCCTTCTCTAGTTATTTAATGTAAGCCTCCCAAGAACTTTGGGAATAAAACTGTAACCTACCTATTACACAGATGAGGAAACTAAAGCCCAGCATGGTCATGGACTTGCCCAAGGCCACACAGCTATTGAGTGGCTAAACCAGGATTTGAACCCAGAGACATCTGGCCTAAACTTTGTAATCTGACCCTTCCAACTTGGGATCCCAGCCCTAAAATACCATCCACTCTGCCCCTCTTTAGGAGAGATCTCTGGAGGTTCATTTAGCTGTATGCCAGTGTTTCTCATCAAAGAGAGAACCATTTTAAAGAAGGACAGTGATTGTTATAACATTGAGCCAAAGCATCCATGGCTTATAGCCTGGGAGAGTTCACAAACTGGGTCTAATTAGTTGCCACCAATTAACATCAAATCACCCTTCAACTGGGTACCACAATCATCTCAAAATCAAAAAGACAGACGACCCAGATCATACTTAAAGAAAGAGGCTACGCATCAAATGCCATTTACTATGCTAAGCAGATCCCTTTTTCCTACAATGTGCTGATTTTGAGACACGGAAATACATTCAAATTAACCCCTGAGCTATTCCTCTTCTAAATTCTCCATTTAGGGTTGACTCCATGGCGCGTGATATTACTAATTCAGAGCTCCGAGAAGGCATGCTGATTGCCTTAGACGTGGGTAAGGACTCTGCTAACACATAGTTTCATGCCGGGTGGAAATCAGAGCTCAGGGCGCATGCTTCAGCTTCCAGAGCAACATGGAAGATCTCCCTTATCCCCACCCCAGGACCTGGCTCCAACCAAATCCATTCTTGAGCTCATTAAACAAATATTTATGGCCAGGCATGGTGGCTTGCACCTGTAACCCCAGCACTTTGGGAGGCTGAGGTGAGAGAACAACTTGAGGCAAGGAGTTTGAGACCAGCCTAGGCAACATAGTGAGATCCCATCTGTACAAAAATTTTAAAAATTAACTGGGCATGATGGTGCATGCCTGTAGTCCCAGCTACTCAGGAAACTGAGGCAGGAGAATTGCTTGAGTCCAGGAGTTCGAGGCTGCAGTGAGACAGACAGCCTGTCTCTTACTGTCTCTTTATATATATATATATATATATATATATATATATATATATATATAGAGAGAGAGAGAGAGAGAGAGAGAGAGAGAGAGAGAGAGAGAAAGAGAGAGAGCACCTACTATGCGCTGGACACTGTCCTTGGTGCTGGAGATGTGAGCTAGGGCAGAGAATAAAAAATAAAAGGTTCTGCCTTTAAGATACTTACATTGTAGTGGGAGAGACAGATAATAGTAATAATAAATTATATACCACATTTGATAGAAAAAAGTTCTATGAAGGCAAATGAATCAGGGTCAAGCAGCAGACGGTAGTGTATGGCAGAGATTGTGACTTAAAGTAGGGTTATCAGGGAGGATCTTGCTGAGAAGAAGATGAATGAATCAAAATTTTATTCCAAGGCTACTGAAAGAATCCAAGGAAAGGTGATTGGGCCTCCATCCACAACAGAAACAGTGGCAATGCAAGGGCAGCTTAAAGTCGCAGAATATTTTGAAAGTAGAGCCCACAGTGGTTGTGATGGAGTGGAAGGTGAGCAGTGGAATAAAGGGAAGAGATAAAGGTGACGCCAAGGTTCCCCGAGCACCTGGGAGGGTGGATTTGTCATTGCCTGCAATGGATACACCTGCTAATAGAATGGGGAGGATTGGTTCCATTTGGGGCACACTCTGTTTGAGATGCCTGCACGACAGTCACATGGAGTTGTCTAGCAGGCCACGTACGTTCCCTGTAGAGCTTGCTCCAAGCAAAGTCCATTATGTCCTTTCGTGGCCCCTGCTGTATGTTTTGTTCATACCAAGCCTCTACCTGAAGGGCCCTCCCTCATGTCAACAGGGGCAATCCCTGTGTTTGCCATCCCAACTAGTCCATGAACCTGGAATCCTGCTGCCCTTCAGAAATCTCCTAGTCCCTTTCTCTGTACCTTTTGCAGGCATTTCTTCTTTCCTACCCAGCTCCTAACAGGCAGATGAAAGAGGAAATATTTAAGGGTTGGGAAGGGCATGAGGGGAGGCCCTGCCCTCATATCTCACAAGTGACCAACTCTCTCCTTGGGAGTATTCTGACCTGCCTTCTCCCTGTCTCCTGAGAACCCCAGTCTCTTCTTAAGAGCCACAGGCCTTTTCACAATATGCCTTTATCAATATGATTCCAGTAAACGTTTCAGTTCCGCATATAAATTCCAGCACCTGGCTGCCCAGCTCAATGATCAGACCATAAAGATGTAATAATGCAATTAAAAGGTATGGCCCGTCACCCTCGTAAAGCTGGAGATCAATGCGGGGGTGAGTGGGGGAGCTGAAGGCAGCAGGGGGAGAAATCTGGCTTCCTTGCAGTGTCTGAAGGATGAAGAAACAGAATCAGGGGAAAAAGTACCTGGCCAGGCCTTGGGGAGAGGTTTTGGCTCTGGCTTGGGGTCCTAGCCTAGGCCTCTAACCTCTCCATAGAGGGTTGGATGTTAAAAGTCATGGGTTCTGTCTCCAGGCCAGACTCAGGAGGTTTGAGGCTTTAAACATGTCCCTTCTACTCTATAAGCTTCAGTCTCCTTACCAGTAAAATTGGTGTATGATAATACTATCTTCTTCACAGAGCTGTTGAGATAGAACAGATCCAAATAATTTTAGTGCCAGAGAGGTTCTGAGTTCAGGGGCTACAGACTCAAATACCTACAGGGGCTGGACAGAGGTGCACATGAGGGAGCGAGGTGGGCCAGGTGAAGAGAAATAGGGAATGATGGAGACTGGGGCACAATGGGCAATACAAGTCTCATTGAAAGAAGGCAGCACTACCCTTTTCTTCCTGCCAAGGCAGGAAGTCTGATGTCATGCAGGGATGTCAGCCTGGTGTCACCAGATCTAATTTTTAAAGAGGAGTACAATTTAGATATGAGACTTCAGAATTTTCACAACTCTACATTAATAAAATGTCATCACATCTGCTGGCCATATACAGCCAGGGGCCTTCCATTTTCCACCATTCCTCTGGGCCAACTTACTTGGGTTGATGGGCCTCTACTAATGCATGACGTCACATTCAGCCTGTTTGTTTCCAAGCATGTGTGCGTGTAGAATTATCACAGTACATAAACTGTGGCACAGAACTGCCCAAGCTCACCTCCCAGCTCTGCCTTTGGCTGACTGTGTGATCTCTGGCAAGTTACTTAGCCTCTCTGTGCCACAGCTTCCTCAGGTGAAAAGTGAAGTTAGGAGCGATTCCTACTCAGAGCATTGATTTGATGACCTCTCCCTGCAAAGCACTGAGGACAATGCCTTGGTGATCAAGAGCTTCTTCCTAAAGGTTGCTTTTCACGGATGCACAAAGGTGCTCATGATAGGCATGGAGGTCATGGCTTGCTGCTCTCAGTTCCAGAGCTTGCAATGACAACCTGTCATCCCTCTCCAAGTGCATTTCTCTTCCCAAGAAGGGAACCACCCTCAAACCAGAAACTTGGACAACCTCCTTCTTCTGCCTCACCTGCTTCCTGTAAGAAGCCAGCCCCATGGAATCAACCCCCGGTAACATTCCCTGGGTCTGGTTGGTTCTCTAGGCCTCACTGCCACCATCCGCCTCTGTCTCAGTCTCTCTCCTAACTGGTTTTTCTCTCTCTCCTGGCCCCTGCCTGCCATCTCCACTGCGGCTGCCTGAAGGAGCTCTCAAAGTCACACATCCTCCCACCTTTTCACTGATGCCTTTCAGCTCCCAGAACACCACATGCTCTTTACCAGCTTCATGGTTGTGCTTTGACTGCTCCACCTGGAATGCTGCTTCCCATTTTTCCACCTCAGACTTGCTTGGCTAATTTCTACTTTCCTTCAAGGCGCAGCTCAAGTCATTCCTCCTCCAGGCAGTCCTCCCTAATCCCTTAACAGTGTTCAACGCCTTCTCTGTGCTTTTATGCCTCCGGGTTCTATGAAAATCCTGGAATTGATCACACTGAACTTTCACTGTCTGTTTCCATAACTATGTCCCTCTGCAGCCTGCAACCTGGGAGGACTGGGGCCCTATCTTATTTATCCCTATATACCTCCTGTGATCGGCAGAGGAGAATATGCTTGTTGAATGAGTGAATGAAATGATTCAATGTTTTCTTAGTGTGAAACATTGTCATCATCATCATTAAGGGGGATATTGAAAGACAAGTTATGAAGCTCATGTCACAAACAGGTCCTGGAGATTCTGGGTCCTCTGAGATCAAATCCTGAAGTGCAACTGGCATTTCCAGGAGTGGAATCCAGGACTCACACCCAGGACAAGCAAAGACACAGTGGCGGTGAGATCACTACATTATGAGACAGCCAGCTCCACCTGGAAGCATCTCTACTAGTTAGAAAGGTCTACATTGCCTCCTAGGTACTTCCAAATCTTCTCCTTGTTCTGGTCACTAAAGATGAGAGAGATTAGCTGTGTTTTCTCCCACCCATTCATACTGGCAAACAGAAAGAGCTTAAAGGGGCAGAAGGGAGTGGGTGATACCTCTAACCGAAGTTTAACTTGGGGCCTATGAATATATTTCAGGGGGTCTTTGAGCATCCTGGATGATTCATTGCCTTGCTCAGCAATTTATTCAACAATCACAGGACACTGGACACAGAGATGAACAAAACAAATGGACTTCCTGCCCTCACAAGGATTACGGCTCTAGAGCAGGAAGACAAACCTTCATCAAACAACATGTAAATACAGTCATGCGTCATTTAACAACAGGGATACGTTTTGAGAAATGTGTCATTAGGCGATTTCATCATCGTGCGAACATCATGGGGTACTTACACAAACCTAGATGGTATTAATATTTTTGCATGTTTTTATTTACATATTAGGTTGGTGCAAAATAATTGTGGTTTTGCCTTAAAAGTAATGGCAAAAACCATGATTACTTTTACACCAACTTAATATTTTTTTCATATGGAAAACCAAATGTTTCAGCACCATTACTGAATATCAGTCATTTTTCCTACTTGATCTGCAATGTCAATATCAAATGCTATTCATCAGGTTTCTATATATATTCCATTATAATCTTATGGGACCACAATCATATATGTGGTCCATTGTTGACCGCTATTTTGTTATGCAGTGGGTAACTGTATATATCATATCCCCACTAAGGAGAGAGGTTAAGATGGAGTCACAGTAGTTGGCCTGGTCTGATAGATGGGGAACGGCATCTCTGAGGACTAGGGCTGAGAAGGGATTAGGACTAAAGGAAGAGGGGAAGGAAGGGACTCCCTGGCAGACAGAGCAGTGAGTACAAAGGCCATGTGGTGAAAGGAAGTATTGGAAGTGACTGGGAGTAAAATAATGGATATGAGAAGCTCTCAAGAGGTACACGAAGGATTGCATAAAACTCTAAAATGTTTAGAACCCTGTTATCTGAGCCAATGATTCTGGAACTGTGGCCTAAAGAACACTTATTCAGAAATGCAGGCCCCAGACCTCTTGAATCAGACTCCAGTGGCAGGACTCTGGGATGTATATTTTACTGAAAGATTAGATACACCTTAAAGCTTTAAAACTTGTCTGTTTGCATGACTATGTCCCTCTGTAGCCTGCAACCTGGGAGGACTGGGACCCTATCTTATATATCCGTATGTATCTCCTGTGCTTGACACAGAAGAGAATATACTTGTTGAATGAGTGAATGAAATGATTCAATGTTTGCTCAATGTGAAATGTTGTCATCATCATCATTAAGGAGAATATTGCAAGACAAGTTATAAAGCTCATGTCACAAACAGGTCCTGGAGACTCTGGGTCCTCTGAGATCAAATCTTGAAGTGCAATTGGCATTTCCAGGAGTGGAATCCAGGACTCACACCCAGGACAAGCAAAGACACAGTGGCAGTGAGATCATTACATATACTCTCCTGAAGCACTCCCCTACCATCCCCCTACAACACAGTATTTTGGCAACTATTGCTAGAAAAATGGGAACTACGATGTATTAAGTACCTACCATGTGTTACCTCCTATATGAGCTTTATCTCATTTAATCTTGGCAGTGGTCTTATTTTACACACAATGAAACTGAGGCTCAGAGAGGTGAAGTCACTAAGTCAGGTAATGGCAGATCTGGCATGCACACCTAAGTCTATGTATCACCTGAGCCCAAGCTCATTGCTTCTTCCTGACCATGCTTCTTCCCTTTCAGCCCTTCCACTCCCAAGGCTCCCCACTCCATCCTCATGATAAGCCAAAGTTGAGTACTCTGGACACCAGAATAATAAGTGGGAAAGAGAGGGACGGGTCTGATGAGTTACCATGAAATGAGCACCGGACTGTGGGTCAAGAGGCCAACCCCAGCTTTGCTGCTGACATTCTGTGTTGTCTTGAACAAGTCACACCCTCTCTTAAGGTCTCCATTTCTTCATCCATAAGTGAAATAAATCTATAAAAATATCCACCTGTCTTGTATCATGGACTTTAATGAGATAATGTCTAGAAAAAAGAGTTCTATGGCACAAATAAAATAAGTGAATAGTAACTAACATTTGTTAAGCCTCTACTATGTGCTATTTAATGAACAGTAACCTTGCGAGCAGATGAAGAAACAGAAGCTCAGAGAATATGGGAACAGAGATACTGTGCTGTTTCCAAGCTGGTATCTCAAAGGGCCTCTTGCAATTCTTCTCTCTCTTGGACTCTAGAGAGAGAGTCCATGCACCATGGACCATGCACCATGAGAACAAGCCCAGGCTGGCCTGATGGAGGAAAAAACAAGTGATTTACCCAAGGTCATGTAGCCAGGAGATTGCCTGAAGAAGCTTGCCTGGACCAAGGCCTATCTCATTCCAGAACTAAGTCCATGACACTATGCTGACTCCCAGTGACAAAGCTTTATACATATAAATTATCCAATATAGATTTTCTGGAGGCCAGATATTTCCCTAAAGTAGAGACTAGGATGGTGGTAATTTCAGGACAGGTACAGGCATGAGCTAGACCACTAGGGCTAGGGAACCACTTACTACTCATAGAATCATGAAGAATTTGCCTGGAAGCAATCTCAAATAGAATCTTCTCCATCTTACATATTGTACAGATGGCAACACTGAGGCTCAGGGAGGATGAGGGATTGTCTGAGACCCAAAAGGGTATAGAAACAAATGGAGATAGAAACAGAGCTCAAATGAGCCAACTCCTCCCTTCCTGCTCAAAATGCCATCTAATTCAGATGTCCAAGGAAGGGAGGCTGAGAGTGGGAGTGAGAATCACTGGGAGAAAGAAGAGATGAGCTAAGACTTACATGCAGACAAGACAGAGTCAGGGTGAGAAGGAAAAGAAGGGCTAAGTCATCTCTAGGATGATGGGCCATCATGGCTGGCCTTGGAACATTTGAACTTAGAGCCAGAGGACTCTAAGTTCAAGTCTTATTTGATTTATTTGCTTGCAAAACTGGCCCAAGTTTTCCCTACCTTCCTGTGTCCTTGCCATTTGCAATGTGTCTTTTCAGTTCCCTCTATTAGATAGTTGTGTCTGTCTCCAACTCTTCAATTTGTATTGGCAGTGTCACTTACTTTACCCACAGAATGTGTGCAGTGGATCCGGTGCCTTTTCCAAGCCTGGGCCCTAAAAGTCCTTGTGAGTTTCTGCTATTTCTCTTGGAACTTGCTCATCTACCATGATCTCTTAGTGAATTAGAGACACATGGCCCTACATTTCCATCATCCTGGTCCAATAGTCAGCCAACCACCAGACTTATGCAAATCCATCTTTTTGCATGAATAAGCCCAGTCATGATTAGCTGAGTCCAGCCCAGACTACTAAAACTGCCCAGTTGACCCGTAGACTTGTAGGCAATAACAAATGCTTGTTGTTCAAAGCCACTGAACTTTGGGGTTGTTTGTTACTCAGCAACAGCTAACTGATACATCTTGGTCCCCTTACTTCCTAACTTTGTGATCTTGAAAATAATCACTTCACCTGGTCTCCAAGCCTTCATTTCCCCATTCGCAAAATGGTGGTGATCATGATGATGTAATAAGGCTAACCTCCCAGAGTCTTTATGTAGATTAAACAAAATAATACATTCAAAATTAACAGCACAGTGCCTAGCATACAGTGAGAGCTCAATATCTGTTGATTTCTTTCTTCCAAGGGGCCATGCCATAGCCTGGGTCCACCCAGAGATTAGAGAATGTATGGATTGCCTCACAGGGACCTTTTCAGAAAGACCTGTAATTAAATAGAGGTTAATAGGTCCTGGAATTCCAAACCACCATCCATCCTCTTGAACTCCTGGCCTATGGGCCAGTCAGGGAAGGGGCAGTGCCAGGGCAGGCAGCCCTGATGCAGGCTAAGTTCAGCAGTGCAGTTTGCTCTGCTTGCCAGAGCTTGCATGTTTACATACATCCCATAATTACCATCTGCACAGCCAGAGGCATTTGTTGCAAATGGGCCGTTTCCATCTGTTGAAGCAATTTCTTCAGAGGAATTTGCATTGATCACTTTTTTATGCAAAGCTTTTGTATAGATCATTTTTCCCCCCAATGGTTTTTAACAGGTCTAAATATTTGAGGGGCAGGGAGTGGCCTCAGAAGGAAGGAGGTTGCAGACTGGGCAAAGTCGTGGTGCAAGGGAGAAGCTGGGGGAGGCTGCTCTTCCACAAAACTCCACCTGTATTCCTCATCTAGAGACCCAACTCAACCAGTGTTAAAGACCCCAGACTAGGTAATGCCATTTCAAATATTTATTGTTTGCCTTTATACTTGAGCTGGTAGCTGGTGGTTAATGGAGAGGCCGCAGAATGAGGGAAAATGGGGCGTGGTAATTAAGCAGGCAACTGGTGACTCCAGCTCAGAGCTCTGTACCTGAGAGGACCAGATGGACGATTTTGCATATTTCTGACAGCTGTAATGAACAGGGCAGCTCCGTATTGATTAAATGTCTGGGAAATTAGTGCAACCCTCTGGAGCTTCATTATTTACTATTTCTGCTCAAATTCTCAGCAAAGTTTACACAGGCAGAAGTCTGCAATAAGAGAAGGTAGAAAAGAGGAGACAGTTGAACAAGATGATTAATGCTTTATAGAGTGTCAGCCCAACAGACGCAGAACAGAGAGGTGAATGTGGTTTTGACATTGAGCTCCTGGAGGCTAAAGATCTTGGTGGATTCATTTCTGCATCCCCAGTATCCAGCAAAGTATCTGCCACGTGGTAGGCTTTCAGGAAATGACTCACCCTGGACAGAGCATTTAACTAGAAATCAAAATCTGGGTTCTGGATCTGTGCAGAGATTTGGTCCTCAGTAAGAAAATGACAGACCCCAGTCTATCCCACATTTATAGAAGATGAAGTCATGCCCTTGAAAATAAAACCTGAAACTTTCGCAAACAAAAAGTTCATGTGTAAGTAACTGCTACCCTGGCACTCCCCCAGCCCCATGTTGATTCTTCTCTGAGCACTGTCACATTCCTAAGGACAATGATCAACCAAAGGATGCTGCAAAAATAAAAGTCCCCCCAAACATGTCTCAGCAAGGTTCAGGTGGAGTTTGTCAGAGTGTGGTCTGCAAAACACCTGCATCAGGATCACCTGGGGATCTTACTCACTAAGAATCAATGGGCTAGAAAAGCTTCCAAGGAATTTTGATGTGCTAAATTTTGGAGATAACTATGGGCTCTAAATCCTGAGTTCCAATCCTAATCCTGCTTCTTATCAGTCATGTGACCTTGCATAACATGGCACGATGTTCTTTGAATCTGAGTCTCTTTCCTCATCCAGAGCTGGATAACAGGATTCACCTCTTGAAAGCTCGCTGTAGGATTCAATGAGATAACATATGGAAAGAACAATGTTCTGTATACAGTAGGTGTTCAGTAAATGCCATTTAGGATTATTGCTATTGGAGAGAGTATCTTAGGAGTTGTTTTACGAGGTCAGATTTGCCCAGATTAAAGGCCTTGAGGCTGACCCTGGAGCTGCCCTAGCCTCGGCCCCTAACTCATGACCTCCCCTAACTCATGACCTCTCCATTCAGTAAGCCATGTTCTGTTCTTTCCCCTGGTATCTGATCTCCCATGCATGACTTCGCACTAGGAAAAAAGTCTGAAATGCTTGAATGTGCCTAGATCCTTCTCTTTAAGATTTTTAGTGACGCCTCCTACTCCTGATACCACTGATCTGACCACCCTTCACCTAACACCTATTGGTTCCAGCCCTTGGCAAGCAAGCACACTTGTTGCAGCAGAATTTCAATGTGTTCATCAGGAGAAGAGAAAGAAAAGTCCCTGGGTAAGAGGCTAGGTATTAGCCAGATACACAGATTGGTGTAAAGGAGTTTTCAGCAACACTGTTTTCTTTGATCATATCCACAGAAGCCAATCAGGTCTTAACTAGCATAGTCAGGCTTCAGTAAATGTTGAAAGAATGGAAGATGAATGGACACATTCAATAAATGACAGATATATTGATGTTGATGAGGAGGAGGAGAAGGATAGTGACGGTTCCCTTTTGCCACAGGATTCACCAAGATTTTCTCATTTATATTACTGTTTCCTGGAGACATTTGTATTTGAGACCCTGATTTCTTAGCTGGATGAAGAAATGGATGGATGGATGGATGGATGGATACATAAGTGGGTGGATAGATACGAGTGGAAGGATGGATGGATGGATGGATGGGTGGGTGGACGAGGGTGAATGAATAGAAAGAAGGACAAAAGGGAAGGAGGGAAGAAGAAAGAAAAGAAAATGAGATGTAAAGGGAATAAACAGAAAGAATGAAGAACAGGGAAAGAAAAGAAAAATAGGGAGAGGAGAGAGACCATAAATTCTATTGTGCTGTAAACACTCATCAAGCAAGACTAAGAGAAAATGAAGTAAATTCATCCAATGCATCATGGAATATTACTGTACTTCATTTACTTTGCCTCCAATTAGGTAAAAAGCCTATTCTATTAACAGCTACCCTTGCAGATCCAGACAAAATTAACTCCTGGTGCCTCATCCCGGCAGCAGGGCAATTGATTCTTCCCCATAATCAGTTTATTTCATTAGCAATACATTTATTTGGTACATGCATTTTGCCACACTGCAGCAATGAAATGGCCCTGCAAGGTGCGGGGCATGGGGGAGCGCATGGAATATTAACCAAATCGCTATTACCGCCATGGCAGTGCTTAAAGATCATATGTAAATCAAATGTCAGGGGAGAAAATTGTAGCAAGGGCTGTCAGGAAACAATTTACCAGTGGTTAAAGGCACAGCTCATGGCTGGGTGAATTGTGAACTTTGCAAATGGAAAACCAAGCTGGCTTTCACTGTGGGAGCTGATGAGACCTGAAGGAAGAAGAGTGGGGAGGCTGGGAACATATTGGATATTTTGTACCCTGCAAAAATCAAAACAAACAAACAAAAATCGCATTCACTTTTAAATATTTGCAGCCAGTTGCTATGGTGAGTTCCCACTGAAAGTGAATCTTGCTTGTTGAAGAATTTCACCACCATTTCTGTCCTGTTTATCTAGAAGGAGGATTTCATTATGTGTAAAAAGCAGTTGTTGGTAAAAAGTAGTGTGGTCTCTTTCTTCCCAGGCTTGTAGAAATTGTTCCAGAAATGGTTTCCATGTTGGAAAAAAAAACCATACTGTTACTGTTATCATTGTAATATCTTATGTCCCCAACATGTGTGACCTGTAATTCTATTCTTGGGAATTTACCTTTGTGAGTTGAGTATGTGTGTGTGTGTGCCATGCATGTGTGTAATGCTTACGCAGGGTACTTTGCAAGCAGGGTTCTGTCATTCTTCTCAGTATTTCAAGCAGGAGGGGATTTGATACATAGAGTCAGAAGCTTCCTTACTTGTTGGAAAGACAGGGAGAGCAAAGCTCAGAAAAGCTTCCAGGAAATGCGGAAGCTCAGGGACCGCAGGAAATATTCATGGGTAATGTTGGCTGCAGGTATCCAGGAAATAGATGATTCCCAGGCATCAATAGAAGCCACCTGCACAACCCTCGCCTTCCCTCTGCACCTGCTGCAGCTACCTCTATGCGACTATGGCTTCTCCACCTTTCAAATTGCATGTGAGGGCTACTTCTCCCAGACAACTTCTCTCTCCATAATTCATTTCACGAGAAGAATATTGCTTTAGAATGTAAATCGTGACTCCAGCACCAGAAATGAGACCTTGGCCAAGTCAGCTCACCTCTGTGTGCCTCAGTTTTCCCAGTTCTGAAATGAGCTTAATAGTGCCTTGTCACAACAGAGACAGGGCCAGGATGAAGTAACGTGATGTAGGTAAAATGTCTAAGTACTTGGCACGTAGTAGGGACCCGGTTAATGTCAATTGCTTTTTGTTCTCTTTCTTTTACCCTTTGTGTAACCCTCAGAGGTTCATTTAAAGCCAATTCTCTCCGTATAGATATTGCCAGGGTACATGGAGCGATTTCCCAGGGTTCCTGGTTCCCCTGGGAAAAGTCCTCCCTTAAAGAAAGCCATTAAGGATTTAATTTCTTATCATCTTCCATTCCAACTAGCCAGAGTGTTATGAATAATATCCTATTAGCTGGAGACATTCAAACAATCACCCGTTAACATGTTCTTACGGCGAAATGATGAAGCGTCCTCCGAAATCACGGTGCTTATCTGCGGCCCACTCAGCAGGCACTCCATCACTCCCACCAACGACACATCTTGTATTGCTGTCTTGGATTCCAACTAATCACTGAGGGGCGGGCAGCGGGGTGAGAGGAGAGCCAGAAGCCTCCAGGACTGCAAGCTCCTCCTGCAGCCTGGCCTGCCCTGTGGTACATAGTAATGTGCCTATCCCAGAGGGGATTGAAGCCACTTCTTGAGAAATACCATGAAACAAATCACAAACACAGAGTGATTTTGTAACACGAAAACAAGGTCAATAAAACCATGATTGTGAACCGCATCAAGACAAGCACAGACAAAAATGAAGAAGAGTTACGTAGAGGAGTTATTGAAAAAAAAGGCAAATGAAACAGCTAAAATAGAGGCATCAACTTTCACGAGTTAGAGGAGCTCTTAGAGACTGGCTACTGCAGTTTTTAATTCCCTGCCCCAGCCCCTAGTAGTGTGCCCTAGAGGCTTAGTCCAGAGAGATGCCCCATACAGAGCATTCACCGCCACATAGGTTGGGGAAAAAAAAAAAAAGAAAACACCGAATATCTAAGTTCTTCTTGTTGCTTTGCAATGCACATCTCATGCTAAGGGTCAACCTACCTTATGGGAAAGACACCCATTTACTTTTTTTTTTTTGAGACAGAGTCTCGCTCTGTCGCCCAGGCTGGAGTGCAGTGGTGCCATCTCTGCTCACTGCAAGCTCCACCTCCCAGGTTCATGCCATTCTCCTGCCTCAGCCTCCCAAGTAGCTGGGACTACAGGCGCCCGCCACCATACCCAGCTAAATTTTTTTTGTATTTTTAGTAGAGACGGGGTTTCACCGTGTTAGCCAGGATGGACACCCATTTACTTTTATCAGTGCAAGGCTTACTAACCTATTGAACCACAGAATGTCTTTTTGTCCCCACATACACCAAAACATATTCCTTGGTAGTGACGGATCTTTCTACTAGCCAGTGAGCATAGTTTTCTTCTTTATTTAGTCTCTCTTGATGAATATATATATCTGTGTGTGAATATATACATATATATATATATTTTAATTTTTATACTGGTCAGAGAGCAAATGGAAGTGTGATGCATATTGCACAAAATGTAGCTCTACCCCAAGGAAAGAGGAAAACAAGCTAATAGATTTGGTGTTCCTACTATGTGCTAAGCATTTCAGATGCATTGTCCTGCTTACCTCTCACAATAACCCTATGAAGCACGCTCCGTTCTTCCCCCTTACTTAACCCATTGTTTCTCAGTGACAAAAATGAGGCCAGAACAACTAGCTAAAGAGTCTGACCCCGGGCCAGTGAGAGCCCACATCTGGATTCTGAGTCCTGGCCCAGAGCACCTTTCCCTGTGATACCATGCTCCTTTGTTCTTTGGGATGCCAGGGACCTGTTTCTGGCCTCTCTCTAAGGACATGATGAGTTTGTGTGCATGACTTCAGAGGACTGATTCACGGACCTGCTAAGATCCAGGACTACCTATGATTCCACACTGCTGAGACCGTGAGCAGAAAATACTGCACGGGAGTAAGTAGGTGAAGATGGCATCTACCTGCTGCTGCCTTCATACTGTGAAGAGACAAAACCTATCAAGACAGGTGAGATGCAGTCTCCCTGCTCTCAGCATGCAACAGCTCGAAATGATTCATTAATCCTCACAATCCACCAGTAAGTCCTTACAGTTACTATATCCACTTTTAAGATGAGCAAACTGAGGCTTGCTGAGGTTATGAAACTTGCCAAGAAGTAAAGTCACCTAGAGTTTAGGAGAGAAAAAAGAATGTCTTGGGAATAAAGAAAAAAAGCAACAAGAAGGACAAAGGATCATTTTTGAGCCCTTTCTATGTGGCATTCCAGGCTGGGATTCTTCATTCAGCCTTAGCTGAAATTAGAACAAAGCAGGTGGCCTGGTCCTAAGCAGGTGGCAGGTCCCATTTTACAGTTGATGCTTCTGAGATCCGAGGTTTTAAGTAACTCTTCCTAGATCATGGCTAAGACTGGGATACTCTTTGTTTATTTGTTTGTTTGTTTGTTTTTGAGATGGAGTCTCACTCTGTCACCCAAGCTGGAGTTCAGTGGTGCAATGTCAGCACACTGCAACCTCCACCTCCTGAGTTCAAGCAATTCTCCTGCCTCAGCCTCTCTAGCAGCTGGGATTACAAACATGTACCACCATGCCCCATTAATTCCTGTATTTTTAGCAGAGATGTGGTTTCGCCATGCTGGCCAGGCAGGTCTCAAATTCTCGGCCTCTTGCGATCCACCCGTCTCAGGCCCCCAAAGTGCTGGGATTATAGGCATGAGCCACCGAACCCTAAAATTGGGACACTCTCTTGTTCCCAGCCCGGGCTCATCCTCTTTCCTCTCTCCTTCCCTTACCTCCCTAAGGAATCTCAGTGACTGCTCTTTTTCTTGGGATTGGTGATAAGGAAGGGACTGATGAGACATTGGCAGATGGAGGAGAGGAACAGCTCTGGGAAGGATGCTCCTACTTAGGGGTACTTCCATGCTTAAGTGCTTCCCTTCCGTTCTCTCTGACCTTGGGTGGCTGCAGTCGCCTTAAGTGCACAGTAATATACTCTCAGTCACTGTTCAATGCCCAAGGGAATGGTTTAAGGCCCTCCACTGGAGTGAATATTTTTATGCAGGCTATAATTTCTTTTAAGACCTTCACAGCATTCCTGCAGCCTCCACCATGCCCTCTCCTCCAGAGAGCACACAGAAGAAAGAACAGCCACTTTCTAATGAGGGGAGCCACGAACTTCAGGCAGAGAAGATGGACTGAGCCACCCCTGGGGCTGAGGGCAGGAGCTGATCTCTCACTGTCTTCTATTTTGTCCCCAAATCTATCATCTGTAATAATAATCACGGCAACATTTATAGAATGCTAACCCTATGCCAGCGTTATTCTAGGAGACCAACGCATATCTCATTTAATCTTCTCAACAACTTTAAGAGGCTGGTAACCCATTTTACAGATGAGTGAACTAAAAAGCAAGTGCTTTTCAGAAGCAAGTGCTTCACAGAGAAAGCAACTGCTCTGTAACTTGCCCACAGTCACACCACAAGCAAGGGGGAAGCTGGACTAGAAACCTAGGGAGTCTGGGATCTATCCACAATGCCAGCCTACCTTCTACCCAGCAGCCAGGGGCATCGCTCCAAAGAGCAAACCTGATCATGTCACTTCTCAGCTCGAAACCCTCCCAAGGCTCCCTATTGTCCTTGGACCAGAGATCAAATCCTTCCCCACTGTGTCTGCAGGCCCACTTCTCCATCCCTGTCTTGCCCCCTGCTCTTCCTGGCACTGAGCATGCCAGCTGCACTGGCTTCTTTTGTGTTTCTAGAAGTCTCCACGATCTTGATCCTGCCACAGGACCCTTGCACCTGCTGTTTCCTCTGCCTAGATCATTCTTAGCCACGTATCTTCAATCCACCCCCAGCTGGTTAATTCCATCTCACCTGAACACCACCTCCTCAGGGAAGCCTTCCCTGACTGCCTCTCTTGGTCAATGCCCCCATAACTGCCCCTTTGTTCTATTTCCACATTTCTACTTTTACATTGGTTTATGTGATTATTTGAATCATATCTGTCTCCCCAACTAGACTATGAGTTTCAGGAGAGCAGATACAATGACTATCTTGTTTACTGACTGATATGGTTTGGCTGTGTCTCCACCCAAATCTCACCTTGAATTGTAATAATCTCCACATGTCAAGGGCAGGGCCAGGTGGAGATAATTGAATTATGGGGGTGGTTTCCCCCTTACTGTTCTCGTGGTAGTGACTAAGTCTCACGAGATCTGATGGTTTTATAAACGGGAGTTCCCCTGCGCAAGCTCTCTTGCCTGCTGCCATGTAAGATGTGACTTTGCTCCTCCTTTGCCTTCCACCATGATTGTGAGGTCTCCCCAGACATGTGGAACTGTGAGTCAATTAAATCTCTTTCCTTTAAAAATTACCCAGTCTCGGGTATGTCTTTATTAGCAGTGTGAAAACAGACTAATACACTGACATTTTCCCAGTTCCTGAAATCATTGACTTCCCAAAATACTTGCTGACTGACCAAATAAGTAAGTGAATGAATGAACGAGAGAGGAGATGCAGGGAAGGAACAAAGCAACCTGGTTGGCAGACCTGTAGGGCCCAGACCAGGGTAAGATGAGTGGCATGAAACTTAAGGGGCACCAGAAACCTCAATAGCCAAAATAAATATTTTAATGTGGTATTTTTAAAAATCAAATTTAATGGAAAAATCCACATTGAACAAAGTCTAAAAATTCTAAAAAAAGCTTTATGAAGAAACATTTTGGAGGCTGAAGCAAATGGAGAAATCAGTAATACTCATCCTGTAATGGTTTAAAATGTTGATCTTCTGCTCATCAGGAATTCATTTGCATTAACTTTCTTTTTTAAGTAATGTTTTATTAGTGTTATTTATCTTGACTACTGAACTTTTTGGTGCCCCTTAAGTTTTGTGTCCAACAATTGTCTCACTTTAGTCCTGTCTGGTTCCAGTCCTTGCTTTGTCATCGGAGAGCTCTGCAACCTTGAGCCAGTTACTTGACCACTCTGGTCCTCTTGATCATCATGAGTAGAGGTGGAGTGATCAATGCAAGGTGGCCCACAGTTGGTGCCTTCCTGTCTGAGATGGCAGTCATACAGCATCAAGCATGATGCTACAGGGCCTTTGCACTTGCAATTGCCTCTGCCTAGAACACCACCAAGAACTCGTAAATAGTAACTACCCATGAGACAGATATGCATCAAATAATCATTTCTACTTCATGGATGAGGAAAGTGACGCTCCAAGATATCAAGTGTGTTGCTTCACATCGTGAATTTTGTAAGACATGAGGCTGAGTTTTGAAGGCTAAACCTGTTGTTCTCTCCACTGGCTCCCCAAGTCCACTCCCCAAGTCCAAACCCCTGCCCCAGTGAGCAGAGTTGGAAAACACAGTAGGGAAAGGACAGACAGTAAGCAAGAAGCAGAGATAGGATTGCAACCCAGGTCTCCTGCGCCCCAGCTGAAGCACTTTTCTCAGCCCCATAGTGCATTTGAAACTTGCTAAGATTTTTTAAGAGACTTTGCACTGCCAAACCAAGAGACCAGTCAACTATGTCGCCCTATAATGGAGGCATTGGAGGCGTCTTTCAATCGTCAGTGCTGGAGGGGTCCTCCCTCTGTGATGGCTTATACTTTATACAGCCTAGAGTTCTTTCTTCTCTGACTTCATAGAGCTACCCATTCCCTTCTAGAAGCATGAAACAGTGAGGGACAGGTGTTCTCCCCAAAAGATGCTTTTGGTGGCAAACTCTTTAAAAACAATCCTCTCCCAATTCACCCACCCCCACGCAAAGTTCACTCTGTTATCATAGGAAGAAAAGTATTGTGAATACAGCACAAGCTGTGTTGTTGGACAGAGGTGAACTTGAACCCAGCTCCACAGCCACAGAAAGTCCGTTCACCTCTGCTGCACCAGTCATTTGTTAAAAGTGTACTGGGATGTTGCAAGAGTTATAGAAAGCCATACATTCATGTATGCACCCACATATATGTATTCAGTTTTTATATAAACGGGATCATATCGTGCGCCCTCTTTTGCAAATGGATTTTTTTTTCACTTATTGTTTCTTGGTTATCTTAGTATGCGTCTTAAGAATGCACGCTTTAAGGCCAGGTGCGGTGGCTCATGCCTGTAATCCCAGCACTTTGGGAGGCCAAAGTGGGCGACCAAGAGGTCAGGAGTACGAGACCATCCTGGCCAACGTAGTGAAACCCTGTCTCTACTAACAACACAAAAATTAGCTGGGCATGGTGGTGGGTGCCTGTAATCCCAGCTACTCAGGAGGCTGAGGCAGGAGAATTGTTTGAACTCAGGAGGCAGAGGTTGCAGTGAGCTGAGATCACGCCACTGCACTCCAGCCTGGATGACACAGCGAGACTCCGTCTCAAAAAAAAAAAAAAAAAAAAAAAAGAAGAAGAAGAAGAAGAATGCAGGCTTTAGAGACAGATCACGTGGTTTAAATCTCAGGTCTGCAACATGCTGGCTGGACAAATGTCCTAACATGCTTCACAAATTTGCATGTCATCCTTGCACAGGGACCATGCTAATCATCTGTATATCATTTCAATTATAGTGTATGAGCATGACAAATGTCCTAACGTCCTAATCCCACCTTTCCTCGGTGTTCACATCTGTTAAATGGGAATATTAATCATGTGCAGGTGTATCTGAAAGGATTAAATGACGGAATGCAGGGAGAGTGCCAACTCCTATTTACGGCTGGTAGATGCTGACTAATATTATTCCAAAAATTTGCTTTGGTTATTTTCAGCTATTGTATGGTATTTCAGAGCGTGCTTAACCTTCATCCTGTTTGCGGATATTCAGGGCTTTTCTGTATGTACTATAGAACTGCATGTCAAATTGGGGGATGCAGGTTCCACTTGAAATTGATCACAGCCATTATTGCTCAGAAATTGAGTGGTTATGAAGGCAGGAAATATACAGGAGGAAGGTTTGTTTTGTGTATAATGTTGATGTTTTACAGTAAGAAAGTGCTCATGGAACTGCTCGTGAAAGAGAGAAAAAGAAAAAGGTAGAGAAAGAAAAAAAGAAGGAAGAGGGGGAAAAGAAAAAGATATAAAGGGTGGTAAATGGAGTGTCAAATGCCAGGCACAAGATCTTGAACATATGAGGCCCCCTCTCAGAATGGTGGCAGTTACAATATCATCATCCCCTCCTAACAGTCATGATCCCAGGCCAGGAGCAGTGGCTTACGCCTGTAATCCTAACACTTTGGGAGGCCAAGGTGGGAGGATCACCAGAGGTCAGGAGTTCGAGACCAGTCTGGCCAACAAGGTGAAACCCCGTCTCTGCTAAAAATACAACAAATTAGCCAGGCATGGTGGCAGGCGCCTGCAATCCCAGCTACTCAGGAGGCTGAGGCAGAAGAATTGCTTGAACCCGGGAGGCAGAGGTTGCAGTGAGCTGAGATCGTGCCATTGCACTCCAGCCTGGGCAATAAGAGCGAAACTCTGTTAAAAAAAAAAAAAGTCACGATCCCAAAGTTATGTGGAGTTTCACCAATCCAAGACCGTGAAAAAAATCTTTCAGGCTCGCTGTTCTGAGGCAATAATAAAGGATGGCAGCATGTGTGCATGTCTGTGTGTTTATGTGCATGCACATGTGCACGTGTGCATCTTTGCATGTAATTGTGTGTAGATGTGTGTGAGCCTGTGTGTATCTCTATGCACGCATGTGTGTGTATTTGTATATGCATGCTTGAGGGTGTGCATCGTGCATATATATGTACTTTTCTGCAAAGTGATTTTTTTTCATCGATTGCTTCTTGGGTATTTTAGGATGGGACTTACTCTGTGTGTCAGTGTCTGCATGTACGTGTGTATGGATGTGTATCCTCATGTATGTGTACACATCTCTGTGTGTGTGTGTGCATACACATATGTGCATGTGTTTCCTCTTTGGTCGACAAGAATCCCAATAAATGAGATGATGAATAATGGGTGCAAAATAGTTTTGAAAACTGCCCATTCTATACATATGTAGCTAAGGGGAGTTGACATTCATGTCCAGGATGCAAAGCAATCCTGATTGATCCCCCTCTCCACCTTCCACTTTCCCTTTGCTTCCCTTAAATTCTCTAATTGTCATCTCCATCCACACAAAGAGCAGTGGATCCCGTAGCATATAACCTTCCCTGACTTAGTCATTTGAGAAAGCCAAGGTTTCTGGTTGATGGAAGATCGCCTCTAATTATCATCTTAAAAATTATGTTTGGGATGAAAATCTCTGTAAAATGCACGATGCTCTTTGATAGTTTGGGCAGTGGCCCTTGAACTAAATCTCAGAGCTATCATTATGAGCATCATTTATTTTCCAGTGAGAAATGAAAGGCTCTGTACAATGAGAAGTGGTCTCCCCCTTTGCCCCTTCACAAAATGGCCCTAGACCGCTCAGTTTTTGCCATTAGTGAGGCTACTTTCAAATAATCCTACCTATTTCTGATGCCCATGAAGACACCACCAGCCACCTTTATCGGCCTTTATTACCTGCAGCTTTTCCTTCTCCCTTTTTATTTGTTGAATTCAATTTGTAGACAGGAAGGTCAGCTAACCACCTTCGTTAGTACTGTGCGCAAACCAAGAATAGCTAGGCTCTAAGTGAGATCCAAGGGCTGCAGATTAGCATAAAGGATTTAAAACATTAGGATCCTTGCTCTTATTGGTTGTTGGGTGGACAGTAAAAGTTCTGATTCATCAAATTAAAGGAGCTGCACCAGCTGAACCAGGGCTATGTCTATATTCCAGGTATTGTGCTAAGCATAGGGGCTCAGGGATGTCAGAGGCTTTCTGGATATGACATCTGAGCATTCGAGAGGGGTGACTTTGTGGGGGTGGGGGTTGATGTTCCTGAATAAAACATGGTCTCGGCACTTGAGATTTGGATCCATTTGGCAGTACCAAACATTTATGCTCACACAGTAGATACACAAGTATAGATGTCAACACTCAGAAAGAAACACCCACACTCATATATCAGGCAGTGCATTCTGAGGGCTAACCAGGGAGTGTGGCAGCTGTGCACCTGAGGCATTTAGGTGCATTGGGCAGGACAGGAAGGCCCCTGCCTACTTTTCCATCCATCCTCTTCTATTTCAGGGGAGCATTTCATGGCAACAGACTAGGGAGAGTGACAGGAGACCTGGAATTTAGCCTCTGTACCCCAAATGACTCTTACGTGATTGTGACTTTGAGTATGGCCCTTCTCCTCTCTGGGCCTTTATTCCTCCACTTTAAAATGATGAAATTGGACCAGATGATATCTGAGGCACACTTGAGTTTAAAACACTCCTTGAATCTGATTCTAATAATGTGAGTGATAATAATAAGCATCAGGTATTGGGTGTTTACCACATTCTATTTCTTCCTCATTTAGCCCAATAAAGTCGATGCTACTTTCCCAGTTTACATGTGAGAAAACTGAGGCTACAAACAATTAAGAGTCCTGCCCTAAGTCATGCAGCTAATTAGTGTCAGAGCTGCAATCTGGACCCAGGCAGTCTGGCCCCAGAGTCCATGCTCTTAATCACCGATGGGCTGTGCTCCTGACAGCCTGTAAATTCACCGATCTGGAGTCCTGCAAGAAGGGTTACTTCCTGTCCCCCCTCTGTGATTCCCCATGCCTTCGTTTGGGTCTTTGTTAGTAACATCTCAGGGCTCACAAGGGTTGAGACAGAGGGAAGAGGAGAACCAGGGTCTCCGATGCCTTGGAACCCGAGGCAGGCTGGCACCCTGAGGTCCCCGGGCACAGTTTCCCTGCACGTTCATCTGGCGCCGGCGGGCAGATGGGTATGCTGGCCAGTCCTGTCAGCCTGCCAGCTGGCCCAGAGCACCCGGTGGCTGGCACCTCGGCCACTCGGATGGGCTGCCGGCCCGCCTCCCACAGGCACGCAGCTGGCAGTGAGGAGCAGATGGGCCGGCCGGCCGGGCCGTTGGCTCTCCGTTACGCTGCCAGCTGGCTCCGCTGCACTTGGTGTCTTGGCACCTCTGGGCTGGCGTCGGTGGGCAGGAGGGCTGACATGTTGGCTTCCTATAGACGGGCAGCTGGCACAGGCAGCAGAGAGGAGGGTTCCTCGCCCCCTCCTGGCTGCTCCCTGAAATGGCCAGGGGTCATGGTCAATGGGAACTGAAGCCAGAATCCACCCCGCTGTGACCTGAGGAGTTTGCTGTGAGAGCGAGCTTCCTCTCCCACGCCTCCTAGGATCTGCATTGATTTGCACAAGCTCTGGCCTCCCCAGGACCTGACACCTTCCTGCCCCTGACTCCCAGCGCTCTAGCCTCCTTCACCTGGCAGGGAAGGATTGTCCCCCGGCAGGGACCCACAGCTCCTGCCAGCTTCTCTCTGTCTCCCTTGAAGTTGGCTCGCCAGTCCTTTTTCAGCTTGTCTAATTCAAAGGCTCAGCTTCTGTGAGTGCCGGAGAACTGGACTCAGCAAAGGCTGGAATCCTGATGAGATGCTCCATGAAAGCCCAGGAGTCCTGGTTCCAGTCCTTGCATGTTCTCATGGGTGCTGTGAGAACATGTGCTTCCCTCTTCAGGCCTTGGTTTCTCTATCACTTCTTTCTTATTACCCATGAATTCTTATTACTAATGAATAGTTCAGAATAAAATAAAATCCTGCCTCGAGGTTTCTAGATAAACCGTAATATGTTCATGACCCCTGACATTCTAGGTGCAAGCTTATGCATTTGGATGGTGTTATCTGTTGAATTGTGTCCCCAAAATGATGTTGAAATCCTAACCTCCCAAACTTGGGAATGGGACCTTATTTGGAAATAGGATCTTTGCCAATGAACAAACTAAGATAAGGTCATGGGGTATATCCTTATCAAAAGGGGGAATTTGGACACAGACATACATAGAACAAAGACGATGGAAAGATACAGGGAGAAAACAGCCATCTACAAGCCAAGGACCCGTGGGACCACAGGCAGATAAGAGAGAGGCTTGGAACATATGCTGTCTTACAGCCTTCAGAAGGAGCCCACCCTGCCCATACCTTGATCTCTAACTTCTGGCCTCCAAGCCTGTAAACAAATAAATTTCCCTTTTTCTCAGCCCCCTGGTCTACAGCACCCTGTCATGGTAGCCCTAGAAGACCAACACAGGTGAGCATGCCACCTTCTGGGGGATGGTTCACACATTTCATCAGGTCATCATGGGGGCTCATGACCCACCCCACCTCAAATTACAACCATTAATGTCGGTCCCAATCCTACATGGGCTTCCCACGAGGTAACATAATAGCTGTCCTGGCCGGGCGCAGTGGCTCACGCCTATAATGCCAGCACTTTGGGAGGCCAAGGCGGGTGGGTCGCTTGAGGTAAGGAGTTCAAGACCAGCCCGGCTGACGTGGTGAAACTCCATCTCTACTAAAAATACAAACTATTAGCCAGGCGTGGTGGTGCACACCTGCAATCCCAGCTACTCGGGAGGCTGAGACAGGAGAATCACTTGAACCCAGAAGGCGAAGGTTGCAGTGAGCCAAGATCACGTCATTGCACTGCAGCCTGGGTGACAGAGTGAGATTTCATCTAAAAAACAACAACAGCGACAACAAAAAAAGCTGCCCTGAATCCTTCAGGCAGCTGAGTTCAGGTGCATTTTACCTGCTGCTGAGAGCATCCTGAACCACCAACCCTATTCAGGGACAGTTATTTCAGGGGCTGACTCTACTCATGGACACAAAATGGCTGCAGAAGCCCCACCATCACCCCCAGATCCAATCACACTTAGAGATACATTCTGAAACACTGCATAATAAAGTATAAAGCACAGAAATGCATATAGCAGCATGGTTTGGCTATCCAGGGGATGCTTTATTCAGGCAAACTGAACCCATTACCCATGATTTCAGATTTAAAGGAAGTAAAGATCAGCTCACTTTCCATATCTAGCTTTGGATGTGATATCAGAAGACCTGGGGTCTAGCCCGCAACCCCCTTATTTTCTAGCTTTAGAGACTAATTCTGTAGAGCCTTCAACTGGAAAGCAAATAAAAATATGAATCAAGTGACTTCAAGTGTGGTGGCTCATGCCTGTAATCCCAGCACTTTGGGAGGCCAAGGCAGGCAGATCACAAGGTCAGGAGATCGAGACCATCCTGGCTAACACAGTGAAACCCCATCTCTACTAAAAATACAAAAAAAATAGCCGGGTGTGGCGGCAGGCACCTATAGTCTCAGCTACTCGGGAGGCTGAGGCAGGAGAATGGCGTGAACCTGGGAGGTGGAGCTTGCAGTGAGCCAAGATTGCGCCACGGCACTCCAGCCTGGGCGACAGAGCGAGACTCTTTCTCAAAAAAAAAAAAAATTAATATCATGTCATCTTTTAATTCCACTTCTGGGAATCAATCTGAAGATGTGTATCAAACTATGGAAAAAGTTTTATTTAAGAAGGTGCTTATTGAAGCAGTTGGTTTGTAAATTTAAAAAACAAAAAAAGTGAAACAACTGCCCTGGATGGGGTTGGTGGTTTAGGACATTCTCAGCTGCAAGCAACAGGCATCTTAACTCAGCTGCCTGAAGGGGTCAGGACATCCACTATCTTACCTTATGAGAAGCCCAGAGTGAGAGTGCACTGAGAAGGTGCCTGCAGTTGTCCTTTTCTACATGTTAGCTTTATTGCCTGGGCTCACTTTCCTCATGGACACAAAATGGCTGCAGAGATCCCAGCATCACACCCAGATCCAGCCACATTTAGAGAAAGAATGGGGACATTGCCTCATGAATGCCTCTTTGTAAAAGCCAAACAAAGTTTCCCAGGGGCACCCAGCAAAATTTCTTTATATCTCATGGCCTGTGATCGTGCCATATGTCCAGGTCTTAACCAATCTTGAGAAGATAAATAAAGTGGCTGTAATTGGATTGGTCAGTCAGGGCCTGCTCTCTGAGACTGGAGGCAGGGCTGGCTCCAGGACACAGATGGTGGACTTGGACTCTATGAGGAGGAGGAAAATGGGTGTAGGAGCTCAATGTCTAGCAGGCAGTCAACAGGATGGTGTTGTAGTCACTGGTTGTAGGTCAGTTACAATTAAAAAGTTAAGATTATGTTAAAATTAGATGGCAAAAATAAATAGGTGATGAAGATTGAGATGTACATGGCAAGGGTTATCATCAATGGAGAAATGCATTCTTGGAAATCGGTAAGACCAGCACTCCAGTATGATTGGCAAATATGAGCATGTCAGTGGAATATTAATATCCACTAGCCCATGAGAAAAGTACACTGATATCACTAATAATCAATATATTTTGCTTACAACACTGGCCAGGTTCATAGAATCTGATTTTTTGAGGAAACAGGCACTCAATAGCATTAATGATGGATACACAAATGGGAACAGAAAGTTGGCCTTGATGTCACGCCTGTTTATTTTTTTAATTAAGGTGAAATTCACATAACATAAAATTAACCATTTTAAGGTGAATAATTTCAACAGCATTCTGTACATTTATGATACCATACTACCATCACCTCTACCTAGTTCCAAAGCATTCTCATCACCCTAAAAGAAAATCCTATACCCCTTAAGCAGTCACTCCCATTACCCCTCCCCACAGCCACTGGCAACCACTAATCCACTTTCTGTCTTTGTGGATTCACCTATTCTGGATATATCATACAAATGATGGATCATGTGATCTTTTATGTCTGGCTTCTTTCACTTAGCGTGGTGTCTTCCAGGTACATCCATGTTGTAACATGCATCAGTTCTTCACCCCTTTTCACAACTGAGTAATGTTCCATTGCATGTGCCTGCTTTTTGACCCACCAATTGCACATCTGGAAACTTATCCCAAGAAAATGATCATGAAATTGTGCAGAGAACAGCTACCAGGATCTTTCTGAACCCATCATTTCGAAGGCCACAAGATGAGACTTGGGAAAGTAATTATGATTAGTCTATATGTGACAGGATATAAGGAAGACAGCATCCATTATATTACAGCAGAATATTTCACAATACCAGAAAGTACTTACAATTGCTTTGCAGCCTTTTGGCTAAGATCAAGTATTGAAACTACTTGTGGCATGGTGGTATTTCTGTTAAAAGCGTATTATAAAACCTTGTGTTCTCTATGACCCCCTTGTCAGTCATTGCTTCCGTTATAGAGAGCATTTGTGAGGTATGGAACATCTACTGTGCACCAGGCACTGTTCAAGGTGCTGAATAGAAAGCAGTATTTAAATAGACAGAATTGCTGATTTGGGGTAGCATGCAACATTATTGTGTGTGTAACTTTGGTGGGGGCTGATGAATGGGCAATAGGGGGTCCCCTGGGGGAAGGAAGGAGGTGATATCCACGTACTTTGAGAGTCTAAATGTATAAGTAGAAAAAAGTATGGGTGGTAGATTATGAGTAATCTTTATTCCTTTCTTTTTATGTGCTTGTAATGTCCACATATTTTTCAGTAAAGATGTGTGTTATTTTTATAATCAGAAAAAAGAAAGCTGACTTGTAACTGGTAGGCTTATTAAGAACTAGCTATATTACAACACCAAAATGAATAGAATTGAAATGTAAATTAAATTGCAGAATTTAAATATTGTAGACCCTATGCTTATAATCATATATATGTGTGTGTATATGTATATATATACATGTGTATATATGTATATATATACGTGTGTATATATGTATATATATACGTGTGTATATATGTATATATATACGTGTGTATATATGTATATATATACGTGTGTATATATGTATATATATACGTGTGTATATATGTATATATATACGTGTGTATATATGTATATATATACGTGTGTATATATGTATATATATACGTGTGTATATATGTATATATATACGTGTGTATGTATACATACACACATATGTATATACATATACGTACACTTACACATATATATATAAAGCTATGTAAAGACCCAGTTTCTTTATATCATAATTGACACATAGTGCGTATTCAATAAATTCCTGTTGAATGAATGGATTATTTGTCCCTTTACTTCCTATTTTTTTTTATTTTCCACATTTTCCTCAGGATCATGTGGTTCCTTTTTTTGAGACAAAACATCAACCTATTATTGTTTTATTTTTAAATTTTAGTCATATAATACATTTGCAAGGTAAATAAACTTTAGCGTAAGGAGCTAAACAAGACCAGGTTTACACGGTGTCTTCTGCCTCATCGTAGGCCTTCTAGAAATGTTTGTCCCTTTCTTTCTCCCTGGAGGCCTCTAAAAAAGATCCCGTTTACAAGAGAAAAATTGACTCCTCTGCAACTGTTTCTCTCCTGCACGTCTGTGATATAAATCACAGCCTTCCTGAAGAGCATCTTCAGAGCTCATAGACTCTCAGAGTTGGGGGGAACCTTGAAGATCCCAAATCCTTTCTCACTCCACCCCAATATACAGATGAGGAAACTGAGGCCCATAGAGGGAAAGAGACCTGCCCAAGGTCACACAGGAGACAGTGACAGAGCTGGAATGGGAACCCACTCCTTACTTCTTACAGTTTACTTCCTCCATTGTACTGGCAGCTGCCTCTGCCAATTTTAGCATAAAGTATGCTCATGGTGTTGGGAGGCTTCCTGCTTCTCGGGACTGAGTGTGTTAGGCTTTGTGGAGGCCTTGGTTTCCCTACACAAACCCACCCTTCCACTGGAGGATGCCTTCATCCTTGCAAAGAGACAAGGTCCAGCTTCAAGAAGGGAATCTCTAAAAGGCTCCCTTTCTGCCTTTGCAGTTACTGCAAAACTCTGACCATGAAGGCCAAAAGAGACATGTCTACAAATGCATTTGATGTTTCCTGAGGGCCTCCCCTGGGCCAGTTCCTGTGCTGGGCTTCAGGGATGCAGAGACAGGCACAAACCCTCCTCTGCTAGTGGAGGAGAAAGACACATGAACAGATGACACATAAACATGATGGAGCAAAATCCCAAGTCCCAGGGAGACCAATCTCAGGAGAGGGGCTGATGGTGTTTTAGGGCAAACCTGGATAGAAGCTTCTATGAAGGCAATGACCTTAGCAGCAAGTTCTTGAAGTAGAAACTCCTAAATCAGAGTTCAGAGATGGGACTATTGAGGCCAGGGAAACCATTGACGTTGTAAACAAGACGGTGAGAATGTGCATTGTTTTCCTTGGGAAAGGGTGTACAATTTCCCATCTGGTTGGTAAAATGGATTTTAGTCTCTGCTCCTCCACAGGGATTTTAAGAAGCACTGTCTTACTGGATAAGGAGGCATTTCAACTTACAGCAACAGTGTGTCCAGTGACAAGGGATGCAATGTTATGTGGCATGTTGGAAAAACAGAGTCCTTGAGGACGGGGCTCCTGGATGGTGGCAGCAAAGCATGGGAATAGATGGGGCCTATATCAAGAACCTCACACTAGGAAAGTTTTTACCGGGTAGATGCATCAGGAAGCTTTCTTGAGTCCTCTGTTGATTTCAGAGACAGTCTTTTGCATTTCATCCTCTGCTTTAAACCGCTGATTGCTTAAGATTTCCTAGAGCCCTGTGGTCCCCACCCGGCCCTGGATCAGATTAAGAGCCCCCCTCTTCTGCAAAACTGGCAATGCTAGCATCCCATATTGCAGAGGAGGAAACTGAGGCTAAGAGCAGAGGATGTGGATTGCCCAAAGTCACACGGTTGGAGCAGATCCTGGGTGCACCTGCTGTCTGCCACCCTGGGCTACCTTCTACACAACCTTGAGAGCACCTGCCCACAGCCCACAGCCAAGCCCTGCCAGAGAGACCCAAGGAAGGGGCTGTCCACACCCTCCCTCTCTTCTGCCCACCTCTGCATCCTTACAACTCCCTGGCCATGTATAAAACATTCCTAGAAACCACTTATTTCTCATGCATTTTCCATGAGGTTGGGCCCAAGTTAAAACATATAAACATAAAAATATCAAGAAGCCCTTTAAAAAAAAAGAAAGAAAGAAAGGGCCATGTTTCATAAAATACCAAGAGACCAATTTCTGCACTTGCCCTGCTCCCCTGGCCGGTCACCCAGGGTTGTTCATTCTCTCCTCCCTTCTCTTGCCTGCTTTTCTCTCTTCTATCAACCTTTCCTCTTTCCGTTTCAACTTCACCTTTTCCATTTTATTTTTCTCTCTTCTTTTTCTCTTTTCTGGGCCCCTTTCCCCATCCATTTACCTGGCTCTCAAAGCATTCCTCTGTCTTCATTTCCACCTGTATTTCTCTGGTTTTTCCTGGCTGTTTTCCTATTTCTCTCTGTGTGTGTGTCTCTGATTCTGTTTCTCTGTGTCTTGCTGAGTAAGCATCCTTTGTTTTCTCCTTGCTTGGTTTCTGACAAGGTTCCTTCTTGCCCCTCCTACACCCATAACAATAGCTAAAGGTAAAAGAAATGACAATGATCCCAAGAGTTGGTGAAGATACAGAGCAACTGAAACCCCAGGCACCGTTGGTGGAAGTGTAAATTGGTGCAACCATTTTGAAAACTGGCAGTTTCTACTAAAGCTACAGGTCTATTTACCCTGTGACCAAATATCCCATTCCTGGGTATATTCCAAGGAGAAATGAGAACTTCTATTACCCCAAAGGCGTAGAAGAGAGTTTCATGCCCACTTGACTCAAAATAGCCCAAACTGGAGAGAGTCCAAATAACCATCCACAGGAAAATGGATAATTGAATTCTAATGTGTTTATGCATTGGAATATTGCACAACAATGATAACAATGAACTACCGCGACACGTAGCAACATGGATCAGTCCCCAAAACTTTGTTTTTGAGAAAAAGCCTCAACACAAAATAGTATATGCTGTATAATTCCATCTGTTTAAAGTTCAAGAACCGGCAAAATGAATCTATGTGCCTGAAGTCAGAAGAGTGGCCATCTTTGAGGAGGTATGCTTTGACTTGGGTGGCACAAGAAATCCTTCTAGGGTGTTGGAAATGTTCTATATATTGATCTGGGTAAAGTACAAACATGGGTAAAATATTCATCAAGCTGCACATAAGATTCGTGCAGCTTAATGTAAGTTATAACCCCATTTAAAAATAAAGAAAAATAATAGTACATAGAATTGCTTATTATAATCATTATGCTAATAATAATTTTTATGATCACAATTGGCAAATAATTTAGACTCAGGGCCCATAAACTCATACATGTTTCCGATCCCACTGATTAAGATGAGGGTGGGCATTTGGGTCCCCATGGCTGAGAACTCATCTTCCTACTAGACTGAGTCAAATCCTCAGATGCCTCAAACTTACCACTGTTACTAGGAGAGCCACACACCCTGGGACCCTTTGGAAAGACCTGCCTTGGAGAGAGAAAAACTGCTCCCATTCCAGGTCTCAGGTCTCATATTTATGGCATCGGTCTGATGCTTCATTATTTTATTTCCTGCTTCATTGGTAACGATCATGATTATGGTATAACTCAACACTTATTTTGATAAGTAAGTAGTTAATTAATAGCATAAAACCCAAACCCAAGTTAACAGGAAGGGGTTGGTCTAGTGGGAAACCTCAAGGAAATTGTTCTGTCTGTAGAGCCATCAGAAAACTATGACAGCCAACAGGGGAGGCTGAAGGAGAACCAAAACTCCAGCCCTGGGACTCTGAAAGGCCTTTATTTATGTTTTTCTTCTTCATTTGAGTCCTCCCAGGAGGGGAGGAAAGCACAGAGCCCAGCTTTCCTGCTTCAACAGCGTGGGTGTGAGCCCAACACACACAACCCTTGAAGGCAAACTAAAACCCACTTATTTTCATTGAAAGGGAGGAACTAGGGCCAGAGGGACTCAGGCACTATTAGTTAAATAATGGTGCTTAAAAATGCATTGAATGTAGCTGCCTCCCCACCCCTAAAAAATCTGGAATTTTCCTATTGAGTATACTTTTTTCTCTTGCCCATGAATATTAATGCTTTTCTCAGAGAGCTCTACTTCAAAAAAAAAAAAAAAAACAAGAATAAATTAAATACCTACAGATTTTTCTAATTCCTCTTTTTGGTGACATGCCGTCATTACATCAAATTACTGAGATGGGCCCGCTCTTTTTTTTTTTTCTTTTTGGGTGAAAATTATGGAATATAAAGTATATGTAAATGGAGCAAAGGAGGAAAAAAAAACTGTGAAGGAAGAATAGGGGAAGGAAAAGCATTAGGTATTCCGCCGGCGTAGTAGTCAGCCAATTAATCAAGCAGTGGCGAGAAAAAGATGCAGAAAGGATGAGTTCGCCCTTCATGTTGATGGGGCCGGCGCAGGGCAAACGCTACGGCACCTGAGCTCACGGTTAGGCATGCAGAAAGGGATCATGGGAATATCTTCCCGTCTTTGTCTTTCTCGTGAAGGATGGAAAATGTCAAGCTGTTGTTTGGCTGGATTGAGGGGGATGGGGGTGGGGGAGAGTCGAGGAGGATTCGCAGTCTGGTGAGGCAAGGTTTTAACTCTTTGAGGACATCTCTGCCTCCCTCCCTCCCTAGCCCCAGCTCCACCTTCTTCTCCTTCTCCCAGCCCCCCGAGCACATCTGTGGGGAACTCTGCCTGCAAACGGCAAGTGGGAAGGCGCTGATTGATGGTGACATGCAGGCTGGGGCAGCCTGTGTGTGTGTGTGTGTGTGTGTGTGTATGCGTGTGCGTGCACGTGTATGTGTGTGCATGTGCATGCATGTGTGTATGTGTGTGTTTGTGTGTGTATTTGTGCATACATATGCTGGGGGCGGTCAAGAGGCATTTTTTCTCTCCCTCATAAGTGTTCTTTGTTCATTCTGGAACTGAGCGGTGCATGACCCCTTCTCTCTCCAGCCCTGTCATGTCCCCTAGGAAGTGAGCAGTGCCTTGAAATCAGAGTGGCTGCAAAGACGATGGTTGTAGTAATGAGGCTTTGAGGATACAACCGGGTCTCCCTCTGCATGGCCCTCAGTATGCTAAGCCCACCCAGGAGGGTGGCCTGACAGGTGTCCCCTGGAACTGTCAGAATTCCAGGGTGATTGTAAGGACTGGCCATTCCTAGGGCTGGTGCTCAGAAGAGAATCAGAGTGCAGGGCTTATGACTCACACCGATGATGATCATATGGTAATGTAATAATTAGCCAACTTCACCAGCAATGCCTTGTCCTGATGCCTTTAAATATCCACATCATTTCATTATTTTTAAACTCTGGAAAAACCATGGTCCCAAGGAAAGATATGTCATTAATTCACTCACTGAGAACATGGGTATTTGATTTTCCCCACTTGCCCTTAGAATGGACTTGGTGGGCATTGAGTGGTCTATTTGGCAGATAAGGATGCTGAGATCAAAGGGCTTCCTTTAGGCCAGTGAGTGGGCTTACAAGGAGCTCAAACCATGTCTCCAGTTCTTATGTCAATCCTTGCTGTCCTTTGGCCAGAGAAGAATGAGCAAAATGAACTACATCCTGTTCCACCACCCTGTCCCAGGACCAGTCCATGACCATTGCCAGCACATCATGTGAGCCCACTGTGAGATCCAATCCGTACACAAAGGTGCTGGTTCTGGATCCAACCCATACAACAAAAATGTGGTCCAGGGACCAGCAGCATCCTCCCACATGAGAGCTTGCTAAGAATGCAGCGTCTCTGGCCTCAGCCCTGCTGAATTGGAGTCTGCCTTTTAACAACATTCCCAGGTGATTTGTGTGTACGCTGAAGTTTGAGAAATACTGTTTTAAGGAAAACTTATGCCCTACACTTACTATGTGAATTCTGGATGAGTCTGATGATCAAAGGCAGCTTCTACTCCATGAAATATGGTACCAGGTAGCATCTGCTGGGACTAAGTGTGAGTGCTGTTTGACTGCTCTTCACCCATCCTGACACATCCTATGAGATGGGCACTGTGGATGTACCCATATTACAGGTGAGGACGCAGAGACATGAAGAGGTGAGGGGACTTGCCAGAGGTGGGACAGCCAACAAGCAGCACAGCCAGAAATGGAACCCAAGCAACTGAGTCCCCTTTCGGGCCAATGATCCTGAAGCTTGAGCATGCATCAGAATCGCCTGAAAAACTCATGGGAGTGTAGATTTCTGAACACCAACCTAAAGATTCTGATTCAGAGGTGGACCTCAAAATGTGCCTTACTAACAAGTTCTCAGGCAGCAATGCCGAGGTTGCAAATACGGGGCCCACGCTTTGAGAACAGCTGCTCACTGGCGGTTCATCACCTGTGTTAAGAAACTAGCTGGTTTTGTGATCAACTCCAACCAGATATGATTGAGATTTGAGTCAGTGCCCCTGCCCTAAAAAGAAAAAGAAAAAAGGTGTATGGATGTGGGTGTGGGGGATGGTGTATTCATAGGGAATCACCAATAACTAAAACACAAAGAGGGCATGGTGGTCCACAGAAGGGAAAATTGCCTTTTGATGATCCCCAGCTTAGTGGCATGAGCTGTCCCCGTGCTCCTCATTGCCATGGCTAATTGAGAGTATATTGCAGCATCATTGCTGTAATAATCCTTTCCATTATTTAACCTGGACAATGCATGGTGTTATAATGAGTTTCCAGCGTCTGGTCATTAAACCAATATTTACAAGGCCCGGCCTGTCCTGGCCGGGTTCGGTGCAGAACACTGGAGACCAGGAAGATAAGGCACTGATCTTCCTGTCTTTCAACAACTCCCAGGTGGCCAGCTACACCCCTCCATTTGGGGCAGGTGGGTGGAAGGGAAGATGTGCATAATTCTGGAAGAAAAAAGGGGGGTCCTGAAAAGAATTCACAGCTGAAGTGACCTGGTAATATTTGAATGTTACTTTCTTGTCGTTGTATGCTGTTTGGAAAAAGTGTATCTGTAAGTGGACTAAAAATACACACAATTTTAAAATACAAAATTGAAAGTGTAACTTCCAAAGTTCTTCCCCCCAAGGATAATCACTTAACATTTGGTGGGGGGCAAATATCGTTTTAGATATCTCCTTCTATTTTCCTCTCTTCCTCCCCATCTGTCTCCTCTCTCCTTCCCTTCTTTCCTTTCCCCTCACCTCCCCTCTCTTCCCTTACTCTCTCTCTCAGCCTTCCCATCTCTCTCTGCTTGTCTCTTCCTCTCTTTCTTTATCCCTCTTATCCCCTCCCCTCTCCTCCTCTCCCCTCTTCTGTCTTTCTCTTCGCCCCTTTGTCTTCCTCCCTTTCTTTCCCCTCCTATCCTCTCTTCTCTGTCTGCCTCCCTATCTCCCTCCCATTCTCTCTCCCCCCACCTCTCTTTCTGCTTCTCTCCATCACATACAGGTATATGACTAGATGCAGCTCTGCATATTTGAGAGCAGTGGTGGAAAAAGACTAGAAGTCCATCAGGCAGTCAAGAGCCAGAAGGGTGTCGGGGCAAAGGGATACTATATGGTAAGGAGCATAAAGCGACCTGTGGAATGACAGCCCTAAAGAACTAACCCAAGTGTCGAAGAATGAGGGGATTCTCAGCAGGTGAGTCAGCAGGGCCTGGATCACGGTGTGCAGTTTGCACTTTACCCTAAAAGGAATGGGAAGCCAGGGAAGGTTCTAAGCAGGAGAAAGGCTTGGTCTTTTTGCCTTTTAGGGAGACCTCTCTGGTAGCTACTGTTGGGTCAGACTGAAAGGAGAGAAGCCAGAAGCCATGAAGCTGGCTGCATCAGATTCATCATAGCTAAGAAATTTTAAAAGAAAAATGACAGGATGCCAAGGGAGGTGTGTTTTGGTGCTGGGCATTTTCCGATCAAGAGAAAATAGAGCCCTGAAAGATATTTTCCTTCTGCAAACTCCAAGGAGGGAAAGAAAGAAAGAAAGAAAGAAAGAAAGAAAGAAAGAAAGAAAGAAAGAAAGAAAGAAAGAAAGAG
Source organism: Homo sapiens (assembly GCF_000001405.40). Lineage (NCBI taxonomy): Eukaryota > Metazoa > Chordata > Mammalia > Primates > Hominidae > Homo > Homo sapiens. The sequence goes on along the minus strand of NC_000022.11, from coordinate 27,019,687 downwards.
AAAGAAAGAAGAAAGGAAGGAAGGAAGGAAGGAAGGAAGGAAGGAAGGAAGGAAAGAGAGAAAGAAAGAAGGAAAGAAAGAGAGAGGAGGGAGAGAGAAAGAAAGAAAGAAGAAAGAGAGAAAGAAAGAAAGAAAGAAAGAGAAAGAAAGAAAGAAAGAAAGAAAGAAAGAAAGAAAGAAAGAAAGAAAGAGAAAGAAAGAAAGGAAGGAAAGAAGGAAGGAAGGAAGGAAGGAAGGAAAAAAATAATTCCCAAACTCCCCCGTGTTTGTCTCTTTATCTCTATGATATTCAATTTCCTTATCTGTAAAATATATTTAAAATTCCCATTTAGCAAAGTGTTCAAACAGCAAATGGGTGCCCCTGGATTTTGCAAATTATAAAGTTCTTAACCAACAAGCAACCGTGGCTGTTGCTGTTGTCCTGTGGTTGATTGTATTTGTAGCTCTTTACATACTTCACAGAAGTTCTCACCACCTGCCTTATGCTTTCATAATTGTATATCTTTCAGCTTCTGCCTCTAGAGCAGCACTGTTTCTAATAGAACTTTCTGTGATGACGGAAACTTTGCATATCTGAGCTGTCCAATATGGGAGCCACCAGTTTCATGTGGAACCCTTGCAGTGTGACTGATGTGACTGAGAAACCACATTTTACATTTTATTTAACTATAATTAATATACATTTAGATTTAAATAGTCACAAATGTCTACCACATTGGACAGCACAAACCTAGAAAGAAAGACCATTGAAAACATGGACTATGTCTTACCTGCCTTGCAATCCCTGCTTTACAATGGATGGATGGATGGATGGAAGAATGGATGTGTAGATGAGTGAATAGATGAAGGGATATATGAGTGGGTGAGTAGAAGGATGAATGTGTAGATGGGTGAATAGATGGAAGAATGGATGGGGGGGTGGATGGATGGATACATGAGTGGGTGAGTGGAAGAAAGGTTGGGTGGACGGGTGAATGGATGGATAGATAGATGAATAAGTGCATGGAAGGATGGATGGATGGATGGATGGATGGAAGAATGGTTGTGTAGATGGGTGAACAGATGGATATATATATGAGTGGGTGAGTAGAAGGATGAATGTGTAGATGGGTGAATAGATGGAAGAATGGATGTGGGGGTTGATGGATGGATGTGTGAGTGAGTAAGTGAGTGAGTGAGTGGGTGAGTGGAAGAATGGTTGGGTGGATGGGTGAATGGATGGATAGGTAGATGAATAAATGAATGGAAGGATGGATGGATGAGTGGGTAGGTGGAAGAATGGGAGGATTGGAGGATGGGTGGAAGGGTGGGTGGACGGATATATGTGTGAGTGAATAGAAGGATGGATGGGTACAAGGGGGGATGGATGGATGGATGCATGGATGGATGGATGGATGGATGGTTATAACAGGTGCTTACTAGCATGGCTGAAAGGGCTCCCAAATCAAACTAAAAACATCTGGTTGATGTCTTCACTCCATCACATACAAGTTGAATGACCTAAAACAAACTATTTTACATATCATAGCCTCAGTTTCCTCATCTGTAAAATAATTCTAATCTCAGAAGGCTGTCATGAGGGTGAAATGAGATCATTTATGTAATAACACTATACAACATATAACGGACTGTACAAATGTAGGGCATCACTATTATGTTTCATGCCCATTGAGCAATTGAGTAAATGAAGCAGTTGCTCCTGATGGATAGTAGATCCTTGATAAATGTAATAAATGAAGGCAAAAATGAGTAAACCATTAGTTACAATATGAAGCACAAGCCAAGAGAGGGAACCATAGTTTCTAGGAATAACGTGAGTAATGGATTTTTAGGAAACTGCTGAGGGGGGCAATTGGAGAAAGACACGGGTGAGTCTGGTGGAGAAGGAAGGGTTAAGATTTTGGATTCAGGCAGATCTGTGTTCAAATCCCAGCCTGTCTATTTTGTCAGTCTGTAACTTTGGGCCAATCTCTTCACCTGCTTCTAATTTCTCTCCATAGATACTAATGGTGTTGGGGACAATACTCTACTTCAGAAGACTTCAGAAAAATTACCTGAAATACAGCATGTGTAATTACCTGCCCCATAACAGCCACATAGTAGATGCCCAATGAATGTATTTCCCATAACAGTTCCCCTCCTGGGACATAGATTAAGGGATGGGGAGAATAGCTAACAGAGAAAGGTCTTCCATGTTTCCAAAGGGTAGTAATAATTAAAATACCACTGCTAATAATGATAACAGCTAGCATGAACTACACTCCATCTACACGTCTGGTATTTAGCTAAGTTCTTTGTGTATAGTAATTATCTTAATTATTCCATATCCCAACCCTGCAAAGTCAATTCTATTATTATTCCCATTTCGCAGATAAGAAAACTAAGAGCCCGAGAGGTTAGCTAACTTGTCCAGGGTCACACAGGAGCTGAGATGAGAATTCAAGGCACCTGATGCCCCCTGTTGTGTTTTTATAAAGCGTAAAAATAAGATGCACAGCCTCTTAGGGGTTAACTCTACCACAGATAACTTTAATTGAACCCTTCCCACATGTAAGGCATTTAACATACTTTATCTGCAAGCTTCCCACTATCTTGCTGGGGAGGCATTATCAGCCCTGTTTTATAGATGGTAAAACTGAGACTCAGAGAGGTGAAGTTACTTGCCTAAGGTCACACAGCCAGGAAGCTTCAGATCTTGGATCTGCACTCAAGTTGTAGATTCCAGGGCTGGTGGCTTCACTGCACCACATTTGTGTGGAGAGTAGAAAGGAGAGCACTTTGCAGGTGCCTTTCCCAGGGGGACACATACTTCCCTCCCCTAGTGAGCCCTTCCAACCAGGGAGACAGCAGCCCTTGAGTCAAATGGCTTTTGGACGATGCAATTGGTCTTTTTCCATTCCATCTCCCCCATTGGTTCATAGCTTCCAGCGATCTATTCTTCCTGCAACGTGCCTGTCTTGGTCTTCCATGTGTGCTGGAAGTTTCCAAAATACTCATGTAAAGATGACTTGTTCCTACGTTCAAAGGAGAAACTCCTCCACCCTAATCAACCTGGGAAAGACTGATGAGTTGGAGGCTGGAGACCTGCTTCTGGTCTTGTTCAGGTAGTGTGTGAGCTTCTCTGGGTCCCAGTGGCCCCATCTCTAAAATGGGCAGGTTTGCCCTGGAGCTAACCAAGTCCCCTTCCAGCTTTGATTCTCATTGGTCCTGCTTCTCAGATCACTGCCTTCAGGGCTGGACTCTGCAGGACCTAGCTGGTAACACAGGCAGCTGCCTACTTGGGGTGGGTTATCTACCCCAGGGGTATTTATGTTCTCTGCTTTAAAAAAATCCCTCCTTAAAACAGAAACATCCCCAGAAGAGTGTTAACACCTCCCACCTTGACAGAACAGGTCTAGCCTTTGGGTGGTGGTGGAGGCAAGCAGACTCTTCTGAATAGGAGGGGATGCATCTTGAGGGGTAGCAAATACTGATTTGGGCCTCTCTCTCACTCTGCTCCTACCCACAACCTCACTTGTCCTTATTATTCTTTTCAAGAACAGAAATATCTGACGCTGGATAATTGAGCACTGGGGAAATTTCTCCCACCTCCCCTAGGTAGTTAGTGATATTGTAGAAAATGTATTGATGTGACATAATGTTGACAATCAGTTCGTAAGTGAAAAAAAACTACAACTAAAAAAACCAAGTTACAGAGTAACATGTATGGTAGGAGGTTATATTTCAAAGATATATATTATTTATAGATATATATATATATTTATATGTATACATAGAAATTTTATGGGGAAACGTTCCTGGAGGCAATACGGCAAAATGTGAATGGTCCCTTTCTCTGGGAGGTAGAAAGAGATTTTTAAGATGTTCTTCCCCCAATTCCATGATGTGTGAGTCAGTGGAGTGGGAATGACATGATAGTTTTCTCACCTCTATGTCCTTGGCATCTGACACAGCACTGACATACAGTGGGTGCATGAGAAATGTTTGTTGAATGGATGGAGAGGAATTTTTCCTGCACATTTTCTATAATGTGCTTGCCTTGTTCTCATAAAGAGAAAGGTAATAAATGCTTAATTGTTAAGTAAATCTTTTTAAAATGAACAGGAAACTGGTCTAAATGAAGTATCATTATCTATTGGAAGCTTGGACCGAGAATGGGCTGCAAGATGGAGCCTTGGGGTAGTGAGATGATGCTATCTGCTTTGATGGGCAGAGCCTGGCACGTTTTGGGGCATCAGGGGCCTCTGTGAGAGCACCTGGGCTTAGCCTCAGATGAAGAGGGAGCTGCAGACAGCACATTCACGGGGGCCGCATCCACAGTATATTGGCGCCACACCAGTCTTCCCTGAGCAGGGTAAGACAGCAGTCTCCACACTTCCAGAAGGTCAGGATGGTATGGAAGGCTATCGTCAATCTATCTTGGGTCACTGGCGCTAAGGAAGCCCCTTGTAGCAGAATTACTCTCCCCTCCTCTGACCTGCTCTTCAGACCAGGCCTCCAACCCAGCCTCATACCCTGCTTTGCCTGGCTACCTGTCCCAGAAGCCTGTAATGTCCAGGGATAAGACCACGACCTGACCCCCTGGCTAGCTCAGTTCAGACTAGCTCAGGGAAAATGCTCAGGTTTGAGGCCACTGGGCCCATCTTTAAGTTGGGAGCATCATTCCACTACTCTGAGCCTCAGTTTTCTCATCCGTAAAATGAAAATAATGCTATCTTCTTTGTGTGGTTGTTAAGAAGATTAAGGAAATCATGTATGTACCATACTAGCTTTAAGCACAGAGCCCAACATGCACCAACTGGCCAATAATTGGAAGTTTCCACTGTCAGAAAAGGGTATCTGGGTTCAGAACAGATTCCCTGTGTAAGAAATGGGGTGTTATGCCAAATAAAGAGAAGACAGCAGGAATCTTCAGCCATGTATCAGTTAAGTACTGCTGCATAACAAATAATCCCACAATTTGGTTGCCCGAAATAACAACTACTCACTATTTCTCATGGTTTCTGGGGATTTAGAATTTGGAAATAGCCCTGCTGGGTGGTGCTGGCTTGGAATCTCTCTTGAGATGGCAGTCAGATGGTGGCCAGAATGGGGATACCTTCAAAGTTTCTTCACTTCCATGCCTGGTGCCTGAGCTGGGCAGATACAACAGCTGGTGGTTGGGACAGTAGGGATCCATGGGCATCTCTGTCTCCATGCCCTCTCGCCACATGGTCTTCCCAGCATGGCAGCTTCAGGGCCACAAACATGTCACATGGCAGCCTCAGGGCCCAAAGATGCGTGTCCTCAGGGAGAGCTGGAGCAGAAACTACAGCACCAATTCAATCTTGCCTTGAGAGTCACCCAGCAACACTCCTACAGTATTTTATTTGTGAGAAACAAGTGGCTCTTTCTCAGGGAATAAAGCTGGTATCCATGCGGGCCGTGGGGTGATGGTGGTGACCCACCCAGGGGATAGAGGAACTGCAGGCTGGAGACTGTGGGCTCTAGCTCCCAGTCACAGCCCCTCCTGACTCAGAGCATTTTCCCCATCTAGAAAGCCAGGGCATGGCCTCGACAGTGTCTTGAAGGCACTGTGCCATTGGGGGTGCTGCAGTGGGGCTGACCTGAGTTTGGGTTCTGGTGCTGCCACTTACTAATTCTGTGACCCTGGAGAAGTCATTTCACCTCTCGGTGCCTCATTGTAAAGGGGGAAAGCAATACCCACTGTGAAGGTGGTGAGTGTCACATGCACGTGAGGTGCACAGCACGTAGGAAGAAGGCTTCTAGTAGTAGGCATCTTTGCAGCATCTGCATAATTACCAAAAATTGTGGAAGCCTGTGACCAAGGTGGTTGTTTTATTTCACACCTGAGACCTTCACTTTTTATAACCTGGCCAGGTGATAGAGAACTTCTACATTCCCCAGCCACTGTCTCCCTCATTCCCCAACACACACACACACACACACACACACACACTCTCTCTCTCTCTCTCTCCCGTTCCTCTCTCACACACATATATGTGCACACATTCTCACATAGACACATGCAGACCCATGTACATACACTCATGTGAATTCATACACACATATACATGTACATGTGTGCACATATGTGCATACTCCCTCTCACACACATGCATATGCACACATATCCATGCTTGTATACATATGTACATATTCTCTCACAAACACACTCGCATGTATATTGTGCACACACGTACACAATCACACACTTATGTATATTTGTCCACACATGTACACACTCTCATAAGAACATGTACACACATATGCACATGGACACTTTCACATTCATATATGCATGTACACATGTACACACACTCCATCTTTCTCATGTACATATACACAACTCTATCCCTGTCACACTCGTGCACACACATATCCACACTCTTACGCATACACACACTCTCCCATACACACGTACACAAATGTACCCACACACACTCCATCTCTCACACACATACACACTCTCCCTCCCCTGCATACCCTCTCTTATGTACACATATACATACACACTCATGTACTCTGTGCACAGTCTCTCATACACACACTTACACACACTCACATGTACACGCGTATGTACACCCTTTCACACATATACACTCACATATAAATGAACACATATAGACTCTCTCTTACACTCATGTGCACAAGTACACATACACACATAATCTCACACACACACTTCACACACTCTGGCCTTCCTATCTAGTCAGTGCTGGCAATTTTTCCATCAGCCCATCTGCCCTACTCTGCACCCTTCTCCACCCCACTCTCTGCCCTGGAGGTCCACCTGTGCATGCATCAAGGGTTTCTTGTTGTGTTAAGCCAACAGCAAGGACCAGCAGGAGATGACAGAAGTAAGGTTGAAGGCTTCCTATGAGGGAAGTCCCTCGAGCAGGCTGGTCCCCACCACTGAGGTCCACAGCTCCTGTCCGCAGGTTCCCATCACTCACCCTCCCTATCCTGTGGTTCTGGGAACCTCTCACCTCCCTTGCCCATTTGCGCTTAGAGGTAGTAACAGCTTCCTGCTATGACTAACCCCAGTGCTGCCCCTGCTCTCTGATATCCCTACATCCTGTCCCCACATTTGTAAATAATCCCTTTAATACTACTCTTCAAATTCCCGTCGAAAGATTCCACCTGTTTCCTGCCAGAACCTTGGCTGCCACATTTTCTCCCTGTGCTCCTGCTTCTAACCTCGCCTTGCAGACAGACTCCCCAAAGAGCCCGTATTCCACATCCCCTGCCCTGCCCCGCCCCAACCCCTTCCATGCCTTTGCATTGCCTCAAAGTCCAAGCACCCTCTCTGGTTCTCTCCCACAAGCCCCCTCCCTACCCAACCCATTCCAGCCGCACTGGAATGATCAAGGCTCCCCACCCACCATCATCTTCATCCTCTCTGACATCTACTGGGCACTTCCTACCTGGCGCATACCATGCATTAGATCCCCCCAGCAATTCTGTAAAGCAGGTGTGATTATTGGCCTCATTTTACAGGCAAGGAAATAGCCTTGGCTTTCCAGCCTCCACACTCACGCATCGAGGTTCCCTCAGGACCAGTGTCCCCCTAGTTCCTCTCAGCTTATCCAGTACCTACCCATCCTTTATGGTTCTGAGGCCACCTCCTCCAGAAGCCTTCCCATTCTGGCCTAGCCCCAGGGAACGTTCCTTCCCCTGAACTCTAGCCATGCACAGTTGCTTTACTCCTCTGTGGGGCATCCCTTTGGGGTTGCTGTCAGGAACAGCTGTGGACTGTCCATTTCTCCACACTGTGGTATTGGGTAAGCATAGAAGCCAGGCTGGCATCAGGCAGTGATCAGAGAAGGCCTCCCGGGGGAGGTGATGGAGAAACTGAGAGCTGACCGACCCACAGTAGACAGTCAGGGAAAGACAAGGGAATAGAGCTGCCTGCAACAGGATCAGCATGTTCAAAGGCCCTGAGGCAGGAGAGGCCATGTCAGTCACACTTATGAGAGTTATCTGTCATTTATCACAACCACCAAGGCCTTCCCTGATCACTGTCTGGCCCCAGCCTGGCATCTGTGCTTACCCAGTGCCACTGTGTGGAGAAATTCTGTCTCCTCTTCTCTAGGAGACACTTGGCAATGTCTGGAGATATTTCAGATTATTACAAGTATGTGTATTGGGATAGGGGTGCTACTGGCATCTAACAGTTGAGGGCAAAGATGCCGTTAAGCATCCCACAATGCACAAGACAGCCCCCGCCACAAAGAATCACCCAGCCCAAATGTCAATAGTGCCAAGGTTGAGAAACTCCAGTATACCAGCAGCATTAGCATTGCCTGGGAACTTGTTAAAAATGCAAACTCTCTGGCCCCACTCCAGATCTGTTGAATCAGAAACTCTGAGGGGTAGAAGTCCTTATTGTAACAAGCCCTCCAGGGGGTTCTGAGTTTTGCTCCAGTGTGAGAAACACTGGTAGAGCCAGAGCAGTTGTCCTCAGCCCCGACTGCTCATTGGAATCACCTGGGAGTTTCCACAGCACACAGCAACCAGCCTCTATCCCAGGTATCCACTTTAATTAGTCCAGGAGCCCAGGCATGGACATTTTTTGAAAGTTTCTAGTTGTCTGTAATAGGCAGCCAGTGGTGAAAACTACCAAGCTAAACTAGCGAGACCAAACACAGGGAGAAGAGAGAGTCTACAAGGGCCAGAACAACAGGGTCTTCAATGACATGCTAAGGAGTGCTGACTTTATTGGGAGGGCATGGAAGGGTTTGTTGCAAGGAAGTGGCACTCTCAGATAGTTTAGAGAGATTTCTGACTGCAGGGAGGAGGCTGGACAGGAGAGGTAGAGGCTGATGGCAGGGAGACCAGTGAGGAAGTTGAGAGGAGATGGTAGACCAAACCACAGTCATGCCCCTAAAAAGAGATGTTGAAACTCCAACGTTTGGTACCTGTGAACGTGGCCTTATTTGGAAATAGGATATTTGTAGATGCAACCAATTTAAGATGAGGTCATACTGGATTACGGTGGGCCCTAAATCCAATGACTGACGTTCTTATAAGGAGATGGAGATTTGTAGATGTACAAAGGCAAGACATACACAGAAGAAAGCCCCGTAAGGACAGAGACAGAATTTGACGTGATGCCTGTGAAAGCCAAGGAAAGCCAAGGATTGCCAGCAACCACTGGAAGCCAGGAAAGGCAAGGAAGTTTCTTCCATAGAGCGCGTGGAGGGAGCATGGCGCTGTCAACACCTTGATTTTGAGCTTCTGGCTTCTAGAACTGTTAGATAATAAAGTTTTACTATTTTAAGCCACCCTGTTTATGGTACTTTGTTACAGCAGCCCTAGAAACTGATACAGGGAAGAAGTGGCCCAAAGCCCTGACCAATGACCCAGGAGGATCAGGCCCTGGACATACCCAGCCAGCTGCTGTTCCCAAGGGCTGCTGCGGGCCAGGTGGCTAGTGGGTGGTAGCCAAGGTTCACACAGGCTGCCAAACACAACTGGGGTTTGGCAAGGCAGGTGTGGAGCAGCAAGGAGTCAGAATGAGATGGACAGAACTGGGGCTTGGAAGGAGAAAGTGTTGGTGTCCTGCACATCTGAGGTGCTGAGGGAGACAGTGTCACCCAGTGTGGAATGGCCATCCTCAAACTGGGCATGGCTCTCACAGCCGAAGTGAGTGTTGTCTGCTGAATGCCTTCCTGTTTCTTTTCCCTAAGAAGGGTGACATGAGAAGCCCCAGCAAAGATGTATCAAGGTGTCACCCAGCCTCCATGGCCCTGTGCCACGGGCACTGCAGTGGCCTCCTAACTGATCTCCTGGCTTCTGCTCTTTCTCCACTGCTATGGAAGCAGAAGTGATCCTTTCAAAATCTAAGTCCAATCTTGGCACTCCTTTACTCAAGAGCCTCCCATGACTTTCATCCCACTAAAAGTAAAAACCAAAGTCCTTATGATGTCCCACAAGACTGCACAGTCTAGGTCCATGTGAACTCATTGATTTCATCTCCTGTATCCACTCACTCTGCCCCAGGCAAATCAACTCCTTCACTTTTGTTGTTTCTTGAACAGGCACATGCCCACCTCAGGGACTTTGTACAAGCGTTCTCTCTGCCTTAAATGCCTTTCCCACAGATACTGGGAAATATATCCATGACTTCTTCAAGTCTGTTTGAATGGCATCTTTCTCAATGAGTCCTCCCTTGGCCACCATACCAATAAGTGCAACCCCTTGCTCCATCATGTTGATCCCCTCAGCATACTCTTTTTTCAATAGTGAGATTAATTTTCAGAACTTGTGTTTCATATTTTTCTCCTCCCGCTGGAATGAAAACTCTTGAGGACAGGGTTTTGGTCACTGGTGTGCCCAAGTGCCTAGTACAGTGTCTGGCACATAGAAACACCCAATAAAGTTTGTTGATTGAATGAATGCTCGAACCCAACATTTTTTGGATACTCACTGCATGCCAGACTCTGAGTGAACTCCACATCCATTATCTCACTTGGTCTTCCAAAATCTAGGAGGATGGTGAAAGGAAGCCACCACCCCTTTTAATTTGATTGAGATGAGGAAGCCAAGGCTGGGAGAGGTGAGGTGACTTAGCCAAGGTCACTCATCTGGCCAGAGTAGGTCACCATCTGCACTGACTAGAAAATGGGCATAAGGGCACGTGAATCTGGCCCCTTCTATGCAACTGGCTTAGGGCTGTAGCTGATTCTGAGCCTGAATCTGTCTCATCTCATTTAACTAATACTGGTTGAGCACCTACTGTGTGACAGAGATGTGTGCTAGAGACTTTAAATGAGCAGGAGATGGAATCCCTTCTCTCTTGCTCTTACAGCCTCGTGGAGTGGGATGCTGCCTAGAGTCCCTGTGTAAGATGATGATGATGATGTTGGTGATGATGATGATATGGTGATGATGATGGTGATGATAATGGCGATGTTGATGATGGTGGTAATGATGATGGTGATGGTGATAATGATGATGCTGCTGCTGATGATGATATGGTAATGATGGTGATGGTGATGGTGATGGTGATATTGATGATGGTGATGGTGATGATGATGATATGGTGATGATGGTGATGGTGATGGTGATGATGGTGGTGATGATGATGGTGATGGTGATAATGATGATGGTGATGGTGATGGTGATGATGGTGGTGATGATGATGGTGATGATGATATGGTGATGATGGTGGTGATGATGATGGTGATGGTGATGATGGTGATGATGATGTGGTGATGGTGATCATGATGATAGTGGTGGTGATGATGGTAGTGGTGGTGGTGGCAACTAATTTTTATTGAGTGCTTACTATGTGTCCAGCCCCATGTGAGGCTTTATCTGCCCTCACTTAATTCTTCCAGTCCCCTTTGATGTGGGCACTATTCTTATCCCAACAGAACAGTTGAGGAAAACAAGGCAAAGCGAGGGGTAGGATTTTGCCCAATGCCACCCAGCTCATAAGTGGGAGGTAGAGCCAGGAGCCCTACACAGGCAGTTTAACTACGGGACCCCCTCCTCCACTCAGCCCATGCTTTTCCCTGAGGTGTGTGTGTGTGTGAATGCACAAAGCACACAGTCCAACCCACTGTGGAAGTTATTTGCAGTGATAAATAACACATGTAACAGAAGTTTATACAAATCGTTAGTGGAGGATTTACGTGGTGAAGGCTGGGGGGCAATGGCCTGTGACTGGTACCTGTAGCTGTTAGCACTCTGCAAAATGACAGTGTTGCTTCCCCACTGCAGCCTGCAGCTCTCCTCATGGGTGCTGGTAGTCCAGCACAGCTTGAAGCCAACAGCCATTTACTGTGAGACTCCAGACACCATGCCCCCTGATGGGCTATCATGGACCCCACCAATGAGTAAGAGGAGTGGCAAACCCCCTCAAGGCAATGCCAAACAAATGTTAAGGTGGTGGGAGCAGAAGATGAAGCACAGGAATCTGAGTCAGACATTCATTCATTCACCGATCAGACACTTATTGAGCACCTACTATGTGCCATGCAGTAAGCCAGTGAATGAGAAGACCATAGCAAGCTGAGCTGGTGCTTTTGTGGGAAGTTTACTGGAAGAGAATAGATTAACATTTAATAATACAATAGAAAGAAACACTGTTGTATGAGCATATACAATACATGGACCTGACCCAGACGACTGGGGATATAAATGGGGATGGAAGAGACTTGCATAAAGAAGTGATGCTTGATCTGAGGTTTGGGAGAGCAGAAGGTGAAAAGCATCTGAATAGGCAAAGGGAATATATCATACACAAAGGCCCCAAGTTGCCAAGAGATAACTTGTATGCCTGAAGCTCAGAGACTGAGCAAAAAGAAGGGTAGAGAGATGGGTTTGGAGAGATAAGCAGGAGGAAGCTCTCATAGGGCATTGTGGCCATTGTGGATGTGGCCATTCTAGGGCTTAGCCCTAGAATCAGTGGAAGAGAAAGGTATGCACTAACTTCATCACATCAGATCTGTACGTTTTGAAACCCCTCTGCTGTGGAGTGAAGGACCAATAGGTGGGGTGACTAACATGGACTCAATGAAACCATTAAGGAGACTCGTCCAGTCACCACATAAGAGGTACTAGCACTTGGCCGAATCTCTGGGGAATTTGGTTCAAATTCCAGTTGTGACATTTACAGGCTCAGTGACCTTTGGCAAATGACTTTCCCTACCTGAGGCTCAGTGTTATCATCTGTAAAATGAGAATAATACTCCTTGCCATGCAAGGGATTGAGAAAGTTCTGTAAGATAGTAACTCTCATAGCCCAGCAGGGGAAAGGAAATGAGAAGGAGCTGCCGCAGACTGCAGTTAAATTCTGCACCTCTTCCCCCGCCCTTCTACTATCTGATCTTGGAATAACCTAACTCTCCCCTTGTATTTTTTTCCTTTTTAAGGGATCTACAGGGGACACCATCACCTCAGAAGAAGGTCTTGTTTTGGTGGACATGGCCACTGGGGGACCAGATGTTTCTTTTTTTGTGACAGGGTCTCACTCTGTCACCCAGACTGGAGTGCATTGGTGCAATCTCGGCTCACCACAACCTTCACTTCCCAGGCTCAAGTGATTCTCCTGCCTCAGTCTCCCAAGTAGCTGGGATTACAGGCACCTGCCACCACACCCAGCTAATTTTTGTATTTTTAGTAGAGGTGGGGTTTCACCCTGCTGGATAGGCTGGTCTTGAACTCCTGATCTCAAATGATCCACCCGCCTGGGCCTCCCAAAATGCTGGGATTACAGGCGTGGGCCACTGCGCCCGGCCAACCAGACGTTTCTTAAGATTCATCCTAATTCTGAGGTTTGACCACTCCTTGGCTTGACATTCAAGGCTTTCCACAATCCAGTCCCAGCTCCCAACTCCCTGGGGGGCCATCTTCCCACTGTGAGCAAGGACAGCAGAGGGGAGGCAGAAGGATAGTCTTTGAACCCAAAGAGTTAAAAGATCGTCATATTCCTTGCTACATCAATGACACCTGACACAACATAAGTGCTCAATTTCTGGTATTGGAATGAAATAATACAATAAAATCCAGGGCTTCCTGGACAAGTGTATCTTAATGGAGTTAGTAGCATCTCCTAAGGGGAATTTTAGGAATGTAGGATGTGAAGCATTTTCTATTATCTTATCCCAGTGGTGCTCAACAAGTGGATATTTTGCACCCTCAGGAGACATTGGCAATATCTAGAGATATTTTTGATTGTCATAACTTAAGGGGGAGATGTTTCTGGCATCACAGAAACCGGGGAGGTTGCTAAACATCCCACAATGCACAGGAAAACCCCCTACAATAACGACTTAATCTGATCTGATCCAAGATGTCAATGGTACTAACTTTGAGAAGATCCGTCCTAGTAATTGGGGAGAATTACATCAGCAATGCAGGACATGCAATTCCCAAGACAGTCCCACAGCAAGAAGAATGGCCCCAAGTGCCTCAGGAATTTTGAGTGCCCTTCTGGGCATTCATGTAGATATAATTCCTCCTTAATAATTATCTGAGCCTAGAATTTAAATCCGTCTTACATACAGCTAAATGTTTTGGCACAGATTTGCTTTACATGGGATTTTCCTTGAATGTAGTTGCAGTGTAAATTGGGGGAAGGGAATACTTTGTTTTATCCAAAACCCCAACAAGAGTTGTTTTTCACTTTGGAAAATCCAGGCATCGACCTCAAAGTTGATCGTGGAACGTGAATTGCTGCCTGCACACCTGTGTCAGTCGACTTTTGCAGTCCTATTCACAGTGACACTACCCATATATATGAATATACTAATTTAGCTCTTATTTCAAAATGTCAAAAATAGAGAAAAAAATGTCGACAATATTCAATTGAATATTTGTCTGAAATTTCAACTTACTCATTATAAGTAGACACAAGCATCAGACCGCTTCATCATGTTTCCTGGCATATAGTGGTTTTTGATAATTTACATATTAAAATAGATATTATTTTATTATAAATTGCTTTCATTTTATTCCTCCCTTACAGTTAGGGCATTATATTAACTTTTTTGAAATTACATGTATATGTAGATGAAATGTATGATTTTCAATTCAGAATAGTGAAGTGGAGGTTATAATGTGTATAACGAAGAGTATGTGTGGTCTGGTAAGGCAGAGCTTCACTGTCTAGTTCCCATATTGAAAGGTCAACATTGATATTGAAGTGGCAGAAGCCAGAGACTCTAGTCATACTGTAATTCGCACTCACTAAAGAATCACCCTGAGTCACACATAAATTTTAAATGTTCTATAGAACATTCATGAAGGTAAACCTTTGTTTATAAACACCTGAGTCTAGCTATTTTATTACTCAGTGTTTGCTGTGTAACAAATAATCCCAAAAATCTCAATTACTGGCAAAAAGCATTTATTTTTCTTACTCAGAAGCCCTACAGATTGACTGCATTTGACTCTAGGCTGCTTCACCTCTCTCTCTTCCTCCATAGACCGGCATGTACCTGGGGCATGCTGTTCTCATGCAAATAACAGGACTGCAAGAAGCCAAGGCAAACCACACAGTATATTTAAATCTTCCCTTTGCATTATGTCTGCTCAGGGATCATTGGTCAAATTAAGTCACATGACCAAGCCCAGTAACAACTGGATGAGGAAATAAGCCCCACCTCTAGTAGGAAGGGCCTCAAAGTCACATGGCAAAGGGCAGAGGTACATGGAAGCTTGAAACATTGGGAACAAAAATCAATAATCCAGCCTAACTCTGTTTTATATCTAAACACAAATTAACTGTGACAGTTTTTTTTTCCATGCTTAGCAAAAGTTTGTTGGATAAATGCTTTCACCACAGAGTGTAAAAATGGCACAAAAACTTTGAAGGGGGAAAGATGAGGGCAGGTAATTCACTTGTCCCAACCTTCATATTGAAAACCTACTATACGTCAGACTCCATATCTGAGCTGTTTTTGTCCTCACAACAACTTGAAGAAACAGAAATGATTGTCTTCATTTTCACAGATGAGGAAATGGAGGCTCAGACAGGTTAAGAAAGTCACTCAACGTCACACAGCTCGTTAATGTTGGAGCCAGCATTCAAACTTATGCATGCATGACTCCAAAGCCTGCAAGCTTTCTATTTCATCGGGATATCGCTCTGTGGATTAGGAGAACCAACCCAGACCCAGTTTCTCCCAGAAACCCCTAGATATTGGACCTAGGCTTTAACACTGGCCTAAGTCATTTCTAGTTGTGGAAGGCAAGTTGAGTCACTGGGACATGTGACATTTATTTAGTTACATATCTCTGGTGGGAGGTTTCGAGGACCATTAATGTTGTGTGTCTGCATGGCTAGTTTACATGCTACTTCTTGTTATTGCTGTCTCTACTCCATGGCCCTCACACTCAATTTCCATTCAAAGTTTGGCAGTCAAGGTGTCAGGGCTAAAAAATGGAATGGCCTCCCTCCGAAATGAAATAATTTTGTTGTTCAGTTCCGAGCGATTTTGTAATTTCATGCTTGTGTATGATAATTTTATGCTGTCCTGCCTCACGTAACTCAGTTCTGGCAGATCCTGACAGGTGATAAATACAATCTTTTCCGCCCCGCATGCGACAGGCCAGTGAGACAGGGGAGAAAAAAATGGCAATTTCACATCTGAGGCCAGTGCACAACTGGAGTCAGCAGCAGCCCCATTCTTTCATAATTTCATGCCTGGATTCCAGTCGGCACCACCTCTGTTGTGGCTGAAGGACCCACGGGTCAAGGAAGCCTTCCTGAAAATAGAATGGTGTTGGCAAAGGCCATGGAATTGGAGGGTAGGGAGGGGAAGAGGAGAAAGTTATGACTCTGGGCCCGCCCTGAGCTGGCGCACCGTGGGCTGGCGATGTTCAATTTATGGTGCTGCTTCTCACCCACACGCTGTCCTCTGAGTGCTCCTATTAAATGGTAGCCTTTTGGAGGCATGATTTTTACAAATCTGTTAAATCTTTGAAGGATAGCCATTTCCAATAAAAAGAGGGAGGGGGAAGAAAAGAGGGAGGAGAGAGGCAAGGAGGGGAAGATAGAGAAAGAGACAGGGCAAGAGTGAGATAGAAAGAGAAGGAGAGAGAGGCCAGGAGATGAGTCCTTAACATTTATCAGCAAGCACTGCATTTTTAAAACTGCTCCCTAGTATTGTTCCTGAAAAATAAAACTGTTCCTCTTTCTGAGAATGAATGGGTCAAAGATTATTAGAGAAATGTCAATGATACAGAGGTATGTAATGGTGGCTGCTGAAATGGAAGTAGGGGCAAGGGCATTAGGATTGACAACGAGGGAGATCAGTGTCCTCTTTACTGTCATGGCCAACTTAAAGGGCACTCCATTCCCTCCCACCCCACCCCCACTCCCTGCCTTTTCCAGGGAGGCTATTTTCTTGCTAAAGGGAGGGCAAGGAACTGTTTTGGTTTAAGCTAGAAGGAGCTCAAGAGAAGACTCATCAGTATTAACAACAATTAATAATAACTACAATTTATTGAGCACCAACTATGTGCCAGGCAATATCCCCAATAGTCT
This sequence comes from Homo sapiens, assembly GCF_000001405.40. NCBI lineage: Eukaryota > Metazoa > Chordata > Mammalia > Primates > Hominidae > Homo > Homo sapiens. The sequence continues at coordinate 27,002,685 of NC_000022.11, read as the reverse complement.
GCAGGCTGGATTTTTCTTAATTTTTCAATGCCTCTCAAGAATAAAGTCTACAAGATGCCCACTTTATAGACGAAGAAAGGGAGGTTGAAAAGTCTAACCAAGTTGGCTGAGGTCACAGCATTCGTTTCCTAGGGCCACCATAGCAAAGTATTAGGTTGGCACAAAAGCAACTGTGGTTTTAATGGCAAAAACCAGAGCTGCTTTTGCACCGACCTAATACTACAAACTAGGAGGCTTAAAACAGCAGAAATTTACACTGTCACGGTTCTGAAGGCTAGAAGTTGGAAATCAAGGAGTTAGCAGAGTTGGTTCCTTCTGGAGACTCTGAGAGAGAATCTGTACCACGTCTCTCTCCTAGCTTCTGGGGGCAGCAGCAGTCCTTGGCTTGTAGGCTGGTGACCCCAGTCTCTGCTCCATCTTCACATAACATTCTCCTCTGGGTCACTGTCTTCCCTTCTTCCTTTCTCTTCTAAGTGTAGGGGCAAAGAGAAAACTTCCTCTTCGCCCTCTGAATCTTCCCTGAAAGTTAACTGACAAAAGGCAGATGAAGAGAAGAAAAGGCACACAAAATTTACTTTAATGCACAAAACACAGGGGAATCACAAGACAATGATTCCCCAATAACCTAATGAGGTAGGGAAGCTTATGTACCCTGTTCCATAGGGGCAGAGGGAGTTAGGGAATGTCTATAATACTTTCGAGGGTCAGCTAGTGATTATTAGGGGTAAGGAAGGGACAGAAATTAACTTGTAAATTTGAATGAGCCCTAGAGACAGACATTATCTTGTGAAAAAGTCCCTCCAGGTATGATTGCACTCCTTGGTCTTCTTTTCTAAGATAGATAATGAGATTTCAGAAAGGGGAGGAAGGCAATTGTGTTTCTTTTGGAAAGAAGCTTTTTCAGACAGATAAGGAAATTCCAGAGAGAGTCCCTTCCTGGGCTTGGGGTAGGAGAGAAAAAAAAAGGTGGGAGGGAGTTCGATTCTGAGTTTGATTCTCTGCGTGTCAAAGCGCCAGTCTTCGGGGTGTGGCCTTCTGAGCCCCAACATAAATTTAGGTTTAGGGCTCATTTTAATCCAGGATAATATCATCGGGAGATTCTTACCTTAATTACATCTGCAAATGCTCTATTCCAAATAACGCCCCATTCTGAGGTTCCAGAGACACATATATTTTAGGGGTGCCATTCCACCTCTTACAGTCACACAGCTCTGAAGTGGCAGAGCAGCCGTGCTTACTTAATCACTAGGCCAGGGGTGTCCAATCTTTTGGCTTCCCTGAACCGCATTGGAAGAAGAATAATTATCTTGGGCCACACTAAAAATACACTAACGATAGCTGATGAGCAAAAAAAAAAAAAAAAAAAAAAAAAATACAAAAAAATCTATAAAAATTATTTAAGAAGGTTTACAAATTTGTACTGGGCCACATTCAAAGCCGACCTGGACCACATGTGGCCTGTAAGCCATGGGTTGGACAAGCTTGCAATAGACTCAACTGCCTTCCATCATGAGCTTTTCATATTGCAGGGCACAGTGAGTTGTTGGTTTCACCACTGGGAGGGGACAGGTTGGGGAGGGGACAGGTTGGAGAGGAGACAGATTTAAAAGAAGCGTGCTTGACTTCCGAATTCCTTTTCCACTTTGAGGCGGCATACCACATTTCTTCCTTTTATGGACATCTAGGTTGGACTTCGAGTTTTTTAAAGTCACTTTATTAGTATGATTTCCATGAACTTTAGAGTGGGGAGAGGTCTTCAAGGTCTTATAGATAGATGCGAGGACCATGTCCATGGACTCAAATGTTGGGTCATCTTGAGGATCAAGACAACACAAGGACACTGACACTGGATGGGTATTGAGATTGTTTTATGGCTCCTCATGAAGCTCCACCCACTAACCCCCCAAATACCCTAATGACACCATTATTCCATTTGACACAGGAGAAAAACCAAAGTCCCTTGCTCATGGGCACATAGGTGGTAAGAAAGCAGAAAATAGATTTGACCTAAGTTAGTTCAACTCCAAAGGCTGGGCTCTTTTTTCCCCTGCTAGACTGAAGTCATTTTCTTGAACTCAGAGCTTCCTCAGCAAATAGGGGTCACAGGATCACTATGCTCTCAGAAAATCCGCCCGCACCTCCCCTTCATACCATGGGTCATTGAAACCTGTGAAAACATTTCCACATCCACAATTTCACCTAGGCCTTGGATCATTAGCCCCCTTCATAATGATGCAAATGATTAGGGCAGCATTGTTCTTATGTTCATGATAAAAAATGAAAGCTTGAAAACTGGAGTTGGGGAGACAGCAGTGGGCAGACCAGATGTGATTCCTGCCTTCATGGAGCTTGTAGTCCAGTACATAAAACACAAGGTAAAAAAGTAAACAAAATATAGGCCAGGTGCGGTGGCTCACACCTGTAATCCCAGTATTTTGGGAGGCCGAGGCAGGCAGATCATGAGGTCAGGAGTTTGAGATCAGTCTGGCCATCATAGTGAAACATGGTCTCTACTAAAAATACAAAAATTAGCCAGGAGTGGCGGTGGCGGGTGCCTGTAGTCCCAACTACTTGGGAAGCTGAGGCAGGAGAATTGCTTGAACCTGGGGGGCGGAGGTTGCAGTGAGCCAAGATCGGGCCACTGCACTCCAGCCTGGGTGACAGAGCGAGACTCCGTCTCAAAAAAAAAAAAAAAAAAAAGCAAAATATAGTTGTAAATAGTTCTAACTATTATGAAAGATTCATGGACTGGTTGCTACTATAGGGAACGTACTTGAAGGGGTGTGATGGTGAAGCTGAGATTTGAAAGATGGTCACAGTTTAGGAGGGGAGGGCATCCCCTCCCAGAATAAGTAGCATTTGAGAAGGTCCTGGGGTAGGAACAGTCTTGATATATTCAAGGAAATAAAAGAATACTCAGGTACTTGGGGCACAGGAAGCAAGGGGAAGTGGAATCAGAATGATGTTAGGAGTTCGGTGATAAGAAGTACTGGTCTTTGGGTCAGGGGCAGGATGTGGGACTCCATCCACAGGAAGCCATTGAAGCATTTTAACAGGTGGAAGACAGGATCCTAGTTATGTTGTTTCAGAGGAGTGTTCCACTGTGCTGGTAGAGAAAAGGCAGGGGCAGGAGGCAGGAGTAGAATAAGCACAGAGATCCGGTGGGAGACTCACTGCCTCCCAGGAGTGAAATGATAGTGGCTTGGGCTGGAGTGGAGCAACGCAGATAGTGAGTTGGGCTCAGACCCTAGAGATATCCAGAGGTGAATCTGGAGACAGAACTGACAGGACCTGCTGACTGATTCATTAGATGTTCCAAAGAGGGGGAGTAATTCACATGAAAGCCCTCTTTTTCTACTCCTGGGTTTCTTAGCTCACACCTGTAATCCCAGCACTTTGGGAGGCTGAGGGGGGCAAATCACGAGGTCAGGAGATCGAGACCATCCTGGCTAACAGGGTAAAACCCCGTCTCTACTAAAAATACAAAAAATTAGCCAGGCATGGTGGCGGGCGCCTGTGGTCCCAGCTACTCAGGAGGCTGAGCCAGAAGAATGGCATGAACCTGGGAGGCGGAACTTGCAGTGAGCCGAGATCACACCACTGCACTCCAGCCTGGGCGACAGAACGAGACTCTGTCAAAAAAGGAAGGGAGGGAGGGAGGCAGGGAGGGAGGGAGGAAGGAAGGAAGGAAGGAAACATTAGGAGTTTTTTTTCCCAGCTACTAGAATTTCCATAAGAAACTCTCTGCTCCAAGACAACATGCTGATGTCTCAAGAAAGTTTTGTAAGTGATTCACAGCAAACACGCAACTCCAGCACTAGCCTAAAAGCAAGAGAGGTGGGTTCCTGGTGCCTCACTTCCCAGTGCCAGGTGGACCCTCAAAGCAGGCCAGAGAGGTGGCCTCATATCACCCAGGGCCTCCAGCAGGAAGTACCATCTTGGAAATGTGCCTTCAGATGTCTGGGCACGTTTCCTACAAACTAGCCTTATTCTCTCTTTTGAGGACAGTCTCAAATAAATTGCTCCTTGTCAGCTCGTTTTTGGGACTGTCAGCCTCTGCAGGATTAAAGTCTTCTGCAGAAAGCCCCCAATTTCATTGTGTGATCAGAAGTGGGCTTGCTCTTCCTCCAGGGCTCTGGGCATTGGTAGGTGTGTCAGCCATGAGGTCCCATGCCATCATGGGGTCACTCAGAGTCAGGTAATCTTGAATGTCTGGCTTGGAGAAGTAACTAAAGATATGGGGAAACCAAACCCCAGGGTGATCCAAAAATTTGAGCAAAGTTATGCAACAATTGTAGCTCCTTCATGGAAAGGACGTGGTGACATCTGCCTTGGGAAACATCAGGAAGAGAGGTTTCCTAGACAGCCTACTGGTGTATAAACAATAATAACATCTGGTCTTCGTTATCAGTGCATCCCTAGATCATAGTACAGGGGCTGCAGAGAGTAGGTTCTGTCAGTATTTTGGGAGGAAATCTTAACATTTACTGAGGACTTACTCATGGGTGTCAGGTCTTCATTCCACTTTCGTTCCTTAGTTTGTTTGTTTGTTTGTTTGTTTGTTTGTTTGTTTGTTTGTTTGAGACGGAGTCTCACTCTGTCACCCAGGCTGGAGTGCAGTGGCTTGATCTTGGCTCACTGCAACCTCCGCCTCCCAGGTTCAAGCGATTCTCCTGCCTCAGCCTCCCGAGTAGCCAGAACGACAGGCATGTGCCACCAAGCCTGGCTAATTTTTGTATTTTCAGTACAGACGGGGTTTCACCATGTTGGCCAGGCTGGTCTCAAACTCCTGACCTCATGATCCACCCACCTCAGCCTCCCAAAGTGCTGGGATTACAGGCGTGAGTTCATTCCACTTTTTAGTTAATTGTACCTGAGAAGAAAGAGAGGAGTTAGTAGAGCTGGGATGTGAACCCATCCGCTTGGCCCCAGAGTCAGTGTTCACATCACCACCACCTCACCTGGAAGCAGAGCTCACTCACCAACCTACAATACATTCGATAGTTATCTCACCCAATATGAAGGTAAAGTAACCATATTCTATGTTCCAGCCCAATGATCACCATGATGAGTAGCAGGGCCACATGGCCATCCAGCACTGCAGTCAAGGCATGAGGCTTCACTCTGCCATGGGACTTTTTTCTGGGGCCTCAGTTTCTCTATCCAGAAATATGAGAGAGAGAAAACAGTTGTCTTGCCACATAAATGTGCTTTGCATACAAAAGGACCATAGAGAAGAAAAATGTTTCACCAACTGGAAAGTGCTACGTACATGGGTAGAATCTGATTATTTTAAAGGCTCTTTTGCATCTCAAAGTCCTTATCTATCCTGTTTCCTGTATGTGTGCCCTACCTGCACACATACAGGTACCCCTTCACCTGGAAAACTCTGACCCCTTCCCGAAACTTTCAGACTGACTCAAAATCTCTATTGGGGACTTTTATTGCACTGTTCGTCTCCTCCAAACTGACATCATTTTTCTAATAATTTGATCATTATCTGAATTCCCAAGACACAATGAGCTTGGCAAGGCCAAGATCACATCAGCTTCAGTCTACTCCATATACTCATCTTGTCATTAATTAATTGTGTGTTGAGCAGATACTCACCTAGAGTGGAAGATACAGTAATCACAGAACAAAATTCCTGACTTCATGGAGCTAGCATGTGGGGTGACAAAAAATAAGCAGTAAAATACAGTGTCCTGGCAGTGCATGATAAATGCTACGGAGAAAAATAAAGCAGAATAACATAAATCTTTATTGACTGGCAAATGATCACAATAATTTGCTTGCTCATTCAACAGCCCTACTGGTCTGCAAGATCCTTCAAGGCAGAGGCTGTGTTTGGCTTGTTCATTTCTGTAACCCTGGTGACTAGCACAGTGCCTAGTACCTAGGAGTTATTCAATAAATATTTGATGATTTAATGAATAAATGAAAAATGAAGAAACCAATCAATCAAATAGATGAATAAATAGAAAGATGGGTGGATGGATGGTCAGAGGGATAGATGGGTGAATGGAGGAATATATGGATGGATGAATGGATGGATGGATGGATGGATGGATGGATGGATGGATGGGCAGGTATATTGGTGAATGGGTTGATGGGTGATTGTGTAGATGGATGGGTGAGTAGATGAGTGAATAAAAGGAAGGACGAATGTGCAGGTAGATGGGCAAATGGATGGATGAATGGATGGATGGATGGATGGACTGAGGGATGGGTAATGGACAGATGAGTGAAGGAGTGAGTTGGTGGTTAGATGAGCATCTACACACATTGAGAGGGATGGATGAAAAGTAGGAACATAAACGTGATGCTGAGTCATCATAATCTTAGAACCTAAAAACTGACATTGGAGTAAACAAAAGGTAAATGTTTCCCACAGATAAAAACCATAGCAAGGTGGTCCAGGGCAAATTCATAAACACACAATGATAAAATTGACATCAAGTCACACATGGTGGCTTCATAGAAGTTTAAGTACACTGCTGTGTTCTCATGGTCTCAAAGCCTGTAACTCACAGGTGACTCCATGCGCGCCAGTCATTAAGGAGCCCTTTTTCCTTGGAGCCACTTTCCTGACATCAACCTGAGGAACGTGGTGTGGTGAGAGAGGCCAGGTTTGGAGTCAGAAATTCAAGTTGGCTCCAAGCTCTGCCACTTGCCAGAGTGGGTGCTTTACTTCTCTGAGCTTGGCTCCCTTGTGGCCAAACTAATCACAACCTATCAATGTGATTTTGGGATTAAGCACAATGCAAAAGTGTCAAGTGCTCATCCTAGGCTGGGCATACAGTAAGTGCCCAATTAGCCCCCTGGATCTTCTACTGCTACATCACAGTGGATTTAACCTGTTCCCCATTGTTCCCATTTGGGTCACTTCCAATTTTCTCTATGTTAAACAACACAACAGAAATGCTTGTAGTTAATGCTTTGCATATGCCCATGATTAATCCTCTAAGGTAAAAGCTTCCAGAAGTAAAAGCTGCTGAATCAAAGGAAATGAATGTTTTTAGAGCTTTTGATACATCAAGCCAAAAAGTAGAAGGACCCCTTGTAAATATCATCCCACAAGCATTAGTGAATGTTGGAGCTGCCAGATTTTGGGATTGCCCTGTTAAAGTCCAGGACACAGCCTAGGGAGTTTCAGATCAACTCTTTAAGTTCTTTTATTGTGCAGATGGGAAAACTGAGGTCCAGAAACAGGTGGAACATAACAGCAGTGATGAAAGCCAGCATTTATTTGGACTGGGAATGCGTTGCTAAGCTCCTTCTGTGCATTGGACTATCGCCAGCTCCCAACACTTCTCCAGAGTAAGAGTCATCATCCCTCTACACAGGTGAGGAAATGAGGCCCCCGGAGAAGTTAAGCAGCTAGCCCTCCTAAGCAGTGAGGCTGAAGTTTGAACCCAGGCAGCCTAGGCTCTAAACACTTGTTCTGCAGAATCACTGACTCCAACATCAAGAGCTGAGTGGACATCAGATTTGAAGGGCAGAGTGTGGGGGAAGTCCAGCAGGAAAGGGGAGAACTTGTTTCAGTATGAGTTCCCCGAATCCCTTCACCCTCCAGGCTCCCAGTAAACCAACATCTCCAGCCAAGTGCCATAGGTAAATTCATGCCTGTCTGGTCCATGAAGTGGGTGGCACTGCCAGCTTCCAGATCCCCAATGCCCCCATGAGTGGATTCCCAGAGCCACTCGCATAGATCTTAGCTCCAGTGTTTCCGCACGTGCTGGTTCTACTCTGCCCTGGTGTGGCATGCTAGAAGAAGGTCAAAGAGGGACTTCAGATTGCCCTTGTCTGCCCATTTTAGAGTTGTGGCTGTCTTCCTACCACTTAGAGGCCACCAGAGGCATTATGAAACCTGTGGCAGATGCTTAAGCAGCTTTGTGACACCCAAAGGAGGAACCACATAAGGACTTCTAATCCTAGCTCTGCCATCCCTTGCTGTGTGACTTTAGAAAACTGACTTAACCTGTCTGGGCAGCCCTTCCCCATCTCCAGCATCAAAAGAAACACCCTTAATATTCCCACTGGCTTTACACTGCTTCCAAAAAAGGCCTTAGAGCTATGATCATCCCAATGACAAATTTCCCACCAAATCCAGCCTTTGCCAGAACTAAGACCTTTGCCACTACTGCAGGCTATAGTGTCCCCTTCCCCACCGCCACACATCCGGAAATTAACTTCATAACTTTCCATTTTGCCATCATTCCATGAGTAACCATAAATCACCATTGGTTTGGGTTGCGTATTTTTACACATCGTCCTTTTAATGTCTCTCAGAAAATATAAATAAAGCATACATAACCATTAGAACACTCCGAATCCTGAAAAGTACATAAGAATTTATTTGTCTCCATGTGGATCATACATATTGTATTAAAACCACATAAAGGGGTTTAATAAAATGGCAAGAAGAGAGGCAGGAGCGCGGCATCTCGGGCGAGAGAGGTGGAAGCGATCTTTCTTTGATGCCTGTTAAATGTTCCAACAGATGAACCCTATATTCTGCCAGGAAATGAGTTTACCACTGGCCTATTGGGTCTGTCGTAAGAGGTTGGACTCACCACGGTCATCCCTCTTTCTGGCTCAGCAATACGTTACACCGCCTCAATTTTTCATTCCTTGCTGCCCGAAATGCAAATTTCTTCTCTGTTGTTTATATTAGGTTTTCAAATATATGGAAATCCAGAGATCTGCAGGGAAATGCCAGGGCCACGGAGGCACTCAATCTGTCTTTTTCCTCTGACTGACTTCTTTCCATCACTTACAGGAAGTGTGATGGCAGTTGAGCAGAGAGTACAGGGCAACAGGACAGAAAAGTGCCGCCACTCTGGTTTTAAGGGCAGCTTTTTTTTTTTTTTTTTTTTTTTTGAGACAGAGTCTCTCTCTGTCGCCAAGACTGGGTGCAGTGGTGCAGTTTTGGCTCACTGCAACTCTGCCTTCTGGACTTAAGTGATCCTCTCACCTCAGCCTCCCGAGTAGCTGGGATTATAGGTGTGCACCATCATGCTCAGCTGATTTTTGCATTTTTTGTAGAAGCAGGGTCTTGCCATGTTGCCCAGGCTGGTGTCAAACTCCTGGGCTCAAGCTATTCACCTGCCTCCACCTTCCAGAATGCTGGGATTATAAGCATGAGCCACCATGCCCAGGCCAACAGCAGCTTTTGAATTGGTGGATTTGCTTTGAGCCTTGAAGGGCTAAGTGGACTCATTTTAGTTGCCGTTGCTGAGTGCCCACCATGGGGCCAGAAACTAACTACTCTGTAGCAGAGATCAGGTCCCCAACCTCTGCCTAGGCAGAGATGATGGGGAAGATTCCTGCATGAGGCAACAGGAACATATTCAGCACTCACTGGATACCAGGGACTGTGACACACAGTAGCTAAAGCCTGAAGGTTCCTTGAGTTCTTCTTGCATGCAGACACAGTGAGAAGCATTTTGCACAAACATCTTATCTCATCACCCCCACAATTCTATGGTGTAAATTTATCACTTCAATTTGGCAAATGAGGAACGGTGGTTTTACGTAATATGTGTCAACACCACACAGCCAAGGAAGGCAAAGGCGAGTTTCGAACTCTGGTCTTATAAGTGCCAGTGCTCATATTGTTCTACACCAAGGATCAGCAAAATCTCACTGTAGAGAGCCAGATGAGAAATATTTTAGGCTTCAAGGGCCACAAGGTCTCTGTTGCAACTACTCACCTTTGCCATCATATTGCAAAAGCAGCCCTACATTAATGAACAGTCATATACTAACAAGTGAGTGTGACTGTGTTCCAATAAAACTCTATGCACAAAAACAGGCAGTGGGCCAGATTTGGCTCATGGGCTGTAGTTTGCTGATCCCCATTCTCCCAAGGCTGCCCCTGGTGTGACAGGGAGCACTTGATATTCCACAGTGATTCACCAAGATTATTTTACAGATGCTGACCTTCTAGAGACTAACTGGGTTCCCCGGGAAATGTCATCATTGTCAGCATGTTAGGCATAATCTTGTTTCAACTTCACAGCAACCCAACAAAGTGGGAATTTTAATCACACGCATTTTACAAGGGAAGCAGCAGGCTCAGTGAGTGCTCATGTTCAAGTTCACACAGTGAGGCAGTAGTAGACCTGGGTTTCGAAACCACTGGGCTACAGTCCTTTGCCTGGTCAGGGTGGTTTGGAGACAGTGTGACTGTAATCAGAGGCTGCTTCTGGTGGGAGGTAGAACTGCTCAGGGAGTCAGAAGCACAATCCAGGCAGGGAGTGGAACAGGATGGGCCTCAGCTGTAAGTCCTTATGACCGAGTGGGTATGGCAGCCCCCTCACCACTGACCCTTCTCATAATGACCATGGCCAGAACGCAGTAAGATGGCCCCAACCCACAGCAAGAGAGGCTGGAAATGCGGCCTTCCTATAGGTCTAGATGCAATGGAAAATTAGTGTGCTGAACAATTAGACAGTCTTTGCTTTATCTACAATGCTAGCCATTATGGAGTAACAGAGAAAGGAACAGGGCATGACTCCAGCCCTCAAAGAACCACAAATTCTGGGTGGTGAGCCACCGGCACAGCACTGGAGTGGCCAAACTGGATATGGTGCAAGCCTCAAGCCCATTCTTTAAAAAAGCAAAGACATAGGTCAGAATCACCCTTTCCCTGAATGCCTGTTTGTGCCTCTGGCTGGTCACTGAGGCCAGTTCACAGAGATACTGCACCCCTAGTCAATCACCAGCATCCCAACTTCAAAAGAAGATGAACTATGGAGGTAAATGAATTAGCATTCATTAAGGGTTTCATATGAGCTAGAAACTAGAATCTTAAACCCTCCTCAAGTCCTCATGTTGGCCCCCATGGGCATGCATAATTTTCTTTATTTCATCAATGAAGAAACTGGAGCCCAGAGAGGTGAAGCCATTTTTGCAAAGTCACACAGTGAAGAAGTTAAAGGTTGAGCCGTGACTAGGCTAGCAGGGGACCTTTTGGACTCTTAAAAGATGGGCTCTTTTCTCTGCATCACATGGAAAGGCGATTTACAAATGGCCAACAAGCACATGAAAACAATGCTCAACATCCTCTATACATTAGGTAAATGCAAATCAATACCACAATGAGATACCACCACATACCCATTAGAATGGCCACTATTAAAAAAAAAAAAAGAAAGAAAGGAAATAACAAGTGTTGGCGAGGATGCGGAGAAACCGGAAATCTGCACTGTTGGTGGGAATGTAAAAGGGTGCAGCTGCTGCAGAAAGCAGTCTGGCAGATTTTCAAAAAGTTAAACAAAAATTATCTTGTCATCCAGAAATTCTGCATCTGGTTATATACCCTACAGAATGGAAAGCAGTATCTCAAAGAGATATTTGAACTCCGATGTTCATAGCAATATATTCACAATAGCCAAAACATGGAAATAAACCCTGTCCATCAACAGATGAATGAATGAGCAAAATGTGATATATCCATGCAACTCATATATGTGGAATATTGTTTAGCAATAAAAGGAAGAAAATTCTGATATACAGTCACAACATAGATGAACCTTGAAGACATTAAGTGAAATAAGCCAGTCACAAAAAGATAAATACCAAATGATTCCACTTATATGAGGTACCTAGGGGAGTCAAATTCACAGAGTAGAATGGTGGTTGTCAGAAACTGGAAGGTAGGGAGGAGCGAATGGGGTTATCTTTTTATAGGTACAGAGTTTCAGTTTTGCAAGATGTAGAGAGTACTCGAGATGGATGGTGGTGATGGCTGCATAACAATGTACTTAATGTCACTGAAATGTACACTTAAAAATGGCTAAAATTGTAGATTTTATGTGATGTGTATTTTACCAAAATTAAAAAGAGAGAGAGGGTGAGATGTGTACTCTCTCTTCTCTCTCTCTCTCTTTCTCTCTTTCTCTCCTGAGGGCTCAGAAGGGGTGGAGAGCGGTTGGGGGAAGAGAGCAGAGCATTGGCCTGGAACCGTGGTTTGAATCTCGGTGCTCAGTGCTGATACTGCTCAGCCCTGAGCCCTCGGCTGGCAGCTTCTGCTCTCCAAGCAGCAGTTGGTGCCTCCATTCATAGAAACATTAAAATTGTATTTTTCTTCTCTCCATGCTGGATTTGAAAAATGCCCTATCAACTCTAAAGCACTGTTTTCTGCAATCTTGTCGTTTTGCATTCACCTCTTGGTCATAGGAGGTCCACGCTTCTGTGACCTTGTGGCTGGAGCCAAATGTCTTCCCTGCTGAAGGCCCCACCACCACCCACCAGAGCCTTGTTACCTGAATTCTATTTCCATCTTTTATACCTTTGGCAAGTGCAATGTCTCCTCTGGAGGGTGTGAAAGGGCCTCTGGTGTTCCTTTCTGTGCCAGAACATTGCTCAGCACAGGTGGGGGATACCTAAGGCCCCGAAGATTCTGCTTCTCTGGAGATGGAAATGATGGCAGCATCTCCCTCAAATAGAGCCCTCTTCCCTTGGGAGGGAAATAAGGGGGCTGTATCTTTGAGGATTCAGATGCTGGAGCCAGGGAAGCAGACGAGCTGACCCCAGACTGGAGTCTGCAACATAGAGCTCCTCTTCACCCCCAAAACATCACCAGAGCCAAAAGGCAGGAGCAGAGAGGGCTGCACTAGTCTAAGGCTCATTCCCCTTCACCTGGTGAGATGCTATTTCTATTCTGCTTCCCTACAAAGCATCCCTCGATTCTTTCATTTATTTACTCAACAAACAGATATGTACTAAGTCCCCATAAAGAACACCAGCACCTACTGTCATTCTAAGGCTCCTTGTAAAGTGCTCAGCCACAGCCTGGCTTCTGGCAAGCCCTCAACACCTCTGCATGTTCCCCCTGGGAAATGCTATCATCAGAATTTCACAGGAGCTGTTCCACTTTCTGAGATCACAGACCAGGGCTACAAACATCTCTTTTCCCTTTCTTCCACATGTGCTCTCTGGATGGATGCTCCAGCCCATGAATCCTTGGCTCCTGGTCTCTATATGGGTCCATTCATCATTAGCCAAGGTCAAGTCACAGGTGCCTCCTATCATTTCTCAATTATGGGTGGCCCCTGGGCCAGCACCATAAAGTGGGCTCTGCTTGGCTCATATTAATTAAATATCACAGGCTTCAGGGAAGGAGCCAGGGAAGGAGGCTTGGCAGCTGGCCTCTCTAGGCTTGCAGCTCCTTCTCCAGGTAAAAATGTATTCCCTCATTCATTCAACAGATAATTATGAGGCCCCTACATGTGTCCAGGCCAGGCACTATGCCAGTCTCTGTGTACCCAATAGCAAAAAAGATCCACATGAATCATACCCTGTGATGCACATACACCAATGAAAAGGTCCCCAAACTCCATGACACATCTTCGTGACCTAGCGTGATAGTCTGGTAAGAGGGCCTTCAGGCTCCATAGCAATGAGAAAAAAGATTTGGGAGTAAGGTGAGGTGGGGGACACGTGATAGTTACCTCATTTCTGAGTTCAGTAAGCATCAATGATGGAAACCAGAGGCAGTGTGACTCAGGACAGAGGGTCTGTCCAGCTCTAGGAGTAAGAAGACCCGATCTCCAAGCTCCTCTCCAGTCATAACACTCTGATTCTGTGACTTTCGGGTTCTTCGGGGCCTGTCCCTTTTTACAGTAAAGGAAAACAAAATAGCTTACTCACTGTGTATTAACAGTTATCTCATGGAATCATCCTCACCTACCATGAAATTCTTGATGCTAAATAAATGAGGACTGCAAGGGTGATGTTATTGGAACGTTTCAGAACCAAAGCTTGCAAAGAGGAGGAAAAGGTCTGTTTTGCATCTCTGAGTTTCCATAATCAAAATCTACCCATTTCTCTGCCTGCCTTTCTTCCTTCCTTTCTTTGCTTGTTTACTGTGATACAGCCTGGCAAGCCCCTGACATGTGGCCAGGTACACAGGGGCCACTCAGCACATGTCTGAGGATGGTGACCACTGAGGAATAAGAGGTCAGAGCACTGGCACAGGTCAAACACCAGACATATATTTGTCCATTGATTCTCTCAGCACCCCTGCAATCTGGGCATGTTTGCTACTGTTTATGGATAACACTAAGGCTCAAAAACTGAAAGTTACTTTCTAAAATTCTCCAGGCCTCCCTTACTCCAAAGCCCTGGCTCTTCCTGCCACACTGTTAGGAGGAAAGATCTGAGGACAAGGCCAGAAATGTGAAAGAGAAATGATAGTACAGGTTGCTGACAGACATGCTTTGCAGAATGGTCACTTTAAATTGTGAGTCCATTAGTGGAAAAGGAGATGTTTCGGCTCCTGTCCTGAGTATTCTAAGGTTTAGAATTCTAGCAACACTCTGACTATCCTGACAGAACAGTCAGAGATACAGTTAAGGCTCCATCCACCTGGACAGTCCTCACTGAATCATGTATGAGTGACAACTGAAAACAGTCATTAGTGTTCACTAGGTACCGAGAACTGTTCACCATATTTTACTTGAATTGATTTCATCATTATAAGAACTCCAGAAGTTATCACCATTGTTTTACAGATGAGGAAACTGAGACACAGAGAGATTACACAGCCTGTCTGTAATCACGTGGTCATGCTGCTGAGATGCTGGTATGGCAATTTCTGAACCCTGGTGCTTAGGGCTGGAGCCCAATGCCTTAACTTTCATGAAATATCATCTTCTCAAATGCACACCAGTAGGAAACTGATTGAGTGAATTAGGGAGTGTCCACCCAATGGAATACTACACAGCCATCAAAAGTACTTATAGTTGTTAATACATAGAAAAACGTAGAATGAAAAAGTCAGATACAAAATTACACATTGTATTATTTTATTGATATCTAAAACTGTCAAGGAAAAACTGAAGAAGGATATGCAGAATAAGTTCAGCTATCCTTCCATTCGTTCATTTATCTAACCATTCACCCATCCACCCATCCACTCACCCATTCATCCACCCAGCTATCCATCCAGCCAGCCAGCCAGCCATTCATCCACCCATTCACCCATATGCTCATGTATCCATTCATCCACTCACCCATTCATTCCTCCAAACATCCACCCATTCATCGGTCTATCCACCCAACTACCCATTTATCTATCCATCCATCCACCCATTTATTCATCCATCCAACCACCTATTCACCCATCCATCTACTCATCTATTCATCCATCCATCTATTCATTCATTCATTCATTCATCCATTCATCAGTCAGTCTAGCCATCTACTCATGCAGCCCTTCATCCACTCACTCTTCAATCCATCCACCCATTCATCCATTCATTCAACAAGTATTTATTGAGTACTTCCTTGTATCTGCTGCCCATAAAGTGACAAACGGGACTCTATAGCTGATGAGCCACACAGGGGTAGTCTCTGCCCACCTGAAGTATGCTGCCTACTGAGGCAGACTGCAACCAATCAGTGTCACATATAGATGGCTAATGGTGATTGTGACCTGTGGGATGTGTGGCAGAGACTATGGCATCAAATGACAGAGGCACAATTCTAAACTTGAATGAGAACGGCAGGCAGGAAGGGCTCCTAGGAGGAAGTGATGTTTGAGTTGCAACCTGAAGAATGAGCAGGAGTCAGCTAGGGGCAGAGTAGAAAGGAAAGTGCTCTGGGCAGAAGGCACAGCAATGTTCAAAGGCTCTGAGAGGGGAGAGGACCAGCCCACTCCAGGGACAGAAGAAAAGCCAGCACAGCTGGAGTGGGGAGCAAGAGACGGTCGGGGAATCATTCTTCCTGAAGTCTGAGATTAACAGTAATTTTTTCTTCCTGTCTTTGTAATGAGCATACATTTCTTTAATAATAAGGGAAAAAAACGGTTTAAAGAGGGTTAAAATAAAGAGTGAGGCTTCCTGAGGAAGACATAGAATACACAGGACAAGGCTGTCATTACAGGAAAAAGACTGGGGCCAGAAACAGAGCTGGGGCTAGCGAGGAAGCCAAAGACTCTCCCCTACCAACCCCCACTCCAGCCTCCCTTCCATGCTGGGCCTTCCTCTTGGGGGATTTAGGCAGGGAAAACAGGGAGGGGGCTGTGTTGGAAGAGTCTGGCATGAGGAATAGATATTAATGTCGCAGGAGGGGGAGCTGAGAGGAAAGCAGACTATTAAAATTCTGTAGTCCTGAAAAATACATAAGTCTCAAATAAGACTAATGAGACATTTACTGGTGTGGTTGCCTTGCATTAATGACCCTGCTGAGGATAAGATCGCAGAAGGCTTTCAATGTAATTACCAGGCTAATGATTAGCTGTGACATCACTGGAGACTAAGACGCAGGCCTTGTTTTGGATTGCTTTCAAAGTCAGGATGCCACTGACCGCCTTGCTGTCTGAGCAATCTCGGGGTGCCTGCACCCCACCCTTCTGTCCCTTCCTCCCGCGGCTGTGGCTGCTGGCCTCCAGCCAGCACGCCCCCACACTCCCCTCCTTACCTTCCATGCCTGCATTCCTGAACATTTTAAGAAGGCCTCTGGGACCAGGAACTTCAAGCAGCAATTTGTCGGCACGGTTGGGAATGGGGGTTGAATGCCTGGAAAAGTGGAATGTCTAGAAAGAATCTTTAATGAACAAGTGATGCATTAACTGATGAATGCTCTCAAAACCCTTCTGCCCCATGAGACTCAGGAAAGACCAGCAGACAGCACATAAGGCTTCATCTCAGAGAACCATTGGCTCTGAGTCTACCCAGCCCACCCATTTGAACAGATGGGCAATGCAGAGGCTTAGAGAAGAGAACTAGCTCCCTGAACATTACTCAGCAAGCCTTAGATTCTCCATGTGGATTATAGCAAAATACAAGAGGGGAGTGACAATCTTATCCAGCCCTCCCTCTTCTGGAATCCACAGCTCTCGAGATTGCTTATTGCATCCCCTTGTCATAAAAACACAAAATAAGCTCTAATTAACTGTTAATTAGAGAGAATTAGGGAGAACAGCCTGGACAATGGCATGGAGAGGGGAAGGACTCATTGAGACTAGCTGTTGTATTGCTGAAGAGTTAAGCCTTTATTTTATAGATGTCAGGGATACAGGGAAGAGGTAAAACCTAGGGATATGGTTCCTGGTCTTTGGACTAGCTGAAAGCATTTGGGACACATAGAACTTCATATACAGCAGCTCATTCTCTTTCTTGAGAATCTATCCAGAATCATGTTGCAGGAAACATCAAGCCATCAAGGGGAGGAAAGATGGAGCAAGAAACTTGGGGGAAGCAGAAGACAGTCCAGTACACAGTAAGGAATGGCATGGAGTAAGAGATTCGGAACCAGGACTCTGAAAAGTTAGGTAATTTTGCAGTTCCTCCTTTGCATGGGTTTGGCACAGAACCAGGCAATGGTGACTTAAAAGTCATTTAGATCTAGATCATAAGTTTCCATTGAAACAGCCTCCAGAGTGCAGGGGACTGGATCAATGGGGGATTGAGCTGGGGGAAGGGGAAAATGGGAAGCCAAAAGCGGAGAAATTCAGAGAATCCCCTGCAGTAACACTGAAGTATCTGCAGACAGCAGGGTGTATAATGATGCATGATAAATAGCTGTTTCCTTTCCGAGGCCCCAGAAACTCATATTCTGGAATCTACCCCCTCCTAGGCTCGCGTGCATCACCAGTGCACATATCTTGCACATCCAGAAGACCATAGAGTTTGGGGAGGTGGGATCATCTAGAAGGATGGAGAGAGAAAATAGGGTTGGACAGAGCCTCCCTCCCACCAATTTACAGAGGAAGAAACTATAGTCCAGACTGAGCCATGACTGGCCAAAGATCACACACCCAGGTGTTCCCCCTCCAGCCTACTGATCCTCCATTCCACAGGTTAATTCCTTTCTTCCTGTATTTCCATTTTAGCAACTCCAAGATGGCAGGTTTAACAGGTAATTCCGCTTAGAAACTGAACTAGAAAAGGAGGGGACATCTTAAGCCATCATTATAATAGCACAATCAGCTGCTCTATTTGCAGGGACAGATCATAATAAGATAAATATGAGGTGAGCAAAGGAAAACCGTTTTTCCTTGAGACCTGATTGTGTCAGTACTTAGCAGAGAGGCAGTTACAAGGCCATGCATGGATTACAGGCAGAGAATAAATCCCATGCCAACAGACAGTGGTACACACCCCAGGCTTAAAGATATGGAGGGCAACCCCATTCCTCTGAAACTCAGGTCAGATCCATGGTAGAGGTTTGCCTTTCTTGGATCATGCCAACCATCTTGGGCAGCACTGTCTACTTCTACCACCCACCACCGGCTGCCCCCCCAGATCCCTCTCAACCTTCAAGACCACCTCAAAGTGTCAAAGCCAGAGACATGAGCATCCAAGTCCTGATTCTGTTCCTCCTCACTCAGGTAGCTCTGAAAGGGTGAATTAAGCCTTTAGTGTGGCTTCAGTCTTGACTTTTAACCACCTGGTTCTCAGTTTCCTCATCCTTAAAATGGCCATAGCAACTGTCGTAGGTGCCTAGAGGCAGTGGCTGCACCAGATAAAACTGGAGGTCTCTTTGAAGATCTGGGATGTCTTTTCTCAATTTAACTCACCTTTGAGTCTCAGCTCCCAATATAAGCAAACATATTTCCCTGAAGACAATACAATCAGATTTGACTTCAAATTATCTGAGGTCCACCACTTCCAAGCTGTGGGATCCTGGATAAATTTCTGAGTCTGTCCAATTTCATGTCTCCAACTATGGATTAGGTACAATAGAAGATACTGTCTTGAGTTGTGTTTCCTAAGGAGAACCTAAGTCTGGAACTGGGGCCAGAGTGAGGACAGGAGAAGAGGGTGTGTATGGCGCATCTTGTTTAGATGGCAAGTGAGGTGCACAGGGTACAAAATTTAAAGAAACCCTCACTCTCCGGCACATACAGGTGCAAAGCCAACCCCTGAAAGTAGAAGCCTCCTTACATTTTGTGCCCTGAGTGCCTCTTCTGCCTCACCCTAGTCCTGTCCCTGAGGCTCTGGTGACTCTTATGCAAGAGATTTCTTTTGGGAGAGCTCTCAGGAGAAAAACTTGTAAAGATGAGGGGAACTGAACAGAGAAGGGGAAGAAGCCAGGCAAAGTAGTGGTTTCAATTCAGTGCTCACCTCTGCCTGATTCCTGGGAGCTGTGGACCATGAATGACACCAAAATATTGCCCTCCAGGAAGACAGGGGAGCTCCTATATTAGTCACTGACTACAGACAATCCCTGAGTGTGCCTAACTTCTCAGGCATTTCTGAGCAAGGTAGTTCTAGAGCCAATCTTGGGAAGCAGGGAGAGGAGTCAGCAACCAACACTCATAGTAGCTCAGGGCTGGGTGCACCGACCAGGCAAAGAGGATTTGAACAGGGACCAACAATGTCTGCTGTGAGTGCCATCTCCAGAGGGTGGCTGGGAGGTTAAGGAAGGGGATGGGGACATGGCACATCTTGTTTAGATGGTGCCTAGCAGACTCTCAACTAAGGGTAGTTAATATTACCCTAGACAAAACAGCAGGCTCCATGGAAGCAGACTTCATCCCAGTCTCTGCCAATCTATTCCCAGTTGTTAGTTTAGTGTTGGTCCTATAGTAAGTTCTCATTTGTTCACCAAATGAATGAATTATTGTTACCGGTATCCATTATTACCATAATTACCACTATGTTGGCTGAATATGACCATACTAATACATGACAAATAGATTAGACCACTCGTTCCAAACTTGAGGTGAGAAGATGTTTCCAAAGGAAATAATCTTAAATTTTATTTTGGTTTTTGTTATTTTCTTTTTGAATTTCCAGCTGATGAGTGCTCAAGGCAGCTTCTTAGCCTCCAAAGCCCTGGGATAAGAAGCCTACTCTGTGACCTGCTCTGCTATGCTGTCTTGAGGTCTCTGGCTCTCCATAGACCCTTGGCCTTTTCAGATCTTTCCCATTAGCTATCTCCAAGCCAGACTCCTATGCAGGTCATCATGCTCTTTCTCTAGGACATGGCTGTCCATGGCTCTCAAATTCTGGGCTGAGCCTCATGACCTTTGTCAAATTCCCTCACAGATGTGCTGGGATAAAATGAACCAATTAACCCCAATACACTTGCTTTTTTTTTTTTTTTTTAGACGGAGTCTCATTCTGTTGCCCAGGCTGGAGTGCAGTGGTGTGATCTCGACTCACTGCAACCTCTGCCTACTGGGTTCAAGCGATTCTTCTGCCTCAGTCTCCCAAGTAGCTGGGCTTAACAGGCGCCTGCCACCACGCCCAGCTAATTTTTTGTATTTTTAGTAGAGACAGGGTTTCACCATGTTGGCCAGGCTGGTCTTGAACTCCTGACCTCAAGTGATCCACCCACCTTGGCCTCCCAAAATGCTGGGATTACAGGCCTGAGCCACCGCACCCGGCCAGCTCTCCTTTCAAATGTCATCTCTTCCAGGTAGACCTCCCTGATCTCCACCTAAGCTGCTACAGGCCCTCACTGTTCTCTGCCCTCTTCCTTAATGCACATTTTGCAGTTACATGTATCCAATTGGCATGATGGCTTACTTAGGTCTATGAGTTCCATGAGGGCAGGGCTGTGTCTGGCTATTCACTCCTTTACCCCTAGTGCCTGGCACTGAGTAGGTGCCCAGTAAACATGTAATGAATTTAGAATTGGCTCTCCTGCAACTCACTTAAAGTAGGTACCCTAGGTATCTTATTCCTCAGCCTTGTTCAGTGGGTTCTGGTCATCATAATTGCAAACAGATGCCATCCCCCACCTCCCACCATCCTCCTTTACCCTGCCTTCAGTTGTCTGCCTGCTTAGATGCTATATATTTTCAAGGCATTACCCTGTGTGATATGCATTCACACCACCCTCCGGCAGCTTAATCTTCCCCTCCCCAGTGTCCATTGGCATAATCAACCGGGGGCCTGCCCAGAACCTGCCAAGCTTATATTAATGTTGGCTCAGAGAGAGATTTATTCCTTCCCGGCATAGCTCGGGCTGGTCCTGGCTCAGCTAGGACTCCCCCACCCTTATACCCCTAACTGCACGCACATACACACACACACACACCAGCTCCATGTGGAGCCAGTTCTGTTTAGTGTTTGGGAGGAGAAGCTCCTTGGCCTCTGCCAAATATAGTCAATCACCCCCAGAGACTTTCAGAGCCTCTGCATCTTTGTTGGGGCTGGAAACTTGTTTCTTACTCTGCAAGGGCCACGAGCACATCGTGAATGTGATCTCACTTGGACATTTAAGTGCCAACCCTGGGATCAGACAGCTGTGTGATTTGAGTGAGTAATTTACCTCTCTGATAATCAGTTTGCTCATTCATAAAATGGAGATAATATTAGTGGGATAACATTAAGAGCTCGCGCTCCCGTAAAAGGTATTGTTTAAAAAGGAGAAACAAAACAGCCGCCGTCCTTGGAAGTGGGAGAGGCATAAGACAGAATGTCTACTCCCACCTCAGCCAGAGGTGGAGTCAGTCTTAGCCTCTGACCCCTGCTAGCTCCAATCACACAAACACTGCAGGGAGAAAGAGAAGAGCATCTGCCCTGGAGTCAGGCTGCCACCCTGTTCACCTGCTTCTGTCCTTGCCACCTGTCTCTGAGCTCCGGTCACGCAGAACTCATTGATCCCAGGACACACCTCCTTAGTACATGCTGTGTCCTCTGCCTGGATTTCCCTTCCACCTATTATCTGCCCAGATATAAAACCACCACTTATTGAAATCTTCCCTGCTCCCACCTCTTCTTTCTCAGCTCCAAGTAGAGATCATTTCCTGGGTTACCACACAACCTCATAAAAAGTTCTATTTGAACACTTTCTGTACTTACACCACCAGGATGTGATGTGGCTCTTCCACCAAATGGTGAATGCCTTGAGGACAGGAGTCTTGTCTATCTTCGATTCCCTAATGCTTAACCTAGTGTCCAGCACGTGGTAGGAAACTTAATCCATGATTGAATAAATTGTCCTCTGTGCCCCCAGTGTTTAACTCCAAGACTAGGACATACTAATTACCTAATGAATGTTTGTGAAAATGACCAATTAATTGCTATTTATCTGTCTCCATAGCCCCAGAGCCTAGAACAATAAGTGTTTGAATGAATGAGCTGTGCTCCACATTCCGGGCACTCAGTATGCTGCCTGGACCACAGTAGGTGCCAAGGAAAGGTTTGCATGTATGTTTACATTCCCGGCACCTGGTATAGAGTGTAGCTGACTACTGCAACTGACAATACCCATGCCCCTTCAGCCCAAAAAGCACAGGTTTATCTTATTTACCTGATGATGCAATGCAGGTTCAGGGCAGCAGAGGATCAGGAGTGAGAGAGAAGCTCTGTTCCACTTGTTCATTCAAGAACCCAGGCTCCTGATGATCCTGCAAGTTTCGACAAGTGGCCTTCTAGGGTCACACTGGGTGCTGAAGCCCAGCTGGCAGGTTGGAGAAAGAGTAGGATGATTTTGTGGCTAAGCCAGGGACTAGCCCACATCACTTCTGCTCAAGTTTCTTTGGTTAGAATTCAGTCACATGGCCAGACCTCACTGCAGGGAAGGCTGGGAGATGTAGCTTAAACTGTGTGCTCAGGAAAAAAAAGAAATTGATTTGATGAGCAGTGAGTAGTCCTACAAACTTGTCAATTATCCGTAAGTATTTGAGGAATAATAGGAATAATGAGTTTTTCCTTATCTGGATGCTAGCACAATGTTTGCACATAGTATATGCTCACTGAATAGTTGAAATAATCCATCTCTGTATCCTTGAAAGCCTTACATATTTTCTGGCATGGAGGTGGTACTCAGTAAATGAGTAGATAAAAGGAAGGAAGGAAGGAAGGGAGAGAGGGAGGAAGAAAGAAAGGATGGATTTAATAGTTTCATAACAGATGGGTGGATGATGGATACATGAATGGATGAATGGATGAAAGAAAGGAAGGATGGGCGGGATAAAGGAAGGAAGGAGGAGGGGAATTAAAAATGAAATGAAGTATTTCAGAGTGGATGGATAATGGATAGATGAATGGATGAAAGAAAGGGTGGGTGGGAGAAAGGAAGGAAGAAAGGGAAGGAGGGAGGAAGGAAGGATATGTATAAAATTTCAGATCCTAATATAGTTCTTCGCACATATTAACCGTTTGGGAAATTGTTACCTTCGTAAACTAGCGTAATGGGTTAGCCCTGCCGACTCAGATTTTCCCATTAACCTGATAATGGGTCCCATGGGATCTGCCCTTGGTCCTGATCCCTTGGTCCACACCAGCCCCACACCTCATTATACTCTACATAGGGACCTGGCCACCTTCCAGCTTCCAAGTAGGAAGGAGGTTACCTCCCGGTTTCCTGGATGTGGTGGCTAAAGCTCCAGTGGGAGCTGTGGAAGGCAGGGGGTGGGGAGACAGAGCAGGGTTTTCTATTCAAGGTCTGCTCCCTGCTTGAGTGATCAACATCATTTCCATACTATAATTACATTGCCCAATCCTCTCCTGATTTTACTGCTATCTTGTAAGCCATCCCGGTTGTGAGTAATTTAAAGCTATATGAGATGTCAGACTCCGTGAAACAATCACCCCTCAAAGAAATATGGCCCTAGATCATAATTGATAAGTCCCATTAGGCAATGGGGCCTCTTATTTCCTATTTGGTCTCTTCTGAGATGGCCTTGTTGATTTGTCTAATGCAGACTCTGTCCCCAGCATTGTCAAGGAAGAAAGATTCCTCCAGCTTTTGGGGATGAGGGCTCAGGGGCCCCAAGCCTCGGAGTAGATGGAGGATGGGATTGAGGTAGGGTAGGTGGCTAGACCAGATACCTCCTGGCTGATTATTCCCTATGGTCTGCCTGATTTTTCTTGCCCAGAGAACTCCTACAAAGAGAATCTGCTACTACTGGGGATCAATAGGATCTGTTCTTGTGAAACCTGGTTAGGATAAAAGGAAAAGGGGGAGCATCTGGCTTTGAGCTCAGAGGTGCTCCCAAGGGGATGTCCCAGAACTCTGCAGATGGCCCAGGAGGGGCACATATCTTTGCAAAGCCTACTGCTCCATCAATCCTAATATCCTCATTCTCCAGCCTCTAACCTCTCAGCCTGGAGCTTCAGCTGAGCTAGAGTGTGATGAAATAATTGTGGCTATCTTGTGCTCTTGTAAAATTTAGAATTGGTTTGCTCAGACATCTCCCCAACTCTGTTTCTTCCCTTCACTCGTATTTTCTAAGTTTAGGGGTCAGAGAGGAAAGACTTCTCCTGTTGAAGAGGAAAGCATGCTGGAGTAAAGAGGAAAGAGCACTAAACTGGGAGTCAGTCAATGGGATTCCAGTCCCTACCCTGAAGCCAACTTTCTGAGCTGCTATGAGCAAGTCTCTTCCCCTCTCTGGGCCTGGATCTCCTCGCCTTAAGATAAGGAGTTAGCCTAGAACACATTAAAATTAGTTGCCAGGATTTAAAACCAAGAGATCTCACATAAAAGAGGCGTATAGCTCCTCCTATAAATTATGATTAAAATCGCCAGTCTCACATTCCACCTGGCCTCAAACAGCTGAAACTGGGTGGTGGCTTCCCTTTTTAGGTGGAGCCTGTACTCTCAACTTAACCACAATCCCCACCACTCCCTATTGCCTTATAACTTGCTTATGTTATCAACTGGCCTTTGTAAGCTTATGATTGTAATTTCTAGATATCTACTCCCTACTCCAGCTTTATTAGCTCACAATAAACTCACTCTCACAAAGGAGCCAATGGCTGATAACCATCACCTGTTAGACTCCTTGCCAACACTAATTAACCCTGAGCGGTGCCAATTCAGCACCCTGGACAGACCACTGAAAGCATTATTGGAGGCAAGTGAGTCCTCCCAGAGCCTACCAAATCTCACCTTGTAGGCAGCCACCCCCTTGCCTAGACTGAGAATATGCTGATACCTGGTTCCCTGGAACTTCATCTTGTGGTTACTACCCACCCCCAAATGTCCGCAGCTTCTGCTATCTGCCTGATTGTTTGTAATTCTGTCATTCTTTGTGATCGGGTTGGGAAGGTGGGGATACCGGGATGAGGTGGGTGATCCTTCTCTGGCAAGATATGTCAAAACTGCCTGTCTATCTTTTGGGTACAACTGCTGTTTCCCAAACGTCATCATCCATGTTGCTGTAAAGAATGACGGATCTGATATCATATGTTACCACTGTGCACTTTCGTTTTTGATATCTGTTTTTCCTTCCAAAATTTGCTGAGTGATTGATAGGCTGGGGTTGCTTTTTTGAGATGCATCATAAGGCCTCCTTCATGAACAACTTGGCCAGGCAACGTGGATTGGAGATAAGGGAAAATTGTCAAGTACCTCCAAGCTGTTTCGTGCTGGCGTCTCTTTGCAAGTTCCCTCCATGCCGTCCCTCTGGGAGTCCACAGCTGTCAGAAGGAGATCAGTTGGTGAAGCTGGTTTCAACTCCTTACAGTTACTTAGCCCAGCATTCAAAATCTACCACAATTTTGGACCCATTGAGTGCCACTCTGTGCCAGGCACTGTGATAAGGACTAGGACATAGGAAAGAATAAGTGATGTCTCTGCTCTCATGGAGCTCCTATTCCAGTGGGCAAAGTAGACAATTAAAAGAAAGATACGAAATAGCCAACAGTGACAACCACGGGGAAGAAAAATATCTGAGTAAAAAGAGGATGATGGCAGTAGATATTTTAGATTAGAGACATCGGGGAAAGCCTCTCTACAAGGTGGCATCTACACAGAGACCTAGATAAAGTAGATGCTCAGGTTGTGGGGAAGAGCTCTCTGAGTGGAGGGAAGAGTCAGTGCCAAGGTCTGACAGCTAGAATGTGATTGACATGTTTAAGGACTAGAAAGAAGGTCTTTGAGGCTAGAGCAGAGTAAAGGAGAGAAAATAGAAGATGCTAAGGCCAGAGAGCTGGTCTTCATCATCCACTGCTCCCACCGACATTGGCTTTAAGTACTTTCTTAGGGCTCTGTGCCTGGCAGGGAGCGTTTCCAGAGAAACAGAACCAATAGGATATGTAGACAGAGATGTAGATGCACACATAGAGATAGAGATGAAGACAGAGATGGAGACGGAGATAAAGATGGAGATAACAGAGATAAAGATATAGATAGATATGGAGATGGAGATGACAGAGTTGGAGACATAGATAATAGAGATAGAGATGGAGATGATAGAGATGGAGATGGAGATAGAGATGGAGATGAATTGGAGATGGAGATGATAGAGATAGAGATGGAGATGAAGATGATAGAAATAGAAAAGGAAATAGAGGTAGAGATAGAGGTACATAGAGAGAGATAGAGATAGAGAGATACAGTAAGATACTTATTTTAAGGTATCTGCTCACGGAATTGTGGGGCTAACAAATCCAAAATCTGCAGGACAGAAGAGCAGGCTGGAAGTGCTCAGGGAGGAACTGATGCTGCAGTTTTCAGACAGAATTTCTTCTTCCTCAGAGAAACCTCAGTTCCACTCTTCAGGCCTTTTAACTGATTGAATAGGGCTGGATTATTCAGGATAATCTCCTTATCTAAAGTCAACTGATGGTAGATATTAACCATATCTACAAAATGCCTTTAGAGCAACACCTAGATCAGTGTGGGGTTGACTGGGTGCGATAGCCTCACCAGGTTGACACATGCAACTCCCCACCACAGGCTCTCTGAGCTCCTGCTCTATTCCGACTACATGCCTCTGCTGGTAGCATCCTGTCTGTGCACAACTCCAAGCGTGTCTCCTACCAGGATGACCAGCATAGTGTCTGACCTAAGGATATAGTTATTATTATCTTGCCAGTCACCTTAAATATTTTTAGAGAAACTGAGAATACATTACAAATGAAAATACATAATTTCCATGTCCCTATCTGGGTTGTAAGATGCTTAGATTTCAGACAGAGGAGGTTGGTATTGGTGGGAACTCCTCGTAACTCAGTTAAGCAAGGAAGCCTAGGTGACAAATACCTTTAATTCTGGGTTAGGTCTAGTAATACAGTCCCTGTAGATAGACCAGTGCAGGCATAATCATTAGCAGGATAAATGGAAAGTTCTCTGATCCCCAGGTTCCTGGGTTGGAGGCGGAGAGAGGAAGGGGAAGACACAGTAATTCATTACATTTGTGAAGTGTTAGTCACAGACCATTTCATGTCCATGCATTCATGTGAGTCTTACAACCCTTTTTGTGGATAAGGGAACTCAGGCCCAGAGAGGGGAAGAAACTTCCCCGAGGTCATATGTCAATGGACGGAAGTAGAACCAAGCTTATAATCCAGGTCTCCTGCCCATGCCCCCCAGTTCTTCCCAGGCCTCCACCCTGTCTTCCACCTCAGAGAACTCTTCCCAGACATAAGACAGGCAAGCTTGCCCCATCTCCTCCAAAGCTCTGAGGGCTGATGGATAAAGGATTGACCTGTGATCCTCTGATGCATCTGCTTATTCTCTGAGCTTCTACATAACAGCAGAAAAACAGCTCTATACTAAGTCAGGGCCAGAGAGGGCTGTGACATTATCCTTAAGGATACATCATCCATAAATATGTCCCCAACTCCACCCCCTGGCTATCCTCCTGTGGGGAGAAAGAATGTCAAGCCCTCTCTATAAGGCTGCCCCAAGTCTTTCCAGGCTGGACCCTCCCCAACTCCACTTTACTCTATCAGGCATTCACTGTGGGATTAACATTCCTAACCTCAGCTGTGGTCTTGCCAACCCCTGCTCAAAACTTCAGTCCTCTGTCGGTTTCAGGAAGGAAGTCCAACTTCACAGCATAGCTTTAAGGAAGCCTCCATGATTGGTCCCCCAAAACTTCTGCAGCCTTCCCCACCTCCCAGATTTTTACACATCTCTGAGGGTCAGGTCACACCTATGTCCTCCAAGACCCTGACTTTCCCACCTTCCCACCCCTCCCTCCACTGGAAAAGACTGCTTTCTGCGTTTAAACATCCTTGAGAAAATTCTATTCTGCTGTAAGAAAAAAGAGAGATAAAGTGTACTATATTAAAAGTGAGAATATCTATCCATCAAATGTCTTCATTAGGAGAATGAGAGAGAAACCCACAGAGCAGAGAAGATATTTGCAATAGGATCTTCAACCAAGGACTTGTATCCAGAATGTATAATCACCTATAACCAATAAGAAAATGGTAGAGCACCCAATAGAATAAAAATAGGCAAAAGACTTGAACAGGTACTGCACCAAAAGAAAATTATCAAACGGCCAGTAACCATGAAAACATGTTCAGCTGCATTAGTCATCAAGGCAATGCAAATTAAAACTACAATGTAATACCATCTCACTCCCAAAAGAATAAAAATGAAGTAAAATGAAAATGACAGAAAATACCAAATGTTATTGAGGATACACTGCTCAAATGCTCATACACTTCTGGTGGGAGTGTTAATTGGTAGAACCATTTTGGAAAATTGCTTGGCAGAGTCTACTGAAGCTCAGCATATGCACAGCGCATGACCCAGAAAGCTTACTCTTAGGTCATATCCAACAGAAATGTGTACATATGTTCCTCCAAAGACATGCACTAGAATGTCATAGCAGCACAACCCACCATGGCCAAAAACGGAAACAACTCAATTCTCCAGCAACAGCAGAATGGGCAAATAAATTATGGTGTATCCACACACTGGGGTGCTGGATAGTAATGAGAATGCATGAGGTACAGCTACACACAACATGGATGGATCTCACGAACATAGTCTTAAGCAAGAGAAACCAGACATAAAAGGCAGGAAAAAATAATCTGTGGTGCTAGGAGTCGGGCTAAGGGTTACCTGGGAGTCACTGGAAGGAGTCTTCAGGAACTTCTGGGGAGCCTGCCATACTCTGTTTCATGATGAGGGTGCTGGGGGCATTCATCTTGTGAAATGTATCAAGCCGTGCACTTGTTTGGTGTATTTATACTACTAAGAGGAGCTTTAAAAAAAAATCCAACTGCCTTCGAACTCCAGGGCAAGTTCTTCCTTGTCCAGACAAGCTCCCATTCCTATTTTATTTCACCTATTCTGTATCTGCCTGGGGTCCTCACAGAATGTCCACTGGATGTGTGCATCTCCCCTGTTACTTTGTGAAAAACACTGAGGGCAGGAATTGGGTCTGGCAGAATTCATTATCTTATCCAGCCTCTGATTCAGGCTGCCACATAGCACATGCTCAGTAAAGTACATGTTGAATTGAATACAGCAGAGTGGGGGAAAAGGTGTTAACCACAGATAGACCTGAGTTTCAGTCCCACCCCAAGACCTTTGTACTTGTTCCCATTGCTGAAGCATCTCTACTTGGCTTACCCCATCCTCACTTGATCCAGGTTTCTGCTCAAAGTCACTTTATTAATTTTTTATGTTTATTGTTTTTTTTTTTTTTTTGAGACAGAGTCTTGCTCTGTTACCCAGGCTGGAGTGCAGTGGCATGATCTCAGCTCACTGCAACCTCTGCCTCCTGGGTTCAAGCGATTCTCCTGCCTCAGCTTCCCAAGTAGCTGGGATTACAGGCATATGCCACCATGCCCAGCTAATTTTTTTGTGTGTGTATTTTTTTTTTTTTTTAAGTAGAGATGAGGTTTCGCCATCTGGCCAGGCTGGTCTCAAATTCCTGACCTCAAGTGATCTGCCCACCTCGGCCTCCCAAAGTACTGCGATTACAGGCCTGAGCCACTGCGCCCAGCCAAAATCACTTTATTAAGGAGTCCTTTGTGGCCATCTTCTGTGAAACAGCACCACCCCTTTATTTCTCAACCTCTTTTATGTTTGTTGTTCTTCTTTTCAGAACTTGAAGTTATCTGATACATTACTTATTTACTTATTTATTTATTTACCTTTCCTCCCCCCACTACTAGAAACCAAACCCCAGGAGAGCAGTAACTTGATCAATTTTCTTTCTTGCTATAAATCTAGATGCTAGAATGGCACTTGTCACTTAGTAGGTTCTCAATAAATATTTACTGAATGGATGTATGAATTCATGAATGAGCAACTCTGGCAATTTTCTTGCTGTGTGACCTTTGACTAGAGATGGCATCTCTGAACCTAACTTTTTCTCATCCTCAAAGTGAGGCTAGTAGTAACACCTACCTTTGTGCTGTGAGAACTGACTATGATTATACATAAAAAGCACTTCTCTCAGCCCATGGTGAGATATGCTCAGGAAATAGTAGCTGCTCTTAATCACCATAGCTCATTTTCCTAAGATGCACATCTGGCAAGTCTCCACATCTCTGAAATCGGGTGCCTCTTACAGTTGGCGTGTCATCATTCACTTGGTAGTGACCATGTGTGTTTGGCTTTCCACTGTAACCCTATGCCTGGCAGCGGACCTGGCATGTGGATGTCTGTGAAGGAGGCGAGTCAGTACGAGACCCAGACTCAGGATGCCTGGACTTTGCCAACACCCCTCTGTGCGGCTTTGGAAGAGCTTGCTATCATTTCTAAGCCTCAGCCTTTTTAGGGATACCATGGGGAAATGGCTGAGTGATAGTTAGAGACTTTTCTAGCTCAAACTCTGGTGCTAGCATCACCTTACCAAGCAGTGGGCTCTATCCCATTCATACACGCTATGTCACTTCTCCAAATCCTCCCCTGAAAGCCAACCGCCTCCCAGACCCATTGGGACTCACAGATACCTCAACCATCATATAAACAAAACTGAGTTCAGTTTTCCCAACCTGCTCCCCTGTCCCCTGCAGTCACCTCATTAGCCTGGGAGTCATTTCTGGTTCTTCCATCACTTCTTCCTCCAGACAGACACCAGATTTGCCCACTGAGTTCCCCAGTGTCTCTGGACTCCACTCACTTCTCTCCTCCTCATCAACTCTGCCCTAGTTCAGATCACTCCATCTTCCATCTGCCCCAATTCAACAGACTCAATAACTATTTGATGAATACTTAAGTATAGAACTGAGCTGCCTCCACAACAGAGAACCGAACATCTACATTTATTTTCCCTCATTTATCACTCTTGATGTAAATGGGCTGTTAAAGTAGGTAGGTGTCTCTGCTCCACAAAGCCATCCCGGGACCCAGGTTTCTACCACCTTGTAGCTCTGCCATCCCCTAAAACAGGATTGACAAACTCTCTGTAAAGCATCAAATAGTCAATATTTTATTTTTTGAGACAGGGTCTCACTCTGTCACCCAGGCGGGAATGCAGTGGCATAATCACGGCTCACTGCAGCCTCAACCTCCCAGGCTCAGGTGATCCTCCAACCTCAGCCTCCTGAGTAGCTGGGACTATAGGTGTATGCCACCATGCCTGATTGATTTTTCATATGGACGAAGTTTTGCTATGTTGCCCAGGTTGGTCTCAAACTCCTACAGTCAAGTGAGCCACCACCTTAACCTCCCAAAGTGCTGGGATTATAGGCATGAGCCACCACAGTGGGTCCAAATAGTCAATATTTTAGACTTAGAGAGCCATAAACATTTCTGTCACAACCATTCAACTCTGCCTCTGTAGCAAAAAGCAGCCATGGACAATAGGTAAATGAATGCATGTGGCTGTGTTTCAATCAAACTTTATTTACAGAAACAAATGGCCAGGAGGTACAGGTTCACAAGCAAAGTTTGCCAATCCCTGCCCTAGAGAATGATCCTTATCTCCGTGGTTGAAACTATTCCCCATCATTCTGACTATATCCAAGACAGGAAAAAACGAGGGAAATGGGACAGGTAGCTCCCTTTCAAGGAGGAAGTGTGAAAGTTAAACACACACCTATCACATCCAGTCACATTTCATTCGCTAGAACCTAGTCACATGGCCACACCTCGTTGCAAGGGAGGCTGGGAAATGCAGTCTCTAGCTAGGCAGCTCTGTGCCCTGTGCTTCAGGGGATTCTATCACCAAAAGGAAGACGAGGAGATTAAATAGTTGTGACCATTAATAGTCTTGACTACAGTCTCCAAGCCTAGGGCCCTGGCCAGCTCCTCTCTTCCTCCTCCAAGTCATTTTCACCCATTGTCCATCCAGACAGATCTTTCAAGGGTTCAGACATGATTATGTTGCTCCTGTGCTCAAGATTCTTCAATGGCTCCCTATGACTTCTGAAATAATAAAGTCAGTCAACAAACACTCGTTGAGTCCTGTTTTGTGCCAGATCATATGCCAGGGAATGGGTTGTCACTGGCCAAAGAATAGAAAAGACATAGTCCCTGCCTTCAAGGAACCTTTCGATCTAGTGGGAGCTAAGTAGAAGCTTCTTAATCTAGCCCACAAGGTTCTTAATGACCTGAGCGCTGCCTCACTCTAACCCCATCTCCACCCAGCCCAATCTCCACCCTCCACACAAACACACCATATTTTATCCTGCCTTTGGGCCTCTGCACATGTTGTTCACTCCTACACAGAATGCCATCCCTCACCCTATCCCCTATCCATCACCCACCTAATACTCATGCCTTCTTTAAGGACCAAATCAAGGGCTAGAAGCAGTGGCTCACGCCTGTAATCCCAGCACTTTGGGAGGCCAAGGGGGGCAGATCATGAGGTCAGGAGATCGAGACCATCCTGGCTAACACAGTGAAACCCCGTCTCTACTAAAAATACAAAAAAATTATCCAGGCGTGGTGGCGGCGCCTGTAGTCCCAGCTACTTGGGAGGCTGAGGCAGGAGAATGGCGTGAACCCAGGAGGCGGAGCTTGCAGTGAGCCGAGATGGCGCCACTGCACTCCAGCCTGGGCAACAGAGCAAGACTCTGTCTAAAAAAAAAGAGGAACCATTCAAGCATTGCTTTCTCTTAGAAGCTTCCCTGGCCATTCCCTGGCTGGATCAGCCATCCCTTTTGGGCTCCCACAACCTGTCTGCTTCCCCTATATCATCACTAATCACTCTGGGCTAGAATTGTGTTTTCTCCAAACAACCTGCAGGTCCCTCGTCAATAAAAGATTCTGATTCATTCACTTTATATCCTTAGGGCTTTTCAGTATGGCTGGTAAAGAATAGGGGCTTAAATAAAATTTTGGAAAAGAGGAATGAAGAGAGGGAGAAAGAAGAGAGACAAAGGGAAGGAGGGAAGGAGAGAGAGAGGGAGGGAGGATTAGAAAACCCTCCTCCCAAAGCTTCTCACTTCCCATCCTGCCACAGTCCCTGAATTTTGACCATTAGGAAGAAGGAATTAATGAAGTCTCCACTGACATTCTTAATCTGAGAATGACAAGTTACCAACAAGGTTCACGTTTTTCCATTGTCTCTTCCTTGCCCCCTTTTCCACGTTTCCTCTTCCAGTGCTTTATTTCTATCTGTCTATTTAACGATGATACAACTCACATTCTCCTTTTTTCCTGCCCTTAAACTTCTGAATTTTTAATTGAGCAATGTAAACTTAATTTTTTTTGTCTACCAGATATGAAAGGTCTTAAGCCATGACAAGAAAATGAGTGATGAATTATGCAAGCAGCGAGCGCCAATCTGACTTCTGTGATGTGTTGGGTTATAATTGCACAAACTATTGCATCCCTGGATCCAGGAAATCTGGTTTTGCACTTTCTCAGACATCCTTACAAAAGGGTGACAGCAGATTTCACAAGTGGATAGAAACAAGAAAACTGGACTTTTTTTTTGAAACAGCATGGACTGGAGTGCCCATCTCCTCCTGGCCCTTCCGGTTGTGGACTCAGCTTACCTCGCCCACATTTGGCAGGAGGTACTGGTGTCAGCTCCAGCTGAGAAATAAGATCTGGTGCCTTCCCACAATGATGGCTATTTATCAGGCATGACACTCGATGACTCAGGGGACTGGAAATGGGATGTGGCATCTCCTGAGATTGAGGGAGTCAGAATCTACCCACAACACAGGCATGCCCAAGTAACATGGGATAAAATTCATTTATTCAGTACTTTATTACACTAATATTTATTAAATGCTTATTTTTTTGCTGGTCACTTATTCAGGCATTGGGGATACCAGTCCCACTTTTGTGAGACACATGTTTTCATGCTGGAGACAGAGAAGAGAATAGAATATACTGACTAGGTAATTCCAGCTGGTTTGGTGAATGCTGAAAAAACAACAGAACAACGGGTTGGGAAAGAGTGGTGATGGGGGATGGAGTGGGTAGCACTTCTTTAGATAGCGGTGGGTAAGAAGGCTTCTCTGTGGAGACGATGTCTGAGCTGACATCCTACTGAATCGAATGGGGAGCTTGTTCCAGGCAAGAAAACACCCAGAGCAAAGGCCTTGTGATGAGACTGAAAATGAAATGTTTTCTGGATGGGAAGATGAGCCAGGTGACTAGAACATAGTGAGTAATGGGCCTTTTCTTATCAATATTACCAACATTGAAGTCTGGCATTTGGACATCATGTCTCTTTTCCATTTTTTGAATAAAGCATTTTATGTTACTACTTGGGTGCCATAGAATGTCAGAGCCAGAAGGATTTTAGAGGTGACTAATTTTAGCAGAGAAACTGACTACTCAAAAATGTCACTGGACTGTCAAAGGCATGGATATGTTGACTTATCAAGGCATTGGAATTGACAATATTGAAAGCATAGAGCTCTTTGTCTTAGAAGTTATTCCCATACCTATGATCTCAGTAAAATCCTCTTAAAATGGCTATTTTATGGATGAGAAAATTGAGTTTCAATGATATGCCCAAGTTCATATGGCTAGTAAGAGGCAATGCCAGAATTAGGTTCCAAGTATCTTGCCTCTGTGTTATCTTCTGTTTTCAGATCCCCCAAATCTCCTGCGTTTTGTCCTGTAGTAAAAAAAGCTCCACGTTGGAAATCAGAAAAATAGGATTCTAGTCATCACCCTGGCCCTCTTGATCTGTGTGACCTTAGCCAGGTCTCTTCTCTCTCTGAAGTTCTTCCTCATCTGCAAAAATGTGACAGTGGTGACTGTCTTATTATATGCTTGACAGGATTAATTGAGATCATGGTCAAAGAAAGGCATTAGAGTTTCATGGTTGAGAGCAAAGTTAGACAGGTGTGAGTTTGTGTCTCAACTCTGCCCCTTATCTGCTGGATTGCTTTGAGCAAACACTTTGAGTCTTGTTTCTTTGTAACTGAAATGGAAATAATAAACATAGAGTTATTGTGATAATTATGTGATGATGATGCATATAAAATACCTGGTACATAACAAAATTCAAGAAATGGTATCATCATTATCATCATCACCATTGTCATCATCAGCCATCATCATCGCCACCATCATCATCATCATCACTATCATCATGATGTCATCATCATCATCATTACCATCATCACCATTATCACCATTATTGTCATCATCACCATCATCACCATTGCCATCAGCACCTTCATTGTCATCACCATTATTATCAACACTATCATCATCATCATTATTCTAACCATTATCATCCTAACTATTATCATCACCATTATCACCACCATCATCATCACCATCATTATCACCATCACTACTATTATTGTCATCATTGCTATTATCACCAATACCATTGCCATCATTACCATCCTTATCATCACCATCGCCATCATCAAACATCACCATTATCTCCATCACCATCATCATTTTCATCATCAGCACACATTGGTATTGAGTGTTATCTAAACTATGAAGCACAGCCCAAATACAAAGAATCATTATTATGACTGACTTTCCTTGCTAACTGCCAACCCCTCTCTTGAACTTAGTATAATGCCTGGGAGACACTGAACCATGAGCCCCTATATCCACCCACTTCTTTATTCAACCAACATTTATTGAGAGCCTTCTGAGTACCAGGCACTGGGGAAGGCACTAGGGACCCAGCTGTGAATAAAAAATGGATGTAA
Organism: Homo sapiens; assembly: GCF_000001405.40. Classification (NCBI taxonomy): domain Eukaryota; kingdom Metazoa; phylum Chordata; class Mammalia; order Primates; family Hominidae; genus Homo; species Homo sapiens. The sequence goes on along the minus strand of NC_000022.11, from coordinate 26,966,986 downwards.
TTCTTGCCCTCATGGAGCTCACAGGCTAGAGGGGAGCCCAAGAGTACACAATTAAACCAACAAATCAATGCCCTAATTACAGGTTGCTGTGTTATTTAATTACAGAGGATGATTAATGGCTCCCAGACTTGGAGGAACTTTTCAGAATGTGTAGTGCTTTAAAGGTGACAGGCACACTGCATTCTTATTAACAAAGCATTGGCCTGTAGTCAAACAGCCCCTCTTAGGGGTAAGGAAGAGGCCAAATTGGAAGCTGGTGAACCCGGCTTTGGCTTTGGAGCCAAATATCCCACACTTAAGAAACACAAATTAGAAGTGCCCCAATAACCTTACTGCGGAGCTGTGGGGGAAGAAGGAAGGGAGAGAAAGAATGGGGTGCATCCTTGATCCTGGGCTTGTGCTGCTTCATTTAACTTTCATGAAGAAGTATTAATCCCATTTAACACAGAAGGAAACTGAGGTGCCAGGTGAAGAAGTCATCATGGTCACATAGCTAGGACAGGCAGAGGAGGGAGAATACCCATGTCTGCTGACTCAAATGTGTCTGATTGTGACCACCATGCAACTCAGCTTCCCTTTCCTAAGGATCATGAGTGTTTAAAGTCTGGTGATCAGCTGCCATGACTCCCTCCCCAACCCCAACACACACACACACAAATGTGCATCCTCTGGGGCCGTCACTAACTACCTCCTCCAGCTGGGAAAGAAGGAAGCCCTTGGACCTCCATAGATAATGTAGTGGAAAAGAGCATGGATTCTGGCCTCAGATCTGGGCTTCAATGCAGCTCTGAGTCTCAGTTTCTGCATCTGTACAGTGGAGCCAATAGTTGTACCTGCCTTATAGGGTGACTGTCAGGATTCAAGGAATAAATACATTCAGGTTCTTAGCACATAGAAGTAATAGCATTTGGTAGTGATTATTGTCAACGCTACAGCCAAAAGAGATGCACCAATATCTAATCAGAGAATGTGACAGCTCATTTTTGATAAAGAAATTGTGCCTTCAATCCTCTCTTAAAAATTTTCCCCAAAGCAGGACTTTTCCCAAGAGGCTCTGATAGAGAAATCACTTACTTGAGAATTTCTAAAATAGATGTTCCCTCCCAACCTAGTTTTTTTTTTCCTTTTCTCATAGCAACCTATTATCATCCTTCCTTTTTCATACCACACTGTGGTATCTCACAGTTACAGTTGTGTTTACTTGTTTATTCATTTCTTTGCTCCTATTTGTCTAATATTTCTCTGTAACCTCAGCTTCTAGCGTCCTACCTAAAGAATACTGATGGAGTACATAGATGACAGTAAGGCTGAGAAGAGGGCCCAATGAAGACACTGTATCATACTTTGTGAGTTAGTGTCTAGCTGAAAAGTCACCACTTCTCAGAAGTCTTCTAGGATTCCTTCCCTCTGCAGAGGGGCACTAAGGACTGTGGAAAGAGTACAAAACTAGATCTTTCAGATCTAGTTTGAACATGCTCTACCACTTTTCAGCCTGAGATCATCTCTGAGCCTCAGTTTATTTATCTAGAAAACTGAACCTCCCCCTGACAAGGACTCCCACCTTTACCAAACATTAGTCAGTCTCTTCCAAGACCTCTTCCCAACTAGGCCTTTTCCTTGACCTGCCATCCTTGGCCTGTAAAACTCAGGTTTAGCAAAAAAAAAATCCTGCTAAGCAAGTTTAACAAGAATCTCCCCACTCTTATGTCTAATCAAGTTCCTCTTTGTCATTTTCCATCCACTTATTCTCTCATCCTGCCCATTGGCTATAAATCCCCAGATGCCCTTACTAGATTCAGAGTTGAGCTCAGTTATATGCTTAAGTCACTCTCCTCTATTGCAGTAGCTTGAATAAAATGTATCTTGCTGTTTTCACCAAATGTCCAGAGTAATTTCTCTTTGATATCTCTCAAGATTAAATAGGAAGTTAAGTAAACTGCCAAGTCCAGAGCTGGGCACTCAGCTTATGTTAATAAATGTTAGATGACTGAATGGATAGATGAATGGATGGGTGGATGGATGGATGGATAGATGGATTAATGGATAGATGGACAAATGGATGGATGGATGGATGGATGGATGGATAGATGGATGAATGGATAGATAGATTAGGGGATAGAAGGATGGGTGGATGGAGGGATGGATGGATGGATGGATGGACAGATGGATGAATGGATAGATAGATTAGGGGATAGATGGATGGATGGATGGATGGATAGATTAGTGGATAGACGGACAGATGGACTGATGGATGGATGAATGGATGGGTGGATGGATGGATTAACAAACAATGCCCTCTGTTAATACTTGCTCTGTGGGTTTGAGGGTCCACTGATGAACAAAATCACTTATGGTCCTGGTACACAGGAAGCTCGTAGTGTGGGTGGGAGTCAGACATCATTAGTGAAAGTACCAGATAGACAAATGTAAACTTTCAACCACAATGAGTGCATCGAAGGAGAGGCACATGGCCAGAGGGCTCAGAGACCACTTCCTGGAGGAGGCGAAAGTTGTGATGAACTCTGAAACACAAGAAGGAGCTTACTTAGGAGGGGAAGAGAGACTGCTCAAGCCAAGGAAAAGGCATGTGTGGGTTTTTTAACAACCTTGTGTAAATATCAGGCTGACATGAAGCTGCCATCTTTATAGGTTAAACGTTGTCAAATATCATCAACTTCATACGGTTTAACTTTCTGGTCTCAGGACCCTCTTATCCTCTTAAGAATTGTTAAGCACTCCTCAAAGCATTTGTGTAAGTGGGGTATAGCTCTAGATATTTACCATATTCGAAATTAAAATTAAGAAATATTTAAAACATGAAAATATACAAGATATACAAGCCCATCTTCCATTAATTGTCGAAGCGATGACATCATTCCATGTCACATAGCCTCTAGAAAGTAATTGGCACATAGCAAATAATAGCATTTGTTGGAAAACTCTGTTGTGTACTCATAGGAAAATGAGAGACAGAACAAATGATATCTTAACATTATAATAAAAATAGTTTTTCACTACGGTATCTCCTGAAAGCATCTCAAGTTTACCCAGGAGTCTCATTTTAAGAAATGCTGGTTTAACCTAATAAATTCTGAGAACTTCTGCACGTGTCCAGTGTCAGAGTTAAAAGTGACCCATCCATACAGATAGTTGCTGGGCTTCTCCTACTCTCTGCCTTTCTGCAACAGCATATTAAAGCATAAGGGGGCCATTGGGCACTCTCCAAGTGCACTTGGAGAGAAGGATTCTAGTTGTAGTAGTTCTCAAGAAGAGGAGGGAAGACCTGGTGGGAAGGGAACATGAGGCAATGGTGGGGAACCTTCCAAAGTGCTCATGGGAAATTCTGAGTATGGTTATGTAAACAAGCTCAGTGCTGCTGTATGCCAGGATCACCATGTTGAATGTGGTAATGAGAAGGTCAAGAATAATGTTCCCTCAGGGATGGCTTTCAAAGATCAAAGACATTGACACAGAAACGGCCAAAGAAGGGGGGCTTAAGCATTAAGTCTTATCGCTTCCATTGATATGTTCTTTTTCAATTCCCATAAAAACAAGCATCGTTGCCTTTTTAATGAGGAAAAAAAGAGAAATGGAAGAAATGTTGCTGTTTTCAACATGATACTGTAATGCAGACGCTACTCAACTCATGGGAAGTTCATTGTCTCCTTGATTCTATGGGTTCAGTGGCTAAGAGCTTTCTATTGACTGAAGCTAGGCTCAATTCCCTGCTGTGCCATTTTTTCCAGATGGGTCAATTCACCTTCAGAGCCTCAGTTTTCTTTCTTCAAAAAACGGGAAAGATAAAGGTGCCTACCTCATAGATATGGTACAGAGTTGACCAAAGTGTGAGCCATAAACTGCCAAAGATATACAATAAATTTTAAATAGGAAGACAATTAAACATTTTATACTTAATTTAAGTCTTTAGTTTACAAATTAGCTTGTACTTACAGAAAGTGATTTCACTTTGCTATTCACGGAGGAAAACTAATATTCCCATGAAAAGTTATTTTGTTTATTTAAAAAGTAACTGGATTTATTTGGAGAATTTTATTAAAAAGGTCATACGAACAGGTGGTAGGTGAGCACATTGGGACTGAAGGTATTGTGCTCATGACCAAGTTGGACAAACCTTGAGGTAAAGTATGTACAGTGCTCAGTTCTGTATCTGATATACCCTGAGCACTTGATACATGATGGCTATTGTTTTCTAAATGGTTTCATGGAGATTAAAATGAGTACTTGGGTGAAGAAGCAATACTAGACAGAGGGCAGGCATTGGTGCAAGGCACAAGTTCAAATCTTCGTTCAGCTTCCCACCTGCTGTGGACACAGGAGCACTTCTCTACCTCTCTGAGTCCCTCTTGTGGTTCGGCTTCCACTAGAAGTGCACTTGGAGAGAAGGATTCTAGTTGTAGTAGTTGACATGAGTGATGATCCCAAGAAACACAGATATATGAGTAGGGAAGTGAGACAGGGAAGGGAAGAAAGTCAATGCAGAGTAGATGACCAAGCAAATAACCACAGTGGGCAACTGTAGCTCAATCCCACTGGAGGACTCTGGGAGACAGCATAGAGCATGTGGTTCAGTTTTCCTGCCTGGGAGACTGGGATATTAGTACACCAACTCCCATCTGTGATTGAGAACTGCCCCAAGGCCATTAACTCTCAAGCACTTCTGACATGTTTCATGAAGGGGCTAAGCATGGCCCTGTGGCCAGTAGAAAGCTCCCACGCTGAGAGTCAAAGGTGTTTGTGTCAACAAGAGTGTCAAAGGGGGAGGGGCAGATCCCTGGCAGCATCTATTACAGCCTCTGCTGCTACATCCCTGCCTTCCTCCTCTCAGAAATGAGGATAATACCTATCCCCAAAGAGTGCTTTGAAAAAAATAACTAATGTATGCATGTGTCTAGATCGTCCCTGGTACCTGGTTTATTCATTTATTTAACAAATAATTATTGAACCCCTACTACATGATGCATCTGACATCCCAACATGAGACTGCACCTCTCTCCAACCCTCTTGTTTTTGGTACATTTCAAGTAGAATGTTTTGCAGAAACCTTCAGTATCATTGGGAATCGCAAGGGCAAAGAGAAGGGAAGAGAGTTCTTATAAGAGGTTTTCTCAGCCACCCCTTCAGGTAGACCTCACGCCTCATGTGATTGGAGATATTCCATTGCCCCCGCCGACTCCATCCTTCCTAATGTCACTGGCACCCCACTAGGTAAATGGCTGTCAGAAACCCAGAGTTTCCCTAGATAAGGATGCCATGAAGCTGTGTGTTTCCTCTGCAATTTAATCTGGGAATATTTTGCATGTCAGGGAAGGGAGATAAACAAAATAAAGCAAGTCTTCGTCACAAAGACAGGTGGGTCAAGCTGCAGAGCATCTCTAATGATGCTCTACCGGCCCAATGTGAGCATCCGTTGGACTATCCCACTAGCTGCCACTCCCCTGATGAGCGCTTGATCATCACTGGTTGGAACTGGGTCTGAGGAACAATGACTATATCCACAGAAAGCCACTTTGTGGTTGTGGGATCTGTATGACCTCCCCCAGGGATGAATTGTAACATGTCTGAAAATCTACAGGCACTTTAACTTAAAATTCCAAAACCAAACTCTTAATGTTGAACTCATGGGTAGGGAAGGTTGCTTTGAGGTCTTTCTGTCTTCCTTATTCTCTGCTTACCACCGCTGTGACCTGGGGCATGCCATTTTAATTCTCAGAGTCTTTAGTGTCCCCATCTGTAAACTGGGCATACATTAGTGCTGTCTCCCAGGGTTGTTGTGAGGATTCAATGAGAAAAGGAATACCAGAGAAGATGGATGAGGGTGAAAAGAAAAGAAAAAAGAGAAAGAGGAGGAGAGAGAGGAGGAGGAGGAGCAAGCAAAGAAGGAGAAGAAGGCAGCCCTTATCACAAGGAGCCTGGCACATGGTGGATTTAAAATAATTATTAGTTGTCCTCCCCTTTCCATAAGGTGTGACACAGTAGAGCAAGCACTGTGATAAGAGTCTTGGAAGTTTGAGTTCTAGTCATGCCTATGAAATGGCAATCCTCCCACTTGTTCTGATCACAGTTCAGCATTGTCTTGCCTTTGTCCTTTAGTTGACAATGGTCATTGCCCAGACCAGATACCTACCAGCCATTATCTTCTCCTCCAATCTCCCAAATCAGTGGTTTGTGATCTTTTGTATAATAGGGGCAGGTGTGCCTTGTATCGTTACTGTAGGGTGAGTCCATTGATGTAGTAAACAAATACCCAGGTTTCAGAAACCAGGGTTAACTCTCGGGTCTGTCACTTAGAAGGTGAGGGACACAGGGACCCACTATCCCTCTAGTTACTATAGCAATCCACCTATAGAGATACCCTCTTCAGGGCTGGCACACACACCCTGCTATCCTCAGCTGCTGAGAATTTTGGCTCCTGATGGCTTATAGCTGCATCCCTCACTGTGATGCCCTTGGTGGTGAGGAATTGCACCACCCAAGGTCATATCTCTTCCCAGGGACTAAGATGGATACACAAGGACTCAGCTCTCATCTCTCAACTTGAGATGACTCTGAAGTTCTATTCCCACTCCAGAGCTCTCTGTATGATCCACTAAGATCTCAGTAGCAACTGCATGGTGGATCAACCCTCTGCCCAATCCTTCCCTTCTTCCCTTCCTCCTCCTTTCTCTCCCTCCCTCCCTCCCTCTCTCTTCTTCCTTCTTTCCTTCCTTGCCTCCCTTTTTCCAGGTACATCTCCCAAGCGCACTCCCCAATAAACATTCCACATACAAATTTCCATCTCAGAATCTGTTTCCTGGGAACCCAATCTAAGTCACCCCCTGGGAGTTTCCATTCACTTATTTTAAAAATGCAGATGACGGGAACATGTCCTAATTATAACTGGCCCTCAGGAAACGTAACTTGAATGACAACACTGCGCTTGAATGCAAAGTGGCCATTCTTTTGGGGCTGAATGGGGTGGGATACATACATTTCAGTTTAACCCCAAATATTAAGCTCTGATACATATCAGGCTCAGGGCTGGGTGCTGGGATATGCAAGAGTACCAGGTCTCAGTCTAAAACTCTAGTCTGTTCTGCTGCAGAAAAATTTCCTGTGGCTCACTGAGATCTCATCCAACTCAATGTGACAAGCGTTTATTGAACACCTACTGTAGGTCTGACCCTGTGCTAGGGATCAGAAATATGAAGGTGAAAAAAAACACTCCTCCTTCACTTAAACAATTCATGGCCCAGGAAAGGAGATGGACAAATGGCCTGACAATGACAGCACCATGTGGTATGTGCAGAACAAGAAAGATTGTGTCAGGAAGGAAGCACATATCTTCTAGTCTAAGGTTGCCTAAATTCAAATCCCACAATTGCTACATGCCAGCATCATGGCTTTAGGGCAAGTTACAAATATTCATTAAGCACCCACCGTGGGTGAAGCCCTGTGCTAGTGCTGGATAGATAACATAAACAAAATAAACAATACAATGCGGATCTTGCCCTCATGGAGTCTGCCCTGTAAGCTGACGCTACCTTTTGTAATTTGCCCAGTGCCATTGCTATTAGACTCAGAGCACCCAGGAGATGTGTGATTTCCTCATGGTGACCTGTTTGCCCACAGATGACTTCTGGCCAGTAGACCCTTCCTCTAAGACCCAGCTGTAGGAGTCTCCCTCCCCTAGGCCTGATCGCTGAACTCAGAGAGCAAGTGCAGTGGATTCCCCAGAACGCCAAGCTCTTCCCTCCACTGCTATTGACCATGTAGCTCTTAAAATCACTGCTGACAGTGGTGGGGCTGCCATGCTAGCATGTTCATTAATTTCTAATTAGATCCTGCTCACCAATAGCAAACAGGGCACCATTTTAACAGAAATAAACACAGACATCCTTAATTTGTCAAAATATGTCTCAATGAGGAGCTACCAATGAGAAAATCCAGATACTGAGCGCTTGCAGATACCACATTGGAATTCAATAGAACCTTTACCTGGAGTGCAGGTGACCAGGCTGTTGGCAGAGGGTCCTATGCATGGATGTTGATGTTTTAAAACCAAGTTTGAGTAATCACAGTCCCACCAGCACACTGATCAGGAGGAGCTGCAGAAATGCCAGCTCCATTGCAGTGAGTGTGTAATTCACAGATGCGTAAAGCTGAAGCCTGGGTCCACACTTCCCTCCTGATTTTACAAATGGAAACACTGACTCCCCTTTGCCTATGTCACCCCTAGGCCTGATATGTGAATCAGGAATATGACAAAACAGCCTTCTGATATCCCTAATAAGAGTTTCTCTCCAGGTATTTGCACCCTGTTGGAAACTCAAGAGACAACTAAAATCATGGGATGTTGGAGCAGAAAGTAATCAGAAAATCATCTTGACCCAGTTCCATTTTACAGGTGGGAAGACTGAGGCCCACAGAGGGGAAAGGAGATTCTCAAAGTCACACAGCAAACTCAGAAACAAAGTCCCGGTCTCCTGACTTCCAGTCCAGAGTTCCACAAACCACACCCCACTATCTGGTGTTAATTTTTAAACCCTAACTCTAGTGTGGTTTCTACAAGTGGATTTGAGTAAAGCTTCACCCTTTAGCCAAAGGAGAGAAGTGAGTGCCTTGGATAATTCCACTGGAGAATGTACTGAGTGATGAATGGATAAATAAAATGTGCCATATCCATACAATGGAATATTATTGAAACACATAAAGGAATAAAGTTCTGATACACGCTACAACATTGATGAGCCTTAGAAAACATTATGCTAAGAAGCCAGACACAAAAGACTGTATATTGTACAATTCCATTGATATAAAATATTCGGAATGGGCAAATCTACAGAGACAGAAAGCAGCTTGGTGGTTGCCAGGCGCTGGGGGAGAGACGTGGTGACTCATACTGCCGGGATTTCCTTTAGGGTTGATGAAAAAGTCAGAACTGGATAGAGATGATGGTTGCCACCATTGTGAAGGCACTAAATGCTACTGCATTGCAGACTGTAAATGGTTAATTTTATATTACATAAAATTTATTTCAGTAAACAAACACACACACCAGAATGCACCGAGCTCCTCCCAGGAGCCCCACATTTCATTTGTGTTATCTCAATAAACTCTCCCAGACTCTGGGGATATGGGTGTGATTATCCTATTTGACAGGCAAGCAAACTAAGTCACAGAGAATTTTAGTGACAGGCCAGGGAAGCTCAGCCACCAAGTGGTGGATCTGGGATTTGAACTTGTATCTGACTGCCAGGCCATCTTCTCCCCCGTAGCACCTGCCTTTAAGGAATGCAGAGCCACAGACAAGCTCTGAGGAAAAGATGTCCATGCCAATTCTCCAACAGAGTCTCAAACTCATCTCTTCTGGGTACACAGGAGAGGTCATTAGTTCTTCCTTGAGGAACTGGGGCATCTGAAAAGTGTCTTTTCTTAAAACATAAACTTTTCATTGGCAAAGAAGGAAGAGTAGGGAAGGAACATTGTTAGATGAAGCTGATACTTCCCAAGTAAGTTCCATGCCACACTTAAAAAAGTGATTAAGTTCAGAAATCTTTGGATGAAACAAGATTCAATAGGTTTCATTACTGCGGGCCTTCTCAGGGCCTTTAATTACCCAGTAAGTTTGATTGTTCATGAGCTCCCTACATTGCACAGCATTCCTCGGTGTATTTGATCAGAGGCCCTTCTCTTCCCCTCCCATGACCACAGGTGCCTGGAGTTTACATTCAGTGTCACGTATTTGAGGAAAACCCTAAATTAATGGTTCCAGTGGAGGAAATAAAGCAGGACAGGCAGGCCATGGTGGGGACAGTTAGAGTGCACCTAGATCCCAGCTGGGCTCTCTGGGTTCTCATGGAATCATCTCTTTTCCTACCAGGTTCTCATGTCGAAGCTAGTCTGAAAGTCTGAATTATCTTTCCAGGAAAGGAGGAGAAGCTGCGAGAAGGGAGGTGAAAGGAGGAAGAAGGGAAAGAGGCAGAGAGAAAGGCAGAGGAGAAGGGGAGAGACAGATAACCAGGGAGGGTGAGAGAGAGAAGAACCCAAGAGAGCCCCAATGTGACTGGATCCCCTCCAACTCAGCATCATCAGCTGCAGGAAAAAAAAAAGAAAGAAAGAAAGAAAGAAAAAAGAAAAAAAAAGAAAAGGAAAAAAGAAACCCTGAAGGCTATGGCTGTTCTGGAAGAGGCAGGCAGGCAGCCGCGAAATTAACGAGGTATTACCCAAGATGAAGGAAACAATTAGGACATTTAGCAGCAGAGATAAAGCAAATACTCTTTCCATCAAAAAAATATTAAAGCTAATTCAATTGGAAAAGAAGAGATGGGGAGAGGGCCTTAGAAGCCCAGGAAGCAGGAAGAAGGGCTGGCTGAGCAGTCTGCAGAAGAGAGAGATTTATCCAAACTCAAATATGTGCTGGGGGAGGGAGGGGCTCTGAAGGGCTCCCCAGCTGGGCTTGAATAAACAAGTCGATGTCGGCTTCTGTAAGTGAGAGGGTGATGGGCAAACCACACTTCCCCTGGTTGGCAGACTTGAAATGAGTGATCGATAGGGCAATATCACCAAGCTAATTAAATCAGAACTCCATGGGGCTGATTCCTTCTTTATAGCCCGGGACCAGCCTCTGATAGGCAGGACCAGACTGCACTTGAAGGCCTGGTCTCATCTCTCACCCCAGCTAGTTAGGTGAAGCCCTCCTGCCACACCTGCCCCTTTCCATTTCTGCCCTTACCCACCCAAGGCAGCATATTCTGCTATTTGGAAACACTAATAATAATAAAAATAATATTAAACAGCCTAACACTGAGAAGCTCCAAGCATTGGACTTTGAATTCAGTTTTTTTTTGTTGTTTTTTGTTTGTTTGTTTGTCTGTTTGTTTTTTGAGACGGAGTCCCCCTCTGTCACCCAGGCTGGAGTGCAATGGTGTAATCTCGGCTCACTGCAACCTCCAGCTCCCAGGTTCAGGAGATTCTCCTGCCTCCACCTCCCAAGCAGCTGGGATTACAGGCACCTGCCACCACACCCGGCTAATTTTTGTATTTTTAGAAAAGACGGGGTTTCACCGTGTTGGCCAGGCTGATCTCGAACTCCTGACTTCAGGTGATCCGCCTGCCTCGGCCTCTCAAAGTGCTGGGATTACAGGCATGAGCCACCGCGCCCAGCCAAGTTCAGTCATTTTTTAATCTCATTTTGTCCTCAAGACAACACTCTGGTGGATACACTGATTACCACCATTTTACAGAGGAAGACACTGAAGATCAGAGAGGTGAAGAGATTTCCCAGAGTCACACCTGCTGAGTGTTTGAGTCAGAATAAGAATCCAGGTCTCCTGGTATCCCAGTGAGAAGGTCTTGATTACTGATTCTGAGAAAGTCCAGCAAAATTGGCCATTTATTCATTCACTCTTGCCCATGTGTGTAACTATGAGCCAACCACTGGGCATGGCAATGGGAACAAAATGGGAAACTTGGTCTCAAACTAGAGGGAAAAACACAAGGTAACCAAGCAGCAAGTGGACACTTAAAAGGTGTAGTAGGTGCTCCGTGGAGCAAAAGAGGACTGTGACCCAGAACAAAGGGATGATCCTACAGAGGACGTCAGAGAAGGATTCCTGGAAGAGGTGGCACTTACAGGGCGGCCCAAAGGATAAGCAGAAGCCAGCCAGGTGGAAGGTGGAGGAGGCATTTGCGAAGACCCTAGGGTGGGAATGAGCTCAGAGTGTAGGGAATTAGCAGAATGGACCCCTGAGCAGAATGACAGGCAGTGGTAAGCAGGGTTGGATCCCAGACGTGCAGGAGCAACAAGGGGAGCCTCAGACTAGGCAAGTGATATTCTCAGAAAAACAATGCAAATTCGTGACTGCAGGAGACCAGAGCCCAGGCCTCCTGATGCCCAGCCCAGAGCTCATGCCTCTGGCCATGCAGCCTCTCCTGCCAGGTGGTTAAGTGTCACAGGAATGGACACCTTGTCTTTTTTATTTGTTACTGTTTCCCAGCACTCAGTCCTAGATCTGGTACATACTAAGCACTCACTAACTCTTTGTTGAATTAATGAATGACACTGAAAGGATGTCATGAATGAATGAATGACTGGAGAAGGACTTAACACCTATTGAGTACCTAGTGTGTACACGGCACCATGATCACTACAAGGGGACCAGAGCAATGAAAGATCCTCCTTTTTTAAGGGATTCTTAGTTTTCTCCCCGTCACTTCCTAACACACAGCCTCCATTCTAATGAAGCCAGCCTCTTCCTTGACTCTGTCACACACACAATTTTCCTCCAGCTCTCTGCCTTTGCCCTTGCTGTGCCTCCCACCTGAGCTATCCTCCCTCAATCTTTTCGGCTGCCCAAATTAATTTGTTCAGTCCTCCAAGATCCTCCTCCTGAGTGATGCCCTCCCTTCACTATTTCTCTGGACTGTCTCTGCACACACTATTTATCTACATCTGGCCCCTCTCAGTAATATGTCATCTCCTCAAGAGTCCAAGCCACGGTTCCTGTTTTCCCTGCAGGACTGGACCTATGGGAACAGGTGAGTTAATCGTTGCCAAAGGGACTCCCAAGAGGCTTGGGCAAGTCACTTCCACTCTTTGAGAGTCTTGGCTGCATATCTGCAAGAGAAGGAGATGAAATTTTATCAAGGATGGCAAATTTGTGCATCCACGTCACTGTACCTTCTCCTTTAGTCAAAGCAGAGATTACTGATTGATCACTGATTTTTCCCCACCGTGACCAAATGTACCTTTCAAATCCTTTCCCTACGCAACATTCCAAGCAGCCTTTACAAAAAAATACAAAAAAAAAAAGAAAAAAAATGCAAAATTTGTGAGCAAGATGAAATCTACTTGCCACTCTTCAATCCAATAGACTCTAAGGGATTTTTCTCTGGTCTTTGGGGACCTATCGCAAGCCTGATGCAAAGAATATGAGATTAGAAGCCTGAAACCTAATTCACAGATTATGCAACCTTGGGTAATCCTTGCCTCCATAAGCCTGAATTCCCTTCTCTGTCAGGTGGCACGTATCTTCTGAGATGTGCTCTGTATAGATATCACTGCTTTTTACCTGTTGTGGAAAAAAAATGTAATCATCAGGCTTGTTATAATTTTGTGTAAATATAAAGTTATTAGGCCCGGAGTGAGGCAGCCTGAGGGTGAGTTCCAGCAGTGCAGGAACTGAATGTACAGACTCGGAAGATCTTTTTTCAGCCTGCTTTCCTTCTGCTTATTGGCCGTGCTGCACTTATACAGTCGTCCTATTAAACACTTCCAAGTGAGTGGGAACCTACTCAATTCACTGTTCCCCCATCGTCCTCTCTCTGGACAACACTGTTAAATTCCCAGGCGTTCTCTATAATTGTGGATTGGCTCAGTTGTCTTGGCACAAATACAGCGGATAAGGGAATTCCATTCCTCAGTGTTCCCCAGCTCACCAGGCTTGAGGGCAGGGGCTCTGCCTCATTCACAGCTGTGTCCCCAGTAGCCAGCATTGGGCCAGGAGCTCCACAGACTCTCAATCAAGATTTGTTTAATGGATGGAGGGAGGAAGGAAAGGCACAGATACCATTTAATGCCCCATGCAGCGCATTCTGCATGCCAAACCCGTGCGCACAGCGCTCTAGCTTGCTCGGACACAATTATGTTAAAAGAGCAATTAGCAACCTTTTAAGCCTGATTGCCAACTCCCCCATTAATCACTTGCAATTATAAAACCCAAATCTTCAAAACAATTGGTCCCAGACGCCCACTAGAGAGAAACGTTAATAACCTTCCTTTTTCATCGGAAATCTCTGCTCAGTTGGAGTCTCTGGGTCACAGAGGGGTGGAGCAGCCACAAAGGGCTGAACAGGCTGACATGGGAGTGGCAACCCTGGAGAAAGGGGTAAAAGAGTCACCCCGCAAGGGCCAAAGGACACTCTAGGAGACCGCCTCATCTCCCCTCTGCCAGCTTCTCCCCCATTACCACAGCCAGCCTGGGCCATATATCTCCCCATGCTTTCACCAAACCACTCTAATTCCACACTATGAAGACACTGTCTCTAATTACTGTGGCTAATTAGCTCCTCTCAGCCACCCCAGTTGAGGCATGTGAGAGACAGAGCTGCCCCCAAGGCCTTGGACGTGGCTGGCCGCCTCCGGCCGCCAGCCGCCACTTTGCCACCGCAAGGACACCCTGTGAGCTGACCCTCTTGTTTCAGGGGAAAGGGAGGAGGAGAATGAGGGATGGTAGAAGCCTGCTCGGTCAATCTGAACCCCCTCTCTTCGCCAGTCCCCTGCTGCGGGCAGCAGGCAATTCAGACCTGAGTGCAACAGCTAATTAAATCAATATGAGATAATGAACGGCAATTAGAGGTCCGGCTAGGCACATCTTCTCTTGTAAATACTGTTTCTCTCCCAACGGGGAGCTCTTTTTTAATAATCTGTTTGTGTTTCATTTCCAGGAGCCGTAATTCCCCCAAGAAGCACTTTGGGAAAGTGATTTGTTTGTCTGTATAATCGTCAAAGCATTCCGTTAGACTTGTTTGTTTTGCTGAGTGCCTGCTACTACTGGAGGGAAACAATTTTTCTTCTCTCTTTTATTTTTTTTTTAAACGTCTGCTTCCTTCCTAAACATCCTAATGTTCGACCAGTCCAGGGCCATGCATTTCAGAGGTGTAATGAGCTGCACTCTGCCCCTAGCTCCCTCGTTGACATTCTGGGGGATGAACAAATCTAAAATCCTTAGGAGATCACAGAATGACAGGAGGAAGTCTAGTGGCTCCCATTCTACAGATGAGAAAACTGAGGTCCAGAGCAGCCATAAATGACTAACAACCTAAATTCTCCCATCCTCCATTCAGATAGCTCACAAATCTCATGTGGTGCCCAGGGGGAGTCTTGGGGAGGGCATTATAAGGAGCCCTCTACCCTCAAGGAACTTGCGAATTTATCTGGTGAGACAGGCTAAGGCACATATCAATTAGAAAGCAATTAAGTGCCTAATTGTGTGGCACCAACAAGCTCAAAGAGTTCAGGAAAGGAAAAGATCCTTCAGGGAATAGAGTGGAAGGAGAGAAAATCAGAGCCATTTGCATCTTAGTTTTGTCTCTAACTCCCATCAAGACCGGTTTTCTGAGCTCTAAACTTTTATATCTTCATTGGGATGCCCCATGGCACCATAAAGTCAATTTGTCCAAAACGGAAAGCATCACACACACACCCAGCCATGTTTTCAATCTGCTCTTCCTTGTTCAATAAATGGCTGTGCAGACATCCAGTTTTCCCACTAGAGAACTCAATTTCTTTTCTCACACTGTCTACACCCAGTCAACAGGACCCTGTAAATGTCTCTCAATTGTACCCACTTTTCTCCTTCCCTACCATCACTGCCCTAGTACCAGCCACCACCTGGATGCACCCTAGCGGTCTGCTGAATCTAACCTTCCTCCCCTCCAATCTAATACTGCAACCAGTGATGCTTTCTGCAATGTAATCTGACCAGATTATTCTCCTGATTAAACTCCTTAGTGCTTTCCTCCAGATAAAGGTCACTTTAATGTGACCCATGAGACCTCTGGTCCTTGCTTACATTTTTAGGCCAGCCTCTTGATATCTACACTCCTATTTATTTTACTTTGTTTTATTTTATTTTATTTTTTATTTTATTTTATTTTATTTTATTTTATTTTAATTTTATTTTTGAGATGGAGTTTCACTCTTGTTGCCCAGGCTGGAGTGCAATGGAGCAATCTCGGCTCACTGCAACCTCCGTCTCCCGAGCTCAAGAGATTCTCCTGCCTCAGCCTCCCAACTAGCTGGGATTACAGGTGCCCACCATCTTATCCAGATAATTTTTTGTATTTTTAGTAGAGATGGGGTTTCACCATGTTGTCCAGGCTAGTCTCGAACTCCTGACCTCAGGTGATCCACCCACCTCGGCCTCCCTAAGTGCTGGGATTACACGCGTGAGCCACTGCACCCGGCCGTTACTCCCCCTTTTATACACACACAGCTCATGCTTCAGCTGTGGCCTCACAAATATTCAATACCCCTTAGATACCCAAGCCTCTGCAAGTGATTTTTTCTCCACTGAAAACTCCTTAAACTTCCCCCTAGATCTCTGTAGTAAGCAACTCTTACTCTTCTCTTAGGCATTATCTTAGAGAGCTCCTCCCCCAGGAAGCACCACTGTTCTTCACCACTCCAGGCTGGGTTACCTACCTCTCTTTGGAGCTGCAGTCGCCACCTGTGCTGATACCAGTTATAGTCTTAGAACTTAACAAATCATGTGCCATGGTAATTATCTGATCATTGTCCTCCCTGCCTCACTGGAATAAGAGCATTTTGAGGCCAGGGTCTTGTTTTGTCCTTCATCAGAACTTCTACTACTTAGCACACAATAGTTGCTTAATAAGTACCCATTGAATATGTATTAAATAAAAGACTGGAACTACCCTTAACATTTATTTAATACCACCTGTTGCCTTTCAGATGGCAAAAACTGATACCTCAGAAAGGAGCAGAGGGTTTCTCAGGGTCATGCAGAAAAACGACAGCAGAATCAGAGTAGATCCAAGTTGTCCTGACTGCTGATTCAGTGTTCGATCTGCCATATTTATTTGATTTTAATCAAATCCATAAGATCCATAAATATATTTGACTAAATAAATATGGGGTGAATATGTACCTTGGGAACTTAGAAATGGCTAAGACAAAAATAGATATAGCGTGACCCCAGCAGAGGGATTTAGTGGGGATTAGAGGTGGCACTAAAGGCTTCCCAGAGGCCAGGTGCAGTGGCTCATGCCTATAATCCCAGTACTTTGGGAGGGCGAGGTGGGAGGATCACCTGAGGTTGGGAGTTCAAGGCCAGCCTGGCCAACATGGTGAAACCCCATCTCTACCAAAAATACAAAAATTAACCAGGCATGGGGGCAGGTGCCTGTAATCCCAACTACTTGGGAGGCTGAGGCAGGAGAATTGCCTGAACCCAGGAGGTGAAGGGAGGTGGCATTTGCAGTGAGCTGAGATTGTGCCACTGCACTCCAGCTTGGGCAACAGAGCAAGACTCTGTCTCAAAGAAAAAAGGCTTCCCAGAAGGTGGTGGGCAGTGTGTTTGAAAAAAAGTGAACCTTTGATGGACCAGAGAGATAAAAAAAAAATTGTTCAAGCCACATACCTGGTCAATGAAGCAGTCATGATTCAAACCAGGTCTTTCTACTACCCTGTGCCTTTCTTTTGTGATGAACACAGTTGTCTTTAAAGATGGTTTAAAATCTTCCCAATACATGTTGCTAGAGCATAGCTGGAATAAAAGTTGGGATCTAAGTCAGAGATTCAAGTTTTCCTTCTGTTTTCCAGCTAGAGTTTAACTACAGGAGTTGTTGGTCATTAAAAGAGACTAGAATAGAATCAGGGCTATTAGGTGCTTGAAGGTTACTTTTTTAACATATAGGATGTGTGTCAGAACTTGCAGATTGTATCATATGGAAGTGAACTCAGAAGGATCTCTCAGAGTAGAGACCATGAACCAGAGCCAGAGATGGGTTCCCCTCCACAATGCCAACACAAAGGTTTCGGAACCACGGACAGCTCCTGGGTGGCAGGCTCCCTGGGGCCTGGCCTTCCTGGTGTGGCCTGCATTATTGCATGGCTTCCTGGTGTGCAGTAAATGGTCACTCAATTAATTTAAAAAGAAAAACAAGAATTAAGGTCTTAGTGTATACTTTTCTCCCCAGAGGATCATGATCTCTTTCTTCGGTGGAATGAGGTATACAAAGGCCTGAACTTCCCATAAGCCACACCAAAACTCCCATAACTCCAACTCTTCCATAGAGCTCCACCTAAGGTAAGAGCTGCTCATGAAATGCTTGACCTGGCCTCCTCTGAGGCATCCCTGTCCACATCTGAGGAAAGGTGAACCACAGAAAATCTGTCTGTCTGGGGATTCAGTCTTGCCAAGGTTCAGGCCAGGATTTTTCCAAGCCCAAGTTCATGAAAGACAGTGCAGACTTCAAGAACCAGATATGGAGAAAATACACCAGCTCTGTCAGTTTTCCCATGGAGAAAAGCAAGGTGCCGAGAGAGACATTGATTTAGCTTGCATTAGGAAATTGGGGAAAATTCTAAGTCGTGACTATATTAATGATAGTTCATATCTGCTATCAGGACTTTCTATACTTCAGGCACACTTATAAACATGATGTCATTTCATCTGCCCAACCACCTGTAAGAAAAGTACTATTAACCCTCTTTTATAGATGAGAAATCTAAAGCTCAGAGAAGGAAATTGACTAGGCACAAGTCACAAAGCTAGGGGTTGGCAGATCCCCCCTTCAAGCCCAAAATGTCTGACTCGAAGTTTTTGATGTTTCTACCATGCTACATTGCCTTTGGTGTTCTTCCTTGATCTTTGAGCCAACAAGACTTGCAGCTTTTGACCTAGGAGCAGGACACTGATGACCTATCACACAGATAAGTTGAGCTATCTCCCCTAGTCCTTGCAGGCTCCTGCACGAGTCTTTTATGGGCCATGATTCTATTATGGGCCACGATGCCCATAAAGACCAGGCCAGATTTTACTGCTCCTTAAACCTCCCATCCTTCCTCCCATGCTCACCAGCTTAAAAACATGAAACAGAATTTTCTCAGGTCAGCAAAAATCCCTGAACAGGAACCTCTCACCCGCAATTCACTGTTGCCAAAATGCCAAATTCACTTCTCCTCCTTCCTTCTTGTTTGTGTAGTAAGATCCAGGGCAAATCTGTAAATCTGGCCTTCTGATCACACTCTCTACAACACCAGACACACCTGCTTTCCACTTAACTCTCTCTCATCTTCAATTTTTCTTCTTCTCCTCTCCCTTCAATCTATCACAAGCCACTTATGACTTGATAAAACCCTGCCCAAGCTGCTGCAATGGAAGAAAATGGGCCTTGAAATCACACAGAGAAGAATTCAAATGCAAGCTGTACTCTTTCGAGTTCTGTGACCTTGGACACATTTCTTAGCATCATTGATCTCATCTATAAATTGGAGATTGTGACTACCTTTGGCTGCTATAGGTCACAGATGCTATGACCTATATATACATCATTGCTAATTTCTATTACTGCTAATTATAGCAGTAATAATATTGACATTAATAATAAAAATAGTAATCACTAACTTATCAAGGGCTTACCTTGTACTAGGCACTGTTCTAAATGTTCTACAGATAGTAACTAATTATATATAAATTACTAATAACTAATATATGTAACAATGAACATGCAACTAATTATATGTGATAGGCACAAGATTACACAACTAGTAATGTTCAGGCTTGCACACAATAGGTGTTCAATAAATGAAAATTCCATGTCTCACTCTCCTCCTTCAGTTTCCAGCATGTGTCTCCTTTCTTCCACTGCTGATGATCCAACTTGTCACCCAAACCACTGTGAGCTCCATATTCCTCATCCATGAAATGGGTATCATGCCCTGATTTCTAGAAATGCACTGAGAACTCAACGATATAAATGTGAAGGTACTCCACTCATAAAATAGGCTTAATAAATATTTATCAGAAATTAATAGTGCTTACTATATTTTGCTCTACCTTCTTCAGCTTCTGGATATAGAGTTCTGATCCCATCACTCTTACCAAGATTGCCCTCCAAATAATCATTAATCATAAAGTTGCTAAATCTGAGACCTGATTCCAGCTCTCATACTTGACCTGTAGGTCAAGTATGAGACCTTGCCACTGCTGATCAATATCCCCAAGCCAATTTCCTTCTTGGATTCCAGAATTCTAGGCTTTCCTGTTTTCTGCTTACCCCTCAACTCTCTTCCTTATTTCACCTATTACATGTATCCGTACCTCCAAAGAATGATTCTGATTTCTCTACTTAGTCTATGGTCCAGTTCAGTGGAGAGAATTCCCATTTGAATTTCGGCTCCACCACAAGGAGAGATCCTCAGCCAAAGTTTTGAGGACAAGTAGTTTATTTGTGGTCCCAGGAAACACCAGAAAGGAGGATGCAGAAGTGAACAGGAAGGAAAGACAGCCAATCAAGGGTACATAATCAACTCAGAAACTCCCGTGGGCAGCTGGAGCCTAATCCTGCTGGAGAATGCTGGGAAGCAACGCAGAACATGCTTGTTGAAGTTATCCCGCTCGAGGAGCCAGGGTTCTGAGCCATTTATTTACCAACTCCTGTCAATCTTTAGTTGAGGTTGCTCCTGGAGGATGGTAATTCTCAGGCACTTCTAACTTGCATGCAGGTAAGCAGAATAGGCCACAGACAACAGCAAAGCCCTTAGACTGTTGGAAGTCATCCCAGCAAGCCCTACGAAGGCAAGGCTGCAGGGATATGGGTGAGGACACCAACAGTGTCTGCGGCAACTCCCAGATCTGGATCTCCATCTACAGCTCTTCTCCCAAGTTCCAGCCAGACACAAATTTCCAACTTAAGGTGATTTTCTCCCTTCAACCTTCCTAGGCTCCCCATATCAGCAGTCCTAGCCTGTCATGATCATCATATGTCATCTATATGCCCAGAGTGGAATTCAGGGTTCCCCCCCATTATCCAAGGTGGGGAATATGTTCCAAGACCCTCACTGGATGTCTGAAACTTGCAGATAATAACTAACCCTATATACACTACATTTTCTCCTATACATAAATACCTATGATAAACTTTAAAGTTTATATAATATAAATTAAACATAATATTTATGTTTCTCCTATACATAAATACCTATAATAAAGTTTGTAAATTAGACACAGTAAGAAGAGATTAACAACAGAACAATACTTAATAACAAAATAGAACAATTATAATAATATACTGTAATAAAAATAAAATAAGGTATTCTTTCAAAGCTAGCACTGTGATATCTCAACAGCCAATGTGGTAACCAAGACAGCCACTAGTGGATAAGGGGCAAGTTGTGCAGACAGATTGGATACCTAGACAAAGGGAAGATTCACATCCGAGGCGGGATGAAGCTGGACAGCGTGAGATTTGATCATGCTACTCAGAACAATATGCCATTTAAAACTTATGAATTGTTTATTTCTGAAATCTTCCATTTACTATTTTCAGACCATGGTTGACCATGGGTAACTGAAACCACAGAAATCGAAATTGTGGATAAGGTAGAACCACTCTCATTTTACCTATTGTATATCCTTGACCAATCACTCTCAGCATTACCCCAGAGACAAGATGTCACCAGGGCAAATACCAGTTCAGCTGTGGAGGTGCAAGAGTTTGAATGCTGGCTCTGCCACTTCCCAACTGTACCCACATAGGTGAATCACCTCACCCCTCACTTTCACTTGCATCACCTGCAAAGGAGAATTTTAAAATCATATTTAGGGAGGGTGGGTAAGAATATGTATGGAAAGGTGCCAGTACCTAGTCCAGTTTATAACACATGGTGGGTATCTAGTGCTTTAGAGCTGTGACTATTCCTATCAGTGGTCAAGGTATACTTCTCTTTTTGTTTTGACAATTCAGTTGCATATCTCATACTAGCCTCTCTTGTTTATATTTTCTTGGCTGTTTCAAGAGTTTGCAAGCTTGGCAAAATGCTGAATGCTCCAGTGAATTGTTCCTAACCTTTCTACAGCCCCCAGTCTCTTTTCCCTAGAGTCCTCCTTGCACATCAATGCCAAACTCATCTCCTTGAAATACCACATTCCTATCAGGTATCACCAGTGGCTCACAGTTGTATTATGGTGATGTTTAACCTCCTTGTTCTGGCATTTAAGGCCCTTCACAATCTGACACACTGATTATATTCTTTATCACTGCTTTTCTTTGGTAAAATGCCTCATGTTCTCTTCCTTATGTTGATTTATTCGTCAAATGCTTATTAAGCATCTCCATGTACCAGGCTCTGTACTAAGCCCTGACAAGGTTTTTATAAACAAGAAAAGGATACATCCTTTTCTCTCCTGGAATCCTCCATGATAAAGCCTTTATCCAGGACGTTCTCCAGTTGACCACCCCCACTCCAGCGCCATCAACTCCTGTCCAGAGAGGCATGTCATTGTATTGAGAGCAGGGAAAGGTCAAGGTTCAAACCCCAGGGTGACCATTTATGACCAGTGGTCACATTCCTCTCTGGGCCTCTGTTTCCAAATGATAAGAAGTCCTGCCTGCAAGTGTTGATGTGGTCTTCTGAATAATGGTCCCCCAAAGGTATGCATGTCCTAATCCCTGGAACCTGTGAATGTTACCTTACATGGCAAAAGGGACTGCTCAGACGTGACTAAGTTAAGGATCTTGAGATGGGGGGATTATCCTGCAATCACAAGGGTCCTTCTAAGGGGAGGCAAGAAGAGCAGAGTTAGCAGGAGACGTGACTGTGGAGGCAGAGGTTGGAGTCATGAGCCAAGGGATGCAGGTGACCTCTAGGTGCTGAAAAAGGCAAGAAAACGAGGTCTCCTTTGCAGCCTCCATAAGGAACCTAGCGCTGCCAACACCTTGATTTTGAATTTCTGACCTCCAAAACTTTAAGATGATAAATGTGGGTGTTGTTTTAACTCCTAAGTTAAAACAACAATAAGAAACTAATACAGTTGTTTCTTAGTTGAAACTAAGAAAATAATACAGTTGTCATGGAGAATACAGACTAATGTATGACCTTGGCCTCCCCAAGGTCACGTGCCATAAATGGCCAGACTGGAGTTTCACCTGGGACTGTTCCTGCTCACAGGGCATTGAGATGTTTTTCTGGGGAGGACTTGATGGAGTATGGAAAGTCTACCACATAGTGACAGGCCTTCAGATGGAATCTTAGGGAGGGTGAGGGGCAAGGGAGACCAGCTCAGGTTCCCTCTTCTCCTGGGAGACTTCACTAATCATTGTAGCATGTATTATCTGTAAAATACAGACAATGTTTCTATGAGGGATGTTTACATATAGCAATATCTTCACGTAAGGTGACCTAGGCGTATTCTTGAATGTGACGTGCATAGCAGGTGAACATCATTTCATGGGCGAGACTACAGAGGCCCAAAGGGATTAAGTGATGCCCAAGATCATTCAAAAGAGCATAGCAGATCAGAGATGCAAACCAAGTTGTCCTGCCTACCAGCCCAGCACTGTGTGGGTTTCTAGCTGGGCTGTCTCTGCATTCATCTTGTCAGCATCCCCATCTACACATTGGCAGCCACCAGCCCCAGAGAAGTCAGCTCCCCAGCCAGAACACAGGAGTCCCATGGAGGGCCCATACCCAGTCCCTCTCTCAAGAGAAATGACAAAGGGAGAATGCCAGCTGGGAAGAAATGATAATTTCCTGTAAGTCAATAACAGGACGAGAAATGGTCCCAGGATAAAATATGCCCCATCTCCTACTTGGCTTGGATGCATGCCCAGGAGATGCCGTGTGCTGGGACTGGATTGAGAGGCAAGGGGAGAGAAGGAAGGCCTAGTGGGAAGGGTGGAGAAAGTCCTCTATGTCACCAGGACATTGGGAAGTGAGAGCCAGGACCCTTGCAATATGTTGAAGAGTCTCGGTGTCTGCTCTTAACTCTGGGGGGCCAGGGCTGAGCCTGTCTTAGACACTGCAGGATCCCCAGGGACTACAACGGTGCCTCATGCAATATCTATGCTCAGTAAATGCTGGTTGTATGAATGGAAAACTTGGAATTAGGAAAACTCCCTACAATCCATAAGCTGGGAAGCATAAATTCCACTTCCTGTCTCTGAGCCCTTGCTTCACCATCTGCAAATCTACTCACCAGGTAGTTTGCAAAAAAAAAAAAAAAAATTAAATCAAGTATGCATAAGTCAAGTTTATGCACCCAGACTCTGGAGTAAGACAGTTTTGTGCTCAAATTCCCTCTTCATCCCCTTTCACCACTTGCTTCACCTCTCCGAGTATCGTTTCCTCCTCTGAAAAACAGAGCTATATAAGAATGATTATCATGTTGATTATTAGTTGGCTGTATCAGTCATTTACACTTAGCCCTAAATAAAGGGCCTGTGTGCAGACTTTTGGCAGGAGCTAAAAGACACTGCTATTTTCTGTGTTTACTCTTTGCCATGTACTCTTTTAAGCACTTTGCATGTAAAAATGTATTTGATTTGCACCACAACCCTGTGAGGTTCAAAGCAGGGAAGGAAATCCCACACAGCCACACAGCTCGTAATTGGCCACATCAGGATTATCTCAAAGTCTGCCTAGTTCCAGACCCTGGACTCTTAATACTGTGTTACCTCTTCAGATCAAATTTGCCTATAGGCCATGAAAATTAGCTTAGAATGTATCCTCCAGTCCAGTGCTTTAAAAACTACCGTGAACAGGAATCAGATTCCAGATAAGCAGATCCGGAGTGAGGATCAGGAGTCTGCATTCTAACCCGCTCCCAAGAGTGGCCGAAGCTGCAGGTCCACTTTGAGTAGTAAGATTCCAGACAACAGGATTCCACAGATGGTATTTCAGCAGGACGTGATAGAGTCAGAGCTGGCCTTTAGTAGCTTGTGGGGCTACCGTAAAGAGCCTGGATTGGAGGAGGTGAAGCTGGATGTGGGTGTTTATGCCTTGAGGCTCCTTCCAGCTGAAATACTTCATGGTTTGATTCTTAGAGGCGCTCTAAGCCTCTTTAGAAAACGGGTGGAAAGAAAGAATGTAGGAGTCATTCAGCTCCACCCCTTCTCCAGGCCTAAAAAGAGTATCAGCTCTGAGACCGCTTCAGCTTAAAAACGACTGCTCTGAGCAGTCGCTCAGTATTCCAGGGACCACACTGGATTCAATACATCAAAGGTTGAAGGATCATATAGCCCCATTAGCTGCAAAGTTTAATTTCCCTTCGGGGCTGGTGGTTACAATGAAACTACAGCAACAATTACAACTTCCCCTTCACTGACAACCTGCTCAGATCAATAAAGCCTGCGTCACCAGGATCAGCCTCATTCGTCAGGAACTCTGGGCCACACAAGGCCCCATACTGCACACCACACACCCTTCTTGCCGGGTGGCAGGGGGGAAAGCGTGGGGACACACACGTTTTAGGATGCTGTCTCCCTCTCTGAGTTTGTAGAGGGGAAGCCTGAGGCCAAGAGAGCCAGAAACCTCATCCATTCATTAATTCACCATATGGTTAATCAAGTATCAACTCTTCTAGGCCTCAGGGATATGGCTGTTGAAGGAGGCAGATGACATACTTATCTTTGTGGGGAAACAGAGGTAAAGTGAACAAACATGTCAGAAAACCTAGGAAGGCCACATGTGCCTCTTTAGTAGAGGGGCCGGGGATGGTGACTTAGTGACATTTGAGCAGGGCCTGAAAGAAACAAAGGAGTGAACCATCTGAAGATCTGAGGAAGAGCCCTCCAAGAAGGGGAGACTGCAAGTGAAAAGGCTGCGAACTGGGAACAAACTTAAGAAAGAAACAGAAGGGAACTGGGCATCGTGCTTCCTGAGTGAGAGCAACAGGGCTCGAAAATGAGGTCATAGGGCTGCTAGAGACCAGGCCAGGGCTTTGGATTTCACTCTGAGGGAAAATGGCTTCCCAAATATCACACATGAAATCAGGAGCCAATCTGAGTTAGAACTAATGTCCCCATAGACCCCATTTTGGGACTTTCTTCCCCAATACCAGGCTCTATTTCATAGGAGTGTTGGTTAAACCAAAGGGTCCTCTGCTTGCTGATTTATAGTCGGATGATTGGAATCAGTGGTTATCATTCCAGCATCCAGATGAGCAAATGGAGATCCAGAGCTTCCATGATGTCTGCAAGATCTGATCCCGAGTTGTTGGACTTCATGCTCCCTGTTTTTTTGTGTGTGTGGCCATTGTTTTTCAAGGATGTCCATTTTCTTGTCAGAACTTCACAGCAAGCCTTGCATGCCCACGTCTGGGGTTCGTGTTTTATTTTGAAAAGTGTAGACGCCAAAGGCTGGAGCAGCAGCAGAAGCAGCGCCACCCACCCTACGGCCAATCTTAAACAGTCCTCTTTCAACCTGCTTCTCCTTCTAGGTCCACACCCAGCTAAAGTCCTACCCACATCACACCTGCAGGCACTGATGGCAAAAGCTGGAGTCTTCTCTTTCTAGACTTCTACGAGACTGGAACCAGCTTCTTCCCTCTCCTCCCTCCCTCTGTGCCCCCACATTCATTCAATCTTCTTTTCGTTCTTTTTTTCAATACTGTCATTCTTCCTTTGATTTATTAATGAAACCACGATTAAATCCTGCTCCAAACTAGACAGTGTGAAACCTATAAACAGAGCCACAGAAAAGATGAAGTGGGAAGAAGGAAAGCACAGGGGCCAGAGAAAGAAGGGCAGGAAGGCAAATTTCAAATCGCATGATGTTCTGTTGGTGCCAAGTATTATTCCACCTGGGCTTAATTAGCTATGCCTTTCCTGTATCTATATCTTCAACCTAGATTGATGGTGGTCTTCCTGATGGCAAGCCACCTATCTCCACCTTTTTTGCAGTGTATAGCACAAATCAGTGGGTCACATGCAGCACAGCATGAATGCTGAGAGCATGCACTCTGGGGCAGGATTACCTGGATATGACTCCCAGTTTCACCCATAGCCTGGTATTGGGGAAGAAAGTCCCAAAATGGGGTCTATGGGGACATTAGTTCTAACTCAGATTGGCTCCTGATTTCATGTGTGATATTTGGGAAGCCATTTTCCCTCAGAGTGAAATCCAAAGCCCTGGCCTGGTCTCTAGCAGCCCTATGACCTCATTTTCGAGCCCTGTTGCTCTCACTCAGGAAGCACGATGCCCAGTTCCCTTCTGTTTCTTTCTCAAGTTTGTTCCCAGTTCGCAGCCTTTTCACTTGCAGTCTCCCCTTCTTGGAGGGCTCTTCCTCAGATCTTCAGATGGTTCACTCCTTTGTTTCTTTCAGGCCCTGCTCAAATGTCACTAAGTCACCATCCCCGGCCCCTCTACTAAAGAGGCACATGTGGCACACCCAGCGGCGTGACCTTGGACAAGTGGCTTCACTTCTCTGAGCATCAGTGTCTTCACCTGAAAAATGGGGATGAGCATGGTGTCTCTCTTGCGGGGTTTCTGTAAGATGCAGTGACATGGTGTGATGAAGTCGCCTGCACAGAGGACTATCTCAATCGCGGTGAATGAATCACTTATTGTCTGGTTCCTGGGCTGCCCTGGGCAATCCAAGTCAACTCCTCTAAGCTTCAGCTTCTGCTTTTGTATGTCCTCGTGTTACAAAAGCCAGATGGGGTACAGTGGCAAGAAACAAGGGCGGATCCAGCCTCCCACAAGACTTGGGAGGAAGGTGAGAGATGCAGGAGATGTAAGGTGGTCCCTCTGCACAGCTGGTCCTCAACCAATAGAGCCCTCTGTTGTCAAGATGGATGGGCTCTGAGAACCGCCCAGCAGAGGGTTTAGGGGGCAGCAGGGGGGCTGGGGAGAGGGATTAGTCAGGGCATGCACCATAGGACAAGCACAGATGGTTATGATAAGACAGGAAGAGAGCCATTCTCTGGTCATGAAATATGCCCTCCAGCCGTTATAAACGCCTTGGAAGAATTAATGCACAGAACTTTGTTTTTTGGCTTTTTGTTTTCTCTTTTGAGACAGAGTCTCACTCTTTCACCCAGGCTGGAATGTAGTGGCTCGATCTCGGCTCACTGCAACCCCCGCCACCCCTCCCCGGGTTCAAGTGATTCTCCTGCCTCAGCCTCTCAAGAAGCTGGGATCACAGGCACCTGCCACCATGCCCAGCTAATTTTTGTAGTTTTAGTAAAGACGGGGTTTTGCCATGTTGGCCAGGCTGGTCTCCAACTCCTGACCTCAGGTGATCTGCCTGTCTCAGCCTCCCAAAGTGCTGGGATTACAGGCGTGAGCCACCGCGCCACACCGAGGACTTTGATTTGTAGCTTCTCTGCCAGGTAGAAGCGGAAGCATGTGTGTGAGGCAGGCAGGGTCTAGGAATGGATTCCCAACACCTGCCAAATTCCCGGGAAACCAAGGGCATGCCTCCTACTCCATGCAGGATGGAGTCGCTCATGTAGAGAAACCAAAGTGGAAAGAATGTTTCTGTCCTTATATAGCTCAGTGGGGAAGATGTGGGATGGGAACCAGAAGGGCACTCCCTGCTGTGCTGGTGCCTTCACATGACACCTCAAATGATCCTCCCCACAGCTCAGAGAAAGGCGTCCATTGTGCAGATGGGAAAACCGAGGTTCAGGGAACAGAAATAACAATGTCACATAGCAGAACAGCATTTTTACTCAGGCTTTCTTCCCCCAAAACACTCCTCTTCTAATAAGAAAGTCAAGGGAAGAAGAGACAATTAGGGGTATGTAACTCAACTCCCTACACCATAGTTAGAATCTCTGCAAGCAAGTACCCTCTTGCAAAGCGCTGATACATCTCTGCTGAACACATGAAGTTGATGGCTGGTCTCCTCCCTCCAGCACAGCCCTAGGACATCAAAGACAGCTCATTTCCTAGTCCTGGTGGTGCTTACCTGTTTATTTATCAAGTTTTTATTGAGAGAGGGAAGGAGGAAATGAAGCTCTGTGGAGGAAGTATATTCTTTTTTTTTTTTGAGACAGAGTCTTGCTCTATCATCAGCCTGGAGTGCAATGGCGCAATCTTGGCTCACTGCAACCTCTGCCTCCTGGGTTCAAGCTATTCTCCTGCCTCAGTCTCCCAAGTAGCTGGGACTACAGGCTCACCCCACCACGACCAGCTAATTTTTGTATTTTTAGTACAGACAGGGTTTCACCATGATGGCCAGGATGGTCTTGATCTCTTGACCTCGTGATCCACCCATCTCAGCCTCCCAAAGTGTTGGGATTACAGGCGTGAGCCACCATGCCCAGCCGGAAGTATATTCTTGATCCAATGAGGTTATTCAGCAGAATAAGCAGAACAAAAAATGTTAATATTACAACCACTCCAAGAATTCGAGTTCAAGTCTGTGCCAAATCCTGTGGCAGCCCCCTGCTAGCTGAGTGACATTAGGTACTTTACTTCACTTCTTTGAACCTCAGTTTTTTCTTTAAAATGGATGTATTAACTCAAAAGATGATTGTGAGTTCAGCAGAAAAGTGAATCAACAAACTATGATGTTTCCATACAATGAAATACTACACAGCAACGAAATCAAGTACTGATACATTCAGCAATATACAAGAATCACAAAATCACTGTGCAAAATGAAAGAAGGCAAATATAAAAGGCAGCAAACTGTGTGATTCCATTATATGACATTCCGGGAGAGGCAAAATTGTAAGGACAGAAATTGAATTAGGCTTTGTCAGACATGAGGTTGGGAGTAGGAGAATGAATTCAATGTGGTATGAGGGAATTTTTGGAGGAGGTGAAAATGCTCTATATTTTGATAGTGTTGGTGTTTATACTATAGTACACATTCGTCAAAGCTCATCAAACTGTACACTTGAAAAAGGGTAAATGTTATGTAAATCATACCTCAATAAACTTGACTCTTTTTTAAAAAAAAATGTGAGGATTCCATAAATATTCGATGCACGACAATTAACTTTGCACATTGTAGCCACTCAATAAGTGTTTATTTCTTCCACCTCTCAAAGGTGATAAAATAGATAGAGCTAGGTTGCTATAACCAGTTTAACCAGTAGTTGTCGCTAAAAGACTCCCGGCCATCTTTGTTTGACAGTCCCATTTATTCATATCTTAAGCATTGGATAAAACAAATCTTGGCTAAAATTGTAATTTTAAAACATCGTGTTGAAAGCAAAGCTATTTTATGTGTCTAAAAAACTGACTAGGTGGTAAGTTTGGCCCTCTCCACCATCCAGATGAATGATATAATGGACTTGGCCCCACTCCACACACCAAGCAGTGGAGGTGTGACCCACTACGTCACTGGGCTGCATGTGACATCTAAAGTCCTTTTGTAGCTACCTGCACTAGGCATGGCTGGGACATTTCTTGAAATCTTCCTGCCCATGGAAGAACGCATGATATGCTGAGGTCTTACCAGGGCCAGGCCTGTGGGCAGCAGCAAACTTTGAGCTTAGGTGGACACACTCCTCCCCAAACCCTCACAGCTGTGCCTCTTCCAACAACAATATTTTCTCTGCTCCCTCTGAAGAGAAAGTCATGTGTTAAATGGAAGATTTGCTTGAGTGAGTTACTGGGAACCTAAGCGAAATCATATTAAGGAAGGAATATTTATTATATCCATAAAGCAACCCGCACAGGCGAAGTGCGGGGGCCAGATGGGAGGCCCAGATGTGCAGGGAGCCAAATCGAGCCTGTCAAAAGGGGGGCCTGGGCCTATGAGTTAAAGCCCTTCACCCAGGGCGGAATTGGAGATGGATTTGGGCAGTGGCAGGGTTCTTTGGCAGCCTCAGAGGTGCGGGCTCTCAGGGCAAGAAAAACAAAGGGCAAGGGTTGCCTGCAGTAACAGAGGCTGCTGAAATGGTCCTGGGTAATGCAGGGTACAGGTTAGCTGGATGGCCAAAGATGAAAGGGGACATATTTTCTGGACATGCATAATAAGAACTGGGAGGAATGGAGGAGGATGAGGGGAGGAAAAAACGGAAGGAAAAGGGATAAGGAAGGAAGAGGACTACAGGGTACAGTTGTCTGACTCATTGCTTGTTCAAGATGTCCAGTCAATGGGACAGGTAGGGGCTAAAAACCAATTCACGCTGTACTTTGAAGCTATATATCCTGGACAAGATTGGGTTCTTTCCAGAGGAGGAGCCTACCACCAATTTTCACACAGGTGCCAAATGGGCTAGCCACAGTCCTAGATAAAAGGATGAAAGGAAGATAAAGGGAATGGAGGGGAAGAAAATAACCAGCATCTTTGATCCTTCTTCTCCACACATTGCTAGACTGCCCACTTTATCTCATGGTTAATATATTCTTCCCTTCAAATGCATTCCCCTCGGTCCATGCCAATCTCACCTATACTTCCAAGCCCAGATCAATCATCACCAACTCCAGGAAGCCTTCCCAATTGCCCACATCCCCCAAAGGGAGCTCCTGGTTCTGTTGAGCAATCGGAAGCTTAATCTACAAGCCAACCCCTGCCCTGAACACAGCTATGATGCCTTCCCTGCCACTGGTCAGTGACCCTTTCGATGGCATTCCTCTCTCCATCCACACCTCTCTGTGCTCAGAGCTCTCAGTTACGCTGAATCCTCCTTTATAGTCATGAATGCAAGCAACTGATAGTCCTCCTTTTATTACCCTTTAAATTCTTGTTGTTGATGAAGACCACAATGCTGGCAATTCTGACCCTGTGCCAGGCAAGTGGGCAGGGTCATCGTAAGCAGAGACCCAGACAATGTACAGTAAACATTTGTTGTGTTTGCCACTCAGCATCTATTTCCCCATCTTCTGGGAACAGGGTGCTTCTATTCCTTTAGAGACCCTTCTTTCATCCTCAGTCCACGGGACTCTTGCTGCACTAATCCTTGCCCCTGGCACCACAGGCAAGTCTTATTCCTCCAGATCACTGTGATTGGTCCACAGCCCAAGCCATTCAATGAGAGCCAGTCCTGTGACTTTTGCCACAACTCTCAGAAAAGAGACTCCTTTTCTGCTGGCAATGAGGGACAAATAATTCCAATAGAGTTGCCACTGCTCATGGCCATCTTAACACAGTGAAGAGAAATTCTTGCCCCAAGAACAGAGCCAGCTCAGAGAGAAGCAGAGCCAAAGGTGGAAAGACAAATATTCCCGATGACATGGTTTGAGCATCTGGAGCTAGCTAGCCATACCTGAAGCTGTGACCCATTTCACTCACATAAGCCAATACATTCCCTGTCTAAGTGAAGACAATTTCATTTAGGCTTCTCGTATTTGTCACTGAAAGGGCCCTAATCAATAAGTAAAACCATCAAAAAGTCTAGTTATTTTAAAATCATTAAAATGCAGGACAAAAAAAATGGAACTAAGAGTTAAAAGACATGAGATTTTACTCTAGTTCATAGATTAAGCAGGTAGGTGAGCCTAAGATACTCATTCCCTCTCACCAGGCCTGCTTTTCTATTATGTAGAATAAAGATTGCCTTTGGTTTGGCTAAGTTTTTATTTTTATTTTTAAAATAAAATGTTCTGGCTGGGCACAATGGCTCATGCCTGTAATCCCACAGCACTTTGGGAGGCTGAGGTGGGCAGATCACCTGAGGTTAGGAGTTCCAGACCAGTCTGGCCAACGTGGTGAAACCCCACCTCTACTAAAAATACAATCATTAGCTGTGTGTGGTGGCGCGTGCCTGTAATCCCAGCTACTTGGGAGGCTGAGGCAGAAGAATCACTTGAACCTGGGAGGTGGAAGTTGCGTGAGCTGAGATCGTGGTAAGACCTCAGCATATCATGCATTCTTCCATGGGAAGGAAGAGTTCAAGAAATGTCCCAGCCATGCCTAGTGCAGGTAGCTACAAAAGGACTTTTATTAAATAAATAAAAATAAAATAAAATGTTCTTTTCAAATTTTTGTGAGAACCGTGACTTCTTTGGTTAGTGAGGAGGACTGCTTTGTCATGGACACACCTCTTCAGCCACTCCCTGTCTTCCCTGGATTACCTGCAGTTGTGGGCACTGCAGTCTTCTCTGTCTTGTCAAAGGAAAGGCTTTAAGAGACAGGCGTCCACAGTTACCAAAAGCTCCCACACTTTGGCACCAGGCAGACTCTGGCTCTTATCCCAGGGGACCTGCTCACTGGCGTGAGAACCTTGACAAGTCCCATCACTTCTCTGAATGTGTTTCCTTACTGTAGGATGAGGACCATTATCTTTCATCTTCACAGCCAGAGACTTCACTAAATGCTTTCTGTGCATCACCACCTTTAATCTTCACAACAGCCTTATGAGTTAGGTCCTGTTATTATCCCCATTGTGCAGAAAAGGAAACCCAGGCTCTGAGAGGCTAAGCTTTGTACCTAAAGTCAAGTCCTGAGCTAGGATTAGAAACCAAGTCTGTGTGATTCCAGAGCTCAAGCATGTTCCAGCACTACATACACAAATATCTAAGTCATGACCCAAAACACGATTGTATCTACTCAAGAGTAGATACAAACACAGTACTCTGCAGTAGAATTTTTCTCTATTAATGATGGAATATTTTAGAGCTGTGCTGTTCAATACAATAGATCACACATGGTTTAATGATGGAGGATCTGATTTTAAATTTTATTTGATTTTAATTAATTTACATTTAAAAAATCATATGTAGCTGGCGGTTAGTATACTGGCCAGTGTGAAACTAGACACTCTGCTCCCTAAAGGAAAGATAGAAGATGTTTGTAAAATACATATAACGAGAGTCAGGCTGACCTATATTCAAATCCCAGTTGGCTATTTCCTAGCATTTGGCCTTAGAAAGCAATTTCAATAATGTGGCAAAAGCCTCTACTTCACAGGGTAGTCACGATACTCATTCATACATTGATTTAACAATGTTGAGCACCTCCTGCATCCAGGGCTTTGTGTTAGATTTTGGGAGTATGGTGAATAGGAAAGAAAAGAACTCAGCCCTCAAGAAATGTCCAGCAAAGAGATGCTTGTCTGTAAATGTAAATACTGCACATGAGGTAGGGAACACAGAGCCTGGCACGTAACACATGCTCGCAAAATGGAAGCTTATTTCAAGAAGCAGACGTCTTCTGGAAGAGACTTGGCAATGTCTCCAGAGCATTTTGTATTAACTCGAGAAAGTTGGGAGGGTTATGCAAATGGGCCTGCTGAATAAAGAATATTCCTAGTAAAATCATTATGCAGAACGGTTTCCCCTCTGCATAAGGTGGCAAAAATTATCTCCCCGGTGCCAATTATGTGCTTGTTAGCACTGACATTCTCAGAGTCATTACACCGAATGGGTGCCGTTCATGTAAGATCTACACTGGGTTCCATTGTAATTTTTTCTCTGTTTACAACCTGGTGTAATCAAATGTCATTTTTTCAAATGTTAAGGTATTTGGTATTTAATCTATCATTAAGGCTTGGAATATGTTTGCCCCTAAAAGGCACTCACTCCCATCCAAACACCTCAGGTGCCATGGAATGGAACAAATATTCAGGGCTGCTTGATGAGGATGGGGGTCAGGAGACAGGAATTCCATTTCTGACATGATGTCCTTGACCGGGGAGCTTTTCTCCCTGAGACTAATCATGCCATGTGTGATGCAACGGGATCAGATCAGGTAATTTCTAACGTGCCTTTGTAGACGTGATTTCTGATAAGCCCATTGAGAGTCTCAGCTTTTGCAGTTGTTTATTTAAACCATATTAATAGCGTATTTTAAAAACAGACAAGTGGAGCAAAATGGTGATAGATTAGATAGATAGATAGATAGATAGATAGATAGATAGATAGATAATTGATAGAAGATAAATAAATGATAGATGAATGATAGATAACAGGTAAATAGGTAGATGATAGATAGATACATATATACATACATACATACGTAGAGCATCACAAATCTCAAAGAGTGAAGAAATGATGGATTATTCAATAAAGTGTATTGAAAAATTAAATCACTCTTTGTGGAACAATCAGGTGGATTCCAACCTCACACCACACACAAAAATAAACTCCAGATATATTAAATACCCGAACATGAAAAGTGAAAGCAAAATGGAGGAGAATATTTTTGTCATCTGGAATGGGAAGAGTAAGGACTTCTTGAAAATATTCAAATAGCAGAGGTCATAGAAGTGGTAAAAGGACACATGTAGTTACGTCAAAATTAAAGAGATCTGACCCATGGACACCAGAGACAAAGCTAGCACGAGGCTAATAGAGTGGAACAAGAGATTTGCAAAGAATAGCTATCTAGAAAACACAGAGATATACAAATCTGGCGGCAAAAAAACACTTTAAAAACCTAGTAGTGAAGTGAACAAAATATATAAGTAAACAATTCACAGCAAGTGAAAGAAAATTACTAAGTATATTAAAGATTTGTTCAAAATTACTAATGGTGAGTGACAATAACTTAAAATCACCATGAAGTAGCACATTATTCCCCATTTGACTAGCAAAAGTCAGAGAGAAAGGCAGTATCGTATCTTGACAAAAAAATGTGGTGAAAGAGGAATTCACACGTACAGCTGGAGAGAGTGTGAA
Organism: Homo sapiens; assembly: GCF_000001405.40. Lineage (NCBI taxonomy): Eukaryota > Metazoa > Chordata > Mammalia > Primates > Hominidae > Homo > Homo sapiens. Next base: position 26,931,939 of record NC_000022.11, on the reverse strand, counting down.
CAATGCAGCCATCTGAGATCTGAGTCTGGCTAGACTCAGTGAAATTAAGTGTACAGATACCAAGAGCCAGTAATCCCATCTTTGGTGACAGAGCTTGAAGAAATCCTTTCCTGGGGCCACAAGAAGATATGCACAAGGATGTTCGTTACATCCCAGTTCTACTGACACAAAGTTGGACTCCCCCTTCATCAGAGCAGCCGCAAGGAATCCATGGTGGGAGGCGCACTAGGAACATACTCTGTAACTATCAAAAGAAACTAGCCAGATCTAAATGCAGCAACAGAGGCAGATCTCAAAACCATGCTGAGCAAGTAGAGTGAGAGCCAGGAGGACTGGAAACCATGTCTGTACTTAGCAGAAGCACATACACACACACACACCATATATATATATATATATATGTACTTTTCCAGAGTGAAAATAGATACCAATGGCCAGTCAGTGGGCTGGAGGAAACATAAACCAGGATGGTGGCCAGGGTGGGAAGAGGAGAGGTATTAGGATGGAAAGATGAAGGCCAGGTGCAGTGGCTCACACCTGTAATTCCAGCACTTTGGAAGGCCCAGAAAGATCACTTGAGCCCAGGAGTTTGAGACCAGCCTGGGCAACATATTGAGACCATGTCTCTACAAAAAAAATTAAAAATTAAGGCCAGGTGTGGTGGCTCATGCCTGTAATCCCAGCACTCTGGGAGGCCAAGGCAGGTGGGTCACTTGAGGTCAGGAGCTCAAGACCAGCCTGGCCAACATGGTGAAACCCCATCTCTACTAATAATACAAAAATTAGCCAGGCATGATGGCGCATGCCTGTAGTCCCAGCTACTCAGGAGGCTGAGGCAGGAGAATCACTTGAACCCAGGAGGCGGAGGCTGCAGTGAGCTGAGATCGCGCCATTGCACTCCAGTCTGGGCGAAAAGAGTGAAATTCTGTCTCAAAAAATAAAAAATAAAAATTATCCGGGTGTGATGACACATGCCTATAGTCCCTGCTACTCAGGAAGCTGAGGCAGGAGGATCCCTTGAGCCAGGTTGGAGGCTGCAGTGAGCTATGATCGTGCTACTGCACTCCAACCTGGGCAATGGAGTGAGACCTTGTCTCTAAAAAACAAAACAAAACAAAAAAGGATGGAAGATGAAAGACAGGGAGTAACTTAAAACAAAAGAAGAACCTTTGCAGAGGGTGTCTACTCAACTCTGTGCACCTGAGTTCCCCTTCCAAAAAAATAGATACTATCCTTTTTTGGTTGTTCCCAGGCACTATGCTAAGGGACATATAGATTATATATAGATTGAATTAGATATATGTGGATATATCTTTATCTAATCTATATTTAATATAAATCATTTAACCTGCACAATAAATCAAGACTATAGGCATCACTATTAGAGTTTACAAATGAGGAAATTGAGTCTGAGTTAAACAAAATCCTTGTTCAAGCTCACCAAGCTCAAAGGTGGCTGAGTTGGGACTTGAACCCAGGTTTTCCCATGCCAAAGGCAATGGAGTGAAACCACTCCATCTGTTAAGGCCTGTTCAAGTAGCTCCCGTCTTGCTCTTTCCCTATAGACACCTTCAGCATCATTTGGAACTGAGCACAACCGTCTGTCTCAGGCCAGATCCAAGCCTGTGTCGCCAGGGTGGGGACCACATCTGGTGCACCACTGTGCACCCAACCCCTAGCAAACGGCAACAACATGTGGTCAAGGAAAGGATGTTCACCTGTTGTTCTGAAGCACAAAGCATGCTGTGAACTCACCTACTATAAAAAAGAGGTGCTTGTCTCACAAGCATTAGGATGGCTAGTATAAAAATGTAAGAAAAAGAGAAAGTAACAAGTGTGGGAAAGGGGGTGGAGAAATTGGAACCCTTGTGCACTGTTGGTGGGAATGTAAAATGGTGCAGCTGCTTTGCAAAATGTATGGTGATTCCTCAAAAAGCTACAAATATAATGATCATATCACTCAGAAATTCCATATTTCATATCTGGGAATATGTCCTGGGGAATGGGAAAAAAGGGAGCTTGAACAGATATTTGTACACCCAAATTCAAAGCAGCACTATTCACAACAGCCAAGAGCATTGTGAAGCCAACCCAAGTGTCCATCAGTGGATCAATGGATAAGCAAAATGTGGCATATACATATGGTAGATTATTATTCAGCCTCTAAAAAGAAGGAAATTCTGACTCATGCTGCAACATGGATGAATCTTGAGGATATTATACTAAGTGAAATAAGCCAATCACAGAAAGTCAAATACTGAATGTTTCCACTTATATGAGACATCTAGAGTAGTTAAATTCACAGAGACAGAAAGTAGAATGGTGGCTGCCAGAGGCTGGGGGAAGGAGCCAAGGGGGAGCTGTTTAATGGGTAAATAATTTCAGTTTTGCACCATAAAAAACTTCTAGACTTGGTTGTAGAACAATTTGAATACACTTAACATTACTGAACTGTACATTTTTTAAATGGCTAAGATGGAACATTTCATATGTATTTTAACACAATTAAATATATATATATATATATATATATATATATCTATATATATATATATATCTCCATATATATATGTTAGAAATCGATAGAACTGACATTCCAGAAAAAACTCCCATGCTGAAACAGCATATTCAAAGTGAATGTGATGGGGATGGGGGTGGAAATGATGCCTTAGAAAAGAAATATTTCTTCCTAGATAGATCCTCTTTCTAAAAAAGATTTGCTGTCAAACTTCCCAGTTTAGCCAATATCGTATATATCTCAAGAGTAGTATTCTTCCTATACTTTTCTAAAAATTAGTTCCAAATGGTCATAAGAGTTTGTAGTTGAAAGAGCTCTGGATTGTTTTAGCATTGCATGCATATTTGACCACATTTTCTGTAAAACCTCCCAAGCCCTCAAAAGCAAGGGATCATGTCTGGGTTTGCTGTTGTTGTTGTTGTTTAGAGACAGGGTCTCACTCTGTTGTCCAGGTTGAAGTGCAGTGACATGATCGTAGCTCACTGTAGTCTCAAACCCCTGGGCTCAAACGATCTTCCCACCTCAGCCTCCTGAGTAGCTGGAACTACTGGCACACCCGCTGAGTCTGGCTAATTTTTTTTTGTAGAGGTGGGGTCTTGCTATGTTGCCCAGGCTGGTCTTGACCCTGTCCTCAAGCAATCCTCCCTCTTGGGCCTCACAAAGTGTTGATACTACAGGCATGAGCCACCACAATCGGCCTGTTCTTACTCATGAATTTATCCCTAGCTTCTAGCACATAAAAAGGGCTCAATAAACATTAGCTGAATGATATAAAAACAAGCATATCACACTTCGCATTCTTATCTTAAAAAAAAAAAAGAGATTAAAGCAGAAACAAAGAAGGGGGGTCGGAATTTGTCCTGACTCTTGACATCAATAATAAAAGGGACCTCCTTCATTCCTCTCTCTTCTCCTCCCTTGACATCACTACCCAAGTCAGAATCTATCAAGATAAATCCCCCTCAGGACTGAGCCTTATAATTTACAGCTGTGCTCCGGGAAAAATCTTCGCCTAGAAGTTGGGATCGTTCTTAACTTGCTGTGTGACCTTGGGCTTTTTGAATGTGTTTCTTTATGCCCTTCGCCATGAGCCCAGAGCTTGCTAAGTGCTAGGAACTGTGCTAAGTAAAGTTAAACCTCTTGCCCAAGGTCCCAGAGTTTCAATCTACAGATTCAGCATTTGAACCCAGCCCAGGAAATCAATTCAAAGCCTGTGATCCAATACAAAGACCGCTTGTCCACAGCCTCCAAGCACACAATATGATTCAGACATTGCAAACCCCATTCCTCAGAGTCCCTGACTTTTCCCTGGACTCACAGGGAGCCTGGGGTCTTGTGGAGCTCTTGGACTGCTCCTGCCCCAGAGAAGCGTGCAAGGAATGTTTTGCCAAACTTGCTGCTGGCAGGAGACACTATGCCACAATAAACCCCATGACAGATCTGGATCTGCAAGCGGCCAACTGTCCCCAGCCTGGCTCATGATGGCTGTCAAGTCAGAACAAAGTGCCTCCAATAACCGGGTTATTAATCTTGAATCACTCTCTCCCCAGCCTCTCCCGTGTGCCATGTTTCTGGCCAAGAACAGGCTGGCCCCATAACGCCTCTCTGTCGGGCACTCCTGCTGCAATCCTGGTAGATCCCACAACCCAAGTGTGCCACAATCATTTGTGAAATGGGAGCTTGCTCATTTCGGGTTTCCTCTCAATCCAGAGAAACATTCATGTTTTAAGGGGATTCAGAAAATAGCCACCTGGAAATATTGGTGTGCATACCCCCAATTTCAAACAAGTAAACTGAGGCTCAGGGAATTGTGGATGAACTGAGCTGAGATCCTAAGATATTTTTTAAGCTGTTCAGGGACAGAAAAACCAATATAGTCAATAAGGCTCAGCTTTACTTTCTAGGCAAAAAAAAAAAGGTACCACCACTAAGGTTTCTGAGGAATGAGGCATGATATAATTCATATATTTGCTGTGCCTTGGGCTGTTGGCATCAGGGTGTGGACAACGGCTTCAACACTACTTGATTCTTCCATCCAGTAGTTATTCATCCCATGCCAAATTTGAGCCGAGCCCCAAACTAAATGATGGGAAACAGAAGATAGTGGGCACAGACTCTTCCCCAAAAAGACCAGACCCAGAAACTTCATGATCTCATGATGCCATATCTGATGGCTTCAGAAGTCAGAGGGGAGAATCCTTCCAGTTCAGGAAGGTAGATGGCCCATGACATCTTCATGCAAGGGGCTGTACTTGAGGTTTGACTTTTAAGGATGGGATAGAGGTGGGGAAGAATCTCAGCAAAGAATTCTTCATTCTTCTTGAATCCAACTTCTCCCCATCCCCCACAGTCACTTCCCATGTCCTCACAAATCTGGACAGGCCAACATCATCTCGCAACCCGCAATGACTGTTGTAGCTTCTTCACTGGTTGTTTCCACACTTCCTCCCCAAATCCCCCTGACACATTTGAATTCTAAAATTCAAATCTGGTCTTGCCACTCCCCTGCTCCAAACCCTCCCATGGCCCCCTATTGCCTTAAAAACAAAGGCCACTCACCTTACCATGCCCTGCAAGATCCTGCACAATCTGGTCCCTGCCACCCTTCCCCGGCATTCTCTGCCATGAAGTTTACACTCAGCATATTACCAAGGTGCTCAGGGTGCCTGGGACACACCGTGCTGGGTTTGCCTACATGTCTCTGTGTATAGCATCACCTCTGCCCAGAATGTCTTTCCCACATCCTCAGCAGTGTCCCCGGCTAATTCCTACTCATCTGTCCCCTGCCTTGATACCACCTCCTGAAAGCAGCTCTTTAATGCCCACCACCACCCCTCCTTACTCCTGGCTGGGGCATGAGCACCGACATTCAGTCTTCACAGTAACCCATGGACTAGGATTCAAACCAAGGTCTGTGTGACCCTGGGGCTCCAACTCTCAAAGAAGATGTCCTGCTGCTCCAGTGAACTGGGATTGGGACACATGAGACAGTGGAGGGATGATGTTTCCACTCAATTCCATCCTGGTCTTTAAGAGCAGAAAGAGGAGAGAATGGGAGGAAGCACTCCCACACAGATGTGGGATGCAGGGCAGTGGGCAATGGAGTTGACTGGGTAGTGTCAGCAGGAAGATCAGTGGTTGCTACACTTCACGCAGTGCCAGTGTTACTGTGGATCACAGCTCCAGAGTGGACCCCAGCACTCAAATGTTTCCCCAGCTCAGCTCCCCCAGTGATTCTGCAGTGAGGCCATTTGAAGGGCCCCTTGCCCAGAGAGGAACAGACATTGAGCCAGGATGTGGGTGCCAGAGACGAGACCAGGGCCCAGAAAGAAACAGACTCTGACCTTCCCTGAGGGGGAACCCATGTTCTCGATCCAAATGTTTGCTTTTCATTTCACCTTTTTTAGATGAATAAGAGAGACCTCGAAGGCTGGGCCAGAGAAAAAGCCAAGCCACAAAAGGGGAGACTATTAAGGTATGCAAAGGCCACTCGTCAAAGGTCCAGTAGGTTTAACTCTTGGGTCTGACTCAGCCACTAGTCAGCTGTGTGACTGTGGGTAGGGCAGATGTCCTCTCTGGGCTTCAACCTCCAACTCCATAAAATGAACGGGGGTGGGCAGACAGTTTATTTATTCATTAATTCAACAAGTATTCACTGAGTGCTCTGCTAAACCCCAGAGACCAAGTATTGACCAAGACAAGGTTGCTGCTCTCAAGGAGCTTACAACATGGAAGGACAGATGTCAACTAGAAAAACACATATGCAGGCAGAGTGAGCAATAGGGAAAGGGGAAGGAGAAGACGTTGGAGGGCAACACAGAGCCAGAACTTGGAGGAATTTGCTCCTAAAGTCTGTGAACCCCTGCCATTTGTCACTCCTAAACCACCTTTGTTCCTGCATGAATGAAGGAAGCATCATTCAATGGTCATACCCCTAGGTTCCGGGGCCAGGTGCTGCCCTGCCCAGTGCTTTGCATTCAAGATGGCAGCTCCATTCCATCAAGCCTTCCAGCCCAAACAGCCCCCTCCATCCCTTCCCCCACTCCACTGGATCCTCATCCCCTAGATTTCCACTTTCCCCCATTTTTCTCTGTGCACTTCTCGCCTTTCATTTCTGACCAAACTTCAGATGACGGGAACACTGATAAATTAATGATTGTAATTAATAAAAATTGACTCTCTGCTAATAAATTATTATGAAATGGCCTGTCAAGTTTTTTAATGAAATGCAAAAAGCTGCAGTAATGAAATGAGTGTGTGCACTTTCCCAGCCAAGACGTGAGAAAATACATCCATGGGGTGCTCAGGGGTCTACAAAGAAAGAATCTGGGAGAAGAAAAACAGGATTGGATCAATGCGTTAGGAGGAGTTACTGCTGTGTGAGTACCTACTATGTTAGACACTTACCCGGTGTTATTTTTATATTATCTGATCAACCCATGAGGTAGAGGCTATTATTACCTCTCGATTTTACAGATAAAGAAACTGAGGCCCAGAAAGGGTAAGAAACAACCCTAGGTCCAAAGCAATTATGCTGTAGATGTGTGATCAAACCAGATATTTTGAACTCCAGACCCCCTCCCACTTAGTTAACCACTTAATTATATAGCATTGATTTAATGCTGTTTTGTAGATCCAACCCTGTTTTGTAGACCTGCGATCAAACCAGATATTTGGACTCCAGACCCCTCTCCCAATTAGTTAACCACTTAATCATACAGCCTTTTAAAAACTCGGGACTTGAGGCCAGGCACGGTGGCTCACGCCTGTAATCTCAGCACTTTGGGAGGCCGAGGCAGGCAGATCACCTGAGGTCAGGAGTTTGAGACTAGACTGGCCAACATGGTGAAACCCCATCTCTACTAAAAATAGGAAAAACTTAGCCAGGCATTGTGGTGCATGCCTATAATCTCAGCTACTTGAGAGGCTGAGGAGAATTGCTTGAACCCGGGAGGCAGAGGTTGCAGTGAGCCGAGATTGCGCCACTGCACTCCAGCCTGGGCAACAGAGTGAGACTGTCTCAAAAACAAAAACAAGAATAAAAAAAAGAAAGAAAAAAGAAAAACTTGGGACTTGGAAGAAAGAGGCATGAGTTCAAAGTCTGATTCAGTCATTTGACATTGTGATTTGGGTCAGTTTGCTTAACCTCTCTAACCCTCAATTTACCTTCCTACACAATGGAGATAGCAATACCTCTTTCCCATGCTTTTGTGCATGGACATGTGAGAATGAAGCAAGATGATGTGTGTGAACACATGAGGCCCTAACAGCATCCTTCCTCTCCTTTTCCAAGTGTTTGGCATAAGAAATTCTGTCTGTGAAAAGATGAAGCATTGCAAAGAAAAGGGTTCAATGTCATGGAGAGGAGGCATGGTGGTACCCTCATTTACGCGCCATCCCAGCTCTATGGAGTGTTTAATATTACAAGGTTGTCCCAGCTCTTTGTAAACTATAGCCATGAATGTAAAACAACCGATTTTTACAACAGAATTGTTTAACCCTGCACCAATTAAAAGTACCTGTTATTAAAAAAGGTAATTATGCTGTAATTAGTTTGACACAAGACATTAAGCAGATTATTATCAAAGCCAGGGAAACAGTAACTTCAAAGCAATTTCCTCTCTTGAAAGAGGCATTTACATGCCGCCATCAGAACATGATCCTTACTCCAGGCACTTTTGAATGTAGGGAAATGTGAAGCCTAACTCTTCCAAGCAGCTTGGAGCTTTATGGCAGGGAATGCCTGCATTGCAAATGAACTTGGGTGGCTGGGCTGCAGAAATTCTTCCCAGGAAACCCACATTCTGGGTCAGGGACTGGCTACACATTATCAGCATGGCCTGAGCAAATATAGGCAGGGGCTACTGACAAGACCAGGAGAAGGGCTAAAGGACATGTGCTCAACACCCCCATGCGTGAGCACCAGGCTTGGATTTTCCAATATTCTTTCCTGGATTCCCCAAAACCAACCTGTAAGGTAGGAATAATGAGACACTATTTGCAAGAGACAGAAAACAGGTTTCCAACCACTAGTGTGGCAAGAAGGGGGAAAACTGAATGTCTCTCTTCCAACTAACGAGAAGAAAACCACTTTCCCTAGCAACAGTGTTGCTCAAAACATATATCAAATCAAGTCCCCTTTTTCCCCCAGAGCAATCGTTCAGGAGCTGGATCCTTCTAGAAGACTCTGATCCTCTCTCTCACTGTCTCTCTGCATCTCACCTTCCATGCCCTTTCCCTACTTTATCTTCTCTCACTTTTCAGATTTCTGGGGGAGGCAGGATGGGTATCATCATTGGAGAACCAGCATTCCAAAGAGCAGCTCAGCCCCAGTGCCCACCGATGTTTCAGGACCAAGGTCAGCGGCACAGGTGCTCTCCTTCCCATCCCCATCCTCGACAATAAAGTCCACCAGTGACTGAGGTCCCGCCTCTGCCCCTTACCAGCCCTGTGTGACCTTGGATGACTTATACAACCTCTCTGAGCCTCAGTTTTCTCTCCTGCAAAATGGGATAACAAGAGCATTTAACTTTAAGGGCTATTGTAAATCAAATAGTTGTAATATCAAATGGGCAACCGGAAGCCTGGCACATTGTAAGTTCTCAATAAATGAGAACTATTATTATTTTTAACCTATGTTCTCTGACTGCTGACCAGTGTGCTCCCATGAGCACACAGAGCTCTGTTCTCTAAAAGACAGAAAGAAAAATATATACATATAAAAATGTAAGGCAGGAAAGGGGATGAAAACAGATGGTTCAAGAAGTAAACTAGATCCCTCTTCTCCCAAAGCTATACAAACACAGTCTATTTTATTTAGCCATCAAGATGCAAATTTCTCTTTCTCTGGGTAGGCTTGTAATATTAATTATTATATATGACATTTATGCTTTGCCAAGCATGCACTAAGCATGCTACATAAATTACATCATTCAAAATCTCAACCACTCTGTGAGGAAGGTAATATATAACATCAACTTTACTCATTCTGCAGATGAAGAAACTGAGGCCCAGAGAGGGGAGATCACGTGCACTGCCATCCTGAGGATAAGTGGCAGAGCTAGCATTTGGACTCAGGTGTCTCTACATCTAGCCTCACCCAAGATGCCCCCCTGCTCTGGCAGATCACATAGTCTGGTGAAGAGACATGTTATTAAAAGCTAGCAGTAAGTGCCAGGTACATAGTAGGTACTCAGGAAATGTGTTCTCTCCACTCTCCTCCTTAGTGCTCAGTTCCCCATGACTCAATTGAGGGGTTTGGACACGTCTTCTCTAAGGTCCCATGCATTCAGCAGATGTTGTCAGAAGGGCATCCCAGGTCCCAGTGCCTGCCCTCTCACTGGCTGTCACCCTGAGGCCCCACCTGTTTTTCTCAGGGCCCCTATCTGAGCTTCTTGCCTACCCTCAAAGGCTCTCGAATCTGAGAAGAACTACAGAAGCTGATCCCAGCAGTGGGGCCTCTAGCTCATCCTGGTGTTGCCATGACAACAATGCCAGTATCAATCTTCTTCAAGCCCTCTTCCCAGTTCTGACTTTCCCTGTCTCCTGTCATGTCTGTCTCTGCTGGCTGCCCCAGCAGTAGAATGCAGGGTGAGGGGCCAGGACCAAGAGTGAATGCAGCGATGAGGCATGAGGAATAAGCAGGAAGAGAAGAAGGGTGAGGACTGGGGTGGATCAGGTTCAGTAGGGGGCAAGGAGGGATCCTAGTCCCCCACTAACCTCAGAGAACCCAATTTCTTCCTCTCTCTCTTTTAATTTCTGAGCACACAATTCACATCAGGAATTGTGCTAAACTGTTTACATCCATTTCACCCATTGAAGTTCAGCTCAAGTATAACCTCCTATGGGAATTTTTCTGTAATTATTATGCCCTCCTTCGCCTACTAGCGAGGTAATACTTCCCACACTTCTTCATTCCTCCTGCATCATAACAAGTATCTTAGTCCATCTTGTGTTGTTATAAAGGCTGGGTACTTTATAAAGAAAAGAGTTATTTGGAACACAATTCTGAGAGCTGAGAAGTTCAAGATTGGGCATGTGATGAGCGCCTCAGGCTGCTTCCACTCATGGTGGAAGGCGAAGGGAAGCTGGTGTGTATACAGACCACATGGAGACAGAAAACAAAAGAGGCAGAGGGAGATACCCGGCTTTTTTCAACAAGCAGCCCTTGCAGGAGCTAGTAGAGTAAGAACTCACTCACTCCCGAGGGAAGGTATTGACCTATTCATGAGGGATCTTCCCCGTGACCCAAACACTTCTCATGAGGCCCACCCTCCAACACTGGGGACTAAATGTCAACATGAGTCTTGGAGTAGACAATCATCCAAATGATAGCACCATTTTACTTGAACTAACATCTCAATTCTCGTAATGGCCTTATGAGTTAGGCTCTATGGTTATCTAATGTTGACTGTTAGTATCTTCATTTATCAGGTGGATAAACCAAGGCTCATGCAGGCTAACCATTTTGCTCACAAGCAAGTGGCTTAGCCACCATTTATGTATTTATTTATTTACTTATTTATTGAGATGGAATCTCACTCTGTCACCCAGGCTGGGGTGCAGTGGCACGATCTTGGCTCACTGCAACCTCTGCCTCCCGGGTTCAAGCAATACTCCTGTCTCAGCCTCCCAGGTAGCTGGGATTACCACGTCCGGCTAATTTTTGTATTTTTAGTAGAGACGGGATTTCACCATGTTGTCCAGGCTGCTCTAGAACTCCTGACCTCAGATGATCCACCCGCCTATGCCTCCCAAAGTGCTGGGATTATAGGCGTGAGCCGCTTAGCCACCATTTAAACCTCACTCTATTTGGCTGCAAAACTCAAATCTTTCCACTGCACCAGGAGGACTCAGGGATCCACTTAGCTGAGAGAAACAAAAAATATCAACATGTTTAGCTGTTGATTTGCATCATGAGTTTGAAGAGGAGCTGATGTGGCCAACAACGTGGACTGGATGTCAGCAGGGACCAGTCAACTGGATCTGTGGTCTCTGAATGCTCCCTTAGTTCCAGCCAACTTCTCAGGAATCCATGAGCGTTCCCTGGAGAAAGAAGCAAGTGGGTCAGGGGTGAATACCCTCAGTTCTGAAGCCTGAGAAAATCTCTTCCCAAGGAGTTGGTGCAAGGTACCACATTTACAGAAAACTTCTCTGAGGGCCTTGAGTGGGCTACAAAAGCCCACCCACTCTGAATCTTCACAGGAGGCTCACTGCTGGTAGATGTGATAGATCATCCCTCCCACACCCATAAGACAGACTGGAAAACTTCTTCCAGGGTAGGAACAAGTCCAAGGCCATTAGAAAGAGGCAGAGCCGGGACTTGAACCCAGGTCTGTCAGATTCCTAATTTAGGTCTCTTTCTTCTAGTCCCACATTAAAGCAGCCAGAGGACTAAGCCAGGAGGACCACTGGTCATTCCACCTGTGGCATCAATAAAAAAGGTACCATTGTCCAGGGGCTGTGCTAAACACTCGGTGTAGTACATTAACTCAATTTTCAATACACTACAAAATGAAATGGTTATTAAACCCATTTATGAGATTAAAGAACTAAGGGCCTTTTCTATTGCTGCTTAAACAAATTAGCATATATTAAGTGACTTAAAAATATTAGGAGCTTATTATATTACAGTTCTGAGGGTCAGAGGTCTGAAATGGGTCTCACTGGGCTGGAGTGAAGGTGTCAGCAAGGCTGTTCTTCCTCTGGAGAACAGGGGAAAATCAGTTCCCTTGCCTTTTCCAGCTTCTAGAGGCTGCCCTCATTCCTTAGCTCTTGGCCCCCTTCTCCATCTTCAAAGCCAGCATTCTTAAGCTGTCCTCCTCAAGCTGCCATCTCCATAGTTCTCTCTCTCTTCTGCCTCCCTCTTCCACTTTTGAGGACGCTTGTGGTTCCACTGGGCTTATCCATATAATCCAGGATAATCTCCCCCATTTTAAGGTCAACTGCTCTGCAGACTTAATTTCACCTGCAATCTTAATACTCCTTTGCCACAAAACCTAACATAGTCACAGGTCCACACAGGGCATCTAGGGTGAGCCTCTGATGGTAATGAGTTTTCTGTCCTCCATGGAGTCAGTGAAGATGGAGCTCAGGAAGACAGGCATCCAAGCCAGTCCTTGGAGACAGGGTGGCTTGGGGGTTAAAGCCTGCCTCTGTTGGGTGTCAGGGAAAAAGCAAACTGTAGGATAAGTGTGCCCTAACCTTCCCCAACTAATCACATCTCTTGACCTCCCCATGCCATATACTTCTTGCTCCCACCACTTGGAAATTTTCCCAGACCCCCAGTACAGCTGGGTATTTTATGCTCTGTGGCTTTTCATGTGCTGTTCCAGTCTCCATGACTTTCCCATTATTTCACACTAGGGAGCATTGGTGGTTCAATGGCAGAATTCTCATCACCCATTATTTCAGACTGATTAACTCCATCTTCTCTTCCAGGTCTCCTCTGCCATGCAAGTGGGATTTGGCTCCTTCTAGCCCCATTTTTCCCTTCCCTCTCACTTCCGAGGTTGCTGGTTATTAACACAGATATTTTAACACACACACACAGTTCCACTCGGGTTAAGAAATGCTGTCGTTACACTAGAAATTTCTGGGGTGATTCTAAAAAAGAGAACTTTCTTTAAACGTAATCTTTTAGCTAGTATCCACTTTAGACTCAGAAAATGTAAGTTATCTACAGCCTGACAAAGACTAGTACAACCTATTCCTGTCTCAAAATGTTTCTAAAATTAGAGTGAACATTGTGTTAACTGCCACAGTTAAAATCAAAATGATGGATTTCTCTTCTGAAATCAATCCTAAAATGCTTCCTCTCCTGGCAGTCAGAAAACTCATTCACCATTCGTACTATTATGATCCTCGTAATCACTTTTCAAAATGGCATTGTGACTACCCTTCACTCCATAAGGATTATGGTGGCCTTGGAGAAAAGAGGAGAAATGCTGACCTCACACAGAGTCACTTCCTGTCTCGCCTCTAAGATCTTTAGATGCTTCCTGTAAGGTGTGAGCCAATCAGAGCCAAGCTGGGCTGAAACCTCCCAATTAAAGGAGGACTTTGTTAGCAGAGGGATGATGATAGCTCTGATCAATCAACATAGAAAATGTCTAATGTTTTCAGTCATAGGAATGCCAAAGAGACACATGCAACTGGTGGATGCTTCCATTCAGAGCTGTTAAATAATTCTGAGCACTGGAATGCTGCAAAAAAAAAAAAAAAAAAAAAAAAGGAGTGCCTCTCATTTAACAGCTGAGAAATTTAAAATATTAATCCATTTATAATGCTCTTCCCCCACCCCGATTTTGAGATCAGGGCACCTCCCCTTGATAATGGATGCATGACTTTAGGCAAATTGCTTCCTTTCTCTAGGCCTCAGCATTCTCCTCCCCAAAAGGGGGAATCATAGGCATTGCTGCCCCGGGACATTGGGACTATTCGAGGAGATAATATAAGTGCAAGACTTGGCATAAAGAAAGCAGCCATGAATGTTTCCTTCTTGGCCAGGGCATTCATGTCCCACTCCCATCCCCACTGTGCTCAGCCAGCACTTGGCTGTCTAAGGGATAGGAGGAGACATGTCAGAGTGGGCCAGTCACTAGAAGTTAGTGATTGTCCTGAGTTTTGCTTTAATCTGTGCTGCCAACAGCTGTGTGAGCTTCAGAAAATTGTTTAAAACTCTCTGAACATCATTTTTCCATAAAACGTGCAAAGAAATCCACCTCACCTAGGAGAGCTGTGAGGAGCAAATGATTTAGCATGTCAAAACATCTTGAGACCCAGCACTGTCTCCGCCTTGAAGAGGTCATCAGGGACCAAAAGCAATGTCATGATCTGCCTTCCAGAAGAACTTAAAAGAGGACAACTCAAAACACGGCACTCTGAACTTTCTGCAAGAACTCATATCTAATGGTGAGGTTTGGACTGTATACCAAGGTGGGGGAAAGGGAATATTTAAGAGTAGGGCCAGGTGCGGTGGCTTACACCTGTAATTCCAGCACTTTGGGAGGCCGAGGAGGGTGGATCACAAGGTCAAGAGATCAAAACCATCCTGGCCAATATGGTGAAGCCTCGTCTCTACTGAAAAAATAAAATCAGCTGGGTGTGGTGGCACGCACCTGAAGTCCCAGCTACTTGGGAGACTGAGGCAGGAGAATCACTTGAAACCGGGAGGCAGAGGGTTGCAGTGAGCCGAGATTGCACCACTGCACTCCAGCCTGGCGACAGAGCGAGACTCCATCTCAAAAATAAATACATAAATACATAAATACATAAATAAAGAGAGTAGGAATTCAGCACCTCTCTTATCATGTGAGGTCTTTGCCCACAGCCTCTTCTGTATAGTCATTCTGGACCCAACCCCAAGTCAGCTCCAGCCCCTTCTAAAGTTCTCCTTGGATGTCAGCACCATCCACATTGGCAGTGAGGTTGGTCTTAGCCAAATGCTATATATAGTCATCTGGGGGCAGGGAACTTAATGTGAAACACCAAAGCTTAATTTCTATTCTGCCCCCAGATTCTTAAATTAGCCTGGGGCAGTTGTTCTCCATTGGGGGTGATTTTTGCCCTGCAGGGGACATTGAGCAATGTCTGGAGACATTTTTGGTTGTCATGTGACTGGGACATGGCTCCTGGCATCTTCAGGATAGAATCCAAGGGTGCTATTCAACATCTACAATGCACACAACAGTTCCACTCCCCACTACCTGCCCCAACAAAAATTATCCAGCCCGATACGTCAATAGTGTCAAGGCAGAGAAACCCTAGTTAGGGGTGAGGCTCAGTCATTGGTATGTTTAGAAAGCTCTTCAGGTGATTCTAATGAGAGCCACTGGGTTAATCAAACGCTCAACAATTAGCCTTGGGGAATTAGAGTCTTCTAGATGAAGCCTCCATAATCAGCCAGCTGTTATTAAATCATCAATAGCTGTAGCCAAATTAAACCCAGAGTTAAGAGTGCTTCAAGCATTGACTTGTCCATTCCTGCAAGGGCAATCTACCATCCAGTTTTTCCAGGACTAAGGGAGTTCCCAGGATGTAGGACTTTCCTGTTTTAAGAATGGAGCAGATCTAAGAAAAGTGGGACAGGTTAGTCACCCTTGCTTCTGCCTCTCTCTTGTTTTCCTCTTCCACTCTCCATCTGTCCTTGGTTTATTGTGTTTATATGATGTGCCATGTCTACGCACACACTTTACCCATATTAGCTCAGGAAATGCTCAGAGCCCTAGAAGGTGGGTATTAAGATCTCCAATTCCCAAGAACCCAGGGCTTCAATTACTTGGCCACAGAGGCTACTCAGATAATTAAGTGTTTGAGTTAGAACTCAAACCCAGGGCTGCCAACTCCATGGTCCTTACCACTAGATCACACTGCCTATTTCCTTCAGTAACATGATTCACAGCAGTCTATGATGGGGTGACTCAGGGATGCTAAACCCCTATGGGCAGGAATGCCACATCCCAGTTCTGCAGAATCTCCCGTTTCCATTGATCCCATTCCACTGCCTTTGAGTTCGGGGCCCAGACAATTACAAAGAAAAGAATGGGGGCTCTGTAGATGACCTTCGGCCAAAACTAATTAACAAAGTCATCTCAGCATACTGCAATGCTGAAAACTCACAGGTAAATGAGAGAGAAATGAAAGGAGGCTGGGTGCGGTGGCTCATGCCTATAATCCCAGCACTTTGGGAGGTCGAGGTGGGCAGATCACCTGAGGTCAGGTGTTCAAGACCAGTCTGGCCAACATGGTGAAACCCCATCTCTACTAAAAATACAAAAATTAGCCAGGCATGGTGGTGCACCTGTAGTTCCAGCTACTCAGGAGGCTGAGGCAGGAGAATTGTTTGAACCCAGGAGGCAGATGTTGCAGTGAACCAAGATCTTGCCACTGCACTCCAGCCTGGGTGACAGAGTGAGACTCCATCTCAAAAAAAGAAAAAAAGAAAAAAAAAGCAAACTTACTGCTCCATTCTAGTCTCTCTGCATATCACATCTGTATTCCATAAAGTACAGATAATCATCCCCATGGTACAGAGAAGGGAACCAAGGCCAGAGAGGTGAATGCCAAGGCCATCTTCCCAGCAGGTGGCAAAACTGGTGTTAGAAGCCATGTCCGTTTACTCCAATGCCCATGCTTTTAGCATTTCATTCCATGCCATGTGGGGAAGCCTGACTTCTTGTTGATTTAACAGCCCAATGTGGGTAAAGCGCCCCTAACAAATCCCAGAAGATTGTCTCGAGGAGGTGTTCATGTAGTGCAAACAGCATTACACGTGTCCTGGGCTTTGTAGCACCATTTCAAATATTGACGAGGCCCATTAAAGAATTCTGAGAGAACAGGCTGCCTTAAGTGGAGCGGGTACTGAGTTCAGAATGCCTGGTGCAGTAATAAACGGCATGGCGCCCTGCGATTCCGGGCAGAGGCCACGTGGAAGTCTGCCCGCACGCCCGTGCACACACACCCCCACCCTCGGCACACCTCCACCACCCACCCCTCTCCATGCGTGCCCACTGAGTGTAAACCCCACAGTGCCCTGTGCATTTCTACGAAATGATATTTTATTAAATAAACAAACTGGAGCCGTTCCCATAGATTTATGAACAGTTCCTCAAGTCTCACTTGTTCGACCCACTGCGGATTTACGGCCCTGCATTAACCTCGTGAGCGCTCATAACGTTTACTAAGATAATGTTGGCAGGAGGGAGAAGGGATTTTTATAGCTGAGTAATAATTAGGAAATGCAGGGAGGACTGGGGAACCTGTTTATTGGTTATGCTGGGTGCATGGACAACGATGGGATTGTACATTCTGTGCAGGTTTCTCTGGCGGAAATCAATTCCTTCCCTCTCTAGCTGGTTTTACCTCCGTGGCTTGTCTGAAACCTGGTTTCTACTTCTAGAGAATGTGTTATCAGCGTGGTCAGGCCTCAATCTTAAAAAGAGAAAGGGGACAGCTGCCCAGGTGACCCCTGGTGCAAACTTGCCCCAGGTGCACTATTCAGAGAGCGGGACCTGAAGTGCACCATTAGAACCTGGAGGGAGGTGACATCCCCTGGAAACAGGTCAGTTCCCAGGGGTGAAGCATTCCTTCCTCCTCCGAGTCGGAGCAATTGGTTCTTCAGCCTCTTTCTTGACAACGGGTTTGCTCGGGGAAAAGAGAGAAAGCATTGCAGCACTGACGTTTAAGAGGAGTTGAAGAAAACGAAGCTTGCAAAATGGTCATAAAATATGAGGGGGGCCAGGCACGGTGGCTCACGCCTGTAATCCCAGCACTTTGGGAGCCCAAGGTGGGCAGATCACTTGAACTCAGGAGTTCAAGATTGGCCTGGGCAACACAGCAAGATCTCGTCTCTACATTCTTTTTTTAATTAGCCACGCATGGTGGCATGTGCCTGTGGTCCCAGTTACTGGGGAGGCTGAGGTGGGAGAATCACTTGAGTGCACCACTGCACTCCAGCCTGGGCAACAGAGTGAGCCCCGTCTTGAAAAAGAAAAAAGAAAAAAGAAACTACGAGGGGCATAAACAATAAAGACATATTAGTAACAAGAACTACAAAAATCTGGCTGCATATAGGGGCCATGGTGGGTGGTGTCGGGGGCAGAATTAAGAAGTACAAGTGCCTTGACCTAACCAATTAAAGCAAACCCTGGGGGGATGGGGAAGGGCATCGTGTTTTTACAAACTCCCCAGTAATGCTGATGCACAGAGAGGCTTAGACCAGCGAGTGGTCGCTATAAAGTGCTTTCCTATCTGTATGGCCCCGCTGCTCACAGGGTGGGCTGCAAGCCAGCAACATGGGCCTCACCTGGGAGCTGGTTGGAATGCAGAATCTCAGGCCCTGCCCCAGCCTTACTGAATCAGCACCAGTATCCCAACAAGTTCCTCCGGGATTCACCTGAGCGTTCAAACTTGAGAAGCATGGCGATGCGGCATTTGACTCTCAGAAATGCTACCTCTCCCCAGAGTAGGTAGAGGAGCCGCTCCTTCTGCTTTCCCATTTTACAAGGGGAACAAAAAATCAAGGTTCAGGGAGGTTTAGTCGCTTGCCCGAGATCACACAGAGCCAGGACCGCCCAGACGCCATGTCTTCCTCTGCATCTCACACTCACACATCCACTGCTGGGGGAAATCTGGGCACCGTGGCAGGTGCAAGGGAGGTGCTTGTGGGCCGGAGCTAAAAATGAGAGATGGAAGAGGGGCGCCCTAGGGAAGGGGATCATTGAGTAGTTGTCAATTAGTCACCCGGCCTTCCACAGCTGGCAGAGTGGGGCCCTGTCTAGGCTGCCACCCCCGCCTCCCGCCGCCTCTGCCCTCTCTGCCTTCCCCTTCCAGAGCCTCCTTGAGATCTGAAACTCAAACGAGAGGGCATGAATAATGTAGCGCGATTGCTCCTCTCGTCTCTCCTCAATCCTCAGAGGGTGAGCGAGGCTCCTTGTCTGCCTCATTAGTGGCCGTTCAACCATTTGATTTCAGTAACAGTGTGCCTTCCTCGGAATTTTCATACTTATTTGCGTCACCGGAGTCAACACTGAATTTTTGAATCCACATGAAATTTTAATGGGGTGATCTGCATACAGCATGGTCCCGGCTGGGGCTCCAACGACGGGCTAGGAGAGGGACAGCCTGATCTGAAGATGGGCTGATCACAGAGACGTGGGTAGGAGCCTAGTCCACTCCCAGTTTGGAGCCCAGATCGGGGCACGGGGTGATAGGGAGGTCCCCAAGGGCTGAGAGGGTCCTGCCAGTTAAACTCCCTGCAGCCAACATTAGTAGCTTCCAATTTCAGGCGAAGGGTTAAGGACTCCACTCTGGAGCCTGTAAGCCCTGAAGTCAGAATCCAGCTTTACCACTTCCTGGCTGTGTGACCTAGGATAAATTGCTTTACCACTCTGAGCCTGTCTGCTTATCTGTGAAATGAGGATTATAACAGAGTTGCTATGCAGAGCTTGAATGAGGTAATCCATATAAATCCCTTAGCTCAGTGTTTGGCACGTGATAAGCAGTTAACGCTTAGTAGATATGATGATGATATCTAATGTTTAATAGATATGACAGTGTGATGATGATGATGATGTTTTCCTCCATCTTTCACCCTACACATGACTAGAACGATGTAGTTTGCAAAACTTATTCACATCTGATTTTTTGTTTTTTTCATCTGTACTTTGGATTTGGTAGCAGACTCATCTCAGTCGATTCCAGCTTTACCTCTTACACACTATAGGAGTTAGAAGTAACTTCATCTCCTTGATCCTCAGTTTTCTCGCCTATGTAATGGGGAGACTACACCCTCCCTGTAGGACTCTTCATCGGGATTCAGTAGGAAAACGTCTGTAAAATGTTTCACCTTGTGCCTCACATGGGGCAGGCACCATATACAGGATGATGTTCTTAATTCTAAGCACACGTTTCGTTCATATTCTGCATCTCTGAATTCAGGGTCCATCTGCCATTGTGAGAGCATGTTAAATCCTTGAACTACAATATTATTATTTCCATCCAGGGTATTTATTTATCCAGTGCTTGTTCGTGTTCCAGGCATGCGCTAAAAGCTGCATGAGAGCTGTAATAGTTCACGCAATTCTTGCAACAACACAGAAAGTAGGTGTTTTTTCTAAATATGCTTTGAGAATAGGGAAATGGTACCTCCAAGAGATGGTGGATCCTCCCCTGGGTTCCACAGCTGGTTTGCATTACAGAATTCCTTGTTCTTAGGTGTTGTACTCTGGCAGGTCTGTCCCATCCCCCCCATCCCGTGTGAACAGCTAAGGAGAGGAAGGGCCAGAAGGATGGGGCAATTTTCCCAGAGTGGCATGGCCAGTAAGTGGCAGAGCTGGGAATGGACCCCAAGTCCATAGGATCACAAATGTTGGGCTCTCTCTGCTAGAACCCACCATGGCTGGCAGGTGGATGGGCAGCATGATCCTTTTATTACATGACTCTGGTATAGTCCAGGACAACCTTGCCCGAGCCTGGAGACTGGCTCTCATTCCCAGGTGTCCTGCAAGTATCTCTGAGCCTCACTTTCTTCTCCTGTAACATGAAGGAGGTGACAATGCCAATGTCTCAGAAATGTTGTGAAGATTAAACTGAGCAATGCATAGAAATAGGTTCTGCCAGCCATGGAAGCCCCTCAAATGTGAGCGATTGTTGAGGATAGAGAAAGGCAGGGGCCCTGGGAGCTGAGATGAGCCGCAGCACAGGACCTTGAAGCTGAAAAGAGCCACCAAGGGGTCTCCATCCCTTCCCAGCACTGGCCTTCCTCCTGTGGGATACTCAGTGTGGAGATTCCTCCCTCCCCACCTGACACAGAGATGGGAGTGAAATGAAACACAGCCCCTACCCCACCCCCTGCTGCCCAGGATTTCTCACCCGGTGTAACGAAACGGAAGGAATTTCTGCTGAGAATGGTGATTACTAACCTGCCAAGATGAGTGAGAAAAATCAATTCAGAGAATGCAGGAGAGAAGGGACTCTACTGAATGGGGGAGGTATGAGAGAGAGGAGAGGGTGGGAGGGACAGAAAGAGAGTGACCTGGGAGAAAAGAGAGAAAGAGGGGGAAAAAAAGACAGACAGAGAGAGAGGGAGAAGGTGAGCCGCACATCTATTCATCGAGGACGAACTTCAGGGACATTTAGCCTCAATCCCTCTCTTACAGTTTCTCTCTTCAGTGATTAGACAAGGACAGCAGGAAAGTGGGTTGCAGAGGCAAACGCATGCCATACGGCAGAGATTCAGTAGGTCTAGGTTTGGGGTTGCCAACAATTCTGTATTTCCAACCAGCTCCTGGGGATGCTGAGCCACTGGTCTGGGAACTTGACTGGGAGTATCAAGGCTGAAGACAGAAACATCAACTTGCCCGTTGGTGAACTGATATCACAAATGTTTCCCAAGTGTGTGCTATGTGTTTTAAACTGGAGAACCAAACACTTACTAGACACACAGAAGGCTTTGTTGAATGTTACTGGAGAGAAGTCTTTAGTCATTCATTGTTTGATTGAGGTGAAATTCACATTACATAAAATTAACAACTTTAAGGTATCCAATTCAATAGCATTAGTTCATTCACGGTGTTGTGCAACCATAGCTCTGTCTAGCTCCAAAACATTGTCATTACCTCCAAAGAACACCTCATACCGTCAGTAGCCTTTCCCTTTTTTTTTTTTTTTGAGACAGAGTCTCACTCTGTTGCCAGGCTGGAGTGCAGTGGCGCGATCTTGGCTCACTGCAAGCTCCGCCTCCTGGGTTCAAGCAATTCTCCTGCCTCAGCCTCCTGAGTAGCTGGGACTACAGGCACACACAACCACGCCCAGCTAATTTTTGTATTTTTCAGTAGAGATGGGGTTTCACCATGTTGGCCAGGATGATCCTGATCTCCTGACCTTGTGATCCGCCTGCCTCGGCCTCCCAAAGTGCTGGGATTACAGGCGTGAGCCACTGCGCCTGGCTGCCATTCCCTTTTCACTCTTTCTCCCAGCTCCAGCAACCACTAATCTACTTTCTGTCTCTATGGATTTACCTATTCTAGATATTTCATACAAATAGAACTGTATATAGTTGTGACCTTTTGTGTTGAGCTTCTTTCACCTAGAGTCAGACATGCACCTGCACATGAATGTTCAGAGCAGCATTGTTCACAATAGCCAAAAGGTAAAAACAACTCAAATGCCCATTAGCAGATGGATAAGCAACATGTGGTATACAATGGAATATCATTCAGCCATAAAGAATGAAGAAGTACCGATCCACGTTGTGGCATGGAATAGCTCTGAAAATCTCACACTAAGTAAATAATTTTTAAAATGCTGTTTCTTGCCCTCACGGCTGTCGCCATGATCCTGACTACCCCAACTCAAGTGTGGTCACCTTTCATTCCAAACAAATATCAGCTGAGCAGCCACCATGGGCAGGATGCTGGACGCTCCAGGAATGTAGGTCAGTTAGACCACGACTGCCAGCTTGGGTCCTTACTGACTTGCTCCGTGGCCTTAGGTGAGTCCCCTCCCCTCTCTAAACCTCAGATTTCTAATCTGTGGAATGGGATTCCAGATTTCTCACCAGGTTGGCACAAGCATTAGGTCAAGGTGAGGTCTCTGAGTAAGCCACTGAACTGGACAAGTGTCAGTCACTGCTACGGACTGAACGTGTTCTCCCAAAAATCATATATTGAAATCCTTACCCCCAGCACGATGCTGTTAGGAGGCTGGACCTGTGGGGGTGATTAGGTCATGAGGGTGGAGCCCTCATGAACAGAATTAGTGCCCTCATTAAAGAAACCGCATGGGGCTCCCCAGCACCCTTTCCACCATGTGAGGATACAGCAAGAAGTCGATAGTCTGCGACCTGGAAGAAAACCCCCATCAGAATCAATTCTGCTGGCCCTGATGTAGGACTTTCAGCCTTCTGCTTCCCAGACAGGGAGTGGACTTGTGATGTTTGGGGTAGCATGCCTCAAATAAATTCCTGTTGTTTATGAGCCACCCAGTCCATGCTCCTTTGTTATAAGCAGCCCGAACAGGCTGAGACAGTTACTGTCACTGTGAGTTGTACAAGATGGGAGGGACCTCAGAACCTGCCATCGTCCTCAGAGTTTGGGAGTCAGAACCTGAATGTGTGGAAAGAGAATTAGCAGTCCAAGGGGAGCACTGGCCAGAGTAGGGATCCCAGAGAGTGACTGCTGTTATGTAAAATCCATGCCCACGGTCCACCAGACATCTCTAATCCAGCGCTGACCCCCTCGCAGACTTTGGCTGGACCCTAGAACTCATCCAGCCCAACTTCCTCATGCCACAGGTGAAGAATTAGAGACCGTACGGAGAGAAGTGACTTGCCCACAATCTATCAGGTAAATTTCCTTTCATTTGTTACTGACTTCCAGGAAAGATGGTAGATTGAACACACTCCTCTAATATATTTCCTTCCCTAAAAGACAATACTATTATAATACAGGATTTGTTTTAAAGGCATAAACTCATAAGGACAAGGAGAACGGAGGAAAAGGTAACAGTCATGAGGTTTGGAAATGGGGAAGTGAGAAGGCAATGGTGGTAATTGACTTGGCAGATCCAACATGGCTAAGAAGTGGAGATGGTGAGGGACCAACCCAATTTGCACCCATTCATTATGTCATTCAATTATCTTTAATTTGTCAGTTTCTCTGTTCAGGCCCCGATGAAGATGAATGGGACTCTCCAGACCATGCCGCCCAGTGGTGCATGATCTTCTGGTGGCAACAGGGAAGCAAATGAGGCAACCTGTGGAGCCCTCTAAGGCAGACATACAGTTGGCCCTCCATATTCTTGGATTCTGCATTTGTGGATTCAACCAACAACACATCGAAAATAATCAGGGGGAAAAAAGGACGGTTGCAGGCCAGGCGCAGTATATCATGCCTGTAATCCCAGCACTTTGGGAGGCTGGAGGGGGAGGATCACTTGAGGCCAGGAGTTGGAGACCAGCCTGGCCTAACATAGTGAGACACCACTTCTGTTAAAAAAAAAAAAAAAAAAAAAATGTTAAATATACTTGAGAGCTTATTGGAAGAGTCAAAAAGCAATTCACCTGAATCTTGTAAAGCAACACAATCTACAGGCCCCTAGTTTTCTGTTTCTCTGTTATATTTAAGGATTCTCACTCACTTACCCACTCAATGTAACATAAGAAGATGTAACATAATAAGTATTTTCAGCCAGGCGCAGTGGTTCACACCTATAATCCCAGCACTTTGGGAGGCCGAGGCAGGAGAATTGCTTGAGCTCAGGAATTTGAGATCAGCCTAGGCAACAAAGCAAGATCCTGCCTCTCCAAAAAAATCAAAAAATAGGCTGGGTGTGGTGGTGCATGCCTACAGTTCTAGCAACTCAGGAGGCTGAGTGGGAGAACCTCTTGAGCCCAGGAGGTGGAGGATGTAGTGAGCTATAGTGGAGCCACTGAACCCCAGCCTGAGTGACAGAGACAGACACTGTCTCAAAAAAAAAAAGAATGGTTGTGCTGAACATGTACAGACTTCTTTTCTTGTCATTATTCCCTAAACAATAGAGTATAACAAGTATTTACATAGCATTTACATTGTATTAGGTATTGTTAAGTAATCTGGAAATGATTTAAAGCATACAGGTGGATTGTGTAGGTTATATGCAAATACTATGTCATTTTGTATCAGTGACTTGAGGATTCGTGGATTTTGGTATCCACAGGGGGTCCTGGAACCAATCCTTCATGGGTACCCAGGGATGACTATATATAAGGTACCAACAATAAACACCAAACTCTCACTGGAGGGATAAAAGGTAAAGGGTGCAAGGACAGAGGAGTTTGAGTTTGAGTTTGAGTTGGTTACTGAAGAAGGGTCAAGAAAGAGGAGTGAGCACTCCCAAGAACAGGAGGAGCTCATGGGAAGGCAAGGAGCAGAGATATGAAACTTTCAGAGCATTCCAAGTCCCTTAGAGACACCCTCAGGTGCAGATCTTGAAGGACCCTGTAAGTCAGAACATAGGGGTACTAGGGAGCCATTGAAAGGTTTTGAGCAGTTAAGTGACAAGGTCAAGAAATATCACTCTGACGGGGGTTGAACAGAAGAGTCTTTAGAATTCCCACTTACGTCTCTTGCCCTTTCTCCATCCCTTCTTCCATAAGCTTTAACTGAGCACCTACCGTGTGCATAGCCCCATACTAGGTGCCTGAGACCAGGAGCCAGGTATCCGCACACAAGTGCATGGCGTGATCAGCCGTGAGCAGCAGTAATTGGACCCCATCTGCATCTGCTGTCTCCTGTTGCTTGGAAAACACTTCCCACTGAGCTTCAAATGTGCACCTGCTGGCCCTCACACTCGCATAAAAGTCTCTGAAAAAAAAATTGATTATATTCATTCTCTTAACCTCACCCCAACCCGAACATAAATCGTCTCTGTTTATAACACTTCTGGCATTTTGTGCATTTTGCCGAGTGACATAAAATGACAATAAATTTAGGCCCCACCAGCAGAAAAGTACCTAAAATGCCACATGTCACTAATATTGACAGGTTCTAAAAGTAAAACTTGGAAATGGTTCAGGCGACATAAATTAAAATAAAAATATATACTTTGTCCTTGAGAGAGAATCAGCTAAAATTAAACCTCAGTGTGGGTAGGATGTCCAGGAATATGAGGGAAGGAAACATCAGGGATGCATGGTTCAGAACAGAGTCCCAGAAGGGGAGGCCAAAAAGGACCCAGAGAAAATTCAAGCCAGGACCTTGATGGAAAAAAGAAGGACTCCTCTTAAAGCTGCACCGTCCAATACTGTAGCTGCTACCTTTATGTGAGCATTTAAATATAAATCTAAATACAATAAAAATTCAGCTTCTCAGTTGCACTAACCACTTTTCAAGTGCTCAGTAGCTACCTGAGGCTACTGAGCACTTGAGTTGGAGGGCAGATTAGAGATCACAGAGAGTTCTATTGGACAGCTCTGTCTAGGAGCAGGAGCATCCCTGCCGCCGTGCAGGGTGACTGACACCTGAGTCTCCTCTCCTTCCTCCCAGCCTTCTCTCCTCCACTTCCTCCTCTCTTCCTCTCTCTCCTCTTCTCTCTTTCCCTCACTCCTCTTTTCTCTCTCCTTCCCTCTCCCTTCTTTCTCCCTTCTCTTCTTTCTCTCCCCTCCCCTCTCTCACTTTCTCGCTCTCGTCTCTTTCTCCTCTTTCTTCCCTCCCCTCTCTTCTCTCTCTGTTTTGCCTTCCCCTCTTGTCTCTCTTTTTTTTTTTTAAGTTTTACTCTAAGTTCAGGGGTACATGTGCAGTTTTACCATATAGGTATACCTGTGTCATAGGGATTTGTGGTACAGATTATTTTATCACCCAGGTATGAAGCCCACTACCCATTAGTTATTTTTCCTGATCCACTCCCTCCTCCCATCCTCAACCCTCCGATAAGTTCCAGTGCGTGTTGTTCCCCTCTATGTGTCCATGTATCCTTGTCATTTAGCTCCCACTTATAAATGAGAATATGCAGTATTCAGTTTTCCATTCCCGTGTTATTTTGCTAAGGATAATGGCCTCCAGCTCCATCCATGTTCCTGCAAAGGACATGATCTTTTCTTTTTCTTTCTTCTCCTTTCTTTTTCTTTTCTCTTCTTTCCCTCTTCTCTCCTCTGTTCTTCCTTTCTCTTCTCGCTTTCCCTCTCCTCTCTCCTCTCTTTATCTTTCTTCCCTCTCCTCTTTTCTCTCCCTTTCTTCCCCCGTCTTTCTCCTCTCTTCTCTATCTCCCTTTTTCTCTTTCTCTTTCTAAATGACTGCTTGCCTCCCCCCAACTGTCTTTCTCTTTGCCTCTTTCTCCCTTCTATTTCCCTTCCATTTTATATGCTTTTCTAAAACATAAATACATTGAATTCAGAAGGCAGCGTGGGATTTGGAAACCAGGGGTCCAAAGCCCTGCTTGACCATTTTGCAGCTGTGAGGTTTCAGGCAAGTGACTCCAGCAGGCTCGTCATCCTCCACACTGGTAATTATGGAGAGAATAATCCCTACTGTGCTTGGCCATTGAATTACATCACCTGTTCAGTGGCACGCAGTAGGTGCTCAGTGGTTGCAACTTTCTTCTTTCTTCTCCTTGATCACAAAGCTTCAGAGGCTCAAAAAAATCTACCAGAACTTTTTCAGCCTCTTAAGCTCAGAATAGGAGCCTCGCCATATTTTCCATCTTTCATCTCTGGCTTTAACCCACTCAACCCTCTTCCACATTCCAAACATTCCATGCACTTTCCGGCCACCAGGCCTTTGCACATGCTGTGTGCCCAGCCTGGGTTGCCCTTTCCCCTTTTGCTTGCCTTAGCCTGCTTCCCTCAGTGGAGAATTGGGCTCAGAGGTCACCACAGCTTCTTCATCCTCTGCAGCTACTAACACAGGACAGGCTGAGGAACCCAATAAGGAAAGAAGGTGTGGATAGAACCCCAGAGAAATTAGAGAGCTGGTCAGGCTCATTTCAGGCAGACTGAAACCTGGTCTCAATCTCTGGCTGAGATGACATATTTCATTCATTCAATCAACAGTTTTGGGCATCTACTGTTTGCATACTCCTGCCCCAGCTGGATGCAGAGATGCATCAGGCAAGTTCCTTTCTGGAGCGGTCACAGCCCAGTGGGGAAAGAGACCCTCCCCAGTGCAGTTACTAGACAGCGTGGTAAGTTCTGGAATACAGGTGGGTGAAGGTTCCCTGGTCGCACAAAAGGGGGCTAGCAGTCCACTTGAGGAAGTTATGGGGACTTCAGAAAATGCCCCAAGAGCAGAGTATTTGGTGCAGCAGGAGGTGAGGTTGCCACAAAGAAGCTAGCTTTTGTGGTAGGGACATTCCAGGACAGGTGACAAGTCAGGACTGGAGGAGGCTTGTGAGAGCCAAAGGAGTCCAGGGCCACGAGCTTTTCAGTGGGACTGAGCTTAGCTAGGAAGAGGGGACTAGAAGGAAGCCAGGTCAGGAGGGTGAAAGGGGCAAGACCACCACGAGGAGTCACATAGGTTGGCTAGGGAGCCGGGACTTGACCCTGAGTGCAGCCAGGAGTCCCGGAAAGGGTTAAAGCAAGGGAGACCCGTGACCATAGAGGCAGTTTAGAAATCTGACTGCTCTGGGCCGGCCCTATGATGAGAGACAGTGTGGGGTCCGGCCCAGAATGGAGGTGACGGCCGAGATAGGCAGGGGTGGCCCTGGTGCAGACAAGAGCAGGGGAGAGGTGAAGCGGCGAAGGAGGAGCGGGTCCCATCTCGGGCCTCGCCCTTCCCCCTTTGGCGGCGGCTGCCTCGGGCGTCTAACCACCTCCCCCTCCCCAGCCCTTTCCCTCCCCACCCCCTCCCTGCCTTCTGGCTGCACAATTTGTGAAGAACATTATGTAAATGGATTTATGCAAATCCAGCCTCTCCCCCTGCTCGCTCGCTGGACTCCTGAACCCTAATTAACTTGCCAAAGCCTAATGTTGCCGTCCCCTTTACACCGGCCCAGCCCCCCCGCCCGCTCCCCCTACCAGGAAATCCGTCTTCAGAAGCAAGCGCCGTGTAATCGCTCCCTTATTTGAATGTGCGAGCTGTCGCCCACACCCTTAGCCCGCAGGAGAAGGCGGCCTTTCAGCCCATGACACTTGTGCTTCCGATACGGCTCCAAAATAAATGCCTCTTTTTCTTCCCCCCACCCGCTCCCGCCTTATTTTTGCTTGCTTCTAGACCCAGAAACAGCCTGGGTAAAGTTGATGCAATTTCTCATTATCTTCAAGTCTTTCGTCCACCACTAGCATCACCCTCCCCTCCCCGACCTCAAGGTCAGGAATCTAATACCCTCTCCCCTCCATCGCTCTCAAAATAGCCGCTCAGGAAAGGAGCAAGGGCCGGCCCTTGCTGAAGGACTAAGGGCTCATGCCTGCAATCCCAGCACTTTGGGAGGCCGAGGGAGGCAGATCACCCGAGGTCAGGAGTTCAGACCAGCCTGGGCAACAAAGTGCAACCCTATCTTTATTAAAACAAACAGGAGGCTAAGGCAGGAGAATTGCTGGAACCGGGGAGGAGGAGGTTGTGGTGAGCCGAGATCGCGCCCACTGCACTCCAGCCTAGGTGGAAAAGGAAAGAAAGAAGGAAAGAAGGAAAGAAAGGGAGGCAGGGAGGGAGGGGGGGGGAAAGAGAGAGAGGAAGGAAGGAAGGAAGGAAGGAAGGAAGGAAGGAAGGAAGGAAGGAAGGAAGGAAGGAAGGAAAAGAAAGAAAGAAGAAAAGAAAGAGAGGGAGGGAGGGAGGGAGAGAAAGGAGGGAGGGAGAGAGAGGAGAAAGACATGAAGGAAAGAGAGAAAGACAGGAAGGAAGGAGAGCGAGAGGAAGGAAGGAAGGAAGGGAGGGAGCAGGGAGGGAGGGAGGGAGGGATTGGTGTTTTTTGAAATCAGAACAGCAAGGATGTATTCAGCTCCTGCTCCCTGCAAGGCACTGTGTGCCTACCACCTAAATGAAGGTATGTTGTTGACCTAGAAAAGACTCCAGGAGCATCTCTTCCAGCCTGCTTGTTTTTTTTAAAGACAGGGTCTTGCTCTGTCACCCAGGCTAGGGTGCAGTGGTATAATCACAGTTCACTGCAGCCTTGAATTCCTGGGCTCAAACAATCCTCCAGCCTCAGCCTCCTGAGTACTACAGGTGCACACGTGCCACCATGCCCACCTAATATTTTTAAAATATTTTTGTAGAGAGCTTTGTTTCCCAGGCTGGTATCAAATTCCTGGCTTCAGGTAATCCTCCTGCTTTGGCCTCCAGAGTAGTTGGGACTACAGGCATGTGCCACCATGCCTGGCTAATTTCTTTAAAAAAATTTTTAGAGACAGAGGTGTCACTATGTTGCTGAGGCTGGTCTCAAACTCCTGGCCTCAAGCGATCCTCGTTGTCTGGGCCTCTCAAAGTGTTGGGATTATAGGAATGACCCACCATGCCAGGCCCTTGATTTTTTTTTTTTTTTTTTTGTCTTTGTTGAGACAAGCTGTCACTCTGTTGCCCAGGCTGGAATGCAGTGGTGCAATCTCACCAGCCCTTGATTTTTTTGATTTTTTTTTTTTTTTTTTGAGACAGAGTCTCGTGCTATTGCCCAGTGAGACAATCTCGGCTTACTACAACCTCTGCCTCCCTGATTCACGTGGTTCTCCTGCTTTCACCTCCCGAATAGCTGGGACTACAGGCACGCACCACCACGCCCAGCTAATTTTTGTATTTTCCGCAGAGGCAGGGTTTCACCATGTTGGCCAAGCTGGACTTGAACTCCCAACCTCAGGTGATCCGCCCGCCTCCGCCTCCCAAAGTCCTAGGATTCCAGGCGTGAGCCACCGCGCCGGCCCAGCCTTGATTTTAAAGATAGTTGAACCTATGTTCCACCACCAATGACGCATCCAAGGTCAAGCAGCAGGGATGGGCTGGAAGGCAGCCTCCCAGTCCCCCACCAGCCTGGGCCTTTCTGCTTAACATCCCTCGTTCCAAACAGCACAGCCTAAAGTAGCTGAGCTCTTCTGGCAGCCTTGTGCCTGCTCCCTTCAAGTGCAGAACAAAGCAAAATAAAGGCTTTCCCTGGAAACAGGAAGAATTGTGTTGTCAGCCGGTTCGTGCTGCTGCAGCAAATCTCCTGGATGTGGCTCCCCAAACAGAGATGGGAGGGGGGTGGCTGCCTCTGGAATCTGGGGGCAGAGCAGGCAAGGCGTCTATGGCTCGGCGTCGTAAATGGGTTTTTGAAAGATGCAAAGATGTCCGACATTTGCTGGGGTGCTAACAAGCAGGGCTGTCATTCATTTGTTCGTTCACTTATTCAACCATCATTTATTCAGGAAATATTTATTGTCCATAGTGCCTGGGCCAGAGTGAATCCCAAAATATATTTCTGCCCGCAGAACCAGGTAACCCACTTGTCACTGGCTACAAGAAACCAAGATCACCATATGCAAACAGCCGTCTGACACCAAGTCTTTCCTGGTGGCCAAATCTCCTCCCTCCTCCCCCAGCAACCTGGCATCTGAATAAAGGACCTACATTTGGAAATCCCCATCATCATCTTGTTCCTTCATTTTCATTTCTGCAAAGAAGTAATATACGCCTGCGCTTAGTCCTGAGAAGGACAGTTCATCCTGAAAGGCAGTTTATCCTGGAGGAGAGGATCTGGAGTCACGCACGGGTTCAAATCTACAAGCTTTGGCAAGGCACCACTTTCAAAGCCTTTTTATTCTCATCTGTAAAAGGGGTATCACAACCATGCCTAGCTCTCAGGTTGAAGGGGGATTAAATGGAGAAATGGGAAAATGTAGAAAATATCACCCTCTTTCTGAGATAAAAGCCTGTTCACAGAATCTCTATTGAAGCCATCAATTTCTCATTGAGGTTTCAAAAACGAGGATAGAAAGCCAGAATTCTTGTAAGTTTTTGGTGAGGATTTTGTTATAGCGGAGATATCTTTGAAGATAGTTTTTGAAAGCACTTTGATCTGGTCACTCTCTGAGCCTCAATTTTCTCAGTGCTAAAATGGGAATAATAAAATTAGCCACCTCAAAGGGTTATAGGAAGGAATTAATTAGGGAGGTCTTAGTACTGTGTGAGTCACATAGTTATGGCCCTGTGAATCTCAAAGAACACAGACATATAGATACACTCAATTACACTAGGCAACGGGGAATTTTTTGAACATCAATTAATTAATTAAAAGTTAGTTTCCCAGTTTCTCTATTAAGAAAAGTTTTTTTTTCTTTTTTCCCAGACATGTAAAGGGTGATTTAAACAGAAATGTTGGATTATGTCTTTATTTCTATTTGGAAAGAAAAAAAACAACACATTTTAGTGATCATGGAAATTACTGATTTTGCTTATTCCAATAGAAGGCAAATCATTATCTCTGAGATTTAGCATTCAGTGAGCCTGTATATCCTGAGGTCCTAAACGCTCAGCTTAAGTAAACAGAGGGTATGGTCTGACCATACCCTCTATGGATATACTTAAGGGTATATTCATACATCCAATGACAAATGCTAGGATATACATGGCATACTTTATAATTTTATATAGTTATTATAGAGCCTTCCCACAATGCCTTTCCATCCCCTCTGCTTTGAAATGCTATCATGTGGACAATAGAACACCAGCCACTACAGATGGTACTGGGGTTCTAGTTCATCAGCAACAATCAATCTCACATGGAAATGTTGCTTAGTCCCATAGTGCAAACAGGCCTCCTTTAGCACGCCAACTCCCATTAACTGGTAGCCATGGCCTGAGGTACGGTGTTAAGAAGGATTCTGATGTCTTGTTTAAGCCCAATGCCAAAGAGTGCCTAATTGATGAGTGATGTCTGCTATGGAACCAGGTGATGGTCAGTGCATGGGCGCCTCTTGTTTGCTAATCCCAAGCTACTATAACCCCTGTGTGTGATAATGGAAGTAGCTGAGATTCAGAGAGGGGACTAGATTTGCCAGGGTCACCCAGCTATTTAGGGACAGAGCCAGAACTAGAGTAAATACCTCCTGGCTCCATGCCCAGGTCTCTTTTCTCCCCATCGGGATGCATGCGGGTTCTTAATCAAGGCTCAGGGATATCTACGTAACAGTCATAACATTTGGCATTTGTCACACTATTTACCCCCATATGGTTCCAGAGAAATTTACAGTGATTACACACCAGAAATACACACGTTAGAGAGAAAAGTGCACATTACAAGAGGATTAAAATAAAATAGAGAAGGTAACCAGGGCAAAGGGAAAATGAGAATAAAAAATAGGATGGAACCAAGAATGAGTTTGGCACACAAAACACGCTGTCCGGATGCAGTTGCTAAGCAACTAGTGGCCAAAGCAAAGAAGGGAATAGGAATCTACGTGTTTAAAGATGGAAAATATAGTCAGTTATTCAAAAGAAGCAGATTTCCTTGGTATTCCCCTGGAAGCAATACCTCCTAGGTGATCATACCAAGGCAGCTGTCATGCAGTAGAGGATGCTCTTCAAAAACAGGTCTCCAAGAAATTAAGCAATTTTGACACCATTGATTCTTGAAATGTCTTACAGGGAGGTTGATGAAAAAATGTCAAAGTGCAGTCCAAGAATTCAGAACTTTTGATGTCCACGTGGCCGAAGACCATCATGTTTCCAAAGCCAGTAGTCAGAGTCCATTGTCATCTTACTTGACCTCTCAGCCGTATTTGATACCACTGATGGCTTCACCTTTGTGGGTTGATGTTCTCTCCAAGGACACCACATGCTCTTGGTTTCCTCCAATGTCAGTGAAATCTCCTTCTGGATGTCCACTATCGGGTGCTTCTCCTTTCCCCCAATGCCTAAATCTTGCAGGCTTCGGGACTCAGCTGCAGATGTTCCCTTGTACTTATCTGTCCTCGGTTCTTGGTGACCTCATGGCTTAAACCCATCCTTAGGCTGATGCCTTCATATTTTCTCACTCCAGCCTGATCTCTCTCCCAAAAGAGGTCAGACTCACATATTCATCTGCTCCCTTGACCTCTCCATTTGGAAACTAACGGCATCTCAAGCTTCACAACCCCTCGCCAAAATCTAGATCCCATGCCACTCTTTCTCTAACCTGGTATCACCTCCAGTCCTCATTTCAGGAACAGGCACCATCATGCAAATAGGTGCTCAGGCCTGAAACAACTCAAC
The DNA here is from genome assembly GCF_000001405.40 of Homo sapiens. Taxonomy (NCBI): domain Eukaryota; kingdom Metazoa; phylum Chordata; class Mammalia; order Primates; family Hominidae; genus Homo; species Homo sapiens. The sequence continues at coordinate 26,898,294 of NC_000022.11, read as the reverse complement.
CTTCACTCAAACAACCCAACCTTTATTCCTCCCTCCTTGTCACATCCAATGTCCAATTCATCAACAAGTCCTGGCAGCTCTATTCCAAAAATGACTTCAAGTGCACTCATCTCTCCCCTCTCTACCTCTTGGTCTTGGCCACCTTCCTTTCCCACCTGGATAGCAGGAATGCCTCCCATCTTGCTCCTGGCCCTACAGTCATTTGTGCAAACAGTATCCAAAACAATTATTTTTGAAATGTCTATCTGAGTAGGTCACCACCTGGTTCAACCCTCCCCTATGGCCTCCCCATCACCAGAAATCCAAGGTCTTGGCAGCGCATGGCCTGAGCCCTGACTCCACTCCCCGATCTCCCCATCGCTCACTCTTCTGCAGTCACACTGGGCTCTTCCCTGTTACTTATGTGTGCTGGGATGCTGTCTTCTCACAGCCTCTGCATTTACTGATCTCTCCTCCTCAGAAAGAGATCTACCAATGCTCTTTCCCTAGACAGACCCTGGCTCACTCCTCCACCCCTAAAACAAAGGAACCACCTCCTCCTCCAGGGGGCCTTCCTTGACAACTTTATTTTAAATGGACTCTACATCCTCCCTCCCACCCCTTACCAGCCTCCCCTGTATCCCTGTAACTTCCCCCTCACCTCCCACCAGCCTCCCTTCCCACTCTCCAACAGTCTAGCTTCTCTCCCACTTCCTACCTGCTTCCCTCTCCCCCATTACCCGCATCTCTCCAGGGCCTCCCACCTACATTGGCCTCTGCCTTACCTCCTATGTGTAGAGGATTAAGTCTCTTCTCCACAACACTATGAGAGCAGAGATATTTGCTTCATTAGTTAACCACTGTATCCCCAAGACCTTGCACATAGTAGGTGCTCAATAAACACATGTTGCACAAGTGACACTCTCATGGTCTGATTTGTTCCAAGAAACTTCTTCAGCTGAAAACTCCAAGGAGATCGGCCCGTGGGAAGAGCAGGGTGGACTCTGAGCACCTCAGTGTTGGCTGACATGCCTAGAGAGACCCACACTGAGGGTTTTGCCTTTGATGATGACACACGGAGTCAGGCCTGGCAGTCCCCTTGGCTGATGCCACCAGGGACACCCCGGTAGTTCTGCAGCTTTCCCTTAATCATAAATATCTCCCCTTGGTGTCAGCAGACCCCTTGGAAATCACCAGAGGAAATACTGGCATCAAACCCCGATAAATTCCTAAATGCCCAAGCCAACCGCACCAATTTACAGCAGGTTTTGACTTTAATAATGTTTTGTCTTAGATTTGGCCCTAATTATAAATCATTTGCAACTGTGGTTTAAACCATAAGCAAATCTTACATGGCATTCTTATTATCTACTTAATATCGCAAAGAGAAAGATTTATGGAATCACATTCCGGGAATTAAGCAAACGAGGAAACTTTTAGGTGAGGGTGAAACACGTGAAAATTATAGTTTTGTCATAAAACGTTGATTGATCAATGATTATTGTAAAACGGTGGTAACTGTGCTGGCGTCAACATAAATCTGTAATTGGCTGGATTTATTCTTTTTCAAAATACTATATTTCCTACAGTTTTGACCATCGTGTTAATATGAATCTGTCAGATTTACTGTGGTTTTAACTTAATTAACTCCATTTAGCTTATGCATATATGTGTGCGTGCGTGCGTGTAGGATGTATGTGTGTGTGTGTGTATATATATACACACATAGATTTATATATGTTATACTTATCCTTAAAATGCAATGTCCACAGTCACTTTTACTTTTTACATAATCGTTTGTGGTTTTCTTCAAATATAATTTTTTACACATTTGGGAAAAACCCATTTTGCGTATGAAGCCAACTCTTGCTGCAGAAATGGGTTCAAAGCACTGTTAGAGTTTTTCACCTGTGGGGTGACCACATCAGGTAATGATATTGCATCTTAGGAGACAGGGAAGACTGCAAAAAGATCCTGAGTCAGGCTCAAATCTTGACTCTGCCACTGAGTGGCTGTATCACCCTAAAGAACCTATTCTACCTCTCTTTGCCTGTCTCATGTGTAAAATGGGAATGGATTACTTGCCCCTACTTCAGAGGCTACTGTGAGGCTTAATAAAGTGATGAATGTTATGTGGTTGGCATGAGGCTTGGCATGCAGTGGATGCTGAGTGCATGTTGTAGATGGCCCTTCCTTCTGCTTCCCAGCCAGGGAGTGGACTTGCGACGTTTGGGGTAGCATGCCCCAAGGAGTGAGGTCAAGGGAAAATCCTAACCCTCAGAGGAACCATCTTAGGAAGGGCCAGTTCCAGTGCCAGAGGGAACCAGCCCAAACACCAGAATCACCTTCTAACCCGATAGGACCAGGGAGATGGTGGGTTCAGATCAAAGCCACACAGGGACAGATAACCATACACTAAATCAAATTTAAAATAATAATAATAAAACAGTAGCTCCCACTTACCCAGAAACACTTTCTTTGCATCAGGTCCTATGCATTTTTTTAGTGGAGAGTAAAGGTCTCACTCTGCCACCCAGGTTGGAGTGCAATGGTTCAGTCAGAGCTCACTGCAGCCTCCAACTCCTGGGCTCAAGAGATCTTCCCCCTCAGCCTCCCAAGTGTCTGGCACTACAGGTGCTCGTCACCACACCCAGCTAGTTTTTCTAGTTTTTGTAGAGATGGGAGTCTCACTATGCTGCCCAGGCTGGTTTCAAACTCCTGGCCTCAAGCGATCCCCCCACCTTGGCTTCCCAAAGTGTAGTATTACAGGTGTGAGCCACAGTGCCTGGCCCATAATTCTTTATAGACTTGATTTTGTTATAAAGCTCAGCAAAGCCCACTAGCACATCAACCTTGAGATGAGAAAATTATGATTTCAGAAATGTGACTTGCCCAAGGTCACACAGCTAATAAGTAGTGGAGCTGAGACTCCAGGCCTACATTCTGAGGCACGGAGTTTTACTACCTCTGACTGTTACTGGGCCACACATTCCTCCAGCAGCTGCCCTCTCTCCTGGCAGCATGCATTCTGAACCGATAATTCCTTCCAAGTCTAAGCCAAGGAAAAAGGAGGCCCAGTTCAGCCACTGCAGTCTCTTCCTGTCTAATTGCTAAGAACAGAGCTAAGAAGTCATTGCTTTGAAGCTGAAACTCTTCTCTTTCTGTGGAGTTTCACGTTTGTATTTAATCGTGCTTTATTTTTCTTGATTCACACTGTGGAGCCAGTTAAAAATATTTTCTGAGAGCCTATTCTGAGTCATTGATTCGTGGTGTCTGTTCTGAAGTTGCCCAGGGTCAAGTGAGTCAGCTGTGGGTAAATGAACCCAGACACTGGATTTCACTGAAAAGTAAACACTCCAAGCAATGGAAAAAAAAATGTTGGTTTCATATATAACTTTCACATGCAAACTTCCCTCCAGTCTTCCCCTTCTTCCTCCACTTCTCCCCCATCTCTTTCTTCTCCCTCTCCCTTTCCTTCCTTTCCACATTGATTTTTCCCTTTTCTCATCTCTCTCCCTCTTCATTTTCTCCAGTCTTCTCTCTCCTTCTTTCAAACTTTTTTCTCCCGTTCCCTTTTCTCTCTTATTTCTCTCTCCATCTCCCTCTCTTCTTTCTTTTCTTTCATTTTTCTCTTCCTTCTTCTATTCTCTTCTCTTGTTTCCTATACTCTTTTCTATTTTGCACACAGGATTTTGTTTTTATTTAGGTGAGACCCACACAGCAGGAAGACGACTGCTATTGAAAAGATAGTTTATTACTCACAGTTCCCAAGAGGAGGGGGCGTAACACGTTACACAGGGCAGAAGCAGCCAGGGAAAGCATAGGCCAGGGCCTTTATCATGGATTTTGTTTTCTCAGTTAATGGTAGCCAAAATAAAATAATAATAATAATAATAGGCTGGGCATGGTGGCTCACACCTATAATCCCAGCACTTTGGGAGGCCGAGGCAGGCAGATCTCTTGAGCCCAGGAGTTCGAGACTAGCCTGGGCAACATGGTGAAACCCAGCCTCTACAAGAAGTACAAAAAATTAGCCTGGCACGGTGGTGCACGCTGTCCTCCCAGCTATTTGGGAGGCTGAAGTGGGAGGATCTTTTGAGCCTGGGAGGCACAGGTTTCAGTGAGCCAAGATTGTGCCACTGTACTCCAGCCTGGGAGACAGAGTGAGACCTTGTCTCAAAAACAGTAATAATACTAATGATAACAATATCATGGGTTTTACTGGAAAGAACAGGTGAGCCAGGGTAGGCAGACTTAGCATTGGCCATTTTGAATAATTTCGGCTGACTCTGGGCTATAGGGGCAGTCCCTAGTTGTCTGGTTCCTGGTCCTGGGGTGATTTGGAACAGGGGGATAGCGTCCTGGAAGGCAGGAGGTTGAAAAAAAGACTCAGGATTGGTTGGTTTGCATATCAAAGGCTTGCTCAGAAGAGAAGTGGTTTGCTACCTCTAGGAATTACCTAACCCTGGGAGGGGCACTCCCTCCTTGGATCCTCAAGACCTCCACAATTCCCAAGCATCATCAAAGACAGAAAGTTAAAAACACGATTTCTACATCTTTTTTCCTTCCTCTCTTTTACTCCTTCCCCTCTCCTCTTCTCTGTTCTCCCTTCTCATTCTCTCCTCCTTTCTGCCTCCCCAGGGCCTGGGAAGAACTCATCGCAAAGGTTCAGGTAAGCAGTAACAAAAGCCTAGGTTGAGTGGGTGGCAAGAAGCCAAGAGAGGAACAGACAGCATCACGAACTACTTGGGAGGTAGAACTCTCGTTTTCAGTGACTGGATGTGGCTCCGACAGCCCTGCTCAGCTCTGCCTGCTGGCCCGAGCTCCGCACCACCACTTCTGGGAAAGCCGCCCCTTCCTTGCTCCAATGGTGGCGGCTGCTGTGTCCTCACCCTGCCGCTATCCCGTGGGTTGGTTGTTTTGCCCAGGCCTGGAATTACCCAAATCCCCTTAAATACACGACTGCAAATGAGGACCCTGGAAAAAAAGGCAATAATTGTGACAGTAACTCACGGGGCCAGGCCTGACACGTCTCTAATTGCCTGCTAAAATTGTCGCTGTCTCCTAAAGTGCAAATTATCACCCGAAATGACAAGAATAATGAATGAGTAACTCTGATGTAATGCAACAATTAGTCCTCAAAGACACTGTCTAATATGGTAATTCAGAACACCCACTCCTTGTTATTAAGTGCCTGATAATTATTTAATTATCTATCTGCCAGCATGATTTACTTGGTTTATTTAGCTGCAGATGTGGGCAGGAGCGTTTGGGTTTAAGGTCAGAGTGAGCTGGCCCCTCCGCTGGCTGCCACATCGGTTTGCTTGGGTGCTGGAGGCTGCCGCCCGTCTGACTTCCCTAATTGGCTTTGGCAGTCCTGACCCAAAGTCGGAAAATTGCCTCTTCTCCACCCCCGGCTCCGGTTCAGGGTCATTCAGGGGCTGAGGGTCTTAAAGATCATGGATGAGAGTGCCTGCCTTCCCCTGCCCCTTCGGACCCTCCGACAGGTGATCAGAGTATTTGGGGGCAGCAGCTGCCCAAACTGAGCTTGATGTGAGTGTTTACTGTGCTGGGCACGGCGCCAACTCCTACACAAGTGTTAGCTCGTTTAATCTTCACAATAGTGCCAGGAGGTAGAGACAACTGGTGCTGGCATGTGACAGAGGAGGAAACTGGGACTTGGAGAAGTGAGGTCATTCGCCCAAGGTCCCACAGTGAACGAGTGGTGGGCCGGGACGAGCCTCCCTGTCCCCAGAGCCACTCTACTCTCCTGGACCCTGACAGTTGCAATGTGAGGATGGCCCCAAAGCTGTGAGTCACAGCTCATCCCAGGCCAGTGCGTGCCCAGAAGGGTCTGGGCAGGGACTCAGGAGGATCAGTGTCCTGCTCTCCAAATCATAAAATCACTGATAGGGAAAGCAAAAAGAGTGGCTCTAATCTCTGTTGGCTCAAGGAATTAACTAACCCAGAGCCAAGGAGTAGAAGGTATTACAGAGAGACAGAAGAGATCTACAGTAAGGGCCGCTTCCTAGCTGAATGCACTTGGGCAAGTTCCTTACCCTCTCAAAGCCTCGGTTTCCTCATCTGTAAAGTGGAGATGGTCAGAATTTGCCTATGATCGCCTGTTGAAAGTACCCTCATCATCAGATACTCTCCACCTTGCACCCTGTTGGGTTTCCTTTACTGAATGTACCTGACTCTCTGATTATCTTGTTCATTTATTTACTTATCCCCCCTCCTACCTGCCCCCACCCCCACCCCCACACACACATAAAACATAAACCCCAAGGGAGCAAGGACCCTGTCTGTTTTATTCCTCCTTCATATTCCCCGCATTGAGCACAATGCTTGGCACATCATGATCTCAGTAGTCTCAATAAATATCTGTAGAATGAATGAACAAATAAAATAATAATCAGAAGCCAGGTGGGGTCCCCAGCCAACTACCCCCTTGCCCAAGTGACTCCCCAGCATCTCCATGCACACAGCTCCCTACTCCCCATCTGTCCTGGCCATTAATGCTGATGACGCCTTACCTTCATGCCCATACATTTTCACCACGCAAAAGGCCATGATGACCACTCCAGCCACAGCTGTCATTTCCTTGCTCTGGTCCTCAGCTGACCTGAGACTCCAAGCTTCCACCAGCTTCCTCATTCCACATTTCTGGGGGATAAGTCTGATTGGTCCAGGCCACCTGGAGCAGATGATCTTGGCATCCCACACACCCACATTTCCATAATGCTCCCCATTTCCAAGCACATCTGCCCAATCTCCACCTTCCAGCACATGACTGTCGGCTGCTGGAGCTCTCTGTGGCTACACACAGGCCACACTGAGAATTAACCTCCCCAGGAGTCACCTTCAGTAAGGGCTGCCAGGAGTTGGTGGGTAAATAGCCCAGCTCCCTCATCCCTCAAATTGAGATCACATAGAAGTGTGAATTCTAGATTGCCTCCCCCACTTTCCCAGTAGGATAAAGCTCTGTCTCTCACGTAGTAGATGCCATTGGTGCCCCACTCAGATCCCCTTTGAAAAGTCAATGCATCCAACCTCCTTGATGGTACATTAAATGTGCATTAAACTGGTGTTGTACATTAAATGTATATTAAACTGGTAATGTACATTGGTAAGTCCAGCCCCCTGCCGTGGTGAATGTTTGCTGCTAACACAGCAGCACCCCACAGCTAACACTGCCCTCCACTGACAGGAGTTGCCTTACCTGAAAATCCTGGAGAGGGTGCACCATCCCCTCTGCACCAGTTGGATACACTGGTGTCATGTAGCCAATAATTGACTAATACAAGGGTACAAAAGGCCAGCCTCTTTACTCCAAGGCAGGACAACTCTAGGGTACAAGTCACACTCCAGAGCTCCTCGTGGGATCAACTGGAAGCGCAAGACGTTACCTGAATCCACGTCTTTTACTAGCTCAGGAAAGGCAGGGCCAAATCTCTCTTGCTCACTGCTGCATCTCCTGCACATAGCACAGTACTTGCTGAGTTAGTAAATGAGTGCAAATGAGTTCATTCATTCATTCATTCACTGATATGAGTGAATGAATGCATATGCATGTATAAACAGATGTATGTACATATGCACATCAATGAATACATTTAAGCCATGGTAATTCCCAAAGCAGGACCTAAGCACCTATTTTCTAAATTATTAGCATGTGCATTTAAGTGGCCAAAGATCAGCAAAAAGGGAGGTCTGGGCTGGAAGTCGGACGGACGACCTCACTTTTCATCCTTGACTCACTGCGTGACTTTGGTTTTTACATCTATTAAATCAGAAAAGCACATTTATTTTTCTCCATGCTTTTTTTCCCCAACTTAAACGCTGTGTAAGTTTATGTTGTGTGTATGTGTGTTTTTTAAACTTTTTAATTTTGATATCATTTTAGACTCCCAGAAAAATTTTAAAGTAGTGTTTCTGGCCCGGTGCAGTGGCTCATGCCTGTAATCCCAGCACTTTGGGAGGCTGAGGTCGGCAGATCACTTGAGCCAAGTTCAAGACCAGCCTGGGCAACATAGCGAAACCCTGTCTCTACAAAAATACAAAAACTGGCCGGGCACAGTGGCATGCAACTGTAGTTGCAGCTACTTGGGAGGCTGAGGCAGGAGAATTGCTTGAGCCCAGGAGACAGAGGTTGCAGTGAGCCGAGACCATGCCATTGCACTCCAGTCTGGGTGACAGGAGTGAAACCTTTTCTCAAAAAAACAAAAATAAAAACAGAGTGATTTCATCTGCCTTTCCCCCAGCTTGCCCTAATGTTCATGGTTTGTGATGTTGAAATCTTCCGTTTAAGTGTCTGGTGATCATTTTAAGGAGGGAGAGGTGAACAGAGCCGTAGAAAGGAAGTCAGTTTCAGAAAACACAGAATGAAAATTCACCTGGCTTAGCAGCCTTCAAAAATGAGGTGGCGGCAGGCAGACAACATTCCTGCCCCTCTCCGTCTCTCTACATGCGTGGTGCATCTGCGGTTTTCTTTTATTTGTGGTCTATCACCTCCTATGCCATTGCAAACAAGAGACTTTATAAATATTTCAAACACTAATAATTTGTGCTGTCCCTACTTAGACTTTTAAATGAACGTAAGAGCATTTCTCTTTGAGGAACCTGCCAAACTGCAGGCTGGTGAAAGAAATACCACCGCCCCCCGTCTGAGCTGGGTACTTGATGTAGACATGGGAGCAGAGGCTATGACTGCAGGTGTGGGATGCCCGTCTCTCCCACACACCTCCCTTACCCCAGCATCTGCTCTGGTGAAGCTCTACCTAGCAGGACAATGGCCAACCTCATCTTTGGATCCACAGGGTGGGGAGATTCTCTCTGCTCCCACAAATGGAGAAATTGAGGGCTGCTAATTTCATGGTTGCTGTTTTAAGAGCTTTGGATATTTTTTTTTTTAGATGGTGTCTCGCTCTGTCGCCAGGCTGGAGTGCAGTGGCATGATCTCAGCTCACTGCAACCTCTGCCTCCCGGGTTCAAGTGATTCTCCTTCCTCAGCCTCCTGAGTAGCTGGGACTACAGGCGTGTACCACCACACCTAGCTGATTTTTGTATTTTTAGTAGAGATGGGGTTTCCCCATGTTGGCCAGGATGGTCTTGATCTCTTGACTTCGTGATCCGCCCGCCTCGGCCTCTTAAAGGGCTGGGATTACAGGCATGATCGGCCCAGCTTTGGCTTTTAAGTCAGACATTCTTGGTTTAAATCCCAGCTCATTCACTGTGTCGCCTTGCGCAAGTCACCTCTGTGAATCTTTGTTTCCTTATCCATGAAGTAAATATTTTCATGATTAAATGAAATAGTGTGTATAAAGTGTGCAAGGCCTAACACAGGCCATGAGCTCAATGCACAGTAGCTAGTATTTTCCCTTTGAATATTTCCTAGTCATTTATAATGGCTCAGACATAATAGAAGTTAATTTATTATTCACATAAACTACCCAATGTAGCTCCAGCTTTGAAGCCATGGGAGAGCCTCCATAAATTTGTTCCCACCCAACACCCAGCAAGCAGGAAGGAGAAGGACACGAAGCATTGTCCAGGAGAGGTTCCTTCTGTCCCTCACAAAGCTCACAGTCTAGGGAGAGAAGAACTATGGAAACGACAACCCATAATATGCAAGGTGGATCCTCAAGAGAGCAGGCACCAAAAACACTTTGGGAGAATAGAGAAGGGGGAAGTTGTTTTGAAAAGTAGAGAATACCCTGGCACACCCTGTCTGAAACCCTTCAATGGTGAATGGTGTCTCATTATTCTTAGGCAAGATAATGATCTCCTTCTCCAGCCTTCTATGTGGTCTAGTCCCTGCCAGCCTCTCCAGCATGGCAGTCCTGACACTCTAGGCTTTTTTTTTTTTGACATGGAGTCTCACTTTGTCACCCAGGCTGGAGTGCAATGGCATGATCTCGGCTCACTGCAACCTCTGCCTCCCAAGTTCAAGTGATTCTCCTGCCTCAGCCTCCTGAGTAGCTGGGATTGCAGGCATGAACCACCAAACCCAGCTACTTTTTGTATTTTTAGTAGACACGGAGTTTCACCATGTTGGTCAGTCTGGTCTCAAACTCCTGACCTTGTGATCCACCCACCTCCGTCTCTCAAAGTGCTGGGATTACAGCCGTGAGACACTGTGGCCAGCCAGCTTCTTTTTATTCAGTTAGTCAACCATATAATTTACCTTCCAAACCAGGCCACTTTGGAGAAAGGAAGAGAATGCTATTAATCAATAAGCCAGGACAATAGGGACTACCTGGGGTAGACCAAGATGGGCAGTCACCATACACCATCATTCCTGCCACAGAACCTTTGCACATGCTGCCCTCCCTACTCCGCACTCACCTGTCTAATTGGACCTGAAGCTTCAGCATCCCTTCTTTAGGGAAGCCTCTTCCAATACACCAATTTAGTCAGATCCCTTGTTAAGCATTCTGCTACAACTTGTTTCATTAGGGGCACTAATTTAGATTTCTAAATACATACTCAATTGTGTCTGTATTTGATTAACTCTCTGTTTTGAACAGGATATAAACTCCATGAAGTTAGAGACTGTGTCTCTTTTTGTTCACTCTTTATCCCCCACATCTGGCACATAGTAAAGCATTCCACAAATGCGGCATTGGAATGCATGAATAATTGCTGACCTCTCCCTGGAGGGCTCAAAATAGAAACCTTCTGATGTGAGAGGACATTTCAATGTGGTCTAGAAGAATAAGTAAAGAATTAGACTCCGGTCTGGCGGCAGCCATCAGATAAGCCAAGATGGGTGCATACAAGTACATCCTGGAGCTATGGAGAAAGAAGCAGTCTGATGTCATGCGCTTTCTTCTGAGGGTCCGCTGCTGGCAGTACCGCCAGCTATCTGCTCTCCACAGGGCTCCCCGCCCCACCCGGCCTGATAAAGTGCACCGACTGGGCTACAAACAAGGCCAAGCAAGGTTACGTTATATATAGGATTCGTGTTCGCCGTTATATATAGGATTCATGTTCGCCGTGGTGGCTGAAAACGCCCAGTTCCTAAGGGTGCAACTTACAGCAAGCCTGTCCATCATGGTGTTAACCAGCTAAAGTTTGCTCGAAGCCTTCAGTCCGTTGCAGAGGAGCGAGCTGGACGCCACCATGGGGCTCTGAGCGTCCTGAATTCTTACAGGGTTGGTGAAGATTCCACATAAAAATTTTCTGAGGTTGTCCTCATTGATCCATTCCATAAAGCTATCAGAAGAAATCCTGACACCCAATGGATCATCAAACCACTCCACAAGCACAGGGAGATGCGTGGGCTGACATCTGAAGGCTGAAAGAGCCCTGGGCTTGGAAAGGGCCATAAGTTCCACCACACTGTTGGTGGTTCTCGCCGGGCAGCTTAGAGAAGGCGCAATACTCTCCAGCTCCACCGTTACCGCTAATATAATTAAAGTTTGTAAAATTCATACCTAATAAACAATTTAGGACAGTCAAAAAAAAAAGAACGGGACTCCATGGAGAAGCGGATGAACAGCTTTCAAAGTGGAGGGAATTGCAGTGCGCAAAAGGAAATGTTGGGCCACAGCAAAAGCAGTCATAGAATGGCCTGGAGTTGAATAACTGGAGCACCAAAGTGTGGGAGTGAGCTGGAGGGGGCAGGTCAGGTTGGAAAGCCTTGAGTGCCCAGTGAAGGCCTGACTCTCAAAAAGCAACAGGGAGCCACGGAGGACACTTACCATTGGGTGCCTTTGAGGGCCATGGTGCTGGAGGTAGAATACAATCCCCACCTCCTCCAAGTAAACCTAGAGTCTGCTGGCAACAGCAGCTTGTTAAGCTTTTCTTACTTGGAACACAAATCTATTTTTTATTTTTCTTTCTAATTTTTTAGAGATGAGGTCTCGCTCTGTCACCCAGGCTGGAGTGCAGTGGTACGACCATAGCTCATTGCAGCCTCAAATTCCTGAGCCCAAATGATCTTCTTGTTTTTGCCTTTTGAGTAGCTGAGACTACAGACATGCGCCACCATCCCTGGTTAATTTTTAACCTATTTTTGTAGAGATGTGATCTCACTACACTGCCCAAGCTGATCTAGAACTTGTGGCCTCAAGCAACCCTTTTACTTCAGCCTCCCAAAGTGCTGAGATGACAGACAGGAGCCACTGTGTTCAGCCACAAATCTATTTTTAATGAAGGCTGGGCATGGGGGTGAGCACAGCCACATCTGAAGCACTTCTGTTCCCTGAAGGGTAGTTTGAGAACCACAAACACAAACATGGCTATTTTTTAAAGCTCTATCCAGGGCTTTCCCCATCAGCTATGGCCTACAGAAAGCAGTTGATGTACTAAGGTCACCCAGCCAGGAATCAAGCCCTGATCCTCAGTCCTGTGTCCTCCCATTGTGCTACTCTGCCTCCTGAGTAGGGCCCGGGAGAGGACACCAGTGGCCCTTCAGAGGGGGTCTTATCTAGCCCTGGAACCAGACAGAGCTATACCTGTCCCAAGTGATGGGCAGCTCTCACCATTCCCATGCACGCCAAGGGAGGGGGCAGAGCAATTGTCCTTGATGACCCAGTGTCCCCCCAAAAAATCACACCTCCCATTCCCAGAGCATTTCCTGTGATCCTTCTTCCAACTGAAACCCACATCAACTCTTGGAGCTGGTCATCATTCTTCTTTTTTATTTTAACAGTAAGGGAACTGAGGCTCAGAGAGGTTTGGTAACTTGCCCAAGGTCACACAGCTTGTGAGTGGCTCAATCCAGATTTGAACACAGATCTGACTCCAGAACTTTTTAACCCTGCACTAACCACTGCCAAAAGAAAAATAAAGTGTGTCCTGGGGAGAGCTCCCTTTCTCTGTGGAGACTTATAAGAAAGAAAAAAGGCAGGCATCTTCCAGTCTGAGATGAGTGGAAGAGAGTCCCACCAGACTCAGTGGAAGGACACGATGACTCCAATAGGTCTGCCATCCCTCAGATTCTATTTGCAGGGCTGTCCCTGTCAGGACAGATGAAGCATCATCCAGTTAGGCAGGCTGTCCACCTGGCTGTCAGCACAGCATCATTTATAATGCCTAAGCCATAACCAGGCTGTGATGAAGACTTCAGCCCTGGCTCCTCGGCAGGGAATGCAGTTGACTTTGGAACCAGCTGTCCTGGCATGCCCAGTACAGCAAATGTGGCTTAGACGTGAGCCCCAGTCTGAGGACTTAGGGTCAGCCACAACTCCTGCCACAGGCAATCTGGCACCGAGAGAGATGGTGGTGGCCAAATTGTTCATACGGGGCCATTTGTGTGTCTGAGAGCCGCAAGCGCTTGTCCAGTAGTTCAGATGATGGAATGTGTATTTCTCGTAATGGAAAGTGGAGTCCAACAAATGTATTCTTCATGACTCAAGACAGAGAATTGCTTTAAGAACTGGTCACTCTCTCACTGAATCTTCACAACAACCAACGAGGATGTCTTCTATGCCCCACGATCCCCACTTTGCAGTTGAAGAAACTGAGTGTCAGAGAGAGAAAAGGCCTGGTTGAAAACTCACCAGTGGTGGCCCAGAATAAGCTACCTTCCTACGTGGCAACCCACTGCTCAGCATACGAGGCTGCCGTAGCTGGAGCCTTCAGTCAAAGTTAGCCCCTTCCAGTCTTATTTCTGCATCAGGTTCTCCACTAAACTGTACATTCCTTGGGGACAGGGATCACATTGCTTTTAGCTCTCTACCCACGCATCCTGGGAAACAGTGGGTGTCCAAATGATTGTGATTCTCACAGTGTGTTGTACCCTAATTATTTATATGTATAAATTCATACTTCCACCAGATCAATCATTTGCAGGCTTATTTGAGCTAAAGAACCATAGTAAAATACAAAACAAATGGTGGTTATTTGACAATTATGCCAATGAAATTATCACAAGAGAGGGTATTATCCTACAAGGGATCCAGAGAGAGTTTTGAAATTTTCTGGTCCACAGAGGCTGCTGTCCCCAAGTCACTAAAAGAAAATGCTGAACAAGGAAACTCAGGGAAAAAAATATAGTAGGTATTTATGCATCCTCAATTATATGTCAGATATGGTGGAAGTGCTTCACATGTGTCAACTCAATATTTATCCCCAGAACAGCCCTAGAGTCAGTAATACATCCCTCACTTTATGAACAAGGAAACTGAGCCCCAGAAAGGTGGTATGACTTGCCCAAGGGCACACAGATAGTAGGTGGCAAAGCCAGGAGTCAAACCTAGGTCCGTCTGTGGGCCCTCCTGACAATCCTCCTCAGCCAGGTCCCCAAAGGGGATAAAACGCTACTGACCTCCAAAACTGAATAAGCTTCACAAACTTCTAGTCATTTATACGTTTAAACTATATTTTCTTGATGCCCATCTAAAGGTACTGAAGGGAGATGAATTTGACACCGTTTCTGCCCCCAAGCACTCACAATCTAGTTCAGATGAGACCAGTAACTCCATAAAATAAAGTGTGAGGATTCAGGGGCCAGAGAGGGGAGGCGGCTTTAATTCCTGAGTTTCAGTTACCTCACACACTGAGGAGATTTGGAGAGGCTATAATTTCAAGAGTTCCATTAAACACGAATGGTAAACAAATAGACATTTAAGAGACATTATTTTGGTCTTCTGTCCAAAGTACCTTACCTTCCTTAGACAAAAGAGTTGTTGAAACAGTTTATTAAATTGCGCTAGATTGAATTTCATTGGGTTGTGGGACTATCTTGTGCTGGGAGTTGTGCTGACTTGGATTGGCTTGTATTGGGTTGACTTAGGTGGCTGAGAAGTGGTCTGTTGCATCATGTTGAAATGTAATTTGTTGGAATTTGTTGGGTTCAATGGTTTTTGCTGAATAAGGTCAAGTTGAATGGGGTTGTATTGTGTCGGTGGTGAGGTTGTACTAAGTTGGGTTATGTCGGTTTATTTCAGTTGAATTGATGTGGATTGAATTGGGTTAAGTAGATTTCGTTGGGTTTAGTTGGCTTGGCTTGGCTGGAATGAAACTGATTGGTATCCATCTATTGAGAAGGGTGTAGAGCCATTTCCTGTCCAACAAATAGAACTGCTCTGGAAAGCTCTATATTTTAGGGCCAAAACCCACAATGGATGGAGCCATTTTGCATTTGAGGAAGTATGACCCAAATAAATGGTCTTTCCATCTCTGCTAAAATCTAGTTTACTGGCTGCAGAGATGGCAATGAGGTATTAGGGGGTGGATATTGCAAAGGTCACACGGTTTGTATGCAATTCTGGCATCTCTGTCGGTCCTATCCTATTCATCAATTTGCAAAGCATCATGGAGCTCTCTACATGTGCTGGATACTGAAGATCAAAGGATGAATAATGCCCCATTCCTGTCCTTAAGGACTTAATGATGCCACGCAATTACTGTTTACTATAATATTGTCTCCCTTGGGCAAACTCGTCATCCTCAAATCTGGCTACCAGCAAGACAATTGCCAACACTCTGACCCCAAGACATTGGAACAATGGAGAATATCCACAAGCACAAAAAATACTTTTGGTCAGGAGCGGTGGCTCACACCTGTAATCCCAGCACTCTGGGAGGCCGAGGCAGGCTGGTCACTTGAGCTCAGGAGTTCAGGACCAGCCTGGGCAACATAGTGAAACCCCATCTCTACAAAAAGAATACAAAGTTAGCCGGGTGTGGCATGTGCCTGTAGTCCCAGCCACTCAGTTGGCTTCAGCCTGTGAAGCAAAGCTTGCAGTGAGCCAAGATCATGCCACTGCACTCCAGCCTGGGCAACAGAGCCAGACCCTGTCTCAAAGACAAACAAAACAAAACATACTTTTTAAATAAATAAAGCCTCTAGCAAGTCTGATTAAGAAAAAAATGGAGAAAGGGAGTGAGAAGGGAGAGTTATACAGCATAAGTCTTTTAACTACAAAAACAGGAGAGCTTTTACAAATTATTTCAAAAATACTACAAGCAGACAGGGCATGGTGGCTCATGCCTGTAATCCCAGCACTTTGGGAGGCTGAGGCGGGCGGATCATGAGGTCAGGAGATCGAGACTATCCTGGCTAACACAGTGAAACCCCGTCTCTACTAAAAATACAAAAAAATCAGCCAGGTATGGTGGCAGGCACCTGTAGTCCCAGCTACTCAGGAGGCTGAGGCAGGAGAATGGTGTGAACCCGGGAGGCAGAGCTTGCAGTGAGCCGAGATCGTGCCACCACTCCAGCCTGGGCGACAAAGCAAGACCCTGTCTCAAAAAAAAAAAAAAAATACTACAAGCAGCATACTTACCAATACATTTGAAACTTAAATAAAATGATTTGAAAGAAATAAAAATGACCAAAGTTGGCAGAAGAAGAAAAAAATGTTAGACTTAAAAGTCTAATATCCATTAAACATTGTACAAAATCTATTATTATCCCCTCTCCTGACCATCGCACCTCATTCCCTGGGAGCTTAACATTTTATAAACCTGTTATGTCAGACCTTTAATGTACAGGTAAATCCAATAGTCTATGCATTAAAGAATGAGAAAGGTGGGGCATAATTCAAATTCATTTGAGGCTAATAAGACCTTTATACCAAAATCCACTAAGAATAATACAAAAGTAAAGAAATCTATAGAAAAATAGACATGAAAGTGTAAAATGGAAAACTAGGAAGTCAGGTTCAGTAATATTTTAGAAAATACATTATGAAAGGATAGGGTGAATCTAAGAAATGCAAGGATGGTTCCATATCAGAAAAACTTATTGTATAATACATCACATTAAATGAGAAATTCGCATAATTCGCTAAATCCATTCTGAAAAAATTTTGAAAAAATTCAATCCTCATTTATAATTCAAATTGTCATTAAAAGAAGGATTGAAGGGAACTTTCCAGGAGAATTTATAGATAAGGCTTTACGACTAATAAGAACACTCAGTGAGATTCCAAAATATAAGATCAGCATTCAAAAACCAGTAGTGCCTTCTGTTTCCAAGAAAGATATAATAGGTCACGGTAAGACAGCATGTGTGCTGACAGCTAGAAAACACTTAACACAGAAATAGTATTTTTAAGGGAATCCAGAACTGTGAAAGCAAAGAAAAAAAGTATAAGGACTACAGTTCCAGAATAGTAAGAACCGTTCAGAAATGGGCAGACAATTGGCTACTGCTGTTTCAGCCTGGAACATTGTTGATATTGGGCTCAGGCTGAGAATCTTCACTTGCCCAGACAGAGGGTAACTGCCCAGGGAAACCAAAACAGTGGAGTCCAAGGATGGGCAGTGGGAGTGGTCTGCCCCCGATGGCAGCCAACAGAGGCATGCAGAGACTGTAGAGAACATAAAAGCAATAGGCCGGCGCGGTGCCTCACACCTGTAATCCCAGCACTCTGGGAGGCCGAGGCGGGCAGATCACCTAAGGTTGGGAGTTCGAGACCAGCCTGACCAACAAGGAGAAACCTCTCTCTACTAAAAACACAAAATTAACCAGGCGTGGTGGTGCATGCCTGTAATCCCAGCTACTCGGGAGGCTGACGCAGGAGAATCTCTTGAACCCAGGAGGTGGAGGTTGCAGTGAGCTGAGATCACGCCATTGCACTCCAGCCTGGGCAAGAAGAGCAAAAACTCCGTCTCAAAAAAAATAAATAAATAAAACTAAACATCAATCTGCTTTTCGTTATCACCATGAGTTAGTAATTCTAAACAATTTCAGAGATGAAATACTCCCCCCCACCAATTATTTTTTATAAGTTCTAAACAATTGCTGTACTTAGTGTTAAGGTTTAGTCATAAATGTAAACTTCAAATTAGCACATTTTTAAACTTATCTTTTAATAAATATTGTATTTTACATGGAAGCTAATTCAGAAAACTCAATTGTATAGTCAGCTTTGACTATATACAAATTTGACCAAAGACATTCATTCAAAATTAAGTTCATAATGACTTAGAGTCATCTGTGCTTATTTGGGGTGAACTTTGTGTCTCTCACCTCTACACTACTCCATATTCCTTCACTTAAATAATAGATTTCAAATAAGCCACGGTAGTAAAGAACTTGAGTTACTTAAATTCCATCATTCTATATGAGGCCACTTGGAGTTTTTCCCTATGTTAAATTTTAAAACTGTTAAATTTAAAAATAGAGCATAGGCCGAGTGCGGTGGCTCACACCTGTAATCCCAGCACTTTGGGAGGCTGAGGTGGGTGGATCTCCTGAAGTCAGGAGCTCAAGACCCTCCTGGCCAACATGGTAAAACCCCGTCTCTACTAAAAACACAAAAATAGTCGGGCATGGTGGCACACACCTGTAATCCCAGCTACTTGGGAGGCTGGGAGAGAAGAATCACTTGAACCTGGGAGGTGGAGGCTGCAATGAGCCAAGATCACGCCACTGCACTCCAGCTTGGGAGACATAGGGAGACTCTGTCTCAAAATAAAAATAGAGCATTAGCTATAAGAAGTAATAGTTTTGTTTAGTAAGTACGAAGTTTAGTTCACAAGGAAAATATTGAATGTAAAGAGTACTTTAAAAATGGAAAAACTTAATTAACGATTAAATTTTTAAAAGTATTTATTGTAAGACCAAAATAATGATTATTCCTGATTGTTACATGGTTATTATTCAAAATAATGTTATCATATGAAAAAAGGAAGTGATGTTAATAAATTATTCACTCTTGGTGGCCAATATGTGAGGCGTAGCACTGGAGAAACAAGCAAAGCTTTTGGCAGTTGTGGGACTATGGTGATAAAATTTGAAATTTGAAAGGCCGGTTTTCTCTACCCACAATGTGTTTTGTAATGACTTCCACTACTACTTCCTGGGAGGCCAAAGAGCAAGGCCAAAAGCTTCTGAAAAGCAGAGTGAAATTTCCCACAGGATCGCAATACAGTCTTCCCTCGGTATCCATGGAGCATTGGCTCTAGGACCCACATCCCGCTGCCCATGGATACCAAAATCTGAGGAAGCTCCAGTCCCTTACTTAATCTACATACACACATCTTCCGGTATACTTTAAATCATCTCTAGATTAGGTATAACACCTAATACGACGGAAATACCATGTAAATAGTTATGGCTGTCTTGTCTTTTATTTGCGTTTTTAAAATTGCTGTATTATTTTTTACTGTTTTTCTTGTCTAAGTATTTGTATCCAGGGCTTGTTGAGTCTGCAAATGTGGAACCTGCAGATCTCAAGGGCTTGCTATACTTAAGAGAAAAGACCCTCCATGAAAAGGGGGATGGTAAACTAGAAACAGGAGAACCAGAGAGAAAAGTACCAAAATGAATGGGGCATCGACATGAGAGTGCCCAATTCAGCCTGGTTTGCCTGGGTCTATTTCAGTTTTAAAGCAGAAGGTCCTGTGTGTCAAGAACCCACTCGGTCCCAGGCAAACTAGCATGGTTGGTCACCTCCATGAACACAGAGGAGCAAGGGCCCTTTCCCCGGGAGCATCTGCTTATTCAGGAATAGCTGGCAGCTGAGATCTCAGGACTGGATCCTAGGAGAAGAAAACTGTTGGGGAAGTGAGGAATCAGCAGAGATGTAGACATTCAATCAAAACAGCTGTAAGCAACCGGAGACCAAAGGGTCGCAAGCACACGGATAGATTCCCCCCTAAGACACACGTTAAAATTGAAGTTGTGTGGGTATAAGACTAAAGAGCTATACTGAAAACCTCTGAAGGGCAGAACAGAATCTTCCTGAGGCTGGCAAAACTGAGGATAAAAATATCCGCTAGACTTTCAGTTAAAAACATTAGAGGGCCATGCCAATGCCCCAGAAACAGGGCAGATCAAAGGTAGACTAGACCTCATTGAACCTGCAGCCTCACAACTGCAAATACAAGTGCTTGTTGGATTGAGGTGATTAGCACTCCACCCCATCTAACAGAGTAAAGGCCATCGTGTTATCTTCTGGCAGATGATAATTTAGGAAACTCTAACATTCTATCATTTACGATTTCCAACATAAAATGTAAAAGTACTAGACATGTGAATATGCAAGAGGCTATGAAATAAAAAACAGACACTAGAAGAAGAATCACAGTTGGTAAAGTTATTATAATTAGCAGACAAGGACTTTTAATAACTACAATTTTTAACAAAATAGATTAGAAAATAAAGAATTTCACCAAAAAAGAATGGAGCCTATTTTTTAAAAGAATCAGAGGTACATTCTAGAACTGAAAATAAAATATTTAAAATTAAGAACTCAATGAATGCAGACTTTTTTAAATGACAGAGGAGTGAATCCTCCTACAGATAACAAATATAAACACTAGATAAAATAAAATCTATTTAAAGACACTAGAGATGAATTTGATCTTGAAAAATGCAATTAAAAGTGATAGAAATTGCAGTTTGTGACTTTCTAACTTGAGGATACTCCCCAAACCTCAGAGCTATATATATATAATATATATTATATATATGTATATATAACAGACATATTATATACATAATACACATTATTTTATATATGTATAATTTGACTAATACAAATATCTAGGAGTTGAATGACCACTCGTGTTCATTCATATATTTTTTCATGTGCTTATTTGCTATTTACTATATCTTCTTTGGACACTTGAAAAGATAGTCAACATCCTTAGTCATTAGGGAAATACAATTAATATCACAATAATATGCCACTGCACACTTACGAAAATGACTGAACTTTAAAAACAAAACTGATCATACTAAGTGTTGGTAAAGACATGGAGCAAGGGGAACTCTAATACACTGTTGGTGGGAACGTAAATGGAACAACAACTTTGGAAAAGAGTTGAACCACTTCCAGAAATTTAAACACACACCTACCATATGATACAGTCATTCCACTCCTGGATATTTGAATTAGTCAGGGTTTGCCACAGAAGCAGACCAATATATTTCCAACCTTATACTTATACACGCATACACACATAGAAAGAGATTTATTATAAGGAGTTGGCTCACATATTTATGGAGGCTGAGAAGTCCCAAATCTGCAGTCAAGAAGGTGGAGACTCAGGAGAGCCAACGTATGGTTTTATTTCAGGTCCTAAGAGAGCAGATGTTTCAGTCTGAGTCCAAACACGAGTAAAAAACCAATGGCCCACCTCAAGCATTCAGGCAAGAGGAGTTCCCTCTTACTCATTCTTTTTGGTTCTATTCTCATCTTCAATGGGTTGGATGAGGTCAACCCACATAATGGAGGGTGTTATGGTTAGGATATTTGTCCTACCCAAATCTCATGTTGAAATGTAATCTCCAATATGAAGGTGGGACCTAGTGGGAGGTGTTTGGGTCATGGGGGCAGATCTCTTGTGAATGGCAGGTGCCATCCCTACAGTAATGAGTTCACATGCGATCTGGTTACTTAAAAGAGCCTGGCACCTCCACCTCTCTCTTGCTTCCTATCCCACTATGTAACCACCTGCTGCCCCTTCGCCTTCTGCCATGATTGTGAGATTCCTGAGGCCCTCACAAGAAGTAGATGCTAGCACTGTGCTTCTTGTACAGCCTGCCGAATCCTAAGCCAAAATAAACCTTTTTTCTTTATAAATTACCCAGTTTCAAGTATTCCTTTATAGCAACACAAATGGACTAACAGTCTACCAATACAAATGTTAACATCATCCAGAAACACCCTCAGATACACTCAGAATAATGTCTGGCTAAATGTCTAGGCAAACTGTGGCCCAGTAAAAAATTGATACATAAATTAACCATCACAGTATTTACCCAAGAAACAAAGCATATGTACCTACATGGACTTGTATGTAAATGTTCATGGCAGCTTCATTTGTTATACCTCAAAACTGAAAACAACCCAAATGTCCATCAACATATGAAAGGATAAAAAATTGTGGTATATCTATATAATGAAATACTATTCAGCAAAAAAAAAAAAAAAAAAAAAAAAGAGAGAAACTGTTGATACATAAAACATATGGACGAATCTCAAAATAATTCTGCTATGTGAAAGAAGTCAGAAAATAAAAAGAGTACATACCATATGAGTACTTTACAGACAGTATTTATATAGTCCATAGTGACATAAAGGAAATCTGTGATTGCCTAGAGTTGGAGAGTTGGGGTGGAAAGATAGGAGAGAAAAACTAAAAAGAAGCAAGAGAAAAACTAAAAAGGAGCACAGGGAAAATTTGGAAATGATGAATATGTTCATTACCTTAACTGTGGTGATGATTTCACAGGTAAATAAATATGTCAAAACTTATCAAACGGTGCTCCTTAAAAATCAGCAGTATATTGTATGTCTGTTGTAACTCAGTGAAGTTATTAAGTACAATGTATTACAATATGTGGCATATTGGTAAAATAGTGGTTAGAGGGAAATTTATAGATTTAAATGTTTATATTAGAGAGGGTTTAAACTCAATTATCTAATCTCTCACATTAGAATACTACAAAAAGGAGGACAAATTAAATATAAAATAAGAAGGACAATAATGATTAATAAAATGCAATTTAAAAAGAAAAAAAAATCAAAACAGATGAACACCAAAGAAAATCAATGAAACCAAAAGCTCATTCTTTGAAAAGATTAAGAAAGCTGGTAAACTTGAAGTCAAACTGTGTGGGGAAAAAAGAAAGATGGTACAAGTTACCAATATGGAGAACGTAAGTGGAAATATCACAACAGATCCTACAGACACCCTAAAGACTCAACTTGCCAAACTTGGCATTAGGAAAAAAATAGAAAATCTAAATAATCTTACATATAGAAAAGAAATTGGATGTGTAATTTAAAACCTTCCCACAAAGAAAACTCCAGGAAAAGACTGCAAAACTGATTAATTCGATCATACATTTAAGAAAGAAATAATACCAGTTCTACATAAACTCTTTCAGAAAATGAAGGTTAGAAGAAACAAATAGAACATCATTTTATGAGGCCAGTATTACCCTGATATCAAAAGTAGATGAAAAAAATACAGAAAGAGAATAATGCATGCCATTATTCATTATGGACATTGGTGCAATGATTCTGAACAAAATATTATAAAAGTGAATGCAGCAATGTACGAGAAGATAATACATCATAACCAAGTGAGGTTTAACCCAGGAATGCAAAGTGACTTAATGTCTGAAAATTAAACAACGCAATTCATGATTTTATGAGAATAAAGGAAAAAACTTCATATGATTGTCTCAACTGATACAGAAAATTATTTTCAAATTTAGCAGCCACTTGTGATAAAAACTTCCAACAAACTGTAGATAGAAAAAAGCTTTCTCAAATTTACAAAGAGCATGTAAAAAAATCCACAACTAACAAAAGTAATGCCGGAATAGTTATCATTTTCTCTAAGATTAGAAAAAAGACAAGAATGTCCACTCTTACCACTTTGTAATTTAACATTGTCTGAGCTATCACAGCCACTGAAATAAGACAAGAAAAAGAAATAAAAGGCATACAAACTGGAAAGGGAGAAGAAAAGCTGTTTTTATTTGCTGTCCTTGTAATAAGTGAATTTAGCAAAAATCAATAGTATTTTTACACACTATCACTGAACAACTAGAACATAAATTTTAAAAATGAAATTTTATTTACAATATTACATAAATATGTAAAATATTTAAGAATAAATGTAATATATCTATGTAAAACTTACACTCTAAAATCATATAACATTAATATATAAACTATAAAAGTAAAACTTTATGAAACTTATAAAATTATGTAATTTGTTTTAAACATTTATAGTTTCATGTAATTTAACAGAGTAATTATTTAAATGTAAAGGAAATATTTCAAATAGAAGGCAAAGATTGTTAGGCTCAATTAAAAAGAAAAGTATACGCTGCTTATAAGAGACATACTTTAAACATAACTATATAAAAAGATTCAAAATACAGAAATGTAAAAAGATGTGCTATGCAAACATCAACCAAAAAGGAAGCTGGTTCAGCCATTCTAACATAAAAGTAGACATTAAAGGCAGAAAGTATAACTGAAAATATGGAAGAGTAAATCCAAGAGGAAGATGAGTATGTCACAATCCTAAATTGGTATGCATCTGGTAACATAGCTTAAAATATTATGCAAAATATATCAATAATGTAAAAATTGAATTAAGAGAGACATAGACAAATGCATAGTAATGTGGAAAGAATTTAACACATCCTTCACAATAACTGGTAGAGCAATAAAATAAAAGCTCAGCAATGACAAAGATCAGAATAACACAGTTAACTTTCACTGGATTGACAAATAGAGAACATCACACCCAACAATGATACATTCTTTTTATATCCACGTGTAACATTTATATGCCACGTGACCAAATGCTGGGGAGCCCAAAAGAAATAGGAATTAAATAAATACCAAATGGATTACCAAGAAATCTCCAGTTGCTTAGAAATTAAACCATATACTCCAATCTCTGCATCAAAAATCAAGAAGAAAAATTAAAATTATTTTAATTAATGATACTGAAGCTATGGCATATCAAAACATGAGATCCAGGTAAAGCAGAGAATACAGGGATCTCCCTATCCTCAAAATGCATATATTGTTAAAAAAGAAAGACAAAAATTAATAATTTATTGTTCCATCTCAAAAAGCTAGAACAAGACTAAGTCAAATGCAAGAAAGCAGAAGAAAGGAAATAATAAAGATAGCAGAAATTAAATAAAAGTGTTCAAAACAAAACAGTAATAATACCAGAAGTTAG
The DNA here is from genome assembly GCF_000001405.40 of Homo sapiens. Taxonomy (NCBI): domain Eukaryota; kingdom Metazoa; phylum Chordata; class Mammalia; order Primates; family Hominidae; genus Homo; species Homo sapiens. The sequence continues at coordinate 26,873,688 of NC_000022.11, read as the reverse complement.
TTTATCAACTTGTTAATGTTAATAAACTTGACAAATTTCAGGCAAGAGCAATTAAGAAAAAAGGACAGAGAAACCTGTCAATACCATAAGAAATAATAAGAGACATCACTTCAGACTCTATAGATGTCTAAAAGATAATAAGATGTTGTAAAGAGTTTAAACCAATAAATTTGACAACCTGAATTGCAATGGACAAATTCCTCAAAAAAAATCCACCTTTGCAATGCTAACAAAAGAATAAATTGAAAATCTGAACAGTCCAAAATCTATCAAAAAATTGAATGTATCATTTAAAACTTCTCATAAGAAAACCTCAAATCTAGATAAATTCACAGTCAACTCTTCTTTATATTTAAGAAAGAAACAACACTGATTTTCCACAAACTATTCCAGATAATATTTTTAAAAACACTTCCCAGTATTGTTCATGGGGCCAGAATAGCTCTGATGTTGAAACCAGAAAAGTACAAAAAAGAAGAATTACAAACCAGGCTTTTTCATGAACTTACAGGCAAAAAGCCCAAACATAATTTTGCGAATCAAATCAGTGGTAAATAAAAGCTATGGTACATCATGACTAATTGATATTTATTCTAGAAATACAGTGATCATGTAGTGTAATTTTCCACTTCAACAAGAGAGAGAACAATCATATAATCACCTCAGTAGATATAGAATATCATTTGACAAAATTCAATGGACATTCATGGTTAAAAGCTTTTAAGTAGAAATAGTGGGGAATAATCTTTAATTTGGTAAAAAAAAAATGAAATAAAGATCAAACATTATTATTATTATTTTTTGAGATGGAGTCTCACTCTGCCACCCAGGCTGGAGTGCAGTGACACGATCTTGGCTCACTGCAACCTCCACCTCCCGGGTTCAAGCGATTCTCCTGCCTCAGCCTCCTGAGTAGCTAGGATTACAGGAGCCCACGACTACGCCCAGCTAATTTTTCGTATTTTTGGTAGAGACAGGGTTTCGCCATGTTGGCCAGGCTGGTCTCGAACTCCTGACCTCGTGATTCGCCAGCCTCGGCCTCTTAAAGTGCTGGGATTACAGGTGTGAGCCACCACGCCCGGCCACAAATATTATTCTTAATGGTGAAACACAAACATTTCCCCACAAAATAGGAAACTAGACCAGAATGCCTGCTATCACCAAGCATTATCTTCTTCTATTCAGCACATACTGAGTATTCTAGCCAAAAGAGCAGGAAAGAATAAGAAATTGAAGGCTTAAGAACTGAGAGTGAAGAAATAAAATTGTCTTTATTCACTGGTAATATGATTGCATATGCAGAAGATCCAAAAATATCTATAAACTATTAGCATTACTAGTTCAATTTAGTTCAATGTAACAGTGTTACTGGATACAGGATCAATATACAAAGATCAATTTTATTTCTATATATCAGCAATAAACAAATTGAAAATAAAATTTTAAGAAAATCATAAAACTGTAATAGCATCAAAAATATCAAATACCTAGAAATAAACCTAATGAACCACATTCCAAGTTAACCACACTAAAATCTACAAAACATTATTGAAAGTGAGAGATGAAAAGAGGGACTGTTTCTTAAATTGTACTGGGAAAACTGGATGCATATATGAAAAATTAATAAATTAGATCCCTACCTCACACATTACACAAAAACAAGTTGATTGTTAATCTAGGTTGATTAACGACCTAACAGACAATACTAAAACCTTTAAATTGTACAGTAAATTATATAAATTTTCTATAATAAATTATAGAAAGATATAGCCTCAGGATGGACTGTTAAACCAGACACAGAAGCACAAATCATACAATAAAAGATTGATAAACGTGACTAGATTAAATTTTAAAAGTTTTACACAGCCAAAGACATCTCATACAATATTGAAAGACAAAGAATATACTGGCAGAAAAAAAAACTTCACTTTATATAATCATAAAGAATTAGTAACCAGAATATATTTTTAGAATTGATTTACAAAAAGATAAAAAACACTGTAGGGGGAAAGTGGCATAAGAAATGAATAGGTAATTCATAAAAGAGAAAAATAAATGACCAACGAACATAAATAAAGATACAATCTCACTAGTAACCAGGGAAATGCAAATTAAACCCACAAAGAGAGATCATTTTACAAAGAGATATCATTTGGAAAATATTAAACCATCTGACAATATCAATTGCTGGCAAGAACTCTCATCTACTGTTGGTGGGAGGGTAAATTTGTACAATCATTTTGGGGAGCAATTTGGCAAAATCTAGCAGAGATTAATACATGCATATCCTTTCACCTAGAAATTCTATTTCTAAGTATATATCCTAAAAGCTGCTGCATATGTGTACCAGAACACGTGTACAAAAATTGGAAACAGCCTACATGTCCATCAATGAAAAAAAATAAATTAATGTTAATATATTTATACAATGGAACACCATATAGAAATTAAAATGAATGAACTAGAATTACATATATCAACATGTATAAACCTTTCAAAAAAACGTAAAATGTATTTAAAAATAAAAGTTGTGGAATGATACATATGGTATAATATCATGGATATAAATCTAAGAATATGCAAAACAATACCATGTATTATTTATGGACACATATGTAGTAAAAATATTTTTAAAACATGATAAACACCAAGTTTGGGATAGGACTGTATTTCTGGAACAGAAAGCAAATGAATGGGATTGTAGAGGGTAATACAGATAGGACCAATTGCCTTTGTATTATTTTAACTTTAAAATAAAAGGTCTAAAACAAATATAGCAATATGTCAAGATGTCAAAGCTAGAAGCTAGGTGGTGGGTACACAAGTATTTGTTATATCATTAATATTAGTCTGGTGGTATGCTGGTAATTTTTTTTTTTTTTGAGATGGAGTTTCGCTCTTGCTGCCCAGGCTGGAGTGCAATGGTGCGATCTCGGCTCACCAGAACCTCTGCCTCCCGGGTTCAAGTGATTCTCCTGCCTCAGCCTCCCGAGTAGCTGGGACTACAGGCATGCGCCACCATGCCCAGCTAATTTTGTATTTTTAGTATAGACAGGGTTTCTCCATGTTGGTCAGGCTGGTCTCAAACTCCCGACCTCAGGTGATCTGCCCAACTCGGCCCCCCAAAGTGCTGGGATTACAAGTGTGAGCCACCGCACCTGGCCGGTAAATGTTTAACAACTGGCTTTTCTAGGAGAAAACCCTGATTTGTAGTGTTGGCCAATTTTTATGATGTAAATACTCCCACCATGGCCAATTCCAAGCTATCAATTTGATTTCACTGATTACAGAGTAGGGGAAAAGCTGCACGCAATAGGTTCTTTTTTTTTTTAATTTTATTATTATTATACTTTAAGTTTTAGGGTACATGTGCACAATGTGCACGTTTGTTACATATGTATACATGTGCCATGTTGGTGTGCTGCACCCATTAACTCGTCATTTAGCATTAGGTATATCTCCTAATGCTATCCCTCCCCCCTCCCCCAACCCCACAACAGTCCCCGGTGTGTGATGTTCCCCTTCCTGTGTCCATGTGTTCTCACTGTTCAATTCCCACCTATGAGTGAGAACATGCGGTGTTTGGTTTTCTGTCCTTGCAATAGTTTGACAGTTTGCTGAGAATGATGGTTTCCAGTTTCATCCATGCCCCTGCAAAGGACGTGAACTCATCATTTTTTATGGCTGCATAGTATTCCATGGTGGATATGTGCCACATTTTCTTAATCCAGTCTATCGTTGTTGGACATTTAGGTTGGTTCCAAGTCTTTGCTATTGTGAGTAGTGCCGCTATAAACATACGTGTGCATGTGTCTTTATAGCAGCATGATTTATAATCCTTTGGGTATATACCCAGTAATGGGATGGCTGGGTCAAATGGTATTTCTAGTTCTAGATCCCTGAGGAATCGCCACACTGACTTCCACAATGGTTGAACTAGTTTACAGTCCCACCAACAGTGTAAAAGTGTTCCTATTTCTCCACATCCTCTCCAGAACAATAGGTTCTTGTGAGCCAGAATGAACCAGCTTCAGCATTCCTCTGTATTAGTCTCTACCACTTTCTGTGTGAAACAGAGGAAAATAAAACACTAATTTTAAAAGCAAAACTAATTTTAAAAGCTCAGTTTCATATGGAAGGAAATCAGAGTGCAGGTGCTCTGTAAAAGCAGGGATGGTGGGCCCCCACCCTTCCTCTTCCTTCCATGAAACCTACCAAGACACCAACATGTAGACCACTAGCCCAGACAATCTCTGATGTGCTATGATTTGCCAAAATGTTCTCACCTCCTTTGTTGATAGTGGCACTTCCTCACTCAGCAATAAAGCAAAGAGGCATCTAGAAAGATGGCAACATAGGGACCTGAGAGTCCACACACAGGACTTGGGGCAGAGGCAGGTTTGTGAACTGGGGAGAATTGTACAGCCATATTCCAAAGCAGATATAAAACAAATGGCCAAGACCACTGTACCCGCTTAGCACTGAAATGCGTAGGTCAGAGATGATTTGGTTATCTCTTTTTAAACTGTACTTTATGGAACACTGGTGCTCATTGAAAGTACCTCGGGGACCAGAGTGGGGCGAGGGAGTGGAATCAACACCCCTACTCCCTCTCCATCCATAGCCACTCCTCTTGTATCTGACTTAAGTGTAAGGCTTTCTGATAATGATTTCATTAGAGTAGCTGGTTCCACTGCTTCAAAACAGAAGCAGTATGGAAGAGCCGCTGAGATGTTCATCTAATGCATATATTTTTGCAGTTATCGAAACCAGTGTTTACAAAGAGAAAGGGATGTTCCCAAAGTCATACAGATGACAAGGCCACAACTCAAGCCCCTGTGTTCTGACTCCTGGCCCAACTGTTCCCACCCTCCCATACCCTCAATCCAGAAGAAACTCCTGCCCTTCTCTCTTTCTGCCTCATTAAGAAAGGAAGCCCATGAAGATCAGCAACAAGAGAGAAACAAGCAGAAGGCGGTGCATAAAATCCAAGCACCTCACTAGAGTCATCCAAGAAGCACTGCTGCTTACCAGCACCTGACACAGACAGACAATGTCTCTACCTCCCTGACCAAGGTCCAAAAATAGGACAATGGTCAGCCAGGGGACTTCTCCCAGATATTCTTCATTGAGCTTCTGGAGGAGGACACAGAGAAGAGAAAGACATCACTCTCCCTTTTTGGCACTGCAGAAAAGTGGACAAACACAGGCTTCCCACTACTGTCAGGATGATTAACTTCTCTGAGATTCAGTCTCATCATTTGCAGAATGGAGTATTCATTGGCTCAGAGAATGGTCATGAAGGTCAAGTGATGTCACAAACAGAAAACCTTCAACACAGACACTGATCCCATAGTAAATGCTCATAATATATTGATCCTTGGCTCAACATATGCAAATCCATAAATGTGATATGGCATATTAAGAGGAGGATAAAAATCATGTTGTCATCTTCATGGATGCAGAAATACATTTGACAAAATTCAGCATCCTTTTTTAGGAATAGGAGGAATGTACTGCAACACAACAAAGCCCATAGATGAAAAACCCACCAATAACATAATACACAATGGTGAAAAGTTGAAAACTTTTCCTCTAAGATCAGGAACAAGACAAGAATGCCCACTCTCAACACTTCTAGTCAACACAACACTGGATGTTCTAGCCAGAGCAATTAGACAAGAAAAAGAAATAGGAGGCAATCAAATAGGAAAGGAAGAAGGGAAATAGTCTGTTTGCTAATGACATGATCTTATATGCAGAAAACTCCAAAGACTCCATGAAAAAAATTGTTAGAGCTGACAAACAAACTCAGTAAATTTGCAGTGTGCAAAATCAATACACAAAAATCAGCAGCATTTCTTTACACCAACAATCAACTATCTGAAAAAGAAATTAAGAAATCTAACGCACTCACAATAGTCCCAAAAAGAAAAGCTAAAATACTTAGGAGTAGCCGGGCACGATGGCTCATGCCTGTAATACCAGCACTCTGGGAGGCCCAGGTGGGTAAATTGCTGGAGCCCAGGAGTTCAAGACCAGCCTGGGAAATATGACAAAATCATATATCTACAAAAATATATATATATAAAAACTAGCTAGGCATGGTGATGTGCGCCTGTAGTCCCAGCTACTTGGGAGGTTGTGGTGGGAGGATCACTTGAGCTCAGGAGGTCAAGGCTGCAGTGAGCTATGAACCCACCACTGCACTCCAGCCTGGGTGACAGAGTGAGACCCTGCCTTGAACAAACAAACAAATGTAGGAATAAATTTTACCAAGAAGGTGAAAGATCTGTATACTACAAACCATAAGACATTGCTGAGAGAAAATGTAGAAGACACAAATATAGTCATGTGTTACTTAATGATGGGAGTATGTTCTAAGAACTGTGTGGTTAGGCAATTTTGTTTCTGTGCAAACATCATAGAGTATATTTGTACAAACCCAGCTGGAATAGCCTACCACACACCTAGGCTGCAAAGTAGAGCCTACTGCTCCTAGGCTACCAACACATCCAGTACATAACTGCAATAAATACCATAAACAATTTTAACATGATGGTATTTGTGTATCTAAACATAGAAAAGGTACAATACGAATACAGTATAAAAGATAAAAAATGGTACAACTGTACAGGGCCCTTAGCAGGAATGGAACTTGCAGACTGGAAGTTGCTCTGGGTGAGTCAGTGAGTAAATGCTGAATAAATGTGAAGGCCTAGGACATTACTGTACACTACTGCAGACTTTATAAACACTGAACACTTAGGTTGCCCTAAATTTAGGTTAAAACATTTTTTATTCAATAATAAATTAACCTTAGCATTATGGCAACATTTTTACTTCATAAAATTTTTAATTTTATTAACTTTTTGACTCTTTTGTGATAATAGTGTAAAATACACATTATACAAGGTACAAAAATATTTTCTTTCTTTATATACTTATTCTTTAAGCTTTTTCTAGTTTTTTTTTTTTTTTTTTTTACTTTTTAAACTTTTTTCTTAAAAACTAGGAGACACACACACACATTAGCCTAGTTATCTACACAGGGTCAGGATCATCAAGATGTCACTAGGAAACAGGGATTTTTCAGCTCCATTATAATCTTAGGAGACCACTTTTGTCTATGCAGTTCATTGTCTAACTGAAATGTCATTATGGAGTGCATGACTGGAAATGGAAATGTTTTTGTGTTCATGGATTGGGAATTAATATTGTTAAAATGTCCATACTACCCAAAGTGATGTACAGATTCAATGCAAGCTCTATCAAAATTTCAAAGTCATTTTTCACAGCAAAGAAAAAACAATCCTAAAACTTGTATAGAACCACAAAAGACCTCAAATAACCAAAGGCATCTTGAGCAAAAAAAAATAAAGCTGGAGGCATTGCACTACCTGACATCAAAATCTATTATATAGCTATAGTAATCAAAGCATGGCATTGGCATATAAACAGACACATTGACCAACAGAATAGAACAGAGTTCAGAAGTGAACCCACACATTTATGGTCTACTGAGTTTTGACAAAAGCACCAAGAACACACAATGGGGAAAAGATAGCTTCTTCAATTAATGGTGTTGGGAAAACTGGATGTCAACAAGCATTAGAGTGAAATTGTACCCTACCTCACACCATATACAAAAATCAACTCAAGATGGATTAAAGACTTAAACATGAGACCTGAGTCTGTGAATCTATGAGGGGACATAGGAGAAATGCTCCAGAATATTGGTCTGGGCAAATATTTCTTAGGTATGATTCCAAAAGCATGGGCAACAAAAGCAAAAACAAACAAATGAAGTTACATCAAACTAAAAAGTTTCTGCACAGCAAAGGAAATGACTGATAGAGTAAAGACACAACTCAAGGACTGGGAAAAAATATCTGCAAACCATACATCAGATAAGGAGCTAACATAAAAAATATATAAGAAACACAACTCAATAACAAGAAAATAAATAACCCAATCAAAAAATTAGCTAAGGACCTAAATAGACACTTCTCAGAAGAAGATCTACGAATGGACAAATGAGGAATTAAAAAGTGCTGGTCATCGCTAATCATCAGGGAAATGCAAATTAAAACCACAATGATATATCATCACAACTTGTTAGAATACTATTATCAAAAAGACATAATAAGTTGATGTGGGTATGGAAAAAGTGAACCCTTGTGCACTGTTGGTGGGAAAGTAAATTAATACAGCCATTATGGAAAACAGTATGGGAGTTCCTCAGAAAACTAAAAATAGGATTACCATGTGGGGTGTATATCCAAAGGAATTGAAATCCTATGCCCAAGAGATATTTCCACTCCTATGTTCATTGAAATGTAATTCACAATAGTTAAGATATGGAAGCAACCTTAATGTCCAACATCAGATGAATGGATTAAAAAAATGTGGTGTATGTACACAATGGAATACAACTTAGCCTTTACAATGAGGGAAATCCTGTCATTTGCTTCAGTGAACCTGGAGAACATTAGGCCAAGTGAAATAAGCCAGACACAGAAAGACACACACTGCATGATCTCAGTTATATGTGAAATCTAAAGAAGTTGAGAGCGTAGAATGGTGGTTACCAGAGGCTGGGGGAAGCAGGTGGGTAGAGAAAGAGGAGAGAGTGATCAAAGGGTACAAAGTTTCAGCTGACAGAAGGAATAAGCTTCAGTGACCTATTGTACAGAATGATGACAATAATAAACAATAATGCAATATATAATTTCAAAATTGCTAAAAAAACAAGATTTTAAATGCTTTCACCACAAAAAATGATAAGTAAATGAGGTGATGTGTTAATTAGCTTGATTTAATCATTGCACAAGATAAACATAATCAAAACATCTCATTGTACCTCATAAATATATATAATGGTCACTTGTCAAAAATACAATTTTTAAAAATATAGTTTAATATACTTTCACCTTGAATTATTTGGTAAGGAAATTTCCAAATCTCATTGAAAATAAATGTTGACTAGGAAAAAAAATACTGACTCTTATACTTTAATGTACAAAACTCTCAGTACGAGATCACTACAAGACAAGAGAGAACAACAGCCAACATGTATTCAGCACTGACTGTTGTGAAGCAGTAAACAGAGCTCCCTTGGAGCACCTCCCTTCCTCTTCACAACAGTTCTGTGAGGCAGGGGTGGTTATATCCATTTTACAGATGTGAAAGCTGAGGCTGAAATGGCTTGCCTAACTGAAGCTTAGCGCATGGATTTACTGGCAGAAGTAAGATCCCAACCGAAGGGATCTGACCCCATAGTCCATGCTTTTGGCCAGCCTACTAGACTGCCTCATTATCCCTTTCCCTGGTACCAACTGTTGTGAGGATTCAAAGGATGGTGCGGCAGGACTGAAGCCTTCTTGGAGGAGATGACCTTGTAGAATGTATGGGAAAGGGTGATCTGCTGGACTGGATGAGCAACGTCAACACAAACAAAAAGCAGGTCAGGGCTGGGTTGCCTCAGGGGTAGTCTGACAATAGACTCATATACCAATGTGGATCACTTCTACACTGATCCACAGCATGCCAGGTGGGGCAAAAGAGCAGTGTCTTGAGATGGGGCACAATATACGTTAAGTTCTACACACACAGGGCCTGAAGTCAGAGTTTAACTCTGCTTTTTACCAGCTGTGTGTCCCTGAGTAAGTTACTTACCCTCTCTGTGCCTCAGTTTTCCCAGCTATATAAGGGGTTAATAACAGTACCTACTTTACAGTGACATGAAGATTAAATAAGGTGCTGCTACATAGTATTCCATCATGTATATGTGCCACATTTTCTTTATCCAGTCTATCATTGATGGGCATTTGGGTTGGTTCCAAGTCTTTGCTACTGTGAACAGTGCTGCAATAAACATACGTGTGCATGTGTCTTTATAGTAGAATGATTTATAATCTTTTGGACACATACCCAGTAATGGGATCACAGGGACATGGATGAACCTGGAAACAATCATTCTCAACAAACTAACACAAGAACAGAAAACCAAACACCGCATGTTCTCACTCATAAGTGGGCATTGAACAAAGAGAATACATGGACACAGGGAGGGGAACATCACACACTGGGGCCTGTTGGGGGATGAGGGGCTAGGGGAGGGACAGCATTAGGAGAAATACCTAATGTAGATGACAGGTTGATGGGTGCAGCAAACCACCCTGGCATGTGTATACCTATGTAACAAACCTGCGCGTTCTGCACATGTACCCCAGAACTTAAAGTACAATTTTAAAAAATTAGCAAAAGCAAAAAAATAAAATAAAATAAAATAAAATAAAATAAGGTGCTGCACATGAAGCACTCAGCACAGTGCCTGCATATGGTTAAGGTCTCAACAAAGCTTAGCTATTTCTGTGGTTATTGTCAATATCTTTCTAATTCTACTATACTTTTTAGCAGTCCTGAATACTGGACGGTGGGATTAATTTATCCTTAAAATCAAACACCTTGGGAATTTGGACTCATAAAATTTCAATATCTCAGAATCGTTAAACATTAGATTCCTAGAATTATACAACCTTCAAAACTTAGAATAAAAGTACAGTGTGAAGCAATAGAATTTACAATAGAAATTTCCCCCTAATGCTGCCCTCCTCCTCTCTCTTTGGAGGATTAAAACTATTATTTTGTCAGATGAATCCTTGACTTTTCTCCTCAGAAATATATGTATTATTATATTTGTTTTGTTTCAAGAAAACGCATTTATGTTCTTTCTCCTCCCCCTCTCCTTTTTCCTCTCTCCTGTACCGAGGATGTGATGTGATGGGTAAAATATCAAGAGCAATAAGTCAAAATTTTTGACAGAAATAATACAGCCTGCATCCATTTCTAGCCGTTCTCCAAGTGATAACAATTAAGCCCCGGACAGTTTGAACTTTTTACAAAGAATTAATGATGCATGTGAACACAGGGGGGAGAACAATTGCTAATAATTTATGAAGTCTTCGCTGGCTCAAAGTAGTAAGTTCGGTAAAGTGAGGGAGAAAGCTTTGAAAGGTAAACACTTTGAAAAGCCATTTTGAGGATCTGCCCTGTCAATTGAGAATTTACTACATTCCATTAAACAACCTAAAATAACTTCTATGGTAATCACCCTTCAGATACAGGCGCCAGTGCCGACAAAGGTATTATTAAGTTAAATTACCCTAAAAGTGTTGGATTGACAGAAAGTTTCAGTCAATGGTTTGGAAAGCCGGGGTCCCTAAATGACACCAGCAAACAGATACTGATGTTCTGGGGTTGGAGAACTTGGCTTTACAAGACCTGGCTCTAACAAGATTTCAATTTGAGCTTTTAAATATTTCATGCTACCCCTGCAGATCTCAGGAGGAGGGCTGTGGGATTCACAGAGATGGAGGCCAGGTCCCCTCCTTGCCTCACCTTTCTGGGCCAGCATTTGAAAGGTACCTCTGGGTGGAAAAAAGAAAGAGGCATATGGCAAAGACGGCTTGTCTCTTTGAGGGGAGAAGGGAGCGGTGAAGGGGGAATTTACCAGCTGGGTTTGATTAGGGGAAAGAGTTAGGATTCTCAATTTATAGATAAGGGAAATGAGTCTCTTACCTGAGGCCACCCAGCAGGTCCACCGCATGAACTAGAATGTAGACCGCTCCGTGATGTCAAGAACTCACTCTCTCTTGATTCTGATGTACATAGAATCTTGATTCAGTTTGTACATAGCTGGACCCTATAAATATGTTTAAATAAATTCTATTAATATATAACATACATGGTAAAAGATGTACAAGTTATACGTGCATAGCTCAACAAATTCTCCCAAACCAAACACACTCCTGTGTAACCAGCAATGAGCTCAAGACATTCAACATTTCCAGCCCCTACCTCAGTCCCCAACCCCCAAAATGTTCTCACATTCCCAAGTCGACTCCCCAAGGGTAACTACCATGCTACCTTCCAACATGTAAATAAGTCTCTCCAGCTTTTGAACTCTATGTGGATAGACTCACACAGTATGTATGTTTTACATCCGGCTTCTTTTACTCAAAATTATATTTGTCCATTTCATCTAGATTTTTGTATGTATTTGTAGTTTGGTTTTTTTGTGTTTTTTGTTTTTTTGTTTGTTTTTGTGATGGAGTCTCGCTCTTCTCTCCCAGGTTGGAGTGTGATGGCGCGATCTCAGCTCACTGCAACCTCTGCCTCCCGAGTTAAAGCTATTCTCCTGCCTCAGCCTCCTAAGTAGCTGGTGCTACAGGCACCGGCTACCATGCCCGGCTGATTTTGTACTTTTGGCAGAGACGGGGTTTCATGTTGGCCAGGCTGGTCACAAACATACATACTGTTGTGTGACTCTACCCACGTAAGAGTTCAAAAGCTCCACAAACTTATCTACATGTTGGAAGGTAGCATGGCAGTTACCCTTGGGGAGTCGACTTGGGAATGTGAGAACATTTTGGGGGTTGGGGACTGAGGTGGGGCTGGAAATGTTGAGTGTCTTGAGCTCATTGCTGGTTACACAGGAGTGTGTTTGAGATAATTCATTTAACTATACACGTATGACTTGTACATCTTTCTCCATGTATGTTATATATTAATCGAATTTATTTAATCACCAGGTCAGCAGTTCGAGACCAGCCTGGCCAATATGGTGAAATCCCGTCTCTACTAAAAATACAAAAAATTTACCAGGTGTGGTGGCAGGCACCTGTAATCCCACCTACTCGGGAGGCAGAGGCAGGAGAACTACTTGAACTCTGGAGGCAAAGGTTGCAATGAGGGGAGATTGTGCCACTGGGCTCCAGCCTGGGCAACAGAGCAAGACTACGTCTCAAAAAAAAAAGGAAGGAAAGGAAGGAAAGGCGAAAGGGAAGGGGAAGGGGGAAAGTTAAGAAGAAAAGAAGGAAAGAAAGAAAAAAAACCAAGACCCTGCTCCCAAGAAGCTTACATATAGCAGTGTGTCTGTAGTTGGTTCCTTCTGGTGGGTTCTTGGTCTCGCTGACTTCCAGAATGAAACCACGGACCTTCCTGGTGAGTATCACAGCTCTTAAAAGCAGCATGCACCCAGAGAGAGAGCGCGCGCAGCAGCAAGATTTATTTCCAAGAGCAAAAGATCAAATCCTCCACAACCTACAAATGGACCCCACCACGTCGCCCCCGCTGGCTGGGGTGGTCAGCTTTTATTTCCTTATTTGTCCCCTCCCACATCCTGCTGATTGGTCAATTTTACAGAGTGCTGATTGGTCCATTTTACAGAGTGCTGATTGGTCCATTTTACAGAGTTGCTGATTGGTGCATTTACAATCCTTTGGCTAGACACAAAGCGCTGATTGGTGCATTTACAAACCTCTAACTAGACAGAAAAGTTCTCCAAGTCCCTACTCGAGCCAGGAAGTCCAGCTGGCTTCACCTCTCAGCAGCAGAAAAAGACCATACATATGTTAACAAATAGATAAGAATTCCAGAAAGATACTGAAAAGTGCTTTACTTATTTTATTTATGTATTTAGAGACAGGGTCTCACTCTGCCGCCCAGGCTAGAGTTCAGTGGAGCAGTCTCAGCTCACTGCAGCCTCAACTTCCCAGGCTCAGGTGGTCCTTTCACATCAGCCTCCTGAGTATCTGGGACCACAGGTATGTACCACTATGCCTGGCTAATTTTTGCTTTTCCTAGAAACAGGGTTTCACCTGTTGTCCAGGCTGGTCTCAAATTCCTGGGCTCAAACAATCCACTGGCTTCAGCCTCCAAAAGTGCTGGGATTACAGGCATGAGCCACCAAACCTGGCCTATTTATTTATGTTTTAGAGACAGGGTCTCGCTCTGTCATCCAGACTGGAGCAAAGTGATGATCACAGCTCACTGCAGCCTTGAACTCCTGGGCTCCAGCAATCCTCCTTCCTCAGCCTCCCGAGTGGCTGAAACTACAGACACACATCACCAGGCCCAGCTAGATAAATGCTGAAAGGAAAATTAAAAGGGTCGTCCGGATGGAGTGACTGGAGACTGGTCAGAGAGCCCTGTCTGGGGTGACAGTTGAGCTGGGAATTTAACGATGAGAAAAAAACTGGCCTTGCAAAGTCCTAGGGGAAGAGGGCTCAGACAGAGGAAAGGCAAAAGCCCTGAATGTTTGTGAGTCAGAAAAGAAGGGAGAGTGGTTTGTGCACATTAGGTGAGGGGAGGTGGAATGGGAGAACCAGTTGGGTTGGGGACGGCTATGGTCATAAGTTACAACTGTAGGGGGAAAATATATCCGATTTTTATTTTATATGATAGCTTTTGCTTCTGTGTGGAGGGTAGATTATAGAGTGCTAGGGGACCTACTCAGAAGTTGTTACAATAATTTGGGAGAAGGATGGAGGTGGCTCAGGATATGGTTCTAAAGGAGGTTGCAAGCAAAGACCAGAATGATTCTAAGGGCTGGAAAAAAACTGTGAAAGATCAAGACATCCATCCCCCTGTGGTTATGCAAATCACATTCAAGCCTCCTGGAGACAGGCAAAGCCAAGATGATGATGTTTCCTACTGTTGTAAAAACCTTTCATGGTAGATCATTCCTGCCTTCCTGAAACCACAGCATCCTGGAATTGAAGGGATCTTCTAGACCAATTCCCCCTGAATTTCCCTTTCTCTTTGTTCTGACCATGCTCAGAACATCCCCAACAAGAAATTAACTGAGTTACACTTGAATATCCCCACGACAGGGAACTCTTTGTCAGAGCACTACCTACCACAGCTCTTTGTAGCCATCCTTGGACTGAGCTAAACCTACCTCCTGAATACTCTATCCCCCATTTAACCCTCCAGAAAAACAAAAAAATGAATGAACTTGTCTGGACCGTTCATGTTGCCCAGGAGAGCCTTGCAGAAATTGAGAGCATCCCTTCTGAGGTTTAACAGAAAAATCCTCCATGGCTGTATCCTCAATTCCTCACCTATGTGGGTAGCCCATACAATGTAGGGCATGAAGTCATTCACTATATCCCAGGAAAGAATGAGCAAGATTTATTTTCAGCATTTCAGGTGAAGTTACCCATGTACAGTGCCTGAAAGAGAGTAACCTGTCAATGCATGGTAACGGCTGTTGCTATTGTGGTCATTGTGATTATTGCTTTTGCCGTTATTGCCATTAGGAGTAATAGTATTGTGTTATTAAAGGTTGTTTTGTTTGGGGATCTGTTCCATGTGCCCATTGGAATTTCCCCAGGCATCTGACAAGGCGGATGACACTCATTCTCATCCTTGTATCACTTTGCATTGATGTTCCTTTTATCTCTGACACCCTTCCTCCCCCTTTTCTCTTGTAAACTGCTATCTACCATTCAGGACCTGGCCTAAACACCAGCTTCTCTGTGCAAACTTCTCATCATACACACACACACACACACACACACACACACACACACACACACAGAAGAGAGAGAGCAGAGTGAGGCCCTTCCTTTTCTGTGTGCTTCCATTTCACATAGTGGGCTTGCATTCTTCTTTGTCCCTTGGGCAGCAGTTTCTAAGTCAACGATAGGCCTTCCAATCTATGGGAACTTCACTTCACATCGAGGGACTATGGCCAAAGCCATGATACGATGGGCACTGACTATGTACCAGACTCCGTACTACTCATTTTCACCTGTGTCATCTCAGTTTATCCTCACAAATATCCTGGAATGTAGGTGTTACTATCATCCCACTTTACAAAGAAGGAAACTGAGGTTTCAAGGAGTGAGGTGACTCTTCACCTGGTCATCTTTTGGTCCTGAGTGCAAGCATTACTTCTGCAGGAAAGAGCTTCCTGGCCAACCCTGGACCAAGCTCAGGCCCTGCTACTGGCTCCTCTAGAATCTGTGCCTCCGTGACTTAACATGTAACCCCTCAAGTAAATAAATGTGCCTTTATTTGTGCCAGCGTTTGATGATGTCTGTCTTCCACCACCAGACTCTCAACTCCATGGGGTCAGGGTCTGCATGGTTCATCTTGGTATTTCCAGAGCATGAGATATAGAAGGTGCCTGAAAAAAATTAACTGTGGAAGAAGAATTGTAAGAAAGACAAGGAGGAAGACCACACAGAACGAATAAGGATGATAGAAACAGGTTTTCCTGTGGCACCTCTTCCAGTTACATAATTTTAGAACTGCACAGGGGGAAAGGACATCAGCTTCTGACATCTTCCTTCTAGGGGAAGTGAGGTCCTCATGGGCTTCCCTACCTACCAGGAGCTGTTCTCAGCCACATAGTTTCCTCTGATCCTGTGCTACAGAGGCATGCTCTCTGCCACCTGTGTGCCTGCCCCTTCATCCTTAACCAAGCCAAGATGTTACCACACCCCGCTTCCCTGCTGGAAGCCAGAGAAGCAATTAATCCTACAGGCACACCGCCAGTGCTCTTAGGATCCAGAGACTCTCGGAAGCACCTGACAGCTGTGTGCGTTCCCATCTGGGAGCCATCAAGGGCCCCCCGAAAGGCTACTTTGAGTGCAGGCTGACCTGTCAGGATGCTCAGGAGGGGGTGCCCTTCCCCAGGGGGCAAGGAGTGGAGAGTTAACTCTGTGAGAAAGCCCTTGTCTTTCCTCCTCCCATGATTGTCTAGTGAGGTTGGGAGCCCGCATGCCTCCCTCCAAGAGAAAATCAGTTAGCTAGAGGCACAGTGAAGCAGACAGTGACCAACCTGGAATTACAAAGACCAGGGAAAGAGGCTTGCTTTGACCTCTAATGTGCCGTGTGACCTTGGGCTAGTCACTTAACCTTTCTGAAGCTGGGCAATAATGGTAAATCAAAGAAATAAGAGTTCTTCTCAAAACTGTTGGGGACATTAAATGTGATATCTCATATAAAAGGCTAAGCACAGTGGCCAGTACATAGTAACACTCAATAAATCGTAGCTATTATTACCTTATAAACATTGTTATCTATAGCTCTTAGTGCCGTCATTAGGATTAAGTGGGATAATGTGTCTAAAGCGTCTAGATAGCACAGAATAGCTGCTCAATGACAATTCCCATCCCAAATTTGGAGTGCCAACAACGAAAGAGGACTAAAATCTATCCATCATATCCACCATATGGTGCAGTTAGCCTTCAGAAGGTTCCTGATGTTGGATGGATGGATGGATGGATGGATGGATGTATGGATGGATGGATGGATGGATATAGGTAGATAAGTAAATCTTAGGTAAAATGATGTACATCATAGTGACATCAAGAATGGTTTCTAGTCTTGGTGAGTTAGCAGATATGGGCTTCTTTCTAGTTGCAAAATGTTGGGTACCATGACTGCTGGGGGAGATAGTTTGAGACCAGATGAGCTGTGTCTCATCATATCATCAACTTCAGTGATGCTTAGGGCAAATCCTGCCAACTTTCCCAGCGTGCTTTGGACCATCCTTCTTTGGAAATCCCCATTGGCCCATGTTGGTCCTGATGCAGCTATTATCTGAAATTAAGCATCCTCCCTCCAGGCAGAATCCTAGAACACTGGGGCTTAAAAAAGGACTGCAGATATTTTGGAATGTAGCTTACTCATTTACCAACAGTAGCTGCTACAACTATTTACAGAGTTCTTCCAACTTCTAGGCACTGTGTTAATTATTTTATATGTATAATTGCATTCAATCTCACAGCATTCCAAGGAGCAAAGCATATTCTATATATAATGCACACCCATACATTCCATATATAATTTTCAATTAAATATATTAAGTACTTTTAAATTATTTTTCAGAATGACACGACGCTCTCATAATGCCAAAATTTAAGCAGCTTTTGATTCTAGACCTCCTGATTATCTCACACTTTTTCTTCCCCTGGTACTCTACTTTTCTAGTGCCCCAAACATGTGCTTAGCCCTTCTTTAAGGTAATTTGGCACTGCCTAAAGATATAGAATATCGCTGTCACTTACCAGATGAGGCTACATGAGTCCAGATAGGTAAGGTAGAAAGGTTAAGGAAAGCCCTGCAGTTAGCAAGTGGTAGAACCAAGATTCCAAGTCAGTTTGATTTCAAAACTCCCTCCTCCTCTTTAATAAAACTTCCACCCTAGATGGGGAAATTAGGAGGCAGCAAAGGGGGCCTGCCCAAGGTGACACACGTTGTTGAGGTCAGAGCCCAGGTTGCAATGCCTGGTCTTTGCTTTTTTCACCAGCCAAATTTCAGAGCGTTCTTTTCAAAAATTCACTTGGACTCCTGTCTCCCTGGTGCAGCACCTGTCTCTCCAGCCACAGAGGCGCCCTGGGTTCACTTTGCAGCCATCAGTGACATAAAATGGGTGAAAATATTTTAGTTAGATTTTCTCCTCTTGATGGGTGAGAATTTTCCAGACCCAGGCACCTTTGAAATCTCCCAACGTCAGCCATCATCAGCTGTAACTGGCACCCCTGCTAATAAATTGAGAATGTCACATCTCCCAAACTGCATTATTACCATTTATAATTTTGATTGTTCATTTGCATACGAAAATTAGTCCTGTGACATGCGTGAATTTTATTTTATTCTTGAACTAATTATAAACAAGAATGCCACATTATTTACATAACTAATTATTGTTCCTTATGTTCCCCTGTTTTTAAATGGGGGACCCATTCTTCGTTGGTTAACTACGGAGATGAAAAATCCAAGAACATTTCTAAAGTTTAGGAACTTGTTCTATTTGCATCAAATACAAATTCCTTTGAATGAGAGATAATATGCTTTCCATTTTAATAGGCCTAAATTAGGTTGATCTTAATTTATAGTTAATTTGAATGAATAATTCCTGTCTACCTGAGTCTGTTTTTTCAGGAGCTCATTGTAAATGTTTATTAACCCATAAATCTGCTGCCTTCCTTGAGGAGATTTTAAGCCACCCCCCAAACTGGAGGGAGTTTGCAGAGGGGAAAAAAAGCACAAAAGCAGTTAAGAATTTCTGGAATAAGTCCCTAACTCTGTACGTCCTATGCTGTTTGCCTTTGGGCAAATACCTAACCCTCTCTGAGCCTCAGGTTTCTCAGTCGTTAAATGACTGGGTTGAATTAAATGGTCCCCAGGACTCTCTAATCTTCTGGGGGAGAGGGAGGGGTCTGTGTATCTTCTTCATTTTGCCTTTTACTGTATCTCCTCCCAAATTTCTCTTCTTTCTCAAAATTCAGGTCTTCCTTTGCTTAAGATCTTAAATGTGTCTCCACTCATGGGAAACTGCTTTATTTTCTTGGCTGTCATAAAATAGGCAAAAAATGGACCCTACCAAAAAGAGGACCAAAGAGCTGGCAAGCTAATGGTGACATTCCAGGCAGTGCTCAACCTTTGGAAAGACAGGAGTTTGCAGATAGTGTTCTGAGATTCAGTGGAGGCTCCCACTGTCCATCAGGCACACCACGAAGGTGTAAACTGCATGCTGTGTCTACAGGGGAAGAGAACTTTGGAGTCCCAAAGACCTGGATTTTAACCCCAGTGTTGTCAGTTCCTCTAAAAATGCTTGAACCTATCTGAGACTTAGTGTGTCAGCTAAGAATAACAATCCTACCTACTTCCCGGGGGACTGTTGTGATGGTTAAATGAGATAATAATGTGAAAATTGCCTGCCATATAGCTGGTGCTCAAATGCTAAATCCTGCCCTTTCCTGCTCATAAGTTGGCCTCTGGTGGTGAGGAAGAAAGGGATAATGATGGTAATTAACGTTTATTGAGTGCCTACTAGGTGTCACTTCTTCAGATGTCAGCCTAAGAGTGACACTTCAGGAAAGAATTCTCTGACTTCCCTTATGAGGTTAAATTTATCACTGGAAACTGTCAGAGAACAACATGCACCCTCCCTCCACTGCAGCAATTACAGCTCAGTTCCACCTTTCTTTGTATGATGTCTATCTATACCCTCACCCCCACCATCCTGCTTCCAACAGAAATAAGAATCGTGTCTATTTTTGTCTCCATTATGTCCCTCAAGTCCTGGCCAGCCCTCAGTATTTGAGGACATAAAGACTAAGCCCATGTCCTAGATTGCCTTATTTAATCTTCACAAAATGGGCTCTGCAACTGTCATGCCCATTTTACAGATGAGTAAAGTGAGGCTCAGAAAGGGAAAGTCCAGCTGAGACCAGAAGAACCATCCAGCCTAGCCCAGCTTACCTGAGCCATAAATATTTATTACCATACACTGCTGAAGTGTGTGGTGGTTTCACAGCATTATTGTGTCAATTAATAATGGATATGTATTTGTATATCATTCTACACTTCACCAAGCGACTTCTCATAAATTGATTCTTCTGAGACTTCATTTCCTCATCTATTAAAAAATGAATAAATTACTTTCTCTAACTTCCAGAGTTAGCAAAGAAAAGAGCCTTTGTTCTCTTATTCACTCATTCCACACTCACACATACAATAAACAAGTAGTTAGTGATCATCATCTATGTACTGAGCATTGTTCTAGATGTTGGGTTTTCAACAGGAAAAAAAAAGACATAAAGTGTTACCCTCACTAGGCTTAAATTCAACTTCCTTTTTAACATTCATTCGTTATTAATGTATCCATTCTATATTTTCTGAACAATTACTAAGTGTTTGACAGTATACAGGCAAGTGAGGTAAATACTCTGCCCTCGAGGATCTGAGAGTCTCATCGGGTAGATACTATTTTGGTTACTGCCCATCACATCCGCAAGACAAGATTTCTAAAGACATGAATAACAGAGACATGAACCCCAAATAGATCACAAATGTGAGCTTAAAATAAGACAAGATTGATTAAGGCAGAGGTGAGAGCTGCATTCTTATTATCCTGGCCTGGGAAGGGCTTTGCATTTGTACAGTTATTCTTCTGCTAAATTGATATATTAATCTGTTCAAACAATTGTTTCTGTAATTAAATGAGAGTGAAGAGAACCTACAAAAAGGTCTTATTTAGCTATGTGAGCTGGAATCTGGTGACCTCTCACCCAGACTGTTCAGTGATCAGACAGTGGGAATATGACCTAAAACTGGGTGTTTTAGGTACAGACACAGTTGTCCAAGCAATCATAGAGCTAACTGGCCCCAACATTGCCAATGAACTGTGGTCTGCGGCTTTGTTAATGACATATTCTTTATTTTTCTCAGTCTCATTATCTATTTATTATTCAAAGAGGTTTGGAGTTAGAAGGACCTTAATTGGAATGAGCAGCAAATCTCACTAGTGCAGACAACCTTTCTAGGGCATCCCTGAGAGATGAGTGCCCTCCAAGCTTCTCAAGAATGTCCATCAGTATGCAGCTCGCCAACTTACAAGGAAATGCAACCAAAAAGCAATGCCTTCTGAAATACTCACGTGAGGAGCTAAGCTCACTTGATCTTGGGTATTGATCGACCACTGCCCTTCTTTCCCAGCATAGGTCAGCTAAGGGCGTGTGGGCGGAGCTTATGTGTCTCTGTCCATGGTCCTTATTACCAGGGCAAAACGAAGGAGGCAGAAGGAAGAGAAGAAGGTAGAGGAAGCAGGGAGGAGGAGGAGAGGGGGGAGAGAGAGAGAGAGAGAGAGAGAGAGAGAGAGAGTGGGAGACTATTGGAGGCACATTATTGTTTTGACATGGTTTTCAAGTAATTGCAGTTACCAAGAAAGAAAATTGTTTTCCTTTGGAAAGTCGAGAGAGCATTTACTTTCTCTTCACCTCCCCAACTCCATCCTTGTGAGATCAAAGCTGGCAGTCGGCAGATTTGTTATGTTCCAATTCCTGTGTTGAGACTCTGCCCTGCACAGCCGTGGGTTGAAGAGAATGTTAGGAATCCGGCTTTATTTTTAAGGAGAGGGGCTGCTCCTCATCTGCCCACTAGGGCTTGGACTGCAGCCGTCATTGCCATCTTCACCTAGAAAGTGCAAGAGGGCAAATAGGAAAAGTGAGTTCTAATCCTGCTTCTGCATTCCCGTGCTATGTGGCCACAGACAAGCATCTTTTCCACAACTAAGGGAGTCAGGCTAAACAAATGTTGAAGTCATCCATCCCTCTTCTAGTATTCTGAGATTCCTCGGCCAATTTTTTTTTAAGGAGTGAAAGAAATGACCACATTTCTCACTTAAAATTGCCAAAAAGGGCATTTGTACACTATTAGGGAACTACTGGGCCAAACAGCAGAAATTCAAAAGCATCAGAAATACTTCTCTGCCTCCCATAAGGTTGACCATCCAGAGCCTTCTGTGCTCAGTACTGTACTCACTCACTCTTCACAGCACCTCAGGGAGCTAAATGCTGTTGCAACCCCCAACTTACAGATAAGGAAACTGAAGCCCAAGATGAAGTGACTTATTTGAGATCACCCTGGGGAGGTGAAACGCTGAACCTTAGCTGCTTGAGTCCAAATTATTTCCATTCTACTGGGATGCTGAATCAAGGGTGGTTTTAAACATACAATCTGCCCTGGCCAGCCCCACCAACCAGGGGAAAATGCCCAGGCTCCCCTAACCCCTCTGAAGTGCTTCTTCTCTGGCTTCTTGGGTACCAGATTCCCACTTAGTAATCTGCCAAATAGTCTTCTTTCTAGGATGCAGGTGATGCCAAGATCCAGTCCCAAGCAGAGAGACCTAAAGCTGGCTTTTAATTATAAGGCCCATGATGGTTTGTTGTGACTTAGACAATAAGCATTCTGAGACAGGTTCCAAGACCTGGGGAAATCATCATTAAACAAACAAAGAGGCAAGACTTGTGCAGGACTCATATCAGAGGACATAAGGAGGGAGAAGAAGGGATGAGAATCTTTCCTAAATAATGCACTGCTTCTTCAAGACCCATGCCTGAGACAAACAGGATTATTAAGGTGGGAAACTAGCCTGTTTCACCTCTCTCTAATTAGAACTCCCTACACCTCCCAAACAAGAGAAGGGAAAGCAACTCTGTTTTCTGTCCATGTCTGCCCAGCCAGGGAAAGAATATTAAGTCTCAGAGCAAGGGTCGGGCACGGTGGCTCACGCCTGTAATCCCAGCACTTTGGGAGGCCAAGGCAGGCAGATGATCTGAGGTCAGGAGTTTGAGACCAGCCTGATCAACATGGTGAAACCCTGTCTCTACTAAAAATACAAAAATTAGCCAGGCATGGTAGCAGGCGCCTGTAATCTCAGCTACTCTGGAGGCTGAGGCAGGAGAATCACTTGAACCTGGGAGGCAGAGGTGGCAGTGAGCTGATATCATGCCATTGCACTCCAGCCTGGGCAAAAAGAGCCAAACTCCATTGCAAAAAAAAAAAAAAGTCTCAGAGCACGAAGGAACTTGAAGAACCCCCAGTGTAGGTCACCCCCTACCCACCCTAAACTTGTGCTAGCTCTGGACAACTCTAAACATGAGAATGGTTTTCTTTGATTGAGGCAAGATCTGTGTTCCTGAACCTTGAGAGCTTCACCTATCTTAGGTGTTCTTCTCTCTTTCAAAATTCACTGGGGACATATTTCCTAAAGTCTATATTGTGTGTGTCAGACACTGGGCTAGATTCTGGGGACAGGATGGTAAACAGGAACAGTCCTTGTCTTCAGTGGCACACTGGTACTTGCCACATTCCCCAAGTCTTGTCCTTTCCAGGTTAAACTCTTACAGTTTCTTCAATTGTTTGTTTTAGGCTATGGTTCTGGTCATCTCAAGATGAGCAATTTGTCCTCTCAGAGTCACACACCTGATACATAAGTCAGTCCCATGGGAGCCACAGTCGTTTCTCAGCCCTCACACATTCCACACCCAAACTCACCCATTTACAGTTCAACCATTCAAAACATAGTTACTGAATACCTACCGGGTACTGAGGGTCCAATTGGGAAGAAGAATAGACATGGGGGCTTTCATACTGTTGAAAGTAGGAGACATTCATCAAAGAGGCAGAAGAATAAATCTATTAGTGCCACTGGTGTCATGTGTGATGCTGGAATGAACAGGCAATGAGGAAGAGTCACGTATGGGGGTGGGAACTGACCCAGCTAGGGGATGCAGGGGAGGCTTCTGGGAAGAGGTGCGCTTCAGATCAAGACCTGAATGATGAGAGGTTGAGCACGTGATGCCCAGGCAGAAGGATGAGCACTGGGGAGGCCCAAAGATGACCATGAGGATGCTCCATGAGGATGCTGTATCTGAAGACATGAAAAGAGGCCTTGAGGTTGGAGCAAGAACAAAGGGATCTATGATGGAGCCGAAAAAAGAGCCAAAACCAGGTCATATGGACCCTTCTTTGCCAAGCAAAGGCCTTTGGAATTTTTTCCAAGAGCAATTGGGAGCCACTGAAAGTTAGAGGCAGGGAATGGTGTGAGCTGTTTCGTATCTTAGTACATGGAGGGGAAGGAGTAAGTGCAGAAAAGAGGGTGCCAGAACGGAGGTGATTTTAATGGGCCACACCCCACATTCTCACATGCTCTCGTTCCTCCCCCACTTCCACACATACTCCTAGAGTTTCAAGACGAGATGGGCAGACATAAACGAAGGAAAGCTAGTCTGTGTGAGTGCCAGGGCATAGATGGGGCGGGAGCGGTTGGGGTGCCTCATCTCCCATCTTTCTGCCTGGTCCCCTCGGCCTCAGCTTCCTCATCTGTAAAATGGGAGCTTGAGGAGTAGGCATCACATATAGATGGAACTTCAGAAAATCTCTTATATAAAGTTTCTATGTGTGTGTGAGGCTTCTATGCCCAATAGAAATGAACATCCTGAAAGGTAATGAGTTGTCCATCACTAGAGGTATTCAAGCAGATGCTGGGGAACTCAAAAGGGAAGAATGAAGCTAAGTAGTGATTTTCCCCTTACTTTCTACCAGTTATTGGGACAGATGTTTTTACACCTTATGACATGCTTTTAACAGAAAAGTAAGGTCAGGATTATCAACCCTCTCTCACAGAGGAGGAAATTGAGGCCTCATACAAGCAAAGTGACTTGCCCAAGGTCACTCAACTAGGAATGAAGAAAGCTATGACGTTTCAGATGTGTACTGCATGCCACAGACTATGATAAGTTCTTAACATTTGTAATACTGTTTAATCTCATAATACCGTGAGGTCCATTGTTGTCCCTATTATATGGATGAGAAAACCGAGACAAAGGGAGGCTTGATGACTCGCCCAGCGCCATGAAATGAGGAGCTAAGAATGTCTGAATCTTATCTCTAGAGCCCTGATTCTGACCCTCAACACCAAATTCCCTCTTAAAACTTCAACTCTCATGTTCCAAGTCAATGCTGACTGACCCTGGAGTCCATCCTCTATGCCTGCAGACGCAGCAGCCCCTCAGCCCTCTGCTCACCTGTGTGTTTCCTTTTGTATTCATTTCATCAGGCTACTGGAACAAAGCACCACAAACTGAGTGGCACAGAACAACAGAAATGGGCTGACTCACAGCTCTGGAAGGCGGAAGTCTAAAATCAAGTGCCGGCACAGCTGTGTCCCCTGAGGATGCTCTGTTCCAGGCCCCTCTCCTAGCCTCCAATAGTTTGCTGGTTTCAGCAGCATAACTCCAGTCTCCACATGGCATTCTCCTTGCGTGTGTGTGTGTCTGTGTCCAAATCTCCCCTTTATATAAGGGTACCAGTCATATTGGATTAGGGAACACTCTACTGCAGCATAATCTCATCCTACTTAATAACATCTGCAACCACCCTATTTCCACATAAGGTCACTTTCAGAGGTACTGGAGTTAGGGATTCAGCACAGGAATGCTGGAGGGGACACAACTCAACTCATAACTCCATCCAACGCCATGCATCTTTTCCTATAGGGAGCAGGTAAGAAGCTCTAATTGACCCTGGGTTCCTAAGGGCCTCAAATCCCCTTCTTCCATTCTGCAGCACCCACCAGCCTCACTGCTCTGTCCCAGTCCCCAAGGCCCTACATTGGATCCTGGCATCACCTTGCATTAGTGACAGCCTGCAGCCTGGCTTCCTCTGAGGTGGATCAGTCAGGAAATGAAGAAGAAGCCCACGTCCCTTCCAGAGAAGGCAGGTGAATATTTCATACAGTGCAAGAGAGTGGAATTCCATACAGCCACCTCCTGCAAATGCAACATGACACCTCGTAATGGGCGATATCAGTACAAATCCAGTCTCGTGGCAGCCCGGGGCCTCCTGGTAATTCCTCACATATTGTGCTCATGTCACTGTAAATACAATCGCCAAGCTCTGGCTCCCAACACAGCCACTGGATGAAAGAGGATCATTCCCATTTCTGCAGCTGAGTAGACTGAGGCTCATGGAAGGTAATTTGCCTTTAATCACACAGAGGGTGAATGGTGCTCAGGCAGAAGCCAAGGATGCAGAGAAGGAATGAGCAAGGTTGGTCCCCCAGTGCCATGTCTGCAAAGAGCAGGAACCAAGATAGGGGTGTTTAGTGGGACAAGAAATAGGGAAGTGAGGATGGGGCAGGAATGAGGAACGGAGATGGTTGGACAGAAAAAGAGGTAGAGACTGGAGTATAAGCAGAAAGGAAATAGAGCCCAAGGAAATCACTGGAAATTGGATGGGCTTGGTCAAGAGGTTGAGTCAGCAGCTGGGGAAAGGAGAAACCAAAGTCAGACATCTATGAGTGGGCCCTGACCCATCGTGGGTTTTGACAGAGAGGGATCCCGGGTCAGATGGAGAGTGCGTCAGGCTTCTTCTTGATTGGGTCGTTGGAGGGGGACCCAGCCAATGCCTGGGAGGATAAAGGAGACTGTTCAGTCCCTAGGATGAAGATGGAACTTCAAAGCAGTCTCCAGTTTATTTTCTGCAGGAAATCTGCAGCACCAAAGAGGGAACTGAGACTGGAGCCTGGATGTGGGGAGATGGGGAGGATGATGGTAATTCTTCTTCCTCCCCAACCCCCAAGTCTATTCTACTTTATTCTCTGTTCTGCTCTGGGTCCTGGGAGGCTGGCCCCTGAACACTATATCACCTAGTCTTCTAGGTTGGGGTGAGATAATGAAACTGGGTGGAGGGGGGATGTGGTCAGCCAGATACCAAAGAGCAAGTAGAGGTCTTGCCACAATGAAGAGAGGAATCACTTGAGGATGAAGTCATCACAGAGGAAAGAGAGGCTGGAGAATAAATGCCTGTGTACTTTATTCAGGCGCTTGGATTCAGCCGTGCCTGAAGGCCTACTAATGATCCAACAAGTTTTCTTCTTCCCTTAAACTAGCCTCTGCATCTGAAAGAGTCCTGATCCACCCAGGCAACCTTGCAACATTGTAAAAAGAGTAATTAACTTGTAATTAGACCGACCAGGGTTGTAACCACAGCTCTGCATGACCTCGTGCAAGATACACTGCTGCTCTCTGAATCTATTCTTTCACACCTGCAATCTCCAGGAGACAAGAACAAAATAAAATCATCCCTGTAAAAGCCCCTAGATTATATTAGGTACATCCAAAAATGAGAGTTTATCTTGAACTCTCTCCCTTTTCTGGGTCCCAGTACCATAATAAGAAAAATGTGATTCTTAGCATTGATGAGCTTATACATTCCATGAGTCAACCCATATGCTGTCTTATACCATCACGTTTTCTTCCATCCCCTGAAATATTAGTAAAAAGCTATCAGCCTGTGATCATGTGCAAGTGGCATAATTTCCTTGTTACTCACTTTCCCCAAATGTATAATGAAGACATTAATATTATTTACCATATGGAATTGTTGTGAAACTAACCTAGTTCATGCATCCAAAGTGTTAGAACTGGATGTTGAATGTAGTAAGTACTCAATACATACTGGTTATTTTGTTAGTGGTAGTGGTTTTCACAGTAGTAGTAAGTATTGTTATTATAGAGAACCTTCTCTGGCATATACATCTATATCTCCACCATCTCATTTACACCTAGACAACATAACCCTGTGAGATTGCTAATGGATACTGTCCCAGATGCACAGATCAGGAAACTGCCTTACAGAAGTTGCATTGCTTACCTGAGTCTTGAGCAGGGATTTGAATACAAGTGTGCCCAATTCCAAGCCCTGTGTGTTTCAGGACGACAGGGTATCACCACCCCACCCAAGTCCAGCCGGCCATAACCTCTGCACTTAGAAACGCAGTTGGCCTGTGGGTCCTTTGGATACACTGCAAGCATAAATTCTCTGGAGAATGTTCCCAGAAGTTTGCTTCTGAAGCCGTCTCCCTCTGCAAGTACACTTTCTTTTCATGTGAATGAAACCCACTAAATGGTATGGTGTCTGCTCTAATTATAGGCTCCCCAGCCGGTGCCAAGAGGAAGTTGGTTAATGTACACTTGAGTAGATTTCAAATCGGATTTTGTGAGTCCCCAGCAAGAGGGAAGGAGGCCAACTTCTCCCCCGGAGGAGAGTAACAGGAAATGCTGTCAGCACAGGAGTCTTCCCAGTTCGCCTCCTGCCAGAGCAGGTGATGCCCTCTACTTCCCAGGTTGCAGAGGCCTCTCCCTGACTCCTTTTCCTCTGCCCCTGGCCTGTCCCAGAAGCTGAGAGCCTGGGGGGAAGGAATGGGAAAAACAAGCCGAGGCGCTGGGATGGAGAAGGTATGGCAAAGCGGAAACAATCCTTTGGAATCAGATGAAACTGGATGCTAAGCCCAAGTATCACATTTCAGCTCAAGTATCACATGCGGGTGCCAGTATTTCCTCATGATGATTCCAGGTAGCTGTGTAGAAACATATGTCATAGTGTTTATTCCACATCTCTCCAATACTTATTCATGGCCTACTTGTGCTGCACTGTACTGCCATGAGTAAGATGGGACCCTGGGCTCCTTGGAACTCCTAGTCCAGCCTGGATGGAGTAAGCCGTCTATGTGCATCCATTTCACACGTCGTGATGAGAGAAGGAGAACACGCCACAGAAAGGAGGGGGCATCTGATCCACCATGGATGCATCAGGGAAGACTTCCTGGAGGAGGCACATCTAGGCTGGGACCTCAAAGAACTCGAATGAGCCCAAGGAAGGGTGGGAAAAGGAGCCCACTTGGAAAAGTCCATGTAAAGGCCCAGAAAGAAATGAAAACAGTGCATTCCAGGAACATCATTTAGAATGGCTGAAAATTGTAAAGAAGAGGCCAAAATGGCAAAAATACAGAAATGCATTTTTGAAAATCATGAAATCTAACACAGCCAGTCAAAATAATATGAACAAGGGATATTTTACAGTGTAGGGATTCAAGAGTTATTGGGTGAGTTTAAAAATGATATTGCCACATGAGCCCTACTGAAACAAAAAAAGAAGAAAGTAATATACGTGTGCATGTGTTCTAAAAGACTCTGGAAGGATATACATAAAAATTAGAATAGTAATTATCTCCAGGGGATGGAATTATGGATGAGTTTTCTTTTCTTCTTTTTTTTTAAATTTCCCAATTTACTGCAATGAGCATGTATTGCATTTGTAATCAGAATATAGTTTTTTAAATAGAAGGAGTGTTATTAGTATAGATCATGATCTACAGATATAGATCTGCTTAGCCTCGTTGCAAGCATTAAGTTTGATTGTTGTGCAAAGTTTCTTATAGAGCAGTGCAGTGTAGACGTCCCTTCCATCGAAATGCCCATGATCATTGTGGGAGCTCCTTGGAGCAGGGGCCAGAAGCCCTTTTCTCCCACGCTTTCACCCCTTCATTCCACATATATGTATGAAGCAGCATGCCAGGGTCTACGGAGACAGAGTTTCACCAGACCCAACTTCTACCTTCAAGGAAGACCGGCAAAGAAAGCTGATGATTACCATTTGGCGTGTGGCCAGAGCTCCGCACAAGAAAGAGCCGTCTCACCAGTGCTTCCAGCAAACCCAGTGTGCACACATACACACTCAGATACACTTACATGGAACTCACACTCTCTTCCTCACACACACCCACACACTGAACTTACCTATCTCCACCCACTCGACACACTCAAACACACTTGCACACTCCACACACATAAGCTCACCAGCAAGACCCCACACACACACACTCACATGCACATGGTCTTGTGTCAAGTGTGGTCAGAGCTCTCTACATCAGATCTCTCGTTTTCATCCATGCCCCTGATGTTTCCATCTCAACCCCAACCCCAGGCAACTCTTGCACACTCAGCTCCAGATTCCCCACCTCCTCTCCAGCCCCTGTAGGCTACAGAGGGGTCCTTTGTAAAGGATGCTTTTTTGTCAGCGCCCAGTTTGGGAACTTGCACAGCTCCCTACGAGATCAAGTCAAAGTCCTGGCTGTGGTTGAACTATTCATTGGTTCTCTCATGTGGACACACATTCACTCATGCCAGTGGCTCCAGCACTGTGCTAAGTGCTGAGCTGCCAGTTGAGATAGCCTCACCACCATTCCACAGAGTGGACAGTCATACTACTCAAACCACCTCTCCCTGCCTTCCATTCTTGGCCCTGCAGTCCTCCCTTACCTGGGCTTCCATAACTTTCTAATCAGAAAACCATTTAACAGCTACATTATAAATGTGCCAGACTACATGGCAGGCATTTTGCCCTCATGATACCTCATTTAAACTTCACAGGAACCGTTTATACGAGAACAAGTGAAGGAGAAAGAACTTTTTGAAACTTGAAGGATGAGTGTGGATTAATCGCAGCTGAATTGAGCATGTATTCTAGCCAAACACTGATAAGTGCTTTATTTGTGTTATTTTATTTAAGCTACATAATAGATCTATGTTTTTGTCATTCCCATTTTACAGATAAGAAAGGTCCAGGGAGGAGAAATTACATGCCTAATGAGTGTAATAGTAAGGACTCTTGGCAACTCTTGATATAAGTCCAATTCAAAAAAACCACCTTAAGCCAATAAAAGGAGCTTATAGGCTGAAATAGCAGAAAAAGTCTAAGGGTTCAGTCACTGTCTGCAGAAGAGCAAAAAGAAAAAAAACGTATAAGGGAACAGCATCAGGTATGGCTGGATCTAGGTTCTCAGGAATCTGTCTTTCTCCATCTCTTGGTATCTTTCTTTTGTGATAGCTTTATTTTCATGAAGACTTTCCCCTCATGCAGGTAAGATGACCATAAGCAACTAACTCTAGGTGTTCTTCAAACCAATTCAGCAACCACAGCAGAATCCCAAGTCTTATTGGACCAACTGAAGACCATATAACCATCCTCCCTGTTCTGTATGGACAGAAGGATTGCAAAGTGCTGGTTGTCCAGGCCAGGCCCAACCCTGAGGCTGGGAAGGGGTGCAGAGTATAGGGGAGGACCATTTCCACAAGGGAAGAAGAAGAATATGCTACCAAGCCCCTAGAACATTCATAAGGCAGCCAAGCTGCAAGTGCCCACTACCTGGGGATCAGACCGAGTGCCACCTCACTCACAGCCTGCGTGTTAACTGGTTTGCTCAATCCCTCCATTTTGATTGCCTCCTAATTCTCTGGCCCTGAGCTGACCCCACTGGGAGCCCCTTCCCACAGCCCTCAGCCCTGAGCGCTGATACTTAACAGTCATGCCAAGCGAATGATGGATGGTGGCTGCTTCCAAGACTCTTCAAAGGAGACAGGCAGCTGCCGGCTTGGAAAACGACTCCTGCAGGGACAAAACCCAAATGCAAACACACACTGTGGGACCACTTTGGCTTTTTGTGCATTCTCCCTTTTGGCCCCCTGCTCTTGTTTGCAATTTGCACTGCAGGGCATTGGGCAAAGCAAAATGTCCCAGGCTGCCCTGGAGAGTAGAAATCTTAACAAAAGGAATCGTGTGACTATCCTAGCACCTGAATAGATATCTTCCCCTTTCAATTCTTAGAAGTTCCCAGAGGCTTCTTGTCCTACCCTTCCTGCAAAGAAGAGGAGGTCCGGCCGGGTTCGGTGGCTCACGCCTGTAATCCCAACACTTTGGGAGGCCGAGGCAGGCGGATCATGAGGTCAGGAGTTCGAGACCAGCCTGGCCAACATGCTGAAACCCTGTCTGTACTAAAAGTACAAAAATTAGCCGGGCATGGTGGCACATGCCTGTAATCCCAGCTACTCAGGAGGCTGAGGCAGGAGAATCACTGGAACCTGGGAAGGGGAGGTTGCAGTGAGCCGAGATGGCTCCATTGTACTCCACCCTGGTCAACAGAGTGAGACTCCGTCTCAAAAAAAAAAAAAAAAAAAAAAGGAAGAGGAGGTCCAGGAGGTACAACTTGCCCAAAGTCTGCACAGCCAAGGAGTGGTGGCAGAGCTAGGGTTTGTGGAAAGAAAGAAGAGAACTGATATTGACTGAGCACCGACTACATGCCAGTCTTATGCTGGGGGCTTTACCTGAGTTTTAGCTGCTTGCTCAAATGATAGGGCACAGCTATAGGGACAAAGCCTTGATGCATGAGGCAGAAAAGGGTGCAAGTCCAATACTATACCCCAGCTTTGCAGTGTGTCCTTGAACGAGCCACTTCTCATTGCCCGGGCCTCAGTTTCTCCATTTAGAAAATGGAATGAATGGCCTCAACATATTTGGATTGTGTGATAAAGACCATTCTTGGGATCAGAGGGCCCTCTGGGTGTCTTTTTAGCCATGCGAACCAGAACTGGTGCCACAAATTGATTACATGAGCAGCTGCAGCATTGAATGAGGAAACACGACTAAGCCAATAAGGTCTTAACTCTTAAGCCAAGCCTTTCCTGATGCAAGCCCTGCCATCCCCTGCAGCTTCCATCTCTGACTCCATCTCTCACACTCTGTGCCCCACCACTTCGAAACACTTGAACTTTTAGAACAATCCTGATCTCTGTCACCTCCGGGCCTTTGCCCAGGCTGTTTCCTCTGCCGGGGACTCCTTTTCCTTCCACCCATTCTCTCTTGCTAATTTTTACTTATTGTTCTGTGTCTGTCTTTCTCTTTCTTTCTTTCTTTTCTTTCTTTCTTTCTTTCTTCCTTCCTTCCTTTCTTTCTTCCTCTTCTTTCTCTCTCTCCTTCTTTCTTTTCTTTTTCTTTCTTTCTTTTCTTTCTTTCTTCTTTCTTTCTTTCCTTCTTTCCTTCTTTCCTTCTTTCTTTCTTTCCTTCCTTCCTTCCTTCTCTCTCTTTCTTTCTTTCTTTCTTTCTGTCTTTCTTTCTTTCTTTCTTTTCTTTCTTTCTGTCTTTCACAGGATCTTGCTTTGTTGCCCAGGCTGGATGCAGTGGTATGATCTTCTATTTCTTCCAGGGCTTCACCTCTAAAATTTGTTTAGGTGTTTCTTTTGTACATCCATGGGCTCGTGCATTCGCTATCAGGCACTTTTTGCCATGTTGTGGTTTCCCATCGACTTGTCTGTCTTCCCCACCAAATTATAAACTCCATGAGGACAGGACAAAGTCTGTTCACAGCTGCATCCCTGGTGCCTAGCTCTGGGCCTGGCACACAGGAGGTACAGAAAAAGAGTGAATCCCGTTAAATTAGAGCAGCAATGGAAATCTGTGATCTTCCTGGGAAGATTATGCCACAGAAGACCCCTCAAAGTATCAAACAGAGGGTCTTTTGCTCCCCTATTTTCCAGAATTGCTTTCATCGAGACATGTTCTCAGTAGTAACAGTGGTGATAGCAGACATAGTCATTGCATTTCTAGCTGTGAGATCAGGAGGGCCCTCTGACCCCCAGAATGGTCTTTATCAAACAATTCAGCATGTTGAGGCCATCGTTCCATTTGCTAAATGGAGAAACTGAGTCTCAGATACGGGGAAGTGGCTTGTCCAAGGACACAAAGACACTTGTCCTCTTGTTCTGAAACCATTGTAAGAACCTCCTCCTGGCCTTCCAGAGTCCACGGTAATCCTGCTTCTCCACACGGCAGCCAGAGTGGCCTTTCAAAAGACAGATCAGATCACATTCCCCTCTGGCCACGACCCTTCAATGTGTCCCCATCTTACTAAAAGCCCGTCCTTAAAATTTCCTACAAAGCTTTTGCAGGTTGAATTTTAGAAATAAAAGGGCACAGGGAGGGCTTCCCTGATCCCAGCCAGAATGGCCTTATATTACACAATCTGGGATGAAAGAACCCTTGGGGTCATCAGTTCAATTTATACCTTTTTTTTTTTTCTTTTTTTAGAGAGACGGAGTCTTGCTATGTTGCCCAGGCTGGAGTCCAGTGGTGCAATCATAGCTCATTCCAGCCTCGAACTCCTGGGCTCAAGCAATCCTCTTTAGTAGCTGGGACTACAGGGCTGGCAAATGCACGTAGTTCAATCACACTAAATGGAGAAACTGAGTCCTGAGATGGCACTAAGCATGTACCCTTGGGATCAATACCAGTGGAAAGGAAGGAAAGGCATGAGAACTGGGCAGAGGGAGAAGCCAGGGAGGGATACAGTCCCATGAACAGCCTCCATCAGTCCCGCAGGGAGCCTTGGAACTGGAATGGCCCATCAGAGTTGGACAGCATTGGGCAGAAATGGTCAGACCCTCATATCCCTACTGTGGTCAGTCATCGGATGTGGGAAGCCAGCCATCTGCAGCTAAGCCACCTCTGAACAAGCTGACAGCTGAGGGTCATAGGCTAATGGCAGCACTCTCAGTCACTGTGGTAATAAGCCTTTCCTCCAAGAGAAATCCTAACAAAAGCCCCGCAGAACCTGCCCCCTACCCTCATTCCCTTGCTAACCTCCATTCCAGCCACCCTGGCCTCCTTATTCCTCAAACACGTTATTGCGTTTCTACCTCACAGCCTTTGCCGTTGCTGTTCCCCCCACCTGGAGTTCTTTTTCCCCTGCTAGTCTGATGATTTGTCCCCTCACTGTCTTTAGGACTCTGCTCAAATGTTACCTTATTCAGGCATCCTTCTTGACCTCCCTCCAATAAAAAAAGCAGTCCACCTCTCCTCCCCAACTCCCTGATGCTGCTTCACCATTGCCATCTGACACACGGTGTAAGCCTTGTACGTTTGTCATTTGAGTGCAAGACCCAACAGGGCCTGACTGATCCAGCGCCAAGCCCAGAACCGGGTATTCTGTAGGAACTCAATAACGGTCTGTAGACCGACCCCATAAGCCTTCAATTCTTCACTTACACCAGAAAAGAAAACAATGGATTTGAGAAGAACCATGTATAGCAGTCCCATGTGTTGGTCTTAGACAGGACGGCAGGCTTACGCATTTGTAGCATGGTAATAAAGTTGGGGCTGTTACCATTATTTTAATTCTCATTATCTCTGTTTAACACAGGAGGCAGCCAAGGTGGGCACAGGAAAAAGGACTCACCCAAGGTCACGCATCAGGAAGCAGCTGAGCCATCGTAAGAGCCTGGGACTGACTGACTTCACGACTCCCCTGACACTGCATGGGCATGGAAGGAACTCCTCAGGGTTCCCCTGATATTGCAGGGGTGTGGAAGGAACTCCTTAGGGCAGCTGCTTCTCAACTCAGGTGGTGCTGCCACCCCCAGGGCCCCTTAGCTATTCCTCTTACTTCCTGCTTGAATCTGCAATTGCGTCTCTGAACAGAATGGTGTTTATTAACTTCCCACTGAGCTTATTACTGAGCAGACACCTTATCACCTGCCACCTGTATGCTGAGCTGAGACTAGCAATTCCCAGGCCATAAATAGCCCTAATCTCTATCCCATGGAGCCAGGGGCCACCAGCTTTGCCCAGAAGTTGAAATCAAAGGCCAGGAGCTGGCTCTTTTTCTGTCCCCACCCCTGGCCACCACTCTAGGGCCATAATTCAGGCATGAGGTCATCGAGTCAGCCAGATCTCTCTGGTCTCCCTGCTTCAATTCAGCGTTTCTTTTGGTGGCATGACAAAGTCACTGCCATGTAGCATTCATTCTCAGCATGGCTGAAGAGTACCCTGGTTGGAACTTTCTGTGATAATGTGGCAAAGTGTCAGACAGACACAAGCTGTGCCTCAGACTCACTCTGATCTCTTGGGTAAGCTGGCCAACCTCTCTGAACCTCAGTTTTCCCATCTCTGTAATGGGCATAATCATTCCTCTATGACTGTTTGCTGTGGTTTAAATGAAACAATGGATGCTTTGAGCGCAGGACAGGACTGAGAGCTCAATCAATCAAGGCCAACTTCTCCATTTGGCACAGTAGGCAGAGTATCTAGGGACCACAATACACCTAGGGGCCCACAAAAATGCTTTCGTTTCTTTTAATTATTATTATTTTTGTTTTATTTTATTTTTGTAAAGAGGAGGTCTCACTCATCTTGCCCAGGCTGGTCTCAAACTGCTGGCCTCAAGCAATCTTCTCGCCTTGGCCTCCCAAAGTACTGAATTATAGGCATGAGTCACTCACTGCCAGTGAGCCGTGTGGACTTGGTAAAGTCACCAACTTCTCCGATTCTCCTTATCTTGAAAACAGGGGTGATAATCCTCCTCCCTACCCCACAGATGCTGCGACGTTCCAAGCAGATCTCTAAGAGTAAAAACAGATATTTTCCACCATAGTGTGCTATTTTTCTGTCCCTAATGTTATAGTCAATTTTTGCTTTTAATTTTAAAAGAAGTGAGGCAGCCGGACGTGGTGGCTCAAGCCTGTAATCTCAGAACTTTGGGAGGCCGAGGCGGGTGGATCATGAGGTCAGGAGATCGAGACCATCCTGGTTAACACGGTGAAACCCCGTCTCTACTAAAAATACAAAAAATTAGCCGGGCGAGGTGGCGGGCGCCTGTAGTCCCAGCTATTCGGGAGGCTGAGGCAGGAGAATCGCTTGAACCTGGAAGGCGGAGGTTGCAGTGAGCCGAGATTGCACCACTGCACTCCAGCCTGGGTGACAGAGCAAGACTCTGTCTCAAAAAAAAAAAAAAAAAGAGAGAGAGTGAGGCTGGGCGCAGTGGCTCATGCCATTACTTTTAATGGCAAAAACTGCAATTACTTCTGCACCGACCTAATACAACCTGCAGCGTATTCCTCTTTATACCAGCACAGTTCTAAAATGTATTTTTAATTTGTTTTTAATGGTGAGAAGGGCCCATGAATGCAAAAGTACACAAGGAAGACGAAAGTCCTAATTTGGCCCAGCAAATGATGCATGCTCCCTTCTGTTTGAAAGCTAGAGGCAAGACCTGCCTGCAGCCTGGGAGCCAGAAGGATCACTTACGCAGCTTACTTCGTAGCGCTGATGCTCGATGCACTGCGAGGCTTGACAGTCAGCCAATCAGTCCACAATCAGGCCTTTTTCCAACAAAACCCAACCCTTCATTCTTGCAACAAATATTTATTGAGTTTCTACTCTGAGCCAGGCATGGTCTGGGTTCAAATATCAGTGTGAGCACTTGCCGACTGTGTGAACTTGGGAAAGATGCTTGCTGTCGCTCTATGTGCCATCTGTAAAATGGGAATGATAGGATTGTCATCAGAGATAGGAGAATTCATCCAGGTAAAGTATGTAGAAGGGTCCCCCTTGTATGACAAGCACTGCATACAGTTAGCCCCAATTATCAACAGGGATGTGAACTCTGCCCCACTGGAGCCTGCGACAGATCATTAACAAGTCCTTGAATAGACACATTTGCCTTTGTTATGATGAGTGCAATGATGGGATGAACAGAGAACTGAGGTGAATGATAACCAAGAGGGTTGTCTTAAATGGTGTAGCCAGGGAAAGCTCTCTAAGGCAGTGCCATCTAAACAGAGACCTGAAGGAACAAGGAAGCAGCCCTGGGAGGGGAGGAGGGAGCAGCTCATTCAAAGGACTAGAGAAGGAACACCAGGGTGGCCATTGTGATGGAGCCCACAATAGCCCAGGAACTGCCCCTAGAGTGCACAGAGGCAAAGCCTTGTCCAGGTGCCTGTTGCATTTAAAATTCACAGCACCCCCTGGAGGCAGGTGTGGGAATTATCCCCATTTTACAGACGAGGCAACCCTGACCCAGAATCCCTTGGAACCAGACACAGTAGAAAGCATGATGTAATTATCCAGGGGACCCAGATCCTCACCCCAATAGTGACAGTGAGTCGTGTGGACCTGGTAAAATCACCAACTTCTCTGATTCTCCTTATCTTGAAAACAGGGATGATAATGCTCCCCCCTACCCCACAGATGCTGTGACGTTCCAAGCAGACATCTAAGAGTAAAAACAGATATTTTCCACCATAGTGTGCTATTTTTGCTGTCCCTAAAAGCAGCCCACATCCCCATCTGAGTGCTAGGAATTTCCCTTAGGACCTGCTGGCAATCTGTCAACCAGGAATTTCTCTGCATCTTCTTACATTTAGAAATATATTTTTTCCTAGGGCATCTCTAATAGCCCAAGTTTCCTAGATACTACATACTGGTTGGGAAAACAGGACTGTTTGGGATTTCATCCTAAAACAATTTCCCTTGATTCCGTGGGAGGGGCTGGAAACAAGCTGGACATGCGTCTTCTTCCCTCTCCCATATCTGCAACTTACTGCCCACTCTCCAGCCTTCCATCTCTCTATCTGTCCCATCCAAGCCACTCTTGAATGGCCGTTGTCTCTAAACTGAGATCTATACTTTCTCTTCCCCAGTCCCTTTTCCAACCAGGAGGGATCTTGTCAAAACCAAACCCGATTGTGTCACTCCCTGCTTAAGACTCTTTAATGTTTTATTCCCAGAATCCAAAGCAATTCTTGATCGTGGCCTCAAAGGCGTGCATGGTCTGGGATCTGCCAGCCTCCCTTTCTGTCTACCTTCCTCTCCTACCACTGTGCACTCTTCCCAGGTCTTACACTCCCCGTGACCCTGCTGCCACAGGGCCTTTGCACTGGTTTCTTCTGCCTGGAATATTCTGGCCACATGCTTCATTACCCACTCACTTGTCCCTGATGAAGCCTTACCTCCTCCGAAACGTCTTGCCTAATCTTCTGGCTACAGAGAATGCCTGTCCCTTTCTAGCTGACTCCTTACTTGGTTTTTCTTCATAACCTGTATGAAACCCATACAAAAGAGTATGGTCTCCCTGTGTAACATCTGTCCCTCAACAGAATGCTGTCTCCATCTCTCCTAGAAGTCCCAGGGTGGGGCATGACCCCTTTCTGTCGTGAAAGCTGCTGAGGAACCCAGCTTGGGAACTGACTGGATGAGCCCCAGAGACTCAAGAGGAGACAGACCCTCTGTCCTTGACTAGGAAGCACAGCTGGCTCCAACAGGTGGAGGTAGGGGGCATTCAGGGCTGGAAAACGCTTGCTGGAAGCATCTGTGGATGCATAATCCCTACATCTGCAGACCAAGGGAAACAAGCTGTGGGGACCAAACACTTCTGTGCAAGCGAAGGAAGACAGGGCAGAGAGCAAAAGATCTGACTGGACATGTGCGGTTGAGTTTAAATCACAGCAAGGAGACGGCTGAACCTGGAGCAGAGTGAGTGAAGAGGAGATGGCAGGTGGAGTGTGCAGAACCTTGTAGTGTAGTCCTGGTAAAAACAATCAGACTTCATGCTGAGTAAGATGGAAAGCCACTGAACACACAAGTGGCCTGGTCTGATTTGCTTTGTGAAACATCACTTAGGCCAGGCACGGCAGCTCATGCCTGTAATCCCAGCACTTTGGGAGGCCGAGGCAGGCGGATCACGAGGTCAGGAGTTCGAGACCAGCCTGGCCAACATGGTGAAACCCTGTCTCTACTAAAAATACAAAAATTAGCCAGGCATGGTGGTGTGCACCTGTAATCCCAGCTACTCGAGAGGCTGAGGCAGGAGAATAGCTTGAACCCAGGAGGCGGAGGTTGCAGTGAGCTGAGATCGCACCATTGCACTCCGGCCTGGGACAGAGCGAGACTCTGTCTCACAAAAACAAACAAACAACAACAACAAACAAAAACATCACTTTGGCTGCTGGGTTTTTCCTTCTACCATTATGAGCTGTTGACACCTGCATTGTTCTACCTAGATCCGTGTGTCTCTCTGGACAGCCCCCATGGGATGATCTCCAGCTCCTTGACTTCAGCGTGCTTTATAAACTCAGTATCTTCCTTTTACCCAGAACTGCTTCTCTTCACAGGCCCCAGCTCAGCAGATGGTGCCAAACTCCACCCAGCCCCCTGAGGCCAGAAAGCATCCTTGTCATCTCCTTCTTCCAGCTCCATACCTGGTCCATCACCATGTCTTGTTAGGGAGACCTCCCAGCATCACTTACACCTTCCCACCTCTTGCCACCCTGGCTGGGCCCACTCTAGGGCCAGGCACCTTATCTTTTGCCTGAACAACCTCGGCAGCCTCCTCCATGGTCTTCCTGCCTCCATTTTTGCCCCCTTAGAATAAACTTTCCGCCAGCACCCAGAGGACTCATTCTAAAATGTAAGTTTCTGGCAGGTGCTCTGGTGGCTTGCACCTGTAATCCCAGCACTTTGGGAGGTCGAGGTAGGAGGGTTACTTGAGGATAAGAGTTTGCGAGCAGCCTGGGCAACATAGTGAGACCCTGTCTCTACAAGAAATTTAAAAATTAGCCAAGCATGGTGATGCAGGCCTGTAGTCCCAGCAATTTAGGAGACCGAGGCAGGAGGATACTTTGAGCCTGCCCTGGAGTTAGAGACTGCAGTGAGCTATGATCACACCACTACCCTCCAGCCTGGGTAACAGAGCAAACCCTGGCCCCATGGCCAACAGAAAGAAACAAAACAAAACAAAAAAAACTTGCTCTGGTGGTCCCCCAGTCCCTAACACAACAGACACATCTCTTTCTTCCCAAGCCAGAGGTGTGGCTTGAGGTGTGGATAGGTGGGTTTTATCTTTTCCTACCCAAATATGTGGTTGTGAATACTGACCCCTTGAGAACATATATACTCATTGAAACCTTCTTGAACAATTGAGCTCAGATTCAGAGCATATGCAGGACAAGTCACTCATTTGATAGATGAGAATTCTGCAGCATGGAGAGGCTTAGTGACTTGCACAAGGTCACTCAGGAAATCTGGAACCAGAACCGGGGCATGCCCTCATGCCCATATATGCTAATTCCCATGCCTCAGTGAGAGTGCAGATATACTTGTGATATTGTCCTGGCTTGATTTCTGAATCCAAACTTCCCCGGCTGTAGTAGGTTCAATAAAGGCCCCCAATACATCCACATCCAAATCTCCAAAACCTGTGAATATGTTATCTTACATGGCAAAAGGGGCTTTGCAGATGTGATTACATTAGGGATTTTGAGACAGGATATTATCCTGGGTTAGCCAGGAAAGACCAATTTGATCATGAAGATTCTTATAAAGGGAGTCGGGGGCAGGATGGACAGGGGTGCAAGTAAAAGAGAAAAGATGTGGTCAAAGAGAGCAGGGGAGTGACTGGGATATGCTACCCTGTTGGCTTTAAAGCTGAAGGAAGGGGTCATGAACCAAGGAGTGTTTCTAGAAGCTGGAAAAGGCAAGGTTCTTTTCCTGGAGCCGCCAGAAGGAATGTGGTTGGTCCTTTGGACACCTTGATCTTGAGATTTCTGACTTGCACGTAAGATGGCCCAAAGGAGCTATGTGGGTCGGAGGGAAATGGGTGGCACTCTCAAGTTAAGGTCAATGGAGGAGAGTTTATTTACAAAGGGACTCATTCCAAAGGTGTGGGTGGAATGGAGATAACCTTGGCTGGAAGCAGCTGAGCTACTTCCCCGGCTTAGGCCTGAATGAGGGGAGAGGGAGGCTACCATAACCTAGAAGGAGGGAGAGTGGGGTTAGATCACTTTGATGACCTTCAGTCAAAGGCCACAGCCAGCCCAGGAAACCAGAGGATGAACCCCTGCCCTTCCTCTCCCTCTCCTTTGATCTCCTGCTGGGGATCCTCATTGGCGGAACCCAGCCAGAGCCAGAGAGAATCTGTTGACCTGGTCCACGCATATCAGTTTCCTGGGCTCAGGGCTGGATGGTGAAGGATGGAGATCAGTCTGGAGGGCCAGATTATATCGTGCATAGAGCCTCCCCTGTCTCCAAGCTAAAATCATTCATTAGTTCCCCCTTTTGTCTACCAGTTCAGGTCCAAACTCCTCAGGACGCCCCTCTACACCTCTCTCTACCCTGGTTTCCACTCAGCTGTGCCCCAGCACCCACTCCCATCTTGCCATCAACCCATAAGTGACCACTTAGAGTCCCCCAAAGCATCAGGTCGACCATTCCACATCTCTGTGCCTTTACCCAGGCTGTGCCCACTGCCTGAAATACCCTCCCTACACCTACCACCTGGGCAAAGACCAGCAGGACACTGAGGCCCTCCAGAGCCCGGAATCAGAATCCAACAAACACGGGCTCAAATCCTGACCCTGCCGCTTTCTGGCCGGTTAACCTTGGGGAAGCCAATGCATCTGGATGAGCCTCATCTCATCACCTATAAAATGGGGAGAACGACAAAGTGCACATCATGAAGCTTCTATGAGATCCAAATGAAACAAAGCGGGTAAAGTGCTTGGCAGGTGGTCTTTTGATGAATCAGACCTTGGCAACTTTTAAGAGGCATGTCCCTGCTGATGTCATTCCTGATCTTCTGTCTTTCTAAGTATCACGATCTCGTTTTTTTCTGAGGCTTTCTAAGCCTTGTGTGGACACCTCTAGGGGTCCCTGAAATGCTTTAGTGTGTGGCTCTTTCAGTGGACCAAGTTGCAAGAGAGAAGGACTGGACAGTATTCATGTTTGTGTCCTCAGCATTCAGAGTGTGATAGGTAGACCCTCAGTGAATACTGAGTGAATGAATGAGTGGATGAATGTCAAAATCATCCTCAAATAAACCAGTCTGCCTGCCCCTCCATCTGAATAAAGGTTGATCTACTTTCCTGGTCATCTGTACAGCTAAACAGGGTGCAGGGTGACCTCTCCATGAAGCCGAGGCCAAGGTCACAGCAAATAGAAGGGGTGATAAGGGAGTCACCAGGCCTGGGTGGGGGCTGCAGGCCCCAGCTCATTGCAAATGCAGAGAGAATCCCAGTGGCAGCTCCTTCTCTGGCAGGGAGCACAGGAAAAGACAAGAAAAATGAAGCCACTGCAATCTCATTTTCTGAGGCCTGCAAGTCAGCCAGGAAATAGCTATTATTCCATCGCACTGTCGGTATTAAGTTATTTCCTTCACTAAATACGGGAATGTTCATGAATATCTATTGAGTCCCAGGTACAGACCCCTCCTGGCTCTGAGGCTCAGTCACTCTGACTTTACATTCCTGCAACAACACCCCTCAATCTTGCTCTGAAGTGAAAGACAATAGTATTTTAAATTGGTTAATAAATCTCTGGATTGATGCTTCTTGAAGGCCCGGGAACTTCCTCTCTATTACTCGAATAAAAGGGATCACATTTTAACCACTGCCAGGCCAGGAATTTGGGGGAGCAATTTGAGCCAGCTGCTCCTTCCTTTTCCTGGGGAAGGAGGGGGTTGAGGTTTCAGGATGTTGGGGCAAACAGACCCTCCTGGAAGCTGGGAAATACTCATTTTCTGGCCAATATGGGCCAATCGGACATCTCGGGTCACTTTGGTTTTGATGGCTTTACATTCAGCTAGTTTCCCTGGATTCAAATAAAAGAGACTCAGAAACAGAGCTTAAGGGGGGGAAGTGGAAGTGGGTGTCTGGTAACCTTTTAAAAAGCTCCCAGGCAAAGATAAGGATGGGTCCTGCCTGCGGGGCCACCACTTCCATGCCAGCCGCACTTAGATGGGTGTGGAGTGTCAATCACACTGGAAAATAACTCCCATGTGGGTTTGTACACCTCCTTCCTCTGTGAGCACAGGTAAACTTGGGCATGCCCCTCAGGATGCAGAAAGTTTTGAAATTAGCCAAGCATGGTGTCACACGCCTGTAGTCCCAGCTTCTTGGGAGGCTGAAGCAGGAGAATCGCTTGAACTCAGGAGGTGGAGGTTACAGTGAGCCGAGATTGCACCACTGCACTCCAGCCTGGGTGACAGAGCGAGACTCTGTCAAAAAAAAAAAAAAAAAAAAAAAAAAAAAGGCCCCGCTGATGGGAAATGTGAAGTCAGACAGAAATGCCTCCCCTTTGTAAGTTTC
Source organism: Homo sapiens (assembly GCF_000001405.40). Lineage (NCBI taxonomy): Eukaryota > Metazoa > Chordata > Mammalia > Primates > Hominidae > Homo > Homo sapiens. The sequence goes on along the minus strand of NC_000022.11, from coordinate 26,830,009 downwards.
CTGCCACCTGCTTTATGTCCATTTCTCCATAATCCATCCTCGCACCCTAGAAGGTGGAGAATTCTGACAATTGTCCACAGGCAAGAAAATCCGTGGGTCAGAATCTCTCCTGGAAATTCTCTCCAGTATATTAAGCCAGGGTCCAGCTGCAAGCAGGATCTCAGAAAATAGTGGCAGAATTGGCTGCTGTACAACATCCCCGAATTACAGATGTGCAAACTGAGGCTCAGAAAGAGCACATGGCTTGCTCAGCATCTTGCAGGGAGCTGGCCTGTCCTTTACTCTGCCAAGACAGTTTCGGCACCCATCATGCCCAGGTGCTGACTCGGGTACTAAAGAAACCGAGATGAAGGACAAAAAGACATGGTGGCCACTTTGATGGAGCCCAACATCTCAGGAGGTGCCTGGGGGAGTCGGCTGGGGACAAAGTGAACAGAGAGAACAACAATTTCAGGTGTATCTAATCCCAGGGAAGGAAAGGAAGCAGGATGATGGGATCTGCAGAGTGATGGGATCTGCAGGGTGGGTTGTGGTGGGGCTACGGGTTAGTGGCCATCAAGAGCTGCTCCTCACTTTTCCTGCAGACCCTGGAAAGCTGAGGAGCTGACGCATGTCTCTGAGACCTGGTAAGGTTTTTGGGAGCAGGGATTATATCTGCCTTGAGACCCCAGCTCGCAGCAGACTTGGCTGGCAGCTGATGTTTCGTGTTTGGGGGAGGTGGGCGACTGGAGGGGTTTCGTTGTTATTAATAAGGCTCTGCTCAACATTTCCCTCACCCCTTTATCAGAACACCCCTCAAAACCCTGCTCTGGGTGTGGTGGATATCTCAAGCCAACAGTCTCCTAATTCCAAGGGACATTGTGACCTAAGCTAGGCCAGGCCTTGTCCCTTGCTCTATGCCCTGGCCTCTCTCTCTAACAGGTCCCTCTCACGTGCATGCCTTTGTGCACTCACTGCTTCCTCTTCTTGGACTGATTTCTCCTCCTCCCGTCACCCCTCTTGCCACCTCCCTCACCCTGTGAGCTCCCACTCAAATGTCAAGACTCAGATCAGGAGCGACCTCCTCCAGGAAGCCTTCCCTGACCTCCAGGGAGTGTGTGAGCCTCCTCTGGTCTCCCACCGCTGCCTGAGCTTCCCCAATTACAGCACTGACAGTGGATCACAATCATCCATTTCTATGTCTGTGTCTTACCCTCAGAATGGGACTGTCTCATATTCACCACCTCTGCCAGCACCTAGCATAAGACTCAACACAGAGGTGCTAGTAATACTTGTCAGTGAAACTAACTACTTCTGTTTATCCATTTCAGTAGACAGATTGAAAAAAATAAGCCCCAAGGATCTGCCCTTCCCTATCCCCATGCCCATTGCAATGTAACTTTGAAGCTCTGCCCATTGGAGGATGGAGACTTTTCATCGCCTCTAGAATCTGAGCTGCCCATATGATTTGCCTTGGGCAATAGAATGTGGCAGAAGTGACGTCAGGCCAGTTCTGCACCTAGGTCTTAACAAGCTTTCACTTTCTCTTGTAGAACCCTCCAAGCTCCCATGCAAAGCCCAGGCTAGCCTGCTGGGGGACACAAGACCTGGGGTCTAGTCACCTCCATCGCCCCTGCCAACAGCTAGTCAACCATAGAACATGCAAGTGAGGCCATCCTAGACCAGTCAGCTCTAGCCAACCCACCAGCTTGCATGAGCAGGCCCAGCTGGGATTAGGCAAGCCTGGCTCAGATCAGTAAAACCAACCAGCTGACCTATGAGCCAAAGAAAAAAATATATTGTTATATACTCTTGAGCTTACATTACTGTTTGTTATGCAGCATTAACTGTGCCAATACATAACTAATGCCTTCATTGAAGAGATCTTTCTCCCATGCATAGCACTGGGCATAGCACGTCGCCAATCCAGGTCCCTCCTGGAAACTGTCACCCAACCAAAGGAATCAGAATAGCAGGATCTCTGTGAGATAGGTCAAAGCACAAATCCTAAGGCTGTCTCTGATGGAGCACGTGGAAAGTGACCCCCAGCTGACCCAGTGACCTGTCATCACAGGTGAGGCAGAGGAGCCACGCCACAGGCGCTTCCAGAAAATCTCACAGTCTGGCAAAGGCCTTGCCCAGAATGCTGAATTCTATCTGGGGAATAAAGCCAGACACATCACTCTTTTGGACAAGCAATTTTTTTTTTTGCATAATTGACAATTCTTGGCATATTCTCCCCTTCTCTATGCACAACCTTCCTTTTATGTCACTCATGTACATACCACTCTGAGGTGACTTCCCTGAAAAGTGAACGCCAAAGAGACCTCTGGCTCCTTACCCTTAAATATTCTACTTGTTATAAATTCCCCAAGGAGTCTTCTTAGCTCCAAATATCAGGGGAATTGGAAGGGGGAGTAAGGGGGAAGAAAACACGTTCTCAGAGCAGCTCTTTGTACGTGAGATTCTTTGGTTTGTATTAAAATATTCTCATCTTCCCATAATTTATGGGCACTCCTGGAACTAAGAGGGTCCGCTTTGTCCCTGATCCTCCATTCCAGAAATAAAACTGTTAGTGTCAGAGCGAGTATCTCTGAGAGGGAGGGGGAATAGGACAGAAACTTTCAGAGCATCCAATTTGAGTGATCAGGGAAAGACTCTGCAGACTCACTTCCTGGCCCCACTTGCCAGGGAGTGAGACCCAGCACCAGGCACCTCCCCATCCATGATCTCATTTGATTTTCAGAACGGTCCTGCCAGGATAATATTCTAGTCATTATCAGGTTCCTTTCTGAGAAGAGGAACGTGAGAGTCCTAGGGATGAGATGCCTTCTTAAGAGAGCAGAGCTTGTTTAACATGGGTCTAGAGTTCAAATCCATGTGCAGATGACGCCCCAGTGCTCTCACCAGCCAAACATCCGGAGAAGGAGTGATCACAGAAGGCTACCTGGAAGTGGCAGGACTTAAACTGAGCCTCAGCGCTCAAGAGTCCCAGCTAGCTGTACTTTCTGGGGAAAGAAGTACAATCTATCTTATCCACTCAATTCCCTATAAGACCCTGAAGGGGGCAAAATTCCTGCTGCATCCAGCCCTTTTAAAAATGCATGGATCCCATTTTTCCTTAGATAAAAATCTCTGCTGCATTCTCCTGTGCCAGCTGAGTAAAATTTACTGTCCAGGGTGTGGCATTCAAGGATCTTGTTAATTTGTCTCATTCCACCTTGTTAGCTTTCCATCCCACTATGACCCCTACCTCCCACCCACACACACACACAGATTTATACTTTCAGATATTCCACGTGTTAGTCAAATAACACTTCACCTCTATATACGTAATTTCTCTTCTACATCATTCATGCTAATCCCACTACCTACAACACTCATCTCTGCCTAATGAACTCCTACTCAACCCTCAGAGCCCAAGTCAAACAGCCCTTCAGCTGGGAAGCTTTCCCTTCACTCCTTCATTGACATAGTTCATTGTACACATATCTGGTCAACTAGCACAGTACCAATTGACCCGTAGCAGCATGTTTGTCGTATAGACAGTGAACCTTAAAGATGGGAGCCCAAGTTTTTATCTCTGAATCCTCACAGCTTAGCATGGTGCCTGGCCTTTTGCCCAGAGGTCGTTATAAATGCTTGTTGGATGACTAAATGAACGAGTGAATGAATGGATAAATTTATTGTAGACTTTCAGAAGATGCCCATTGGATGAACCAAAAACTCTGTGACATCTCAGTGCTCAATAAGCACCTTTGATGGAGTGCACAGAAAATCACACTTCTCACTTGAAACCGCTTGTTTTCAGGAGAAGGATTAAAAACAGACAAACTGAAACAAGGCCTCGCAGGTGGTCCAACCCCTCAATGGCCCCATTGGAGGAAAATAGACTTGTGGCGTCTCTGAGCAGCTCTCTGGGTCTGCCTCATTCTCTCACTTGTTCCAAGCCCCAGATAAATCTTTTTTGGACAGGTGGCCCATCTCACCTAATATGAGCAGGAATTGTGGGTTGTCAGACTCAGGGCTCAGTCGAGGAGCTGAGGCTGGGAAGAGTCAGGGAATGTTTGACCAATGGCAGTCTGGGCGTCAGGCAAGGTGCATGCGTCTTTCTTCCAAGATGTCCAGGGCTGGGGAGTCTTGTGGAAATAAGATGGTTGTGCCTGGGAGGCCTCAATTCTGTCCTAACTCTGTCACTCCTTCCCTGGGGACCCCAGCTAAGCCTCCTGGCCTCTCTGGGCCTCAGCTTTCCCATCCACAAAATAGGGTGAAGGAAAAACAAGCTGCTGCTTGGTAGCATCCATCCCATAACAAGGGGAGTCTAGAGACCATTGTCAGACACAAGGAGACTGTGGTCCAGAGAGGTGAGGTGACTTGCTCAAGGCCACACAGCCCAGAAGTGCAAAGGCCGGGATGTGTTCCTGGTCTTGTGACTCCAGAACACACCAATTCCCAAGTTGCATCCGGAGCTGGAGGAACATGGCACAGACCTATGAATCTCAGCATTTACAGCGCCACGGACCCTTGGGGACCACAGCCACGTCGGGGAGCCACAGCAGGCCCATTCACTTCTTTTTTTTTTTTGGCATATTTAATGTATTTATTTATATATGTGTTTTTTTATTTCTTTAAAAATTGTTAAGTTTTATTTATTTTTAAAATCACTTCATTGAGACATGACTGACACCTAAAAACCTGCACCTGGCCTGGCACGGTGGCTCACGCCTACAATCCCAGCACTTTGGGAGGCCGAGGTGGGTGGATCCCAAGGTCAGGAGATGGAGACCATCCTGGCCAACATGGTGAAATCCCATCTCTACTAAAAATACAAAAATTAACTGGGTGTGGTGGCACATGCTTGTAATCCCAGCTACTCGGGAGGCTAAGGCAGGAAAATCACTTGGACCTGGGAGGCGGAGGTTGCAGTGAGCCGAGATCGCACCACTGCACTCCAGCCTGGTGACACAGCAACTCCATCTGAAAGAAAAAAAAAAGAGAAGAAAGAAAGAAAGAAAGAAAGAAAGAAAGAAAGAAAGAAAGAAAGAAAGAAAGAAAGAGAAAAAAGAAAGAAACCTATACCTATTTAAGGCTACAACTACATTAGTCCGGGAATAAGTATACACCAGTGAAGCCATCACCACCATCAAGGCCTTAGGTATATCCACTATCTCCCAAAATTTTCTCCTGTGTCATTTATATTATTAAGAGCATTTAGTGTAAGATCTACCCTCTGAGCAAATTTTAAGTGTACAATACAATATTATTAGCTATAGGCACTATGCTGTAGTATCTAGCTAGTACCTGTCTATAGGCACTTTGCTGTAAAATAGGTCTCCAGATAAGGGGTTAATATCCAAAATAAATAACAAATTCATGCAACTCAGTAGCAAAAAAAGACAACCCAATCACAAGGACCTGAAACAGACATTTCTCCTAAAACAACATACCAGTGGCCATCTACTTTCTTTTTTATTTTTTCCTTGCGATGGAATTTCACTCTTGTCACCCAGGCTGGAGTGCAATGGCACGATCTTGGCTCACTGCAGCCTCTGCTTCCCAGGTTCAAGCAGTTCTCCTGTCTCAGCCTCCCAAGTATCTGGGATTACAGGCACCCACCACCATGCCTGTCTAATTTTTTTTTTTTTTTTTGTATATTTAGTAGAGACATGGTTTTGCTAAGTTGGCCAGACTGGTCTAGAACTCCTGACCTCAGTGATCCACCCACCTCAGCCTTCCAAAGCGTTGGGATTACAGGCGTGAGCCACCACACCAGGCCTGGCCATCTACTTTCAACAGGCATGGTTGAAAGACTCCAGGCAGCCTCTTCCTGTGGCTTTGAGCTCAGGAGAGTGAATGGGAAGAGACAGGATTAAGGACAAAAGTTAACCACTGACCAGGCTTAGCAGTTAAGAATTGCAACGTGGCATCAGGGGCCCCGGGATTATATACTGGCTATGACATGTTGCATGCAGTATGATTCGAGGCAGTATTTCCCGTCTCTGAGCCTCAGTTTTCTCCACTGCAAAACAGGGGTAGTAATATTTCCTTCCAAGGGCTGGTATGATTCTTAATGAGACAGGTCCTGCACCACAGCCCAGAGGTGCTTCTGACACGTAAGGAGCAATGAGCTATTATAATATTACATCTTAGCTAGCAACACAGGTATAAGGTATCATAAAGAAGAAAAGGAGAAAGTGAGCAAGAGAGAATGTGAGAATGCTCTTTTGCTTTACCTTCTGAGCATATGTCCCCACTTCTAGAGCTGCACTGTCCAATACAGTAGCTGCAAGCTACAGTAAGCTACTGAGCGCTTGAAAGGTAGCTCATCTGAATGGAGCTGCGCTGTAAGTTCAAGTGTAAAATCTTTAGAATGAAAAAAAGTGAAACATCTCATTCATCACCGTTTCTATTGATTACATAATGAAATGATAATTTTGATGTATTGGTTAAATTAAATATTAACATTCATTTCACTTGTTACTTGTCAAACTTTTTTAATGAAGCTGCTTGAATTTTTTTTTTAATTTTTGTATATATAGGGAGTACAAGTTCCGATTTCTTACATACATATATTGCATAGATAGCGGTGACATCTGGACTTTTAGTGTACCCATCACCCAAATAGTGAATATTAAATAGAAAATTTAATTAACAAAAGAATTAACAACAAAAATAGAAAAGCTTAAATTACATATGTGGCTTGTATTACATTTGTGTTGGACAGCACTGCTCTAGAAAACTGAAAAAAAAAATCTACATTTAGGAGCTTGGATTCTGAGTTCAGCCACTTTTTGGCTGTGTGAACTAGTATAAGATGCTTGCCCTTTCTGAGCCTTAGTTTTCCTTATCTGTAAAATGGAGATCATTCTTTGAGAAGACATGATGAGAGCCAGATCATTATGTTTGCATCATATAGCACATATTCGATATATATGAGCCTCTTTTCTCTTTCATGGCCAGTTACCTGCTGTGTCCTGGGACAACTCCTGCCCCAGCTGGAGGCTCAGAAGGGATTCCCTGGCTGAGGCATTCAAGCTCTTCTAGCTGGGATCCCTGGGATCTCCAGGGGACACAAGCCTCAGGGAGGATCTTAGATAAATCCCTAGAACTGTGGCTGCAGCCTCTCAGCCTGGTTCCTGGAGCGAGAGGAGGCATTCTCAGATATGGTCAATTGCAAAATATGAATCAAGGTTCTTCCCAACCCTGTGTGTGCACCCTGACTGGACCCCCAGCTTTTGAGGACTCCCTGTGTCTCCTGCCCGGTGTTCACCCCTTTATCATAAAGCTACAGAAATAAGGAAGCAGCAGGAGAGGGGCGAGAGACAAACCTAGCCCTGCCCTTCCCTCCCTGGTTTCCACTCCTGTTTTTCTGCAGGCTGCAGGGCTCTGGACAGGTGAGGACACCCTGCTGGGAGAACTTTCCCTTCCCCATCGTAGCTTGGTTTTCAGGGTTGCCTTCTCTGGCTGGTGAGAAGCCAGGCATTTAATTGAATAGAACCATACAAGGTGGTTGCTATCTTTGCATCCCTGAGAGCTGAGGACACCTGCTGTCCATCCTGCCATGGAGATGAGGCCACTGAATGTTCCCAGGCAGGATGGAGGTTTGAGACTGTCTAGTAGACAGACTCTCCTACACTTTCAAATAGGAGGCAAAAGGGTTGTCGTACCCCCAGGATGGACCTTCCAGGGAGTAGGGATATTGTGACAGAGCCCCAATTACTCTTTATCTCTAGTTTCCCACTGAAAACATCTGCACCTGTTTCCTCCTAACCTAGAACAAGTTGTGGGGTCCTGGTCCCAGCCCTTCACCCAACTTGCTGTGTGCCCTGTGCAATCCTGAGAAAGTCTGTCCCTCTGATTCTTCTCTCTGGGATTCAGTAATATTTAAAAAACACTTCATGGTACTTGAGATAGAGTCAGGGATTTGAATGAGGTAAGCACTAACATTTGCCAGTTGTTAACTTTGTGTAAGTGGCTACATACACCTCCCCAAGCCTCAGTGTTCCTATCTGAGAGATGGGTATATTAATAGTATCTTCCTTACAATGTGGTTTAAATGTAAACGGTTTTGGGGTTTTTTTTTGTGTGTGGGTGGGGGAGGCGGGGATGGAGTCTTGCCGTGTCACCCAGGCTGGAGTGCGATGGCACTATCTCAGCTCACTGCAGCCTCCATCTCCTGCGTCCAAGTGATTCTCCTGCCTCAGCCTCCCAAGTAGCTGGGATTACAAGCACCCGCCACCACACCTGGCTAATTTTTTGTATTTTTTAATAGAGACAGGGTTTCACCATGTTGGTCAGGCTGGTCTCAAACTCCTGACTTCAGGTGATCTGCCCACCTCGGCCTCCCAGAGTGCTGGGATTACAGGCATGAGCCACTGCTCCCAGCCAAATGGTATTTTTTAATAAAGCACTCAACACAGTATCTGACACTCAGCAAATGTTCATTAAATGGTTATTGTCAGTGGTATGCTAGTAAAACGGCTCTCAGGAGTGGGGAGGAGTACTGATTTGTAGCACTAGCCCATTTCTGTGGTGTAAGTACTTCCGCTATAACTTATTTCAACCCAATAGCATAACTTGCTTACAAAACTCCTGAATATTTAACAAAGGACCGGTAGTCAGCTCCAGCACCTTAAGGCCAGTTATTATTGTTGCTAATATTGATGCTATTCAACCAAGCATCTTCGTGTGTTTATTTGTTCCTTTTTGTTTTTCCCTTACGTGGCAAACCTACATAGGATCTCACTTCAACATTAGATTTTGCAAATTAAAACTAGTTTGAAAGCCATCAAAGCAAATGATCGGGTAAGATCTCTTATAGCTCTAAATAACTTCCCAGGGGTTCTACACCCAAGCGCTCCCCTCTTAGAGACAGTGACCTAGACTCCCTGCCAGCCACAGAACCCTGCCCCATGCCCTTTTCCCTCATAGCCCTTCACTGGACAAATGAAAAAATGCACCCCAAAAGAGGGGCACGAAGGACTAAGAAACAGAATTTTCCCCTGATGCATTCTAGCTGCGTAGGCTCTGACAAGTAACCCAGCTCCTCTGAGCTTGTTTCCTCATCTGACTCAGAGAGCTGCCATGAGGGATTGATGAGAAAATTTGCATAAAAGCCCATCACCAAGTAATGCCCAGTAAAAACAGCTATTATTTAAAATACTACTAATAATACAACCACCAAGTCTGGGGCCCCTGCTCCCTGACGGAAAGTCTATGGGGGCCCCCAGTCCTCCTATAAGTTCTGCGAATAGCAGCACAGAGCTGGACCCAGGATCTGAGCACCCCCATCTCCCACTCCCCCTATCCCCAGCCATTTCTCTTCCACCCTCATTGTTCCAGGACTAATTTATTTATTTCCGTCTGAATCCTCAAAGTCTATCAAGCTGTGGAGTAGTTGGATGGATTTTTTAATTAATTGAAGCAGAATCGATGAAAAAGTGATTGTTTTGGCCCTGGCTGGGGGGGGAGCCCAGAGTGGGAAATAAATGGATGGCTTTGTTGTGGGGGGGTTGCCTTATCGAGCCGTGGTTTGGCTATGGGTAGTGAGACCAGGGAGGCCCAGCATGTGCCCTGGGCAGCAGGATGGAGAAGTGAAAAGTGACCAGCACACTCCCACTCCTCAGAGTCCAGGAGATCGGAGTTCAGGCCACCCCACCCCTCTTACCAGCTGTGTGGCCCTGGACCAGTCAACCTTGGTACTTCTCTGAGCCTCTGTTGCCTTGGGGGATTGCTGTGAGGATTAAACTCTGAAACCTACTACAAGATGAATAAATGTTGAAGACATAGTGCTAAGGGGAAGATGCTGGACACCAAAGCACAGATATTGATGACTCTACCTATAGGAGGTACCTAGGATAGGCAAATTCACAGAGACAGAAAGTGGAATAGGGCAATGATCCCCAACCTTTTTGGCACCAGTGACTGGTGGGGGGCGGGGGGTGGGGCAGAAAGCTTTCAGGATGAAACTGTTGCACCTCAGATCATCAGGCATTAGATTCTCATAAGGAATGCACAACCTAGTTCCCTCACATGAGCAGTTCACAATAGGGCTGGTGCTTCTATGAGAATCTAATGCCACCACTGATCTAACAGGAGGCAAAGTTCAGGCAGTAATGCTCACTCACCTGCCGCTCCCCTCCTGCTGTGCAATCCAGTTCCTCACAGGCCACCAACCAGTAGCCATCCTTGGCCTGGGGGTTGGGGACCCCTGGAGTAGAGGGTACCAGAGGCTATGGACTTATCATTTTAAAAGGGACAGAGTTTCTGTCTGCGATGATTCAATATTCTGGAAATGGATAGTGGTGATGTTTGCATGACATTGTGAATGCCCCTAATGCCGTTGAACTGTATGCCTAAAAATGGTTAAAATGGTACATTTTGTCTTGCATATATTTTACCACAACAATAAATAAATAAATAAGGTGTGCTATGTGTTTAGCACTGCCTGGCTCCTAGTAGGTGCTCACTAAATATGCATATATTATTATCATTATTATTATTACTATTATTTTTAAAATTACTGGGGTGAAGTGTCTCAGATGTGATAGACTACAAAATATGACCAAAAATTCTTTCCAACCTATATGCACTCCTCTTTGCAATGTGACTTGGTGACTCCTTTCCTCAAAAGGTAGGTTCTCAGCACTCCCATTATTGGGTGTCTACCCAAAGGAAAATAGATCATCATACTGAAAAGACACATGCATTTGTATGCTCATTACCATGCTGTTCATAATAGCAAGGCATCAAATCAACCCAACTGCCTGTCGACAGTGGAATGGATAAAGAAAATGTGGCACATATACACCAGGAATACTACGCAGCCATAAAGAGAATGAAATCATGTCCTTTGCAGCAACATGGATGCAGCTGGAGGCCGTTATTCTAAGCTAAACATCAAGTACTCATGGACTAAAGATGACAACAATAAACACTAGGGACTACTGAGGGGAGGGAGTGAAGGGGAAAGAACTGAAAAACTACCTATTGGGTACCATGCTCGCTCCCTGGGTGCAATATACCTATGGAACAAACTTGCACATGTGCTCCCTGTATCTAAAATAAAAGCTAAAAGATTTTTTACAGGAAGGGTGGAGTCTTGTTTCCTTGCCCCTTGAATGTGGGCTTGGCCAGTGACTTGCTTTGGCCAATGTTTCCCATGGCTGCTGTAACAAATGGCTACAAACTTAGTGGCTGAAAACAACACAAATGTGTTCTTATTTCCGAAGCTCAGAAGTTCAAAATGAGTCTAAGGGCTAGAGTCAAGGTGTCATCAGACTTCTCCTTCTGGAGGTTCTGGGGTAGAATCTGTTTCCTTGCCTTTTTCAGCTTGTAGGAGCTGCCTGTATTCCTTGGCTTGTGGCCTCTTTTTTCATCTTCAAAGCCCATGGTTCTAGTCTCTGCTTCCATCATCATATCACCTTCTCCTCTTCTGTAGTATCCCTCTGCCTGCTTCTTATAAAGACACTTGTTATAATATCAATGGGCCCACCATAATTCAAGATAGTCTCCCCATTTTAAGATTCTTAAACACATCTTCAAAGTCTCTTTTGCCATAAAAGGTGACATATTTACAGGTTCCAAGGATTAGGACATGGACATCTACAGAGTAGGGGATGGGAGTGCATTATTCAGGCTATGACAATCCATGAGACTTCAGCCAATGTGACAGAGGAAGAAGCTCAAGAGGAGCTTTGCCAAGGAACTTGCCCTCTTTTGCCGGGCCCGGAACCCTTCCATCACAAAGAGTGCAAGCCCATGCTAGCCTACTGGATAATGGGAGACATGCGGCTTATTCACTTCTGCAACCACAGCCAACAGCCAGCCAACCCCAAGGGTGGAACCACACACGCTGACCAGCAGCTGATGGCCACCTCTTGTGTGAACCCAGCCAGGACCAGCAGAAGAACCTCCCAGCTGAGCCCAGCTCAACTTGCCAGACCACAGATTCCCAAGTGAAAGAAGTTGTTCTTGGTTTAAGCCATGGAGGAGTCTCATGTGGTTTGTTAAACAGCAAAAACTAACTGAATCACCAGAGGACCACTGAGAAGCTGAGGGAAGGTAACATTTATTAAACACCAACTGTAATACATGGCACATTTCTCACATGATCTCATTGAACACTCACAAATTCCTCACAAGAAGAGATTAATTGCACCCATACTACAGGTGAGAAAAACTGAGGCTCAGAGAGGGTCTTAAGCAATTGGCTTAAGACCACATGGCTAGGAGTTTGCAGAACCAGGTGCCTGACTCCAGGTCTGCCTGACTCCAAAGTCATGAGTCTTCCAAGAGCCACATCCTGCTCTACAATCATCCTAAGTCAGCATGTTCATATCTGGGGCTGGCTTGCCCTTCCACAGTCTGTTTTCCAACGATTTCCTAGCATATGCCCATGGGTCCACCCATCCCACCACCCAGCCATTCGGTGGTTATTTGTTGAGGCAAGAAAGCACAGCAGTTAAGCATTCAGACTCAGGAATCAGAGTCTGATTCCAGCTCTGGCTCTTCCTGGCTGTGTGACCTTGGGCAAGTCAATTCACCTCTCTGAGCTCAGCTTCCTCTTCATTGATATGGAAAACATGATATCTACTTCACTAAATACTTTGCTTTTTCTGAACAAAGGGAAAATATAAAAATTAGAAAGAAGAATGGATTCTTACTTGGGATACCCGGGCCCCAACTCTGCCCTAAACTCAGTCTCTGACACTTCCTTTCGGAGGCCCTCAGTTTTCCCATCTGTATCCTGAGAGTATGAACTTCAGACCTGTTTCCTCTCTTTCCACAGTTCTATCACCTTAGGATAACAAGCTCTTTCTTCCCCTTCAGCTTAAACTGACATCAGCATGGACCTCCCAACAAATACATTCAATGCCAAGCAGGTTTTGATAATCCAAGGAATGCTGCTATTTATTGACAGTGTCCACCCACCCCATGATAAATTTGCATTGGGGGCTGGATTCAAAAAGAGGGAAAAAAAAGAAAGAAAGAGGGCTGTCTTTGAAGTGAATGACATGAATTATTTCGACCTAACTTACTAATTAAGACCTCATTAGCAGCCCAAATTTGTGATAGATCAGCAGAGGACTTGGCACAATGGTTTAATTTAATGATTTCTTGCATTACTTTGTTAATCATCTTTAGTCTGATTTAATTTATGCCAATGTGACTGTCCTAATTTCTAATTAAGGCATTGATGGCGGGGACAGCCGCCATAGCATAAGAATTTCAATCAAGGCTGATACAAAAGCAGATATGCATTTTTAAGGCCTATAAGATGGCAATTTGCTAAGCCGTCTGCTTATTGTTTTATTCCACCCCCCACTCCCCCCGCCAAAAGTTTGGGGAGGGTCTGGTCTTTGCCTGAGGCAGATGGTTTCTCACTAATCATAGACTTTTACAATCATTGATTTTTTTAAGGCTCTGAAAAAGACCTTAGAGATTAACCAGACCAACCTCCTTATTACACACAAGAGGCAACAGGTGCCAGAGAGGGTAAGGGGCTCACCCAAGGTCACACAGCGAGTTAGCAGGGCCCCAGGAGGAGATCCCAGGCTCACAACCCCCTCCACGGCCACCCACTTGGGAGGCCCCTGGCAGCTCATGCTGGCTCTGTAGGAATTGCAATTGCCTGGGATTTGGGTAAGTGAATGGGAACTGGGTGATAATTCTAATAATTCCCAGTACCTGAGGTGAGCCAGGCGCTGAGCCTGAAACTTGATGCATATTCTATTCGAATTCAAAAACCAACACTACCTGTGGGTGTCATAACTTCGGTCCTCCCATTTTACAGATGATGCAAGCTCGGAGAAGGAGAACACCTGCCCAGGTTCCCACAGCCAAGAAATGGGATTTAAACCCAGATCTGTTTGATTCCCAAGTTTATGTTCTTGTCACTCCTCTGGGTCATCTCCAAGGTCACCATTGGATATCCATAGTATTTGTATTAATATTATAGCTAATGTGTATTTAGGACTTACGTGTGCCAGGCACTGTGGTAAGCACCTCACATGAGACTCTCATTTCATGCTCAGCACATCCTGTGAAGATAGCTTCATTATTACAGCCCACTATAGGTGAAAAAGCCAAGGATCAGAGAGGTTATAAGAACCATCGAAGGCTGCACAGCAAGATGGCAGTGCTCAAACTCTGGACCATTTCCTCCAGCTTTTTTCTGACTGAAACCTCCTACACCCCACCCAGATGCTCAGACCAAAGACTGGGAGCATCCATGGCTGCTTTCTCTCTGTCTCCCAACATTCAGTCTATCAGCATATCATGTCAACTTGACCTCCACAACATCCTGAAGCATAGACTTCTCTTCCTCCACTTTTTTGCACCTTTAATGACTGCACCTGCCTCCTCCCTGTTTCTCCATGGCCAACCCAGACCCTTCAATGCATTCTCCTCCCAGCACCCTAGTGACCTTGGCAAAATAGAAATTGGACCATCGTCCTCTCCTGAGTCCAACTCTCCAGTGGCTTCCTATCTCATCTAAAATTAAACCCAACCTTCTTTCTTGGTCTGCAAAGCCCTTCATGATCTAGTGCCCACCTCCCTCACCCGTCACACACCTCCTGCCCCACTAGCTTTCACTCTTGTCTGTGAACAAGCCAAACTTGCTTTAACCTGAGAGCCTTTGCACATGTTGTTCCCTCTGCCTAGAAGTCAGTGCCCGTAGCCCTCTTACCTGGCTGTCTCCTTATTGCCATCCTTCCTGCCTTTCCCATCTAAAGGATACCTGTCCATGGCATTCTCCACCCCCAAAGCTTGCTTGATTCCCTTCATAGTGCGGATTCCTATTAGAAATGGCCTCACCAGTCTTTTACCCATTGTCCCCACCACTAGCATATCACCTCCATGAGAGCAGGGTTCCTGCCTGTCTGGTGCACCGCAGTGTCCTCGAGGCGCAACACTGGACATGCAGCATGAGCCCGTGCTGTGTAGTCATCTGGCGAACAAATGAAGGATGGCACTCATGCTCCTGGAACAGCTGTGACCTGAACTCCAGATGTTGGATACGTCCCAGAAGAGAAAATCTTAAGAACGAACATCCTGAAGACCTCTGGTGAGGAGGACAGCCTCAGCCTCAATGAGGAAAATGGAGCACCAGGTTTCTGAGGACTCCCCTGCCCGCTGAAGACTGCCCTGGAAACTCAAGCTTTGTATTTCCACTGTAGCCTTGAGCTCAATCCCAGAGAATTAAAAAGTTTCCAAGAAAGTGCATCTGCTAACGTGCAACATCTATGTTAGTCAATATAGATTTATTTAATGCAGTAAATGATATAATTGGATTTTTATTTCCACAATATATTTTTCCAAGATAACTAATATTTTGAGTATCCGTGGCCTACTGATGTCTCCTGAATGAACATATTTCCTGTATTAATACTCTTGTATAAAACTGACATTTAAACAGTTTAATAAATGAGCAGTTGTTTGACTTGTATCAGTTTCAATACATTCTGGGATATTAATAAAATATATTTCATAAGCCAGCTCAATAGACCATGTCGTAAAAATTCAATGATTTATTAGCGATACAGTTGCTATTAGTTGGGACAGATACTCAAAATGCCATTAGGGTTAAAATAATAATCAATCAAACTAATTAGACCCTATTTTTCATATGCAAATATAATTAAGCATACATTTCTCTGGAACTTTAAAGAGAATTATTGAAGCTCAACCTTGTATGAAGAGCCCCTCACTTGAGTTAATGAAATGACAGTGTCTCAAGTTGGATATGCAAACAAAATTGATGAATTGTTCTGGGCTTGGAGGATCATAGGGAAATGGGGCACAAGAGAAGGGGCTAAAAGAAGACTACCCTATACACCTAAGTCTCTTCTTTCTATCATTGCTGATAAGGGGGGAGTTTTAAAGCCCAAAGTGGACAAGAATGACAGACCAATATGGCACTGTGGAGTCAACAAGAATGTGGTTCTGAACTGATTCTTGGGTTAGGCTGTTCTTGCATTGCTATAAAGAAATGACTGAGACTGTGTAATTTATAAAGAGGCTTAATTGGCTCACAGTTCCACAGGCTGTGCAGGAAGCATGGTGCTGGCATCTGCTCAGTGGAGGAAGCCTCAGGAAGCTTACAATAATGGCAGAAGGTGAAGGGAGAGTAAGCATGTCACATGGCCAGAGCAAGAGAGAGAATGAGGGGGAGATGCTACACACTTTTAAGTGACCAGGTCTTGTGAGAACTCACTCATTATCACAAAGACAGCATCAAGCCATGAGGAATCTGCACCATGACCCCAACACCTCCCACCAGTTCCCATCTCCAGCATTGGGGATTTACAATTCAACATGAGATTTGAGCAGGGACAAGTATACAAACTATATCAATACTGCTGTGCTCAATCTAGTTTCATCAACACAGCAGACCTTGGGCAACTTAAATTCTCTCCGTGCCCCGGTTTCTCCATCTGTAAAATGAGAGGGATGATGATGATAACAGCAGTATACACCTTTGAGGTTTGTTGGAAAGACTGAAGGGGTACCTAGCCCGAAGCAAGCATACAATAAACATTAGCTGTTTTTATCCAGGAAGCAGTTTATTTGCCCCCACACTTTCTTTGTGGGACTGCTCAACCACTGGCTGGTTCAGTGAGCCTGGCAAAATCTACTCCTCTCTCTGTGTGTGTCAGTTTCCATATCTGAACAGTTGAGGACTTAGACTAGATGATTTGGAAGATCAGAGCTCACAACTGGGGAGGCTGAAGAATGATTGCCACTTTATTTAAGTCTCTGGGCCTAATTTACAAAGACTATTTGGGCCCAAGGAATGGGGCCAAAGGGGCAGAGTACACCATAACCAAGTCAGAGCAAGAAGTCAGCATGAGGCGCTGATCTGCTCAAAGAAACCAGTATTGGAAACCAGGAGAAGAACCTAGACTGGTTCTGGTGTTGTCAAATGCTGGTTGTATTAGTTAAAGCAGGGGTCCATAGATGCTTTCTGCAAAGAGCCAGATCATAAATATTTTAGGCTTTGCACATCATACAGTCTCTGTTGCAACTACTCAACTCTGCTGTTACAACATGAAAACAGTCATAGGCTGTCCTAATAAAACTTAATTTGTAGACACAAGCAGCAAGAGACTTTGGGCCCATGAGTTAAGGTTATATCAGCTGATGTAACAAACAAACCTCAAAATATCAATGACTCAACTATGGTAGATGTCTATTTCTAGCTCATGAAAAGTCCAATGCAGACATTTCTGGTCAGGCAACTCTCTAGGGTGACTGTCCTTCAAGAAGTAGTAGAGACCCAAGTTCCTACCATATTGCGGCTCCTCCATTCTCAGCTTGGAGTGTCCGAGCTCACCTGGCTGATTTGAACTAAATTAGTGGAAGGGAAGGAACATGGAGATTCATCTACAGAAGGGTTTGTGGGCCAGGAGTGGGAGTGAAGCATATCAAATCCCCTCATTTGACTAGAGTTTGCTCTCTTCACCACTCCAACTGCAGATGAATCTGAGCTTTCACCATTGTGTTACATCCATGCTGACTTTTTGCTGAAGGCTACCATCCTGACAGATGACATATTATTCTTTTGGAACTACTTTCCCCCAAGACACCTGGGATTACCTGCCCATCCTCTATGCTCCATATATTCTTCCTATATTTACCCAAAAGGGCCTCCTCATTTTATCTGTCTCTCCTCCTAGGCGGGGCTCTCTGCTTCTTGACAAAGAGGTCAAGCCTATGCAGCTCACTACTATGTCTGTCCTCCTATTAGCCACATGGTGGATGCAAGGAAGATTTTAATTAATTAATTAATTGGCACATGAATAAATGAATGGAAGATGACTTACGACAATTGGTCACATGTGAAATGGGGTTAAAACAACTACAGAACAGAAAATAATTTAAAAGAGCAAAGAAACCCATGGGGTATTCCTATAGGTTCAAATGTCCAGGAGAGGGCCCAGCGCTAAATGTAGGCACCAGGTATAGCCACTTATTCCTAAAGAATGGGGAAGAATGAGTTGTGTGTGCCCATGTGTGTATGTGTGTGTGCATGCATGCACATGTGTGTGTATATGTGTGTGTGTGAGTGTGTTGAGTTATGCTGTTCCTTTTGTCTGAGATAACAGCTCCTGAGTTGCTCTCTAACTTGGTCTGGTTTTCCAGCCCTTTCTTTCCTCCTGGGATCGGAACACGTGGGGGATCTGGAGAGAAGAAAGGTAATTACGCCCAATGGGTGGACAGCAAACTCAGCATTTTTCACAAAAAGCTGTGGGACCTCTAAGGGACATTGGAGGCCAGAAGCCTGGCTTCAGCCACAAGATGTATTTCCAGCCTTAGGGTAGAAGAGGAATGAGGTCATTGGGGCTTCTACGGCAACAAGCCTTTTTTAACAAATCATTTTAAAATTAAATTAAATGCTATTAAATTAGCAATAGTGCCAGGGGAGCCCAGGAAGAGAGTCACTCAGATAAACGGCCCAGGGCAGGCATCTTAAAATCACAGAGATGTCAAATGCTGGGGCTGGAAAGGGCCCTAGATATCCTCTGGTTTTCTGGCTCTTAACCAAGCCATGGATCTGGATTACCAAGGGAGTTTTTACAACCAAGTAATGTAATCAGCACAAACCAGGGCACACACTTCCCTAGAGAACCTGGTTCTGCAGGCCTGGGGTTGGTCAGGCTTTGTCTCTTAGGAAAGATCCTAGGAGGTGATGCCACACACACACACACACACACACACACACACACACACACACACGGAGAGAGAGAGAGAGAGAGAATGAGAGAGAGAGAGAGAGAGAGAGAGTTACGAAGCACAGATGTCCCAGCCCCTTCATTTTGCAATCGACATGCAAGTGACTTGTCAGCATCTCCCAGCAAGTTACTAAGAGCTGAGAGGGAGATCAGTGATCTCTCACATCCCAAGGAAGTTGACTCCTGAGGATTCCAGATACCAAACAGGACATGTAAAGGAAGGAGAGAGGGTGGCGGGGGCAGGAGGGCCTTCCCTGTTCTCTGTCCCTCCGTGACTCATGCAGGGAGTGTTTCATGTGCAGTCACTCTCGTCCAAGGACCACAGAGGGCAGTGGGGGCCCCATGGAGGCCAAGACCCAGCCCATAATAAACAAGATGATTTTAGCTACTGATAAATGCTGCAATGGAAACCAAATAGGAGGATGAGAGAGTTGAGCCAAGGAAGGCCACATTGGCTAGGCAGTCATGATGGCTGCTTTGAAGAGGTGACATTTCACCTGAGATGTGAACAATGAACCAGTCAATCCAAGCATGAAGAGCAAGGAGGATCATGGAAATGCCTAATGGGGGAAGGAGGACTTAACGCCAGAGTAGGGGGCTCAGGGGATGCTTCCTGGGAAAGCAATCTCCAAGCTGAAAACGAAAGGAAGGGTCCGAGCTGGTCAGGTGAAGAAGCAGGAAGGGGAGAGGTTCCATGAATTCATTAAATCTTTGAGCAAACCCCTAGGGAAGACCTACTGTGTGCCAAGTGCCAGGCTGAGGGACAGAAATTCAGCAGTGCAAGGCAGACAGCCCAGCTCCCAGTGAGGAGGACGGACTCTGCACAGCTAGTAGGGGAAAGCTGGCTGTCTCAGGCAACAGTTCTTTTGCAGACATTTAAGACCAAATCATTCTTTGTGGAGGAGGGTACTGTCCCATGCATTGTGGGATATTGAGCAGCATCTCTGGCCTCCACCCACTAGATTCCAGTAGCACCTCTCAGTTTCAACGACCAAAATTATCTCCAGACACTGCTGAGTGTTCACTGAGAGCAGAAGGATTCCTGGTTGAGAAGCACTGTGCTGAAGTGTCATGCAAAAGAGAGACAGCAAGAGACAGCAAATGAGTCTATATCCTATAAAACGTTATTATGTATTATAATAAGTATATATAGCACAATAACATTAATATATAATATAATAATATACAATATTACAATAAGAGGAGGTCAGAAATGCAGGGAGCTTTAGGATGGACCTATTTAATTCAGATCCTAAAATACTCCCAGCTCAGAGGTCTGGGTGGTACATTTCTGCAAAGCCAGTAGATAGTCCAGGCCTCTCATTTTATCAGAGAATAATCTGTTGATCTTTAACACCAGAATGAAGAGGCTGGGTGGAGAAAGTTGGAGGGGGCAGCCCGAAGGACACTTGGAAGGTCATGCCATTTCTGCCTCTCCCAGCCCTGTCCCAACCTTGTCCCAACCTTGTCCCAGCCACCTGGCCCACGGCGCTCAGCAAAGGGTTAACAAGCAATGTTTATTTATGAACTTGGCCTATTACTACAGCATAATTTGAATACAGTGCCTATGAGGTTCTTTTATTGCCAGCTATAATTTCATATTTAAAGCTCTCCCTATGCCATACTTTAAAAATGATATCTCAAACAAGAAATAAATTCTGTTTTGCAGCTGTGTTAACTGTATTTACCCATGGGACACACTATTTTGTCCTTGACACACATCCCTAGGGATTTTGCTGAGAATTGCTTTGGCAGTTTTCTCTGGCTCTCTCTCGACTCAGGGAGAGCTCTGCTGCTATTCCCTGGGACACCACACAGAGCCCCAACTACAGCCCAAGGGGGCATGAGAGAAAGAGGAAACTGACAAGAATGGCCTCAGCCCCTCAGTAATGGGCCGTGTGGCTAGGACAGCACCCCTGGGCAGCTTTGAACCTTCAGCTTGTAAAAAATAAAAGGGTGTTGAACAGAACATTGGCACCATTCCTCTCTAGAGTCTCTGCCTCCTCTCTGCATCCCTGAATCGGTGACGGAGTTTAGATAATTTCTCAGGCTGCAGAATGATGGCTCAGGAACTTCAGCCGGCTGGCTTCCATAATTTTTAGCTTTTTTTATTTTCCTCCAAGTGAAAAAAATATTGTAGGGCCTGACTGACAATAACAATAGCTTACATTTATTGAGCACTTACTCTTTGCCAGACACTGTACTAAAAACAGTTGCATGCACATTTGACACTAACAGCAACCCTCTGAGTAGCTACGTTTCTCCCCATCTTGCAGATGAGGGAACCAAGGCTCAGGGAGCTGGAGGGGAACATCCACCCAGTTTAGCTCCATGGGGGTCAGGAGAGAAGTTCATAAGAGATGCCATCCTCAGCCCTGCACCCCAAGGTGGCTCACATTACCTTGTCAGATAAGCTCCTGCCCCCAGCAAGACCACAAGCAATGGGACATGGAAGAAGCAGGCTTTCATGGAAGAGGGAAAGGCGTGGGAGACAGGACAGCCAGTTGGAGGCAGATACCTCAGTGCAGAAAGGTATCAATTAATCAGATGGGGAGTAGGCAGGCCAAAAGGAGGAGCAAGGGAAGCTAGAGAGAGCCAAGTCCTTACACAACACACAGCAACTTACCTCCATCTTAATAGCTCAGCATTGCAGAGCAGAGTTCAAGGGCTATTTCTGTGCTGCAGAACCACTTCTGGCTCTGTGACCTGGGCAAGAGACCTCACTTCTTGGTGATTCCGTTTCCCCATCCTTAAAATGGGGATGGAACCACCTCAGTTTATAAACATGGTATCTATTATTCATTATAATTTACTGAACACTTATTATTGTCATG
Organism: Homo sapiens; assembly: GCF_000001405.40. Taxonomy (NCBI): domain Eukaryota; kingdom Metazoa; phylum Chordata; class Mammalia; order Primates; family Hominidae; genus Homo; species Homo sapiens. The sequence continues at coordinate 26,808,459 of NC_000022.11, read as the reverse complement.
AATATATAGTCTGGTTCCAGAAAGCGACAGAGACAAAGAGAGACCAGGACAGTTCGGGCAAAGGGAACCTCAAATACAAAGGCATGTTGGCATGGGGTTAGAGAGATCTGCATTCTAATCTTTTTTAAACTTTTTTTAATTTTTATTTTCAAGATAGAGACCTAGGTCTCACTATCTTGTCCATGCTAGTCTTAAACTCCTGGGCTAAAGCAATCCTCCTGCCTCAGCCCTCCCAAAGTGCTGGGATGACAGGCATGAGCCACCACTCCTGGCCGTGTGTTCCAGTCTTGAGTCTGTCACTTACTTATTCCTTATGAGATCTTAGACAATGTATTCAGCTCCTGAGCCTCAGCTTTCCCATCTGTAAAATGGGCATGTCAGTACCAAAGGTTGTCTTTGGATAAAAGATAATTTATTCAAAGCACTTGGCATATAGTAGGTGTTTAATAAATGGTACCTGCTATTGTAATTGAAGGTGGCTCAGAGAATCTGGTGGTTGAGAAGAATGTGGTCTTTTCAATGTTCAGATCTTAGCTCCACCATCAGTGGCTTCTTATCTCAGAATCTGTTTCCCCATCAAGAAAATGGGAATGATAATTTCTCCCCCACAGAAATGCTAGGGAGAAGGATAGATTCGATATCTATTCAGAAATAATAATGTTCCACACCCGAGCCAAGGCCAAAAGAAGAACATGTTGAGGTCAGTGCTAGTTCCAGAAGTAGGAGAGAGTTATACAGAGAGTCCAGCCATTGAGTTGAGCCCCAGCTGCTTGAGCAAGTCCAGCTAAGACCAGCAGAGCCACCCGTCAGAGTCCAGTCTAGATGAACCCACCCTCAGCCACACCACAAATCTATGAGAATAAACAGTGATTGTTTTAAGCCACCAAGTTTTGGGCCAGTTTGTTACACAGCATCATTGAGAACATGGCTAGCTGATACAGAGGTTCCATCCTACAAAGTATATGTCTATTGAAGCATAGATATGGCTACTACTTATTGAACACAACTATGTGCTAGCAATGTTAAGCACCTTGTGTGTTTTACATTAGATCTTCACAACAATCATATGAGTGAGGCATATTGTTACCACCATTTTATAGGTAAGGGAACTGAAGCTCAGAGAGGTGTGGTCAATTACCCAAGAGCACACAGCCAGGAATATGTCAAACTTGAATAAGAAACTCAGGTCCATCTGACTCCAGAGCCCCCACCTTGAACTACTTGGCCCTGGGGGCCTCCAAGCTGTCAGGGGTTAAGCCCAGCACAGGGCACATAGGTTGTACTACATAAATAGATGCTTTCTGTGCTTCGGGAAGGCGCCAGGGAAAGACCAGTTGGGTCTGATCCACCGGGACCCTAAATGCAAGCAGACATTTCCCTGCTCAGTGCCCTCCACCAAGCCCTACAACAGCTGCCGTTCGGGCTGAATACCTCCCTTGCAGCCCTCTGGCACCAACCCTATAAATATTAAACCAACGGTAATTAGAGGAAATCAGTCAGTCACTGCACTCCAGAGCTCTGCCATGTCTCCCCACCAGGCTCAGGCTGCCTTTGACAAAGGAGCTTTGTTTCTTTTAATTTGGGGACCTCATACAAGGCATGTGTCAGGCACCAGGACATCAAGCTCATCCCCATGTGAGCCAAGGCCCTGCCTGCAGAGTCCCACCCCCTTGGGGCCTTGTAGGCTTTGCCAAGAAGCAGAAGAGGGGCTCCGCGTGGAAGGCAGGTGGGGGGAAGTGGCAGGGCTCCTGTCAAGGCCCGAGACCCCCTGGGGGACCCACATCTTTTTGTCGATCGTGTGGCATCAGGCTCTGATGTCGCTGCTTTGTGGGGCTGATGACACATAATGCACGGTGACAATATGTCACATCAGAAAACAATCCCAAACGCACTCAGGTGGGACTGCAAACCCCAGGGGTGCTGGGGAAATCAAAGATTGGGAATCTTCAGCAAAGGGGGCTGTGGGAGAATGAAAATGGCCCCAACCCACTCCCCTGCTTTACCTGTTAGAAAAGTAAACAGCCACGTTTCCCACCAGTCCTTATGGAGTTCAAATGAATGGGAGGGTGAGACAATGGCTGAGTCTCCCAATCCACACCATTCATGTAGAATTGTAGCTTCTGTGGCCATGTGGCTCTCAGGTGCCACACTATGGGCCTTCCGTCTCATATAACTAATCTTGCCCAATCCTAGCAACCTGTTTGCTTGGAAGAAGTTACCATTAGCTCCTTATACAGGTGGGGAGACTGAGGCAACTGAAGGTAGGAAGGTGTAAGAGCTGCATGCACAGGCTCTGAAATCACAGGGAACTAGGACCTAATCCTGGCTCTTCCAATCTCAGGCTGTGTCACTTTGAGAAACTTATTTGATCTCTCTGAGCCTCAGCCTCTTCATCTGTAAAACGGGTATAAAAATGATACCTTATCACACAATACCTGATACGCAGCAAAAATCAATACAGATTCTTGTAATTGTTATTATCAAAGACCACAGAGCTCAGAAGAGTTGGAGGTAAAATTCAAACCCAGTTTCATGTAAAAGCCCATGAACTTTTCTCTGCCTCCCCACTCCCACCCAGCACCCTATCTGCCACCCAGCCAGTTCCTGACGGTTTTCCTCTTCCAATACGGCAATTCATCAAGCAACTCATCAGCACCATGGGATGATCACAGCCTCCATATTTATGGGCCAAGATGTTCTTTGCAAGGTTTCCACACAAGCATCAGAGAGAGAAGGTGGAATCATCCCCATTTTGCAGCTGGGGAAATTGAGGTTCAGAGAGGCAAAGGTATTGTTTTAAAGCTACACAGAAAGTAACAGGTGGAGCCAAGGCTAGAGCCTGGGTCACCTGCCGCCCAACTGCTGCCCTCCCGTTTTTAGTAAAAATTCCTCAGCCTGTCTAGCCTCATTGGGTTTGCACTGCAATTGCAGATGTTACATCTGATCCCATAAATCTTCCCATTTCTGCATGGGGAAACTGGGGCTCCAGCAGGAGACCCGCCCTGCCGAGGATCTCAGTGTGAGTCAGAGTCGCAACAGGAAACCTGGAAACCTCATCCCTCAGGCCCCTCATTCTCCTGCAAAAGGCAGTCCCTGCCACGGTGAGGTCTGGCCAAGTGCCTGGGTGGCCCCAAATAAAGCTGCCCCCTCCAAAAATGGCAATAGCCTGAAAACAAAATCCCTTTGTGCACCCAGTCCATGGTCTGGAGATCTGAACCCGCAGTGGCTGCACTAACCCGTCTCGTCCCCACAACCCGCAGAGGAAGAAAACCAAACCTTGAACCTGACGAAGCCCATACGAGTGGCAGGTATTAATTGGTGCAATTAGGCAGCTCTTTCCCAAGGCCACAGAAGCTTCAGCATCGATAATTAGACTCAGATTGGAATTCCTTTGGCCCTGCATGTAAACAGGACACTCTTTCTGCAGTTGCGGTAAATGATTTGTTCAAAGGGGGGAAACATTTACTGTAATTTGAAAGGAGCAATTGACTGTATTATTAGTGGATGTGAGTGCCCAGATGACAACAGACTCCACATTGTTCTGTCTTCTATCCAGGCCTGGGGACAGGAAACTTTGGCAGCAGGGTCCCCCAGTGGTTGGGGGGGCCCCATTTGGGAGTCGGAAAGACCCAAACTGAGATTTGAGTCCCACCTCCCCGACTTAGGTGCTGTGTGACCTTGGGCAAGTAATACAACATCTCCCTTTCCTCATCTGTAAAGTAGGGATGACACCAGTATATATATCATGGGGTTGCTGTGAGGATGAGATGAACCAAACACATATAAAGTGCTTCATAAAATAAGCTGTTGACCTTGTTGTTATTAGTAATCATCTTGGAAACACTCCTGAAGTCCCAGACTAGGTCACAGTCAGCTACCTATTCCCAAAGGGAATAAACAAAACGAACTATAACCCACACAACGGGTCATGCCTTTGACATTTATTGAGCACCAACTGTATACAGGATGGAGTCAGACAAGGGCTTTGCTCACTGGGTGCTCAAAGTGTGTAGTGAAGACAGACACATGAACAGATAACGACCAGAACCTCACATCCACACAACACTTTACAGTTTACGAAGCATGTGTAACTTACCTTCAGTAGCCCCCAAGGCTCTCACTTGAAAGCTGGTGTTATTATGCCCATGTCATTGATGAGAAATCTGCAGTTTTAAATCACTTACCCAGAACCAGCATTTGAATTCAGGTCTGTCTGCCCCCATGCCTATTACGATCTCTGGCAAATTTCTTCCCGTGAGGGAACGGGGCAGAGAAGAGTTAGGAAATTCCACTATCCTGGGAACCCCAGAATTAGGTGTGAGGTTGGCTGACTCCATCATGGCGGCTTCTCCAAATACAGAGATGTCCTCACTGTTCCTCTTCCCACCTCCTACCCAGGCCCTACTGCAGTGCTCCTGGGTGATCCTCACATCTCATCAGCACCCACTCTGCATGCTCTCATTTGGGGGTCCCATCCCTCCTGGGGCATCCCCATCAGTTCCTTGCAGGCAACCCTCTCAGACAGAAGGTTCAAGGTGGGATGGCACTGAGTTTCAGTCCTGTCTCCATCTTGGATTAGCCGGGTGGCCTTGCCCAAGTTATCAGCACCTCAGTCACCACACCTGCTAAATGGGGATAATGGTGGTGTTGTTGCAGACTTAAGATGAGTTCATGAGGGCAAGAAGCATGCTTCTCTCATCCACCGCTACACTCCTGGCACATAGCACATACTCAAATATGGAAGGAAGGAAAGATGGAAAGAGGGAGGGAAGAAACCTTTTCCATCTTCAAAACCCAGCTCCAAAGCCAGCACCTCTTTGAAGCTCCCCAGGGTCTTTCTAGAAGTAGGGTTAGCCACAAAATATATATAATCTTTCAATGGAGGTAGGTGGCTTCCTTATCAATTGCACCAACTCTCCAGTGAGATAATTGGTTCCAATCCCAAATGAACAAGTCACTCCTCCTCTCTGAGCCCCATTTTCCTAATCCATGGGGAAGGAGGTGGGGCGGGATCACAGCACCTATCTCCTTTTGGTTGATGAGGAATTTAGATGATCTGTAAGATCAATTGCTCTTATAGATCAACTTAGGTGATCTATAAGAGCACTTAGCACAGTGTCTGACCAATAACAGGCATGTGATACTGTCTACCTGTGATCATCATCACCACTAACCATCACTTTCTGAAACTCAGTATGGTTGTTTTATTTTGTTTTGTTTTGTTTTGTTTTGAGATGGAGTCTCACTCTGTCACCCAGGCTGGAGTGCAGTGGCACGATCTTGGCTCACTGCAAACTCTGCCTCCCAGATTCAAACGATTCTTCCACCTCAGCCTCCCGAGTAGCTGGGACTACAGGGGTGTGCCACCACACCTGGCTGATTTTTGTATTTTTAGTAGAGATGGGGTTTCGCCATGTTGGCCAGGCTGGTCTGGAACTCCTGATCTCAGGTGATCCACCCATCTCGGCCTCCCAACGTGCTGGGATTACAGGCATGAGTCAGCGTGCCCAGCCTCAGTACAGTTTTAAAATCACGGGCTTTGAATCCTAGCTTTTCTCTTACTAGCAGTAGGATCCTTTCTCTTCATGGGGCTTCAGTTTTCTTATCTGTAAAATGGGCGTGCTAATAGCTTCTAACTCACAGGTGGGTGTGTGGATTGACTGAATTAATACAGATACTCAGCACAGTGGCTTGAAATCCTTTACTTGCCCATAGGTATCTCTGGATATGTCTTCCCACCCTTCCTCCCCTCAGCCAATGTGGCCAGCTCTGGTCTGCCTGTTTCATGACTCACAGATTCTCAAACCTCCCAAGTTCTGGACACCTGGTACGTCCCCAGTAAATAGGAGTTTGGATGCGCAGAAGGATGCTCTGAAATCGCAGCCTGGGAATGCCCTAACTGGATGACCGTCAACAGGTGACTGCCTCTCTGACCCTCAGTCTCTTCATCTGTAAAATGGAGCTAACAGTAACCCCTTCTTTTCAGGGTGGATATAAGGATTAACGAGATAATATATGTGCCTGGTTCCCAGTAAATACCAATAATAAACAGCGACTGTAAATGTTACTTGTTGTTCCTTCTGCCTTCACTCACCTCCTCTATCCTCTTCCCTACCTTCCTTTATCAAGGTAGATGTTCCCTAATTTCATTTCAACTTGATCAGCCAGAGAAGCCGGGGGGAAATTGCACAGAGACTAGATTCAAAGTTCTGTTGTAAGCCGGGGTGGCGGGGAGCAGTGTGGATGGGTGGGAGCACCCCAGCAGGAATGCTGTGTCTGATGGCACCATTCACACACTCAACACAGCCTGCCTCTCCCTGTGTAGCTGGAAAAAATGCACAGGTATGAAGGCACTTAACCTGTCTTCACCCAAACCAGTCAGAGCTGTCAAAAATCATTAGAAAGAGAAAATACCACCCCAAGAGGGTGGCAGCCCATCTCCCTACTGTCCCCTAAGGGTCCTGTGGGGTTGTCCTTCTTCTCATCTACTCTGAAGACTTAATCCTTCAGCAGAGGACAGATGTCTCTCAATGACAGGTGAACCCCAAGACCACTACTCATAGGCCCCACCTCCTGAGAGGGTCGAAAGAGGAGAATGCAAAGCTTCCAGTGGTCACCTCACTGAGATTGGAGTCAAGAGCTTGGGTTCAGGAATCAGGCAGACTCACCTCTTTGTAGCTGTGTGACTTTAGGCAAGTCACTTCACCTCTCTGAGCCTCAATTTCTTCATCTGTAAACTGGGGATTCAAATGGTCTGACATGGTGTTGAAGAGTGTAGTCTGGAGCCAAACAGCCCTGAGGGGTTGAATCCCAGACCTGCCTGTGAACTAGCTGTGTAAGGTATGACCCATTTCTTAAGCTCTTCGTGCCTCAGTTTCCTCATCTGTAGAATGGGCATGAAACCTTAGACATTTTCTTGAGGATGAAATGGATTAGTACTTGCAAACCACATAGTCCTGGGACATGGTCAGCTCTAGTGCCTGAAAATAAAAATAAGTAACTAAATTGTAGAGCCGTTGCAAGGATGAAATGAGATACTACCTGCAGAACTCTTAAAAACAACAACAAATTATTATTATGCCCATCAGTGAAACCAGATTTCTTTGGGCCTTGCTGTGTGTATTCTCTTACTCCTGGGCATTTTAGGACTTTTGCACATTGTCCGTGGGGTTAATTCTCAAGAAAAAGGGACTGTAGTTTGCTGTCCCTAGGATGTCACATTCTTTCTGCAGTGATGTCAGGCATTGCCTATGTAAATGTTTATATATCTGCAACCGGGCACACCCACACATGCCCACCCACGTGCACCCTCATACAGATCGTCACAGACTGTGCTAACACGTGTGGGCACACATATTCACATATGCCCTTTTCCCCCTCTCACTGTTCCCCAGAGAACAGCCTGCCCCTGGGTCCTGCGCCATGTCATTAACCGGCCCCAGTGACCTCCCTGATCTGGGGGCGGGGCCTGCCTGAGCCAGCACCTCCACATTCCCCAGGCTGTTTCTAACCCCTCCAGATCAGCCCACAGGGACTCAGCCCAGCCACAGAGCAGCAGCAGCCCCTCCTCCCTCCCATCTTAGGCTTGAGCAGGGCTCCAGGGCCCCAGAATTGAGTTCAGTACCTTGACTCTACCCCCAGGCCTGGCCACCACCTTCTCTCCCTCCCCATCAGCTCTTAATTCTTAATTAGGCCCCCTGCCTCCACTCTTGCCCCTGATCAGTGCTTCAGCTCTTAACTACAGCCAAAGAAATGTTCTTCAACACAAACCTCCTTGTTACAGGCCTCTCCTTCAAATCCCTATAAAGTTTCCCAGTTTTCTTAGAATACACTTCTCATTGCCTTTAGAAGGAAATCCAAACAAAGAGCCGCGGCCCCCTGGCCATTCCTGGCTGGCCCCTGAGGTTCCCCAGCCTTGTCTCCTCCACTCCTCCTTCTTTCCCCCCGCTCCAACCTCACCCCCATGTTAGTATTTTTTGTGTTGCTATAAACAAATACCCAAGACCGGATAACTTATAAAGAAAAGAGATTTATTTGGCTCACAGTTCTGCAGATGGTGCAGGAAGCATGGCATCAGTATCAGCTTCCGGTGAGGCCTCAGGAAGCTTCCAATCACAAAGGAAAGTGAAGAGGGGCAGCATGTTACATGGTGAGAGAGGGTGCAAGAGAGAGATGGAGGTGCCTGGTTCCTTTTAAACAACCAGCTGTCACGTGAACTACAGAGCGAGAGCTCACTCATCACCAAGGGGATGGCACTAAGCCATCTATGAGGGACCCACCCCATGATCCAACACCTCCCACCAGGCCCCACCTCCGACATTAGGGAGCACATTTCATGAGATCTGGAGGGGACACACATCCAAACTATATCACTCCACACCCTCCCACCCCAACCCCCAGTCTCTCTACTCACCTGCTTCCACTAGCCCCAGGGCCCTTGCACAGGTGCTTGCCCTGTCCTGAAATGTTCTCCTCTGCCCCTCTGTGCTGCTGTTAGAACCAACTGGCAGGTTCCTTATCTCACCCACAGCAGATCCGGCTGCATGTCCCAGAGTGTGTGTGACTGCCTCCAGAATCACCTAGAATCACACCTTCAGCCAATCCTCCCCAATCACCCAGAACTTCCAACCATGACCAGGGAAGTGTATCCATCCACAGATACCCACCTGCTCTCCGGGGCTGCCAAGGAGAAAAGAGAGAGGCTGACATAGGGGAGGAAGAACACCAGCCTTTATCTGTGCCCACCGTATGCAGAGAGTTCTACATACACGGCCTCATCGAGTCCTCACTGTGCAGATGAAACCACTCTGGTTCAGGGAGGTTACAGGAACCAGTCTTGAACCAAGAGCTGTGTCATGCCAAATCCTAGTTTTTCTCCACTGCTCCTGCCTGCCACAAACACTTCTGGTGGCCCCACCATGCACCAGGCCTTCTGCTAAGAGCTGGGGAAGCAGCAATGCGTAAAACCAACAGACCCTGCCTCGTGGGGCTGACAGTCCATCTACCTCCCTGGACATCATTCTCCCGCAAGGATCTCCAGCGGAGGAAAGAGGGAGATTTCCCCTGGATTTTAAATGCCAGATTTTGGGGGTCCTCTTGAGGAGGCTGGTTAGACGGGTTGACTTCTACCTCCAGAAGGATCCCTGAGGGACCGAGGAGAAGGGAGAGAAAATCTGCAGGAGGTAATCAGGTTCCCATCAGAGGTATGCCAGCAGAGCCGTGAGCCTGGGATTCTGACTTTGGGAGAGGGAGGAGCTGGGGGGCTGTAAGGGGCGTGCAGTGGGAAGACAACACTGTGAACCTCCCACTCCTGCCTGGGGGGGGCTCTGGGGAGAGAGGAGGGGCACTGGTCCTCCTTGCCCCTTGCTATGCACCCTGCACCGTCCCACCCTGTCCTTGGTTCCCCACCATTCCCCAAGCTCCAAAGCTCGGTTAATGTGCAGGTCGGCAAGCCAGGGTAAGATTCGGTCCCAGATCCCCTCCCGCCCAGAACCCAGGCTCTTCGCAGGTCCAGGCTGCCACAGGAGGTCGGCCAGCCAGAGAGGCAGCGTGACAGCCCAGAGCTTCCTGTGTGCTGGGAGCCCAGGCTGGGGAGGAGGGAGGGGCCGTGAGCAGCAGCGGGTGAGGATATTTTAGTGCCCTATGAAAATCTGAATAAATAGTTTCTAACCTTTCCCGACTCCCACTTCCTTATCTCAATATTCCGTTTAATAGCACCTTTCAGGCCACACTAAAAGAATACGAGGGTTGTTACATCAGCCCTAAGTCACTGTTAGAATGGGCCTGGCTGTCTCCGCAGCGGCAACGCCAGTGCTCTGTGCTTGGGGAATCCCGGCTCCCCAGGACTCCTCGCGGGCAGGTGCAGGTCCTGTTCTTCCCAGAAAGGCCAGGCTCCCCTCACCTGAGACCCACCAGGCCCCGGGGTGAGGGGTGATAAATAGTTGGACCTTGCTGGTAACCCACTGGATTTGCTATAGAGAAAAATGTCATAGACCAAAATCTCTATTAGTGTGCTAGGGCTGCCATACAAAATATACTGGGTGGTTAAGTGATAGGAATTTGTTGTCTTGAAGTTCTGGAGGCCAGAGGTCCCTGAACAAGGTGTCAGCAGACTTGGTTCCCTTGGGGGGCTGTCGGAGAAGGATCTGTCACAGGCCTCCGTCCTTGACCTGTTGATGGTCTATGTCATCACATGGTCTATGTGAATAATAATAATAATATGGAAATAAGAATAAAGATGGGTGAATCTGCTGACTCCTTCCAGGATGCCCTGCTCTGAGCCTGTCCTCTGCATTGTTCTCCCTTCACCTTCCGCACAACGCCACCAAGTGGCGGTGGGTGTTTGCGTGTCTCGATGCGGGAGGACCAAGGCTCTGAGAGGTAAAGAGACCTGCCCAAGGTCACCCAGCCCAGCTGTAAGCAGCAGAGTGGGATTCAAACCTAGGCCTGTGTGCCATTTCCCACAACCCTACCCCTGCTGGGATGCAGTCAGGACATCTGACTGTGACTGCCCATGCCATCTGTGTCTATCGGGGTGTCTTGGGGAGTCCCCTGCTCCATCTGAAGCTCAGTTTTCTCATCATCTGTAAGACGGAGATACATAAAGTCTGGCCCAGGGAAGGCTGGGGGAATCAAATGAGGTTTGGGTTCAGCGACAGTGCCGTAAAAATGTATCAAGTGCTGTTCCTCAGGAAGATGAGTAGAACTTAGCACAGACAGAGAGACAGATGAGTCCACACACCGTGTGCACCGGTGTGCCGATGTCAATGATTACTTTTCGGGAGTGCTTGTCCATGGAAAGGGCAAGGGAATATGTGCGTGTGTTCAGGGTGTGTGTGCTCCTGGCTGCAGGGGTAGTATTTGGAGACCTGCCCATGTGTGTGTCTTCTCAGTGTACACGTTTACCAGCCTGTGTCTGGGTGAACAGGCAGGAGCTTATACATGCATGTGAAGTCTATATTTGTGCTTCTGTGGATTTCTATGTTCCTGAGTACGTGGGCACCTGTTGTGTGACTCTGTGTGCAGAGAGATGAGTGTGGACGTGAGTGGAGGAGGGGAACACACGTGCATGCATGTCTGAACTTGTGTTTGCACACCCAGATGCATATGTGTGTGCCCCGTGCTGTGTGGATGTGGGAACGTCCATGCAGTTGTGTGTCACCACACACCTGTGTGTGTCTCTGTATACACCGGCTTACCTGAGCATACAAGCCTGGCCAACCGGCTTACCTGAGCATGCAAGCCTGTCTAAGCACACTCTGTCGACCCAGGGCCCGAGACATACATGTGGCTCTGCGAGCTCCCCTTGCAGTGTGTGTGGCCACTGCTCACAGGGTCCAGCACTGGGGTAAATAAGGCCTTTTCCGCCCCTGGCTGCACCCACGGCCATGCAGGCGGCTGCACTAATAAGGCTGCTTTCCCTGAGGCGGCGGCTGCCAGAAGCAGGTTGGGGAGTCAGAGCCTCGGGGTTCAGCTCCATGGCCCCTCACCAAGGCTGCCTCATCAGCAGGACCATGGCCCTCCACGACCCCGTACCCTCTGGTAGCCCAGGGCCAGCCATAGCCCCTGAGTGACCCCTGGGGAGAGCTGGCCCTCTCCAGCCTCAGCCTCCCCATCTCCACTGACCCACAGTCCCAAAGGGCCCGGAGAGGGACCCGGGTTCGCCTCCCTGCACCACATCCTCTGGTTCCAGCTCCACCACTGGCCAGCCTTGAACTTGGCCTGCCGAGGCCTCAGTCTCCTATTCTGTAAAGCAGGGCAATGAGTTGAACTGAAGGCCAAGTCTGGGGCTCTTCCAGCTGGGGCACCCCCCTCAAACACTCCCACTGAGATGAGTGGATGAGGATGGAGCAGAGAGGAAAGGATTCTGTCTCCAGTAAGATCCTAATGGTCAACTGGGAATGCTTCATAAATGCTTATTGCAACCCTGAGCCAGGCTAGTGGGGGGATAAACGTAACAATGGCAGCCACTGTTACAGCTCTTCCTAAGGCTAGCAGGGTGATGTTATGGTCACTATGATTATAGTAGACATCTCTGCTACCCTACTCAGGATCCATGGATGCGCCACCCACCATTATCCCCACTCCAGGGAGCTGCCTGCCAGGAACTGATGCTTCCGACCTCCTCACCAGGGCTTAATTAGGTCTCATAGAAGGCAGAGATGGCTCAGGGCCTGCAGGGAGCTTGGGGCAGAGGAAGCTGCAGGGAGGGGAGGAGGTGTCTGCAGGGAGAAAGATGGGGCAGGATGGGAATCTCTTCTGACTGGGAATGCCCCTCCTTCTCCCCCACCAAGGCCTCTCTCACTCTGAAGTGAAGTGTGGTAGTCAGCTAAACACACACACACACACACACACACACACACACACACACACACACACACACATGCATGCATACACATGCTCACAGGCACAGCTCTTCAAGCTCTTCGTTCATTCTTTAGCCTGGAACAAAACCTCTGCCAAGTTATCAAGGCAGGATATGGCTTCATCATGATTCAGAGTCAGACTCACTGGAGTTTGAATCCTTGGCTCTGCTCTTCCCCTGCTGTGTGACCTTGAGCTGCTGGCCTTCCCCCTCTGTTGCTTCATTTTTGAAATAGGGGTGCTAACTGCACCCATTCTACAAGGCTGCTGTGAGGGGTAAATAGAAGCAAGTGAAGGGCTTCACCCAGCCGAGCACAGAGTCAATTCCCCTTTTGTGTCAGCTACATGGTTAGTAGCATAACTGTATCACTCAGGATAGGATCCATCCTGCTGCTGTAACAAGTAACCCCCAAATCGTCCTACGTTTATTTCATGCTTGTGTTGCATGCCTATTGGGTTGGCATGGAAAAGGGAGGCTCTCATTACTGTCACTCAGGGCCTCAGGTTGACAGGGCACAGTCACCATCTCAAATATTAGCCATAGCCAGAGGGAAAGAGAAATCTGTAGTCTCAAACCTGGAATCAAATGCTCCAGCCTGGACAGGAACATGTGCTCAACTCATTGGCCAGAACTATACCGTAACCCCACCTACCTGCAAGACAGCCAGGAAATGCAAGCTTCACGTGCCCAGAAGGCAGAAAGACAAAAATGTGGTGAACAACATGTCCAACTCCCACCCTAGCAATGGCTCATTTAGAATCCTAGAAGCTTACACATGGAAAAACAATCCTTCAGACCATTTAATCCAACCCTCTAGTTTTTCAGATTGGGGGCTTAGGACCCAGTGAGGGAAAGAGACTTACCTAAGGTCACACAGCCAATTGACTTCAAAACTGAGATTCTGTGTTAATCTGTTTTCACATTGCTACAAAGAAATATCTGAAACTGGGTAGTTTATAAAGAATAGAGGTTAATTGGCTCATGGTTCTGCAGGCTGTACAGGAAACATAGCAGCTTCTGCTTCTGGGGAGGCCTCAGGAAGCTTCCAATCATGGCAAAAGGCAAAGGGGGAGTGAGGAGGTGTGAACACGGCAGGAACAGGAGCAAGGTGCAGGAAGGTGCTACACACTTTTAAACAACCAAATCTCATGAGAACTCACTATCACGAGAACAGCACCAAGGAGATGGTTCTGAACCATTCATAAGAAATTAACCTCCAGGATCCAATCACCTCCCATCAGGCCCCACCTCCAACACTGGTGATTACAATTCGACATGAGATTTGGTGGGGACACAGATCCAAACCATATCAGATTCCAAGCCACGTCTCCTTAGCTCCAGACTAGGTCATCCTGGATTCCAGGATGCTCTCATCCACCCAACAGGCTTCCTCCCAACCCCATTGGCTCGTATGAACCAACACAGTCCTGGACAATGAAAAATGTCCTGGGAGAATTCTGAGAAAGGCTTCTTCTCTCTTTAAAAGGAGGCTGAGAAGCAGAAGTCTCTCTTCTAGGTTTAGATGCTGTTGTGGGAGCCGACTCCAGCAGCCATTCAGTGACCCTGAAGAAATAATGTTGAGTATTTTGTCCCACACTCTAAAGAAGGCAGAAAAGAACTTGACCTTGGATGATGTCATTGAGCCACTGAATTAACCAACCCTGGAGCTAGCTGCCCTACTTCTTTTTTTTTTTTCTGAGACAGAGTCTCTCTCTGTCACCCAGGCTGGAGTGCAGTGGTGTGATCTTGGATCACTGCAAGCTCTGCCTCCCCAGTTCACGCCATTCTCCTGCCTCAGCCTCCTGAGTAGCTGGGAATACAGGCATCCGCCACCACGCCTGGCTAATTTTGTTTTTGTATTTTTTTGTAGAGACTGGGTTTCACCGTGTTAGCCAGGATGGTCTTGATCTCCTGACCTCATGATCCGCCCGCCTCAGCCTCCCAAAGTGCTGGGATTACAGGCGTGAGCAACCGCGCCTGGCACCTACTTCTGACTTCTTATGACATGGTAACAAATTGTCTTTATGGTTTAAACCATTTTGAGTTAGGTCTTCAGACACTGACAGCCTAAGGCATCCTAACGGATAGAGCCCTCATGCTATTCCTCTACCCCATGCCCCTGCACTTCCTTCTCTCACTTGATGAAAACCCTTGCCTCAGGTTTCAGTTTAAGTATCTCTCCCTCCAAAAGTTTTCCTGAATCCCCACCCCCAGTATAGAACACGCACTTCTCATATACTCTGAAAAACACCCTTTCCCTCATAGTGCTTTATCTCATTTTGTACTTAGAAACTCATTGGTGTGATTCTTTGATTTACGTCTTCCTTCTCCTCTAGCATGTAAGCTCCATGAGGAAACAGAAGAAGCTGCTTGGGCCCCATTTTAGCCACGTGTGATCAGCAAGGTGCTGTCCACAGGAAGCACTCAATGTTTGTTGAATAACTGAAGTGATTCGTATGTTCTTGCTCCTTTATTCATTTTTTGATTCCAAAATATTCACCAAGTAAGCTTGAGGAGGCCGAAAGTCTTTCTTCCGTTCACTGATAAATCCCAAAAGCCTGGAATGGTAGTCTTCCACCAGAGAAGCACTCAAATATTTGTTGAGTGAATTGGTAAATGAATTGAACTCCCTATAGGTACAAGAAGCCAGGCTAAGGCTTAGCTTAAAAAGAGAGCAAGAGGAAGCTACAATGATTAGAGTGGTAGAAATGGTGAAATGGTGCAGCCATGCTGCATTTCCACATGTGAACACAGGAGTAATATCTCAGCATTCTGCTGGAAGAAAGCTAACTGCAGGTTTAAAGGAAAGCAACATCCAGTGTTAGCCAATGTCACCATTAACCACGATTCCTGGGTTATCAGCTCCTTGAGGACAGGGACGGTTTTGGGAGAAGCATCTGTCCAGGGGGTGAGACCTGGGTCCTGTAGGGGGCTGGGTTCCCACCAGTCCTCGTGCCAGATGGCTCTCCTGGGCCCCACATCCATCATGGCTGTTGGCCTTGGAGAAAACAGAAGCAACGCTTGAGAGATGGATGTCGATGGCAAATGGGCTGTGATGATCATGCGTCTCCATTTTCCCCTTAATATACATGATAAATAAACTTAATTACACGGAAAATTGCTGCCATTGAAGAATGTGGCACATGTGGCTTCCTCATGTTGCTGAGTGGCTCCTCGCTCTCATGGCAATCCAAAGATTCCAGGAAGGAAACAATCGTCACCCTTGCTGATGCCAGGACCGCCCTCCGAATGGACAAAGTCACATTCAAGGAGAGTCAGAGGAAACTCACTGATGAATCTGTAGAATGTCAGCTCTGAGAAGACCTCGAGTGTTCATTTCATCCAACCACCCATTTTACAGATGGGGATAACTGAGTCTCAGAGGGATAGGCGTAGTGACTTTATCCAGGGCCATAAAATAAAATGCGGTCTCCTCCATCTTCAAATCCTCTATGTTTCTTTGATTCAAAAGACACATATTTCAAATGCCTCTGGGTTTCCAGTTCTTTAAAAAAGCACATTTGGGAAACTGACCCATACCGACTCCATGCTATGTAAAATGGTGAGCACTGTGCCAGACCAGAACCGATGCTCAAAACAAGTTAGCTGCCAGTCATATTGATTTTGTTGTTCTTATCACTACTAATGTTAAACTTTTTATAAATGCAGTTCCCCCAGAATGGAAGAGAGGGGAAAATCAGGACCTAGGGGTAGGCAATCTGGGTGCTGGCATACCATCTGTTACTAACAAACTTCAAAGCCATTCCCATCTCTGAGTCTCAGTTTCCTACCCTGTAAAGTGAACCCCATAGTCTTTTCTCTTTTTAATTTTTATTTATTTTTTTTTTTGAGACGGAGTCTCGCTCTGCTGCCAGGCTGGAGTGCAGTGGCACAATCTCGGCTCACAGCAAGCTCCGCCTCCCAGGTTCACACCATTCTCCTGCCTCAGCCTCCCGAGTAGCTGGGACTACAGACACCCGCCACCATGCCCGGCTAATTTTTTGTATTTTTAGTAGAGACGGGGTTTCACCATGTTAGCCAGGATGGTCTCGATCTCCTGACCTCATGATCCGCCCACCTTGGCCTCCCAAAGTGCTAGGATTATAGGCGTGAGCCACTGCGCCTGGCCAGTCTTTTCTGTCAACCATCAGTAGGCTGTTGGAGACTTGAGGAAGCTAAGGAACATCTGAGTGCCACAAAGATGTAAGAAGTTATACGATAGTTATAGCAGGAGGTTTCCACATCATAGCACTGTGCAGCAAGTCACTGACAGCATAAGCTCCCAGTCCCTGCTGAGATGAAGACAAGACCACCTGAAGCCAGGTAGCTGGGGTGGGGTGGCAGGGGGAAGGAAGATAATAACAGCTGACATCTGTGCACAACCTTCAGCATTATTCAATAGATACCTACACTGGGTATATTATAGGACAAGGGAGGGGCACAAAAATGAGTAAGACACAAGCACTGTCCTCAAGGAGCACATAGTCTAATAGGAGAGACAAACACAGCATCAATCAATGAGTGTGGTGGCTGACTCGAAAACAGCCAGCATTAGCTCCATAGCATGAGGTACAGTCAAGGAGGACCCTCTGGAGGAGTGTAGCTTGGAATGACTTATTCACTCATGCATGCTTATCTGTATGTATGGCATCTAATGATCTGGAAATACAGAGGTGAATAAAACAGATGTAATTTCCACTTTCATTGAGGTTTTCACCCTGAAGCCGACATGAGACTTGTCAGGCCAACAATGGGCCAGTGGGAAGGGTGCTTCAAGCACAGGAAACAGCATAGGGAAAGGCATGGAGGTGTAAAGCAAGTTAGTGTCACCAGCACACAAAGGACATAGCACTAGGCACGAGACGTGACTGGATGGGAAAGCTCTCTCTTACTCTGAAGTTTCCAAAACAGAAATATATAATTCCCCACCTTGCACCATCTACCCGTCTTCTCTCAGAAGTGCACTGTGCAGTGGATGAATGGATAAACCCAATGTGGTTTATCCATACAGTGGAATATTACTCTGCCATAAAAAGGAGTAAAGTACCGACCTATGCTAAACCAAGTGAACCTGGATGACATCATGCCAAGTAAGAGACATCAGGCACAAAATGACGGATTGACTCCACGCAGGGCAAAATGCTGGGTGCTTCGCCAGACTAGAAGGCTCAGTAAGTTACTTTTGCATTGCATGATTCCACTTATAGGAGGTCCCTAGAGGAGTCATATTTATAGAGACAGAAAGTAGAATAGAAGTTACTAGGAGCTGGGGCAGGGGAAATGGGGAGTGAGAGTTTAACAGGTATAGAATATCCATTGGGGAAGATGAAAAAACTCTATGGATGGACACTGGTGATGGCTTTGTCCTCCCATCAGAAAGTACTTACCCCTGTCTAACTTTCCTCTCTCCTGCTGCAGTCACCTCTTTTGATCTTCAGGGAGAGAGAGGCTATTCTTAGAAAGTGGCCCTCATGATGATCCTCCCAGCCTCCACATCCTCTTTAATCTCTACACATTCAAATGGTAAAGGTTATGTTATGTATAATTTACCACAATTAAAAAAAAACTTTAAAAAGGGCACTATGCTACTCTGAGCTATTAATACATCTATATCTCAGAAATAATCAACAGTTCATTCATTCATTCTTTCATTCCACAAATATGTATTGAGCATCAACAATGTACCAAGCATGTTTCTAGGCACTAAGGGTAGAGAGTTTGCAAGAGATGAGGACCCCGCCGGTATGAAGAGGACAGAAACTCGGGAGCCAGACAGTAAACAATTAAATGCATTAATAAACAAGGTAATCATAGACAGGATGAGCTGGAAAGGATATAAACAGGGAGACGTGCCAGGGAGAGATGAGGGAGGTTTTCTACTGTGGAGAGTAAAGTCTCGGCAGAGCTCCCTGGGGAAGCAGCACGTCCCCTGAGACCAGCAGGAATCAATCAGGCAAACAGCTGGGAGGAGAACAAGTCCTTCTGTATAACAGACACTCTTGCATATAATATATTTCTATCCCTGCCTTTCTCACCTAACCCAGGCCTCTCTCGTCGTGGTTCCACCCTAGGAGGATACTAGGGCCTAGAGATGGACACAGACATAGTTAAGGCTCAGGGCCCCCATGTAAGCATTTTCCAGGCCACCTCATCAGAAAGTACTTCCACCTGTCTACTTTCCTCTCTCCTGCTGCAGACACCTCTGTTGAACTTCAGGAAGACAGAGACCATTCTTAGGAAGTGATTCTCATGGTGACCTTCCCAGCTGGCGCATCCTCTACAATCTCTACCCATGTCACCCGAGGCCCACAGTGGGGAAAAGGAGCCCAAGGCCAGGCGGTTGTTGTTGCTGAGATGCCCCAACAAGCTGGTAACTGCAGCTCATTAGTGGTAAGATAATTAAGTCCCAGGCTGGGGCCAGCCTGTGAGTGCCTCTAGATCATCCAAAGGCAGTGGTTTTCTTAATGAAAGGTTCTCTGTTACAAAATTGGGCTCCCATCCATCTCCATTATGGGGGGCAGTTTACCTGCTAATACATACACCACACACACTCCCTGGCAGGGGGTGGCGGTGACACGGAGGTGCAGACTGGCTTTCCAGACCCCGAGACACTGATGAACGGCCTGTTCCTACTGCCACCGCAGCACGGGGAACATCCAATCCTCTCGGGGCGGCTGCCTGCCAGTGTCTGGAGGATGAGGGTGGATGGGCACTTGGGATGGAGCACATTTCAGCCAAGACTAGAAAGTTCCTGCCCCAGGGAGTGTGTTTGCTCCTTTCAGGGTGACTTCCAGTTAGGCAACTGGGAGATGGGATTTTAATGCCAGCTTGCTCAGGGGTGTGCTGGTTGGGCCTCCTCTTTGTGGCCCCTATAGCCAGAGGAAGCTTTTATTATTATTATTAATGGAAGTGAAATTCACATGACCCAGCAATCCCACTTCTAGGTATATACCCCAAAGAACTGAAAACAGGGACTCAAACAAACATGTGTACACCCATGTTCACAGCAGCACTATTCACAACGGCCGAAAGCTGGAAACAACCCACATGTCCGTCAGTGAGTGAAGGGATGAACAGACTGTGGTATACCCACACAAGGGGACATTACTCAGTCTTAAAAAGGAGAGGAGTTCTCACCATTCTGACTGGCATGAGATGGTATCTCGTTGTGGTTTTGATTTGCATTTCTCTAATGATCAGTGATGTTGAGCTATTTTTCGTATGTTTGGCTGCATGTATTCAAAAGTCAAGAAACAACAGATGCTGGTGAGGTTGCGGAGAAATAGGAACGCTTTTACACTGTTGGTGGGAAGGTAAATTAGTTCAACCATTGTGGAAGACAGTGTGGCAATTCCTCAAAAATTTAGAACCGGAAATACCATTTGATCCAGCAATGCCATTACTGAATATATACAAAAAGGAATATAAATCATTCTATTATAAAGATACATGCACGCGTATGTTCATTGCAGCACTACTTACATAGCAAAGACATGAAATCAACCCAAATGCCCATCAATGGTAGACTAGATAAAGAGGAAGCCATTATCCTCAGCAAAATAATGCAGGAACAGAAAACGAAACACTACATGTTCTCACTTATACGTGGGAGCTGAACAATGAGAACACATGGGCACAGGGAGGAGAACAACATTTCCCGCGGCCTGTTGGGGAAGGGCGGGGTGGGGGAGAGCATTAGGGAAAAGAACTAACGCATGCTGGGCTTAATACCTAGGTGATGAGTTGATAGGTGCAGCAAACCACCATGGCACACGTTTACCTATGCAACGAGTCTGCACACCCTGCACATGTACCCAGAACTTAAAAAAAAATTAAAGGCCAGGCGCGGTGGCTTATGCCTGTAATCCCAGGACTTTGGGAGGCTGAGGTGGGCGGATGACCTGAGGTCAGGAGTTCAAGACCACCCTGACCAACATAGCAAAACCCCATCTCTACTAAAAATACAAAATTAGCCAGGTGTGGTGGTGAATGCCTGTAATCCCAGTTAGTAGGGAGGCTGAGGCAGGAGAATCGCTTGAACCCAGGAGGCAGAGGTTGCAGTGAGCCGAGATTGTATCATTGCACTCCAGCCTGGGCAACAAGAGTGAAGCTCCATCTCAAAAAACAAAAAAATAAAAAATTTAAAAAATTTTTTAAAAAGAGTGGAGTTCTGATGTACACTATAACGTGGATGAGCAGAGGGGCCTGTTTAAGACCTAGTATCTCCTTCCCCTGCACAGAAACCTCTGATGGCCTGTTTGTATGACGTCCAGAGTACCTGTGAGAGTCTCCAAGGCCCTGTGCCCCCATGTCCTCTGTGATTTCGTTTCTCACCACGTCTGGCTCACTACACTCAGTTTCTCAGTGTGGCCTTCAGTCTGTGACAGGAACACACTGAGACGGAGCAGGACCCCCTTTTGGCGGTCTGCATGCCCCTGCCACCAAGAATGGAAATAGAGGAAAATTCCGAGTTCCTTCAAGGGAAATTCCAGGCACCTAGCTAGCCCTAAGAGGTAAATAAGTAATTTGAGGCTGGATGTGGTGGCTCATGCCTGTAATCCCAGCACTTTGGGAGGCCGAGGCGGGTGGATCAGTTGAGGCCAGGAGTTCAAGAGCAGCCTGGCCAACATGGTGAAACCCCATCTCTATAAAAAATACAAAAGCTAGCTGGGCGTGGTGGCGGGCACCTGTAATCCCAGCTACTCGGGAGGCTGAGGTGGGAGAATTGCTTGAACCCAGGAAGTGGAAGTTGCAGTGAGCTGAGACAGTACCACTGCACTCCAGCCTGGATGACAGAGTGAGATCCTGTCTTAAAAAAAGAAAAGAAAAGCAGCTTGATAAGCAAGAGGGTAATAGTAACAAGGCTAAGACAGGAACCAAGGAAGTTAGTCAGATGTTTGATTCCCCTATAGAAACTAAAAGTAACATCTTAACATATGCCCCTGAGTTGTTTTCCAGAACCCTGAACCCCCACCAATGACCCCCACTGAACAGCTCTGCTGTCACCTAAACCTCAGATAAGGGGGAGCTGATGGCTGAACTCTGACCCCCATTTTTTGTTCTAAATTTCTTCCTGAGGAGTCTGGAGAGAGTCAAACCCCAAAGCCAGTTAATGTTCTTCTCTGCTGACCCCAAATTTTAAACAAAGCTTCTCTTCCTTAACCAGTTACAAATCAGATAGTCTTTGAATCTACCTATGACCTGTAAGCCTCTGCTTCAAGGTATCCTGCCCTTTTTGGCCAAGACCAAGGTGTAACCTCCATGTATGGATTTACAATCTTGCCTATAGCTTCTCCCGACATTTACCCCTGCGTTTAAAAACACTTACCTGCAAGCCATCGGGAGGTCAGGATATAAGCGTTAGCCGTCTGGTCCTCCTTGCTTGGCACCTGGTAAATAAACACCTTTCTTTCCACCACTGCAAGACCTCCGTGTGGATATCTGGTCTTACTGCACCAGGTAACTAGACCCTAATTCAAGTCTATTATGTTGGTGCAAAAGTAATTGCGGTTTTTGCCATGGAAAGTAATGGCAAGAACTGCAATTTCTTTTGCACCAACGTGATATAACAACACTGATAAGAGTGAGAAAGTTGCTTGCATAGACAGGGAGGGCTTTGGGAGAAGGTGGACTCTATCTGGTCCACCTTTGGGGACCAGAGGTCCCCAAACGATGCATTTGGGGAATGCATCGTTTCCTACCATTTTAACAATAAAACTCACAGTCCTGTGCAATGCTCTGAGATGGGAAAAGAATGTTGTTTCATTCTAATACGTCTGGGAAATTTGCTCCAATCCTTTGTGGAGCGTCACGATACATGTCAGAAGTTTAAGTCCCTGACAAGGCCTGCAGTAAAGGCACCTGTTGGAGTCCTGACCTCTGTAACACATTTGAATGTGGATCTGAGCTAGAGTAATTTTAGTAAGAAGTTTCTGCTATTTTTAGCTCTAAGTCAAGAAGTCTCTTTTTCACCTCTTCGTGGCTTGTGGTGAGGCAGAAAAAAAGGGGTAGCAGAAAGATTAGCATTCACTGAGAATTTCCGCTCCCAACATGGGGCTATGTATTTCATACAACTTGTCTTATTTGTTCCTCACAACAATCCTATGAGGTGTGTACAATTATGATCCCCATTTGCAGAGGAGGAAACTGAGCTCAAAATGACTCTGTCATGTCCACATGACTAGAGAAGCCATTTTTTCCTGGCTCTAAGCTAGAGCTCTTTGGGTCCAACCTACCTCATCTTACTACCTGGAAGCTTGACTGTGGTTCCCAAACCTCTGTCCCTATCCAGCCTCTCGATTTCTCTCCAGATCTTCTCCACGCTCCCTTGCCATCCCAGCCTCCTTTGGAAACCAAGGGGTTAACCTCTCCTTCCTGTTTGCCCAGACTCAAGTTCATTACGCTGACTAATTGATTCCGCCACTGCTAATGGAAAATGTATCTGCAAGTAATAGATTAATTGGCCACTTGTGATCAGCTCTCAACCAGAGGATCACTGGTGGTCATGCTAGACCCACTGAGTCAGTCCTTCTGGAGCCAGGAAAGGGAACCAGAGGTTAGACTCAAAGGGATCATGGGGGTGTCCAGAGTTTTACCAACTATCACCCTCACAAAAGGCCAGCCAGCTGGTTCCATCCCAAAGGAGGCAGATTCTGCATCCTAAGTCATTAAAATGCAAGTGCATTAACTTGAAAAGAATGGAAATCTTAACAGCATAATGAACCACAAAATATCAGAACACTGGCACATCAGCTTCCCTTACCCCCAAATGAGGGAAGGGGGGTTGCTTTCCTCAGAAGGTTTAAAGTCATTCGTCATAAAATAACAGCTACCAGTTTGCTCACTGACTATGTGCAATCCACTGCATGGTTTCATTTAAACTTAGCAAAAGCCCAGGCGGCAGGTGCTATAATTATCTCATTCCACAGAAAAGAAACGGGGCTCAGAGAGCTGCACCAACTTGCCCAAGGTAACACAGCAAGGAAGTAAAAAAAAAAAAAAAGTGGGCTGCGGGGAGACCTCAGGTCTGCAAACCCCAAAACCAGATCTTTTATCCTCTATCCCAAGGATCAACAAATGACAACCTATGGGCCAAATCTCGCCAACCACCTGTGTTTGTAAATAAAGTTTTATTGGAACACAGCTATGCCCATTCATTTACATATTGTCTTGGCACCCCAATAGCGCAATGCACCACAAAACTTAAAGTATTTACTATTTGGCCTTTTGCAGGGCCAGAATAAGTTTGCAGACCGCAAGCCAAGTTACCCTTCCCAGCTGGTGCTACTGGTACCTTAATGAAATGAGGGCGGGATGACTATGGGAGAAAAGGCTGGTGTGAACCTGGGGATCCCAAAAGAAACTCAGTCTCCAAGATGCACAGGCTGTTTCCTCAGATTATAAGGAAGGTTTCTTATGAGTCTAAGAGCAGAAAGGAGAAAGGAAGAGAGATAGAGAAGAACAAGCCTGAGCCAGACTTGGAGATGAAGCTGGGTGAGAACCAGATCTGATGACAGAGGGAGTGATGCAGGAAGGAAACCAAACCAGGGAGGCTGGTGAATGCAAATCCGTATCTCAGGACCTACCCTCTTGCTTGCTTTAGGACTCCAGAAACGTTTGCCTCCCTTCAGATACCCTCAGTTTCTCTGCTAGAAAATGGGGGTAATGATGGTGTCATCTGGAGGACTCAGCAGGATAGAGCATACGAAGTGCACAGCAGGCACACAGTAGGCACTCAATAGATGCTTGACAGATGAATGAAGGACTCAGCTAGAGATCTCAGAGGTCAAATTTTGCAGAGTTCCACCTTTGCAGCAATGGTAAGGAAGAAGCTCCCCCGACCCCCTCCTTCCTCGCTCTATGGGCTGGTACGGGCAGTTTTACAAGGCTGAAAGAGTCGCCGGAGGCTGTAAAGACACGAGGGCTTTTTCCTTTAAGTCTTCCCTGTAAGTCACCTCGAAGCATTTCCGGGATCGATTGGCTCTTCTCCTCCTTGTAGGAGCCCTCCCCAGGGAACTGTTTGCCGAAAGGAATCGGCCAGTTTGCATTTAGTCACCTTTATCTGACCCAGGAGATAAATCTCTCTTCGTTTCGTTTTTCTGCAGGGAGGATCCTGGGAGGCCCGCGCCGCACCACACAAATGCTGGAGACCTCGTCCATTCAGACAGTGATTATTCCAAATGAGAGATGATTCGAAGGCCTGAGGAAGTTGGTTGTTCTCAGAAAAGGAAGAGGGCATGTAGAGGCACAACGGCAAAGGTGCATTTAAGCTGCTTCAAGGAGCTTCTAAGCCTCCTTCTGGGGATGCCCGTGCATGGATCACAACCCCGGGAATGGGCCACTATGGGCAGAGAAAAAGGACACCACTCTGCCGAGAGGGACTTCAAGTTGAACAGAGAAGGGAATCCTAGCCACAATATCCTAGAGGCCACGTGGTTTATGAAGCCTGGATTTCAAATCCCAGCTCCTTTACACTCACCCCAGCAGCAGCGTCCTGGGTAAATGGCTTAAATGTCTTCTTTTCTGCGTCTCATTTTCTTCCTTTGCAAAAAGGACATAACGATGCTGACCTCATAGATACTGACCCCATAAAATGGTCTTGAGGACTAAATGAGCTTCTACACATAAAGAAAGGGCTTAGCACATGGTGAACCCTCAATACAGGTTGCCATTCCCACTCTATTGTTGTTTGGCTGATGCAGAAAAGCAGAGGCTGTTATTCACACACTGACCCCATGCCCCCTCCCACCAATGTGCAAGGTTGGTTTAACCCCACCACCACCCCCAGCTTCTGCCTCTCCTAGAGAAAGTTGTCCTGCCAATGGCAGCTTTACACAGAAGACGCCACTGGCTTCCCCCAAAGAGGTGGATCTTGTGCCCAGAGATTCCGAACCTCTTCATTCATAAATTTCCTTCCAACATTCGAGGTCCCCTCCTCAGGGGTCTCCTTTCAGATGCCTGGGATGGCTGAGGGTGCTTTGAAGTCAGTCTTTCTGCGAAGGGCTAAAACTCTGTGTGCTCCTTCCCATGGAGGACACAAGTAAGTGGCAATGCTTACCCCCAGGAAGCCATCACAAACTGAGGTCATGCTGACACTATAGCCTTGGCCAGGAGGGATGTTTTGGAGCGATCTGGAGTCCTGGTGCCTCTGACCTCCCACTGAGTCACAGCAATTAAGGGTTCAGCATAAGACAGACCACCTTTCCAATCCCAGATTGTCACTTTCTACCCTGTCCAGTGGCTGAATCTCTGCAAGCCTCAATTTCCTCATTAGTAGAATGGGAATATTAGTTGTATCAGCCTCATGAGATTATCATACAGTTAGCAATGAAATATATTAAAAAGCCTTCAGGTGTCTGTGCTTGGGCAGGGATAGGTATTATTAACAAAGAGAGCCTCCAACTGCAAGCTGAACACCATGGCTTTTCATTCCATTTTGGCCACAAACTGCTTAACAACTTTGGGCAAGTCCCTGCCCCTCTCTGGGTCTCAGTTTACCCTTCATACTCTCCAAGACTCCCTCCCCACTGGGAGACCACCATGCTGGGCTCACGTCTGTTGCACGTGACCTCTCAAACTTCTGTTTGCTCTGTCTTCACCCAGCGTCAGCACCGACTCTGGGTGGTTTTGCTCCTGAATCTCCACATTTGCCAGGGATACCTGCCTATTCATTGTGTTTCTTTTCTAGGAGCAGAAAACTAAGGTTGGCCAAGCCAGGGTTCAACCGATATCCTCTGCTTTTTTTGAATCATGCACACACACACGCACACACACACACACCTTGGCAGAACAGCCATCTCCTGCTGCCTTCATCTTCCCATGCCCCATCACTTGTTCATCCAGAAGTCCTTGTCAGAATGTCCCTCCAGGGATCAGCAGGTGGGAAATGTCATTTTGGATCCATTACTAGAGCTCCAAGGTGCTTAGAGATGATCAACACCAATTTCAACTTCCATCCACGGAGGAGGGAAGGTCGGGAGCAGCCCTCATCTCTGGCAAGGGGATCTGTGCTGGCCACCCCAGGCTGCCAGGTACCAGCACCCCAGGGCAGGGAAGGAGGGCAGCTTGCAAGGGCCGGGGGATGTCAGCCACTCTGTGTCCTCAGATTTCCCTGCCACGGCTGATTTGAATAATTCAGCAATGCCGGGTCTCCTGGGCACTATTGTCTTCAGTGAAGGCAAATCAGTCGCCCGCTCGGCCTGTTAAGAGGGCCCCTGCCTGCTGCCTTTTTCTGTGAATCAGGATTAATGAGATGGTGAGGGGAAGCGCCAAGCCCTGGGCAGAGATGCCGGCAGCCGGCTCTCTGGGAGCAGCGGGCCTCAGAAGTGGCTTCCGCCTTGATGTCCTCGGGCAGTCTTCTGGGGCAGCCATCAACCTGTCGATAACTAGCTATCACCCAGCCTGCCAGACCCCCAGCCTCCTGCCTGGCTCCTATGACTTCAGGAAAAAGAGATAGCAAGAGGGAGAAGGCGATCGGCAGGCGCCCTTTTCCCCTCACCTCTGGCAACGCGGCAGGCTGGGGTGATACACTTCACAGAGGGCTTCCTTTCCTGCAGGCTGCACCAAAGAGTGAGGTGCGAGGGTGATCCTCCTAGCCCTAGCCTGGGGCTGGTAAAGAGTTTGCTGGGCTCCAGCCTCCACTGCAATGCGGTTACAGAGACAGCCAGGGCCCCACACCTGGTTTTTTGACAGCTGTCACTCACATAGGGTACAAGAGACAATGGACAATGTCCTTGTGCCTCTCACTGGTGGTGCCTTCCTCTCCCTCCCTCTGCCTTGTAGTGGTCAAACAGGTGGGCTCAGGGTGCTCCACTTGTATGCTGTGTGACCATGGGCAAGTTGCTTAACCTCTCTGGGCCTCGATGACCTAATCTACAAAATGGAGATAAATACATTAGTTGCCCCACAGTTTGCTGAGAGGATTTCCAGGTATTTAAGCTTGTAAGCCCTTATTATGAGCTGATATCAAGCACACAATCATGTGTGGTCATATTGTATTAGTATCATTATCATTGGTAACTCTAAGATGGTGCTACTTGTCGGGCAGTCCATAGCCCATGCCACATGGCAAGTCGTTTGTTACCTGTCCACAGTAAGGTACCCACAAAGAATACGTACAGAGAAAGAAAAGTATTCAGAAAGTTTTGTAGCAATTTGGCAGATGGCAATTTTGTATCATTGAATATAATAATGAAAAAAGGGCTTAGATTTTGTATATTTTATTTTTCATTTAATTTTTCTAGGAATTTGCTTTTTTACTGCATTTTTTAAAACTGTCATTCTGCAATAAATTGGAATTTGAAAAAAATACTGGTGTCTCAGCACAGATAGCTTGAGAAGAGTGTTCTGGACAAACTCTAACATGCACACAAATCCCCTGGGGATCTTGTTAAAATGCTCTTACTGATTCAGTAAGCAGGGGTAGGACCTGAGATTCTGCATTTCTAATAAGGGCCCAGGGGAGGCTGAGGCTGCTGGTCCAGGGACCACACTAGTGAGGGGAGTGTGTGGAGCACCCTGGCTAATGCTTTTTCCCCACCCTATCTGGATGCCATTCACTCTAAGAAACTTCTCTGCACTCAGATCACAAAAGCTACCTCCTGGTCTGCCCTTGGCTGAAGACTTCCCAAGGTCTCTGGACACACAGATTACAAAGTTCAGACCCCACTACCAAATCAGAGGCATGTGTCAGGAGTTCCACGTGCTGCCAGCATCAGCAGCATCCAACAACTAGCATACATGAAACAGGTACCATGTGCCAGGCATTATACCTGAACTCTTCTAGAATCTTCAGCTGCAGCCCTTCTAGCCTGTGCAACTCTTTGAGATAATGCATGCCAATCCTGAGCACAGTACCAGGCAGAGCCAGCACTCAATCACTAGTAGCTGTTATAGCTATTCATTTTTCTGTACCTTTGCAATTTATCTTCACAACTCCTTAAAATAGAGGTGTAGCTGTTAGCTATTGCTGCGTAACAAACCAACCCCAAACCTAGTAGCTTGAAACAATATCCATTTATCCATGATCGCCCATGAGTCCATGGGTCAGCTGGATGTTCTGTCTTTCTGGGAATGTCTCAGCAGCTATTGGCTGGCTCACCCTTGCATCTGTGGTCATCTGGAAGGTGGGTGTTCTGGAAGGGGATCAGCTGGGACACTTCACGTCTGTTGCATATGGCCTGTCATCTTCCAACAGGCCAGCTTGAGCTCTCCCTATGGGGAATCACAGGGTCAGAGAGAACAGAGTGCACAAGGCCTCCTGAGACCTAGGCTCAAGACTGATGTATTATCACTTCTGCCCCATTTTATGGCCAAAATAAGTCACGAGACCATCCCAGCATCAAGGGGTGGGGAAATGGACTCCGTCTCATCACAGGAAGAGCTAGAAAGTCACATTGCAAAAGACACATACACAAAGAAAGGTGAAGACTTCGGGCCATTTTTTACAGGCTTACATTGTCCCCTCTTGCTAGATGAGGAAACCGAGGGTCAGAGAGGTTCAGAGATTTGCCTGAGGTCTGACAGCAGCTGGGAAGGGACAGAGCCTAGTTCTGCCTCACTCTGGAAACTATATTCTTAACCTCTATCTCAGACTCTTCTCCGCATGCAAAAAAAAAAAAAAAATACATTTTGGTAACTCAATTCACCAAAGGAAGAGGATTTTCAAATATTTTGACATCTCCAGTGGATGTTTTTGCCTGCTCTGGCTCCTGTGCCACCCCCTGCCCTCTAATCACAGGCCTGTTTTCCATCACCTGCTCTCCCTTGCCTCCTGAGTCTTGCAGCTTCAGGCAATTTATCTTTCCCTCTTGTTTTAATGGTCTCTTTAACACAGGGTTTTCTAACAAGACAAATTGAAGGGCTTGGGCATCAAGCTGAGTTTGTGCATGCTCACAGAAGGGGGTGCAATGAGGAACAAAAGGGAGCCCGGAGAAGGTACAGGCACAAGCTGAGTGGTCCCCCCAAATTCTGAAATTGGAGAAGCGTATATCTTCCGGCTCCCTTTTTGCCCACTTGGGGAGAAGAGCACTCTTGTTCCCAAAATCTAGTGGCTCTTGTCCTGCGTTCCCCAGACTTCCAGAGCTCTGAAAATATATTTGGAAGCTCCTTGAAATGAGTTGTAATATTTCAGCTAGTCTAGAAACTCAGGCAATCTAGAAATTTAACTTTACTGTTCTGTAACTGAGTATAATTTCTATTACAGCCTGTGTTCTTCCAGGTGGCAAAAATAGAATCATAGTTCATTTAGGGACGCCTACCCACTTTCTCCAGGGCTATGTCCAAATTCTGGGGGGATTGCAGTATGCCGACTTGATTGTTTATCAGTTGCATTGTTATCAGTTGCTACCTAACAAATTACCCCAAACTTTAGCATCTTAAAGTGACAATGAACATTAATTATGTCACATGATTTTTGTGGGTGAGGAATTCACAAGCAGCTTACATGGGTGGCCTGGATCTGGGTTGCTCATGAGGTTGTGGTCAGATATAAGCCAGGGCTGCAATCTTACCTGATGGCTTGACCAGGGGTTGAGGCTCTACTTTCAAGGTGGTGCACTCACATGCCCAGCAAGTTCATGCTGGCTGTTGGCTGGGGGCCTCTCCACAGGGCTGCTCAGATGTCCTCCTCACATGGCTTCCCTGAGGAAAAGGGATCCAAGAGGATGAGATAAAAGCTGCAAGTCTTTCACGGCATAACCTCAGAAGTCATACATCACCTCCTCTGTACAACACTGATCACACAGGTGGTACTGATATAATGAAGATGGAGGCTGGGCATGGTGGCTTGCACTTGCAATCCCACTGCTTTGGGGAGCTAAGACAGCAGAATCACTTGAGTCCAGGAGTTCTAGACCATCCTGGGCAACAAAACAAGAACCCTGTCACTACAAAAAAATTAAAAATTAGCCAGATGTGGTGGCACGTGCCTGTAGTCCCAGCTACTGGGGATGCTGAGGCAGGAAGATCGCTTGAGCACAGGAGTTCAAAGCTGCAGTGAGCCGTGATCATGCTACTGCACTCCAGCCTGGGCAACAGAGCAAGACCCTGTCTTTTGAAAATAAATAAATAAAATAATAAAGGAGAAGACTGAATGAGGGTATGAATCCCAGGAGGTGGGACTCAATGCAGCCCACCTGGGATGCTTGCCTCCCATAGGGTGTCAGGAATAGGGTTCATCTGGTTCTTGATGGTGTATTTATCCCACTGGCTTCTGCTGAGATGTTCTTGCTCATGTCTGACCTTGGGTACGTTGCAAACACCCTCCTTCACTCCTCACTTTAAGCCCCTTATGCTCTTTCAAAGGATGCATCAGTGTCTGTTCTGCAACTCAGAGAGTCTTTTCTGTTCTTGGAAACAGGGAGGCTTCACTTTTGCATCCTTCCATATCTTTTGTCATCTGCCCAGACCTTGGCTGGCTTTTCAAATTCGAAAGCCAAGAATTTGACTTGGTCTCTAACTGCTTTGTGCTGTGTCATTCTTTCCCTGAGGCAATAAATGCCGCATGGTCTGTCGGCTGCTGCCTGAAGGAGGACACTGGTCACAGGACATAAATTATTGCATGGAATTTAAAACACACACACATACAACAAGACCTTAGTTAATATTCCAGAATATTTTTCTGCCACGCTGCAAAAACAGTTGGTGAATATAAGTTGTCTTCATGATCTCTGTTCATTTCCACTGTGACCCTGTCCTGGGGTATCTAAAACATCCCCATTTTATAACTGAAGAAACAGAGTCAGAGAGGGTGAGTGACTTGCTAAACCCATATTCCACGTGGGTGGCTTTTCAGAAAACCTCAACTCCAGGTTTTCTGACCCAAGTCAGCGCTTTTGCTCCAACTGTGCTATTTCTTCTCTGACTTCTTTTCCCCTCTGAAATCTGCTTAAGATTTTTTCCTAATCACTGAAAAGGCACCTTCTTGGGTAACTTAAGAGGATTTACAAGCTAAAGAGAAGAGCCTTGAATGGTGGGATTTTATGCACAAGTCACACATGGGAGAGAACCTGAAGGGACACAAGATCAATTCAACACCCCTGAAATTATACACCAGGTCATCTCCTGCTTCACCCACAAGTAAGGTTGACCTTTTGAGTGGGAAGGATTCGAGACAGAGGGCAAGAGAAACAGATGGACTTACAGACAGAGCAGCAGGAGAAAAACAAAATCACAGTGATCCTTTCCATCCTCTTGCAGCAAAGAACCTCTCCAAGGAGCGTCAGCGTCTGAATTTGATACCAACTCTGGAAGGTTATTAAGTTTGAACTCCTAATAAAGAACAGATGGGAAATGGAAGAAAATCAAAGATCAAATATGCTTTCCATATTTTTTGCCTAAATGAAAAGAAAAAATTGTCAGGAACCATTGATCGCCTTTTGTGAGTGTCACATCACTGGTATGGGATTCCCGAGGCAGCAGGTGTGTTTCCTCACATGGATCCAGGCCTGGCTGCAATGAGCAGAAAAGGCAATGGTTTCCAGGCTGTAGCTGAAGGGTGGAGGGAGTTACCCCACAGCTCCCCCGGAGTCTGAGGATCCATCATCTGAACAGTGAGGGGCACAGGTTATGGTGAAACAGAACCACGGCTTCTAATTCTGGATCTACCATTATATGTGTGACTTTAGGCAAGTCATTCAACTTCTCCAAGCCTCAGTTTCCTCACCTGTAAGGATCTTTGAGATGATTTAAATAAATCGCTGCAGAGTAATTGTCTTGTGGTACCTATTTAAAAAGAAGTGGTCGTTGCAACACAGAGAAAATTACGTGTTCACTAAATGCTGTTTTATATTCATCCTTCCTGGATGCACAGAAAACTAGCTTTCCCTACCCTCTTCCAGCTAAAGGGGCATATGACTGGCTTTGTGAATGGAAGTGATGAGCATCGCTTCAGGCCAAGGAAGTGTACAGTCCCCATGAGGTTTTCCAATCTCTCTCCTCCCCTGACACAGCAAATGAGGCGTCCTCAAATTGCAGTGCAGAAGCACACAATTTTAAAAGCCTGGATCACTGAGTCACCACATGGACCATAGCTGCCTAGGCCCACAGTGGACTTCAGAGGGGTGAAAACTAACGTTTGTTTATGAGATTTGGGGTTGTTTGTTACAGCAGCCCAGCTGATGCTGACTAATTTACAAGTCATTATTTTTATTGCTATCATTGTTGTGTTGTGTCTAGAAGGCAGTCATTTAAATTCAAATAGTTTCCTTAGGATTGTTAAGTAACCGACCTAGATGAAATACACAGGTTGCTATTTAGCTCCCTGGTAGGGAGCAGAGTGTAATGTAGCAGGAAGATTTGGTAGGGAAAGGGGATAGAAAGGGCTTATCACAGAGAACCATAGGATTTGCCCAAACTCAATGGGAGGAATTTTAGCATCCTTTTCACCATATCAAACATATGATGTTTGCTTCATTTTCATTCATTGCCCTTCATCTCCCACTCCATCCTCCATACACCGACTTTTAATCACCTGGCACCCTCTGGCTCTCCTGGTCACATACTGACCCCTAATGCCTGATACCAGGTGTGGTTGCTCGGGTTTTGGTTTTGACCTTGGACACAGCCAATATATGAGACCTTTTTAGTCAGCGGCACCCCCACCATCCCCCTTGCTCCTGCTGATGTCCCACCCTGGTATGAACCATTGTCTCACAGGAGGAGCTTAGACACATTAATCAAACATTAATCCAGAAAAAAGAATAAAGATTATTTCTTGAAATAATTGAGCCAGAGAGTCCATGTCCCCAGATAATCATATCTCAGAATCAAAGAAATGCAAAATCGAAGAGCTATAGAAGTTGAGGATATAGTGCTAAAGAATCAAAGAATACTAAAAACCATAGAATCATTTAAAAAAAAGAAATCCCACAGGACTGTAGATCTCAGCAGAGCCTAAGAGTGGAAATTTGGCATGTTAGGCCTGCTCTACCCTCGGGCATCTATTTGCATGAGGACTGCAAGCTGGAAGAGAAGCAAGATTTGTGCTTGGGATCCTAAATGATGGAGAAGACAAGGCAAGATGGTCTGTGCCTCCCTTTGGTTCATATAAACCGACTGGGGAATCCATGTTGTCCTTTTATGAAGCTACACTTGTCCCTTGACAAAGATTCTCTCCTTAACCAAGCTCCAGTCAGGCCCCTCTGAACCCTCTTCTTGGCTAAGCCTTGACCCTGGCACCTGCCTTTGCTGAGCCTACATAGCCCAGTTGTAGTAAGAATCCTGCTAAGTTGGTTTAGGGAGAACCATCCCCCACCCCGCTGTCTGCTCATCATTCATATCTGGTCAAATCCCTCATCTTTCCACTGTCCCCCAGGTGATATCTGTTCACCTTGGACTGTCTTCGGCAAGAATTCCTCCATTTGATCTCCCCTCTTAGTAATTTTCCATCCACTTACCCTTTCCCTAACCCGCCACCCTTGATCATATATCTTCAGTTGTTGCATTTGAAGTTGAACCTGATCTCTCTCGCCTATTGCAATCATCTTGATACCCAACAAGATAGTCCTAAATAAAGTCTTCCTGTTTTCACATATGTCAGAATAATTTTTTCTTTAACACTCTTCAGCCAGTGTGCTGTGATCTAATGACAGTCAAACTTTGTGTGTGAAATTTTTTTCAAATAAAATCCAATAAGTACAATGGGTTGAGCTGATCATGTTGAAAGTAGGAAGTGAACATGAAATTCTGTGCACCTCATTGTTGGCCTCTTGTAGTTCCTTACATTCCTTGGGGACCCCAAGCACAGTTAGAAAACCTCTGGGGAGGTGGGGTGACCCTGCACAGGGAGCTGGACTGTTGGCATCTCAGTGCCATTGCTGCTTCCTGCCACATACTCCCCTGTATCATGAGGCTAGATAGAGCCTGGAAACTATACTTGCCCAACTGCGTTGTCAGTAGAGTTCCAGTTCAGTTTCCCCATTGTGAAGTACTCATGTGAGACCTGGAAGACAGGAGAGAATAAGAAAGCATTATTGTTCTACTAGCAGCGGGACTTTCGCAGAAAGCAGACATATGGTGTTTTCCAGCATCTTCTGGACATTTTCTCTTAAGTAACCCACATTGGTGCTGTAGGCAGCTGAGGACCTCAGTAGTAGTGCTCTGCAGGAATCCCTGCACACCCTGCTATCCTAAATGCTGCAGCATTGCATTCCCTGTATTAAATCTCTTCCTGATTGAAATACCTAGAGGGGTTTCTGTTTTCCTTATGCATCCTGATGAATACAGACAGTCAGAACACATGGCTTCTAATTTCATTTAGAGGTTAAGCCCGCCATCACATCTAGGAAGTGAGGAGCGTCTCTGCCCGGCCGCCCATCGTCTGAGATGTGGGGAGCGCCTCTGCCCCGCCGCCCCATCTGGGATGTGAGGAGCGCCTCTGCCCGGCCGAGACCCCGTCTGGGAGGTGAGGAGTGTCTCTGCCCGGCCGCCCCGTCTGAGAAGTGAGGAGACCCTCTGCCTGGCAACCACCCCGTCTGAGAAGTGAGGAGCCCCTCCGCCCGGCAGCCGCCCCGTCTGAGAAGTGAGGAGCCTCTCCGCCCGGCAGCCACCCCATCTGGGAAGTGAGGAGCGTCTCCGCCCAGCAGCCACCCCGTCCGGGAGGGAGGTGGGGGGGTCAGCCCCCCGCCCGGCCAGCCGCCCCATCCGGGAGGGAGGTGGGGGGTCAGCCCCCCCGCCCGGCCAGCCGTGCCATCCGGGAGGGAGGTGGGGGGGTCAGCCCCCCGCCTGGCCAGCCATGCCGTCCGGGAGGGAGGTGGGGGGGTCAGCCCCCTGCCCGGCCAGCCGCCCCGTCCAGGAGGTGAGGGGCGCCTCTGCCCGCCCGCCCCTACTGGGAAGTGAGGAGCCCCTCAGCCCGGCCAGCCACCCCGTCTGGGAGGGAGATGGGGGGGGTCAGCCCCCCCACCCGGCCAGCCGCCCCGTCCGGGAGGGAGGTGGGGGGGTCAGCCCCCCGCCCGGCCAGCTGCCCCGTCTGGGAGGGAGGTGGGGGGGTCAGCCCCCCGCCCGGCCAGCCGCCCCGTCCGGGAGGGAGGTGGGGGGGTCAGCCCCCCGCCCGGCCAGCCGCCCCGTCCGGGAGGGAGGTGGGGGGGGGTCAGCCCCCCTGCCCGGCCAGCCGCCCCGTCCGGGAGGTGAGGGGCGCCTCTGCCCGGCCGCCCCTACTGGGAAGTGAGGAGCCCCTCTGCCCGGCCAGCCGCCCCGTCCGGGAGGGAGGTGGGGGGGTCAGCCCCCCGCCCGGCCAGCCGCCCCGTCCGGGAAGGAGGTGGGGGGGGTCAGCCCCCCCGCCCGGCCAGCCGCCCCGTCCGGGAGGGAGGTGGGGGGGTCAGCCCCCTGCCCGGCCAGCCGCCCCGTCCGGGAGGTGAGGGGCGCCTCTGCCCGGCCGCCCCTACTGGGAAGTGAGGAGCCCCTCTGCCCGGCCACCACCCCGTCTGGGAGGTGTGCCCAGCAGCTCATTGAGAACGGGCCAGGATGACAATGGCGGCTTTGTGGAATAGAAAGGCGGGAAAGGTGGGGAAAAGATTGAGAAATCGGATGGTTGCCGTGTCTGTGTAGAAAGAAGTAGACATGGGAGACTTTTCATTTTGTTCTGCACTAAGAAAGATTCTTCTGCCTTGGGATCCTATTGATCTGTGACCTTACCCCCAACCCTGTGCTCTCTGAAACATGTGCTGTGTCCACTCAGGGTTAAATGGATTAAGGGCGGTGCAAGATGTGCTTTGTTAAACAGATGCTTGAAGGCAGCATGCTCGTTAAGAGTCATCACCAATCCCTAATCTCAAGTAATCAGGGACACAAACACTGCGGAAGGCCGCAGGGTCCTCTGCCTAGGAAAACCAGAGACCTTTGTTCACTTGTTTATCTGCTGACCTTCCCTCCACTATTGTCCCATGACCCTGCCAAATCCCCCTCTGTGAGAAACACCCAAGAATTATCAATAAAAAAAAATAAATAAATAAATAAAATAAAATAAAATAAAATAAAATAAAAAAAAGAGGTTAAGGGTGGGCTGGGCTGGTAATGGGTACCCACTGATAAAAGCAACAATAATAGCAACTCTTACTTTTTTTCTGTATGTGCAAGGCACTATGATGCGAGGCAATTTACCCAACCTGTCTCATTTATGAGACGACCCTGTTTTTGTTTGTTTGTTTTTGAGATGGAGTTGCCCAGGCTGGAGTGCAGTTGCGCGATCTCAGCTCACTGCAGCATCCGCCTCCTGGGTTCAAGTGATTCTCCTGCCTCAGCCTCCCAAGTAGCTGGGATAATAGGCGTCTGCCACCATGCCCGGCTAATCTTTTGTGTTTTTAGTAGAGACAGGGTTTCACCATGTTGGCCAGACTGGTCTTGAACTCCTGACCTCAGGTGAGCCATCCACCTTGGCCTCCAAAAGTGATGGGATTACAAGCGTAAGCCACCGCGCCTGGGCAAGACGACCCTTTAAGAAAGACCTTAGAAAGGAATTTCGTACCTCTCCCCGACTCTTCTGCCCTTTCTAGTAACCATTTTTTCCAGCCCTCAACCAGAGAAAAATAAACTGAGATCCTTATTTGGTCACTATAAAATATATATATAAAATACATATTGTGCCACATTTCAGTTATGCACAGGGTTACTGTACCACAAAATCGGCACCCTCTTGCCTGATTCTCTCTAAGCAGAGTTTTATCCCTGGGGAATCTCTGGCCATCCCCACTGGTCTTTATTTGCTTGATATACCTGGTAGGGTACACGCATTTAGGACCCCTCGCAGGATCTGGCCATCCTTCTCTCCCTACAGGCAATCCTGAGCACACAGGTCCCAAGATTTATATTTACACTGGGAAATCAGAAACCTCACTTGAACCTGGAGCTGAAGAATAAAGAATACTTTCTTCCTCATTTGATTGTTATTTGTCAGGCATCGAACCTTTGTCAGCCCCAAACCCTGCAGGGATGGGGAGATAAATGGCAGATCAGAATTAGGCATTCCAGAATCACCTTCCCATTGCTAACAAAACTTACTCCCAGTTGCTGCTGGAAACTCCCGTTGCTGACAACAATTAGCCCCAGTTGCTACTGGAAAGCGCTGATGCCCAGAGAAGTAAAGCAACTAGCCTAGTGTCACACAGCTAATAAGCGGTAATAGCCCAGATTTAGTCCTGCCAATCCCATTTCTGAGTCTACTCACTTCATTACTGCACTACTGTTTTTTTTGTTTTGTTTTGTTTTTGTATGACAGATAGTGGTTTGGAGGCTGTGAGGAAATTGTGTAACCCTTCTGGGTTGGAATTTTCCTCTCTGTCAAGTAAGAGAGACATTTTCAAGGTTGCTCTGGGTAACAACACCCTGAAATCTCAAGACGATGAATTCCTTGATACAAATGTCAACACCCCTGTCTGCTCCCTACACAGCCTGGCATATGGTAGGAGCTTAATGAATGTTCCACTTATGACCAGACTCTCTCCCTTACCCTCAGTGGGCATGAGTCTGCCTTTGTTGCTAATTCTGCACTTGACTCGTAAAAGCATCAAAGGCAGGGAGGAAGGATAAGAGGGGAAAAGGGAGGATTATTCCCACTTTATTTTTAGTTTAAATAATAGAGATAAAGAGGGAAAGACTGAGATAAGGGGGTCATCTTTCCCTCCCCCCTTTTAAAGAAACCTTAATTTCTTTTTTTTTGTACTTTTTTTATTATTATACTCTAAGTTTTAGGGTACATGTGCACAACGTGCAGGTTTGTTACATATGTATACATGTGCCATGTTGGTGTGCTGCACCCATTTACTCGTCATTTAGCATTAGGTATATCTCCTAATGCTATCCCTTCCCCCTCCCCCCACCCCACAACAGGCCCCGGTGTGTGATGTTCTCCTTCCTGTGTCCATGTGTTCTCATTGTTCAATTCCCACCTATGAGTGAGAACATGCAGTGTTTGGTTTTTTGTCCTTGCGATAGTTTGCTGAGAATGATGGAAGAAATCTTAATTTCTGCAGAGGCAAGTCCTTTGACTTTCCACCTGTGACTTCCCATTTCTAATCTGCAAAATGGGTACCTAGCACCTACCCTCCTTACTTTGCTAAACACATTCAACCATGACCTTCAAATGATACCTTGCCACTTCTACACTGAGGAGCCTTGGAAGGGCAAGGCATTCTGCTTCTCAAGCTTCACTCTCCTCTCCTATAGCATGGACCTCATGTTCATGCTCACACCTACCTCACCCTGCCATTAAGAAGATGAAATGACACATAATGGAAAAAAGTCTCTGCAGCCCTCAGCAGGCTGAGCTGATGTGAGCAATGCTGATAGCAAGATTCTGAATGCCCTTCCCCCAAGGACTCAAGATAACCTCCAAAGCACCCACAAGCTCAGTCCCTCATTTTGTCCTCCTAACAACCCCCAAGGCAGCCATCATCACATGCACTTGGCAGGTAAGGAAACCAATGCCTGCAAACTCAAACGGGGCTCCAGCCTCAGCACCATCACCCTTTTGCTAGACAACCCACCCTGCTCTGAGCCTCGGTCTTCCTCACCTGTGCAATGGGGCCAATATCTCTCCTCTGCAGAATTGCTGCAATGTGGTTTCCGGCACATCCTAGGTGCTCACATGCTCTTGCTCTCCCTGGGAGGGTCAGGCCTTGCCTAAGGATACCCCGCACTTGAGTGTGGGGCACCTGGGTCTTGAACGCAGAGCTCCCAAGATCCAGTTCCACCCCCTCTGACTGCAGAAGGCACTGCCCCCACGTTCTCGCTGGGAGTCCCTGGGAAATACTTCCATTGTAATTCCTTGGACTTGAAGCAAAAATTAAAGTTGCTGACAGCCTGCTCACCACCGTGCCGATTCGTAATATTGATGAATCAGGAGCCGGGCCCGGCTCTGGCTGTGGGTACAAGTGCCCAGAATATTCATGAGCCATACTACCATTCCCTGATGGCATCACTTCCTCCTTACGGTGTCATCATTCCACCACACGTCACTTGTTCCAACGTGATCTTCCGATGCCGCCCACACATCCCAGCCTGGGCAGACAGCCCCTCCTGCAGAGAACTAAATTCTAGGCCACAGTGAGGACAATTGGGTTGTCATCAGTGCACGGGGATATCATGGGACAATTACAGGGCCTGGGCTCCCACCAACACCTAGCAGGAGGTCATCTTCATTCTCCAACTTGGAGCTCTGGTCGAAGAAAGCAGCTTCTCATTCAAGCCCATGGAACAAAGCGACAGCTTGGTAACCCCCTCTCCCACCCTCCAAGGCCTGACCTGGACATTTTGGGAATCAGGGACATATTTCTCAATAAATACCCTTATCCCAGAAGGAGGCAGCCTGCCTGTCCTTGCACCCTGCAAAAGCTTGTCTGTGAGATGACATGAGTTGCCGTGTGCTTTTCTGGTTAAACATTTATACTACAGCTTTTGGAGATAAATGATACATACATGTGTCTGCATGATTACGATTAAATATTAAGCAGACACACAGACCTGGTCGGCCTGAAGGAAATGAAACCCGGTGACACAAATGTCAGATCTGAGAGGTGCTGAAGGGGGGATAATTAAGAGCATCAAGGTTGACCCAAGGCCAGTCGGGTCCGAGGCCACCCCAGCAGAAAGCAACCACCTGCCTCCCATCGGTCCCCTAATGAAGCTGAATAGACACACTGGTGGCTTTTGTCTTCTTGCCTTCTTTCCCCTTCTTCCCTCTTTCTTTCTTCACTCTCCAAGGCAAAGCCAGCTTGGGCAGCCTTCCCTACTCGTCTCTGCCGCACCACTCCAAATCTGACTGCATTTTTAAATTGTAGTTGATTAGGTTTTACGAGCTGACTTGCTCGACGTGGCACAAGTCGCAGTATATGTCAGAGGCCTGGCAGAGACTTGAATTGAAATGATTCTAATTACGTGTGATAATTTTTGCATTCTAACATAAAACAATGTTACCCAAAAAAAATCCCATTACAACGGTTAAAAGACAAATCATTTAGCAAGTCCCTTTCTTTATTACTTTATTAGACAATTTACAAGGCAACATTTTGAACATTGGGACCGGGCGATGGCCCAAGTCTATCCAACCGTAAGTTGCACTAAGAAAAGAGAGTTCATCTCTTGTCATTAGTCAGAGAGTCAAATGCAATCACGGGGACTCCAATTGGCTTGTCAGATTAGCCACCGTTTCAAATCATTAGCATGGCAGAGCATTGCAAAATGCAGGGCGCTCCGAAAAGAAGCATTTAGCTGCCACCCAAGATGTTTTAGAATGCTTCCTCCAAGCAGCGTCCAAGTACCCCAGATTCCCTCCCTGAATATCCCCCGTACCCGCCCATCCCCAGCAAATATCCTGCCCCATTCCTCGCAGCTTGGTCATGTGATCTGTTCTAG
Source organism: Homo sapiens (assembly GCF_000001405.40). Lineage (NCBI taxonomy): Eukaryota > Metazoa > Chordata > Mammalia > Primates > Hominidae > Homo > Homo sapiens. The sequence goes on along the minus strand of NC_000022.11, from coordinate 26,767,751 downwards.
CCAGTGAAATCAGAGCAGGGGTGACTTGTGTCACTTCTGGGTAGAATCTGCAAGAGATCGTGCATGCTTCTCTGAATCTCTTTTCTCAACTGCCTTCGGACTAGCAATGTCCACTGACCTGAGTTATGGGTAAAAAGTATTTTAAGCAAAGCATCAGCCACTTTTCATCACGTAATGATAAAAGTGTGAGTGATGAACATGTAACTTGAATGAAAAATAAACCTTTGCTTTTTATAGGGTGACTAACCTTCCTGGTTTTTGAAGGTCTGCGGGGGTTCCTGAGATGCATGACTTTCAGTTCTAAAACTGACAGTCCCAAGTAAATTGTTTTGGGGTGCCTGAGACTGAGAGATTTCCTGGAATGCAGGATTCTAGTGCTAAACCTAAGAAAGTCCTGGGCAAACCAAAACAAGTTTTGGTCACCCTCTTGTGTCCGGAATTCGTTCCTTCCGGTGGGTTCTTGGTCTCGCTGACTTCAAGAATGAAGCCGCAAACCCTCGTGGTAAGAGTTACAGTTCATAAAGGCGGCTCTTCTGGAGTTGCTGGTTCCTCCAGGTGGGCTCGTGGTCTCAGTGGCTTCAGGAGTGAAGCCGCAGACCTTCGTGGCGAGTGTTACAGCTCATGAAGGTAGTGCCAACCCCCAGGTGTGCAGCAGCAGAATTTTCTGTGAGGAGCCAAGGAACAAAGCTTCCACACCGTCGGAGGGGACCCAAGCTGGTTGCCGGTGCGGGCTCGGGTGGCCTGCTTTTATTCCCTTATTTGGCCCCACCCACATCCTGCTGATTGGTCCATTTTACAGAATGCTGATTGGTCCGTTTACAGAGTGCTGATTGGTCACTTTTGACAGAGCGCTGATTGGTGTGTTTACAAACCTTTAGCTAGACACAGAGTGCTGACTGGTGCATTTACAATCCTTTAGCTAGACAGAAAAGTTCTCCAAGTCCCCACCTGACCCAGAAGCCCAGCCAGCTTCACCTCTCACTATCTTTGGAAGCCATAGATAATTTTGGAGATGTTTGTTACCTCAGCATAACCTGGACTAAGCTGACTGATACACTCTCACTTTACAAACAAGGGAACCAAAGTTCAGAAAGTCAACAGACTTGGTAAACATAGAGTGGCATGAAGGCAGAATGGAGATTTTGCAATCAAATGAGTGGAGGTTTGGGGAGGTCAAAGCGGGAGGAGCACTTACAGCCTGGAGTTCAAGACCAGCCTGAGTAACATAGTGAGACCCTGTCTCTACAAAAACAAAATTTAGAATTAGCCAGGCATGGTGGTGCATGCCTGTAGTCTCAGTTACTTGGGATGCTGAGGTGGGAGAATCACTTGAGCCCAGGAGTTTGAGATTGCAGTGAGCTTTGATCACACCACCACATTATTCCAGACTGGGCAACAGAGTGAGACCCTGTCTCTAAAAAAGTCAAGGTTTGTTTCCTGGCTCTGCTGATTACTGGCTGTACTACCTTGGGAAAGTGTCACAGACTGGTTCCTGGGAAGCAGATGCTGGGGCAGAGTTTAGCGGGCAGCATGTTTAGTAGGAAGTGTTCTTGGATCAACACCTTTGGAGAAGAGGAAAAAGAAGCAGAGTTGGGAACAGGGAGAAGTTGAGCCATGGTGAAGGTTCAACAAAGGTCTCAGCCAATCCTATGGGGCGCTCTGAAACTGGTTGGCCCTTTGGAGCTGTCTCAAGTTGGGATAAGGAGGTCAGGCCTTTATCCTCTTGCATCTATCAGTCATTGGATATGGGTTGACCCCAGAAGGGAGTGAACTTGGGTGATGCAGTTTTCCTGCGCTGGGGCAGCCCTGAAGAGGGCAATTCTCTCAGCAGTTATAAATAAATCCTTCCAGCCAGGCGCAGTGGCTCACACTGCAGCCCTACCTACTTGGGAGGCTGAAGCAGGAGGATCACTTGAAGCCAGGAGTTCAAGGCTGCGATGAGCTATGATTGCACTACTGCACTTCAGTCTGGGTGACAGAACAAGACCCTGTCTCTAAAAAGAAAGAAAGAGAGAGAAAAAAAATCCTTTCTTCCATTAGATGAGTCTAGGCTGTGCATCACAGCCTTCAATACGGTAAGTTACTCAAACACTGTGAACCCCAATCCTCATCTGCAAAATGGGACGAACAGTTCATGTAGATTGCTAATACTGTGTGGATAATTTGTTGGATACTTACCCTATGCCAGGCCCCAAGTTAAGAGTTTTATATGCACTTTAACACGTGGGGATGAAGGAACTAGAACATGTAAGATTCTTAGAACAGTGTCTGGTACACCATGATATATTGTAATAATTATTAATATTAAAGGTATCCCACTTGTACAATTGCAGCCATCTCCTCACTGGCCTCTGCCTCTGCTCCCAGTTCTTCCCCTCATGGTAGGCAGAGGGATCCCTCAAAAAAGGCAAATGTTACGTCACTCTTCTGCTCTAAACTCTTCTGTAGCTACCTGTTACCTTCTAGATAAAGCTCAAGATCCTTCCCATGACATCAAGGCTTTGCTAATCTCTCCCTGTCTACTCCCCCTGCTTCCAGCCTCATGGCCAGGGACATTTAATGGCTTTCCATTTAACAGCTTTTCCCAGCCATCCGCTCCTCTCTCCCGTGTGGGGAATTCCATCTTGTCTTTCAAGACTCAGCTGAGGCATCATCTCTTTCACGAAGCCATCCCTGACCTCCAGGCAGGTCAGACACTTCCTTGAGACCCCCACAGCCTTCCTGGCATGCTCCAACCATGCTACTTGGATTCTTTTTTATCGACTCATAATAATAGTACATATTTATGGGGCACAAGTGATAGTCTGATGTATGCCTACAATGTATAATGATCAAATCAGAGTAATTGGGATATTGGGGTATCCATCGCCTCCACCATTTATCATTTCTTGTTAGGAGCATTAGTGTTGGGAGCATTTCAACCTTCTCTTCCAGCTATTTTGAAATATACAATAAGTTATTGTTAAGACTAGTCCCCCTACTGTGCTATCGAACACTAGAACTTATTTTTTCTATTTAACTGCATGTTTGGACCCATTAACCAAGCCCTCTCCACTCTGCAACCTGGATTCTGACAATCCATTTGTCAGCTTCTCTTTCCCACTGCACACTGAACTTTATGAGGCTGAAGCAGCAACAGCATTTTTGGATTCCAAGAGAGGCTGTCTTTTTTAAAGCTCCTCATCTCGGGGCCCAACAAAAAATTCATGGTCAGTAAACACTCAGCAGATGAATGAATATTCCGCCCAGCCCTTTACAGGATAAACATGGGAACCAGGAATCACTTCTCCACGTTTCAGTAGAAGCTACCTAGAAATTCAATTTGAAATCCTTGAAAATTGGCTGCAAATTTACTAACCCCTAGAGATGCAGATGAACGAAACCAGGCAAACGACTTCTATTGTCATCAGCAACGGCTGTTGTGTTTTGAACAAGCATGTTTGTAACTGCAGACTAGGCTATGCGCTCTAAGGACTCAGAAGCAAGTAGAACTATCACCTTCTGGTGTCGCTCTTGGCCGTGGCTGGCCACGTGGCCTTGCGAGAGTCACTCCCCACTCGGAACCTCCGATTCTTCCCCTGTAACATGAGGGAGGGAGACAAGCTGAGCTCTAAACACACGGACTTCCCTCTCCAAACAAAACAAACAAACACTGTTTGCACAACTCTTTAGCTCATCAATCTGTGGCTCCTGTTGACTGCTGGGAATGTCTCTGTGGTTCAGTTGCTAGCTCCTCTCCTGGCATCAAGGCTGTCACCATCATGCCACCTTCCTTTCTAGGAACATCCCGGGGTGCCCCTTGCAAGCCAGAAACATAGCAAAGGAGCATCCCCATGTGCCTCCTGCAAGCCAGAGATGTAGCTCACGTGCCGCCACCCTCAGTCCACACCCTGCGCTGTGGTCCTCTCCCCCAGCAATGATTCGTCTCCTTCAATGTGCTCAGGGCACCATGAGGGCAGGAATGTCGCCTCAGCATCTTGGAATGCCCAGGGCCTGGCACCATGCCAGGTATACAACTGATGCTCAGAAACCACTGTATCATGTTTATTTCATTATGGGCCTATCATGGGTTAGGTTGTGTCACCCAAAACAATGTTAAAGTCCTAATCCCCAGGAACTGTGAACGGGACCTTGTTTGGAAATAGTCTTTGCAGATGATGGAGTTCAGATGAGGTTGTTAGTTAGGGTAGGCCCTTCTCCAAAATGACTGTGCCCTTATTCAAAAGGGAGATTTGGACACAGATCACCATAGAGGGAAAACAGTGTGAAAACGTGGGGAGAAAGCTGGGAATAAGGCCGTCTACAAACCCACGAATCCCTGAGGCTGCCCGAGGTGCCAACACCTGGGCTTCAGACTTCAACCTCCAGAACAGAGAAAGAACACATTTCCATGTATAAGCCGCCCAGTCCGTGGGTCTTTGTTTTGGCAGACAAGGCCTGTCTCTGCCCTGAGTAAGTCAAGGGCAGGACTGTGTCTGACTACCGGCTGTGTCAGCCCAGGCCTGTGATATGAAACATTCTAAGCTCAAAAGAACAAGAGTCCCACCCCCAGCTGCCGACTCTCCAGGGGGACAGAATTTTCTCTTCCAATGGCCAATCCCCAATATTCATTTAAGCAACATTAATATGTCAGACTGTAACCAATGCCACGCAAAGATAAGCCTTGTCTGCGTGTGTGTATGTCTGTCTGTCTGTCTCCCATGCTGGTCTCTGAGCCCCTCAGGGCCATCTCTTACTCATTTCTGTGCCCTCCAGCACCCAGTACAGAGCCTGGCACACCCAATACAGAGAAGCCTCCTTATTCACTGTGGCTTAGTCACTGGCACCGGTTTCTTTCTGAAGTCAAGGGGATTTATGTTTACCCGAGGCCTCTCTCTGACATGAAACATTTTGCACGCCCATCCTCCTGGTGTGGGGTAAAATGCAGGAGCTGGCCCAGGCTCTGCTGTGCAGGTGACATCAACCCACTCAGCCATCATAGAGGGGAGGAAGGAACATTGGACCTGGGTTCAGGGCCTGGATCTACATGGATTTACTGTGTGTCCTTGGGCAAGACATTCCTCTGTCTGGACCTCAGTGTTCCCATCTGTAAAATGGGGTGAGACGTACTTTAGAATTTCTTTCTTTCTTTCTTTCTTTCTTTATTTTTTTTTTTTTTTTTTTTGAGGTGGAGTCTCGCTCTGTCTCCCAGGCTGGAGTGCAGTGGCACGATCTCGGCTCATCACAACCTCCACCTCCCACGTTCAAGAGATTCTCCTGCCTCAGCCTCCAGAGTAGCTGGGACTACAGGCACACACCACCATGCCTGGCTAATTTTGTATTTTTAGTAGAGATGGGGTTTCACCATGTTGGCCAGGTCTGGAACTCCTGACCTCAAGTGATCTTGCCCGCCTCAGCCTCCCAAAGTGCTGTGATTACAGGCATGAGCCACCATGCCCGGCCTGCTTTAGAATTTCAAAAGGCCCTTCTTGCTACAGAACTGGACAATTCTACTGCATGGTAAGTGCTTACTGTATACAAGACACATGCTGCAGAGATGGGGAAGGAAAATTAAACTGCCTGCTTTGCATGAGACGCTGTGCTAGGTGGAGGAGAGGATGGTGACTGAGACAGAGACAGAGGCAGCTGGTCCTCGTGGCACACAGTCCAGGGTTTCACAAAATGCACCCTATCATTGATTCACCAAATGTCAGAGGAGCAGGCAGGGATGAGCTGGTGTCAAGCCCTCCGTGAGCCACTCCTGCCCTCCCTTTCGGGGCAGAGCCATTGTTCAGGAGGCTGGAGCTGTGGCTATCTAAAGGGAGACACATAGGCTCATAGTGAAGATTCTGGACTTAGAATTCCGATGCTGGGGCCAGGCACAGTGGCTCACACCTGTAATCCCAGTACTTTGGGAAGCCGAGGCGGGAGGATAGCTTGAGGCACGGAGTTTGAGACTAGCCTGGGAAACATAGTGAAACCCCCTCTCTACCAAAAAAATACAAAAAATTAGCAGGGTGTGATGGCATGAGCCTGTCATCCCAGCTATCAGGAGGCTAAGGTGGGAGGATCGCTCGAGCCCAGGAGGTGGAGGTTGCAGGGAGTGGAGCTCCCACCACTGCATTCCAGCCTGGGTGATAGAGTGAGATTCTGTCTAAAAAAAAAAAAAAAAAAAGAAGCAAAGAAAGCCCACCACTTCCCACTGCATGGCCTCAGTCCTCAGTTTCCTCTGCTAGAAAATGGGTTCATTCCTGTTTCTGCCTTGAGGGGGTCAGTGAGAATAGCACAGGAATTGGAACATGCGTGGTCCTTGCATCAGGACCCGGCCTACAGGAGGTGGTCAGGAAATAATGTCCACTCTTTCTTGATCCCTGTTGCCAAGGAAGGGAGAAGTTTGAGGCCAAGGGGTGAGGTCACTGGGCAGCCCTTGCCCATGAGCTTGAGCCACTCAGCTGCCTTCTGTGGTCTTGTCACATCCCCCATCCAGTACCTATGTGTAGAAACCCACCCTTCCCACAGACACCCAGTGGTCTGGGATTTTATTCATCTCTTTCATTGACTGATATGGAAACTGAGGCAAGAGGACAGAGCAACTTGCCCAAGATTATTCAGCGAGATGGGGCATCATAGGAGCTGGATTCTACAAATCTTTATTCGGAGTGCATCCTCCCCTCCTTCCTCCACTTCCTCCTTCATCAACACCATCTCTTTACTAACCACTCCTTCTAGACCAGGCTCTGTGCTCAGCCTTTACACTCTGACCTCACCAAATCCCATCAAGTAGATACTTGAACTAGCCTATTTTACAGATGAAGAAACAGAGACTCTGTGAAGGCAAGTGGCTTCAAGCCAGACCTTGATCCTTTCTAGTGACTTCCCGAGCAGGCTGAGTCTTTTAGAAACCCCCATACCACAACACTCACCCACACCCTTTCCACTGGGACAACCATGCCTGGCCATGACTGAGCTCTTACAATGGCCAATACACTGTTTAGACACCCCAAAGCAGGCACTACTATTATCCCTGTTTTACAGAGGAGGAAACTGAGGCTCAGAGAAACCAAGTCCCTTCTAAGCTCACCCAGCAGGTGTGGAGCCCAGATTCGACGCCAGAGCCTGTCCATTGACCCCAACACCATGCTGTGTCCACAGGGTCTCTGCATGGAGCCACAGACAACATGAGCCCCGTCTGGGAACTCTGTGCACAGCCCTGGTTGCTTGGGTTCTCTGCATGACAACATCAGCCTCCATCTGGGGAGATGACAGGGGGCTGAACTTCAAATTTCCACCTTCAACTCTAAAGAGACGATGTCGATTCATTCCCCCTGACCCCAGCAGGCATTAACTGAGCACCTGCTAGGAGCCAGCCCCTGCTAGGGGCCAGGCCCCAGGGAACACAAATACACAGAGAGAAGCAACAGCCAGGGAAACAAATTTCCGGAAGGATGCTGGAGAAGTAGGAGGCTACACCCATGAGAAATGGGTGATGTTCCCCTAGTGGAGTGTCCGTCTGTCTGTCTATCTGTCCGTCTGTCATCTGGAGGGGCAGGAGGGGCTAAGCCATTTCCCAGCCCCACCACCACCCAGCACAACCCAGGCTCTGGGACAGGAAGCCCCACCAGCCAGCAAGACCCATTCTCCACAGCCGGGCTTCAGCAGAGCCATGACCCGAGGTCTTCTCATCTCCAGCAGCTCTGCATTCGGTAACTGCCCTGCCACCTGCTGCCTTCTGGGTCAGAATCAGTTTTCTCCAACTCCGTCCACCAGTGGACAGCGCCCTCAGCTTCCTGACGCCCTGAACATTCCAGCTCTGGGGCCCATGCCTGATGGGGGAACGGTCTGACCACCACCCCACCCACTGCCTCTGCCATCCCAATGTGAATCTATGTTGCAGAGCTCTTGTCTCAGTTATTAATAACCATAGTAATAGTCTTTATTTCAAAGCACTCACTAAGGGTCAAGTCCATACTAAGCTGGTACCCGCCTCAATTATTTTATCCTCAGAGCCACCTTGGAGGCAGGAACAATAAGTATCTCCACTGGAAAGATGAAGAGACTGAAGTTCAGAGAGTAAGTGGTGGGTAGCCAGATTTCAGCCCAGGCCTGCATGGCTCCAAAGCCCCCTGCCCCACTGAGGGGCAGAGCAGGTGCACTGCAGACAGGGACTTTCCTGAGGCCCTGATCGCAATGGGGAGAAGGCCTACTTTCCCCAGCATGTCCCAGAATGATGCCTGAAGATCCTCAGGCCCAGAGGCCAGGAGCTCTTTTTTGCATTGCTTTTCAAGGGGGAGGTGTATGGCCTTGGTCAAGTGGCTTTCACCTGTCTGAGCCTCAGTTGCATCACCAGTACCAAGGAAGGTGATAACACCTCCTTTCCAGGTGCCTTTTCCTAGCTGGGATCTTCACTCATCTCTGAACCCCCTCACAGAATCCACGTCAGATAAAGTGGCTGTGGGAGCCAGGAGAGACCCAGCAGAGACGATGGGTCCACCTGAGCCACTGCCTCCCTCTGCCTGAAAGCCCAGTGATCCCTTCTGCTTCACTCTGAGGCCCTTGCAGTTTTCAGCAGGACAAAGAAAAACTGTGCTTTGAGTTAAGACACTTGAAAAAAAGTTCATTTGCACAGGGAGTCTCAGGGACTCCTAGCCATGCATCCCAATACCTGCATCCCAAGGGTAGGAACACAGCTGTAAGTTCTGGGTTCAGAGCCTCACACCATGCTGGGGAGAGCGGAGAGCCGGGGCCTCTTCTCAGGGACCTCACAGGCCTTTGTCATCACAGCTGTGTTTATCAAGCATCTTCCATGTGTTCGGACCCCCTCGTTTAATCTCACAGCCACCTCAAGGGTACGTGCGATTATCTCCATTGTACAGATGAAAAAACTGAGTCTCAGTGGCAGTGAACCAAGGAAAGCAATAGCCCAACCAGGATTGGAACCCAGATTGTTTATTCCAGGGTCATTGTTCTTCCCCACAGCTCCATGCCCGACCAGCCTGAGACAACCACCAAGTCCTGACCAGCTCCTTCCACAATCCCTATGGGGGAGCAAATACCTGTCACTTCAGTGGAGTAAAAAGAGGACCAATTTTAGAGTCCCACAGAGCTTAGTTCTGAAAGACAATACCAGAAACACAAGCACCAAAAGAGAAACACGGGTGTGTTGGACTTCCACCAAAACTTAAAACTTTTGTGCTGCAAACAAAACCATATAGTAAAAAGACCCTCCATAGAACGGGAGAAAATATTCCCGATTCTTATATCAGATAACTGATTTGTATCCAGAATATATAAAGAATGCTTACAATTCAACAATCAAAAGACAACCCAACTTTTTTTTCTTCAGACGGAATCTCACTCTGTCGCCCAGGCTGGAGTGCAATGGCGCAATCCTGGCTTACTGCAACCTCCACCTCCAGGGCTCACGTGATTCTCCTGCCTCAGCCTCCCGAGTAGCTAGGATTACAGGCATGTCCCACCGTTCCCAGCTAATTTTTGTATTTTTAGTAGAGATGGGGTTTCACCGTGTTGCCTAGGCTGGTCTTGAACTCCTGACCTCAGGTGATCCGCCCACCTTGGCCTCCCAAAGTGCTGGGATTACAGGTGTGAGCCACCGCACCTGGCCAATCAACCCATTTTTTAAAAAATGAGCAAAGGATATGAATAAGTATTTCTCTCCAAAGAAGATATACGAATGGCCAGTAAGCAAATGAAAAGATGTCTGACATCCTTGGTCATCAGGGAAGTGCAACTCAAAACCACGATGAGATACACTTCCTACCCCCTAGGGTGGCTAGAATCAAAAAGGCAGATAGTAGCAAGTGTTGACAAGGATGCAGAGAAACCCAAATCCTCATACACTGCTGGTGGGAATGTAAAATGGTATAGCCACTCTGAAAACAGTCTGGCAGATATTTGAGCAGTTAAATATCATGTTACCATACGATCTGGCAGTTTCACTGCAAGGAAATTGAAAATATCTATCCGCATAAAACCTTTTCACAGCATTATTCATAGTAGCCAAAAAGTGGAAACAATGAGCAAATGAATCAATAAAATGTGGTATATCCATACAATGGAATATTATTCTGCAATAAAAAGGAATGAAGTACTAATGCACATTGCAACATGGGTGAACCTTGAAATTATACTAAGTGAAATAGGCCAGGCACAGAAGGCCACATGTTACATGATTTCGTTTGTATGAAATGTCGAGAATCTACACAGATAGAGAGTAGATTAATGATTGACAAGGGCTGGAGGGATTGCTAACAGATAGAAGATTTCTTTGGGAGAATTTACTAAAATGCTGTAAAATTGAATTGTGGTGATGGTTGCAGAACTATGTGAACATACAAAAAAAAATTGAAATGTATACTTTACATGTGTGAATTCTATGGTATGAGAAGTCTAGTCTCAACAAAGCTGTAAGAAAAAAAAATTCCAACTCTATCAAACCCCAGAGCTGTGTGTTCTTAGAATAAAGGTTTCCCAGCTTCAAGTCTCAGTTTCCTCCTCTGCAGGATGGGCTAATAAGCCACATCACCTTGCATGAAAATCAAGGAGACAGCACAGCTGGGGCCCAGCACGTAGTAGGCCTCACTCCGCACGAGGTTCCTTCCGCAGAGGGGAAGGGAATGGGGGTTGCCCAAGTAGGGCGCACGGCCAAGGCCATGGCTGGTCCTGGACGGCCAGACGGACTGGACGGAGGAGGAGGCTCACCGCCCATGACATAATGTAGATGGATGGCTCGGGCCATCCGTCAGGCTGGGAGCGGGTGGCCGGGGAGGAGGCCGTGAGGGAGCCCATTACCGTACACGTGTTAACAGCGCATCCTTTGTACAGACAGCCGCGCGGGCGCGGGCCAGGGCCGCTCCCCACATTGTCTGGGCGCCGCGGCCGCGCGGTGATGAATGGGCCGCGCGCGCCCGGCCGCCCCCGCCGCCGTCAGGATACCACGGGCAGAGGGCGACACCTCGTGGCTGTTTACAGAACTGCGGGCTACCAGGCGGGCACAGAGGGCGCAGGTGGGCCCCCCGCGACTTGCCTTTAGTGGGAAGCTCAAGATACTCTGTGTATAACACTTAGCACAGAGCCTGGTGCGTCGTAGGCCCTCAAGAAATCCAGATCATAATTACAACCACCTTTATTTTCAAGGAAAAAAAAAAAACAGGCTAAATGAGGTTCAGAAACGGGGTGAGGGCCAGGCGCGGTGGCTCGCGCCTTGTAATCTCAACAATTTGGGAGGCCAAGGCGGACGAATCACACCTGAGGTCAGGAGTTCGAGACCAGCCTGGCCAGCATGGTGAAATCTCATCTCTATTAAAATACAAAAATTAGCCGGGCTTGGTGGCGGGCGCCTGCAATCCCAGCTACTTGGGAGGCTGAGGCAGGAGAATCGCTTGAACCCGGGAGGCGGAGGTTCCAGTGAGCCGAGATTATGCCACTGCACTCTAGCCTGGGCGACACAGCCAGACTTCATCTTAAAGAAAAAAAGAAAGAAAGAAAAGAAACGAAAGGAAATGGGGTGAGGTTACCAAAAACTGGGTAGCAAATAATTTTTTAGTATATCAAAGATCTCTAGGGGATAGATTTATCTTTTTTAAAAAAAATCACTCATTATTCATCTGAAATTCACTTTTAACTGGGAATGCTGTGTTTTTGCGCTTGTGTTTGCAAACCTGGCGACCCGATAACTGGGTGCCTTTGGACACAGCATTCCACCTCTCTGCTTCTGTAAAATAAGAGAAGCAAGACTCTATCCCTACACGTTTACAACAATAACTACAGGACTGTTGTGCAGATTAAGTGAGAGGATACAGGTAGTGAATATAAAGCCGGTCAGGGTTAAAGTTGCCATGTCCCTGATCACACCTATTTGCAGAGTTTAGGAAAGAAAAGGAGTCCAATAGCCACTAAGTTTAATGTGACTCCAGGCCTTTGTATGCTCTGTGTCCTGCTCCTGGATGACCCTCCCCTCTCTAATGACTCCTGAAGGTTCTCTCTGACGCTCTTCTTCCCAAATCGTAATCCCAACACACATTTCCTTGGAGCTCTCATCTATTTCATCTCAGACCCCTGCCTCTACCTGTCTTCTACCTGCAGGGAGAGGCAGCGTATTACTCCTTACCTGGCCTGCCTGGCACATACGAGACATTCAACTAACATTTGTGGAATGGGTGAATGTAGACATGGCTCAAGGCTCAGAGAAGAATACCTTATATCATGTGGCGTGGCAATGCCAGAAGGTAAGACCATGAGGGTGGGCTCTGCCCTGTTCCCCTGCTATAGCCCCAGCATCTAGTAGGCACCTAACAAAATTGGTTTACTTTAATGCAAACTGCTAACCTGACTGAGCTCTGTGTCTAATGCGCTGTGCCAAACATTTAATTATTTAAAACTTTTTATTTCCATAGGTTATTGGGGAACAGGTGGTGTTTGGTAACATGAGTAAGTTCTTTAGTGGTGAGCTGTGAGATTTTGATGCACCCATCACCCAAGCAGTATACACTGCACCCAATTTGTAGTCTTTTTTTTTTTTTTTTTTGAGACAGAGTCTCACTGTCGCCAGGCTGGAGTGCAGTGGCACCATCTCGGCTCACTACAACATCCGCGTCCCGGGTTCAAGTGATTCTCCTGCCTCAGCCTCCCAAGTACCTGGGACTGCAGGTGTGCACCACCACCCCCAGCTAATTTTTGTATGTTTAGTAGAGACGGGGTTTCACCATCTTAGCCAGATGGTCTCAATCTCTTGACCTCGTGATCCACCTGCCTCGGCCTCCCAAAGTGCTGGGATTACAGGCATGAGCCACTGCACCCGGCCCAATTTGTAGTCTTTTATCCCTCACCTCCCTCCCACCCTTTCCCGCTGAGTCTCCAAACTCCACGGTGTCATCCTTATGCTTCTGCATCCTCATAGCTTAGCTCCCACTTATGAGTGAGAACATACGACGTCATGCCAAATACTTTAAATATTTTCTCAACTATTAACTTTTCACAATGATGCAGGGAAGTGGTTACTATTATTGTGCCCACTGTACAGATAAGGAAGCTAAGGCACAGCAAGCTGGAGCCTTTGCCCAAGATGATGTAGATGTATGTGGAGGAATCGCACCTGAACCACAGCAGCTGGATCCGGTGCCCACCCTGAAGTTACTCAAGGACTTCAGAGACAGACCTTGACATGAACACGGTTTCCAACCTTCTCCAGTGAATGACCTCAGCAAATCTCTTCTCTCTGAGTTCCAATTCCCTCCATTCCTAAAGTGGAGAGAATGAAATTTCCAACCACACAAGATGGTGGTAAAGAACAGAAACTGTTCATGGAAAATGCACACAGCAGGTGCTCAATAACTGATGGTCTTCCTGGAAAATGCACACAGCAGGTGCTCAATAACTGATGGTCTTCCTGGTGATCACCGAAGCCCTGAGAAAGCAGCTTCTTAGGGCCACCATTTGCAAAACAGCACTTTGTGGTTGCTAATTCCTCATAGAGAGAAAAATAGCTGGAGAGATTTCCATTAAGATTTTCTCCAGAAATCAGTGCCCCTGGCAAGCTGCAGGGCTGAGGAGTGCCTCTAAGGTACCTGGAGTTCCAGTCCACAGGTGGAGGCTGGGGGAAAGGGAGGGAGGAGTAAGGCAGGGATGTCTTCAGGGCCCCGGCTGAGTCCCCTCCCCACCTCCACGCAAAGGACAGAGGAAGTGGGATGAAATCGGGGGCACTTTGGGGGCTTGAGGCACAGTGGGGTGACATTCTGTCTGAATCAGTATTCCTTTTGCCCTGATCCTGCACCACGACCAGCCAATTTCTGTCAATTTACTCTTCCTACCTAAAATTTCACTGGTTTCTTACCTCATTCATTCTTTATTCATGCATTTATTCAATAAATTTCAGTTGGGTATCTGCTATGTGCCGGCACCATTCATTCTTGGCACTAAGGATCCAGTGATAAACAGACTTGGTTTTTGCCCTTCATGGGGCTCACAGACTAAGGTGGGGGCAGGCAGGGGGTATGGAACAGACACTAAAGATATAATAATTAGATCGGAGTGACAGGAAAGCCGAGGGGGCTGCGAGCACTCAGGAGATCAAGGAAGTCTTCCTGGAGGAGGTGACATTTAGGTGGAGATGAGGAGAATGAGTGGGGGGTGAGTCATCCAGGGGAGTGGGGCAGAACACTCCAGAGAGAAGGGGTTGGTAGGCAAAGGTCCCAGAGTGAGACTGAGGACCTGCAGGGGATGAAGTGAGCATGTGCCAGCACAGGGAGAGATGAGGCTGCTGAGGGAAGCAGGGCCAAGGTGGATCTTGAAGCCCTAGTGAGGATTTATGGCTTTTGCAAGGGTATTGGGGAGCCACCGAGGGTTTTATGCAAGTGGAGTGGCATCATCAGATTTCCAGCAGCATTAAATACAAACTCTTCTCCCATCTGCCCCCTCCTGGCTAGTATCGCTCCTCTCATGCCCTCTACTCCCCTTAACCAGGCTCCTCCTGAATCCCCAATGTTACGCTAACCTGGCTACATCTTCCGCCTGGACATGCGCATCTTGGGCTGCACCAGGGCACAACGAAACAAGCCCCAGGTTTGGATCAAACAGACCCAGCTTCAAACCTGGCCTCTTTGGCCTCTGGACCACCTGGATCAGGTCCCTAATGTCTCTGAGCCCCAGTTTGCTCATCTGTAAAATGGAGATCATCACTGTCCACCACTAACAGTGTCCTGAAAGGACCTGGCTCTGACACTTACTGTTTTCTTTCATCTGTTCCAGAAGCATGCCACCTCCTCCAGGCAGCCCCCCACCCTTCACTCCTCCAGCCCTCTGAACACCAGAAGCACTTCCTGTTTGCCCCTGCCCCCGGGTAACATGCATAGAACATAGCTGTTAAGAGGTGCATCCCTCCAGCAATCAGAAACCATTTGGGGTCAGAGCCCAACGGGTCTTTCCCAGCAGATCCTGGGAGTCTGTCTGCCCAGGGACAGGACAACTCCTTAAAGCAGGAGAGAGATGGACAGACAGACAGAAGGGCTCTGGGGAGCTAAGTGAGGTCCCAGGGAGTGTCGAGACTCCATGTGCTCATTTTCTGGGGTGGATCAGGATCTGGGAAATCACTCGGAAAGCTGCACCTCTTAGGCCAGACTGATAAACAGGCTGCCAACTTACAGTGGGGAGCACGATCTCCCGCTGTGACTGCATCCCCCAGATGGTGGCTGAAGGGCTCAGGCCTCAGCAAGTGATGGAATGGGGTGCCTCAGGCAGGAGAGGAACTGCACCCGGCCCCACCCCAGCAGAAGGGTCCCACATGTCCACCATTCCTGCTCTCAGGAAGCCAGGGTTCCCACCCCTACCCCCAACAGTCTCCCACTGACACCTCAGATGCCCACCTTCCTGCATCTCAGCAGTCCTGGGCAGCCAGGAAGAGACGCTGGCTTTTGGGCTTGCATGACACAGGGTTGGGGGGGTGGGTCAGGATAAGTCCTGGGGCTCTGGGGGGCCCTCGGACACAGAATGCAGAGGGCTGGGCAACATAGTGTCCCCCACACTGGTCACCTCTCCCAGGTCTCTTCCTCAAGCACACCTCAGACTCCCCACCCCTCTCTGAGCATCGGTCTCCTCTGCACAATGATGACCCATAATATTCTGAATTAATAATTCCAGTAATGTTGACACCCCCACCCCCACCACCAATGTCAAGAGTCTGGCAGGAACATCAGTAACCATAGCTACCAGCAGCACCCACTTAGCTTCTGGCAAGTTCCATAGAAATTCTACAATCTTTTTGGGTAAAGAGACTGACCAAGGTGAGGGAGTCACTTGACTAAGCCCAGGTTACCACTAAGAAAATACCAAATGAATAATGGCCCCCAGGGAGTTAACACTCACTAGGGGCCCACTACTATTCATTTACCTGAAATGCTCAGCTAATGCTCACAGTCACCTTGTGGATTATTATCCCTATTTTATACAAGAGGAAATTCAGATTCAGGGAGGGAAAGTAACTTGCACAAAGTCACATAGAAAGTTAGAAGAAGGGCTGGGACTCAGACCTAGTTCTCTGGATGTTAAGACTGCTGGCAGAATTTCTAGATGGGGTGAGAAGGAGAGGCAGGATGTCCCACCCAGACCAGCCTCCATCCTGCACCATAAAGACACTTCCTTCCCTCTGCCCAGAAGTGGAGTCATTTCTCTCTTCCCTTTTAAAGGTGGATTTCTCCTCCAGCTCCTCCCTGCTCCTTCCCCCTCCCCCAGCAGCCACCCCGCTTCCCTGAGCTGCCTTCCTCCCCCTCTCTCTCTCACTCTCCAACACAAAGAGTTGTCAAGGTAACCGCATTGCCAAGGACTCTCTCTTTGTCTGGGGCCCTGGGAGGAAATGCATAAGCCAAGTCGCTGCTCACTGACCCCAGATGACCCCCACAGGGAAGGACAGCCCTGGACCATCTTTTCAAGGACTGCTTGCCTCACCCCACCTATTTCAGCCGACTGCACCCTGATAGCAGCTCCAGGTGGCACATTCCAAGTCCCAACGTGCAAGAGGCTGAGGACCTGGAGGAAGTGTCTTGGGGCATAACTTCCTGGAGACACACTGCTAGAAACACTCAGGGAAAGGAAACAGCAAAGAAAGAGCACACTATGTGCTTGGTACTGGGATGGGCATTGCCGATGGTACAGAGAATAACATCCACTATTGTGCCTGACACTGCAAAGCACCTTGGGTGACACTGAGCATAGCACCTACTGAGTGCTTAGGCCTTTGCTAGACACTGACAGGGCACTGAGCACAGCCCCTACTTTGTGCTTCCCTCTGTGCTAAGATGACGGAGAGGTGCTGGCCATGAGATGAGTTTGAGAAGGAATCTCTGAATGGCAGGTGTTTGAGTCAAGCCTTGAAAATCCTGGTTGAATACACAATGAATAGGGTTGAAGACATTGGACAGGGGGAAAATCAATACTCTCGGAGCTAAGCAGTAACTATGGACCCAGCAGGTCAGGCATGTCCCTTGCTTTAAACAGCAAAGTCAGGATTTGACATCAGACTCATCTGATTCCACGTTCCCTTCCCCCCTGTGGTGGTAACTGATGATGTTCCAGGTGATAGAGTCTCCATCAGCCTGAGTCTGTGGATGAGAAGGATGTGGAGCAGAGCCTCCACCAGCTTGGTTGGTGAAGACTTGGTTTTTGCCCTTTGGTTTTTCCCGGAGGCGTACACCGTGCACACAGAGCACAAGCAGCAAATCAATCTTGGCTGCTCTGTGCCATTAAAACCTGAGCCAGGCTGGGCACGGTGGCTCATGCCTATAATCCCAGCACTTTGGGAGGCCAAGGTAGGTGGATCACCTGAGGTCAGGAGTTTGAGACCAACCTGGCCAACATGGTGAAACCCCATCTTTACTAGAATTAAAAAAAAAAAAAATTAGCCAGGCGTGGTGGTGCACACCTGTAGTCCCAGCTACTCGGTAGGCTGAGGCAGGAGAATTGCTTGAACCCGGAAGGTGGAGGTTGCAGTGAGCTGAGATTGTGCCACTGCACTCCAGCCTGGGCGGCAGAGCAAGACTCCATCTAAAAATAAAAAATAAGAAAATAAAAAATAAAAAATAAACCTGAGCCACTAGATTCCTTAAAGAACTAAAAGTAGAGCTACTATTTGATCCAGCAATCCTACTACTGGGTATCTAGCCAGAGGAAAAGAAAGTCATCATACAAAAAAGATATTTGCCCACACATGTTTATAGCAGCACAATTCGCAATTGCAAAAATATGGAACTAGCCCAAATGACCATCAATCAACGAGCGGATAAAGAAAAGGTGATATATAGATATATATACACCATGGAATACTACTCGGCCATAAACAGGAATAAAATCGAAGCATTCACAGCAACCTGGATGGCATTTGAGACCATTATTCTAAGTGAAGTAACTCAGGAATGGGAAACCAAACATTCCACACTTACAAGTGATAGGTTAGCTTTGAGGACACAAAGGGATAAAAATGACAGAATGAATTTTGCGGACTCACGGGAAAGGGTGGGAGGGGGTGAGGGATAAAAGACTACACATTGGGTATAATGTAGACTGCTGGGGTGAGGGGTGCACCAAAATCTCAGAAATCACCATTAAAAACTTATTCATGTAACCAAACACCATCTGCTCCCCAAAAACCAATTGAAATAAAAAATAAAATTAATAAATTAATAAAAAAAATTTTTAAAAACCTGAGTCACTGTAACTGAGAATTTAGGAGGTATTAGTTATATTGCAGCATATCACAGTCCACTCTGACTGTTACATCATCAGACTGAACCAAAATCCTGCGGCTGGCCCTCCTTGAGTCTCATCTCTGAATCAATCACTGTAGGCTGAGGGCAGCAGTACTCGATTGGCTCAGACCTGGTTCACTGGCCATGCCTACCTCCAGTGAGGGAGGAGAAGGAGTCACCTCTACCCATGTTGTTGGGCTTGGCATGGCCAAGGGTGGCTTTTCAAGGAAGATGGCATGCTGTTACCAGAAAGCGGGGCAGTTGCTGAAAAGGAGATACGAACACGTGTCCACTTTGAGGGCCTCATAGCCAAATGCTGTGCAAGAGGTTCCTACGCTGAATGGGAGACAAGTTCCCAGGCTGCTGCTGCTTCTCACAAGTCTCTGAAATTTGCCTGGAAAAAGATTCTATTGATTTTTTCTGGGTAACGTGGCTTCTTCCCTCAAAGAAGTCCTTTGGTTGCCGGGAGGCCTGCCAGGCAAGGGGTTGGCTTTCCCCAGGAAGGGTGGAGAAGACTAGGCTGGGGTAGGGAAATCAAGGGGAGAAGGAATGGCCAGCTGCCCCTAGCTGCCCAGGGAGAGGGAGGAGGCCAAGCTTGCTCAGAGCAGTAGTTGGAGACTAGCACGGACACCCCTGTGATCCTTTTTTCTAAAACCCAGATCTTTTGCCTTCACTTCTCTCCTTAAAAACCTTACATGGCTCCTTGCAAACTAAAATCAGCGTTGATTTCTATGCCAGGCACTGAACAACGTATTCCATTTACATTGTTATCCCCCCTAAAACTTCATAAGCAGCTATTAGAGTTTAGAGTTTTAACTCGTGAAAAATATGAGCAAATGAATGCTCAGAATCACAAGTGGCAGAACCAAGGTCACAGAACTCAAAACAGAGCTCCTAGTCTTCACCCACCCATTCAACTTGCCTTAAAAAAAAAAAAAGCTATAGGCCAGGCACAATGGCTCATGCCTGTAATCCCAGCACTTTGGGAGGCCGAGGTGGACAGATCACGAGGTCAGGAGTTCGAGACCAGACTGTCCTATATGGTGAAACCCCGTCTCTACCAAAAAATACAAAAATTAGGTGGGCGTGGTGGTGCTCCCCTATAGTCCCGGCTACTTGGGAGGCTGAGGCAGGAGAATCACTTGAACCTGAGAGGCAGAGGTTGCAGTGAGCCGAGATTGCGCCACTGCACTCCAGTCTGGCCAACAGAGTGAGATTCCATCTCAAAAAACAAAAAAGCTATAAAAATTGAAAAAACAATCTGATGAATACAAAGAGAAATAAAAGAGATAATTAACCTTTACTTGCCACACTCATTCCAGCTACTCTCCCAAGGAAGCACCATTAACTCTTTGTTGAACATCCATCCTGACCTCTCTCTATGGTCAAATAATATGTTTGAGCATTTATTGAGAGCCAAGAATGTGCCAGGGCATCGGAGGTTATTTTCACAGAGAGTGCTTCTCAGGGATGTACAAATTCCCATGCAATTCCATCTATTTTTTTAATGACCTTAACTAGTCAGAGCACATGGCTGAAGAAACTGACAAGTAAACATTTATTGCTAAAACCCAATAGATTAGGTCCCTTTGCAGCTCCAAATTTCCCAACAATCCACACTTCACCTAGAGGAAAGCCAAAGTCCCTGCATCCACCCAGAGGCCCTACAGAATCTGGTCCCTTGGTCACCTCTCCAACTTGGACCTCACCATCTGCCACCCTCTCCCTTCACTTCCTCCAGTAATATCTCACTTTTTTTCAAAAGGCCCCCAGCACGTCCTGCCTCAGAGCCTTTGCACCTGCTGATCCCTGTCCCTGAAACACCCTTCTCCCAGATACCCCCACGGCTCACATCCTCGCCTCCTTTGAAGTCTTTGCTCAAATGTCTCTTTTCCTTAACTAAACTGGACTCTCCCCATCCCCAACAAACACACGAAACCCATTTTACCTTCTTTGTTTCCTCATAGCATCTATTACTGTCCAACATAGTATACAAACCTTGTTTTATCATCTTCCACCACTCACTAGGATGTAGCTTCAGTGAAGTGAGGAATGTGTGTCTATTTTGTTCCCAGCTAAATCCCCAAGGCCTTAGAACAATGCCTGGCATACAGTGGGTGCTTCATAAATGTTTGTTGAATGACTCCATTAATTTAAAGAAGCCATAGTTCAGGCAGCAACATGGCTCAGACAAGATTGAATACTTTTTAGAGCATGTGAACCTCTTTCTTTTTGGAGCCGGCATCCAGCACTGTGAAACTTGAAAAGATCAGCATGCCAGAAGGAATGCAGGGGTTAGGGGAGCAGTCAAAGGGGACTTTCTCCCAAAGTCATTTTCTGCAGATCCCCTTTCCCAGTTCAGCCCAGGGTTGAGGAGTGACATCCCAAATCAGAGGGACCGCAAATCAGATATCCTCAACCCGTCCCTGAGCGATCTCCTTTCCCCTGGATCTACCAGAAACAGGGGTCCTAGAAAGTTGAAAGTCAAAAGCAGGGGTCTTTGGGACCCAGCTTTCGGGGGCAGCTCAGGCTCATCCTGAGGCTGGTGCTGTGGGCTCAGTTCTCCAGGTATGATTTATGCCTATGGCCGAACTTTATTTTCTACTTTTTTGGATTCTGCTCTGAATTTTTTTCTTCTTGGCCTTTTCCTGGGTCAATGCAGTCTTGTTATTTGATTTACTGTTAACAGTATTGACTGCATAGGATTGAGCCAAGAAATGGAAGAAATTGCTTTTTCTCTCTTTCTATCTCCTGTTTGACAACTCAGTCTTAGCACTGGATTTAGCCAAGCTCTGTGAGAGCCAAGGGAGGCAAAGGAAGTGGGAGTGTTGTGGCTTTGCGGCTGGAAGGTGACCCTGGGAGGAAAATGGCAAGGAATTGTCATTGAAAAGGTCCTGTGGCTGTTTTACCTTCTAAATAAGATAAAGATACAGAGAGGGTGTGTTTGAAGTATGGGCTTCAAAGTCAACTAGCCTTGGGTTTAAGCTGTGTGGCTTTGGGCAAGTCACTTAACCTCTCTGAGCCTCAGTTTCCCCATTCCTAAGACAGATGTAATAATCTCCTCCTCACAGGTGGACTTACAGTGCTCATGCATAAGAAACACTTTGAATCAAACCTGGGTCATTCTAGGAGCACAATTTATTGTACCTGTTACTGTCACCACCATCATCACCATCATCATCATCATCCTCACTCTATTATTGTGTCATCTTTGTTTTGTCCAAATAAAGAAACAAGCATTCATTCAATTCCATGGAAAGGACTTGAGAAGCCTAGAGACTTTTAAGTAGCTGTTTATTGTGGTAAAATATAACAAACATAAAATGTATTGTTTTAACCATGTTTAAGTACACAGATCAGTAGCATTAAGTTCATTATTGTCAACTGTCACCACCATCCAGCTCCAGAATTTTTTCATCTTGCCAAACAGAACTTCTGTACACAGTAAACATGAACCCCCCATTTCCTCCTCCTCACAGCCCCAGGCAACCACTATTCTACTGTCCACCTCTATGACCTTGACTGCTCTAGGCACATCCTATGAATGGAATCATCCAGTGTTTGTCCTTTTGTAACTGGTTAATTTCACATAGCATCATGCCTTCAGGGTTTGTCTACATGTAGCACGCATCGGAATTTCATTCCTTTTTATGTCTGAGTAATATTCTACTGTATGGATATGGCACATTTTGTTTATCCATTTATCTGTCGATGGACAATTGAGTGTCTGTCACCTTTTTGCTACTGTGAAATTTGCTACTGTGAATAATGAACGTGGATAATAACACTCCCTCTTCTCCAAAATGAAGATTAAGCTTCAACTATTCCCTAGTGCTCCCACTCAGAGTTTCTCCTCTTGACTGTACATGAAGTCACACCCAGGAAATACCATGATCAGAAACAGGCACTTTCCTGCACTCATGGTGCTCACAGTTGCATTGGGGAACAAATAAATCCACACCCAAAAGGAGACGTTGCTGCCAACTGTGACTATGTGCTATGAAGGGAAAAAAGAGAGGCTTTTGGAAGAGAAGAAAGGTAAAGTCCTGCTTTATCCGGACAGGAAGGATGCCCTTAGAAGGAGCCTCCAGTGTAAAAAGAACTTCCCAGGAAGAAGACAAAAGGCCATCTGAACTATGGCATGGGGTCTTTGCCATTTATTACCCACTGAGCAGGAAGTACATGGCCACAGTGATTTATAGCAGTGTGCTGGGTGCAGCTCATACCAGCCCACAAGAGCTAATCATTAAATTTTCAGGAATTTTATGAGCAGCTTGTGAAATGCAATCATAAAATTAAATTATATAAGCTTACAATTGTATGGAGTACACTAGTTATTAGCATGAATTGTACCTATATGGTTGAAACACATATAATGGTATCTATGCATCTCTCCCCAACTCCACATTCAATGACGTCACACTGGTAGCTTGAAATAAGCCACAATGGGAATATTTACACCAGGGATAATGGCCAGTGCTGCAAATCAGGGTTTGATCATTTTGTTGATTGTCTGGATTTAAGAAAGTGATGTACAGAGTGTTAATAAGACAGGTTAAACTTAAAGGTATTATGTGTCTGTGGCCATTATATTGTGAATGGTACAGACAGCTGAGGAAACATTCTTCTATTATTTAAAAACCATTACAAATGGTCCCCAACTTAGCAATGGTTGGACTTAGAATTTGTCTGAGTTTACAATAGTGCAAAATCAAAAATGCACTTACAATATTCGACCTACAGTATTTTCAACTTACAATAGGTTTATCAGAATGTAAGCTCAACATAAGTGGAAGAGCATCTGTATTCAGTTCAGCAAAGAAATTGTTCACGTCATTGACAACGAATGAAGTACCAACATACGTCTTTGTTGTTTTTGCCTGACTCATTAAGGTAAACAAAAATATCTACCAGCATTCATGTCAGAGCTACCTTCAGAGAGCCGCTTGTTAAACATTTATCAGCACACAACTGAGTCATTACAGTGCCTTTCACATGAAAAATCAAGAACTGTGGCTATAATGGATTTTTTTATTATTTCTAGAAATGGAAAAACTTTTAGAAAGTATTTCTCAGTTAACATTAGTGAGCCATTAGGGTGGTTTGAGGGGGACTCTAAGACAGAGTAACTGAAATTGAGGCTTGTCTAGAAAATTCTCAGATTCGTCATCCTCAGAACAGTAGCTTGAAACACAACTCTGGGCCGGACGTGGTGGCTCACGCCTGTAATCCCAATACTTTGGGAGGCCAAGACAGGTGGATCACCTGAGGTCAGAGGTTTGAGACCAGCCTGGCCAACATGGAGAAACCCCGTCTCTACTAAAAATACCAAAATTAGCTGGGCGTGGTTGTGCACACCTGTAATCCCAGCTACTCGGGAGGCTGAGGCAGGAGAAGCACTTGAACCCTGGAGGCAGAGGTTACAGGGAGCCAAGATCACACCACTGCACTCCAGCCTGGGCAACAGAGCGAGACTCCATCTCAAAAAAAACAAAACAAAACACTACTCTGTTGTGTCCACTCATTCAATTCCATGGAAAGGATCTGAGAAGCCTAGAGACTAAATATTTATTTATTGTGGTAGAATATAACAAACATAAAATGTATTATTTTAACCATATTTAAGTGCACAGTTCGGTAGCAGTAAATTCATTACTGTGATGTGACTGATTGATAGAAGGGGTGATGGGTCGATTGATTCCAGTTCTACTACGAACTTTATGCATAAACTCGGGTAGTTTCCTTTTGCCTCAGTTTCCTCCTCTATAAAATGAAGACAAGATGCTTTCTCTGACTGCGTCTGAAGAGGTCTGGGAATCAGGTACGGGACGAGTGAGTTGGGACTTGCTTGGATGGAATGACAGACACCCAAGGTAAACACGCTTAATGGGGAAAGGAGAGATTAATTGGTTTTCAACATTAGTTTGGATACCGAATAGTTCAAACATTCAAAGGAAAAGTTTTCATGTTTCTCCCTTTATCTGTTCTTTCCTCAACTCATCACAGTGGCCTTAACTGTCTCCTACTCCAGACACACCTTCTCTAATGTGTCTGGTACCCTCCCTACAAACCTCAATGGAAAAAGAGTTTGTGCTGCCAGGTTCAAATACCCATCTCACGGATAAGGCTCTCATTGGCTCTGCTTGGGTCATGTGCTTGCCTCACGGACCAATCACTGTCATCAGAGGTATTGGATGCTGTGATTGGTCAGCCCTGGACCACGTAACTAACCACTTTCTGCAGCCAAGGTGAGCCCGGTCTATTTCTAGGAGAATGGCAATGGGAATGCTCTCTAGGCAGATGAAAGCCAACAGTCCACGTCAGGAGGTGAATGTGTGTTGGAAAGATTAAAGTGACAAGCAGGAAGGATAAGAATGATTAGTCTCAGAATAAAGAGACACGGGTTGCCTGTAGCTTACACACGGACTTAGTCATTTAACAATCTTTTCACAGTGCGTGGTTAATCCTGTCGCTCCATGCTGGAAACCCTGTAAGGTCTTCCTGATCTGGGTGCTGCGCGGAACTCTGAGCTCATTTTGGATCCTCTTCCTATCCTTCAATGCCCCAGTCCCACGGCGCCTTTCTGTTTCAAGACTGTGTCTCTCCCTCTCCTTCTTCAAGGTCTTTTCTTTCTTTCTTTCTTTCCTTTCCTTTTCTTTCTTTCTTTCTTTTTTTTTTTTTTTGAGACGAGGTCTCACTCTGTCGCCCAGGCTGGAGTCTCGGCTCAGTGCAACCTCCATCTCCCGGGTTCAAGCGATTCTCATGCCTCAGCCTCCCGAGTAGCTGGGATTACAAGTGAGTGCGGCAACGCCTGGTTAATGTTTGTAATTTTAATAAAGACAGGGTTTCACCATGTTGGCCAGTCTGGTCTCAAACTCCTGACCTCAAATGATCCGCCCCTGCCTCGGCCCCCCAAAGTGCTGGGATTATAGGCGTGAGCCACTGCCCCTGGCCCCTCAAGGTCTTTTCACAAATGTTTCTTCTCGCCTAGAATGTTCTTCCCCCAAATCTAATCCCAATCAATCTTCTGGTCTGTTTTCCCCATACACCACAGAAACAGCACCGACTTGTTTTTATTTCTCTTGCCCACCAGGGCTCGGCACGGCACATGGCACAAAGTAGACAGTCAACAAATCCTTCTGAGGTGAGTAAATAAATGAGTACGTATCATTCCAACAGTAAAAAGTTGTGAGTTTTCTGCCTTTGGCACACAGATTCACTCATTCTTTCATTCATTCAATATTGCATCATGGGCTGGGAGATATAATAGTGAACAAGAAAGCATTCTTGCCTTCAAGGAGATGCTGGTGGGGGAAGTGGGCAGAGTCATACCAGAGTTGTCACAGAGCCACCATGGGGGGCTGAGGGAGCAGAAAACAAGACTTGGGAAGACAACAAATACTCTGCAGAGAAGGTGAATCCAACATGAAAACTGATAGATTAATAGAAATTAGGTGGATGAAAGCAGGCAAATTGCCATGAGGAGGGGGAATGGAGTGGAGAGTGGGTAATTCTAGGCAGAGGGAACAGTAAGTAGAACTGTTCCCGACTACACGCAGTAAGGGAACTACTGCGTGTAGTCGGGAGCGGGGGGAGAGAGAAGGAGAAGAGAGGAAGGAAGGGAGAGTGAGCATTTGTTGGGGGAGAGTGAGCGGCGAAGATTCAGAGGCTAAGTCAGGAAAGAGGGAGATCCACAAGGCAAACCTGGAACAGCTTTGAAGCCATCATCAGGAGGCTGGGCTCAATCCAATGAGGCCATGAGACCCCAGTGAAGTACATTAAGCAGGGGCATGACATGGCCACATTGTGTATTGGAAAGAAATCTTCTTCATCTGGCCCATCACCTTGGGGACTCGGGCTAAGAATTAATATCAGTTTAAGGGTTTCGATTTAGACAAATTAATGACGCCATAGTAGAAGCAGCTGGGCAAGTCTGACAGTTCTCCACCTTTTAAAGTCAATATAATCATCACTGACTTTTAGACTCCTCACACCATAGACTCCCAGGAGCACAGACTCCTAGAGATAGAGAAACACTGTCTGATAGACCCAGGAAAGTGGAGGCAAGTGCTTCAGTATTGCAGAGAACTATGGGAACCAAAGCTGGGTATGGTGGCAAGAGCCTGTAGCCCCAGCTACTTGGGAGGCTAAAGAAGAAAGAGTGCTTGAGTCCAAAAATTCAAGCCCAGCCTGGGCAACATAGCAAGACCCTAGTCTCAAAAAGAAAAAAATAAAATAAATATAAGGCCTATGGAAACCAGAAAAATATAAGATGGAGCTGTTTAGCCACAACATTGCAGAGGCCTGAAACCACAGAATTATAAACCAATAACATCACTCTGCCAGCACATGGGACTCAGTGGGCTTACACAGCCCAAGTCTTTATGAAATGACACAGCATCCTCTCCGGGAGGTGGCCGTGCTCTCCCTAAACCTTCTTTATATGGTGTTCCATCTTTTCCCCTTCTGTGGCTGTCTCTGTGGATGCCCCCGCTCCATACCTCAGGACTGCTGTACCCTACAGCGGCTCCCAGCACCCCACTGGCACCAGTGTATATCTAGACCCCAGTCTTGCCCACCAGGAGCATAAACATTTTCTTAGCTAGCACTGGTCCTTAAGATAAAAGCTGGGGTTTTTTTTCCCCCCTCCCAGGGTGCCAGAGTTCAACTCCATTTTCTCAGATTAAATAAAATTTCAAAGTGTCAGTCCCTGGCAAACGACAAGTTGGAGGGTGGTTGATTTTTCTAACCCGATCTTCAGTCCAATTACAATTTTTAATCTATATGTAGATAATGGTGAACAAAAACCCCACAGAAACGTCAAGAGTGAGGAGGTTATTAGCTTAGTTTTAATTACTGCTGATCATTCTTAGCGACTGGAGGGACCCAGCAAATTAGGGAAAGGAGGCATTCCTCCAGGAGAGTTCAGCGGGGCCCCTGGGCTGCTGTTCCAGCAGAAGCTGTCCCCGCAAAGAAACATTGCCTGGTCCAGAGAATGCACGTCCTTCCCCACCAGCCCTGCCACGACTTCCTGTGGAGAAAGGCCAGAGGACTTGGGCACAATCAATCCAGCACCAGCTGATGAGATGTGATCTCAGCCCTTCCTCCTTCGGCGTCCCTCCAGGCCACCGCCTCTCCCTGGCTCCCCCACTGCCCGTGTTTCAAACACACCTCATGCTTCTTCTTTTGTCTGGATAAAAGTAATACATGCTTATCATGTGAAAGAAATTGGAAAATAGAAAAAGGTGAAATATGGAGGGAAGAGAAAAACCTATTCTAGTCTCACTACTTACAACTGCTAATATTTTGGGGTAGTTCCAGTCTTGTGTGTGTGTGTCTTATATATATACTCATACACATATATTATACATATACATATATAAAATATGTAAGTATATAATTGAACATTAAATGTGCATAATATATAAAAATATTTATATTTTAAATATTTGTATTATAAAATATATAGAAATAATTTATAATAACTAATAGAAATATAAACATATTTATATTATTTTAAATATTGTATTATAAAATATATAAACAACATATAATTATAATTATTAATAAATCATAATGTATAGCTGTAATTACATATGTAATACATACACAGACAAATTGGAATTAGCTATAGTACTTCTTGTGCCATGAATGTTACTTGTGAACTTCATATTAGTGGCTACAGAATCTTGTGTAGCCTGGATACACTGTACGTTTCACTAATCCACCTCATTTTTGCACATACAAAGCTAGTGAGCATTTTAATAGAGATGACAATGTTTTAGGTTTTATATTTTACTCTGGCTTTTTTTTCAAATAAAGTGGTTTTCTATGTTATTATAAACTTGGTAACTATCATTGTGATGAATTATTTTACCTCTACCAGTATTTTTGAGGAATCAATTTGTGCCAAGCCCTGTTCTAAGTGGTTGAGATGTAAAAATCAAAATCCTTGAAGGATTAGAATCTTCTAGGGTTTCTGACCTTATAAAATACAGCTTTTATTAAACTGAAAATATGTGTTTAAACTAGCCATTCTCATGTTATTGGACGTTTAGGTAGTTTAATGTTTCTCAAATTTGTATATGACACTATCATGGACATTTTGTATGTAAAGTATTATCTTTCTTCTGAATTGTTTCTTTTTCTTCTTATACATTTATTTAAATGCATTGAATGGATCTAAGGATATTAATATTTTTAAGATTTTTCATAAGAAATCTGGTTTCCCATAAATGGAGTTTTAGGGGGTAAAACTGATCCTGAACCATCTCAAAAAAAGTCACACAAAAATAGACCCTTCAGGGGCTCTATCAAGAGATTACCTGGAAACATACTGCTACTTTTAATACTTCAAAGTTTGTCAGAAGTATGTAATGAAGGAATAACAATATCTCATGCATGAATGAGCTGTACAATTTTTTAAACTTCACATTTATTATTTAATTTCTGAAAAAAATGAGAACTGTAAAATAGTGCTTCCAAAAGTTTAGTATAAGCATAACTCGTAGTCGGCCAAGTGATTTTGCATTAATAGAGACATGACTCTATTTTCAATTTTTATTATATATTTATGTTTTTGCATATTAGAGAAAAATATGAGTAAAATATCAAACCCACACTTCTATAAGATTAGAGTTTAGAAATGGACTAAGGAAGAATAAGAAGTGGGTTAAAACTCAATTTAAAGCAAGACATTAAGCAGAGATGCCTACAAGCCACCCATGAATATGGCGACCATGGGGAGTTTCGAAGTTAACAGGAGACGCTGCACATATCAATGAGACACAGGAGGCTGGTGATGAGATTGTTACCTGCGTTAGCTAATGGAATACCAAAATGAAGAGAGGCAGGAGGATGGTTTGAGACCAGACTGGGCAACAGAGCGAGACCCTGCCTCAAGAAGAAGAAAGAAGCAAGAAGGAACAGAAGAAGAAGAGGAAGAGGAAGAAGAAGAAGAGGAGGAGGAGGGAGGGGGAGGGGAGGGGAGGTGGGGAGTGGGAGGGAGAGGGAGAGGGGGAAGGAGAAGGAGGAGAACAAGGAGGAGGGGAAGGGGAAGGAGGAGAAGAAGAAGGAGGAGGAGGAGGAAGAGGGGAAGAGGGAGAGGGAGAAGGGGAAGGGGAAGGAGAAGAAGGAGGAGAAGAAGATCCAAGATTTCAGGGAAGTTGCAATTTATTAAGTATCCATGTAAGGCAATGCTCCAATGGCCAAACCACATTTTCCTTCACCCAAGAGATTAAAAATGAAGTTTCAAGCCTTTTTGGCTGCACATTAAAATTACCTGAGGAGATTTTTCAAAGCGCGATGGCTGGGCCCTCCCCTAGAGGTTCTGCACCTATAGGTCTGGGTGGAGCCTGGGCATCAGCGTTTTTAGGGCTCCCTCACTGGTTCTCATGTGCAGCCAAGGCTGAGGAATTCTGGTCAAGGCCACCTTCTTTCTGGACACCTCTGGATGTTGTCCTGTCCACAAAATAGAGATTAGAGTCCACGCCCCGACTGGTCTCCCTCTGCACCGGCATTCTGAAAACTTCCCCAGCCCTCTGCTGCTGGATAATGAGGCTAATGACCAATCAAGCCCTAATGAGGATGGATTCGTTTATTAAGCAGCAATTATGTGCCAGGTGCTTTCCCCTTCCCAAGCCCAGGAGACTCAAGGGCAAGCAGGAGACGACCTGGGGAAGGCTGGGGAAGAGGGGGCAGCCAAGAGAAGGCAGAGAGCCACTGCATCTTAGGGGGTCTTCCGGACGAGCTTGGGGTCCAAGCACAGGGGGCGTGCTAGAAACACAGCAGCAGCTCATGTAAATACCCAGCCTTTAATGAGGCAGAGTGGACTTGAGGATGGATTGGGTGCACGTGTGAGGGAATCCCATCTGAGCATGGCCAACAAGCTTCCAGGCAGAGAATGTGCTGCAGGAAAAGTGGGATGGAGGGAAAAGGGCAGCCTGTGGGGAGAAGAAACCCAACCGGGGTTGGGCAAAGGCCATTAGGGGAGGAAATCACACACAGCTCAGCAGACCATCTGGGTCCCTCCTGAGACTCTAGGATCTGGAAAGCTCCCCATCCCCACAGGAGAACAGGAATGCAAGTGAGAAACTGGCCTGAGCATTCCTCAAGAATGAGGGATAAAGTTTAGGAAAGGATTTGATGACTACCCACTCACTCTTCTGCTGAGACTCCCTGCAATACAACCCCAAAATTATACCCAAATGGGAACCAAAGTTCTGCTTATCAGTGAATGGACAATCATAAGATCCTTTTGCTCCTGGGTTTATTGACAGGCTAAGCTGAAGGATGCAGCAGAGAGATGGATCAGACACCTTGTCAAGCAACGTGTTCTTTGTCTCCAAAATCAAAGCCTGCTTTTCATCCTGAGAAATTCAGGGTTTGGCATCTTGGAGGCACACGGTAAATACTTCTAAGCATGAAAGATATGAATGGGATGAATAGGGATGACATTGATTGTGGTAGAATGGAAGGGATGAAGTGGAAATGATGGAATGTATGGAATAAAATGCAATGGAGTAGAATGGAATGGAGTGGATTCAAATGGAACGAGATGGTACAAAAAATATAATACAATAGAATAAGATGAAATGGGAAGGGTGGAATAAAGTGGAGTGAAATGGAATGGAATGGAGTAGAGCGAAGCAGAAAAGAATGGAGTGGGGTGAGATGGTGTGGAATGGGATAGTTGCAGGATTGAAAGGATATGGGGTGGGATGGGATGGGGTGGGGTGGGAAGGGGAGGGCTGGGATGAGAGGGGGTGGGATGAGAAGGCATGGGATAGGATGAAATGAGGTGGGGAGGGATGTCAAGGGTTGAGGTGGAAAGGGAAGGATGGAGTGAGACTGAATGGGATGGAAAGGGATGGAGTGGAAGGAAAAGGGATGGGAAAGGATGGAAATGTTTGGAATGGGATGGGGGAAATGTGAGGGAAAGGAACAGGGAAGAAATAAGGGGAAGGGGAGTGAAGATGAAAGTAGGGGTGGGACAGCATGGGATGAAGTAGAGTGGAGAAACATGGGGTGGGATAGGATGGGATGGGATGGGATGGGATGGGATGGGATGGGATAGAGTGGAGTGGGAGGAGATGAGAGGGGTGGAGTGGGAGGAGATGAGAGGCGATGGGGTGGGATGGGATGGATGGGGTGGGATGAGATGGGGTGAGATGGGATGGGATGAGGTGGGGGTGGGATGGGGGGGTGAAGTGAGATGGGACAGATATGGTGGGATGGGATGGGATGGGATGAGATGGGATGAGATGGGATTGGATGGGATGGGATGAGATGGGATGGGATGGGATGAGATGAGATGGGATGGGAATGGATGGAGCGGAGTGGGATGAGATGAGATGGGATGGGAATTGATGGAGTGGAGTGGGAGGAGGTGAGAGGGGATGGGGTGGGATGGGTGGGATGGGATGGATGGGGTGGGATGAGATGGGGTGAGATGCGATGGGATGAGGTGGGGGTGGGATGGGGAGGGGTTAAGTGAGATGGGACAGGATATGGTGGGATGGGATGGGGAGGGGTGGGTAGTTTGGGGTGTAGTGGGATAGAGTGGGGTGACTTGGATAGTACATGATGAGACTGGATAAACTAGATGGAATGGGAGGGATTAGATAGAACTCACTGGCAGGAGATGCCCATCTACTTTTACTTTTACCATTTACAATCACAATAGGACAAAGGACACGGGTCAGGGGCTCTAGACTTGTGTTCCCTGACCATTCGCAGTGGGACCCTGATCAAGGCTCTTCTCTGGGCCTCGACTTCCTCATCTGTCCGTTGCATGTTGGAATTTAATGATATCTAAGGATTCATTTATAGCAGGCATTCACTCATAATTCAGAAAGAATTTGCTGAGTGCCTACTCTGTGCCAGGCACCATGCTCAGTGTCCAAAGCCAATTACAATACAGGGTGTTTCCTCCAACTGCCCAGTCACCCCAAGAGATAAATTCGACATGACTTGGAATGGACTCTGGGTTAGCACTTCTAGTGGCCTTAGGACACTGTGGACGACAGCTCAAGATGAAACACACAGGCTGTACCCTCAACAAACAGCCCATCAGGGCTGAAAGAGACACCTGGTGGGCCTCAGAGACAGGCACATGCCCTGAATTTTAGCCAGGGAGTGACCATAATCAGTAAATGCCACGGCAGGCAAGAGCCAGCCACTCTTGGTTATTTAAGCTCTAAATATAGGACTCCTGTGATAGTCCCTGTCTGCTAAGGGTGTCCTATCAAAGTGTTTTTTTTTTTTTTTTTCATGGCCCCACTCCACCACCAAATGTCTACTTGATCCTCTTGTAGCCTGAAATAGAGCCCAGTCCAGCTCCCGGCCACCCACAGTGGAAAGAAGCTCAGCAATTTACCATGGCATTCAAATCAATTCAGGATCTGGCTCATGCCTGCCTCTCTAACCTTACTCGTTCATTCATTCAACACTATTTATAGCTGCTAAGCACCATGCTAGGTCCTGGGGATTCAGCTTTGACCAAGACAGACACAACTACTGCCCTTATGAGCTCACAATTCAGTGAGGGAAACACTGAATAATGTCACAAATGACCTTAAAATTACAACTGCATAAAGTTCAGGGGATGAAAATTAGGAGACCTCCGAGCCTCGTTCTATCTAGTCTTTCTCTCAGACTTAACACTCTCACCAGACTGGACTTCCTTCACTTCCCTGAGTGGACATGCTCTCTCTCACCTCAGGACCTTTGCACATGCTTTTCCCCTCTGACAAGAAGTTTCTTTCAACTCCATTGCCCACTCTCCTGGCTAGCTCCTCCACATCCTACAAGTATCAGCTTAGAGGCCACTTTCTTCAGGAAGCCATGCCTGGTGTCACCAGTGTGGGTTCCCCTTCTGTTCTCCTCCATAGCATGTGTTTAACCCCCACTTATTACACTCCACGGTGAGTGCCTTTTGCATTTCTAGCTAGTGCACTAGGCGGGAAATTTCACTGTGGCATCAACAAGTTTTACTGAATGGGTGAGTCACATCCTTACCTTTTGTTCAGTCCCATTCACTGTTTGACCTTGGGGTCCTCCAGCCCTCCATAAAAATAAGTGTTTCTCCAGATTTTTCTTATTATATGCTGTAATTCTTTCATGAAGGGGGCAGGGAAAACTGGGGAAGCTTAAATCAGCTTTTTCTTTATATCTGCAAAGCTCCAAGGTCCTTCAGACTCAGCTCCCTCATGGGTACTGGAACCACAGAGACCACCTGACAAGATAAAGCTGGAAGGGGATGCAAGAATCTTGAGTTCCATCCCCTGCTCTCATCTTCACAATTGGCTTCCATCTTGGGACAACCTCAGTGAATTTTGCTATGAGAGGGAATACTATGCATAAAATGAGGTTACTCTAATGTGAGCATTTCAAATCCCTTTGTAGTAGACAGAATAATGACCCCTCCAAAGATGTCCACAACCCAATCCTCAGAATGAGAGAATACTTTACCTCACATGGTGAAAGGGACTTTGCAGGCATGATTAAGTTAAGGATCTAGGGATGGAAGGATTATCCTGAATGATACAGGTGCACCCAATGTAGTCACAAGAGAGAAGCAAGAGGGTCAAAATCAGAGATGTGGGGATAGAAACAGAGGCCAGAGAGAGAGAGATCTAAAGAGCCAGCTGGCTTTGATAATGGAGGAAGGAAGGGGACATGAGCTAAGGAATGCAAGTGGCCTCTAGAAGCTAGAAAAGGGAAGGAAACCAATTCGCTCCTAGACCCTTCAGAAGGGTCAAAGCTCTTCTGACATGTTGATTACTGCTCTATAAGACCCTTTGGACTTCCAACATCCAGAACCATAAAATAATACATTGATGTTGGTTTAATCCAGTAAGTTTGTGGCCATCTGTAAGTATGCAAGCATAGGAAACTAACACACTCTTCCAACTATTCAACCTATGTCTCCTGAATGCTGGGGTTCAGGTGGGGTAGGTTTCCTGGTAGATCTAGAACCTTCTAGAAACCACGATTCCTCATACTTAGAACTATTCTGAAAGAATCTCAAGGATCTGGCTAGTTCAACATCTTTCCAGCTTCAGATAATTGCTTTATTGATTCTCCCTTTTCTAGATCATCTATCTCATAAAGAATAGAGAATTCATGGGGTGACACATTTTTTTCTTCTTTTGGTCATCCTTCTCAAGCTCTAACTGCTGACCTTCACCTTTAGAGGAAAGAAAGAACATTGCCATGAAGATTCTGGCTTGGATGGGGTTATTGAAAGACAGCATCCTTTGGTTGGTTGCAATGATGTCTCTCCCTTCTTTTTTGCATGGTGGCTCCCTAGACACAACTCTCAAATGACGTGAGCTTGGAGTCATGCACATCATGAGAGCTATGGCTCACTCTTTCCTCTCACCTTGCATGCTGTGCTCACCAGAGAAATGGATGGATTTGTGGATGGATCACCCAATTAATTAATTAATGGATCAGACTCTATCACCTTCCTCTCCCACCTGTGAGTCAGTCCAGACATTCCAGAATTTTATAGCTCCAGCACCATGCCCCAGAGAAAAACAAAAAACAACCTCCTGGGCCTTGAACCATCAGCCACTTTTCAAAGAAAGTCAAGACTCCGTCAACATTTTTTTCTTCCCTCCCAAAATTAAAATGTGCCTCCAGTATAACTTGTTATCAAAAATAGAAGCATTTTATCTATCTTTATTGCAGAACAGAGATTACATGGAGACATTCAATTTGGAGTCAATTTAAATTTCAATTGTCTGTGAAATCTAAATCAATAGGGTATAGTTCAATGACGCTTTAATAAAACAGGACATAACAGAGAAATCATTAGGAATTACATATGATAAGAGATTGGAGCAGAGCCTTTGTAATGGTGGAAGGAACATTAGAAAATTACCCCCAAGCATTCGCAAGTAAACCAACTACCTCCTTCCCCCGTGAGACTCCCGAGAAAGCTTAATTGTGCTATGAAAACTGGAAATCCATCTCTGTCAGCCCAGTGATTGGGGGACAATTTACAGTGAGTGACAAAGGCGGGGGTTTTGTCTCGCCTGGAATGTGCCAATCATGTTTCTCCATCCCAATGCCTGGAAGAATGTTACACCCTCTCAATTCCCGACCTTTTCCTCTTTGCTCCCCACTTAGCCTCCTTTGCCCTGAGACTTCACTCTGCAGGGGATCCCTAGGAGGGTCCGCCCCAGGTTAGGATGCACAGAGGCAGGGAAAAGGGGAAGCAGCTGGAAAGAGTGGATAAATGCCCAGGCTTTGCAGAAAGACAATCTGAGAATGAATGTCAACCCCTCTCCTGTGTCTTAGGCAACTTGCTTTACCTCCCTGAGCCTTCCCTGAGTTTTCACCATTGAAAAAACAGAGAATCCAATATCCACCTCATAGACGAGTGCTTCTTTATCCAATAAATATTTGTTAGGGCCTTATGTGTAGCAAGCAGCAGAGCAAGGAGGAGGGCAAGGTAGATGAGGCACTTCCATTAGGTGCAAAATTTAAGGGATTACCAAAGAATTCAGTGCTCAAAATAAATAATATTTAATCCCCTATGTTTAAAAATCACAATTAATTCAAAAAGCCCATAATGAACAAAATCTCAAAATTTCTCATAAAGACAGGATCAGTAATGATGCCAAGCCGTTACTGGACCCTGTTGCCAAGGGGAAAATCAACAATAGATTCCATCAGATATGGTTTGGATTTGTGTCCCCACCCAACTCTCATCTGGAATTGTAATCCACAATGTTGGAAGAGGGGCCTAGTGGGAGGCGATTGGATCATGGGGGCAGATTTCCCCCCTTGCTGTTGTTGTGATAAGTGATTTCTCACGAGATCTGGTTGTTTAAAAGTGTGTGGCACCTCCCGCTTCAGCCTCTGTCTCCTTCTCTGACAATGTAAGATGTGCCTGCTTCCCTTTCGCCTTCTGCCATGATTGTAAGTTTCCTGAGGCCCCCCAGCCATGCCTCCTGTACAGCCTGCAGAACTGTGAGTCAATTAAACCTCTTTTGTTTATAAATTACCCAGTCTCAGGTAGTTCTTTATAGCAATGCGAGAACAAACTACTACACCATCTTTATTTAACATTTTGATATTTTTGATTTTTTGCATTTTGATTTCTGAAAATACTACATTATAACATTATTTATCTTGATTACTGATTTTTTTATCACTGCTTCTGTCGCCCCTTAAATTTTGCACCCCAGAACAGTGCCTCATTTGGTTCATTTCCTAGTGTTGGCCCTGCAAAGCAGCACACTAAGCATGCTAAGGCCTGGGAAAACTGAGGAAACTAAACAGACACACAAATTACCCTCCTGGAGCTCTTAGTTTAGCAAACGAGGCAGATAAAAGCAAGTAAACAAGCAGATAAATAGAAAAATTATAAATTACAATAAGTCAAATGGTAGGAGCATGCCACTGAGAAGGGTGATAACTTACTCAGATGAAATGGTCAGCAACAAGCAACACCTTCTCTAAATCTCCAAGCTTCAAAGCCCCCGTCATTTTCCCCAATAGATTCCTAGTGTGCATTAAAGGGTTAACTTAGCAGACTTACGGTGTTCACACCCTGCATGTTCCAAAGAAAGCACCTGACTGACTGCTGGGAGAGTAACTCTAAGCTCTTGCAGTATCCTCCCTAACTCAAGTGTCTTTGTATACCTGGGCACTTGGGCCAAACCAGGCCAGACAATCTATGTAACCATGTGATTATATCACGTTGACTTCTGGAGGGGCTGGTGACCAAGTAATTAAGGTCATTCCATAGGTAACTCCACACCTATGTGACTGACCTCCAATTAAAACCCTGAACACCAAGGCTCAGGTGAGTTTCCATGGTTGGCAACACTCGATACATGTTGTCACCCATCATTGGTGGGAGAATTAAGCATGTTTGTAAGATTCCACTGGGAGAGGACAACTGGAAGTCTCTCCTGGACCCTGCCCTATGCACCTTTTTCTTTGGCAGATTTTAATCTGAATCCTTTTGTTGTAATAAACCATAACCATGAGGATAACAGGTCTTCTGAGTTCTGGGAGTCCTTCTAGTAAAGAACTTGAAATCACTCATGGAACCTGTCAGTGGTCCTGCGGACCCACAATGTAGTGGTTCTGATCTATCACAGCACTCATCACAGTTCATGACTGTGTGTATTAGTCTGTTCTCACGCTGCTAATAAAGACATACTGGAGACTGGGTAGTTTATAAAGGAAAGAGGTTTAATTGACTCTCAGTTCTGCAGGGCTGGGAAGGCCTCAGGAAACTTACAATCATAGTGGAAGGGGACATAAACATGTCCTTCTTCACGGGGTGGCAGGACAAAGAAGTGCCAAGCCAAAGGGGGAAAAGCCCCTTATAAAACCATCAGATCTAGTGAGAACTCACTCACTATCACCAGAACAGCATGAGGGTAAATGCCCCTGTGATTAAATTACCTCCCACCAGGTCCCTCCCACGACACGTGGGGATTATGGGAACTACAATTGAAGATGAGATTTGAGTAGAGACACAGCCAAACAATATCAATGTGTGTGTGTGTGAGGTCATGTGACCATAGACTAGACTTGCAATGTCCAACACAGCTGCCACTGACCAAATGTGGATGCCTAAGTTTAAATTAATTTAAATGAGATAAAGTTAAGACTTCCTCAGTTGCACCAGGCACATTTCAGTTGCAGCAGTCACATTTGGTTTGTGGCTACCACATGGAATGATTCTATCACCCTGAAAGTTACACTGGACTACACTAGACTAGATGGTGAGGCTTCAAGGGCATAGGGACTCCTTGCGACTTATTCATATCTGCGTTTCCAAGACCTCACACACAGTGGACACTCAATAATTACCAGTGAAAACAAACAAAAATATATTAAAAGACTAAATAGTGGAAAGAGCTCTTTTCCCCGCCCTATCTCTAATGCCGTGTGCTCTTGAGCAAGCTACTTGGCCACTCTAGGCTTTAGTTTTCCCAGCTGCAAAGATGTGTGTGTACTCTAGGGGTTTAAAGGTCCCTTCTGGCCATGCATGGTGGCTCACGCCTATAATCCCAACACTCTGGGAGGCTGAAGCAGGTGGATCACGTGAGGTCAAGAATTTGAGACCACCCTGGCCAACATGGTGAAACCCCATCTCTATAAAAATACAAAAATTACCCAGGCATGGTGGCACATGCCTGTAGACCCAGCTTACTCAGGAGGCTGAGGCAGGAGAATGGCTTGAACCCGGGAGGTAGAGGTTTCAGTGAGCTGAGATCGTGCCTCTGCACTCCAGCCTCGGTGACAGAGCAAGACTCTGTCCCAAAAAACTAAATTAAAAAATAAAAATAAAAACAGGTCGGGTGCGGTGGCTCACACCTGTAATCCCAACACTTTGTGAGGCCAAGAGGGGCAGATCACCTGAGGTCAGGAGTTTGAGACCAGCCTGGCCAACATGGTGAAACCTTGTCTCTACTAAAAATACAAAAAAAAATAGTTGGGCGTGGTGGCAAGTGCCTGTAATCCCAGCTACTTGGGAGGCTGAGGCAGGAGAATCGCTTGAACCCAGAAGGGGGGGGTTGCAGTGAGCTGAGATCACACCACTGCACTCCAGCCTGGATGACAAGAGCGAGACTCCATCTCAAAAAAATAAAAATAAAGATAAAATAAATAAGTAATAATAATAATAAAAGTAAAGGTTTCTTCAGGTCATGATATTCAAGACCAGGATCATAACAGAAACCTTGTGGTCTGGTGCCCTTCTCCTTTCACTGTGTGCTAGGTATAGCCTGAGACGGAATGGACCAGCTGTCAAGGGAGCTGAACAAACAGTGAAGGAATTGAGAAACAATCACTGGGTTTGCCCCAGTTGAGGAACTCTTCAAACTGCAAGCTCCATGATGGCATAGATTTGTTTGCCTCTTTGCTCATGGTTGTGTCCACCTCGAGTTCTAGCACAGTGCCTGGCACAAAGTAAGTGCTCAATAAACATTTCTGGAATGAGTGATTGACCCTAAGCACTGAACTTGCAGAGTCCAGAGATTGGCTCAGGGAGCATGTCCTTTGTCACATGTGGCACAACTCTGTGGCACCAGCCCCTGGCAGGATTAGAGCCCTTCACTAATAAGCCAATGGAATCAGCTTGGACCCCACTTGGTGACTTTCTGCTGTCTTGCTGCCTCATGCTCCAGTCCCAAAATGACCTTCAAAACCTATCTCCATCGCTGCACTGCTCAAAATCCTTCAGTGGCTCTCTGCTCTTCCCAGACAAAATAAAGCAACGTTTTTGTTGCATGTGACAAGGCATGAACTATCTTCATTTCTTTTCCATTTGAGAGCTCATGTTTTGCAGCAGGAAATTTGTAGCCAACGTTGGTCTGATACAGTGAGGGTACAACTGCTCACTGATACAGTGAGGTTACCTGGCTTGCGTCCTACACTCATTGCTATGATTTGAATGTTTTGTCTTCTCCAAAATCATGTTGAAACTTAATCCCCAATGCAGCAGTTTTGGGAGGTGGGGCTCCACCCTCATGAATAGATTAATGCCACTATGAAAAGGGTTTGCTAAAGTGTATTCACTCTCTTCTGCTTGTCTGCCATGTGAGGACACAGAGTTCACCCCTCTCTTGCCCTTCCACCTTCTGCCATGTGAAGATGCAGTAAGAAGGCCCACACCAGGTACCAGCATATTGATCTTGGACTTTCCAGCCTCCAGAACTGTAAAAGGATACATTTCTGTTCTTTACAAATTGCTGGGTTTCAGGTATTCTGTTAGAGCAGCAGAAAACGAACTAAGACACTCAATCTCAAGTTCTTCCTTTTGCTCTCCAATCTGGGCCTCCAAATCCTCCATCCAGTGCCCACCAAGTCCCCCGGCTATCACGCCTTGGGCATTGTCTCCTTTGCTATGCATCATACACCTTGATATAGTTTGGATATTTGCCTCTCCCCTGAAAATCTCATGTTGAAATGTAATCCCCAATGTTGGAGGTGGAGCTAGTGGAAGGTGTTTATGTCATAGGGGTGGAAGCCTCATGAATGGCTTGGTGCCCTCCCCATGGTAATGAGTTACCACAAGATCTGGTTGTTTTAAAAGGGACTGACACCTCTTTCCCACTCTCACTTGCTCCATCTTGTGACATGCCTGCTCCCCCTTCACCTTCTGCCATAATTGGAAGCTTCCTGAGGTCCTCCCCAGAAGCAGATGCTGGCGCCATCCCTCCTGTATAGCCTCCAGAATTGTAAGCCAAAATAAACCTCCTTTGTTTATAAATTACGCAACCTTGGGTATTCCTTTATAGCAATGCAAAATGGACTAACACACACCTCTCATACTATTAATAGGTCATCCAAAGAGCTTCTCCCCTAGGAGATGGGGCACAAGTCCACATACTCAGCAGTCTCCTTGAGGCTGTTGGCTCATCCATCAACCTTCTGAACCTCTGTTTTCTCATTTGTACAAAGATCTGAAGTTATTTTCTGGATATCCCTTTCCAAGACCCTTCCAAACTGCTGACACTGCTCACACTTCTGTACCCTCACCCCACCCCTGGAAAATCTGTTCCAATCTTATTGAACTGCATGTAAACCCCCAAGCTCACCATCACCTTACCAACCTTCAGGCCTTTGTCCCTCTACTCCCTCAGCCCAGCACACCCTTTCCTTCCCCTTCCTCCAACTTTCAAGATTCCACTCAAAGACCAGCCCCCTAGGAAAACTTTCTTTCACATTCTCCATCCTCAGGTGGAACTTACCCTAGTCTCCTCTTCACCCCAGCCATTTTCCATGCACAAATTACCACCCTGTGGCATCCAGAGCACTTTCTTACACATGCTTGCTAATCCACGAGTCTCTGCCTTCCAGACGTCAATCAACACCCTGAGAGCAGAATCTTCAGTGTTCTGTCTTTGTAAAGCAAAGAGATAAAATCAGAACAGTTTGGGAGTTGGAGCCCAGTGGCTTCAGGTTGAATTCTGGCCCTAGCCCACACACATTCTGATCTTAGGAGAATCATGAATATCCCTGTGCTAGGTCATATTATTGGCCCCAGCTCTTTATTCCCTCCTTTGTCTGTGTTCTTTGCCATGTGACTTTGCAATTTATCCCACTAAAGGAGCAGAGCATATTTCCCTGCCCTTTGACTGTGGGTTTGGGCATAAGACTTGCTTTAGATAATAGAATGAGGAGTAAGTGACAGGATGCCTGTTTTAAAAGATGTGTTGCAGGCTTTAATCCATTCTCCTGCACTCCTGCCTTAAGAAGAACATTCTCAGGCCAGCCTTCTGCTCCCAGGAGGTTCAGAAGCATGTGGAGCTGAGCCACCTCAGCCGAGCTCCCCATGCAGAGCCCAGCCTTGACAAACCAGCCCTAAGCCAACTTGCAAATGTGTGAGCAAGAATAAGTGATGGCTGCTGTGAACCACTGGATTTGGGGGTGGTTTGTTACTCGGCAATAGTTGGCTGATACACTCTCTTCAACTCAGTGTCTTCATCTGAGGGATGATGATAAGTTCCTTGAGGGGCTATCATAGGATTAGATTACATTGTGAATAAAGTATAAAACTCAATGTCTGACTCATCGTAAGTGCTGACAAATGGCAGCTATTGGTCCCCCGAAAATTTCAACATAGATTTATGCTATGACCCAGAATGTCCACTTCTAGGTATACACACAAAAGAATTGGAAATAGTCATTCAAACAGATACTTGTACACAAATGTTCAGAGCAGTATTATTCATAATAGCTAAAAGGTGCAAATGACTCAAGTGTCCATTGACAGATAAATGGGTAAGTAAAATGTGATATATACATACGATTAAATATTATTAAGCCATAAAAAGAATGATGTCCTGGTATATGCTACATCATGGTTGAACCTTGAAAATATTACGCTAAGTGAAATAAGCCAGACACAAAAGATAAATACTGTATGATTCCACTTACATGAAATATCTAGAATAGGCAAATTTGCAGAGATAGAATGTAAATTGGAGGTTACCAGGGACTGGGGGGGGCGGTGGTAAGGAGGAATGAGAAATTGTTGCTTAATGGGTACAGAGTTTCTGTTTGGGGTGAAGATTTGGAAACAGATAGTGGTAAGGGTTGCACAACATCATGAATGTAATTGAAGCCACTATATTGTACACTTAAAAATGGTTAAAATGGTGACATTCCTGTTATATGTATCTTACCACATTTTAAAAATGGTACTTAGGTGTTCAAGACAATCCTGGATGACCCAGAAAGACACTGTCTTTATAAAAGATAAAAAATGAAAAAAAAATAGCCAGGTATAGAGGTTTGCCCCTGTAGTCCTGACTACTTGGGAGGCTGAGGTGGGAGGATTGCTTGAGCCTGGGAGTTCCAGCCTGCAGTAAGCCATAATTGCACCACTGCACTCCAGCCTGGGTGACGGAGTGAGACCCTGACTCAAAAGAAAAAGGCAGTTATTGTATTTATCTGTTCAGCAACTGTACATAGTAAATGCTGAGTAAAAGTCTGTTGAATATTGCTGGAATAAAGGAGATGACCATTAGATGGATAGATGCACAAATAACCAAAGAGATAAATAAGTGAATCAGTTAATGGTGAGCAAGTGAAGAAACCATATAAGCTCTTTACCGTGGCCACCTATTTAGAAGATGTACGACAACCAGGACATGGGACCCTACAGTCTCATGTAGAATTAACTATATTGAGAGCTATAAGTATAAAAATCACACAAAGTAGAAAAGGCAACCTAGGGGATCCATGCAGACCTGCAGTCTCAGGAGGGCAGAAAGCAGGTCTGGGATGATAGGGCACAAGGACAGTGGCGCAGCAGGGGACACCAGAGGCTCCAGCAGTGGAAAGAAACACATGGTTGCTACAATGAGTAGCAACTCCGGCTGGTGGAAATGAGAGCGGGCTGCAGATACAGGGCTGCTACCTGCAGGGTAATATGTGTTATCGGGTTGATCTTGCCCCTCGGGGAGCCTGGGGAAAACCCAGGTTCTAGAAACCAGAAACAGTGATGATGAATAGAAACCCTTGCACAAGCACAACACTTTAAAATGTAGACACCACTTTCCCGAGGATCTGCTGACTTAGTCCTCACAACTACCCTGTGAAGGTTTATCTTGTTATTATTTCTAATAGGCGAAGAATATAAGGCTCAGATGGTTGACGGAATAGGTCCAAGGTTACCTAGCGCACAAGAGGCAGGGAGCTACCTCCCAGGGACTGGCTTTATTGGCTCCATTGAGAATTCCATTGGCCCCATTGAGAACTTCATCAGCCCCATTGCTGCCCAGTGAGCGCACACAAGGCAGGGGTGGAACTTGAACCCAGGTCACTTCACCCCCATATCCTACGCTCCTTCAAACACACCCTAGGAGAAAACCTTCCAGTGGTGCTAGGGTTTCAATGTGTGTCTCCTCCAAAACTCGTGTTGAAATTTAACTGCTGTTGGG
Source organism: Homo sapiens (assembly GCF_000001405.40). Classification (NCBI taxonomy): domain Eukaryota; kingdom Metazoa; phylum Chordata; class Mammalia; order Primates; family Hominidae; genus Homo; species Homo sapiens. The sequence continues at coordinate 26,724,097 of NC_000022.11, read as the reverse complement.
AACAGTAGTGAGAGATGGGACCTTTGGGAGGTGGATGGGTCATGAGGGTTCTGCCCTCATGAGTTGGATTGATGCCATTATAAAGGATGACTTTGGCTCCCTTTTGCCTCTTTTTTGCCTTCTGCCATGTGAAGATGAAGTGTTTTGTTCCCCACGTTTGGAGGATGCAGCATTCCAGGCACCATCTTGGAATCAGAATCTCCAAGCCTGCCAGCACCTTGATGTTGTCCTCCCAGCCTCCAGAGCTGTGAGCAATAAGTTTCTGCATGTAAATTACTTAGTCTCAGGTATTCTCTGATAGCAGCTCAAACAGACTAAGACAAGTGGGGAAAAGCAGAAATCTCTCCCCTGGTGTGTTGATCTTGGATTTGAATCACAGCTTTTGTTACTGGCTAGTTCTCGAATTTGGGGAAACTCACTTGAATCTACGTTCTGATCTGTAGAATGGTAATAAATGAATCTGCATTATCACATTGTCCTAAGGACGCAAGGTAATGCATGCAAGTGTTTAGTATAGCATCCATCCCATAACAGGAGCTCAGTGCAGTCATGGTCACCTTTATTTATCATCTCTTCCCTCTGTTCCTTTTCCCCCTCACCCTCCCCTCTTTACTCCCCTTCTTCCATCTCTTCCTGGATTCTCTCTCTCATCTCTCATTGTTCTCTTGTCTCCTCAGGGAACACATCCTCCCCATAAACCCACACTTCCCACATTCCTCCATCTGGCCCCTCAAAAACCCACAGGTCCCTGTCCTAGGGAATAGCAGGTAAATGTGAAGTGTTGAGTAACTCCTTTCCACAGGTCTGGGCCCCCTGGCCTGTCCATCCCCGCCATGTTCCTCTGCTCCACAGGTTCCATGCCCTTGGTCACACTGCCTTGTATCTTACATTCCTGACTTTATATCTACTTTGAATAATAACTCTCCCCACCTTGGTGAGGCCACAAATTATCACTAATCTCCAGGCGAGATTAAATGTTGTTAACATTTGGTTTCTCGCGTAGATTGGAGGATTCCAGGCTAAGGGGAAATGGATGGAGGAGGGCTGAGGTGCATGCTGATACCCAAGCCACAGGCAGGCTCTGCAGGAGAAACCAGCACAGCAGAGCGGGAGACACAGGAGCAGGCTCTGGAGCCCGGCCACCTGGAATGAGTCGCAGCCATGCCCCTTCTCATTCGTGTGACCTCAGAAAGGGGCATCACCTCTCTGGGCCTTAATCTTTTCATCCACTAAATGGGATAATTATAGAACCAGATGAGAGAATGAGCATGGAGCCTGCACAGAAGGAGAGCTTTAAGCAATTATGAGAATGAAGGGAAGCGTCATTTCTCAAAGTCCATGGACTTGGGCCTGAGCCCCACGCATACTTCTTCTCCAAGCCCTACACTCTCCAGAGTTATGCATTTGGGGGAGCAGATAGAGAGTGCTGAGCAATTCCTCCAGGGGTACAGGGCTCTCTGGACCCAGCTGTTTGGACACATCTGGGATGGCCATTCCCCCTCTCGCATCCCACCAACCCCAGTCTCCCAAGCTAGGCCCTGCTGGGTCCCAGGCCCACCCTTTGGCAGCCAAGTAGAGCTGCCCCTCAATGAAATGTGATGAATGGTGGCCCTGAGAGCCATCAGCTTCCCAACTTAACTGACATCCCACTGCTTCCTTCTTTAGGAATTCCGATTTTCCCTTCACAGACTATCATAAAACTATGCTAGAAGGTCTCCTTCCAACACCCACAGAGATGATTCACCCAAAATGTTCATGAGCAAACATTGCAGAGGAACAACCCCTAAGGGGAAAGTTCTCCCAAAGACCTACACATTATTCTTCACTCAGTGCTTCATCTCTCTAGAATCCTGAAATTTTGGAGACAAAAGAAACCCTGAAGTTCCTCTGCTCCGCAATGTAGGCGAGTGAACCAGGACAGGGCATTCACAGCAGGGAACATTTATTGAGCACTCTCTGTGTACCGTGCACTGCACCAGCCAACTCAGGAGCATCATCTCATTTCATCCTCACGCAATCTGTGAGGCAGGGCTGCTGCTAATCCCATGGCACTGGAGGAAACTGAAGCTCAAGGTGGTGGATCCACTCCCACCTATGGGAAAATCCAGAGTCACACAGCTACAAGAAGAGCCCAAACCTGCCTGGCTTCAAAACAGGTGGTGAGCTCCCCATTGCTGGAGGTATCCAAGAGTCTGCCGAGGGACTTCAAGTATTCAGGAAGGGGGAGACCCCAAGATCAATGCCCCGTGGATAGTCTCCATCTTCAACAGGGTTTCTCAATATTGGTGCTATTGAGATTGTGAACTGGATAATTCATTGCTGTAGAGAAGATTGTCCTGTGCATTGTGGGATGTGGAGCAGCATCCCTGGTCTCTGCCCAGCAGACGCTGGTAGCACCTCCTCAATCACGGCAACCAAAAACATCTCAAGACATGGCCAAAGGTCCCCCTGGGGCAAGGGGGACAAAATCACCATATGAGAAGCACTGTTCTACAAGAATTTTTGAAAAAGCCAGCAGACATCCATGGAGACCAGCGTTGACAATGCAGGGAGAAGTTTTACACCCCTGCGGTACCTTCTTGGGAGACAGTTGTGCACTGCAGCAGCCCTTATATCATGGCAGAGATGCTGCATATCTGCTCCTCTGTCAGCATCCCAAAGGACCAGGAGGAATACTCGGGCACATTTAGAAAAGAAAGAGAGAGGAGACCCATGACCCAAAAATACGACATTGGAATTGAGGCACAATTTGACCTAAATGCAATAAAATTGTGCCATTAGTTCCAGAGCAGCAAGCACTACCCAACCCACTGATAACTCCGAGCTGCCACTAGACCTCAGTAAGCCTCAATATATTTTAGCCTTGATTTAAAATGGAAGAATCTGCAGGTCAGACCTGAAAAGATCCTTAGAAAGTAGAGATCTGCTCTCTGGTCCTGTGTTGTGAGTGTGTCGTGAGTGTGTCGTGAGTGTGTCGTGAGTGTGTCGTGAGTGTGTTGTGCGGTGGGGGCGGGGGTGCTAGCCATCTCTGTCGGGCATCTTCTTTTGGTGCTCCCCGCAACCCCCACATTGCCTCTCCACCCTTCTCCCCATGTGGACTTCAATGGACTGTCTTGCCCTCCGCCTTCCGATTTGGTTCTGCCAACTGGAGGCCCAGAAGGAAATCAGGGGAAGGGGAGATGGAGTCAGCGTACTTATTCCCCCTGCTCCTGCCTGCCAGGGTCTCTGAGGATTGGCTGCATCCCTTCACTGAAGGTCTCAGCCAAGGATCTTGTCTACCTCGTCACCTTCTCCCCTTAACTCTTTTTTTTTTTTTTTTTTTTCTCTGAGACGGAGTCTCGCTCTGTCACACGGGCTGAAGTGCAGTGGCGCGATCTCGGCTCACTGCAAGCTCCGCCTCCCGGGTTCACGCCATTCTCCTGCCTCAGCCTCCCGAGTAGCTGGGACTACAGGCGCCCGCCACCATGCCCGGCTAATTTTTTGTATTTTTGGTAGAGACGGGGTTTCACCATGTTAGCCAGGATGGTCTCGATCTCCTGACTTTGTGATCCGCCCTCCTCGACCTCCCAAAGTGCTGGGATTACAGGCTTGAGCCACTGCGCCCGGCCATTAACTCTTAACCTTCCCTCATCTGGCCTAGGAATGATGATGGCGCCCGCTGACACTAGACCCCAGTTATACCCTCCTGTGTGGGTTCCCTACACCCTGCCCACACCTTTGTAAACAATTCCTTTACTAAACTCTCCTCAAATTATCCCAATTATATATGTGCCATGTGTTTCCTGCTGAGCCCTGACTGATAGATAAACCACGTGGTTCTTTGTTCAAACAAAATTGTATGCAAAAACTAAGCAGATAGAACAGATCGGAGCAGAGTTCCTGCATCCATTCACATGGATTTATTAAGTGTCAGCCCCTAGCCAGAGTCCCTGGGCTGGGACTGAGGACACACTAGTGAGTGAGAACAGTGAGGTCCTTACTGGCTGGAGTATACAGTCTTGCAGGTGGCAAAGGTGGGGCAGGCGGCCTGAGCTCCTTGGTCCCCGACACTGTCTTTGTGGGGCCCTATTTAATAACCACAGAAAGTTATGTCAATGCCTGCGATCCAGTTCCCTTGTCCTACTCCCATTTTTCAGATGGGAAAGCTGAGGCCGAGAGGAGGAAAGGGAATTGCCCAATATTTAAGACAGTCTACCTTCTGGAAGTTAATGGAATCTTGCCTTCTTTTCTTATTTATTATTATTATTTTTTTAACGGAGTCTCACTCTGTCTCACTCTGTCGCCAGGCTGGAGTGCAATGGCACAATCTTGGCTCACTGAAACCTCCGCCTCCCAGGTTCAAGTGATTCTCCTGCCTCAGCCTCCCAGCCTGTAACTGGGACTACAGGCACGCACCACCACGCCCAGCTAATTTTTGTATTTTTAGTAGAGACGGGGTTTCACCATGTTGGCCAGGATGGTCTCAATCTCTTGACCTCATGATCCACCTGCGTCAGCCTTCCAAAGTGCTGGGATTACAGGCGTGAGCCACCGTGCCCAGCCGGAATCCTGCCTTCTTAGTTTGGAGTGATGGCTAATATTTGGTGAGTTGTCAGTGTGTGCTGGACCCTTGGCTACATACATGTCACAGTTTAATCCCCGAATGACTCTCTGAAGTGGGAAGGAGTATTATCCCTACTTTATAGACAAGGCTTGGAGAGATGAAGTGACTTGTCCAGAGTCAAGGAGCCAGCTAGAGCCAGAGCTGGATGGAACCTCCAGGAAATCTATGGAGGAGGAAGAGGGGCTGTGAAAAATGTCAACCTCCGAAAAGCATCTGAGTGTGTGGTTTTTTTTAATCATCTTGCAACCATAAGGAAAATTCTTGGTGGCTAAATCATCCCCCGAGACAGCATAAGAGAGGGGAACAGGCATCCTAGATCCTTCAGATATTGGCTTCATTTCAGAACATTCTTGGCTGGAATGAAAATGGCACAGAAGCCAGGGTCAGTCTGGTTCACAGGAAGGGCTCAGGATGCGCATGAGAGGCCCTGAGAGTGCTCCCCATGCACCCCAGCCTAAAATATCTTCATCAGCGTCTCAGCACTCTGCCATGATGCTTGAAATGCCACCATTAAGAGTCACTTTTGTGCAGAGCATGACATGCACTTCTCAAAGGAAAACAGGAAATGGGTATAAATTACCCAGATGCAGTGACACATTGAAAGAGGGGAAGAAAGGACTAGGAGTTTTTGAGCACCTACTAAGTGCTTTCCATAGGGGAGACTCAGTAAATGGTAGTTTAATACTACATGGATCATATTTATGGAATATATCTTATTTGTCACAACAGGGCAGTAAAGAGGGCGTTGCTACCTTGACATTTACAAATGCCATGCTCAGAGTGGTTAAGTGATTTGCTCAAGGTCACACAGCTGATGTGGTGCAGAGCTAGGTTGGAGCTTCAATGGCAAGCCTGCCTACTTTCCATCATGTGTGCTATCACCCGAGCTCGAGGGACCAACTTTAAGGGGTTCCAATGGGCTAGGGACAGAAAATGGGGATGTTTGAGGGGCCGTACTAATCTCGGAGGCACCATGATGTCCCTGGGTCTGTCTCCCCATGATAAGAATTAGCTGTGTGACCTTCCCTGAGCTGGACTTTGGTATCTTTTCAGGTAAAAAAAGAAGAAGCTGCATTTGACACCCCTCTTAGCTTCCTTCTATTTCCAAAATTCTGTACACTACAAATTTGCTGATAGTATGCAAATTGGCATAGACTAATTTATGCAAATTCACCTTGGTCCCTAGCAAGATTCAACCCAATTGAATATTGTTAACAACAGATACTTTCAAAAGGCAAAAAGGCCAGGCGCAGTGGCTCATACCTATAATCCTAGGACTTAGGAGGCCAAGGCGGGTGGATCGCTTGAGCCCAGAAGTTGGAGACTAGCCTGGGAAAAATAGTGAAAACCCATCTCTACAAAAAAAAAAAAAATAGAAAAAATTAGCTGGGCATGGTGGCATGCACCTGTAAATCCAGGTATTTTGACAGCTGATGGGGGAGGATGGCTTGAGCCATCTGGAGACTGAGGCAGCAGTGAGCCACGATTGCACCACTGCCCTCCAGTCTGGGTGACAGAGGGAGGCCCTGTCTCAAAAAAAAAAAGGCATATATTTAATGGGTGCAGAAGAAAGTGGTCCCCACCTCCCATCCCTGCCTGTTCCCCACCTATGTCCCAGAGCAGGGCACTCAGATTGTGGGTCCTTTTCCTTAGAATGAAGAGGTAGGAAAACAGGCAAGACATGAGCAATCTCTCACAGACTATGATGTGGACCAGCTGCTGCCGGTTACCTGGAGTTATTTGCTGCATGGGGGATGTCATCAGGGTTAAACTGGATCCCAGAGAGGAGATCCCTGCACTCCTATGATGCCCCAAGCCCTACCCAAGTAGAACTCGCAGACCCCTCTCCTGTCCTTGCACTCATGGGCCCCTCGCCCTGAGGCTGTTAGAAGCAGCTTGTCATAGGCAGCAAAATTAAAAATAAAATGTTAAAAAAAAAGAAGCAGCAGCAACATCTCTTCTCTAAACAGATCAATTCTTGCTGGGATGCCTCAATGGTCTCATTATGCTTGGCTAACCACCCTATGTTACTTACAGAGACCACTTGGTATTTCCGAAGAATTAAAACATTCCTCCAGCCGGGTCTCACTCGCAAGTACAATATGATCTCCCATCGTATGCTTTTAACCATAACCTCCTCAATATCCCAACCCAAACGTGGTCAGTGTAACTTGCATGGCTCCAATTCCAAGACAGGGTCATCAGACAGTGATCTCTGGAAAATTCCTCCCAGGTGGGCTACCTGTCAGAGAACCACAAAAAGACATTTTATTTTAAATTAACCTCCACTATGATATGAGTCTACGGCATCCAAGAAGGGATAAATCAGCTGCACAAAGAACTTTAAACCAGGCACAGTGGTGCACGGCTGTAGTCTCAGCTACCCAGGAGGCAGAGGCCAGACAATCACTTGAGGCCAGGAGATTGAGGCTGCAATAAACCATGATGATGCCTGTGAATAGCCACAACATTCCAGCCTGGGGAACATAGCGAGAGTCTGTCTCTTAAAGAAAATAATAATTAAGTAATTAATTTTGAAAAATTTGAAATAAATAAGGAGAACTTTGATCCAACCTTTAAACTCTAGGACTTGGTAGATAAGTTGGGAAGGGAGAGCATGCCTGGGGAGAAATTGTAGGAGAAAAGGCTTGGAGGTACGACAGAGCTGGTTCTCAGTAGAACAGTGAGGAAGACGATCTGCCAACCCACAGGAAAAGAAAATGGCCCTTTCAGGAGTAATGGGAAATAAGGGGGTTTTGTTTGGTTTTGTTTGTTTGTTTGCAACAGAGTCTTGCTCTGTTGCCCAGGCTAGAGTGCAGTGGCACAATCATAGTTCACTGCAGCCTCGAACTCCTGAGCTCCAGTGATCCTCCCATCTCAGCCTCCCTAGTAGCTGGGACTACGAGCACACTCCACCATGCCCAGCTAATTTTTATTTTTTGTAGAGATGGAGTCACACTGTGTTGCTCAGGCTGGTCTCAAGTTCCTGGACTCAAGCAAGTGCTGGGATTACAGGTGTGAGCCACTGTAGCCAGCCAGAAATAAATTTTAATAGATGGCATGGGGTCAGATTATCAAAGTCTTTGAAAGGCAGGCAGGTGAAGTTTATAGTTAATATAATAGGCAGGAGGGAGCCTCACAAGGTGTTTGAGCAGGGAAATAACAATGCAAGATAGAGTTGATCATTATTCAGGGGTTCTGTTTTTGCAAATTCACCTACTTGATAAAATTTATTTCTAACCCCAAAATCAATACCCACAACTCTTTCATGAGTGCTGGCAGTGTAGTGAAACATACGAGTCCCTGATACAAGTGTTTTCGTCTGCGGCTGAGCAAGGCTGTCTTATTTCAGCTCTCATACTGTTAGCTAGTCCTTTTCGCAGTCTTTTTAGTTCCATCTTTTTCACTTTGTTGCTTTTGGTGATTTTGCTCTTTAAAAGGGCCCAAGCACAGTGTTGAAGCGCTGTCTCGTGTTCCTAAACCTGAGAAGGTTCTGATGTGCCTTACAGAGAAAATGGCTGCATTCGGTTAGCTTCACTCAGGCATGAGTTACAGTGCTTCTGGCTGTGAGTTCAATGTTTAATAACCCAACGATAAATATTAAATAAGGTATCTTTAAACAGAAACACACATAAAACTTGGTTATGTATTGATCAGTTGACAATCTAGAAGCAATGCGTCAGTTTTCACTAATTCAGTGCTTGCAACTTTATATATAGAGCATAACTAGCATGAATAATGAAAATCGCCTATATCAGCATTTTGGACTCTAAGGAGACCACAAGACCATGAAAAGAAACCATCTCTTAAGAGAGTATATGCTCAGGAGCCAAACTACCTGGGTTCAAATCCCGGCTCTTCTGCTTACTAGCTGTGCCACCTTGGGCGAGTTGCTTACCTTCTCTGTGTCACAGTATCTCATCTGTGAAACAGAGACAATGGTTGTCTCTTTATCATACGGTGACTAGGAGAATTTAAATGTGTTAATGTTTGTCAAGTTCTCAGAAGATTGTCTGGGACATAATGAACACTATTTACATGTTTTGTGTTTGTTAAATAAATAAAGAAAAGGGATAAGGTGAGAGAAAGAGAGAGAGAGAGCATGCATCTCATTTCACAGGCGAGGAACCTGAATCAGGCCCACATCTAAGTCTTTCCAGCGACGAATTGGGGAGGAAGCTGGCTCTGGGGAACCCAGGTCAGAGTCAATTCAATGACTGGGTTGCAAAATTGACATAAGGTGGTGATGACAGCCACAGGTACAGGTGCTAACCCACGGTGCTGAGCAAAGTCACAGTGTGACTGCGGGACCCGCCAAGACCCATCCACCTGTGACAACCAAGGGACACTTCTTCATGCTTCCCCTTTCCAAGCCACAGCCAGATGGAACCCAGAATGCTCTAAAGATACACGTCTCCACCTCGCCCTTTAAGAATTACTAGGCATCTCCAGGCTGTGCCGCTGAGGAGCAAGAAATACTACCGCACCCCGGCAGAAAGCTAATGAGAAACCGAACACAGCCAGACAGAAGTTTAACAAGAAATACTGGCCCAGGCTCCCCAGAAGAAGAGCGGGCTCCGAAGGCCTGGCGGGCCGCCTGCCATCTCCCCTCATGCATCGATCGGTGCAGGGAAAGCTGGAGACCACGGGGAAGGAGATAAACGAGAAGATGTACGACAGGAGGGGCCAAGGGCTGATGAAAGGGGAAGGGATGTGGCTTAAATCAAGGGGCAAGTGCTGCGAGAGGGGAAGATAACAGGATTTGTGTTTACGGTTAATGAGGAGAATTGGTGGAGGTGCTGCTCTGGGGCAGGCGAGGTAGGTGAAGACTTGGGGAGGAAGAGGAAGAGGGGCCTCAGGGAGGGTACCCCATACTCCAAGCAAATCAATAACATGAGCCAGGCTAAGTCCCTAAAGTGGCAAAGTCCTTCCTGGTCCACTTGGCTGGAGCTACAATTGCCTTTTATCTTCTCTCCTTTGTTTCTTAACTTTCCTGACTGTCCAGGAAAGAATATCCACCTCTGCCCCTTTCTCCCACCACCAGGTCATCAGAATTCAAAGACCGTGTCTGGACAATAGGGACGAGAGGGGATGCTCACCGAGCACCTCCTCTGTGCTTCTGGCTGTGCCGAGAGCTTCCTGTGTCTTACTCCAACTAATATTCATCCCAGGATGGAAGCACTGTGGTTGTTCTCATTGCACAGATAAGGAAACTGAAATTCAGAGGGGCGCTCCAATGACACAGAACTGTGCTGAAATTCCAGCCCAGACAGCATGGCTCCAGTGCTAATCATGATTCCACACTGAGCCTGTTGACACCCTCAGCATTTATGACTAATGGGAAATTGTTTGCCTGCATTTCACGGCCTTGAACCACCTCCGATTTCTGCATCGCTGTGGCACACACTTCCATGCAGACTAGTAACACTCTTCGCAAGCAGCAGCCAGGAAACGACTCCACTTTTCTGCCTTAGGGACATCTCCAAAGATGCAGAAGCAGCTTAGTTCTCCACTAGGTGCAGCCAACAAGTACAAGGCACTCACGTCCCCAGGGCTGGCCCTCTGCTAGGGGTTCAGGAGTTGAGGGACAAATGCCCCCATCCCTCAAGGGAGCAATTCTGAGGCACATTCTGCGGGGCTCCTCAGAGGATGTGTTGCAGGCTAGAGTCCCAGTTTCCCCCAGTGATAACCAGCTACACATGCCCCCCATATGGTGGCCTGCTTTTCTTCCTCATCTCCCCGCTCCCTCACTCCTGCTTCCTGCATCTCCTTCCAACCAACCCTCCTGCATCCAAACCCTCCTCTCAGACCCCATTTGCCGGGGATCGCAAACTAAGACAAGACACCACCTAACTTAAATGTAAGAAATGTAAGAAATAAGACCAGCTAAACAAACTCTGGGGAGATCGTATGATAAGGAGATGAAAAGGGGTCTCTCTCTCTCTGTGGTTTTACAGACAGCTCTTTTAATGATTGAGCAAGATATTTCCTTGTTTTGTACACATTTCTATTAAAAATAGAATATGGCATTAAGACCAGTTATGGCGGCTCATGCCAGTAATCCCAGCACTTTGGGAGGCCGAGGTGGGTGGATCACTTGAGGTCAGGAGTTCGAGACCAGCCTGGCCAACATGGTGAAACCCCCATATCTACTTAAAGAATACAAAAATTAGTTGGACGTGGTAATGTGCACCTGTAATCCCAGCTACCAGGGGAGGCTGAGACAGGAGAATCACTTGAACCTGGGAGGCGGAGGTTGCAGTGAGCTGAAATCTAGCCTGGGCAACAGAGCAAGACCTCATCTCAAAAAAAAAAAAAAAAAATATATATATATATATATATATATACATATATGGCATTAAAATGGGGGGTATTTGAGCCTCTATTGAGGTAGTCTGCATTAATATATAATTTAGAACAGGATGAAAATAGTGACAATTTTAACTTCACTTTCTTATAATGATATGGTTTCTCTTTATCACCCATGAGAAATCCACACAACAGGGTCCCTCGACTGTGCTTCTTGGGGTGAGCAGAGTGGGGAACGGCAGTCACTCTATGTTCATCGTGGTGCTCGAAGGAGACTCCATTAGGTTCCTCGGGTCACCATAATAATAAATGCCCCGGACCAGTCATAATGGCTTACACCTGTAATCCCAACACTTTGGGAGGCTGAGGCAGAAAAGGTCGCTTGAGCTCAGGAGCTCAATACAAGCCTGGGCAACATAGTGAAAAACCTTCTCTACAAAATAATAATAATGATAATACAAAAATTACCCAGGCCAATGGCATGTTCCTGTAGTCCCAGCTACTCGGGAGGCTGAAGTGGGAGGATTGCTTGAGCCCAGGAGTCAAGGCTGCAATGAGCCGTGATTGCACCACTGCATTCCAGCATGGGCAACAGAGCGAGACCCTATCTCAAAACAAACAAACAAAAAGTACCCCAAACTGGAAGCCTTAAAACACAGAAATGTATTCTCTCATAGTTCTGGAGGCTCAGAGTCTAAGCTCCAGGTGCAGGAGGGCCATGCTCCCTCTGAAGCCTGTATGGGAGAATTCTCCCTTGCCTCTTCCAGCTTCCGGTAGTGGCCGTCAATCTTCAGCACTCCTTAGCTTGCAGCTGCATCTCTCTAATCTCTGCCTCCGTCATCATGTGACCTTCCCCCTGTGTGTCTGTCTTCACGTTATCTTCCTTCTTCTTATGAAGACACCAGTCATATTGGATTAAGGGTCCACCCTACGCCAGTACGCCCCCTTCTTATCTAATTATATCTGCAATTACCCTGTTTCCAAATAATATCGCATTCTGAGATACCGGGGATTAGAACTTCACCATCTCTTTTGTGGGACACAATTCAACCTATACCAGAGACTCAGATACCATGTTTTCAACCATCTCCTATGACAGATGGGGAAACTGAGGCAGTCAAAAAGAGTGGTTAAAACCCAAAGAAACCTGGGGCCCAAGTCCAGCTGGGCCACTTACCAGCAGAGTGACCTTTGGCAAGTAAGTTGCCTCTCTGAGCCTCAGTTTCTTCTTTGATAGAATATGGGTTAATAATAATCACGTCTTATTCAAAGGCATGTGGTGAGTTGCCATTCTCAGCCATTGCCTAAGAAATACTCTGTCTTGCAATTTCTCATTTCCTTCTTTACCCTGAGAGTCTGAAAAAAAAATCACAGCTTCAGCAAAGCATAGATAGATTCTGGCCTTTGGGGTCAAAACGACTTGAGTTTGCAAAACAGATGCTTCCTTTCCTAACTGTGTGACCATAGGAAGGTGACTTCACCTCTCTGTAAACTAAAGAGAATGCTAGTCCCTCCCTCCCAGAGTCAGTGAGAATTTAAACAACTGCACATGAAGCTCCAAGCAGAGAACATAGTACATGGTGCTTGATCAGAAGTAACCACTATTGCTGCTGCTGCTACTGCAGCAGGCACTGTCAGTATCCCACCCACATCCCCTTGGCAACCACTGACCTGACAGCTTCCTATTGCAAGTACCTGTGACTGTCTGCTGTCTCTGGCCACCGGATATGATCAGCTCACATACAGGACATATAGAAAGTGTCAGGGGCAGTTCACTATTCACCCCACCCCCCAGCCCTCAACCAATGGCTGACAGGAGGTGGTGAATAAATACCTCAGCTCCCTCACGTCTTGGATGAAACAACTAAAGGTATGAGGTATGCCCTACACAGCCTCCCAGAGGTCCCCAGCAGGACTGAGCTCATTGCCCACCATGTAACCTGCTCATTCATACACCTGCATTGGGTCCTTTTCTTCCCTGGCTAACTTCCCACTCCCCTCCTGTGGATCATCTCCTCTAGTAAATTACCTGCACTAAAGTAATTGTCTCAGGGTCTGCTTCTGGTGGAACCCAACCTAAAACATGTATTTCTAACCCAAGTTTCAGGGACCCTCAGGCCCTGGCTTTGTGTCTTTGGAGTCCCTCTGAAAGCACCAACCTCCTCCTCTTCCAGTACTCTCTTCAAACTTCCATTCCCACCTTACCAGAGAGGCTGCTGGATGTGATTGCCTCAGGGTGTTGGTGCCTGGAAATGCCAAGTACTTGATCTCCGTGAACTTTTCTTTTTCTCTTTCTTTTTCTTTCTTTCTTGCTTGCTTGCTTGCTTGTTTCTTGCTCACTTTTTTTTTTTTTTTAACAAGGTCTCACTCTGTTACCCATGCTGGAGTGCAGTGGCCTAATCATAGCTCACTGCAGCCTCAAACTCCTGGACTCAAGGGATCCTCCCACCTCAGCCTTCCTAGTAGCTAAGACTGTAGGTGCATAGCACCATGCCCAGCTAATAATTTTTTTTTTTGTAGAGATGGGGTCTCACTGTGTTGCCCAGGCTGGTCTCAAACTCCTGGTTGGGCTCAAGTGATCCTCCCATCTCAGCCTCCTAAAGTGCTGTGATTGCAGATGTGAGCCACCATGCCCAACACCACCCCCTCACCATCATGATCTCTTTTCTCTGCTTACCACCTAGCCTGAGACCCACACGAGAGAAAAGCCACACCCCAAGTTGGACAAATGCCCACTGCATGGGGCATCTTTCTTGTATGTGAAGGTCAAACTTGAGGTTTTCAGGTTTAGGTCAAGAATTAAAAAAAGAAAATCAATGGAGCCCTTTTTACAAAGTAAGTCAAGGGAGGAACTTCAAAATACAAAATAGGTAACTAGGAGTTGTGACCCTGACCTTCATCCTCAAAGCTGCCTCCTTGCTTTCTGCTGTGGCTACTGAGAGCTGGAGGAGGTAGGGTTGCCAGTTAAAATACATGACACCCAGTCAAATTTGAATTTCAGATAAACAAGGAATAGCATTTAGTATGACTATGTCCTATGCAATATTTGGAATATACTCATGCTGAAAAAATTCTCCATGTTTATTTGAAACTCAAATTTAACTGAGCTTGTGGTTTTCGTTTTCATTTGTTCCTTTGTTTTTGCTAAATCTGACAACTTTACCTAGGATCCCCTAATAAATACTGTTTAAAACCACTTTGTCTGTGGTTGTCCCTTAAATGGGCCTGGACTCTGGCAGTCAGATTCCTCCAAGAGTTTTTTAAAGGGCCCACCCAGGACAGGACAGGGACTTGGATGGTGTCTGCATCCCAGTGGGGTCTTGGTCACCTTGAAATGGAGCAAAACTAGGGTAAATTTGAACTCCAGGCTTCCGGCTATGAAAAGGGGAGGTCACTTGATTCTTTTCAAGTGATTCTGCATAGCTGTGATTGCAACATCCTGGGACACAGAATGTAGAAACTGGAGCCCTGAGGTGTCACCATCAGCCAACATGGTGCTAGGGGATGTTTTTCTCTGTACTAGGTAGACTTGGTCATGTGGGAGCTAGAGACGGGAAAATTGGAGAAGCTGAGAAGTTACATGTGTGTGAATGTGCCTTCTTTGGCAAAAAATTGGAACTTGCTAAGAACCACAGACCCCTCCCCACCCACAGAAGACACAAGGAATATTCTGACTAAGGGAAGAATTTTTATGGACTCCTCATCTAAGAAGCATACCAATGAGCCACCCACCCATTCATCCACACATCCATCCAGCTATCCATTCATTCATTCAACAAATGCTTGCTAAGCACCTATTATGTGCCAAGTTTGATGCTGAGTGCTGGGCATAGAAGCCCTAAAAGGGACATACATAGTCCTGACCCCATGGATTTCCCCTATGTAATGGGAAAAACAAAGAAGGCTGTAAGCAACCAAAAAAATAAATAAACTGATTACAGAGTACAAGTTCTTTGCAGGATTCATATCCTGTGATCCTTAGTTCACTTTTTATTACATTTAAAAATGCTTTTGTTCATCCCTGTCTCCATTTCTGCCAGCAAAATTGAGCTCCAGGAACCAACTTTTTTGTGATAATATCAAACAATGACATTCCAGGGCCTGGCCTTAACAATGCAAAAGGCTTCACAATTAACAGAGGAAGGCTCAAAAGGCGATGAAGAGGAGAGTTCCTCTCTCCTGTAGTCACCATGGGGCAGATATCTTCCTGCTTCACAAAATGAGCTTCAAAGAATTCGATTTGATAAGATGTGAAATTGAGAACATTCTTAGGAACATGCAGTCTCATTTTTCAGTGCCATATGGAGATGCGTGTGAATATCTATAATTGTTAAGCAACTGGAACTGAAAGTACACTGTGAGCAAAGGGGTCCTGAGAAATTCTTAAGACGTTATTTTCATGTCCTGTGAAACTAACGTTCAAAGAGAGTCATGGCATTCTGATTGATTGCCTTACCTGACAATGGGCTGCCTGGTAATCATTGCAGTGAGCATCTCTGTGTTATCCATACAGAAATAGGTGTGGAACGGTAGAGTCAAATCAGAAGAGGAGTCACTGACACTTTCTTCTTCTTCCTCAAGACTGATTGGGGGGAAAGGCCTATGACTCTAATAGATTCCACATTTTTAATAAAAAGACTGGACATCTAGCTCTTTAAATAAATCATTTTAATTTGGTGGTTAGGAAAGATCATCTCTGATGAGATGGAAAAATGCTGAAAAGCTGAGACCCAAGGTTAAGAAATTCATCCATAAAGAGTAGGAAGAGGTTGGGCACAGTGACTCATGTCTGTAATCCCATCATTTGGAAGACCGAGGTGGAAGGATGGCTTGAGCCCAGGAGTTCGAGACCAGCCTGGACAACATGACAAGACCCTGTCTCTACCAAAAAAAAAAAAAAATGTAAATTAGCCAGGTGGCACATTCCTGTGGTCCCAGCTACTCAGGAGGCTAAGGTGGGAGGATCATTTGAACCCAGGAGGTTGAGGCTGCAGTGAACTGTGATCTCGCCACTGCATTCCAACCTACGTGACAGAGTGAGACCCTGTCTCTAATAAATAAGTAAATAGCAAAAATAAAATTAAAAAGAGAGAGAGCAGGAAAAAGAACATTACAGACACAAGAAACAGCAAGTGCACTCCAGCCTGGGTGACAGAATCACACCCTGTCCCAGAAACAAAAAACGAAAAACAGCAAAGGCCTGAGACAGGAGTTAGCTCTTGAGCATTTGAGACACCTAACAAAGTCAGCAGAAGTGGAACATAGAGAGGAAGCATGTGGAGATGAGGTGGAGAGGTCCATGATGGTCGGCACTCAAGGCTTTGTGGAGCATGCATTTTATTCTTCTGGTGACAAGAGTCAATAGATGGCTTCAAGCCAGAGAATGAGCTTTCACAAAGCAGGCTCAGTCACGCAGAAAGATCAGAATGCAGGATTGGTCACTGTTGGAGCTGACTTTTCATTCTGCATGCATGTCATGGCTCAGCACAGAAGGAGTTTGACTTCTCATAAAATTACCTGCACTTTGTAAATAATCTGACTCCCCTGGTCCAATAGAAGCAGAAAGAAAAAATGTTTAAAGCCAAAATAATACAAAACAAAAAAGAACCTGCTTACCCCTGAGAGCATGAGCATGAGGGACATGTTGTCTACTGCCAGCATGGAGTGGGAAATGAGTTTAGAGTTGGCCCTCCACAGGGGGGATTTGTGGTTCCTTGAAACTGTCAAATAAATTACCCATATTTAGTAACTGTAATGTTGTTTGGGTATTACACTCAATGGATTTGTCTGACACTCCAGGCATCTTATTTCCCCATCCATCAAACTCCCACTCACCATTATACACACAGCTGAATGGCTAAAGTGGAAGGAACTGACACCACCGAACGTTGGCAGGGATGAGGAGGAACTGGAATGCTCATCTATAGTGAGTGGAAGTACAAAATGGTACAACCATTTTGGAAAATTTTTAGCAGTTTATTAAAAAGTTAAACAAATTTGTCATATGACCCATTAATCTTGCTCTCAGAAATTTACCTAAAAGAAATGAAAATATATCCTCAAAAAATCTTGTGCAAAAATGTTCATAGCTGTTTTACTCATTATAGGCAAAACCTACAAATACGTCAGATTTGCAGGAGAACAGATAAACTGAGGTATATTCATAGCATTCAGCAATAAAAAAAGAAATGAGTGGTCCAGCATGATGGCTCAAGCTTGTAGTCCCAACACTTTGGGAGGTCAAGGCAGAAGGATTGCTTGAGCCCAGGAATTCAGGACTAGCATGGGCAACATGATGAAACCCTGTCTCTACAAAAAAATACAAAAATTAGCCAGACATGGTGGCCTGTGCCTGTAGTCCCAGCTATTTGGGAGGCTGAGGTGAGAAAATGGCTTGAGCCAGGGAGGTTGAGGCTGCAGTGAGCTGAGATCATGCCACTGAACTCCAGCCTGGGTGACAAAGTGAGACCCTGTCTCAAAAAAAAAAAAGGAAGTTGGGCACTGTGGCTCATGCCTGTAATCCCACCACTTTGGGAGGCTGAGGTGGGCGGATCATGAGGTCAGGAGATCGAGACCGTCCTGGCTAACACGGTGAAACCCCATCTCTACTAAAAATACAAAAAATTAGCCGGGCATGGTGACGGGTGCCTGTACCTACTCCAGCTACTCCTCCAGCTACTCAGGAGGCTGAGGCAGGAGAACGGCATGAACCCAGGAGGCAGAGGTTGCAGTGAGCCGAGATCGGGCCACTGCACTCCAGCCTGGGAAAAGAGTGAGACTCCGTCTCAAAAAAAAAAAAAAAAAGAGCAATTAACATATGTTACAGCATGAAGAAATCTCAGAAGCATTATGCTAGATAAAAAAAACAAATAGAAAGGCTACATGCTGTGTATGATTTCATTTACAAAAAGTTCTTGAAAAATAAAAACTAACTCACGGTAATAGAAATCAGATCAGTGGTTGCTTTTAGGAATGAAGGAATTACCTGGCACAATGAAGTTTTCTGTGGTGGTGGTGATGCCTTGTTTCTTAATAGAGATATGGGTTGCACAAGTGTATGCCTTTATCAAACTGATATAACTGTGTACTTAACATTAAGAATTTCACTGAATATAAAAGATAATGTAACAATTAACTCAAGATGGATTAAAGACTTAAATGTAAAACCCAAAACTATAAAAACCCTGGAAGACAACCTAGGCAATACCATTCAGGACATAGGAATGGTAAAAGTTTTTATGACAAAAATGCCAAAAGCAATTGAAACAAAAGCAAAATTTGACAAATGGGATCTAATTAAGCTAAAGAGCTTCTGCAAAGCAAAAGAAACTATCAACAGAGTAAACAGACAGCCAACAGGATGGGAGAAAAATTTTGCAAACTATGCATCTGACAAAGGTCTAATATTCAGCATCTATAAGGAACTTAACCTAATTTACATGAAATAAACAACCCCATTAAAAAGTGGGCAAAGGACATAACAGACACTTTTCAAAAGAGGACATACATGTGGCCAATAAGCAAATGAAAAAAATAGCTTAACATCACTGATCACTAGAGAAATGTAAATCAAAACCACAGTGAGATACCATCTCACACCCGTCAGAATAGCTATTATTAAACAGTCAAAAAATAACAGGTGCTAGCGAGGCTGCCGAGAAAAAGGAATGCTTATACACTGCTGGTGGGAGTGTAAATTAGTTCAACCATTGTGGAAAACAGTGTGGCGATTCCTCAAAGACCTAAAAACAGAACTACCATTCAACCTAGCAGTCCTATTACTGGGTAGATACCCAAAGGAATATAAATTTTTCTATCATAAAGTCACATGCACACATATGTTCACTGCAGCACTATTCACAGTAGCCAAGACATGGAATCAACCTAAATGCCCAACAATAATAGACTGGATAAAGAAAATATGGTACATATACTCCATGGAATACTATCCTCTGCAGGAACATGGATGGAGCTGGAGGCCACTATCCTTAGCAAACTAATCCAGGAACAGAAAACAAAATACCGCATGTTCTCACTTCTAGGTGGGAACTACATGATGAGAACACATGGACATATAGAAGGGAACAACACACACTAGGGCCTATCAGAGGGTGAGAAAAGGGAGAGGGCCAGGAAAAATAACTAATGGATACTAGGCTTACTACCTGGCAGATGAAATAATCTGTAAGCAAACCCCCATGACATGAGTTAACTATATAACAAACCTGCACATGTACCCTTCAAGTTAAAATAAACGTTAAAAAAAAGAAAAAAAGAATTTCACTGAATATAAAGGATACCTCATTTTTAACGTAAAAATAAATAAGATTCTATTACTCTGGGCAGTCTTCTCTACCTTTATGGTGTAGAACTACACCTCAGAGTTACTACACGAGGGGAGGTAGCTGGGGTATTTATATACCAACTCCTATTAGTCATTGGATGAAGGCTGCTGGAAGTGGAGGTGTAATTCCCCAGCACCTCCAGCTGGCCCTGAGTACCTGCAGAGCAAGCCCAGTGGGCAAAGAGAGCTCCTTTAGGAAAAAAAATGCAGAAATGTGGGAGTCAAGCTGGCATGCACGAAACTGGCACGTACCAGGGTAATATGGGCGGGGCCCCAACAGCATCCACTACAGGCCCTGTTGTGTCTGCTCCTATAGCCTCCTGTGTGTATAATTGTACCCTAACAGTAGAAACAGCAATTAAAAACTTAGGTTACAGAACCAGGCAGAACAAGCCTCAGATTTCAGCTCTCTCACTTTCTAAGTGACATGTTGGGCAAATGGTGCTTCTTCTGAAAAATGGGGTCCGTGAATTGTTGAGGACATTCAATGAGATAATCTCTGTTCTGTGCTTACCATAGCACATGATATGAACTCTTATTATGGCACATCAGAGAAACTCCAATAAACAATAACAGCAACAATTATTTTTTCTACCATGTTCACTCTATTTTCCAAAAAAAAAAAAGGTCAAACTCAAAATTTTTTCATTAAAGATTTTCTCCCTTAAATTATTTTGAAAATTTAATTGTTGAAGAGATAATACATTTACAAAGTTTGAAATCCAATTTTTTTTTTTTTTTTTGAGACAGAGTCTCGCTCTGTCTCACAGGCTGGAGTGCAGTGGTGCGAGCTCGGCTCACTGCAAGCTCCGACTCCCGGGTTCACGCCATTCTCCTGCCTCAGTCTCCAGAGTAGCTGGGACTACAGGCGCCCGCCACCACGCCCGGCTAATTTTTTATATTTGTAGTAGAGACGGGTTTCACCGTATTAGCCAGGATGGTCTCGATCTCCTGACCTTGTGATCCGCCCGCCTCGGCCTCCCAAAGTGCTGGGATTACAGGCGTGAGCCACCGCGCCCGGCCGAAATCCAAAAATAATTGAAGGATACACTGAAAAGGCTTTCTCCTTTGACACACCAGCCACCCAGTTGCCCTCCCCACAAGCAAATGAGATTATCAGCATGTTTGTGTATTTTTCCAAAGGTATTTGCAGATGGTAGTCTAAAATATTCTAAGTCTGCTTCTGTTTATCTATGGCTGAATCTAGTACATGATTCAGTGTTTGGTTTGGCATGAATAATATATGCAGGTTTTATTTTGAAATCATGTTAGATTTACAGAAGAGTAGCAGAGATGATACAAAGAGTTCTTGGACATCCTTCACCCAGCATCCCCCAATGCTACTATTTTACATAACCACAGCGCATTTATCAAAACTAAGAAGGTGACGTTGGTACACTGCAATTAACAATACTACAGATTGTATTTAGACTTTACCAGTTTTTTCATTAAAGTGGATCTAATCCAGGATGGTGTGTTGCATATGTCTTGGCATCCCTTTAGGGCACCAAGATACCTAATGCTCCACATTTAAGAATTGCTAGCACAGAGGAGCATGGAGCACTTTATTGGTGTCACTACCACAGTGGGACTGGAAATTCAGGTCACCACCCCTGCTGTGTGTCCTTGGAAAACTCACCTTTCCTCTCTGGGCTTTAGCCTCCCTTTCAATACAATGCAGCAGTGAAACCATATCAGCCTTTCTGACCTTGTGTGGTCAAAGCAATGTGATGAACTCCACACACTCTAACACCTCTTAGATATCCCAATGTTCATTAGCATGTTAAAGGCTCTGATAAGTCCTGCAACAAAACACCTGTTTTAATATCACTTAACTCAGCATTGCTCAGGCACACTGGATTAGGGAGGCAATTTTTACCCTCCATATTTATCTACAGAAGTGTGTCCCAGAGTAGAGCCTTTGGGGCATGATGGACTAAATGATAATAAAGCCTGTTAACAGTGCCTCAATTTGATGGGGTTTCAAGAACAAGCACACTGCCTAGAGAAAGCTGGTCATGAAAACTTGGAAGGACAGACACAAAGGGGAAGACTGACCAAAAACTTGGCTGACTTTCCCTTGGCTCCCCAGCTCTTCTTAGCCAGCCCAGACCTGGGTATTGTGGAACCCCTATAGAGCTGCATGTGGCAACCTCCTTGGAAGGAAACTTAGCAATGTGCCTCAAATTGTCAGTGCACATGCTCTTGAACTCAGTGATGATGTGTCTAGATGCATCCACACCTGAGCACAGAGGGGTTTGTGCAGGCTAATCACAGCCTCAAGGCTTGAGGTGGCAAAAGACTGAAAATAATGCAATATCCCATCATACAGGACTGATTACAGAAACGACGGTCCATGCAGGCAGTGGAATTCCACACAGCCATGAAGAAAGAAAAAGAGTGTGTGTGTGTGTGTGTGTGTGTGTGTGTGTGTGTGTGTGTACATGCTCATATGCACCTCACATATACTTGGTCACAATGTGTGGACCATCTCAAGAAGGATAACATGACACTGGGAACCGTGGTTGCCTCCAAATAGAAGAACTGAAAGACCTGGAGGCAGGAGTGGGAGAACTTGATTTTTCACTGACTATTCCCCTGTACCTTCCTAGTTTTGTACCTTGCATGCATTGCTTATTTAATTAATTAAAATAATAATTTCTAAAAGAATGAGACATAGTTTAATTTATCTATAGAATGGAATGCTGTACTATATGCAGTTGTTTAAAAAGAAGGGAAAAAAGAAAGAATGGGGAAGCTGTTTATGTACTGAAATGAAAATATCTACACGTTTCAGTGAAAAAAAGCAAAATGTAGAAATATATATGGATTATATTATTCTTGAGTTTAAAATAAGATTATAGATATATTTTCTTGTATATATGTATATATGTAAAAATTTCTGGAAGGATATTAAAAAGCTAATATAATCATACGAAAATAATCATAGTTATGCGGGGTGGAGTGGAAGCAGGAAACGTTTCACTCTATTCCTTCAAATATATTCAGGTATATTACACCTTTATATATTTTATTATATGTATTTGAACAATGAGTATATTACCCCTTCAAAGTTACATAAATATGAATGCAGGAAATCTATATGGACAGATGCATAACAATTTTCCATATATAGTTAAACAGAAAAAGCAAGTTTGCAGAACAGTGTGTACAGTATCACTTGTCTACCACAAAATGTGTGTGTATATGTGTGTATGTGAGTGTTTATATACATACATATATATACATTTACACACACACACACAATTGAAAGCACACACTCCTCCTGGAAGAATTCAGAAAAAACTGCTAACAATGACTTCCCCTTTTGAGGGTACCTGGAGACAGACAGGGATTATTCACCCTGAAAAACTACTTGAATGGTTACCACGTGCATAAAAATGTTTTTAATGTTTTAAAAACATCTGTGAAATAATGGTCACCATAACTAAGTTTTTTAGCAAAAAATTAGAAATAAATATGTTTTTCCTTTGGGAAGGATTGGTATAAATTTCAGCCCATCCATACTCTAGAATCCTCTTCAGATATTAAAATATTTGAAAAATTAAATGTGGGCCAGGTGTGGTGGCTCACACCTGTAATCCCAGCATTTTGGGAGGCCGAGGTGGGGGCATCACTTGAGCCCAGTTGTTCAAGACAAGCCTGGCCAACATAACAAGGCCTCATCTCTACAAAAAAATAGAAAAAAATAGCCTGTAGCCCTAGCTACTCAGGAGGTGGGAGGATCACATGTGCCCAGGAGTTTGAGGCTGTAGTGAGTCGTGATCGCACTACTGCACTCCAGCGTGGGTGACAGAGCAAGATCCTAGCTCAAATTAAAAAAAAAAAAAAAAAAAAAAAACCAACTAAATGCTAAATGTATATTTATTTACACTGACCTGATAAGAAACAATGTATTATTGTGAAACAACATATTATTATGAAACTATGTATTATTAAATAATACAATGTATTATTAAGTAAAATTTCAGAACCAAAAATATGATATAACCCAATTTTTGCAGTAAAGCCTCTATGTACTTGTGTGTACACATGCATATATATTGTATTATATAAACAACATGTAGAAGATTCAAATCCTGACTCTCTTACTTATTAGCTGTGTGATCTTAGACTAGCTACTAAAAATTTGGGGGCCTCAGTTTTCTCATTTGTAAAATGGGTACAACTATTCTACCAGCCTTGAATTAACTCATTTGATTCTTCTAACAACTTAGAGCAGCAGTTCCTAACCTTTTTGGCACCTGAGACCAAGTTTGTGGAAGAATTTTCCATGGACAGTGAGGGTGGGGATGGTTTCAGGATGATTCAAATGTACTTCATTTATTGTGTACTTTATTTCCACTATATTACATTGTGATATATAATGAAATAATTATCCAACTTATTATAATGTAGAATCAGTGGAAGCCCTGAGCTTGTTTTCCTGCAACTAGAGAGTCCCATCTGGGGGTGATGGGAGATAGTGGCAGATCATCAGGCATTAGATTTTCATGAGGAGCGTGCAACCCAGAATTCTCACATGCACAGTTCACATAGG
Source organism: Homo sapiens (assembly GCF_000001405.40). Classification (NCBI taxonomy): domain Eukaryota; kingdom Metazoa; phylum Chordata; class Mammalia; order Primates; family Hominidae; genus Homo; species Homo sapiens. The sequence continues at coordinate 26,700,280 of NC_000022.11, read as the reverse complement.
GTTTTCTCTCCTATAAGAATCTAATGCCACCATTGATCTGACAGGAGGCAGAGCTCAGGCAGTAATGAAAGTAATGGGGGGGTGGCGGCAAATAAAGATGAATCTCCACTGGCTTGCCCACAGCTTACTTCCTGCTGTGTGGCCCAGTTCTTAACAGGCCATGGTCCATGGCCTGCAGGTTAAGGACCCCTGACTTAAAGCATAATGCCTGTCCCATAGTACACAATTTGTAACTAATAGTTATTGCCATCTATCTCTCTACTGTCAGTGTATTAGCCCACTTTCACACTGCTATAAGGGAATACATGAGACTGGGTAATTTATAAAGAAGTTTAATTGACTCACAGTTCCACATGGCTGAGGAGGCCTCAGGAAATTTACTATCATTGCAGAATGGGAAGCAGTCACCTTCAAAGTGAAGGGGGAAGACCCCCTTATAAAATCATTAGATCTTGTGAGAACTCACTCACTATCATGAGAATAGCATAGGGAAAACCGCCCCTATGATCCAATCATCTCCCTCCCTTCATACACGGGGATTTTCAATTCAAGATGAGATTTGGGTAGAGACGCAGAGCCAAACCGTATCAATCAGGAAATTGCTGACATATTTGATGTGGATTATAGAGACAGGGAGCTGGTGGTGTTCACTGGCACACTCTACACTGGTTACCCTAGAATATGGGATTTGAGTGGGCCAGGAAGTATCAACACCTTCTATTTTATACACTGCTATGTTGTTTGACTGTTTGGTTTTGGTTTGTTTTTACAACAAACTTGCATTATTTTACAATTAAGCTAGAAGAAACCATATGAGAAAACAAATTAGTTGCAAGGAGGCAGATGCTCTCCAACCCACAGTTGGGGAGAGCAGGGGCTGCATGTAGTATGACCATGCCTCACCTTTTGCACCCATAAAGCAGGGAGACAGGACCCAAGCAGCGCACTGTGCATCCTGCAGCTAAATCTGTCCACCTTCCTCCCTTCTGCAAGACACAGGTGCCCAGAGTCAGAAATTACATCTGGGCTGTTCAGATTTGTGGCCACTCTCCCCAGTCATTCAGAGCATGGGGAAATTCAGCCTCATGCCACCATTTTTCAAGCACCACTGGTAGAGGAGGAGACATCAGCTCTGCACCCACCTTGGTCTGAGCACCAATCTCCGTGGAAGATGTTGGGAGAAACAGCATTTCTTCAAGGGCATTTGCAAAGGGCTTCAGTTAACAGAGGGCCTACAAAACCATTAGCCGTGAAATCCCTTCAGCACCTCCTAATGAAGATCCCCTGTGAACAGACCAAGAAAAGGGCTCCAAGAAGGAAAAGATGCACCCAAGGTAACAGCTGGAAGATAAAGGAGCCCGCATTCCAACACAGATCTGTCTGTCCCAGTGCACATGCAGTTGAGGCCACACAGAAGCAGAGGTTGGATCCACCACATTTCAGAGAAACCATTCATGTATTCAACAAAAATGGAACCAGGTGTTTTGTGCCTGCTACATGCCAGGCCCTGACCTAGACTCCGATAGCACAGAGATTTGTTTGCCATTCAACACAGGTTTATTTAACACCTACTCTCCTCCAGGAACTGGGCGAGGCACTGGGGCTACAATGGAGGACAAACAGGCATGATCCCTGCTCTCAGAGTCCCTGCTTTCAGAGTCCCTGCTCTCAGATTCTTTTGTAAATAAGGTGAAACAATTATTTATCCTAAAATGAAGGTAACATAGTATCTTCTGAGGGGAGGTCCACAGAGCTGATAACGTGAATTTGAATTAATCTGGGGAATCCAGGAAGGCTTCCCTAAAGAAGTGAAGCTTGCACTAAAATCTAAAGAAGAAGTAAAGAAGATGAGGAGGGAAAGAAAAGGCATCCAAGTAATGAGAACAGCATGTGCAAAGGCCCTGTGGTAGGACGCACCAAGGACCCAAAGGCAACCCTTTTGGCTGGACTAGAGAGATCAACGGGTAGTGCCATGCAAAGTGACAGTGAAAAAGGAGACAATTGCCAGGTGCGGTGGCTCATGCCTGTAATCCCAGCACTTTGGGAGGTCGAGGCGGGTGGATCAACTGAGGTCAGGAATTCGAGACCAGCCTGGCCAACATGGTGAAACCCCAACTCTACTAAAAATACAAAAAAATTAGTCGGGCATGGTGGGCGGCTGTAATCCTAGCTACTCAGGAGGCCAAGGCAGGAGAACTGTTTGAACCCAGAAGATAGCGGTTGCAGTGAGCTGAGTTCATGCCATTGCACTCCAGCCTGGGCAACAAGAACAAAACTCCATCTAAGAAAAAAGAAAAAGGAGAGAGACAATGAAAACCCATCCAGGTAAGGATCTGGTCTTCACCCTAAGGCAATGGGAAATCCTCAAAGAATTCTAAGAAAAACTGAAATGATCAGCTTCACCCTCTGGCAATCAAATAAGAGTAAGAGATGTATAAAGAAGTAATCACAACCAAAAAGATACACCTGAGACAGAATAAGTTCAGGTAGCTGCGCAGTCACCTAATGCAATTAGAGGGATATGAGCTTCTTAGAGGAGGAGATATTCTAAATAAAATATTTTTTAAGCCCATCACAAAATCCTGAATCTGAAAGGTTCAAACGGGCTCCTTCCAACACAGGTGCAAGCCCATTTCAGAGATGAGGTCCAGGGACCCCAGTCTCATGGTGGCGGACCACAGACCAGAAGCCACAGGGCTCTCTCTGACTCCTTGCACAGTGCTTACAAGTTTTCCTGGCTGGATTAAGTTCCTAATTTGTCCCTAAGCCTCAGCAACAAGCCAGAGGCTAAACAGGCCTGATGCAGGCAGAACCCTGGGCTCATCCTAGAGTCCCCAGAGTCTCTAACCCACCAGGGGTGGAAGGTGAGACAGGTCTAGGGAGCTGGAAGCCTGTGCTCTTCCCCAGAGAATCTCCTTCTCCCAGCTGGAGAGCCCCCCACAAAGCCATCTAAGCAGCCCCGGGGGAGGCATTTAGGTAAGAGGACTCCAGGGAGCCTTCAGAGTAATTTTCAAGGAGGGCTGAGGCCAGTGAGAAAGGGGATTATTAGCTCTGCTCTCTGGAGGGAAGTTGATGCAGACAAGTCGGTGAGTGGGTTACTCAAGAGAAGGGGCATTTATAGTCCCTTTCCTTCTAAGCAGAGGACATTCATGATGCCTGGGGATTCAGACAGAGCCCTACTGAGGAAACAACCACAGCGGTGATAATAGCTCAATAAAAATAAATCGATATGAAGAACTCTTACAACTCAACAACTAAAAGACAAACAACCCCATTTTTTTAATGGGCGGAGGACCCGAAGAGACATTTCTCCAAAGAAGATATGCAAACGGCCAACAAGCGCATGAAAAGATGCTCAATGTCATTCATCAGAAAAATGCAAATCAAAACCACAGTAAAATCTCACTTTGCACCCTTATGAATAGCTATAATTAAAAAAAAAACGATAATAGCAAGTATTGGCAAGGATGTGGAAAAACTGGAACTTTTATACACTGCTGGTAGAAATATAAAATGGTGCAGCCACTTTAAAAGATGGTTGACAGTTTCTCAATGACTTAAACCTACCAGCAATTCAACACATGTGTGTGTAGGTATATACCCAAAAGAACTAAAAACAAGTGTTCAAACAGATACTAGTATACCAATGTTCGTGGCAGCATTATTCACAGTGGCCAAAAGTTGGAAACTCCAATATCCATCAACAGATGAGTGGATAAGTAAAATGTGATATATACATTCAATGAAATATTATTTAGCCATAAAAATGAATGAAATAGGCCGGGCGCGGTGGCTCACGCCTGTAATCCCAGCGCTTTGGGAGGCTGAGGCAGGCGGATCACGAGCTCAGGAGATCGAGACCATCCTGGCTAACACGGTGAAACCCCAACTCTACTAAAAATATAAAAAATTAGCCGGGCGTGGTGGCAGGCGCCTGTAGTCCCAGTTACACAGGAGGCTGAGGCAGGAGAATGGCGTGAATCCAGGAGGCGGAGGTTGCAGTGAGCCGAGATCGCACCACTGCACTCCAGCCTGGGCGACAGAGCGAGACTCTGTCTCAAAAAAAAAAAAGAATGAAATACTGATACATGCGACAACATGGATGAACCTTGAAAACATGCTAAGTGAAAGAAGCCAAGCATGTATTGTACAATTCCATTTATATGAAATACCCAGAATAGTCAAACTGATAGAGACAGAAAGCTGATTAGTGGTTGCCTAGGTTTTGCGGGAAGGAGGCAAGGGGGAGTGACTGCTAATAGTTGTGGGATTTCCTTTCAGGGTAATGAAAATGTTCTGGAACCAGATAGTGATGATGCTTATACAACCTTGTGAATGGACTAAAGGCCACTGAATTGTCCACTTTAGAAAGGTTAAAATGGCAAATTTTAGGTTATGTGTCTTTCACCACAACTCTTAAAATCTAGGAACATAAATAAATAGATGGACTGGGAAACCACCCAGTAGCTCCTCAGCACGCCCAAGAATAAAATCCAAAAGACAAGCTCTTACCTACAAGGCCCTACATGAGTTATCCTCCCCTCTCTCATTCAGCTCCTTGCTGATCTTTGAACACATCAAGCAGGATCCCACCTCAGGGCCTTTGCTCCTGCTGTCTCCCTCTACCTGGCAGGTCAGGTCTCCACTCTGCTCACTCCATCTACCTCACATAGGCCATGGCAGATAGACTCAAAGGGGCTCCCAATGCCCCCCACCTCTCAGTATTTACCCATTTGTATAACCTCCACCCTTACATATGGGCAGGACCAAGAGCTTGCTTCTAATCAATAGAATACAATAAAGAGGACCCAGCATGGTGACTCATGCCTGTAATCCCAGCACTTTGGGAGGCTGAGGCAGGCAGATCACTTGAGGTCAGCAGTTGGAGACCAGCCTAGCCAGCATGGTGAAACCCTGTGTCTACTAAAAATACAAAAAAATTAGCCCAGTGTGGTCGTGCATGCCTGCAATCCCAGTTACTCAGGAGGCTGAGGCAGGAGAATCACTTGAACCCGGGAGGTGGAGGTTGCAGTGAGCCGTGATTGCACCACTGCAGTCCAGCCTGAGTGGCACAGCAAGATTATTCCATCTCAAAAAAAAAAAAAAAAACCCACAGAGGAAAGAATACAATAAAGGGGACAGGAGGCTGCTCTCATGACTACATCATATAAGACTGTAATTAATGCCCATCTTGCTAGGAGACTCTCCTTGCTGGCTTTGATGAAGCAAGCAGCCACACTGGGGTGGGCCATGTGCAGTAGCCTCTGGCCAACAAACAGCCAGGCAGTGAGGGCTGCTTCCATCTTATAGCCAGCAAGAAACTGAGGCCCTCAGTCTTACAGCCCACAAGGAACTGAATTCTGCCAACAACCCCATGAGTTTGGAAGTGGATCCTTCCCCGGTTGAGTTTCAAGTGAGGCTACAGCCCCAACCAATACTTTGACTATAGGTTTTAGAGGAGATTCTGAAGCAGAGGACACAGCCTAGGTTCTTGGCCCTCAGACACAGTAAGATAATAAATATATGCTGCTTTCAGTTTGTGGCCATTTGTTATGTAGCGTTGGTGCATGGGTCCCTGTTCAAATGTCACCTCCTTAGAGAAGTCTTTTCTGAATTCGCTTTCTAAAACAGAATTTGTCTGACACAGAAAGATAAATACTGTATGACCTCACCTATATTTGGAATCTAAAAGAGTCAAAGCATAGAGACATAGACTAAAATACTGGTTGCCAGAGGTTGGAGGGACAGGGAAATGAGATGTTGGTCAAAGGGTACAAAGTTTCAATTAAGCAAGATGGATGAGTTCTGGAGATCTAATGTATGGCATAATGATTACAGTTAATAATATATATTTGAAATTTGCTAAGAGGGTAGGTTTCACCACAAAAAAAGACAATTATGTGAGGCGATGAACGTGTCAAATAGCTTGACTATAAGGATCATTTCACAACATATATGTATATTACAGCATCAAGTTGTACCCCTTAAACATTACCCAATTATATTTGGGTATTGGTCAATCTATTTGTCAATTATGTCCAAATAAAATAAAATCTGATCCACCGTTACTTTCCACAGTTACCCTGACTTTTTTCTCCATATCCCTTGCTGCAATCTGACTCATTATATGTTTATTTACAAATACATAATCTTGAGAGCAAGGATCTAGTCTGTCCTGGTCATCTCTGCATCTCCAGTGCCTCTCATGGAACTTGGCACATAGCAGACATTCAATAAATAAGGAATGACCGAACAATCAGCCATCTTTATATAGGCTTCACTATGGGCACTCGCCTTAGTTGTCCTCACCATGACCCAGCAAGCTGGTATAATTATTCCCATTTTATGAATGTAAAAAGTGAGGCTCAGTGGTAAAGAATGACACACCCAAGCTCATATAGCTGGTAAATGGCAGAACCAACAATTAAATCCAGGTAGCCTCACCCAAAGGTCCATGTTCTTCACTGCCATGCAGGCAACCTCAGATGATCAGCAGCACCTTTGTTCCCATTTTCTTCCTTCTATGAAAGGGGTACTTTTATCCATCCTGGGTCAGTGGCAGGAGGGACTCTCCCCATCCCTTTCTCCCAGCCCTGCTATCTGTGGACAGGAACAGGTAAAGATCTTCAGAAGCCTTAAGCTTAGAAAAGATGAGGGAGCCCCCTCTGCAATCTCCTATGTAAACTGAAATTAAAACAATGCAAAACCATAAAACCCAAAATATGTGTGCATGTTGATGTTAAAGGAACTGTTTTCTAGATTTCCTGATTCTGGTTGTTGAAGTGCAACCTTTTTCATCCCTTTCATGACCTGACTTTCCTGAGCTCCAAGCCCATCCTTAGCTGACCTCCTGGAGGAGCTAGGTCTGCATATGGGATTTTGAGTAAAGAAGGGAACGAGGGAAAGACAGAATACCCCCGGCAAAGAGAACAGCATGGATGTGCACAGGCCCTGGGGTAGAAGTAAGTACAGCAGAGACAAGGAACTGGAAGAAGAGTCTTAGACATTTGCGAAGTGTAGACACACTATAGGCTAGAAACTGCACTTTTACTTAGGAATTCCACCTAATCTTCACCAGACCTCCATAAGGTAACTACAACTATCAATGCACTTCTACAGTTGAGCAAACTAACACACAGAAAGGCAACACACCTTGCTGTTTTGGTCATCTTAGGCTACACTATGTGATGCTAACAGGTGCCTTCAAAGGTCTCGGTGGCTTAGATAGCAATCATTCATTCCTCTGCAATCTGACAAACCCTTGTAGCTCTGTTTTTGCTCTGCCCCTCCTCACTTCATTCCAGGATGAAGGCAAAGGGAGCAACTCCCTTATGGAAACCTGATGGTCTCAAGGCCAAGGTAAAAAGGGAAGGTGAAGCACAACACTTAGGAAATAGTAAAAATTACCATAGTGTCACAAAGAGGGAAGGGAAAAGGTGACCACACAAGGGTTCTTACAGTGTCTGCCAAAAAGTGGCACATACCACCTCCACTCACTTTCATCCCATTGGCTGAAAGTCACCTGGCCAACCTGACACCAGTTGGGTAGGGATATGAAATCTCCTGTAGAGATGACCACATAGGGAAGGGTCCCCATAAGGTCATGTATTTCAGAAATGGCCAGACAAGAATTCAAACCAAGGTGGATTTTTTCCACACATACATACATCCCCTGCTCCATTCCATCCCCTGGGCTATGCACTTTAGAGAACTCTGTGTCCTCAATAACAGTAAAACTCTGTCCTTCCAAATCATGCCCTGGAAGGAGGAAGCTCCAGCAAAGGAGAGGCAGCTGGGTTAAAAAGATATGAGCATACCTTCCCAAGATGCACCATCCCCTTGGGATCTTATGCATCCTTCAAAACCCAGCTTAAAAGGATGCTGCCTTTCCAGGCTCCCCCAGTTGAGCAGACCTCTCCCTCCCACATGCCCACCGATGAGCACTATACTTTCCTCTCTTAAAGCTCCTGTTCCCCTCCACTGCACGATAATCTGTATACAGGTCCGTTTCTTTCATCAGACTGTAAATAACATGAGGACATAAGAATGGCATCTTGGCCAGGCATAGTGGCTCACACCTATAATCTCAGCACTTTGGGAGGCCGAGGCGAGCAAACTACCTGAGGTCAGGAGTTCAAGACCAGCCTGGCCAACAGGATGAAACCCCGTCTCTATTAAAAATATAAAAATTAGCCAGGTATGGTGGTGGACACCTGTAATCCCAGCTACTCGGGAGGCTGAGGCAGGAGAATTGCTTGAACTTGGGAGGCAGAGATTGCAGTGAGCCAAGATCATGCCACTCCACTCCAGCCAGCCTGGGCAACAGAGGGAGAATCTGGAATCTGTCAACAAAAAAAAAAGATGGAAAGATGAAAGAAAGAAAGAAAGAAAGAAAAAGAAAGAAAGAAAGAAAGAAAGAAAGAAAGAAAGAAAGAAAGAAAGAAAGAAAGAAAAGAAAAGAAAAGAAAAGAAAAGAAAAGAAAAGAAAAGAAAAGAAAAGAATGGAATCTCATTCCGCTCTGAACACAGTGCATAGCTTAAGACATGCAGTAAAAGTCTGATGAATGAATAGATTGGTCAGTGGATATATATGGGTCGATGGAGGTGGAGAGGTTGGAAGTCAAGTTTTGGAATTGAATTAGAATCCCAGCTTTGCCACTTGCTAGCTGTGTGACTCTGGTTTATTTACTTAACCTCTCTGGACCTTTACGAAGTAGAAATATAAGTGTGTCTCTCACTGGATTGTTAGATTGTCAGGAAACGGAAGGGTGCACGGTATGATCTGACTTTAAAGAGATTTGAATTTGAATCTGAACTCTAACACTAGAAGGTGTGTGACTCTAAGAAGTTGCTTGTGCGGCGTATCATCTATTTACCCCTCTTGATCCACTGTCCATCCTCCTCCAACCTACCCAGTCCCTAAGAAGTTGGTCTCTACTGGCTGCATAAATAGGCTGTGCCCCTTCCTCCAGCCTCTTGTTAAGATCAGCCAACGGAGAGCAACAACAGAAGATGAAAGAGAGGAAGGAAACTGAGGTCAACCTATTTATTCCTCTAGCTCCCTCCTTGCCAAGTCACCAGGGACTAGCTGTGTCCTTCAACCAAAGGTCCCAGCTTCTACTACGCAGCCCTCTCCTTCTGTGTCTCCCAGCTCCTCATCTGTTCATAACCAGGGGTGGTAATCAAGTCCCACCACTGCTATCCCCAGGGAAGTGCACTATTCCTGGTGGCTTCCCACATCCTGTCTGTGGAGGGCAGAAAACTCAACTGGCCGCCAAGATTCTAGCTCCCTGGTGAACACACCCTGAATAATCCCCTCCCCTTGACTGTGGCCTGAACTTGCAAATATGATGGGATTTCATACTGTCTTAGGTTGACTTTGAGTTAATCAAAAGGAAGGTTATCCTGGGTGGGCCTGGTCTAATCAGGTGACCCTTAGAAGTCAGAAAGATTTCAAGTGAGAGACAGCCATTTGCTGGCCCTGAAGGAGCAGATATCCAGGCTGTGAACTGTCTGTGGACTGAGGGTGGTCTCTAGGAGGTAAAAGCAATCCCTGGACAACAACCAGCAAGGAAGTGGGGACTTCAGTCCTGCAACTGCAAGAAACTGAGTTCTGCCAACAACCTGAGAGAGTTTGAAAGAGAACTTTGAGCCTCAGATGGCATCACAGCCCCAGCAACACCTTAATTTCAATCTTGTGAGACTCTGAGCAGAAAACCATGCTGTGCCTGAACTACTGACCTACAGGACTATGACCTAATAGAAGGGTGTTGTTTAAAGCCACTAAGTTTCTGGTTATTTGTTATGGAGCAATAGAAAACTAATACACTGTCAGCACCTCTTTGAATGGTACCTTTATTAAATTCTTCTTGAACCGGACTGATTTAACTGTGCCATCTATTTGCTGCTGGGCTCTGATGAGTGCATCATTTAACCTCTGTGCACCTCGGTTTCCTCAGCTGTAATAGGAGATGATGGTAACAAAGCTAATGTGAGGATGCAATGACACGGTGCATGTAAAGTGCCTCGCACTTGCTAAGAGTCCACCACGTGGAGAAAGAGACAGATGGACTGAAGCAACTTCTCTGACCAGACCCGCTTTCCGAATCCCCCGGGTCTTTTGGCCTTGTCATTGCGGCTGGAAAGTCAAAGCCCCGAATGTGGGTGGTCCCACCCCTTCCTAACTCCCAGTTGCCCAGTGCCTTTGGGATGAATACACCACCCTTCATGCTCTAATTGTTTTGACTGAAGATTAGTGGGATCTTACTGCTCCTGGGGTGTAAAGAGCCATTGTGAGTGGTTATGCATGCTGAATTTAACCCAATTTCCAACACAAGGGCTTGTTCGTTCTGCAGAGAAGCCCATTTAAATGGCCTCAGCACTGCTCCCTTCAATCCACTGGTGGCCGAAAGGAGGAGAAGGAGAGAAATGGGAAACTCCTCTTCTTAACCAAATGTCTCAGGAGGGCTCATACCTGGGGACCAAGTTTGTTAAGAGGCAGATCTCAGAGCAGTGGAGAAACAGCTCAGAAGAGAAGCAGCTGGACTGCTGGCACTCAACATCCACAACTGTCAACCAAATGTGGCTCTGCAGGCTTTCCTACTATGACCAGCTGCTTTAAATCTTTCTCCTACCCTGTTATCAATGTTCCTATTGGTGGGCAGAGGACCACGTCCCCTATTCAAAGACGATTTTAAGAGACTCACTCATTTCCTCAGACTCTATGTGGAGGATGTTACAAATAACACAGATCCTATTCCTGTCTTCAGGGAGAGAATAACCCAATGCTATAAAATAGGAAGGGCATGAAAAAAATCACTGGATTCATGATATTAGTGTATAATTATTAAGCGGGAAAGTTGGTAAGCTCTCTGAGCAGTAGACCTTGTAAAAACAGGTATTATACCAAAACATAGAGAAAGAGGGACCTGTGTTTGTTTAACTTTGATAAACTGGTTCAATGAAATGTCATGGGTGTCTTTGTTGCAGGACTTTTTAGTGCCTTTAATGTGATAATGTGCCTTGTGTATCTCTAATCTGGCTGGTTGTCAGGATTCTCTCTGAAGCTTCTCAAAAGAACGAATATGCCACAGGAATCAGAATCCCCAGAAGTCAGGCTCAGGAAACTGCAGTGTTAAAACACCTCCCAGGCTGATTTTTTATGGTCAGCTAACTTGACCTAGAGATTCGAATTTGGGACTATAGGAATTTCCCAAGGTTTCCTGACTCCTGAATATATCTGTTGGTACCTGTTGAAACTCTCCAGCATGCATATAAATAATTATATTTATTTCCCTGTTGCAATCCACTCCTCATTGGAAAATCTGCTGTGGGAATCTCAGTTCAATCCAGATGTGTACATTAAGGGGAGCCTGGTGCACCTTTCGCCACCACTAGCCCAATGGGAGAAGACAAATATCCCTGAACGCTTCAAAGCAGATCATGCACCTTGGTCCACTGGGATTTCTCCATTGCAGAGCCTCTTTTGGAAGATATGGTTTTGCCCTGGGTTTTCCTAAGGATGGAATGGCTACAGAGAACCCACTAATGAGATGTCTCCAGAAGCTGGAGCTGGGGCTGTCTGGGTGGGTCCTGGGAGTCCTGAAGCAATCAGAAAGCAGTGAGTGGGTTCTAGAAGGAGATGGTTTTTGAAGGTGGGGGAGACTTGGTCAAGACTCAACTCTTGGTTCTGTCTGTTCTCTACAGGACTTCAAGAGGCTGATCACCAATCTGAAGATTGACTTCTTCCCAGGGTCCCCACTGGCTACCTCATTATCTTTCAACAGCCTCATGCTGATATCTACAGCAAAGCAGCACACCTCTTTTTTTTTTTTTCTTGAGACGGAGTCTCGCTCTGTCGCCCAGGCTGGAGTGCAGTGGCGCGATCTCGGCTCACTGCAAGCTCCGCCTCCCGGGTTCACGCCATTTTCCTGCCTTCGCGCCATTCTCCTGCCTCAGCCTCCTGTGTAGCTGGGATTACAGGCGCCCACCACCACACCCGGCTAATTTTTTGTAGAGACGGGTATTCACCATGTTAGCCAGGATGGTCTGGATCTCCTGACCTTGTGATCCGCTCACCTCGGCCTTCCAAAGTGCTGGGATTACAGGCGTGAGCCACCACGCCCGGCCACACCTCTTTTTAAGAGACAACATGGGGTGCTCAGCAATCATGGAATTTGCCAAAATAATTAAATACAACCCCCAATTCTTCTCTGGACAAGTTATCCAACATATCTGAGCCTCGGTTTCCTCATCTGTAAACTAATAAAATAAAATCTACCTCCCAGCCTGGTAAACATTAAATACATGACATTGCAAAGCACCTAACACACAGTAGGCCTTCAATAAATGTGAGTTATTTTTTCTTCCTTGTTTCTTTCTTCCCCCAAAAGGCTTTGCATCTGAGAGTCAGCAGAAAGAGGATAGTTTTTCATTGGCCTGCAGTGTGACATTGGACATCTCTTGGGCTCTAAATTCACTGGGATACTTTTGGTTGAAAGTAACAGACTCATTCAAATTAGCCCAAGCAAGGGAGGTAGGGGGAAGAATAATTATTACAAAGATGCAGAGATAACTCAGAGAACCAAGGAGCTGGAATGCAGTCAGGTTTCAGGAGTGGCCTGGAAACAGGAACTGAGATGTACCAGGAAATCTAAGATGTACTACTTTCTGTATCCCTCATCCTTTCTCCTCTCTCAGCACCACTTTCATTCATAACTAGTTCCCTGTTTACAGTACAAACAATGGCCATCAACTCCCCTAAATACTCAAGTTGGCCAGTAGGACCCCTTCCCTTAAACCTAATTCCATACTAAGGAAGATCTACATTGGCCCAGCTTGGATTGGGCTCTACTCCTAGTCCAATCAACAACATCTGGGGTAGAGCCAAGAGGCTTTCATTGGCTTGGCTTAAGATGGGCTCTACCCCTTGTCCAATCAACAGTGTCCACAGGTGGGGTCGTGAGGCTTTCATTGGCCCAGTTTGGGTTGGGCCCTTCTCCTAATCCAATCAACCACATCCAGAGGTGGTGCCATAAGGTTTTCATTGGTTTGGCTTAAGATTGGCTCTACCCCTTGTCCAATCAACAGTGTCCACAAGTGGTGCCTTGATGCTTTCATTGTCCCAGCTTGGGTCGGGACCTACCCCTGGTCCAATCAAGAGCATCCAAGAATGGAGCCATTGGCTTAAGATGGGCTCTACCCCAGTTCAATAAGCAGCAGCCAGGAATGGGGCCATGTTACACAAATATGGTGGCTTCTACTGTAGCTGTGCGGATGGAGAAAGTAAAGGACAGTCTTCAGAAAAGGGCAGCTGGGTGTGCCAAACAATAAGTGACTTGCTGAAAGCAATGAGAAATAATACCTGCCCTCAAGGAACTCATAGTTCCAAGGGAGTTTCAGACCCAGAGACAGATAAACACCATTCCTACTCAGAAAAGGCCGTTACATTGGTATGACCCAGAGACATCCACATAACCAGGGTTTGACGGGAGAAGTTCCCAGAAGCTGCACCAACTGCCTCCCCAAAGCCATCCTAGCACCTGATGAGCTAATTAATCACAATTATTATTGATGGCAGTGCCAATCCACCTGCTCGTGTCACAAGACATTAGTTATTGCCAGGAATGATGAATCCCAGGATGTAGAACATGCTAAAAATATTAATCTACCAGTGAAAATGATTTTAATTGGATTTCGCCCTTGGGGTCATGTCAGAGGCCCGCTTTCAATCAGACTTCTCCAGTCAGCAAAGCAGACCCCAGCCTTTCAAATTGAAACTGTGATTGGCTGGCAGAGGTTAATAGAAATGTTGGGAAATAAATAGGTTATTGATTGATCATAACAATCAGCCGGCTCCCAGCTTACCTTGTTGACCTCGCCCACCCAATTTTACGGCAAACGCGGTTAGCATCTAATTATAGATCACCTTTACAATACTGTGTATTAATGAGAAGATTATACAGTGGGGCATAGGGGAATTCTTACTGGAGAAGTTTCCCAGTGGCAGAAAAATTTGGTGAGACCTCTTGTCGAACATGGGGACCATCAGCGAGTGTGGGGGATTCTAGGAAGAATAAAATGACTCTCCCCACATCCCTGCCTAAAACCTCATTCATTCAAGCAACATGCATTTATTGAGCGTAAGATTTGCACAGGGGACCGTGGTACGTGGTGCTGTATCCGATGCAGTCCCTCTGCTTAGGAACTCACTCTGTAATGCACTGGTTCTAAAACATCTGCGAGCCCAAGAATCATTTGCCAGATGAAAGACAGATTCAGCCAGACATCGTGGGTCACGCCTGTAATCCCAGCACTTCGGGAGGCCAAGGCAGGAGGATGGCTTGAGAACAGGAGCTTAAAACCAGCCTGGGCAACCTAGCAAGATCCCATCTCTACAAAAAATAAAAATAGCCAGAAATGCTGGCCCGTGCTTATAGTCCCTGCTATTCAGAGGCTGAGGCAGGAAGATCCCTTGTGCCCAGGAGTTCAAGGTTACAATGAGCTATGATTGTGCCACTGCACTCCAGTCTGGATGACAGAGTGAGATCCTGTCTCAAAAAAAAAAAAAAAAAAAAAAACAGAGACGCAGATTCCTGGGCCGACACACTGAGATTCTGATTCAGAGGGGTCTGTATTTTTAACCCATTCCACCTTGAAAACTATGATGTGGTTGGAGGGCCTCATTTCGAGACACATTGGCCTGATCAGGAAGAAAGATCTACACAAAGAAAATTACAAATCAGTGTCTTGGGTGTTTGGATTAAAGTTTATCCAGAGTCCAGCCAGACATAAGGAACGTGAGGTCAGCTGAACCTGGAAGCCTTCATAAAGCAGGTGAGGTTCACACCGAGCAGGAATATCCAAGGTGAACTTGAAGAACAGTTTGCCCTCATAAAAGGATACTTTTAATGGGCACTAATGGTGTGCACAGCAGTGTTATCTGCCCCACCAGGGAGAGAAGGGGTGTCTGCCTCTCTCTTTCAAAGTACTAACAACCTGGTTGCTTTCTCAATTCCAAGTGGCCCCTCACCATGCACAAACCCTTTACTGGTTTGTTTGTTTTTTTTTAAGAGACAGGGTCTCACTCACTCACCCAGGCTGGAATCAGTGGCATGATCATAGCTCACTGCAGCCTCGAACTCCTGGGCTCAAGCGATCTTCCTGCCTCAGCCTCCCGAGTAGCTGGGACCACAGGTGTGCCTCACTATGCCTAGCTAATTTTTTTACTTTTATTTTTTTATTTCGTAGAGACAGGGTCTCACTGTTTTGCCCAGGCTGGTCTTGAACTCCTGTCCTCAAGCGAACCTCCCACCTCAACCTCCCAAATTGCTGAGATTACAGGTGTGAGACATCATTTGTTGAACCAATATGGAGAGGCGGTGAAGGTGGCAGAGATGGGAAAACAGGGTAAAATGACTTGCCATAGGTCATACAGCCCTGGTACATCTAGATAAGAACACAAGTCCAATGTCAACACACTACGGTGTTGCTGCCGCCTTATTTGTGGGGACAGCCCTTCTGAAGAGGATGAAGTTGCTGGGGAGGTAGGGCACAGCTAGGATTGGAGGGCCTGAACAAATGGTTCAATCCCAGCTTTTAACACAGTGCTGGGAAGGCCTCACTCAGGCAGTCAGACTGGGCTTCTGGCAGACTTTCAGGATGCTGAAGTGAGTCTGTGAAGGCAGATCCTCACCTCAGAATTAAGGAGGGAACTGCCTTTTAAAGAATAACAGACAGAAGTGTCTGGAAGTCACAGGCACAGGGTAGCTGGTCCACAGTGGAGACAGAGGAGTCTCAGCCCCACAACACCAGTGTGGATGGTGTCTTTGATAAATGCAGTTTCTCACCTGGACTCCTCCACAGCCTCCGCCCCAGGCTTCCTGCTTCCCCGTCCCCCTCCAATCCATTCTGCACCCAGCAGCTGGAAGCCAGTGTTTACAGCATAAATCAGAGGTGTCACTCTGCAGTACAAAACCCTCCAATGGCTTCCAAATATACTTAGAGTCAAATCAGATTCCTTATTGTGGCTCAGCAGGCCCTGAGTTATCCAACCCTGGCTTGCCCCTTCAACATTACATCCCACCAGCCTCTTATGCTCTGGCCTTACCTCTGTCCCTTCAGCATGGCAAGCTTTATCCCCACCTCAGTACCTTTGCCCCTGCTGTTCCCCCTGCTGACACTTTCTCCTAATGTCGCATGGCTGACTCCATCTTAACAGCTCAAATGCCACCTCCTCTGAGAGGCCCTCTCTGACCACCGCCTGATCTTGCCCATCCTCCACTCCACCCGGGCCATCCTGTCCCACTGTCCTGCCGTACTTCTTTTCATAGCAATAAACAGTGGTAGAAAGGATTTAACTTTCTTGTTTCTATACTGAATGCCTGTCTCCCCCACTGGACTGAGAATTCCATGAGGACAGACATTTAGTTTCTTCTCACCACTCTATTCTAGGTGCCTAGCA
This sequence comes from Homo sapiens, assembly GCF_000001405.40. Classification (NCBI taxonomy): domain Eukaryota; kingdom Metazoa; phylum Chordata; class Mammalia; order Primates; family Hominidae; genus Homo; species Homo sapiens. Next base: position 26,683,818 of record NC_000022.11, on the reverse strand, counting down.
CAGAGCCTGGCACATGGACAGTGTCAATGCATATCTGATCTACTACTGAATCCAAATCTAAAGTCTAGATGGGGAAAAAAAAATAAACAGGACCTGCTTGCCCAGAGACCAAAGCAGTGAGTGAACTCGCTCAGGCTTAGTCAAGGAGGGTGTTATGCATAGACAAGATGTAGTGACCGGAGGGGTCTTATCCTGGGCTCATGTGGGGAAAAAAGGGAACAGTCCAGGCAAAAACAAATGAAGGGCTCAGAGACACAGCACTGGAGGTGAAGGAAACTGAACACTGATGATTTTTCTTATTCCGTACATCATTCATATATCAAGATTCCCGTTTTCCTTATGAAACTGTGAGGCTGGTGAGAAAGCTGCCACAGCTGTCCAAAACAGAAGGCTGGTGGTTTGGACTGGGGCAATGTCAGGGGGATAGAATAAAGTGAGAAGAGATATTTAGGGCCGAATGTGGTGGCTCATGCCTATAATCCCAGCACTTTGGGAGGCAGAGGCGGGCATATCACTTGAGGTCAGGAGTTCGAGACAAGCCCAGCCAACATGGTGAAACCCTGTCTCTACTAAAAACACAAAAATTAGCCAGGCGTAGTGGCGGGAGGCAGGAGAATCGGTTGAACCCAGGGGGCGGAGATTGCAGTGAGCCGAGATGGTGCCACTGCACTCCAGCCTGGGCGACAGAGTGAAACTCTGTCTCAAAAGAAAAAAAAAAGAAGGCCAGGCGCGGTGGCTCACGCCTGTAATCCCAGCACTTTGGGAGGCTGAGGCAGGCGGATCATGAGGTCAGGAGATCGAGACCATCCTGGCTAACACGGTGAAACCCCGTCTCTTCTAAAAATACAAAAAATTAGCTGGGCGTGGTGCCGGGTACCTGTAGTCCCAGCTACTCGGGAGGCTGAGGCAGGAGAATGGCATGAACCCGGGAGGCAGAGCTTGCAGCGAGCCGAGATAGAGATAGCGCCACTGCAGTCAGGCCTGGGCGAAAGAGCAAGACTCCTTCTTAAAAAAAAAAGAAAAGAAAAAAGAGAGAGATTTAGGCGGTAAGATGACAGGACTTCGACAATGGCTGTGACAGAGATTGAGGAAGGAAAGAAAAATGACTGTCAGGTTTCTTTTTCAAGCAACCGGAGAGACTGGGGCTCTTTCCTGAGATGGAAAATGCTGGAAGGGACTAGGATTTGGGGAAAAAAGATCCTGAGATCAGCTGAGACAGAAACAAAGTTGTTTCTTAAAAGGAACTGTATCCTTGTTTATTGCTGCATAATGAACCTCTCCAAGACCTAGAGGCTTAAAACTACCATCATTTTGCTCAGTAACCTGCAATTGGAGCATGGCTTGGTGTGGACAGTTTGTCTCTGCTCCATGCAGTATCCACTGCAGTGACTCAATTAGAGCTGGATGACCCACCTTCAAAATGGTTCATCCATAGGATTGCCAGGAGCTCAGCCAAGGCTGTGGGTGAGAGCCTTGGTTCCTCTCCACGTGAGCCTCTTGAAGCTGCTTGGGCTTCCTCACACCATGGTGGCTGGGTTCCAAGAGTGAGTATTGCCCTCCCGCGTTTTATGAACTAGCTTTGGAAGTCACATGGCATCACTTCCACCAAAGTCACAAACCACCCAGAGTCAAGGGGAGAAGGGTCAAAGTCACATTATAAGAGGCGCACGTGGGATGGGAGATATTGTTACAGCCATTTTTGTAACAATAATAATTTCTGTTTATGGCACCAGGAACATGGGGGCCTTTCACCCTTGTGACCATCCTAGAAAGAAGATCCTAGTGTTACCCCCATTTTATAAATGGGGATACAGAGGCTCAGAGAGCTGACGTGACTTGTCCAAGGTGACACAGTATGGGAATCCAGACTTGACACTGGACCTGTCCCACCTCCAGTTGGCTCAGACAAGAGCCAGCTTCATTTTTCTCTGTACTTCAGTGCCCAGTACAGGGTCTGGCCCCAGATCCAGGGGTGCAGGTGCTGGGCGAGAGGCTGAAATCAAAGACCGTGAGAGTCCACGGGGCCTCCGTCATTCCAGCCTGAGAACCTGGGAAAGCGTAAAGGCGGTTGAGGCCTGACCCCACTGCCAGAAGGTGATGTCTGGTATGAGCTCCCCGGTGGCCTGGCGTCCCTGAGATGGCTGGGAAAATGCCCCCTCAGCCCTGTGCCTCCAAGATGTTCTCTTTCCTGGGGCCTGGGCTGGAGGCTCTGGCACATTCCTTACATTCCAGAGCTTTCCTCTGGGAGGAAGCCTCCTTCACACAGGAGAGGCCTCTTGAGTGAAGATTAGGAAATCGCTAGTGTTTCAGGCTGAACAGCACCAGCTCCCCACAGCGGTCTCTGTCCCCCTGGCTACATGGCTACGCCGCTGTTGTGGGTGCTTTGCAGGGGAGGATCTGTTTATAGGCCATGGGCCAGGCAAGAGATGACTGTAGGGACTGGGCCGCCATGACTGTGGCTTCTTGAGTGCTCACCACAGGCAGGCTCAGAGGATAAAGAGGCCAGAGCTGCCGGCCAGCTTGCTCCATGACTTGGTCCTGTTGCTCCCCGGTCTAATCCTCAGGCCACTCTGTCTTCCCCCAACCCTGTTGGCCTGCCATACCTGCCCAAGGCCAAGAGAAACCATCAACACATGAAACAGGAATTGAGAGCCCATCACATGCAGACACGTTGCATATGCTCTCTTGCCAAATCCGGGTAGCTTCATTGAAAGGGACACAGTTGGGCCGGGCGCGATGGCTCATGCCTGTAATCCCAGCACTTTGGGAGGCCAAGGTGGGCGGATCACCTCAGATTGGTATTTCGAAACCAGCCTCACCAACATGGAGAAACCCCATCTCTACTAAAAATACAAAATTAGACGGGCATGGTGGCACACACCTGTAATCCCAGCTACTCGGGAGGCTGAGGCAGGAGAATCACTTGAACCCAGGAGGTGCAGGTTGCGGTGAGCTGAGATCGCACCATTGCACTCCAGCCTGGACAACAGAGTGAAACTCCGTCTCAAAAAAAAAAAAAGAAAAGAAAAAGAAAAAGAAAGGAACACAGTTATTCCCATTTTACAGATGGAGAAACTGAGGCTCAAACAGGGGAAGTCATCAGCCCTAAGTCACATAACCAGTAAGGGGTGGATCTGGCTACTCCCTAATTTGCCTGGACACCACCCACTAGAAAAGCCCAACTGACTCTTGTTTCATTCATTCAGTAAAATGTTGTTGACTCCCAACTCTGTGCCAAGTGCAGTACTGGGTACCCAGGGTACAGCTGTGAAGCAGGCTGCATTGCCCCTGCCCTTGTGGTGCTCACAGTCAGGGGAGCAGTCAATGAGCCAATAAATATGAAATCACAAACTGTGCTCAGATCCCCGAGGGCAATGAACACCCTGCAGGGAGAAGGAGTGACAGGAGAGAAACCAGCATAGAAAGAGTAACTGGGTTCGATCCCACAAGACGGAGTCAGCATTTTGGGGTGATGCGGCCCCATGGGTGTGGTGACCACCTTGAATCCAGGTTTCTCCATCCTCCAACCATGTGTCTTTGGGTGAGTTTCTTCACCTCTCTAAGCTTCAGTGCCTCCTCCTATAAAATGGGGGTGGTAATGAAACTCGTAAACTATTTCTGAGCACTTCATACATCAATGTGTCCAAACCATTCAGCACAGAGCCTGCATGGAGCAAACACTCGGAAAACAGTACCGGCCACTTTAACTCAATCCAGGTGAATGAAGGTGTGTTTGGAGGTGGAGAGAGAAGGAACAGTTTTGCCTGCAGGAAGAGCTCACAGCATCAGCGAGTTCTTGGAATAGTCTAGGCCTCAGAGGTCGATGGTTGGGGGATCCTGCATTGCTGAAAACACCAGTGTTATCAAAATAGTGAACCCTGCTGAGAGTGGCAGGATGGAATGGAAGCCAAAGGCGTACTTTGCCCATTTGGTGGAGGAGTAAGCTGAGGCTTAGAGAGGGGAAGTCACTTGGCTTGGCCTCTGTTAGGAAAAGGAGCCCTCGGCTGGGCAAGGTGGCTCACTCCCAGCACTTTGGGAGGCCGAGGCGGGTGGATCACAAGGTCAGGAGTTCAAGACCAGCCTGACCAAGATGGTGAAACCCCGACTCTACTAAAAATACAGAAATTAGCCAGGTGCAGTGGCAGGCGCCTGTAACCCCTGCTACTAGGGAGGCTGAGGCAAGAGAATCGCTTGAACCTGGGAGGCAGAGGTTGCAGTAAGCCGAGATCGCGTCACTGCACTCCAGCCTGGCGATAGAGTGAGACTCCATAAAAAAAAAAAGGAAAAAAAAGAAAAGAAGGAAGGAAGGAAGGGAGGAAGGGAGGGAAGGAGGGAGGAAGGGAAGGAGGGAGGGAGGGAAGGAGGGAGGGAGAGAGAGAGAGAAAAGAAAAGGAGCCCTCCGCAAAAATGAAGAGTGGTTTTCCAGAGTTTCTGTCCTCAGCTGCATTCTCTCCAGTCCCTATCCTTGTCCCACCCATGCCAAGTCCTACTCAATGCCCTAAAACTCTGTGATTTCCAGAGTATCCCGTAGAGCATCCAGCCCCAAATGCCCCTGAGAGGAACTGAGTTTCCAATAATAAGCAGTGAGGGTTTGGTGCAACACCACCATCTCCTGGTCGCTCCTGTGAACTACAGCTCTGGCTGGGCCACAGAGCACCTACAAAGCGGACTGGACTCCCAGGAGCTACACGACACTGACATGCAACAGACTAAATGCAGAGGCAGATATCAGAATGCAACACAATCTGTCTTCTATTAGGCCAGACATTAAAGAGATTTACCCTAAGAAAGTAAAATAATGCTGTCTTCTCACTAAATTTATTTTGCTTTGGAAAATACGGTTATTCATAATAAAGCATGTGTTATTTTTGTTAATATGCGATGGGTTTATTATTGTTATTGTGATTTTTCCATGAATAAACAAGTCTTTTTAAAACGTCTCTGTTTTAATTTACAACATGGCAGAGTCTCTACAATGGTTTCCTTCTGTCCCTGTCCCCCATCCAAATCTAGTTTCCATTCACTGCCTCTCCTGGGCTTTGCACTCTGCAGGGGTGATGCCTGTCTGCTGTGCCCTGGGCACCCAGCATTGTATTTGACACACAGTAGGACTCAACAACATTTTGCTGAATGAATGAAACAGGGGCCAGTTGAGCCTTGTGAGTGGCCAGCATCCACAATGCCTTTGAAAAAACACCTGCAACTGGGCCTGGCTGCCCAGAACACTTTTCTGAGAAAAAGGCTGAAAATGCACCCAAGTTCCCAAAGATAGGCAGGCAATCAGCTAGCACTGTGCGTCATATGGCAAGAGTGTAAAGAGCCTGAAGCCAAAATGTTTGAGAACTGCAGTGATAGAGTACTGTGGACAGGGTGGTCAGGGGAGGCTTCTCTGAACAAGTGATGTTCAGCTGAGCGCCAACAAGAAGTCAGCCACGTGAAAACCAGAGGGACATACATTCTAAGTGACGGGAAAAGCCAGTGCAAAAGTAGGTACCCAGGCGAGAGCAAATAGGTGCACTGGTAACAGAAAGGCCAGCAACCTGGCATCCCAGAGGCTAGGGCAGTGCCCACTATAAAAGAAGGACTCAGTAAACAGCTGCTGGGTGAATAGAGGGAGGGAGAGGAGGAAGAGAAAGGAGGACTGGGAGGAAGCTCTCTTCTCATTAGGGGTCTTGTAGTCCTTTGAGGGCAGGGGGGCTCACAAGTTCTGCCAGCCGTGGGAGATTCCCAACTCTTCTTACCACGCCTTGAACACTGCTGCACAGACCAGCCTCCACTTCTTAGCTCAATCTGTAACCTCCTCTGAAGTGTCCACCCTGCCCCCACCCCAATATCCTATCAATATCCTCATCTCCTACCGAACCAGTCCAATGAATCTTGGAGAAGCCATCCTGAAATGCCCTGCACCATCACTATTTTCTCCTGATTTATTGACTATTCCCCATCCTTCAAGGTTCCCCTCAAGTTTTGATTCTCCCAGAAAGCCATCCCTTACTGCCCCCACCCTCACCCCACCTCCTCCTGACCTTCTTTCCAACAGAGCACCTCTGGCCCCCAATCTCATCATCTGGTGCTAACACAGAATGAGGTTTCAGGGAACACTTGCAGGGCATCAAGCGCTGTCTTAGCTCTGCAAGAACGCTTGGGAACCTTCACAATGGCCCTATGAGGTGGGAGTGGTCTCCCCATTCTACAGAGCCGATGGAGGCTCAGGGAAGGGCAATCATCCCCAAGATCTAACAGCAGGTGTGTGGCAAAGCTGGGATTCAAACTGAGGATTATCAGTAGTCTCAATCCTAAGACTGACTCCAAAGTTCTTTTAAAACTTGGCTACCCAGAACACTGTTCTGAGAAAGAGCCTGAAAATGCACCCAAGTTCCCAAAGAGAGATAGGCAATCAACTTGCAATGTCTGTCAAGGATGCTGAAGGGAAGAGTGGCGATGTGTGTGGCTTATATTTGCCAGTCCTTCACGATCACACACTAAACTCTATCTTTTTCTCTGTCACCAAGGAACTCTTTGACTCCCCAGTGAAGTATAAGATCCCTGGCAGGCCATGCGCGGTGGCTCAAGCCTGTAAACCCAGCACTTTGGGAGGCCGAGGCGGGCAGATCACGAGGTCAGGAGATCGAGACCATCCTGGCTAACACGGTGAAACCCCGTCTCTACTAAAAATACAAAAAATTAGCCGGGCGTGGTGGTGGGTGCCTGTAGTCCCAGCTACTCAGGAGGCTGAGGCAGGAGAATGGCGTGAACCCAGGAGGCAGAGCTTACAGTGAGCCGAGACCGCGCCACTGCACCCCAGTCTGGGCAACAGAGCAAGACTCCATCTCAAAAAAAAAATAATAATAAAATAAACAAATTCCCTGGCAATAAGAACCTGGATTTCTGGAAGCACTGCCCTAGGCATAAAGAAGTGTTATTTTTTAAAAATACCACCAGGCACAGTGGTGCACGCCTGCAGTCCCAGCTACTCAAGAGGCTGAAGCAAGAGGATCGCTTGAGACCAGGAGATCAAAGCCAGCCTGGGCAACATAGCAAGACCTCATCTCTAAAAAAAAGAAAAGAAAAATAAATACCAATGGTGATAATGGTTGCACAACAATGTGAATGATACCACCAAGATGTTCACTTAGAAATTATTATGGTGGTGAAGTTTTATGTTATGATTATTTTACCAAAATTAAAAAATAAAATACCCTATTATATTGACTTCTAGGGTCACTCTTGAGGAAAGGCTGACTCACCGAGAGAGCCCACCCCTGCTCCTTGAGAATGCCACTGGCTGCCCCCTCTCCCCTAAACAGCACGTCCCTTCTGCTTCATAGGCCACAGTCATGTTTCCAGCGTGAATTGATTTTTAATAGCAAAATGGCATTTTACACAGAAGCAGCTACATTCATGGATGAAAACAAAAATCCAAGTGACGCTCCTTTGTTGAATCCATGTAAAAATCTGATTTTTAATCTACAGAGAAATTTCTACCCACACATTCGGTATCCCCTGGGGGTAATGACATGGAAAACAAACATCTTTTCTGGTCTGTTAAAGTAAAACAATGGGTCCCTGGATAGACTCTCAAGAGGGCCTTTGATGGAATGGAACCAGTCCCCCCACCCCGAAAGCATCCCCCCAGCTCAACATGTCACCATTTACACCAGCACAGCCCTCACATTGGGTCCACAGCACAACCTATTAAGAAAGGATTATAACACCTGTTCGGATTGGGAGGCCAATTCCTCAGCTCTAAGATCCTGCTCATAGCAAGCTTGATGTTCAGTAGACTCCAAAGCAGACTGAATGAGGGAGGGGTCGAAGAGAATGTGCCTGCTTGGGCTCAGCCTCCTCTAATATTGTCAAGATGCACACACACTCTTAGAATCTCACAACCATCGCCAATCTCTATGTTGGCCTAGTCCCAATCCTTCTGCCTCTGGGAACAAAAGGTTCATTACCCACCAAGGCATATTTTTCCCTCTCTGGGACCAGGATCAGCTCTTGCAAGCTTACTCCACACTTGTATCTGCCCCTTGCAGCCATGCATGACAAATGGGCTCCCTCCCCAATGGAATTATCTTATAGACTTGCAGCCTATGACTGTGTTTCCCCTGATCTTCTCCAGGGACTTCCCACCACCATGGGATGACATGTTTTCAAGATTGCTCCCCTTCCGAGCCTTTATTTTCACCTTGGTCCTCTTTACTTTCCAGTCATTGCAGAGATACTTCCAACTGGGGTAGACATGTATGGATTCTGTTTATCAAAAGATGGACCAAAGGGTCTTCCTAGTTTCAAAAAGTTCTGCTCAGTTGTCTAAAATGTGGCCAGAGGCCATTGCAAACTCCTCTGAGTTCCACCTGGGCTGGAAAAGCCAAATGGCCAGCCTAAAACTCAAATCCACTAACTCCCTTTCTCAGATCATATCCGTCGCTCCCCAAGGCCTAAGGATAAAATCTAAACTTCTTGGCAACCAGACCCGGCACCATGTCCATGTCTCCTATCTCTTGCTACATTCCACATGAACCTTCCAGAACCTCTTTGGATCCTCTCTGATCCCCAGAAACTGGTGTCCACCACTCTCGCTGCCCGGAACTCATCCCCACCCACACTCCACCCAGCCACAGCTCAGCTTAGATGCCTCCCTCTCCAGAAAGCCACCACAGGGTGGATTAGGTGTCTCTCTGTCCCCATTCCACCCCCCTGCACCCAACACACTAGAATTAAAGCTCCTGAAGACCAAATGGTGTTTAACTACCACTACATCCCCAATGCCTGGCACACGCCTGGCACAGAGTAGGTGCACATCAATCTTGTCTGTCTCCTTGGTGCTCCCACAGACCCCTGACCAATCATAACACCCATCTCACTGAATCACTATCTACTTCACCAACTCTCCCACTAGGCTATAAAAGCACCATGACGAAAAAGCCCAGGTGCAGGTCCCAGCGCCCAGAGCAGTGCCTGGCACATAGTAGATCCTTAGCAGCATCAAGTCTTTGCAGTTAAACAAAGAGGAGTTTCAGGAATAGGAGGTGTGAGCTTCCTGCTTTGAGTGAAATGGAGCAAGGCAGCCACTAGAGGATGGCAGGCAGGCACTTCCGGGTGTAGACTACCCCATCCAAGGTCCCTGCCAGCAGCCAAGGCATGTTCTCAAAGCTCTTTCTAAGACATCTTTTCTCTCTTGTGCCCTCTGCAGCTCAGGCCTCTGGATCACCCTTCACCCCCACTGCCAACTACAATTGGTTAGCTCTGAGTCCACAGTTGCCAGAGAAAAGGGCTCTCAGCACCAGACTAGCATTCAACGACCCAAGCAACCTGCCTCTAAGGTCTGTAAGCCAGCCTTTGACCTGTCCCTAAACTGATCCAATCCTCCAGGCCCTGCCTTGAACTGTCTTCTCCTGCAGACTCTGACTACCAGACTGAGTCAGCAAAACCTTGAACTAGTGCCACCTTTTACCTGCACCTGGAATCCCTTGCGTATGCTCCCTGCCCCTCTACTCCCAAAGGACGTTCCCTCAGTCTAAAGAGATCAAAAGTCCCTTCCAGAAAAACTCCCGTTTCCTCGGTGCAGCTAAATTGCACAGAAGAGTTTATGCTAGAAGAGCTAAAAGTTAGAACAGGAAGCTCAGATAATTTATACTACTAACATGTAAATGACTGACGGAGTTATAACCCTTCTGAATACTCTGATCTAAAGCTTTATGTCCTAGAACTTCCAAAACACAAAGTCCCCAAAATGAAGACTCTAGGCCCTGGCCTGGGGAAGGGTGACTCTATACAAAATGGCATATGCTCTGTAGACACCAGACAGGTATTTTAAGGTTTATAAGAGCTGCATCTACTTGTGCAAACTACTGTAGCTATAAGGCTATATTTTTTTAAGAACTGAAACCAAATGCAGACTATGAGGAGTGAAGATATGCCCAATGGCCAAAACCTTGCAAGACTGGCTATACTTCTGACCCCACCTTGGTGGGTACCACTGCTCCATCAGGCCTGGTCCACACCAGAGCCCTGGCACCTCCTTTAGAAAACTACCATCTTTACCGACTTCTGATTGTTCTGACTCAGAGCAGCCACCACGCCCAAAATTGTTAGCTATGCTTTTCCCTGTGTTAGTCAAGTTCAAACCTGTGTTAGCCAAGTTCAAACCTGTGTTAGCCAAGTTCAAAGCTGTGTTAGCCCCTTCCCAGCCATGCCGACATCCAAGCTGTTAACAGTAACGAGGAATGTTAGACCTGTTGTTAGTCAGAAAAAAATCCACAAACCATTAGTTTCTGCTGAAAGGAACAGACCAGGAAGGCAGGAGTTAGTCAAGGTGAAGGAAAGGTTAATTAAGAACCGGTCAGGGCCAGGCCAGGAGCCTGGAACCCCCAGACAGGGCCAGGTTGGTTGTTAGTGGTCAGCCCCTGGGGCAGTCAGGGTGAGGCAGGGATTAGCTGGGTGAGAGCAAGAGTTAGCGCAAGGGAGCCAGAGATTAGCCCAAAGAAACCAAGGTGCCTACTGGAGGTGAGGCATGAAATCACCCCCAGGTGTGGCCCCGGCTTAGCGGCTGGCGGGCTCTGGGGGAGGCTGGCTGAGGCAGTGACGTCCGTGGGAACAGAGAGCCAGAGATGCATTCCTGGCCGGCCTGAGCATCTGCGGGAACCCTGTGAGCCCCTGAGGTTCACTTCTTGCTCCCCACTTCTCTCTCCTGCAAACTCCGAGCCCGGGGTAAAGCTGCTTCCCCTCCCCACACCCCTTTTCAACCCGACAACTAACGCCCTCTAGCTTCCGGGAATGGGACGGATCTTTCCCAAGGACTTCCGGTCACGGCCCCACGTCTACTTACGGTGGGGGAAACCGGCCTCTCTCGGCTCCAGAGAGGGGAGACGGCTCTCTAGCTGACTTCCTGTGTGGGAAAGAGTCCTCTCACTGACTTCCGGTGTCAGAAATGTCCCTCTTTCCGGCCTTCAAATATGAGAAATGTTTCTCTGGCCGACTTCCTGTGTACTAAATACTCCACTCAGTGGTTTTTAGCGTAGGAAAGACCCGCTTCATTGACTTCCGGTGTAAGAAAGGCTCCGCTTTCTGACTTCCGGTGTGGGACACGCCCCTCTGCTAATTTCCGGTGAGGGGCACGCCCCCTCCTGCCTTCCTCGTGGGATACGCCCCCCTCGTGACTTCCTGTGCAGGACAGCTTCTATCCCCGTCACTTAACAATGGAGAGGATTCTTCCCCAGCTTCCTTCCAGAGGACACAAAAGCTCAGAGCTCCACAGTCTAGAGTCTAGACCAACAGGCCTCCACACTCACGTCCCAGAGATTTCCCTGGTCCCACCTACTCCCAGTGGCAACCAGACTTCTGCACATAGGAGAGATGTCATACTCAGAGTCCAGCCTCCCACATCCACAGGACCACCTCTTCCTCCTCTGAGTCTTGTTAATAGGGCCATCCCCTGCCTTAGACCTGGCCCAGTGGACTCTGATCTTACAGCCAATATGGGGCAGCAAAGTGGGACATCTGTCTACAGGGCCAGTAGCCCCAGGTCATCTGCTTGCCAAAAGGAGGGGGACCAGCCCCCGGGGGGAGCCCAGAGCTCGGCAGGGCTGGGGTTAGTAAGAAGAGAAAACAGGGTTAGTAGGGGCTGGGTTAGTAAGTCAGAGCACAGCACCAGCGGACAGGGCACCTCAGCAGACACACACAGGAGTCGCTAAGAGAAAAGGAAGAACGCACGCAGGTCCGTTAGTTTGTTAAGGGATGATCGGGGTGCAGTTGAGGCACCCCAGGGGTTAGACGGGTTAGTAATCGAACAAAAGAGCTGCCTACAGAAAAGAAAGCTGAGACGGAGGAAGAATGTGGGGAAGTGACATGGATTCAAAGCCAAGTGTCTTGCCCCAGGCAGAAGGATCTGTGTGCAGAACACCCAGAGAGGCCAGGGCCTAGGCAGCAGACGTGTTCAACCAGGTTTGAGGGGCCTTCCTCCATCCTCATACTTTTTTTTTTTTTAGGTGTCTGCCATGTGCTGAGACCCTTATATTGACGGGAATCCTCACTGCAACCTGTAAGGTATCAGAACTCGCATTCTACCACTGAGGAAACTGAGGTTGAGAGAAGTGAGGTGACTTACTCAAACTCACTCAACAGGAAGTGGCAGAGTTGGTGAGTCTTATTTGCATTCTCTGTCCTGGAACGTGGGTCTGCACAAAGATCCCAGCCCATAGGCAGAGCCTTCTGGAGCCTTGGCTGCCCCCATATCCCAGCCCCTTGAAAGGCCCATGAGCTGCACAGTTAGTAGGATCTGGCTGCGGGGGGGTGGTTAGTAGGGCATGCTCGGGCCTGGTTAGTGGGTTAGTTGGTTGGCAGAAGGCCAGGCACCTCGTCACACGCCACAGCGTCCCGGCTGAGCCCTGGGTTAGTAGGTTAATCACACCATGCAACACTGCCCCGGCCCCTCCAGCTGCAGCTTCAGAGGCCTCCCGCCCCCACCAGCCAGGGAGTGGGGCCTGACCAGGGCAGGGGGTCTAACTCTAAGCCCCCCAGCCCCATCAAAATCAACCCTAACCACATGGACCCTGCCCAAAAGCATGTTGCTTCCCTATTTATTGGCTGTGGGTCTCAGAGCACCCCCTGCAAATATTTCAGCTCCCCTGAAAATGGACCCTACTTGTCCTAGACAGAAACCCCCTGCCTGGTTCTGGTCAGCCCCTTCCCAGAGGGCTGGATCCTGTTACACTCTGACAGACACACGCACACCCGCATCTCTCCGCAAAAGATCTGACAACCGTGCTTAGTAGACATCTCTTCCATCACCGACTGTCAGGCCTCTAGTTTCTCCAACTATTGGCCTGCCCTCCCACCATTAGAAAAAAAAAAAACGCATCAAGCTGGCCTGGCTCCTGGAACCAAGTTGAGACTCCCCCACGCCCACCCGGTCTGCTTCCTTTTCAGCCAATGCTACAAAGCACCTAAGTGTACCCTAATTATGCCATCTTCTATCACTGCTGTACTTTTCCCATAGAAACCCCAGCCTAGCATCTCCCACAGTTCTAAACGATGTTCCATGAGAAAAAGATTCTACGGCCATAAAAGTCAAGGAACACTTCATCCTATGCCCTGTCCCTGAGTATTTGAAATTGCCATTAGCATTTTAAAGGTTCTGATAAGTCCTGCACTACTTCAGTAGTGCAGCGGAATTTGAATTAGAACCTGCTTTTTTTTTTTTTTTTTTTTTTTTAAGGAGCAATGACATTTCCTAGAAGTTACTTTAAGAATTTCCCTAGAGGGTCGGGTATCATCTCAGCCAGATCTTTCTCATCCTTCAAGGCCCTGTTTGGTACAGCTTGCTAGGAAGCTGTTCCAGACTGCAGCAGCCCTCTCTGGGGTCTCTCTACCACTTCCCAGGCACTCAGAACTTGTGCCTCAGTAGACTGTTTTGTGGCACTGTCCCATTCTCTGATTCTCCATGTGAGCTGGTTTTATCCCATCCAGCATGGCTGTGAAATCCTAAAGGTTCAAACCCCAGCCACTCTTCACCTATATTTCCCCCAAATGGCTAGCACGGGAAAGGGCCCAAAGTAGGTGCTCAGTGCTGATGAGAGAGTAGAATTTAAATACCCCAGGAAGCATTGTGAGTTACTACGGAGGCCATGAAATGCTGCCACCTCCCCAAGCTGATTAAAGAGTGATACTAGGAAAATAGGTAGGGAAGGGCTAATCAGAAATGCCTCTGGTTCAGAAGATGCTGAGTTTTAAAGTCCAGAGAGCCAAAAAAAAAAAAAAATAGATAAACCCTAAGTCTATACTCCCAGATGGATGGGAGCATTTGCTGAGCACCTACTGGGAGTCAGGCACTGTGCTAGGCACACAATCTCACTGAATTCTCCCTGCACCTGACAGGCAAGCACATTCCTTCCATTTCACAGAGCATCGGAGGCTCAGAGGTGAAGTAACTTGCCCAGGGTTGTAGCCCAGGCCCTTCTCAGGACACGGCTCTCCCAGGGCCTCCGCCTCCCTGCACTGAGCCCTGCCAGTTCCATATGTCCTCCGAAGCACTCCTGAGCCACCCCAGCATGGTACCTGCCACTCTCCGTGTCTGCTTCCCATACCTCTCTGCTCCTCCTCCCCATCCCTGGGTGGGGGCGGGAATTCTGAAGGGGAGAAGGCTCTGACTTTCCATGTTTGCGGTGACCACCCTGTTAAGAACTGAATGGTGTCCCCTCCCCCAAATGCATATGTTGAAGCAGTAGCCTGCTATGTGACTGTTTTTGGAGATGGGACCTTTAAGGGGTTAAGGTTAAATGAGGTCATAGGTTTAAGCCCTAATATGGTGATATTAGTGTCTTTATAAGAAGAGGAGGAGACACCAGAGCCTGCTCATGCTCTCTGTCCCTCTCCACAGAGAAAAGGCCATGTGAGGACATAGTGAGAAGGTGCCACCTGCAAGCCAAGGAGAGAGGCCTCACCAGAAACCAAGTCTTAACACCTTGATCTGGACTTTCCAGCCTCCAGAACTGGCAGAAAATAAATTCCTGATGTTTAAGCCATCCAGTCTGGCATGGTGCTGTGGCAGCCCAAGCTGATGAATAGTACACACCACTCCGCATTCTGGGAAAAAGGACATCTGGCTTTTAAACTTGCCTAAGGGAGGCCACAAGCTGCTCTCTTGCAAACGCTGGGACTGTCTCCTCTGGAGGGAGCTGGAATTGCAGATTGTGGGGCCTGTCCTGCCACCTTCTGTTCCCCAAGAACAGAATCCAGGAGCAGTGCAACTAGAAGCAGCGATCTGATTGGAGAAGAGTGTCCTGAGACTGGGCTAAGGTGACCCCTTAAGCCTTTGGGTAAGACTGGTTCCCTTTGGATGGCAGGAAAAAAAACCCAGGGCCACCTGTCTCTTTCTAGTGAATTTCCCTAGCCTAAATCTTATCTCTTAAAGACCCTCTCTTTTCAGGATGGTGCACTCTCAGCCCCTCTGGCTGCCCCTCCCAGAGTTCAACAGCACAGGGGGAAGGCTCCAGCTCCTCCCAGATCCTGACTGTCTCCTCTTTGTAACCATCAGGGAGAGGAAAAGCATGGAAAAGCCCCACCAAGGAAGTCCCCCACAAAATGACAATTACGCACTGAGCAAATGGAGACAAAGGACTCCAGCCAGCGGCACCCGAGGAGCTGCATCTGCCCTCTGCCTGACAGCCCCTCCCCGACTCCCATCCTTGTTCCTGTCCCCATCCTGTAGGGTCCTTTGAGACCCAGCCTTGGGGAAAGTGTGGTCAGTGGGGACTTGGCCCAGGCCAGGCTCTGTCTGGTCACCGGCAGAAACGCGAGGAGGAATCAAGTTCACATGGGGCAGGAAAGGGCCCCCAGACCCAGACAATAGGGCCCAGCAGGCAGGGCCCGAGCAGGTGAGGAGGGAGTAGTGGGCTGCCAGGCCTCCCTCATACCCCTGGAGCTGTCCTCCAGAGCCAGATCAGTCATCTGCTGAGCATCAACCAGGAAGAGTTCCTATCCATGGGAGGCTCCATCCCAACAGGTGTGAAGAGGATGAGATCTTCAGGGAGTCACCCAGCGGGCTAGAAAACCACCGGAGTCTGACCGCTAAGTCACTGTGGCCAGAATCCAAGGTCACCCGAGGTCCAAAGAGAAGTCCAGGCCAGGAGTCCTGGAGATGCGGCCCAGATGGAGCCACCTGGGGGAGAAGACAGCGAGTGAGGATGAGGCCACAGCCTCCATCCCCAACTTCCCACATCCCCCCAGCCTAATTCTGCATCTGAGGGGACTCATGTTCAGAGATCCCCCCAGTCTCTCATGCCCCCAGCACACACACAGGGTGGAAGTGAGGGTTTTGGACATGAAACATTTTTAGAAGAAACTTAGGCCAGGCACAGTGACTCCCACCTGTAATCCCAGCACTTTGGGAGGCTGAGGAAGGAGGATCACTTGAGCCCAGGAGTTCGAGACCAGCCTGGGCAACATAATGAGACTCTGTCTCTACAAAAAATAAGCCAGGCATGGTAGCATGCACCTGTAGTCCCAGCTACCCAGGAGGCTGAGGTGGGAGGATGTATTGAGCCCTGGAGTTCAAGGCTGCAGTGAGCCGTGATCATAACACTGTACTCTAGCCTGGGCAACAGAGTGAGACCCTGTCTCTGAGAAAAAGGAAAAAAAAGTTGTCTAAAAAGAGGAAGCAATGAAAGCTGAGAATACCCACCAGGCAGGGTTAGCTCAGGGGACCAGAGGAAAAGCAGTAAAGGGAGCCCATAGCAAGCTCCAGGAGCATCATGGGCAGAGACAGGGCAAGGGTTTGAGGGGATGGGAAGGACTTTCAGAGGCCTTTGATGGCTTCAATTCATTTTACAACATTCCCACTGGGAGGATCTCTGCACACCACCACCCCCAACATACACACACACGCGCGCATACACACACATACACGCGCACACACATGCACGCATGCACACACACACAGGCATGCACACACATGTGCACACGCACACACACACACACACACACTGCTCCCAGGACGAGGAGCTCACCCCCTTGCCGAGACTGTAATAAAGCGTGTTCTGACATGAAGATCTGAGCAGATGGGATCATGTCTCTGGGTTCACCTCTGCGTCCCCAGCATCTGGCTCAGAGAAGTTGCTTGGTCCATGCCGGTGCTGAATGAAGGGACTTGCTAAATTCTCTGCTCGAGCTCACCCACAATGGTCTTGATTCCATCCCACCCACCCCCACCAAGACCACACAGAGCAAGCATTCCAGCCACCTGGCTCCCTGGCCATCTTCTCATGAGCAGGAGCGTTCTGGGCCTGAGGAGGGGGCACAGGTGGGAGGACAACCTACCCCCATGAAACCAAGCTCCATGTGACCTCCCTCCCTCCCTCCCCACATCCCTCTCAGGCTTACCTGGCAGCATCCAGCCGACACACAGGCAGCCCAGGCTCCCAGCTCCTTCCTTCCCCACACAGACCCCACAGGCCCATCCTGGAAGACAAAAGAGCCAACCACACCGCAGGAGAAAACTGCACCCAGGCCCCCTCCCCAGGCCCAGGCCTTGCCAGAACTCCCTGCTGAAGAAAGAAGGACCAGGAGCCAGGGAGGCTGGGCCCAGGCACCCCACCCTCCACCTCTCTTTATTCCACCCCAGAACATCCTTAAAAGGTGAGGGGAGAAGGGTTCCCAGGTTCCCTTCACTCACTCCCTGTTTCCCAACAACAGCAGAATGTGACCCAGGAGAAAGTAGGACAAACTCAGCAGCTTGGTGATAGCTGAATAGCAGCTGAACGGAGAGTCAGGAATCCAGAATTCTGATCCCAGCTCTGCTCCTGCCACACTGGGTGGCCCTGGAACCCTTCCTGCCTTGACATTCACTCAAGGTGCACGGTAATCACCCATTGTTTGAAGCAATGGATGGGAAATGGAAGGGACCCTTCTGCCCAGCCTCAGTTATTTTTCTGCTCCCCCTCCTTCTCCCCTGCCCTTTCCTGATGCCCCATGCACCAGAGGAAATTCGGGGAGCCAGAGGCTGGACTAGGACTCTTTTAAGACCACCCTGTGTCACCAGTCTGGAGAAGACCAGAGAATGACCACTAATCCTGACCTAGGACCATCTGCCAGGTTTTGTTTTTGGTAACAACTGTGCTGTCTTCATCAACTGGCAGACCTGAGTCAGGAGAGTCAGGGAGCTCTCTCAGCATATCTTCAGAGCTTGCTGTCAGCACCCGGGAGTGGGGGCACGAGTCCAGAACTGGAGATGAGCTCAGACACTTACACTGAGAAAAATGCATCTAAAGTCACAGTGTTAACTCTTCACTTAACTCTAAGGCCAAGGAGCCCTGTCCAAGGTTTATAAATATGATCACAAAGTGCTGAAACTGAGAAGAGAAGGGCTGGTTCACATCATCAGGGAGTCCCCAGCCTCCTTCTAATAGCAGTTCTACAAGTACACAAGATGAAGTCATTTAACTCAGCCTTCAAAAGTTCCAGACGGTAATGTTTGTGAAATACTAGCCCTAACGCCAAATGTGAAGTGTGAAAATCACCCTTTCTGGGACCCCACAAAATGGGGACAGGCTCTTTCTTTCTTCCATAGAGGTAGAAAAGAGAATGAGCTACATCACCCATTTCCCCTCCCACTTTGGCATTCTAGGATACTACACTTTCCTGCACAGACCAGAAGAGGGCAGGCTGGTAGGCTATGGGCTGGTAAGTTTAAATACTTATCTGCAAAGATGCTTCTCAGTGTGGTTGTGAACGTCCTGAAGAACCTGGAAATTCCCTTCTGTCTCCTCTGTCCCAGGAACTTGCTGCTCTCTGTAAATAGACCCTGGACTGCTCAGAGGAGCCTGGCTTGATCCACAGTGACCCTTTCCCCTCGTTCTGTGGACCTAGAGTCATGATATTAATAAGGTGATGGAGGTTTCAAGGGACCTTTAGCTGACACCGTCTTAGAGGGTACAAAGGAAGGTATGGGCTTTGGGGCTAGAGAAACCTGGAGGAAACTGTGGCTCTCTCACTCCTACGTACTCAATGTGTGACTCAAAGTTAATTGTTTTTCTTTCTTTCTTTCTTTCTTTCTTTCTTTCTTTCTTTCTTTTTTTCTGGAGACAGGATCTCACTCTGTCACCCAGGCTGGAGTGCAGTGGCATGATCTCGGCTCACTGCAACCTCTGCCTCCTGGGTTCAAGTGATTCCCCTGCCTAAGCCTCCTAAGTAGCTGAGATTACAGATGTGTGCCACCACGCCCGGCTAACTTATTTTTTTTTTAGTAGTAGAGACGGGGTTTCACCATGTTGGCCAGACTGGTCTTGAACTCCTAACCTCAGGCAGTCCGCTGGCCTCAGCCTTCCAAAGTGCTGGGATTACAGGCATGAGCCACCACACCTGTCCAAAGTTAATGATTTTCAAAGCTTAGCCAGTGCCTGGCACACAGTACATGTTCCAAAAATTATTTTCACCACTCAATGATTTAAACTTTAAGTAAATCTGTGTGTGATATTTATGTTCCAGAAATATAAGCCATATTTATCCTGTAGCATTATATGTATATACCACAGTTAGGCAGCACTGATCAAATTAAAATCCCCTATCTTGATGAATGGAAAAGCAAAGTCTGGCTTATCCACATAAGGGAATCTACTCATCAATAAAAAGGAACAAACTATTAGTACATACTACAACATGGATGAACCTTACAAACATCATGCTGAGGGAAAGAAGCTAGGCTCAACAGAACACATATTGTATGATCTCATTTATACAAAATATCCAGAAAAGGAAAATCTACCGAGATGAGAAATAGATTTGTGGTTCCTGGGGTTATGGATGGGATGTGGATGAACAGTAAATGGGTATGAGAGATCTTACTGGGGTAACCGAACTGTTCCAAAACTGATTTATGGTGAAGGTTGTACAACTTGGTACATTTATTAAAAATCATTGAATGGGTGAGTTATATGACTTTTAAACTATGCCTCAATAAAATTGGATAGAACAGGAATTGAACTACTGAGACATGCAACAGGAAGTATGAGCCTCAGCTGGGCGCAGTGGCTCACACCTATAGTCCCAGCACTTTGGGAGGCCGAGGCGACCACTCGAGGTCAGGAGTTCGAGACCAGCCTGGCCAACACGGCAAAGCCCCATCTCTACTAAAAATATAAAAATCAGCCGGGTGTGGTGGTGCACACCTGTAATCCCAGCTACTCGGGAGACTGAGGCAGGAGAATCACTTGAACCCAGCAGGCGGAGGTTGCAGTGAGCCGAGATGGCTCCACTGCACTGCAGCCCAAACAGCAGAGCGAGATCTTGTCTCAAAAAAAAAAAAAAAAAAAAAAAAGCTGAACACAGAAGCTTCCATATATATGGAACATTAAAAAAAAAAAAGAATCCAATCTACTTCTGAGAAAGCAGGTCAGTGGTTTCCTGGGACTGGGGCTGGGACTGGGGCTGAGAGGGGATTGGCTGGGAGGGAATACAGGGGAACATTTTAGAACGATGAAAATGTTCTACATCCTGATTGTGGCAATGGTTACACAGGTGTATACCTTTGTCAAAACACATTGAAATGTGTGCTTTAAACGGGTGCATTTCCTTGTATGTAAATTATACCTCAATAAAGTTATTTTTGTAAAACTCATTTGTATGTGATGAAAGAGGACTGGAACTAAAAAGTGCCAGATCAAAGGCCGCACAAAGAACCAGTTGTGAGCACCAGGGCCTCATCATCTCAGCTTTCACTAGGCCACACAGACCACCCACTTCAAGCCAAGGTCAGTCGGGAAAGCCACGATTGGGGAACTGGAACCCAGAGGGTCATCAGAAGTCTCTCCCACCTTAAGATTCAGGAGGTCTCAGGACATACGGATTTCGTGATGGATCTGATCTCAAAGCATTAAGCTGGTCTCTACCATCCCCAGTGGACACAGGAAGAGAGGGAGGATCACCTTGGTTACCCCTGTGATGCCGACGGGGTCATGGTGGCCACATGAACGTGTCTGGAACCACATGGGTGGACAGATGCCTCCAACTGTCATCAAGAGAAAAAGAGACAGCAGTGAGAGAATAAATACATACCCATGGGTACAGTGGAGAATAGATGCTAAGGTCCTGTTTCAAATCACAGCGTTTCCCAAAACTGATCTCCTTGGATGCAGATCAAAAGCAAAACAGGAAACAAGGAGGTATTTTGATCAGGCCAGTGTCAACCAATACATCCTAACATGGGTTTTATGGCATGGATTCCTGTGCTGCTCTGCCACCGGCAAACTGTGTGACCTTGACCAAGTCCTTTACCACAGTGAACCTCAGTCTTCTCATCCACAAACTAAGGATAATAACAGTGCCCACCTCACAGGGTTGTCATGAGGATCAAATGAGAAGATGAATGAGACTTAGCTTGAATTCTACCATTTTCTTACATCATTATTATTATTATCACTGACCACACAGTTCATTAACACTACCCATGAGATATTCATTTTTCCCGCTAAACAGCATGTACTGTTCTTAGTAATGGATGGGCAGCTGCCAGGAAAACATACATTTGTTGCATTTTAGAATCCCTCTGGGTTTTTGGTCTTTTTCCCTGACTCTGGAATAAAATGACTACTCGGAGATCTGAGACGTACAAGAGATGTTGGCCCAAATTGCCTTGGATGAGCCAGCACCCAGAGATAACGGAAGCTCCAGAGAATAATGAAAATGTGCCACGCGCCTCGCAGGAGACATGCTGGGGGAAGCAGATGCTTCTGCAGAGGAGAATTAAAGCGCTGTTTCTTTACGAATTCAAACACAATGTCCACAAAAGAGGAGATTCAGAATTCAAATCTCCTTCAAACATGGGAACCCCTGCAGTGGAGAGAGAGGAAAGAAAACCAAGAAGAAGGAAAAGAAAGCTAAACTAACACTTATTAAGAACAGATGCTAATTGGGAGTGTCTTTATCTACATGGCAAAACAAGCTGGGTTTTATTATCCCCACTTTACAGATGAGGAAACTGAGGTTCAGTTAGAAAATAAGGCAACCAGGATTCTAAACAGGCCTCTTGGACCCCAAAGGGGCAGAGGGTGTATTCAAATAGGGGCAGGGACTGGGCGCAGTGGCTCACACCATAATCCCAGCACTTTGAGAAGCAGAGGCAGGAGAATTGCTTGAGGCCAGGAGTTCACGATCAGCCTGGGTAACAGATCAAGGCTCTGCCTCTACAAAAAATTCAAAAATTAGCTGGGCGTGGTTATGTGTACCTGTGCCTGTGGCTATTTGGGAGGCTTCAACAGGAGGACCGCTTTAACCCAGGAGGTAGAGGCTGCAGTGAACCGCGATTGCTCCACTGCATTCCAGCCTGGGTGACAGAGCAGATCCATGTATATGTGTGTGTGTGTATATATATATATATATATATATATATATATATATATATATATATGGATCTATATAGATCCATATATATATGGATTAAATGATAAAAGATCCAAGGAAGGTATATGTAAACTGCAAACTCGATGGCCATCTGCATTACTATTACTGTGAGAAAACTGGCCCATGATTGATAAATCATCTCTGTTCAGTTTATGCCGGTTGCTTTCACAGTCTGTAGGCAAATGATTGAGTTCACTTTTAGGAGAGTGGCATAGTGTAGTAGTTACAAACACATGTTTCAGAGTCAAACAAGATACGGGTTGACATCCTGACTGCACAGCTAATTCGCTGCGTGGCCCTGGGCTCATCACTTCACCTCTCTGAGCCTGTTTCCCACCTGCAATGCCTAATCCCTGCCTTATCATGGAGTCTCCATGATGCAGCACTCAGCAAGAACCTTGGTAAACGGTAACAAAGTGGTAGTTAGGGTTAGTTACTACTCATCATCTACTCCACACCTTTGAGTATACAATAGCTCAGCACCCGCCTCCCTTCCATGACTCATCTGGTAGCTTCCAGAGGGGCCCACCTGGCACCACAAGGGATAAGGGGACACCTGCCTCATCTGATCTGATCAGAGTGGGATGGGATAGGGAGACAGATGTCACTCTTAGCCAGACTTCACCTCTGCTCTTGAGAATCTCTGGCTATTGTTCCTCGGAGCTCAAGCTGACAGATGAGTCAGGCCTCAGAGACAAGGGAAGGGATCCTCTTGAAACAAAGACTGGCCTACAAGTTATTCACCAGCCCATTGAATCTGCACAATGGACCCAATGCCCCAGAAACACGCTGCTCGAACAGGCTAATAATCACCCAGGAGACAAACCAGCAGCCTCAACAGAAATAAAAGCAAATCACTAAGTATCCATACAAGACTCAGGGGCTACATAAGTGAACTCAGCTGACACCCAGTGGGTGCACGATAACATTCACTAGCTTTAGTAAGCACCTACAGGGCACCGAACATGCACTGGTTCATAGCCTCACGGCCGCTTTTTAAAACCGGGATTGTGATTGCCACTTTATAGATGAGGAAACAGGCTCAGAAAAGGGAGATTACTCCCTGACTGAAGTGGACACACATGGAGAGAAGGATTTGCACACGGACCTGCGTAACTCTCAGCTGCTTCTCTTTCCACCACTCTGCACTGTCTTGATGAATAAGTAAATTCAAAGAGTGTAATCCTGCCCTGGGAAGAAGCATGGATCACAGCCAGAGAAAGGACCTTAAAATGAAGACGCAGAAGAAAAGAAAAATTGGAAACAACTAGCAGGACCAACAATAGGGAACTGACGAAGTAGACCATGCTTATCTCCTCCATGAAACACTGAAATCTCTCATAATGATTTCTGCAAAGGTCGTAATAACATGGAGAAACACATCTGATGTAACTTTTCAAAAGCATTATACATATAATGCAATTTCTTTTCTTCTTCTTCTTCTTTTTTTTTTTTTTTTTTTTGAGATAGTCTCCGTCACCCAGGCTAGAGTACGGTGGTGTAATCTCTGCTTATTGCAACCTCCGCCTCCTGGGTTCAAGTGATCCTCCTGCCCCAGCCTCCAGAGTAGCTGGGCTATAGGCACATGCCACCATGCAGTTAATTTTTGTATTTTTAGTAAGACAGGGTTTCGCCATGTTGACCAGGCTGGTCTCGAACTCCTGACCTCAGGTGATCCACCCACCTCAGCTTCCCAAAGTGCTAGGATTACAGGCGTGAGCCACCATGCCCAGCCAATTTCAATAATAGAAAATATACCAGAGAGAAATACATGAAAATGAAGTTTTCAGGTCAGGTGTGGGGGCTCACGCCTGTAATCCCAGCATTTTGGGAGGCTGAGGCGGGCAGATCACTTGAGGTGAGGAGTTCGAGACCAGCCTGGCCAACATGCCAAAACCCCGGCTCTACAAAAAATCCAAAAATTAGCTGGGCATGGTGGCACATGCCTGTGGTCCCAGCTACTTGGGAGGCTGAGGCACAAGGATCACTTGAACCCAGGAGGTGGAGGTTACAGTGAGCCAAGATCACACCACTGCACTCCAGCCTGAGCAAAAAGTAAGGCTCTGTTTCAAAAAAAAAAAAAAGAAAGAAAGAAAGAAAGAAAAAGAAAAAAAGAAAATGGAGTTTTCTTTTTTTTTTGTCTTTTCTAAATCCTTTACAATTATCATGCATTTTATTAAACTTATTGAATTTGTCTTTTAAAATCGGAAAAAATTATAAAAATTCTCATTTATTTTTACTTATTTATTTTAGAGACAGGGGTCTCACCATGTTGCCCAGGCTTGGCTTGAACTCCTGGGTTCAAGCCATCCTCCCGCCCCAGCCTCCCAAAGTGCTGGAATTGCAGGTGTTAGCCACCGTGCCCAGCCCAAAATTCTCATTTTTAATGCAAGCATAGAGAATTATTCTCCTAAAGCTGGCGGTAAGGGGTTATGGTTGTTTTGGGGGACTGTGAAGACTTCACCACTCTTCCCTGTTAAGGAGTAGGGTTAAGGCTTAAAATGAGTAGATTTCAGAACAGTTCTCAATGGCAAGGATCACTAAATAGTAAAATAGGCGGGCATGGGGGACATGGAAGGTGTTTACATAAAATGCTTTCAACATGAAATTAACCAAACTTAGAGTGGGATCAATTCAATGCCACACAAAGCTAGGAGCTGGCAAAGTGTCCGGAAATGGTTTGCCCAGGCTGCTGGATGATTCTGCCTAGAAAGTTGAGGGGCGAGGTGGGGGCACTCTTCCCTCAACCAAGCATCTGCCCACCTGCAGGATGAGGATGAGGAGGTCTGAGTAAACATCAGATACCCAGCCCCACCCCAAACCTGCTGACTCATCCTCCTTGCCACGTGGCTCAGACATCTGCTTACTGGAAGCAACGCCCCTAAAGTCTGAGAACCACCGTCCTCAGGTTTCCCTGTCTGTCAAGTGGAATTACTCATCCCTGCCCTGCGTCTACCCCCGCCTCCCTCCCTGGGCCATCGCGGGGCTCCCAGATGCTCCCAAATGGGAATGCGCTTTGCAAAGCACTGAGTCCAGAGCAAGTGTTTTGCTTTGAGTCGTGCTCAGTCCCAGCCTGGCCCCGAGAAAAAACAAAGCCGTTCCCTCAAGTTCTCTCGCAGTCCTCCCTCTCATACTTCCTCCCCTCCCGCCGCAGCAGGTGGGGGCGTTTTCCCCGCGGCGGCACTGCAGTGGGGTGTGCGCGCCAACAATCCCAGGCGCCGGGCAGCCTCGGATCCGGAGCCTGGGATGAGGGTGGGGAATCCAGGGCGCGCCCCCCAGGCCTCCTCCTGCACAATCCCAGAAACAATTTCTCTACCCCAGGGCCCTCCGCTGGAAGAGGGGAAAGGTCTGGCCCCTTTCTTCCCAAATCCCCAGCCTCTCCAGGGAGTGTCCTGGAGCCGAGGAGAGGTAGAGAGAATCGAGCTGGTGGGTTGCGGGATCTCCTCAGACCCTTTAGGAGATGCAACATGGGCTTTAGAGTCCTACATATCTGGATTCACAATCACTGGCTGTGTGACCTTGGAGGTGTCGATAACCCTCTCTGAATCTCCATTTCTTCATCTTTAAAATGGGGTTGTTTCTTACCACCTCGTGGGACTGTTGTGATAACGCTTGCAAAGCACCAAGCACGTCCCTGCGTAGAGTAACCTCTCCATAAACTGATGTCACTGTTGTTTTCAACGAGGGTGGGTTACCTACCAGCCCTCTCCATCCTTTTGGAGCCAAATTTGACGCCGGACATCTGGGAAGTGAAGGAATGGCAGGCTCGGGGGGTTGGGTCGGGGGCGGGCTGAGTATGAGGGAAGGGGAGCTCAAGGACCCTGCCCCACCGCCCCACCCCCACCTCCAGTTCCGAGACCCTCTGGCTCTGCCCGTGGCTTGGCCAGTTAATTGCTAACCTGGTGGACCGAGAAGGTCCGCGGGTCCACCTCCCAAATTGTGTCTTGTGTCGTCGGAAGGAAAGGGTCTTTGTTCCCCCTCATAATCATGATTGCAAGATCCCCATTCGCACTGGACTCCTAAAGCATCCTCCCCTTGCCTGACCTCACCCCCCATCCCAGCCAGAGTCTTGGCTGTGTTTGAGAATTACAGGCTGTAAAGCCTCTTCATCCATCCAATGCGGGACACTTCAGGCGGCGTTGCATCCCTGAACCCAGCCCTGGGACTCTGGGACCTACCCTCGACCCCAGCCTTGGGGAATTAGGCTGTTCCCCGTTAGGGGACAAGGACACTTGGGAAGGAAGGCTTCTAGGATGGGGCGACGTCTTACCTCGGGTCCGCGGTCCTGCGGCGCTAGTGCAGAGGGCTCTTTGTGCCCCGGCTCACAGCGCAGAACTGGGGGAGCCCCTGCAAGCGCCTCCCATCTCAAACTCCTCCCCGCACTCGTCCGCAGCCTCCCTCCCTCTGGTCCCGCGAGCGCAGCCGGCGTCGTCTTTGTAGCTGCTGCAGCGCCCATGAAATTTTAATGCGGGAGCGGCTGGCGGGCGGAGGCGCCCCACCCCCGGCCCTCACCTCCACCCTCCTCCCGCCTCCTTGCGCCCCTACAACCTCACACCCAACCCCTCCTTACCCGCGCCCAGAGTCCTGGCCAGGAAAGCGGGGTGCAACCG
Organism: Homo sapiens; assembly: GCF_000001405.40. Taxonomy (NCBI): domain Eukaryota; kingdom Metazoa; phylum Chordata; class Mammalia; order Primates; family Hominidae; genus Homo; species Homo sapiens. The sequence continues at coordinate 26,657,314 of NC_000022.11, read as the reverse complement.
GTCTTGGAGGGAGCACTCCGCAGCCCCCGCCGCACAAAGGGGCTAGCTGGCCGGTGCGCTCAGCCTCCCGCATCCCCACCCGCGGCGCTGTCATGGCAACGCTTGCCCGTCCACATTAGGCCGCAGAGAGCTCAGGGCTGGAGAGGCGCGGGGGCTGCGCGCGACCGCGGACCAGGGGCGCAGAAGCCTGAACCCCGGAGTAAGAGGACAGAAGACGCTTGTTCTGGCATAGCGCCAAGGGCTTAACCAGGAAGACCTCGGGTGTATGCCTCTTTATGCACATGGTTATGGTGGAGTCCAGATTTGAACCCATAACTGTTAACTTCATGCGTGTACAGCATTTGGCCTAACAACATTTATAGGTTTAATCTTGAATTTTTTATTATTATTTATTCTTATTGTTTTAGAGATGGGACCTCACTCTGTCACCCCGGCTGAAGTGCAGCGGCACAATCATAGCTCACCGCACCCCCCCGAACTCCTGGGTTCAAGCAGTCCTCCTGCCCCCGCCTCAGCCTTCGGAGTAGCTGGGACTACAGGCGCGAGCCACCGCGCCCGGATTAGTCTTTTATTTAACTGCCCTCTTCTTAGTACCTACTATTTTCTAGAGTAGGGATGCTAGGAAGTGGTCCTGAAGTAGTGGTTCTAGAGTTGCAGCATCCACATTGCTTGAGAACGTGTTAGAAATCCAATTCGAGGCCAGGCGCGGCGGCTCACCCCTGTAATCCCAGCACTTTGGGAGGCCAAGGCGGGTGGATCACCTGAGGTCAAGAGTTCAAGACCAGCCTGGCCAACATGGTGAAACCCCATCTCTACTAAAAAATTAGCCGGGTGTGGTGGCGGGTGCCTGTAATCCCAGCTACTCGTGAGGCTGAGGCACTAGAATCACTCGAACCCGGGAGGCGGAGGTTGCAGTGAGCCGAGGTCGCGCCACTGTACTCTAGCCCGGGTGACAAGAGCCAGACCCCATCTCAAAAAAAAAAAAAAGAAAAAGAAAAGAGGCCGGGCACGGTGGCTGGCTCACACCTGTAATCCCAGCACTTTGGGAGGCCGAGGCAGACAGATCACCTGAAGTCAGGAGTTCGAGACCAGCCTGACCAACATGGAGAAACCCCGTCTCTACTAAAACTACAAAATTAGCCAAGCGTGGTGGCACATGCCTGTAATACCAGCTACTCTGGAGGGTGATGCAGGAGAATCGCTTGAACCGGGTAGGCAGAGGTTGCGGTGAGTCGAGATCATACCATTGCACTCCAGCCTGGGCAACAAGAGCGAAACTCCATCTGAAAAAAAAAAAGAAAAGAAAAGAAAAGAAAAATACAATTCAGGCTGGGTGTGGTGGCTCACGCCTGCCTGTAACCCCAGAACTTTGGGAAGCCTGGGGGACAAGCTTGCTTGAGCCCAGGAGTTCCAGACCAGCCTGGGCAACAAAGCGAAACCTTATTTCCACAAAAAATACAAAAAAATTAGCCAGGCCTGGCGGTGTGTGCCTGTAGTCCCAGCTGCAGTGAGCCCTGGGGAAAGAAAGGAAGGCCCAGACATCTATGTTTCAGTAAGCCCACCAAGGAATTCTGATGCACACTCAAGCTGGAGAACCACTGTGCTAGAACATTCCAGCGACCTTCAGAACCAGACTATTCCGGGTTTACATTTCAGTTCTGCCCATGCCTCTGACCAAATGTGACCTTAGGCAAGCTCCACACCCTTCCTCAGTTACTTGTCCATAAAGTAGAGATAATAATGGAATCCACATCATCAGGCTAAATGAAGGAAGTGTGATTAGCACAGTTGCTGGCACCTAGTAAGGGCTCACGACATATTTATATTATTAAACTACAACATCTCTTTTGTCACATTTCTGTGAATATTGTTTATCATCTTCATCGCTCACATAAAGAGGCTCAGAGAGGCAATGAGAGCTGCCCACAGACACCGTAAGGCACTCAGGTAGATTTAAGCCTGTCCTTTTAGATTCCAACTTCCCCAGCTTTCTCTGGACTACACATCTGTTGCTGGGACCAGCCCTGGTCTTCAGAAAATACAAACCCAATTCAACAAACCTATAAAACATTTCCAATGTGCCCAGCCCAAGACCATTGCAGGAAGCTTGAGAGTCCCAAGGAGGCTTTAGACACAGCCTCCTACCCTGACAGAGTTAACAGTCCTGCCAGGGTGGTAAGACCCATGTGAAAGAGTTAGAGAAAAGGCAAGGCAGTGTGTGGTCACAGCATTGCCCAGAGTATGCAGCCCACTATCAGGGTGGGACCAATGTAATCACAAAAGTCCTTTTTTAAAAATGTTTTGGCCGGGCGCAGCAGCTCACGCCTGTAATCCCAGCACTTTGGGAGGCCGAGGCGGGCGGATCATGAGGTCAGGAGATCGAGACCATCCTGGCTAATACGGTGAAACCCCATCTCTACTAAAAAATACAAAAAATTAGCCGGGCATGGTGGTAGGCACCTGTAGTCCCAGCTACTCGGGAGGCTGAGGCAGGAGAATGGCGTGAACCCAGGAGGCGGAGCTTGCAGTGAGCCAAGATCACGCCACTCACTCCAGCCTGGGCAACAAAGTGAGACTCTGTCTCAAAAAAAATTTAAAAATAAATAAATAAATAAATGTTTTGAGACAAGGTCTTGCCCTGTTGCCCAGGCTGGAGTGCAGTGACAAGGATCATAGCTCACTGCAGCCTTGAACTCTTAGGTTCAAGGGATCCTCCTGCCTGAGCTTTTGTCATCACACAGGTCTACGACTTCCCCCTAATTCACCAGTCTAGTCTCCCTAGACACAAACAAAAAGGGAAATATAATTTGGCATGACACATTCTAACTGAATACAGGGGATCCATAGAGGTCACCACTTCCTTTCTTAAGTATTCCCAAGCCACCTGTTTTATAATCCATTCCCAAATTCTCCTGACTGTCAGTCTATCATTTCCAATATCTACTTGGAAAAAAATGAAGCCACCTGTTCACCCCAAACTTTCACACTTCATCCTATACCCTGGGGCTTCTTAAGGATGAGCAATAGTGAATCTATGATCCTATCTCCAAGTATCTTTGGTTCTAGAGATATTATAATCAAACTTAGGTTTGGCTGCTCACTGCTTGAAAGCCAGACACCAGAGATAAGGGCTGATGGGAGGAAAATCAGGTTTACTTAAAGAGCTAGCAAAACCAAGAAGTTAATGGACTATTTATTGTTCTAAAGTACCATATTAAGTCATATTAAGTCAGTACAAATTTTATGCTGTTTTTATGCTAAAGTCAAGTGGAAGAGGCTCACCGTGGTGGCTCACGCCTGTAATCCCAGCACTTTGGGAGGCGAGGTGGGCGGATCACCTGAGGTCAAGAGTTTGAGACCAGTCTGGCCAAGCATGGTGAAACTCTGTCTCTACTAAAAATACAAAGATTAGCCAGGCATGGTAGCGTGCACCTGTAATCCCAGCTACTCAGGAGGCTGAGGCAGGAGAATCACTTGAACCTGGGAGGCGGAAGTTGCAGTGACCTGAGATCGCACCACTACACTCCAACCTGGGCAACAGAGCAAAGGGGAAGAGAAGGGAGGTTGAATTGGGATCAACAGATGACCAATTACCACTGACACCTGGGCACCAGTGAGGGTCCAAGAAGGTTGTGAACTTCTTTGTCCTTGGTCAGGTCACAATGCTTTTATAAATCTTTCACAAAACATAGATGATTTACATACTTCTCCTTTAATCCCAGAGTTAGTTTTTAAAAACTACGTGATTGCTTTTTTCTGCATATTATCTCAGTGCTCTAAAATTATCCTAGCCTACGTACAGGAATGGGAAAAGGCCCCTTAAACAAAAATTGAGTTAGTTATGTTAGTTCTTTTGCTGTTTCGCTGTTACAAAATCTTTTCAAGGCAAGCAGTGGGGAGGTGGCGGAGGGGAGCAAAAGGGGTGACCATTAGAGGATACCGTGGCTCACTGCAAATAGACTGTAACTCAGATGGACTCGGGACAAGCCGTGAACTGAGTAACGCAAGGAAGGAGTGGACCCTCATGTTCAGCAGATGCCAATACCTGTGTGGCCTCCTCTGCTCCCAGTTCTCTAACATGGTACATTTCTGCATCATGGGGTAGACCAGACTAGCCCTTCTGGGGGATTCAGCTGGTCCTTTGCCCTCATTTTGCCCATCTGTTGAGTGCCTTTGTGGTGAGCAAAGTCTTCCCTAGCATCTTCCATTTCCCTACGGAGGGTTGGACATCCTTTGCAGTTCATGCTTGGTTTGAGAAGTAGAGCTGGCATCCTTCTCTCCTCCCCATCAATGTAACTGTGACCCTCACCTTATCCTGTGGGTAGACTTAGGACATATGCTAGGAAGAGCAAGCCCCGAGATGGTAAACACCTTCCAGGAAACATGTGTAGGGCTAACTTGGACCCCAGGAGCCCATAAGATAAGAGTACCCCAAAGAGACACGTCAGTATTCCTGCTCTGCATGATACCACTCTGAAACCCCAGATTTCCAGGAGAATTCTGACACTGACAACATATCAAGGAAAGGGGAGCCTGAGTCTCTCTTCTCTTTAGTCCTAGAACAGCCCTTGGAGAAACAAGAGTGGCTCTGGAGGCCAGGGTTCCCATTGCAATTCTGTTATCAGCCCACTGGGTGCCTCTTTAAAAAAAGAGAGAGAGGGCCAGGCGCAGTGGCTCATGCCTGTAATCCTAGCACTTTGGGAGGCCGAGGGGGGCAGATCACAAGATCAGGAGTTTGAGACCAGCCTGACCAGCATGGTGAAATCCCCGTCTCTACTAAAAATACAAAAATTAGCCGGTCATGGTGGCGGCGCCTGTAATCCCAGCTACTCAGGAGGCTGAGGCAGGAGAATTGCTTGAACCCGGGAGTTGGAGGTTGCAGTGAGGTGAGATCATGCCCACTGCACTCCAGCCTGGGTGACAGAGTGAGACTCCGTCTCAAAAAAAAAATAAATGAATGAATAAATAAAGAGAGAGAGAGATAGGAAATTCACATAATCTAAGGTCGGGCACAATGCCTCACACCTGTAATTCCAACGCTTTGTCAGGTTGAGGTGGGAAGATCGCTTGAGTCCAGGAACTCAAGACCAGCCTGGGCAACATAATGAGATCGACCCCCGGCTCCACCGCATCTCTACAGAGACCTTTTAAATATTAGCCAGGCATGGTAGTGTGTGCCTGTGGTCCCAGCTACGTGGACGGCTGAGCAAAGAGGATCACTTGAGCCTAGGCGTTAGAGGCTGCAGTGAGCTCTGATTGCACCACTGCACTCCAGCATGGGCAACAGAGCAAAACTCTGTCTCAAAAAGAGAAAGAAACAAACAGAAAAGAAAGGGAAGTCGCATCCTCTAAAACTAACCATTTAAAGCGTATGATTCAGTGGCCCTGAGTACATTCACGATGTAATGCTGCCACCAGGTCTAGCTAGTTCCAAGACATTTTCATCACCCCCAAAATAACACCCCACACCCTTAAGCGGTTACTTCCCAGTTTCCCCTCCAGCCCATTGTCATATGTGACCTTTTGTGCTGGCTTCTTTCACTCGGCATAATGTTTTTGAGGTTCATCCACATTGTAGCATGGCTCAGCACTTTATTCCTTTTATGACTGAATAATATTCCATTGTATGAACAGAACACAATTTATTCATCCATTCATCCACTGATGGACATATGGGTTGTTTCCACCCTTTGGCTAATCTGAATAGCGCTGCTATGAACAGGCATGTGCAAGTATTTGTTTGAATCCTTCTTTTCCGTTCTTTTGGGTACGTACCTCTCTGTTCCACGTTTCCTTTTCTATTCCCCCACCTTGCCTTAGTCAGAGGGATTATGGAGTCAGTAGCAAGGTGGGCTTCCTCACATACACCCTCCCATGTTCCCAGCTCCACTTCTCTGCCGGGCCACACCTGTAGCCCTTGGAGGAAGGGCTCTGGGCAAGGCCAAATTTTGTCTTCCCTCCAGCCATGTTACTGATGGAGACTGGTCCATCAGGGGATCAGGGGATCTCTTTTCTGACAGCTGTCCCCTGAGCAAACAGCTCCTGGTTTTACCCAGATAGAAAATCTCATTTGAGTCATCAAAGCGGCCATCTTTACCTGTGGTGAGCATGGGGCTCCCTGAGTTCAGCAGTGAGTGATTGTAGAGCAGAGGAGAGGAGAGCTGCATTTGGTATGGCCCAGAAAGAATGTGCCTTTCAACAATTCCCTGAAACTACAAAATTATTTCCCTGCCACCCCCTCCCCGGCCCTGTAATCACCATCAGATGCAATGAACTTGACCCCTTGCCCACTTACTTGCCAGAAGACTTTCCAAGTGCTTTACCCACACTCTGTCTTAGCACCCTCTAAGGAAGTATCGGTGTCATCTCCAACTGGTAAGGAAAGCGAGGCTTAGAGAGGGAAAGTGACTTATCCGAGGTCAGCCAGCTAGAATGTGTGTAGTAAACCTGAGATTGAAACCCAGTGCTGTCTGATTCCAGAAGCTGCCCTCAGACTCTCTGAAAACCCATCTGCATCATCCTGAATCCTTTTTTCCCCTAGGAAGGGATGTACCACCCCTCAGCCAGCTGAACAATGACCCCACTGCCATGCTTGGGTCACTCCAGGGTCTGTTCATCTGGGCATGGGCTCAGGATCAATGCCATGGTCAACTAGAGCTCAGTGGTCTCCAAAATCTTATCTCTGTCCTGCCCCCAGTGGCGCCTAAATGTGTGAAAGTCAGCAGTCTCTCTAGATAAAGGATAAATGGGGATTATAAGCCTGGATCACCCCAGATACAGATCCTGAGACACGGATTCAAATGCAAGTTGTTTATTTAGGAGGTATTGGTACCAGGAAGCCTTGGTAAGGGAGCAGGTTAGGGAGACAGGGAAGAGGAGAAATCTGGAATAGGTACATTAAAGAGGATACTTGTCAGCAAGGACAGTCATAACAAAATACCATAGACTGGGGTGTCTTAACAAACAACTTAAGGAGGCTGGAAGTCCAAGACCAAGGTAGAAGCAGGGTCAACTTCTCCTGAGGCCTCTCTCCTCGATTCACAGATGGCAGCTTCTCACTGTGTCCTCATGTGGTCTTTTCTCTGTGCACACACAACCCGGGTGTCTCTCCCTCTTCTCATAAGGACATTGGTCCTGTCAGATTAGGGTCTCACCCTTTCTACCTCATTCTACCTTAATTACTTCTTTAGAGGCCCTATCTTCCAATGTAGTCACATTGGGGGTTAAGAATTCAACATAAGAATTTGAGTGGAGAGAGCACAATTTACTCCATAACTATGAGCAAGTTGTTAGCGACTAGAACTCAGTCCTGCTGAGGTCTTCTGGGAGACTGTCGGACACACCCGACATGTCCTACCCCAGGTCGAGGATGTCGTGGAACTCCTCCACTCACTTTTTTTTTTGAGACGGAGTCTCGCTCTGTTGCCAGGCTGGAATGCAGTGGCATGATCTCGGCTCACTACAAGCTCTGCCTCCCAGGTTCAAGCAATTCTGCTGCCTCAGCCTCCCGAGTAGCTGGGACTACAGGCGCATGCCACCACACCCAGCTAATTTTTGTATTTTTAGTAGAGACGGGGTTTCACCATGTTGGCCAGGATAGTCTCAATCTCTTGACCTCGTGATCCACCCGCCTCAGTGTCCCAAAGTGCTGGGATTACAGGCGTGAGCCACTGTGCCCTGCCCTCCACCTGCTTTTATCTCTTATGGTTGAAGGATGATCCCTGGACATCAACTTCTTGCCACCTCCAGGCTGCCCCTTGCACAGACCAAGCATGTGCCCTCATCCAATTGACACAACAGCTCCCATGAGCTGGGCACTGTTGTCTGCCTTGGGCACACAAGGAAACAGGGTTTGAGAAGTGATGGGCAGCACCCGGGGCCTGGTCTCCTTCAGTCTGCAGGAATAGTGGGGAGGAATCCACCAGGGACTGCCAGGCTCTTTGCCACCTGACACTCTGTCTTGTTTCCTTTCTCTGCCTTCCTCCCAGCCAGGGCGGGCAGTGAATACATGGACTCAGGAGTCAGACAGAACTAAATTTGAATCCCACCCTTGCCCCTTACCCACCATGTGACTTTGGGTAGGGAACTTCAACCCTCTGGGCTTCAGTTTCCTCTTCTGTAAAACGGAGATTACATAACCTCACTTGCAGGGCTTTTGAAAGAACTAAGTGGTCTGAGTGCAGAAAACACATGGCCCTGTCACATTGCTCAGTAAATGCTCTCTCTCTCTCTCACATTAGTATGAAATATGACTTTGAACTATTATTTTTCTGAATTTTTTCCTCCTTCCTGTGAATATTCTGTGGTTCCTGCTCCCAGTTTTTGGGCCTCATGCAAGTGATTTGACTTCAGCCTGGTAGTCTCTCTCTCTCTCTCTCTCTCTGTCTCGCTCTCTCGCTCTCTCCCTCTCACTCTCTCTCTCTCTTTCTCTCTCAAGGCCATTAGAGACTCCCCACAAGACCTAGAGTTCTTATACCTGGTTAGTTATTATAAAGGATCTTAGAAGCTAAACAGACACCAACACTGTCTGCAGTGCACACACATATCAAGTCCAGTCCACAGACACAGTTGCTGTTCTTTCTGCGTGAGCAGATGCTGTTGCTTTGACTATAATTCAGGGCAGTGTAGATACTCTACTACATTAGCGGCACTTAAAAAAAATTATCAGGTCTTTTCTCCATTGGCAGGACCTGAAAATGTATCCTCTACTTTATGGAGTCTATGACCCATTTTCCATTAAGACAAAAAAAAAAAACAAAACCCCATCAAACTATGAAAGTCCAGGGACCACTGGTTTCCCCCAGCATCTGTATTTTATGGTGCACACAGCAAGGCTCAGGAGGCCAGGAGACCTTGCCTGAGGTCGCAGGGAGCCTCCCCCTGCCCCCAGGCTCCCTGCTCCATGCACCTCGCCTCTGCCTCTCTTTTGTCTCCAGCGTGTGCGCTTGCCTACGTGCGTGCAGGGCCGTGTCTCCATCCCTGCTGCTTCTTTGTCTGGCCTTTTGTGTCCAGACAACAGAGAAGCGGGGCAGAGTGTGTGTTGCTCTCATCCATCTGCAAACAGACCCCCTCCAGACGCCCTGCACCTGCTCCCGGGCCCTCCCAGTCGCCCCAGCAGGTGCTGCAGCCTGGCCATCCTCTCCCTGCTGCAGTGGCTTCTGCTACTGCTTCTGCTGAGGCTGAGAGAAAGGTGCAGACCGCAGCCGCCAGCACAGCGGCTGCCTTCCCTCCTCCCCGCCCGCCTGCCGCCACCCCTCTCAGCCACAGGAGATGAGTCTCATCTTTTTTCCTGTATGGACAGCTGCTGACAGAGCCAGAGATGGGGCTAGAAGGAATTGGGATGGGGAAGACAAGCTCTGCAGGAGACTTTACAAAAACACCCTTCCTCCAGTTTCACACTCACCCTTCCTTCTCCCACGGCCCCCACACCCAATGCACTCCAAGCCCCATCGATGCTCTGGAACATTCCGCCAAGTCATTCCCCCTCCCATCCCACCAAGTCACCACCACCATGGTCCTGGCCCCCAACATCCCCTACTGGGCTTCCCCCCAGTCTGTTCTCCTTGCTGCAGCAGCCTGAAGATTCTGGAAATGCAAAGCTGACCTCATCACTCCCCTGCTCGCAGCCCCTCTGGTCTCAAGATGGAGAGCAACCTTTACCTTCCCTTGCAGCCTTACCCTGCCATGGCTGGCCCCCAGCCCAAGGTTCCACCCTCATCATTCAGCACGCTCCCACCCCAGGCACACACTTCCAGGAGCAGCCCAGCCTCATGGTCTTCAGGGAACCTTCCCTGACTTTTAGGTCCCTGGATTGACTGGGGCCCCGCTCCTTCTGGGGCTGATTTCAGTTTAGAATTACATATCCATTTGCTTTTCTGTTGTACACAATCTCTCTCTCTCTCTCTCTCTCTCTCTCTCTCTCTCTCTCTCTCTCTCTCTCCACCCCCCACGTCCCCGCCGCCCCCACAACTAACCCGTGAGGTTCATCATGGGAGAAGCCTACTTTTTTGTCGCATCCCAGCATCTCCAGGGCACGGTGAAGGGTGTGCTACCCCGGAGGCCTTCCACATATGTTTGCCAGAAGAATGACTAAATCTTGAAGCTTCCAATGCTGCGGTTCTGGAGGGCTTCTCAGAAAGCACTTTATAGATGGAACAGAGACCCAGAGAAGAAAGGTGGCTTGCCTGAGGTCTCCGTTTCAATACAGCCATGCTGACGGTGTCATCCCAGGGTCTCCAGGGACCCCAGCTGCTTATGCCTTCTAAAGGTCAGTCTTTCCTTTAAAAGCCAATCAAATGTCTCAAGTGCCCACCTTGAAAGGGCTGCAGAAATGCAGTCCCCTTTCAGGGACTTACCTGGCTTGTCTGGGTTGATGATGCCGTCTTCATCTCTTGCTCTGAACATCTGTTCCTGTCACCTTGATCCTATCTACCTGTCTCTATTCCTGTGGCCTGTGGTCCTCTCTGCAGACACAGAGGCCGACTCCCACACCACCCTCATTATTCCTCATAGTACAAACAACACAAAGCTCTTGGGGAAAGCACTAAGACAGTTTGGGGCAAATAATAACACTTACTGAGCATTTACTGTGTTTCAGGTTCTGGGATAAATGCTATAAATGCAATAGCTATTAACAGTCCAGTGATGCCGGGGACACACAATCTCTCCCCATTTTATAGACAAGGAAACTGAAGATAAACAGACACAACTAGAAGGGATCTGAGCCAAATTTCAGTCTCAACAATCTGCATCCAGATCCTGGCCGCATAGAGCCCTCTCCCTGACCCTGTCCCACGACACCTTCTGAGGCTCCCATCATCTTCCACCTGGTCAGCAACCCCTGTACAGTCCTCCCTGCCTCTCGTGGTTCCTGTCTACTCCAGCCTGCCCACCCCCACACAGCCACGCCACAGCCGTCCTGCAGAACAGTACATTCCTTATTTATGAGATGCATCTGGGCTCTCTGCAAATCAGCTGTGAATGCCACAATGCCTGCAGGAGGGAGGCAGAGAATTCTGGAGCCAACATCTTCCAGAAGGCAGGTAGGGACTGGGCTCAGGGTACAAGGCTCTAGTAGGGGCACCCACTGGGCCTGCAGAGCACAAATGGCACTGGGGAAAAAGTGATCTGTGCTGTTGATCTCCTTTGCATCCTAGCCTGCATCACATAACTGGCAGAGAGCCTGGAGGATGGGGAGGTGGGAAATAGGGTGGACACTAATATTAATCCAGCATCTCCTGAAACACACACAAAACCCTCCAAGGCAGGGATTCTTGTGCCCACTTTATAGGGGAGGAAACTGAGACTTGCAGAAGGTAGGCAAGCTCTTTCTGAATGTATAACCTTGCTTTGTCCCTCCTGTCCCTTACAAAGAGGAGAGTTAAGGTGGCTGGAAGGATGTCCTGAACATCATCAGAAAACTAAATATAAAATAAGGTAGGAAAATGAGGCCCAGGGGAAGGAATGTGGACTCAGAGATTAAGCTCCTCTTCTAAATTCCTGCCATGCGATTCTATCCAGTTGCTAACAGTGAACTGTACGCTGGTTCCAGGTGTCCTGGAAGACAATGCAAAGAGGGAATACAATTAGTTTCACAAGTGGCCAATGTCTGCAAAGAGGAAAGAAACTAGAGGCACAGTGACAGAGCTATGGCTGGTACTGAAAACAGAGAAGGAGGTGTAGCCCCACTCCAATCTCAATCCCAGATACCTACACTTCTGGGAACTAGCTCTTGGTTCCCTTTCCACCATCCCTCTACCCCACCACCGGGGAGAGGGCGGGGTGGGGGCGGAGCAGGCGCGCAATCTGATCCCACCGTGGAGGGTGTGTTTTTATATCTTACCACCAGGTGGCAGTGCGGGGCAGGTCTCAGTAGGAGGTTTCCTAGGACAGGCAGGTTTCTTAGGAACCTCAGTGAGTGAGTGCTACAGCCTTAGGTGGAACCTCAACAAAGAAATTGATCTCCTGGGTGGAGGAAGATGGTTGCCGCCCAGGGGTTGTCCTTAAGGGCCGCGACGCAGACAGCGGTCACTTCCTGGCCGAGGGGCAGGCTCCTCGCGGCCTCCCTGGGACTCCGGGCGTGTCGTCCAGCCCCGAGGCCGGCGACGGGCAGATCCGCCTCACGGACAGCTGCGTCCAGAGGCTTCTGGAAATCACCAAAGGATCAGAATTCCTCAGGCTGCAGGTGGAGGGAGGTAGATGCTCCGGATTCCAGTACAGATGTTCACTGGATACAGTTATCAACCCCGACGACGGTATTTGAACAGGGTGGGGCAAGAGTGGTGGTTGACTCTGATAGCTTAGCCTTCGCGAAAGGGGCCTAGGTGGACTTCAGCCAAGAACTGATCCGAAGCTCATTTCAAGTGTCAAACAATCCTCAAGCACAGCAAGGCTGCTCCTGTGGGTCATCCTTCTCTGTCAAACTTTGATGCGATGACAGGTGACTCTGAGATTGTCACCAGTTGTACCAATTTGAGGAACGTGGAATTAGTAGAATTCTAGAAGTTTCCTTCTAATCATGTCCCTCTCCATTTTATTTCCCACAGTCCAGGAGTATTGTGTTATGCCACTATTATTTTCAGAACGGGAAGATTTTACTCTTGGCTTAATTTTTCCCTCCAACTCCCCTCAGTGCTAAGGCTGAGCCTCCAGATGCTGTTACCTCAGATTTAATCACTAGCTGAAACTCCATATAATCTGTAGAGCCTCCACAGCTCTAAAATTTGGAATTAACTTCTCTGGCCTTAAGAGCTGCTTGTACATATGTGGATAGCTATGTATAAAAGCTTCATTTAAAAAAAAAGAAAGAGAAGAAATTGATCTCCTGCTCTGCCAGAATGAAGAGCCCTGGACAGAGAATCAGGAGCCCAGAATTCAAATCCCAGCTCTGCTTCCAGGGCTCTGTGCAAACCGGAGCACATCAACTTGCCTTTTCAGTGTTGGTCTTTTCATCTGAGAAAGGGGGAGATTTATGGAGGGAGGAGGAGACTGAGACCCAGCAATGGAGGACGATCATGGCCAATGAAGCCTGGGACAGGCAGAAGTGGAGAGAAAGAATTTCCAAACTAGAGGAGAAAAAAAAAAAGAGGGGGTAAAGGGCCCATTTCCAGGAAGGTGAGCTCTGCTTTGTGTCTTCTGGTTGGTTCGGGGGAGTAAACTAGTCAGGACTTTTTCAAATGGAAATGACAGAAACTCATCTTAAAATGTCTTGGTAGAACCAAAAAAAAAAAAAAAAAAAAAACGCAAACCAGGGAGAGAGTGTTCTTTGGCTCCTGTGATAAAAAGCGAATGGGAGTGGGGCATGGTGGCTCACGCCTATAATCCCAACACTTTGGGAGGCCGAGGTGGGCAGATCACCTGAGGTCACGAGTTCGAGACCAGCCTGGGCAACACAGTGAAACCCCATTGCTACTAAACGTACAAATATTAGCCAGATGTGATGGTGCACGCTTGTAATCCTGGCTACTCGGGAGGCTGAGGCAGGAGAATCACTTGAACCCAGCAGGCAGACGTTGCAGTGAACTGAGATCACACCATTGCACTCCAGTCTGGGTGATAGAGTGAGACTCTGTCAAAAAAAAAAAAAAAGCAAATGGGGTGTTTGCAATAACAAGATGCTTGAGCTCATTCTCACCATCTCCAGCCTCGGCTTTCTCCTGCACCAGTTTTGTTTGCAGGGTGGCTTTGATGGCAAGGTCCAAAATTACATCCTATGAGCTTCTTAAGCTCTGCTCAAAGAGAGCTGTTCTTTCTGAATTGATCCAACCAGAGTTTTAGAGCCGATTCTCACTGGCTCAAATTGGATCACGTGCTCGTCCATCCTGAACCCAATCACGATGACTATTATTGGCCAAACCTGGGTTATGTCCTCCCTTTTGGAATCAAGATGGGTCAACCCCATTCAGTGACTTGAGTCAGAGAAGAGGAAGGGTGATTGTTTAATCTAAAACTGAGGGTCCACCCAGAAGCTGCTAAAGGTCCGGGGAGGATAAAATAGCAGAAGGCCACCTCCCTCCAGTGGGGAGGAACCTGTCATGACCCACAGGCCTGCCTCCCTGATGTTTTGTGTCAAGAGAAGATTCCAGGAACTCACAGCAGAAAAAGGAAGGGCCTCTCCACCCCCTCCCCTATTTCCCCTCTATTAATCTTCTAATTACAGTAACTGGTAAACAGAGGCCCCAGGAAGTAGGAGCGGTGGGTGGGGATTCACCACCCGCAGGCCGGGTGGGGGCCTCACTTGCTCAGTTTCCTCCCGGCTGAGGTGAGGGGCCAGCCCCCTGGTGGCTGCTGACTCAGAGATTGTGGATGTGTGAGGGCCTCACCAGGTGCCCAGCACAGAGCAGAGCGCTCAGTAGATGCCGTCTCTCCTTTCCACAAATGGCTGTGGTGAGGGTGGTTGTTACTGGAATCATCACTGCTTTTGTCCTTGTTAATAATGAATACGCATTCCATACAGGCCTCTCTCAGGGGAGCACAAACAAAAGCTTGCCAGTGCTCCTTTTCTCTCTCTCCATCTCTCTCTTTCCCCTTGGTCTCTCCACTCTCCTCTCTCTCTTTCTCCTGTTTCTCTTGCCTCTCTCCCCACCTCCTCTCCTTCTTTCTCTGTCTCTCTGTCTCTCCCCTCTCTCCCCACTGTCTCCCTCTCTCTCTTTGTGTCTCTCCCCATCTTTCTCTCCCCTCTCTCCCCTGACCCCTACTCTCTCCTCTCTCTCCCTCTCTCTCTTCCCTCTCTCCTCTGTCTCTCCCTTCTCTCTCCCTCCATTTTTCTCTTCTCTCTCTTCTCAGTCTGTCCCCCCACCTCCTCTCTCTCCCTCTTTCTCTCTTTCTCTGGCCTCTCTCTCTCCCCTCTGACTCCCTTCCTCTTGTTCTCGCCCCTCTCTCCCTCTCTGCCTCCCTCCCTTCCTCTCATAAACACACCCTAGATGTGTAGGATCTTCAGCTTCTCACCCCCTTTCACGCTAGGTGGTTGTGTTCCTTTTTCTCTGATGACTCCCACTGAAGTCTTTGTCACAGCTTTGCTCTTGGGGATCTCAGTGGAGCAGTAGTGAGAGCTCAGGTAGAGGGGCAGGAGGAGGAACCAGGTCTTGATGTCACTTAGCATAATAGCATAATGTCCTGCAGGTTCATCCATGTTGTCACCAATGGCAGGATTAACCTTCTTTTTTTTTTTTTTTTTTTTGAGACAGAATCTCTGTAGCCCAGGCTGGAGTGCAGTGGCATGATCTCAGCTTACTGCAACCTCCTCCTCCTTCACTGGGGTAGAGGGGGCAGGAGAGGGAGAAAGGGAAGAATAAGAAAGACGTGTGTGTGTGTGTGTGTGTGTGTGTGTGTGTGTGTGTGTGTGTGTGTGTGTGTGTCTTACCTGATTGATCTGGCTAGAACTTCAAGCGCAATGTTGACTAGAGGTCGTGAGAGTGGTCTTCCTGATCTTAAAGGAAAAGCTTTCAGCTTTGCACTATTGAGTATGATGTTAGCTATGGGCTTGTCATATATGGCCTTTATTGTGTTGCGGTACGTTCCTTCTGTGCCTAATTTATTGAGAGTTTTTATCAGGAAAATATGTTGAATTTTATCAAGTGCTTTTTCTCTATCTATTGAGGTGATCTTATGGTTTTTGTCCTTAATTCATTAATGTAGTGATCACATCTTTGTTTTGTTTTGTTTTGGTTTTTGATTTTGGGTTTTTTTGAGACAGAGTCTCACTCTGTCGCCTGGGCTGGAGTGCAGTGGTACAATCTTGGCTCACTGCAGCCTCCGCCTCTGGGGTTCAAGTGATTCTCCCACCTCAGCCTCCTGAGTAGCTGCGACTACAGGCATGTGCCACCATGCCCGATTAAGTTTTGTATTTTTAGTAGAAACATTTTCTCCATGTTGGCCAGGCTGACCTCAAATAATGGCACCTGATCTCAGGTGATCTGCCCGCTTCAGCCTCCCAAAGTGCTAGGATTACAGGCATGAGCCACCGCGCCCAGCTCACATTTATTGATTTGTCTATGTTGACCCACCCTCGCGTCCCAGGGATAAATCCCACTTGATCATGATGAATGATCCTTTTAATGTGCTGTTGAATTTGGTTTGCTAGTATTTGGTACCTATTCTTATCAGAGATATTGGCCTGTAATTATCTTTCCTTGTGTCCTGGTCTGGCTTTGCATTCAGGATAATGCTGTAAAATATGCTTGGAAGTATTCCTTCTTCTTTATTTTGGAAGAGTTTGGGAAGGATAAGTATTGGTTTTTCTTTAAATGTTTGATGGAATTTCACCGTGAAGCCATGTGGTCCTGGTCTTTTCTTTAGTGGGAGATTTTTTTTTTTCGGGCAAAGGACTTAAATAGACACTTCTCAAAAGAAGCCATACAAATGGTCAACATATATATGAAAACATGCTCGGCATTATGAATCATCAGGAAAATGCAAACTAAAGCCACCATGGGATATCTCCTCCCACCTGTTAGAATGGCCAGTATCAAAAAGACAAAAGAGAAGTGAGGGCCAGGATGTAGGAAAACGGAACCCTTATGTGCTGTTGGTGGGAATGTAAATTAGTGCAGCCGTTATGGAGAACAGGATGGAGGTTCCTCAGAAAACTAAAAATAGAATTGCCATATGATCCAGCAATCCCACTGCTGGATATCTATCCAAAGGAATTGAAGTCAGTATGCTGACGAGATGCCTGCACCCCCATGTTCATTGCAGCACTATTCACAATAGCCAAGACAGGAATCAATCTACAGTCCATTCATCTGTCCATCAACAGATGAATGGATTTTTTAAATGTGGTGTCTATATGCACAATGGCTAAAAAAGGAGGTTATTGGGAAGCCAAGGTGGGCAGGTCACCTGAGGTCAGGAGTTCAAGACCAGCCTGCCCAATGTAACAAAGCCCTGTCTCTACTAAAAATACAAAAATTAGCCAGGCGTGGTGGCAAGTGTCTGTAATCCCAGCTACGCGGGAGGCTGAGGCAGGAGAATCGCTTGAACCCAGGTGGTGGCGGTTGCAGTGAGCCGGGATCAAGCCACTGCACTCCAGCCTGGGCAACAGAGAGAGAGTCCATCTCAAAAAAAAAAAGGAAGAAAGAAAAAGGAGGTTAATCCTGCCATTGGTGACAGCATGGATAAACCTGGAGGACATTATGCTAAGTGAAATAAGGCAGGCACAGAAGACAAATACCGTATGATCTCACTCATATGTGGAATCTAAAGAAGTTGAACTCATCAAAGTAGAGAGTGGAACGGTGGTTACCAGAAGCTGGAGGAGGGGGTGGAGGGGGAAAGGGGAGAAAGGGGAGACATCGATCAGAGGGTGCAAAGTTTCAGTTAAACAGGAGAAATAAACTCTAGTGATCTGTTGCACAGCATGGTGACTATAATAAATACTAGTGCATTGTATATTTCAAAATTGCTAAGCGTAGATTTTAAATGTGTTCATCACAAAAAAATAAGTATGTGAGGTGATGAATTTGTTAATTAGCCCAGTTTAATCATTCCACATTGTAAACACATATCAAAACATCACATTGTACCCTATGTATGTATATAATTGTTATATGTCAATTAAAAATACAATTTTTTGGCCAGGTGCGGTGGCTCACGCCTGTAATCCCAGCACTTTGGGGGGCCGAGGCGGGCGGATCACCTGAGGTCTGAAGTTCAAGACCAGCCTGACCAACATGGTGAAACCTCATCTCTACTAAAAATACAAAATTAGTTGGGTGTGGTGGCACATGCCTGTAATGCTAGCTACTCGGGAGGCTGAGGCAGGAGAATCGTTTGAACCCGGGAGGCAGAGGTTGCAGTGACTTATGATTGATCACGCCATTGCACTCCAGCCCGGGCAACAAGAGCAAAACTAAGTTTAAAAAAAAAAAAATACAATTTTTAAAATAAATCTTTTTTTTTTTTTAAAGAAAGAAAGAGAGGCGGGCACGGTGGCTCAAGCCTGTAATCCCAGCACTTTTGGAAGCCAGAATGGGCAGATCACTTGAGCCCGAGAGTTTGAGATCAGCCTGGGAAATATAGTGAGACCTATCTCTACAAAAAGAGTTTAAAAATTACCCAGGCATGGCCCAGCTACTCAGGGGGCTGAGGTGGGAGGATCACTTGAGCCGAGGAGGTAGAGGCTGCAGTGAGCTGTGATTGCTCCTGCACTCCAGTCTTTGTGACAGAGCAAGACCCAGTCTCAAAAAAGAAAAAAAGAGAAGGCTCACATTGTGGATTATTTTCAAAGCATTTTTCCAGGTATCAACTCCTCGAACCCTCATAACAGCCTTCCTCTTTAAGAGGCGAGGAAACTGAGGCTCAGTGGGGCAAAGCAGCTCACTGAAGATCACCTTACCTGGTAAACACAGGATCCAGGATTCACACCCAGGTGTGTGCAACACCCGGTGTCTTTTCTTCTGTGCTGTATCACCTACTCACAGGTGTGAGCACCTAGGGAACAGGCTGCAAGGAGCAACATGGATAGTGCCTACTGTGTGGTCTTGAACAAGTCCCCTTCCCTCTCTGGGCAAAGAGGTTGCTGGTTTGGGATCCACAGCCCTGGACCCTGTGTTCAGTCCTGTCGGCTGTGTGCATTGTTCCAGGTGATGGGTGTTCCATGCCTACCACTCACTTCTGACCAAATAGCATCAATAATTTAAGCTCTCTTTCTTTCATAACCTAAGAAAATTGGTCCCCTGGCAAGACATGAAAAATAATTTCATGCTCTGTTATCTCCCCTCTCAAGATCGCCCCTGACAAATTGTCTCTTTATTGTCTGTTGCTCTAGCATCAGCTCACATTTGGGCTCCCATTTTTTATGGTTGCCAGCCTTACTCCTGGCTCTAACTGGGGTGGCTCCTAAAATGATCACCACCAAATTTCAATTTCCTTCCTTCCTTCCTTCTTTCCCTCCTTCCTCTCTCTCTCCCTCCCTTCCTTTCCTCCCTCATTCCTTCCTCCCTTTTTCCCTCCCTCCTTCCTCCACTCCTTCCTTCCTTCCTTCCTGCAGCAAGTATGGCCCGCTTTGCCCAAGGACCTGAGGCTTTCCTATAAGAAACTCTATAGTTGTTAATACTAAAGTGTGAAGGGCTTTTTTTTTTTTTTCTCCTGAGATGGAGCCTTGCTCTGTCACCCAGGCTGGAGTGTAGTGGCACCATCTCGGCTCACTGTAACCTCTGCCTCCCAGGTTCAAGCGATTCTCCTGCCTTAGCCTCCCGAGGAGCTGGGATTACAGGTACACACCACCACACCTGGCTAATTTTCGTATTTTTAGTAGAGTCGGGGTTTCACCATGTTGATCAGGCTGATCTCAAACTCCTGACCTCGTGTTCCGCCTGCCTCGGCCTCCCAAAGTGCTGGGATTACAGGCACGAGCCACCACACCCAGCCCCTTGTTTAACTCTTTAAAGGGAGGACATGAACCCAGCAACTTATTGTTTATACATTTTATTTGTGCCCATTATCTCTTTCATCCACCCCCCAAAACCTTGCACAACCTACGGTGGGCTCAATGGTCCTGCAGGCTGGGTGGTCTCAGGCAAGTTGCTTGAACTCTCAGAGCCTCTGAGCCTCACGTCTCTGCTTTAAATAGACAATAATTGCATAAAGAAGTTACTGTGAGGTTTTTTTGTTTTTTTGTTTTTTGGTTTTTTTTGAGATGGAGTCTCGCTCTGTCCCCCAGGCTGGAGTGCAGTGGTGCAATCTCGGCTCATTGCAAGCTCCACCTCCAGGCTTCATGCCATTCTCCTGCCTCAGCCTCCCGAGTAGCTGGGACTACAGGTGCCCGCCACCACACCCGGCTAATTTTTTTGTATTTTTAGTAGAGACGGGGTTTCACCGTGTTAGCCAGGATGGTCTCGATCTCCTGACCTCGTGATCCACCCGCGTCGGCCTCCCAAAGTGCTGGGATTACAGGCGTGAGCCACCAGGCCCGGCCCTGTGAGGTTTAAATTATATCACATGTGAAAGGGATAAACACAATATGTATCATCGATATTATTATCATCATTATTCTGAGAAAGGTATGCTTGGGTAAAGGGTTTTGGGTGGAGATAAGGGAGGAGGTCAAAGCAAAGGGACCGAGAAATGTATAATAATACTAATAACAATATTAAGAATGATACTAACAATTTCCATCAACCTTTACTGAGAGCTTACCAAGTTCTTTGTGTGTACCCTGGGCACAGGCATATATATAATATATCATTTAACTTTTTGCAAGCAAGGAGATGAGAATTTCTCCATTAAAAGATGAGGAAACTGGGGTTACATGCTGGTAAACCCAGGATGCAAACCCAAACCCATGATGGCCTCTTCTGGAGGCTGGTGCCAACTCAGTCTTCCTGTCAAAGTCAAACAGTGGCCTCTCTGTGGTAGGTGCAGCAGAGCCCTCTACATCCAGTGCCTTCTAGGGCCTCAGGGGCTCTGAGTGAGGAAACTTCTAGCTGGAAGATGGTAGCCAGGCCCAGCCCTCATTCTGGGCCTCAGAGTCCACAGAGATTGACTTCATGGGCCTCTCTAAATTGTCCTCACCCCTATGTCTTCCTAATCCCATTTCCCTAGGACTGACCATGGAACCCCTTCCTGGACAGTACCCCTGCCCCTACAGCAACACTTACAACTTCCACAGTCCATTTCATAAAGCTCGTTTGGAAACTAATTCATACTAGGCTGTGAGTGGCTATCCTAGCTAACTCTAGCATTTCCTACCTTATGTTCCACAGGCCACTCATAATGCAAGGTGCTCCACAGAAGGGAAAGAACAAGTTCATAATTGTTCTGTGGTCAAATAAATTTGGAAAACTCTGAATATTCTATTCTCCCTTCCAGAGATTCACAATACATGTTAAACTATTGTAGGCACTGAGAAGTCCTGCAGTGTGGACACCAACAATACCCAAAACTAAAGCACATGATTTTTTTTTTCAAAGAACAATGTTACAACATCTGTGTAACAGTCTGAAAAATCCTGACTGAGCAGCCATGGAGGTATAGGGGAAATATCTGTATCCCTGGACAATTATATAAATTCCCCAAGGCAAGGGATTTTATCTTTGTTCCCTGTTAGATCCTGGAACCTGTAACAGTGTTTGGTACATAGCAGACATTTGATACATGTTTAATGAATGAATGAACGAATGAATGAACAAGTCTGTGTCTGAATCCTGGCTTTGCCTTTAACTTGCTGTATGGCCTTGATCAAGTCCCCACACTTCCCTGGGTTTCCATTTCCCTACGTGTTAAAAAGGGATGAAGGCCAGGTGTGGTGGCTCATGCCTGTAATCCTAACAATTTGGGAGGGTGAAGCAGGCGGATTGCTTGAGCCAAGGTGTGCGAGACCAGCCTGGGCAACATGGCAAAACCCAGTCTCTGCAAAAAACAAAAAACCTGGGCATGGTGTCATAGGCCTATAGTTTAGTCCCAGCTGCTTGGGAGGCTGAGGTGGGAGGACTGCTGGAGCCCGGGAGGCAGAGGTTGCAGTGAGCCGAGATTGTGCCACTGCACTCCAGCCTGGGTGACAGAGTGAGATGCTGTCTCTCACACACACACACACACACACACACACGATGAGATAAAATTATGCATTCTCAATATTGTTAAGAATGTTGTTGAAGCCCCAACCCCCAGTACTTCAGTAGGACCCCCAAGAGGTGAAAATTGATCTTGGGAAGCAAAAAAACCATCTTACTCTTTATGTATAAAACACAGATATATATACAGAGTTTGTACAGACGTATATTACATACTTTATATTTGTGATATTAAAACTTCATGGGGTGGGGTCAGGTGTGGTGGCTCACACCTGTAATCCCAGCACTTTGGGAAGCCAGGGTGGGAAGATCACTTGAGCCCAGGAGTTCAAGACCAGCCTGGGCAAAATGATGAGACCCCATCTCTAAAAACAAAACTTCATGGGGGGAGGTGTAGGAAAATAACATCTAAAAAGACTCTCTAGGGGGATGACAAGGAAAGACAAAATGTTGGGAAATGCTAGACTTGATGATCTAGAAGCGTCCTTGTTCTAGATCCAGATCTAGAAGGTCTGACAGTCTATGAATCTGGCTCTACGGGAGAGTGTTGATGGGAAATAGCAGAGGGAAGAGTGTTCTAGGAAGAGGGAACAGCACAAGCTGAAAACCTCAGATGGGAATGAGCCTGGGTTATGGGCTGGACTGTGTGCCCCTCTAGCAGCTGAAATAGCTCAGATGGGAGAGTGTTTGACCGAACTATGTCCCCCTAAAATTCATATGTTGAAGTCCCAAACCCCCAGTACCTCGGAATGTGACTGTATTTGAAGGTAAAGTGTTGAAAGAGGTGATGAAGTTTAAATGAGACCATTAGGGCGGGGCCCTAATCCAACAGGACTGGTGTCCTGTTGGAGGAAGAGGCAGCTGGGATGCATGTGCATAGCGACAAGACCATGTGAAGATTCAGGAAGAGGCTGGGCAAGGTGGCTCACAACTGTAATCCCAGCACTTTGGGAGGCGAAGGCAGGCAGATCACCTGAAGTCAGGAGTTCAAGATCAGCCTGGCCAACATGGCAAAACCCTGTCTCTACTAAAAACACAAAAATTAGCCAGGCATGGTGGCACACGCCTGTAATTCTAGCTACTCGAGAGGCTGAAGCAGGAGAAACTCTTGAACCTGGGAGGCGGAGACTGCAGCGAGCCAAGATCTCACCACTGCACTCCAGCCTGGGCAACAGAGTGAGACTCTGTCTTAATAATAATAATAATAATAATAATAATAACAATAATAATAATAAAAGAAGATGCAGGGAGAAAGGGGCCATCTACTAGCCATGGAGAGAGGTCTCAGGAAAAACCAGCCTTGCCGACACCTCTATCTTGGGATCCAGTCTCAAGAACTATGAGAAATATTTCTGTGGTTTAAGTCACCCAGGCTGTGGTATTGTGTTATAGCAACTGGAGCAGACTCATACACTTGCCCTCTTCTTCTTCTTCTTTGTTTTTTTAAATACAGAGACAGGGTCTTGCTATGTTGCCCAGGCTGGTCTCAAACTCCTGGGCTCAAGTGATTCTCCCACCTCAGCCTCCCAAAGTGCTGGGATTACAAGCATGAGCCACGGCACCTGACTTTTTGTTGTTGTTGTTCTTTCGGGGTGCTTTTTTTTTTTTTTTTTTTTTGATACAGTGTCTCTCCTCGCCCAGGCTGGAATGCAGTGGCACGATCACGGCTCACTTCAGCCTCAACCTCCCAGGCTTAAGTGATCCTCCCACCTCAGCCTCCCAAGTAGCTAGGGCCACAGGTGCACGCCACCAGACCTGGCTAACTTTTTAAAATTTTTTATGTAGAGATGGGATCTCAGTATGTTGCCCAGGCTGGTCTTGAACTCCTGGGCTCAAAGGATCCTACCACCTTGGCCTCCCAAAATGTTGGGATTACAGATGTTAGCCACCTGGCATCTTTAAAGAACAACCAATACAGGGACATGAGATCAAAATAGGTTGTGGGGAGAGTGGGGAGATGCAGATGATGACAAGCTTCACAGGACTGGGAATAATACTGGGTTTTTTTATTGTTGTTTTCTTGGCATGGTGGGGAGCATGGGAGGATTTTAAGCAGGAGTGTGACAAGATCTGCCTTACGTTTCTAGCAGGACCACTCTGAATGCTGGGCAGAGAGCAGATCACTCATGGGCAAAGACAAAAGCAGAGGGACTATGAGAAGGAGAGAGAAGAGGGTGGCTGGGACCAGAATGGCAGCAGTGGGCATGATGAGTGGGTTGGATTCTAATACATATTAAGAGTAGAGCTAGTGGCTGGGTGCCGTGGCTCATGCCTATAATCTCAGCACTTTGGGAGGCCGAGGCAGGCAAATCACTTGAGGTCAGGAGTTCGAGACCAGCCTGGTCAACATGGTGAAACCCTGTCTCTACAAAAAACGCAAAAATTAGCTGGGTGTGATGCACATGCCTGTAATCCTAGCTACTTGGGGGGCTGAGGCAGGAGAATCACTTGAACCTGGGAGGCAGAGGTTGCAGTGAGCTGAGATCGCGCCACTGCACTCCAGCCTGGGGACAAAGCAAGATGCCATCTAAA
The DNA here is from genome assembly GCF_000001405.40 of Homo sapiens. Taxonomy (NCBI): domain Eukaryota; kingdom Metazoa; phylum Chordata; class Mammalia; order Primates; family Hominidae; genus Homo; species Homo sapiens. Next base: position 26,633,273 of record NC_000022.11, on the reverse strand, counting down.
AAAAAAAAAAAAGAGTAGAGCTAGTAGGAATTGCCAATGGATTAGAATGTGAGGTGTGAGAGAAAGAGAAGGGTTATGGATCATTCCAGACATTTAGCCTGAACAACTTGAAAAGTGTAGCTTCAGTTATGTTTGGTCCGGTTTTGTTTGAGATGTGTATTAGACGTTCACATCAAGGTGTCAAGCAGTGGTCAGATGTTCTGGGACGGTCTGAGTAGAGGTAGGCACAAGAAGGGTCCGCCCCCCAACCCCATGCTTCCCGCCCCCACAGCCCCTATCATAGAATATTTGCAAACAGCTCTGTACTTTTCCGCATTCATTCCCCATTAAACTGAGTGAGAGAAAAAACTTTAGGTGTCATGTTTACCATTGTATGTCCCAGGCAAATGATCTGTTGAATAAATGGTACGATACAATGAGGAGTTAAAATTTACTGAGGCGCAAATGTTCCTAAACATTCCCCTCCCCTTCCTGAGCCAGATAATGTTATCTTTTCCAGCAGAATGTTCTGGTCCCCACCCCTTCCTGTCCCTATCAGACTGATCAGGGACATTTGTGGGCAGAGGAAGATGGGCCAAGAGAGCCTGAAACAAGAGCTAGAGGGCTCATGAGAGAGGTTTAGACAACCTATAAAATGCAGAACCAGGAGAAAGTAAGGAGGGGAGGAGAAAAAGAGAGATAGAAGAGACCAATCCTGCCACTTAGTCTTCAAGTGAAACAGGGGTTTCTTTGTTTTATAGGCTTTCTTTGGAGCATGGAGGGTGTTAAATGAGAAACTCCAGGGTAGTGTGTGTGAGAGAGAGAATTGGGAAGAGAGAAAAAAGGTATGAGAAGTGTCAGGCCTCTGAGCCCAAGCCATCGCATCCCCTGTGACTTGCACGTATACATCCAGATGGCCTGAAGTAACTGAAGATCCACAAAAGAAGTAAAAACAGCCTTAACTGATGACATTCCACCATTGTGATTTGTTCCTGCCCCACCCTAACTGATCAATGTACTTTGTAATCTCCCCCACCCTTAAGAAGGTACTTTGTAGTCTCCCCCACCCTTAAGAAGGTTCTTTGTAATTCTCCCCACCCTTGAGAAAGTACTTTGTGAGATCCACCCCTGCCCACCAGAGAACAACCCCCTTTGACTGTAATTTTCCATTACCTTCCCAAATCCTATAAAATGGCCCCACCCCTATCTCCCTTCGCTGACTCTCTTTTTGGACTCAGCCCGCCTGCACCCAGGTGAAATAAACAGCCATATTGCTCACACAAAGCCTGTTTGGTGGTCTCTTCACACGGACGCGCGTGAAAAGAAGTTTTGCTAGGGGAGAGAACTGACTCTCCATGCGTGGCTTTGAAAACCACAAGCTAGGAACAATTTATCAAGAAGACATAGCAATCATAAATATATGTACACCTAACAACAGAGCATCACAATTCCTGAAGGAAAAAAAAAATCAGGAAGCAAAAATAGACAAAACTAAGGTAAGAAACAGATAAATCCAAATAATCAATGATTCTTTCTATGTAATTCACTAAAATTGATTTTTTAAAAACAAGCTGCGGTGAACTATGATTGTGCCATTATACTCCTGCCTGGGTGACAGAATGAGATCCTGTCTCAAAAAAAAAAAAAAAAATCAGCAAGGGTATAGAAAAATCGCATCAACACTGTTAACAAATTTGATCTGACATTTACAGAACACTGTACCCAATAACTGCAGAATATAAATAGTTTTCAAGTGTACTACCAAGCCTTTCAAAGATAGACCATGTGGCCAGGAGCAGTGGCTCAGGCCTGTAATCCTGGCACTTTGGTAGGCTGAGGCAGGCAGATGTCCTGAGCTCAGGAGTTCAAGACAAGCTTGGGCAACATGGCGAACGCTGTCACTACCAAATACAAAAATTACCAGGTGTGGTGGCACACACCTGTAATCTCAGCTGCTTGTGGGGCTAAGGCAGAATTGCTTGAACCTGGGAGGTCGAGGCTGCAGTGAGACAAGATTGCACCACTGCACTCCAGCCTGGGTGACGAGTGAAACCTTGACTCATTAAAAACAAAACAAACAAACAAACAAAAAATAAAATTAAAATACAAAAACCATGTGCTGGGCCATAAAATAAGTCTTAATTCATTGCAGAAGACTTAAATCTTAAGGAATATGTTCTCCGACCACATTGGTCTTTAAAAACACACCAATAACAATAAACACCTAGAAAATCCTAAAGTATTTGGAATTTAAATAACATCCCTTTAAATAGCCCATAGGTCAAAAGAAAAAAAAAAAACCACAAGTGAAACTAGAAAATATCAAACTGAATGACAATGAAAACACATCAAATTAATATTTGTGGGAAGCAGCTAAAGCCATACTTGGAGGGAAATTTATAGCTAAATGACCGTACTGGGTGGGGGAAAGAGAGGCCTAAAATTAATGACCCAGAAGTCTGCCTTAAAAAAAAGCTAGAAAAACTAAGAACAAAGTAGGCCTGAAGTAAATAGAAGAAAGGAAATACTGAAGTTAAGAGTAAAAATCAGTGGAATAATGATAGAGAAAACAAGGCTAAAAACCGGTTCTTTGAAAAGATTAATAAAATTGAAAAGCACAACTAATACCAGACTTTCTCTTTTTTATTCGTTTGAGTTTTTTGTGCTGACTGTGCACGGACCAGTTCACATGGGTGCTGGGTTCACACAGGTTACAGGGGGAGGCAGAAGGAGAGAACACACCACAGCCTCCAGAGCGCCTCCATTGCAGATAAGCACGCATGCGCTCCTCCGTGCCGCACCCCTGTTCACTGCTGGATCCTGCGGATGCTCTGCACCTGGAAGGTCGGGGCATGAGAGCCCCACTCCCGGAAATGTTTGTAGTCACCGGAATGGTGATCGCATTCCAGCACATACTGAAATCCTCGGTAGCCCGGAAACTGGGAGCAAACCCAGCTGGAAAAGAGAAAAGGCAGACAGTTACTCTACAGAGACACCAGCATGGTGATCAACACAGGGGCAAAGGGATCTATGCACACGCACACAATTCCAGCCATCCTGGCCTTTCTTCAGTGCTCACAATGTGCCATGCTCTCTCCCCTACCACAGGGCCTTTGATCATGCCATTCCCTTTGCCAGAAGCACCATCCCAGCCTTTCTTTTCCTAGACAAGTTGTATTTGTCCTTCATGGCTCATCTTAATTATGAGGGCAATCTGACTCGTTCCCCAAATCAGGCCACAGTCCCTTATTATACCTTTGTAGCACTCATGTAATTCGATAGTTTTCAAATTATTTGTAAAATATCAGCCTCCCCTGCCAGCAGGCAAGCTCCTGAGTGTAGGAACGTGTATGTTTTGTTCATCGTTATCACCACCTGCATAAATATATAAAAGTCTAGCAAGGAAGAAGGGGTTCCTAAATATTTGCTGAATAAGTGAACAAGTGAAGGAATGGGAAGTCTTGTTCTTTCCCCTTTCTCCCTCCTTCCTTATCCAGAGGCACTTCCAAGAAAAAAAGCTATCATTTCAATTCATTGATTTTTTTTTTTTTTTTTTTTTTGAGACAGAGTCTCACTCTGTTGCCCAGACTGGAGTGCCGTGGCATGACCTCGGCTCACTGCAACCTCTGCCTCCTGGGTTCAAGTAATTCTGCCTCATCCGAGTGGCTGGGACTAGAGGCATAGCCACGACACCCAGCTAATTTTTTGTATTTTTAGTAGAGACGGGCTTTCACCATGTTGGCCAGGCTGGTCTCGAACTCCTGACCTCAGGTGATCCGCCCACCTCAGCCTCCCAAAGGGCTGGGATTACAGGCGTGAGCCACCGTGTCTGGCCCAACTCATTGATTTCTACTCTGTTCAGGACAAGGATTGGTGTCTGGTTTTCCAAGCCTCCATTTCCCTTTCTGTAAAAGAGGAAGTGAACTCAAGAATCACAAGGGGTCCCTCTTACTCTAAAACAACATGATTCTTTGGTGGTTCCTGAGAAAACTAAAGCCAAAAAAAGAAAAAAAAAAAAGATGAAAAACCCTACCTCCCATCTTTGCCCCCTGCCTACCAGGAGCCAAGGGGCACCTCAGAAAGTGGTTCTGATGTCCTCCCTAAATAAGAATCTCACACCTTAGCCTTCACCTGCCACCTCCTGGGTGGAAAGGAAAGGGCCAGTCAGTGCTGAGTTTGAAGCTGGATTGTTACCTACCTGCTGATGGACTTTGAGCAGGTTGCTGGAGCCACACCTGTGTTTTATGGCTAGGGGCATTCATTCTCCCCTCTTCTAGCCAAAGAGCCTGTGGCCTCTCACTCTCAGCCAAGGTGAGAAAATGAGGCTGAATCTAGCAATGGACCACATGACCAAACCTAGCCAATCAGAACACCCCATTCCTATGGGCATGATGATTGGTTCAGAGTTGAGCACAGGACCCAGCTGGACCAATGAGCACCTTTCTTGGAACCTTTAATAGAATCACTGAGCCTGGACACTGTCTTTCCCTAGGGCTGGATGTAACGATGAAGCCGCCACCTTTGCCTTCACACAGGAAGAGCTTGTCTAAGAATATAGTCACACAGAGGCAGGCAGGGCAACAGGTTGGGGGTTGTGGGGGGAGAGAGATACCTGCTGTAGTACCTGGATCCAGCTATGCTTGAAGCTAATTACAGGGGCTGATAAATATCTTCTGGGCTCAAACCAGTTTGATCTGGGTTTCAGTCCCTCAAATTCTGCCTGATACCTCCCTGTGCCTCAGTGTTCTCCTCTGGAATGTGGGCATCAGAGCACAAAAGTCCCCAGCACACAGTTTTCACAGGAGGTACACCTACCCCTCCCAGTAGCCCCTCCCCTGCCAGGTAGAGCCTTGAATACACTTACGCCCCAGAGTGGACGTGGAAGGACCCTACTTCATTGCCTTCCCATCCCATGGCCTGGAGGGAAGGATAGTCATCGCTCAGCTCTCCTTTCTTGCCCAGGAAGTTCTCTTGCTCGAAGATTGTCAGCCTCGAGTCACGGTGGTTCTACAGGAACAGGGAACACAGTCAGACCAGCAGGCTCCCAGTTGGAAACCCAGGAGCCTCTCCTGGCCTCCACACTCCCTGCCCTTGTCTCCCAAATCAGCCTTCCTTGCAAACCTTTTGGAAGGGCAATAAGGCAACAGGTACCAGAAACCTTGCCATTTGCCCTTCCAGAAATTTCCACAAAGAAAATAATCATGGAATAAATAGGCTGCAAGAATGTTCATCATAACAGTTTTTTCAAAAACAAACAAACAAAAAAAGGAGTCAACTTTTATGTCCAAAATTGGGGATCCAGTGGTAAGCTGAGGCATTACACTGTGGTTAAGAAAAAGGGTGTAGAGGCCCGGCGCGGTGGCTCACGCCTATAATCCCAGCATTTTGGGAGGCCGAGGAGGGTGGATCACCTGAGGTCAGGAGTTCAAGACCAGCCCGACGAACATGGTGAAACCCTGTCTCTACTAAATACAAAAAATTAGCCAAGCGTGGTGGCACATGCCTGTAATCTCAGCTACTTGGGAGACTGAGGCAGGAGAATCGCTTGAACCTGGGAGGCAGAGGTTGCAGTGAGCCGAGATTGTGGCATTGCACTCCAGCCTGGACAACAAAAGCAAAAACTCCATCAAAAGAAAGAAAGAAAGAAAGAGAGAGAGAGAAGGAAGGAAGGAAGGAGAGAGAGAGAAAGAGAAAGAAAGAAAGAGAAAAAGAAAGAAAAAGAAAGACAGAGAATGAAAGAAGGAAAGAAAGAAAGAAAAGGAAAGAAAGAGAAAGAAAGAAAGAAAGAAAGAAAGAAAGAAAGAAAAGGAAAGAAAGAGAAAGAAAGAAAGAAAGAAAAAGAAAGAAGGAAAGAAAGAAAGAAAGAAAAAGAAAGAAAGAAAGAAAGAAAGAAAGAAAGAAAGAAAGAAAGAAAGAAAGAAAGAAAGAAAGAAAGGAGGGAGGGAGGGAGGGAGGGAGGGGAAAGGAAAAGAAAAGAAAAGAAAAAAGAAGGAAAGAAAGGAGGTGTAGAGATATCATCTCAAATCCTTCCTGCTAGGAGGCAGCTGCCACTTACCAACTGACTGAGGTTAGACAGGATTTCTGAGCCTCTGTTCCTGTATCTATAAAATGAAACTAACCCTACCCATTTTTCAGGGTTCTTTTGAGGACTAAATGAAATCAGGAGTTGCAAACTGCTGGGAATGAGGGATTGTTTCTGTTGCAGCCCGCCACGGGTCCCTATATTAGCACAATATCTAGACTGTTTGCAGAATAAATGAACAAATGGACTTATTCACAAAACAGAATACTAGGGAGCTATGAAAAACGATGGAAGTGAGATTTAATCACCTGGACTGATGATTGCGACACATTTGCTCAGTGAGAAAAGCTAGTTTCCAAGCCTTAGATTCATTATGATTCCAATTTTATGACAAAATTATGTGTGCAATATAGATAAGATATATAGATTATACAGATATAGATGTAGATGTTGATTTGGATGTGTATATACATAGAGACACAAATGTATAGGTTGAACATCCCTAACCTAAAAATCCGAAATCCAAAATGCTCCAAAATCTAAAACTTTTTGAGTGACGACATGACACTCAAAGAATGCTCACTGCAGTATTTCAGATTTTGGATTTTTGGATTCAGGCTGCTCAACTGTAAGTATTACAAATATTGCAAAATCTGGGGAAAATATTCAAAATCCAAAACACTTCTGGTCCCAAGCATTTCAGGTAAGGGATACTCAACCCTGACCATAGCAGGATTTTCCTTCAGAATTTTGGATGGTAAATATGGTGACTTATGTCATTTTAAATCAATAAGAATTGAAAAATAAAACACACTTTGTTGTTTTTGTGTTTGTTTGTTTGTTTTTGTTTTTTTGTTTTGTTTTGTTTTGAGACAGAGTCTTGCTCTGGCGCCCAGGCTGGAATGCAGTGGTGCGATCTTGGCTCACTGCAACCTCTGTCTCCCGGGTTCAAGTGATTCTCCTGCCTCAGCCTCCTGAGTAGCTGGGACTACAGGCATGTGCCACCACACTCAACTAATTTTTTTGTATTTTCAGTAGAGACAGGGTTTCACCATGTTGGCCAAGCTGATCTTGAACTCCTGGCCTCAAGTGATCTACCCGCCTTGGCCTCCCAAAGTGCTGGGATTACAGGTGTGAGCCACCATGCCCAGCCTAAAATACACCTTTCTGAGCCTCAATGTTTTCATTGGTGAGATGGGAATAATAATGCCCACCTCCACCCACACTCCAAAAACAGCAGTAAAATGTAAGATCAGGAGCACTGATGCTGAATTAGGAGCAAGAAATGAAACCTTTCCTCTCCACTTGGCCCTACCATCCCTGGTACCCAGATTCTCTCAGGGTCCCTGAATCACAAAAAAAAAAGGGCACAAAACTGGCAGGGGCTCCTATCACAACCAGGGTTGCTGTGAGCAGAGAGTTTAAGGCAGGCTCTGGTCAGATGTTATACGTTCTTCTTCCCAAGAACATTGGTACTATTGCCCCATTTCAAGATGAAGAAACCGAGGCTTGGAGAGGAAAGAGACTGAACAGCCCTTGTCACACAGCTTGAAGTGGCGACATGAGAATTTCAACTCTGGAACCTTTGATTCCGAAGTGCCCACATGAGGGGCTTGGGCCTCCCCGGGATGCAGCAGTGGTAGAACTTACAGCACAGGCCGCAGGCCGGAAGGAGGTGAGCCTCTCGGCGGGGTAGGCCGTGTTGCCGCCCCAGGCATCCCAGCTTGGATATTCGCCTCGTTCCAGAATGTACTGCTGCCCTTGGAAGCCAGCATGCTCAAAGCCCACCCACCTGCAGACAGAGGGTAGAGTGTGCAGGAGGTAAGCGTCCCCCTCACCCTGCATTCTAGACCAGCAATTGGGTCTAGAACGGTCACAGTCACAACCATTCAGGGGTGACTGTGCCCCCAGGAAACACTTGACGATGGCTGGAGACATTTTTGGTTGTCACGACTAGGGGAGGGACTGCGAAGGCCATCTATCGGGTAGAGGCCAGGGATACCACTAAACATCCCATAATGCACAGGCCAGCCTTCCCTGCAAAGGATGATCCAGCCCGAAACATCAGTAGCGCCAGAGTTGAGGAACCCAGCTCTAGACCTCACTTGCTGTGTGTCCCATAGGTAGGGAAACTGCTTCACACAGGTGCCCTGACAACCTTGCTCCTCCGTCCGTGTCCACAGAGGCCAAGGAGGCAAAGCTGATCACAGACTGATCTCACCTTGGTGGAATTCCCCGTGATCCTGCCAGGGTGTGGGAGACGGGCAGTCTTGCAAGGAGCGACCGCATGGCCATCTCTCATTTTCCTCCCTCTCTTGTGGGAGGCTGCCACGAGGCAGCCCCTCATCTGCCTCTCTGGCCACTCTGAGATGTGGGGCTTTCCACCTCGCCTCCCCACAGGCGACAGCAGCAAGCTATCGTTGAAGCATGGAAGCAGCTCTTCAGCCACGGGGTTCCTACCATTCCTAATGCCTGTCATTCAGCCCCCTTTGTTTTGGTGTCGTCCAGTAGGACAAGGGACACAGGAGGCTGCACCTTGCCTTTACTGTCTGTATAAGTAATAAACTGTCTGAATCTATCCAAGCTCATTGTCTGCTTACTGGCTGAGTCTGTCAGCCTGCTGGACATACCCCTAGAAAGCCTCTGTTCCCATCTGACCCCCATTCCCCACCTGCACAAATCAGAAGCTAAAAGAGTATTTACTAAAGCATGAGATGTGCAAAAATCACCCAAGATGACCTCAGGTGGCACTCACAGGTGTAGCATTAAGTGACTCCAAATCTCCTATCTACTTTCCAAACTTCTACAACCTTCTATCCAATATGGTAGCTACTGGCCACATCTCCTGTCTATCTACTTTCCAACTTTCTAGAACCTTCTATCCAATATGGTAGCTACTGGCCACATTGCCTTTCTAGCTACTTTCCAACCTTCTAGAACCTTCTATCCAATATGGAAGCTACTGGCCACATCTCCTTTCGATCTACTTTCCAAACTTCTAGAACTTTTATCCAGTATGGTAGCTACTGGCCACACCTCCTTTCTATTTACTTTCCTGCCTTCTAGAAACTTCTATCCAATATGGTAGCTACTGGCCACATCTTTCCAACTACTTTCCAAACTTCTAGAGCCTTCTATCCAATATGGTAGCTACTGGCCACATCTCCTTTCTACCTGCTTTCCAACCTTCTAGAACCTTCTATCTAATATGGTAGCCACTGGCCATATGTAGCTAATTAAATTTAAACTTAAATAAATTAAGATTAAACAAGATTCAGTTCTCTACTCATGCTGGCTACCTTTCAAATCCTCAATGGTCACATCTGGCCAGTGGCTCTGAAATGGATGGTGTAGATGTAGAACATCTCCATCATTGCAGACAGGTCCACTGAATGACACTGGTCTAGAAAGTCTTGGTGTGTTATTAGTGTGTCCTTAACACCTCTCTGTGTCTCACTAATCTCTCTCTCTCACTCTCTTTTTTGTTTTTTAATTTTTTTTTTTTTTACAAAAAATGATCAGGCCACATGCTTAGCAGCAAGACTATTTAGCTAAAAATTAATAGCATTAAAACATTATGTTTATTTTTACAGTTACCTTCTACTTTAGGCGGGTGATGTTGGCTTTCAATTTACGGCTGGGAGGGACATTTTTAGATCCAACACTGGATTCTAAGGATCTCCTGCAGAACTGCCTCATCCAGTGGGCAGGGTCTGTGTAAATGGCACCCTCCTACTGTTGGGCAGTGCGCAACCTGCATAATCTTACATGGCAGTCCTGCACACTCCTCAGTACTTCAGGAGGGCACAACAGTAAGAGCCTAGGGAGAGGGGACCTAGAATATCTAAAAGTCCTAGCACCCGTCTCTAGGTCCCTTCCTGTCCACCCTCTACCCCAACTCAGTGTCCCCCTAGACTCACGCTCCACTCAGCACTTTCAAAGATCGCACAGTCTCGAAGCCAAGCTCCAGCACGCTGGGGCACTCGGCCGTGAACTCGTGCCGCCGGCCCTGGAAGCCGTCCTCATCCCACACCACCATCTGTGCCAGGAAAAAAAAAAGGTGGAGATCCGCATCAGAGTCCCGTGAAGGGTGAGAGGTTGGGGGCTCGCCCCAGGATCTGGCAGGTAAAGCAGGGATTGCAAACTCAGATTCCTCCAGGAGCCAGGAAGGCAAGAGCAGTGATAAATGTGAGACACTAGACAGCACAGGTGCCAGGTAAATGGGTGGCCTCTTCCCAGTGCCACCAATGGTTGCCAAGTGGGAATGCAGGCCAGACCTTCCAATTTCTCAAGACAATCACTAGATCTGGACTTTTATGTGGTTCTTCCAGGCTTTTAAAGGCTGATGATAAATCCAAAAGCTTTATAAAACAAACAAACACACACAGAGATGGTCAAAGAAATCATGCCCAAAGACTGCAACCTCTGCCAAAGAGTGTAACAGGTCAACTTTGGGAACCAGAAGACCCAAATTCACATTCAACCTCCCTGTATGTGACATACAAGTCCCTTCTCAACTCTGAGCCTTGATTGCACCTCTGTGAAATAGGCATTTATAATGCCCCCCTCCTAGGATTCATGGGGACCTGAACCCTCCCCATACCCCCTGAACACCCCCTCCCCATGCCTCTTCCTACCTTCCAGGGTCCCGCTGACTTTGTGCATTGCAGGGTCATTGTGGCCCCTTCCTGCAGAAGAGAAGAACATTATAATCTTCCACCCTGACCCTCTGCTCTCCTCTTTATGCAGATGGCTGGCTTGGACCTGGTCAGGATCCACATAGGGAGTCCAGGAGTGACTGGGCTAGGGGCAATGCATGGCTTTGGCCTGTCCCTCTCCTGTCCTTTCCATCTGTCACCAATGCCATCTTCCATCCTATCCCCATCTCAAAACTCACCCTTGCTGGGTCTCATTGACTCTGAGCCCCACTCTGTATTCTCTTATCTGCTTGTTATGGGAAAATTTTTGTGGCTGCTGGTGGGTGGGTGCATCACCCCAGCGAGTGCTGAAATGCTCAGCATAAGAGAGCCCTTCCAAAGACAGCACCTAGCTCAAAGAGGTAGCTCTGATGGTGGAAATTTAGGCAATAGGGCTACAGGAATAATTTGTTTTTAAATGAGGGAAGCAGGTGCTGGTCTTGATGGTTGGGGCTCATCCTTGGTTAGGATGAGGATGGCATTCAGGATGACACAGTGACATCCCTAGGACTGGGGACCTGGGTTCCTCGCCTCCCAGAATGCTCACTCAGAACTCTGATCCCACCCCTCCTCCAAACCTGGGACTTACCGAGATAGGCCCAGGGAACATGTCAGATCTGAGACCAGCCGAGGTCGGGCTCTTATAGGCAGGGAGGGAAGAGGGGCCCCTGGGAGACAAAGCCCCGACTCAGCAACTGGGCCACAGAAACAAAAGCCAGCCCTGGCTGAAGAGCCAATGGCAAGCCGTCAGCAGCTCTGGCTTTAGCAGGGAGGGAAAGGACCAGATCACCACCCCCAGGGATCAGCCACGAAGAAGGAGAGAGGTGGAATATTGGCCCTCATCAGCCCCACAAGGTTCCTGACTAGAGCAGGAGAATGAGCACTAGATGAGGAGTCCAGAAGCATCCTTCCTAGCTATGTGAGCTCCAGCGAGTCATTTCCCCTCAATTTCTGCCTATAAAATGGGGCAGAAACAAACCATATCACAGAGTTGTTGTGAGGTTACATAACATGCCTGGTACAGAGTAAACATTCAGGAAATGCCTATTCCTTTCCTTCTCTCTTTCCCCTTTCTCTTCCAGTTGAAGCAATCCAGATAGGCTTGCCGTTAGAGGAGGCATTTGAACTAGACTCTGAAGGATGAGGAAGATATGTACAGAGTGAGATGGAAGGAGAGGCATTCTAAGAAAAAGTTCAGAGGTGGGAACTTGGGGCACATGTACAAGAAAGAGCTGGTAGCCCAATTGGCCTGGAGCTCAGGGGACCTGAAGGGAAGTGAGGCAGGAGAAGAGGGCTAGGCCAGGGCCTGCTGGGTCCACAAAGCCTGAAGATGAATCCGGATGGCACTGTGGGCAGCATAGAGGAGCTGTTAGTTGCAAACATGCTTTGCAAACTGTGGCACACTTGCCAAATATCCAGGACTTGTACAATTTGCTGTGTGCCTCTTGTCCCGAAACCCTGCCCTCTGAATTGGCGTATGAGGGACCTAAGAGGTCCCTCATACATACATACTTGTGTGTAAAATGGGTGTAACAAGCATAGGAAAACAGCATGACTGGAAACCAGATCATCTGAGATGAAATCCAGCCCTGCTTCTTTCTTACCATCCGTGTGACCTGGAGGACACCTGAGTCCTGCTCATGACCTGTAAAGTGGCCACACCAGTTTCCTTTTAAGAGGGTGAAATGCAGCTCTATCAAACGCATGACTTTAGGCTGGGCGCAATGGCTCACGCCTGTAATCTCAGCACTTTGGGAGGCCGAGGTGGGTGGATCACCTGAGGTCAGGAGTTCAAGACCAGGCTGGCCAACATGGTGAAACCCCGTCTCTACTAAAAACACAAAAATTAGCCGGGAGTAGCGCGGGCGCCTGTAATCCCAGCTACTAGGGAGGCTGAGGCAGGAGAATTGCTTGAACCTGGAGGCAGGGGTTTCAGTGAGCCAAGATCATGCCATTTCTCTTGACCCTGGGTGACAGAGCAAGACCCCGTCTCAAAAAAAAAAAAAAAAAAAAAAAAAAGGAATGCATGACTTTGATGAAGGGTTGGCATGAAAATGAAAGGTTAACAATGCACCCTCTACAGCCAGACTGCCTGGGTTTGCATCCCACTGGTGCTGGCTGGGTAACTTTTAAGCATGTTACTTACGCACTCTGAGCCTCAGTTTACTTGTGTGTAAAATGGGTGTAACAAGGTAAGTTGGGATTAGTCTAAGAAACAGGGGGATTGTGAGGATAAATGTGAATAGCACATGAACAGCAGCTGGAATTGCTCCTGCAACATAAAAAATATTGTGGTATTTCCATCATCTTCATCATCACCATTGCTAATAAGAAAGATGATTATTATTAATTGTTGATCAAAAAGCAGGGGTGCATAGTTTTTAAGAGCCTGGGTTCATGAGTAAAGAAGATGTGAGTTCCAATTTTATCTTACATTTCCATTTTTATGAGAAAGTGGCTGAGAGAGAGGAAGGAAAGGGAGTTGCTTCAGTTTCCTTATCCGTAATTGGGGTTAATCCCAGAGACTTCATCCTTATACTGAGGAGTACAGGACAATGCAAAAAAAAAAAAAGAAAAGAAAAAAAGAAAAGAAAATAAATTGGCTCCATAAGACAGGGCAAAAAAGAAAAAGATATAATGAAGGATACAATAATAATAATAAATGCTCAGAGTGGAGCCACCAACATGGTGGGCCATCCCCCTTCTCTGCCCCCACCCTCTGGCAGACAGCCCATTCCTGGGGCTTTAGGGGGGGCACGGAACTGCCCCAGATGACCTGGCTTTGAAGCCTAGACTGGTGGGTGGGCCCTCACCACAGGCGTCTTGGCCCCAGTTCCAGTGGCTACCCCATCTTGCAGTTCCTGCCCACACCCCACCCACCAAGTCTTGGCCCAGGATGAAAGGCCAAGGAGAGGCTAGGAAGCGAGGGGGTGCTGGGTGGTGGAGGGACAGAGGCAAAGCTGGCTCCAGGCCAGGGAGAGTTCAAGACAGAGCTGGGCTCCACGGGGAGCCTAGAACCCCGAAAAAGAAGAGACAGGAGCCTATCCAGATGCCCCCGCAATATACCCTGCCTGGGACTGGGGAGCCGACTGCAGGTGACCTAGCTGAGCAGCTCCCCAGGCTCCTTCTGACCCCAGCTGTACTGTGAGTTCCCGCCATGTGACTATGTTGAAGTCATTTGTTCCACCTGGGCCTCGGTTTCTCCATTTGTGAAATGGGAGGATTGGGCCCTGTGATTTCTGGCGTCTGTTCCTCCGTCCTGAGGCTTGATCACCCCAACTTGACCTCTGTCTCTCCGTCTCTCGCTCCTTCACTGTCCATGTCCCCTGTGCCTCTCTGTGTCTCTGTCTCCACCTCTCTCTTTGTCTGTTACTTCTATCTGCCTCCTTACTTCTCTCTCCTTGCCTTGGTTTCCCTATCTCCTCCGTACCCTACCTTCTGTTCCGATCCATTGGAACCACCATTGAGTCACCAGTTATTGACTGAGAACCCATGATGTGCCAAGCTCTACCTAGCCAGGCCCAGCTAGGTGCTGGGGCCAGTGGTGAACAAGATGTGGTGGGCATCTGGGGCTTGCCAGGGCAGGAGGCTCTGGGACAGGCAGTCATATTTCTGGCCACCAGCACTGTCCTCCAGGTCAGATAACGTGGCCTGGGTAGAGGCGGGGAACTGGGGTGGCGAGAGGGATCACTGTCGATAGGTCAGGAAAGGATGGGGCCCAATGTGGGGAAAAGAAAAAGACCCAGGTCTCCGATATCCAACCCAGCTGAGCACAGTGCGACTCTCCCATTCCCACCCCAACCTACAAAGAGGAAGTCAGGCCAGGGGGCCTCAGGCCAAGGTCAAGGCTGGACAGCAGGAGAAGAAAGCACACAGGCCCAGAGCTGGCTGGCCTGGGCTGGCTCTGACCTCTCTGTGCCTTCACTTTCCTCTTCTGTGAAATGGGCATAATGAAAGTACCAAATAAGGCAGATTGTCCCGGGGACTGACCGAGATAACACGGGTTCGGCACACAGTAAGCACTCCGTAAAAAAGGCTGTCCATATCAAACCCACATCTGCCTTTACAAAACGCTTCTGTGCTCATTGTCACCTTCTTTTCTATATGGCATCCAACAGGGACACGTGCCCACCTTATAATTGCAGACACAGAGGCCCCCCTAGGGGTAGAGACCTACCAAAAGCCACACAGCGCGCAGTGGCTGAGTCAGGATTCAAACTCTGGTCTCCTGCCTCCCAGGGTCTCCCCTTTTCCCTGCCCCATGTTGGCAGCCAGCAGGGACCCTTTTGGGGGCCCATCCCTGGCTGGGGTTGTTGAGAAAGGAGTCAGGGTAGGGTTGGAAGGTGAAGCTGCTGTGGCCAGGGTTTCTGCTGTGTGTGCTGGTCTCACAAAGGAAAGTGCTGCTGTCTGCAGTGATCCAGGCGAGGTCAGGGCCCCAGTCCCCCACTCCCTGCCCAGGCCTGCTGAGCCAGCTTCCCCTTTGTGCCACAGACTATAGGGCCTGATGTCTGCCAGACTATAAAATGGGGGGTCGGACTCTAGTCACCCATAGCACCTGCCCGCCTGCCTGTCCTCCAGCAGGAAGTAGCAAGTCCCCAGGTAAGAGGGAACCCACAGCCCAGCTGAGAGCTGAAGGGGAGGGGAAGAGAAAAGGGAGACAGAGAGAGGGAGGCAGAGATAGCAGTGCCATGAGAGTCAGAGAGCAGGGCCATGGAGATAAAGACGGAAGTGGAGAGAGGAAGAAAGGGAGGGAGAGGGAGAGGGGAGAGAGTGAGAAAAGACAGAAATAGAGAGAGAAGTAAATATAATTAAAAAGGACAGATAGAGAGATAAGCAAAGATACAATGAGGGAGAGATAGTGGGGGAGAGAGGAACAGAGAGGGAGAGAAACAGACAGGCAGATAGGCAGAAAGAGGGAGAGAAGTAAGAAACAGATAGAGAGGCAAAGACAGGGAAGAGAGGAGGAACAGAGGGAGAGGGTGAAGCAGGGAGAGAGAGAGAATGAGAATATCTCCAGGAAGGCATGAGTCCAGCTGCCAGCCCTGGGGGAGTGTTTAAAGCCACAGATGTGGTCCAGATGTCTGGCCTCACCCCTGGTGAACAGGGGGCACCCCAGAATATGCACAGCCTTCCTGGAGGAGGCTGGGGGAGGGATGTGCTTATCCCAACTAGCTCCGCCTTACAGAATGTGTTCGGGAATCAGCTTGACCAGAGGGTCTTAATCTGTGCTAGCAGGGGGTCCTCAAATCCCTTAACATTGTCTCCAAAGTTAAAGAGAGCATTATTTTTGTCCGGGGACAAAGTTGAGGTATTCATCAAACATTCAAAGGAGTCCACGACCCCAAAGCAACAAGGAACCACTGGAATTGACCAAAGCCCTCTCCACCCAAAGCCTACCCAGCCCCAGTCCTCATTTTCAGAACCCTCCACATGCAGTAAATACATCCTCTTGGGTCCTCCCATAAGCCTCAGTCCCCGGCCTGTATTTGCACCCATACACCAACCCCTCAGAGGAAGCAGACGGGGAAAGGAGCTGGGAGCATGCATTCATTCATTCTCTGAACAAATGTTAATTGGGCATCTCCTATGTGCCAGGTGCAGAGCAAGTGTTAGGGATGGACGGTGAATAAATCAGATTAAGCAAATGGCAGAATACTTTAAAAGCCCAGTTGCTGGCTCCATTTCCTTGAGTTGAAATCAGAGCCCTACCACTTAGTAGCTGTTTGGGCCTGAGCTGGGCCCCTTCCTTCTCCAGCCCCCTGCTGCTCAGAGGGGATCATGATAGCAGCTACTCCATCGGGTGAGGTTCATGGTCAGATGGGTTAATTAATGTATGTCACAGTGCCTGGCACACCTTAAGTACTCCCAAATGGGACTTCTTGTTATTAGTCTAGGGAGGCAAATTGGAGTTGCACAAGCAAATCAGTGTGATAAGCAGTGTGGAAAATTGCAGGGGGCTAAGGAAGGACCTAGCGGGGTAATGGAGGGTGGAACAGCTAGTGGAGGGAACCGCATGGTCAAAAGCCTGGAGGAAGGATATATGTGGGATGAGTGGCCCCCAGACGGGAAGGTCTTGGCTGGGAAGTAGGGATGAAAGAAAAACTTCCAGGCTTAACCGTTTCAGAAGGAGATAGAGAGGAAACGAGCTCCAAGGAGGCTGAAAGCACAGGATGTGGGGCTATGAGGGCAGGAGGCAGTTTGGGGGTGTCATCCCTGAAGGCCAGAGTTTCTTTACAGACTTTTGCAGGCGGGAACCATGTCTCAGGCTGCAAAGGCCTCGGCCTCGGCCACAGTGGCGGTGAACCCAGGGCCTGACACCAAGGGGAAGGGGGCCCCACCTGCAGGAACATCCCCTAGTCCCGGCACTACCCTGGCCCCAACAACCGTGCCTATTACCAGCGCCAAGGCGGCGGAACTGCCTCCTGGGAACTACAGGGTAAGGACCTGGGGGTGCAGTGGCTGGGTGCCATGCCTTCTTTCCTTCCTTCCCTCCTCCTCCTTCTTCTCCTCCTCCTCTTCCTCTTTCACCTCTTACTCCTCCGCACCTCTTTCTCCTCCTTTTTCTTGGCTTATTTTCTCTCCTTTCTATTTACTCTCCCTTTTCTTCTTCTCCACCTCCCCAGACTCTTATCCTCTGTCCCTATTCTCTTTTTCCCTCACCTTGGCCTCCTCCTCCCTCCTCCTTCTGGGACACAAGTGTGGCCCAGCCAATCTGGGAGCCCATAAAATAGCCAGGGGTTCTGACACACTTGGAGAAAGTGGGGCCGGGCGCAGTGGCTCATGCCTGTAATCCCAGCACTTTGGGAGGCCGAGGCAGGTGGATCACCTGAGGTCAGGAGTTCGAGACCAGCCTGGCCAACATGGTGAAACCCTGTCTCTACTAAAAATACAAAAATTAGCCAGGCGTAGTGGTGGGCGCCTGTAATCCCAGCTACTTGGGAGGCTGAGGCAGGAGAATCACTTGAACCCAGGAGGCGGAGGTTGCAGTGAGCTGAGATCATGCCACTGCACTCCAGCCTGGGCAACAGAGGGAGACTCCATCAAAAAAAAAAAGAAAAGAATAGAAAGAAAAAGGGGACCTATAGTTGAGTTGTGCAATAACAACAACCAAACCATACCGCTTCACAGCTGAAGGGACACCTGGCAATCAGGCTACACCTGCACACGCACATGCTTAGAGTTTATCGAAAGCAAGAAAAAAAAAGAAGAAAAGGAAGTGGGCTGGCTTAGCAGCAGGGAACCAGCTGTCCTTGGAGGCTCACTGGGGCAGCAGGATGGCCTCAGACCCTCAAAATTGCTCGAGGTGGTCTGGGCTGAAAGGCATCCTGTGGAGCAAGGTGTCCAGTCCCCTGGGATTTGGTTTGGTGTGGTTTCAACCTCAGGTCACAGAAGTAGGCCATTTTGCAACCCCTAGTTCATGACACGCTCTCATGTGGTCAGTGCGTGGCAGGTTTTTATTTATGTACCTATTTAATCATTAGTTTTATTTAATTTCTAATAATGCAATATGCACCTACAAACCCACCACCCATATAAAAGCCAGGACTTGGTTAAAAACTTTCTACCTAACTCTAAGGTGTCTCCCTTGAGTCCATCATTTTCCTCCCCAACTCCAGGAAATACTGTCCTATCCTCAACCTGTGTCTGTAATCTGCTTGCTTGCTTTTGTATACAATTTTATGCATTATTCCTTTAAAAATGTATACACACATACACATGTATATTTATTTACTTGTTTTATTTATTCATTTATTTTGAGACCGAATTATGAGACGGGTTTTGCCATATTATCCAGGCTGGTCTCGAACTCCTAGCCTCCGCCTCCCCAAGTGCTGGAATTATAGGTGTGAGCCACCGCAACTGGCCGATTTACTTGTTTTTAATTTATTGAAATATGCAATGTGATTATTCTGGGCTTTTCTTTGTACTTTTCACTTACTATGAGATCCCTAATATCCATCCATATTGTTGCGCATGACTGCCGGCCATTCATTCTGGCTGCTGCCTGATATTTCAGAGCGTGACCATCTCTTTCCTGCTAAGCACGATTTCAGTGGTTGCTAGCTTTGCTCTCGTGAACAGCATGGCTTGGACGTTCTTATCCCTGTCTCCTGGTATCGGGGAACCTGCCCCGATATTCACATAGATTCTTTTCTATTTTTCCTAAGCGTCGGCCAGCTTGAGAAATAAAGGGACAGAGTACAAAAGAGAAAAATTGTAAAGCTGGGCGTCCGGGGGAGACATCACATGTCAGTAGGTTCCGTGATGCCCCACAAGCTGCAAAAACCAGCAAGTTTTTATTAGGGAGTTTCAAAAGGGGAGGGAGTGTGAGAATAGGTGTGGGTCACAGACATCAAGTACTTTACAAGGTAATAGAATATCACAGGGCAAGTGGAGGCAGGGAGAGATCACAGGATCACAGGACCGGGGCAAAATTAAAATTGCTAATGAAGTTTTGGGCACCATTGTCATTGATAACATCTTATCAGGAGACAGGGTTTTGAGATCAACCGGTCTGGCCAAAATTTATTAGGCAGGAATTTCCTCTTCCTAATAAGCCTGGGAGAGCTATGGGAGACTGGAGTCTATCTCATCTCTGCAGCGTCGACCATAAGAGACGACCACGCCCAGGGGGGCCAGTTTAGAGACCTAACCCCAGGTGCGCATTCTCTTTCTCAGGGATGTTCCATGCTGAGAAAAAGAATTCAGCGATATTTCTCCCATTTGCTTTTGAAAGAAGAGAAATATGGCTCTGTTCTGCCCGGCTCACTGGCGGTCAGAGTTTAAGGTTATCTCTCTTATTCCCTGAACAATTGCTGTTATCCTGTTCTTTTTTAAGGTGCCCACATTTCATATTGCTCAAACACACATGCTGTACAATTTGTGCAGTTAATGCAATTATCACACGGTCCTGAGGCGACATACATCCTCCTCAGCTGACAGGATTAAGAGATTAAAGTAAAGACAGGCATAGGAAAGCACAAGGGTATTGATTGGGGAAGTGATAAGTGTCCATGAAATCTTTACAATTTATGTTTACAGATTGCAGTAAAGACAGGCATAAGAAATTACAAAAGTATTAATTTGGGGAACTAATAAATGTCCATGAAATCTTCACAATCCACGTTCTTCTGCCATGGCTTCAGCCAGTTCCTCCGTTTGGGGTCCCTGACTTCCCGCAACATCCCGGGGCACACATACAGGAGTTTCTCTTGGGCAACCAAAGGTAGAAGTGGAAGTGCTGGGTCATGGTTATATGAACCTCCCCTCCTCTTACAGCTGGGGAAACTGAGGCTCAAAGAAGGCAGAAAATTGTGCCTTGGTCCATGTGAATGGCAACGTTGTCCCAACTTGGAACAGCAAGTGGACAAGGAACCAAACATGAGGCTTAGTGAGGAGAGAAGATTAGCTCAAGTTTTCCCCTATGTTGTGGAGGGTTGGATTTGCAAGTGTCTCCTGAGCATCAGCTCTGTGGCAGGTACTGGGGCTGGGGCTGGAGATACAGAAATTGATCAACCTCAGGCCCTGCCCTGGAGGAGTCCTTGGTCTTTGGAGGGGCTGGGTAATGGGAGAGAGGGAGTGCAGAGAGAGAGGGAGACCCCAAAGCAAAACAGCAGTGACTGTGTGGTGGGTTAGTTGTGCTGCTAATGGGGAGAGGACAGTGGGGGATGCTCAACCAAGGCCGATGGAGGAAGGGGCAATCAGAGAAGGCTTCCTGGAGAAGGTGGCACCTGAGCCTAAAACAGAATAACGAGCTGGAATGCGTATTAGGGAACTTCAGTTAGGCAGTGGGAGCTCCAAGCTGGATATGTGTGGTGGAGAAGGCATTCCAGGCAGGAGGAATAGCACAAAGAAAGGCCTGAAAGGGAGGTTCATAAGTTCCTAATGATGGCGCAGATCTTAGCTTCAGAATTAGGGCATGAGGCCAGGTGCAATGGCTCATGCCTGTAATCCCAACACTTTGGGAAGCCAAGGCAGGCCAATCATTTGAGCTCAGGAATTCGAGACCAGCCTGAGCAACATGGCAAAATCCTGTCTCTACAAAAAATAGCCAGGCATGGTGGTGGGTGCCTGTAATCTCAACTACTCGGAGGCTGAGGTGGGAGGATCGCTTGAGCCTGGGAGGCGGAGGTTGCAGTGAGCCATGATTGCGCCACTGAACTTCAGCTGGGGCGACAGAGTGAGACTCAGAAAAACAAACAAACAAACAAAAAACAAAAATCAGTAAAGAATTGGGGGATGGGAGGACAGGATCATTTCACAAACTGTGGCTCATCACACTTTTATGTGACTCCTGCACTGCTGGCTTTTATTTATGTAGATACTTAATGAATTTTTGACTCCCCCCTCACTCTGCCCTTGGCATGGGGGCTTCTCTCCTGCAGCTGGTGGTCTTCGAACTGGAAAACTTCCAGGGCCGTCGAGCAGAATTCTCGGGGGAGTGCTCAAATCTGGCAGACCGTGGCTTCGACCGTGTGCGCAGCATCATTGTCTCCGCGGGACCGTGAGTACTGGGCGGCGGAGGGGCACACTCTCTGCCACAGTAAAATGACCACACAACAGTAGCTGCCATTTCTCCAGCATCTGCTCTGTGCCTGCGGCCGTTCGTACTCCTGGCACATACATTATGTCCAATCCTCATATCAAACTGAAGAGGGAGGAATTGTTCTCAATCTCATTTTACGGATGAGGAAACTGAGGCTCGGAGAGGTGATCCAATTAGCATAAGATCACACTGGCAGTAAGCCATGGTTCTGGGCTCTGGAGAAATGCTGCTTCTACTATAGCAAAAACTCTAGCCCGGCCGGGCGCGGTGGCTCACGCCTGTAATCCCAGCACTTTGGGAGGCCGAGGCGGGTGGATCACGAGGTCAGGAGATCGAGACCATCCTGGCTAACAAGGTGAAACCCCGTCTCTACTAAAAATACAAAAAATTAGCCGGGCGTGGTGGCGGGCGCCTGTAGTCCCAGCTACTCGGGAGGCTGAGGCAGGAGAATGGCGTGAACCCGGGAAGCGGAGCTTGCAGTGAGCCGAGATTGCGCCACTGCAGTCTGCAGTCCGGCCTGGGCGACAGAGCGAGACTCCGTCTCAAAAAAAAAAAAAAAACAAAAAAAAAAAAAACAAACTCTAGCCCATTACCGAGGGCTGAGAGAGGTCAAAGAGTGAAGTGTCCACTCGCTGTCCCCTCTCCTGGGCGTCCAGCTGCCTGGGAGTAATGATAAGCATCTGTGGCACACCCACCAGGTGCCAGGCACTGACTCGGGACCACACCTAGATGATTCACAGTGCTGTAGGAGGCAGAGGCTATTCTTATGCCCACTTGACAGATGGAAAGACTGAGGCTCAGAGGGGGTGAGTCTCTTACCCAAGGTCACCTATTGGTAAGTGGCACAGCCAGGATTCAACTCAGGTTGATTGAGTTCATTCCTAAAGCTCTTAATCACCATGCTTCACTGCCTGTTCCTGTCTCTGTGGGTGTCTCTGGGCCTTAGTGACTCCCATATAAAACAGGGATAGTCATCCTTGGGCAGAGTGGTTGCCCTATGTCCAGCCTGTGTGTGCTGAGGTCAGGGTGGAGGGGCAGCCCCAGGACAAGATCCACGCAGCTCGTTTGCTCTTGTCTCCCCCACTTTGAAAGCCTGCAAGGGTTCCAGTCATCCTGTATTCTGAGCCCATTCCGAGATGAGCTTTGAGGTCAGACAAGCCTGGGTTTGAGTCCTGACTTCCCCTGTTTGCCTTGTTCAGTGTGCAAGCCTCAGTTTCCCCATCTTTGAAATGGGGAGAAGGATGGCCCTCACCACTCCTCACAGGATTATGCTGAGGTCTGAGGGAGATCATACAGCATGGGCCTGTTACCTTGTGGGCACCCAAACATGGCAGGTGACTCTGATGGTCACGTACCCACCTCCCTGCCCGGTGAATTTAGCCAACTTATCCTGGAGGCTACCCGGGACCATTTCTACCTCCTGCACCCTCAGTGTGGTCAACGCAGCCTCAGCTCCACCCTCAGCCCCAAAACCCAGCTGGAAGCAGAAGCTACCGGATGTGGCCAGCATGGGTTTTCAGGCTTTTTTTGGTACCAGTGACTCAAACCCAGAGTATTTCTCCTCAAACAAAGATGCAGCTGGTGTCTGACGTGTGCCTTGGAGCCGTGCCTGATGGGCATGGAAACGGGCCTGTGGTCCGGGGGCCTGGGTCTGTGTGGGCGCTGGCAGGGCCATGGGAAAAAAAGAATGAAGAGGGTGAGGTAGGCATGGGGAAAGTGAGGAGGCCTGCCTGCCTGAAACCCAGGAGACTGCAGCCTGACACCCAACACCATCATGTGACCTTAGGCTGGGGACTTAACCCCTCTTAGCCTCAGTTTCCATATCTTATAAATTAAAATTCCTGCCCTACCCTCTCTCCCTGCTTGCGGGTTGAAATGAGCCATGGGAGATAAGAAAAGGCATAGATATAAACATTTAAAATTTAGATCCTCACTGGTCCTGCTGAAGAAGATAGGGGAGATTTTAGGGGGACTTGGGCATGGTGGCAAGACCACATCAGTGTCTGTTTTTCCAGAAGCCTAGACCTCCAGTTTCCTTCTCCCTTTAATCAGGAACAGTATTAATTTGGAGGCTTACTCTGTGCTGTATCTGTTCCATGCATTCCCTCTTTTAGGCCCTCATAATCTCCCAACAAGGTAGATGCAACAAAGTAGATGTATCATTTCTTCTCTGTTACTAAAGCTTAGCAGGTGTAAGTGCTGCCCAAATGCATGCAGCAAATGGCAAAGCTTGGATTAGAATTCAGGTCTGTCTGTTTCCAGGGTCTGTCCTCTTAACTCCTACATGAAACCACCTTCCAAGGCTCCCTTCTTATTCACCCATGCGTCTATCCACCCATTTATTCATCATCCATCTACTTACCCATGCATCTACCCATTCGTCTATTGATCTATCCATACATACATCCATTCTCCATTTATACACACGTACCCACCATGTGTTCTCCATCACCCACCCATCCATCTATAAATCTATCCATCTACCCACCCATCCATCTACCCATCTAGCTATCCATCAATTCAACCATCCCTTCATCCATCCCTTTATCCATGCATCCATTCATCTGTCCATCTACCCATCCACCTATCCATCTATTCAACCATCCTTTCATCCACCCATCCATCCACCCATTCATCTGTCCATCCATCCATCTATTCTCCCATTTATTTCTCTTCTACTCCAGACCAGACAGGGCTGAGGCAAATGCAACTCTATTCTGGGAAGACAAACATATCTTTAATTTACTCCAGTGTGGTTAACTCATCTCTCAGACAAAGACCTGAGGCTCCTGTGATGCATTCTGTCTCAGCCCATGGTGATAGCCCATCATCCTTGTCTCCTTCTGGGGAGAGCAGGGTCCCAGCAGCCCCCTGGGAGAAGATGCTAGTGTCAGTGTCCCCTCATCCGTCTCTTTTTTCCTAAGAACTCTTGAACACACGGGGAGCAAAGGTCAAGGAGTTCCTTAGTCTCAGCTTTCTCATCTACGGAATGGGGATTGTCTTATCTACCCCACCTGCACTGCCACAATCCCTGGTCCCTGTAACACAAGCTCACTTCTTGTCCTTAATCAATCTTCACTGGGAAAGCCAGGAAAATCTTCCATCTAATTTCAAACTTCTAATTAGTCCATGTAAGGAACCTAGCATCTTCATAAGCGCTATCACATTATATTACCATAGGTATCTGAGGGTAGATATTACCATCATTCCCTTCCCATTGCCTCATACTAGTTACTGAGTATCTCCCGAATACCAGGCCAGTATTTACCCAGCAAGGATGCAAACACCTGTATCAATTTTTCCCTTACCCCTGTACCTCCGAGACTGTCGTTCATTTAATATATTTCATTTAAAATGATCCTGCTAACCACAAATAAACACATTTTAAAAGAACCCTGACACCACTTTTTACAAATGGAAGGCTAGTATTATTTCCTATAAGTAAAAGGTATCCATACAAAATTAACAATAAACACAAAAGTGGTATTATTATGTTGCTATTACACCATTGTCTGCTGGAGGTTCTGGGCTAGTGGTCTTTTCTCTCTTTGTTACAAAAGAAAAAAAGGAGAGATTAGTAAGTGTTAAAGGCACATTAACATCAAACGAGCCTTTCTCCTAGCTGGCGTCAAGTTTCAAATGTCTATGTGTTCCTTGGCTCCAAGTCCTGATAGTACTTGAAGCATGTATGAACCTTACATCTAGAGAAACAGTGTGCTCAGATAATCACACACATTTATCTCACTTAATCCTTCACCAACTCCAAGGAAACAGGCATATGAGTGTAGATGAGAAACAAAGGCTCAGAGAGGTAAAGTCACTTGCCCATAGTCACACAGCCTGTAAGTGTCAGAGCCTAAAATCAAACCCAGACATGTTCAGCCCCCTTTGGACTTTCCTACTGTCCTCAGGGCTGCCTTGCCAGGGGAGAGAGAAAGGCAAGTAGGGAGTGGGGGCTTCTACTAACCATATGTCTCCTGTCTGCCTCATGGTCCTTCTTGTATCCAGCTGGGTCGCCTTTGAGCAGTCCAACTTCCGCGGGGAGATGTTCATCCTGGAGAAGGGCGAGTACCCTCGCTGGAACACATGGTCGAGCAGCTACCGCAGTGATCGGCTCATGTCCTTCCGGCCCATCAAAATGGTGAGTGGCTCTCCGGCTGGGGCTGGAGAATCAGCCAGGCGGGGCAGGGCAGGTGTAAGTCTGAGATCTGACAAGGGCAAGAAGGAGATGATGGTGGGTAGGGAGGCGTGGCAGCCTCCGAGTTGTCAAAGGACCGTGGATTCTTGAGCTCATCAATTCATCAGTGTCCTTAACACACTCACTACATACCCAGCTAGGAACCCTGGGCAAATGATAAGCACAAAAGCTTCCAAGTTAGAGCTAAAAACTTCAGCATCTTCCTTGATTCTCTTGATATCCCTGGCTGCACATTTAGACCTTACTGGGAGCTTTTTTTTTTTTTTTTTTTCCCAAAGATGGGGTTTTGCTGTGTCCCCCAGCCTGGTGTACAGTAGTGTGATCATAGCTCACTGCAGCCTTGAACTCCTGGCCTCAAGTGATCCTCCCGCCTGGGCCTCCTAAAGTGCTAGGATTACAGCCGTGAGCCACCATGCCAGGCCTGGGAAAACTTTTCAAATTTCAGTGCCCATTCGAAACACCAAACATGCTGGTTGCAGATCATGCAATGGCTAAGAAGAGGGATATTGTAGCCGGGCATGGTGGCCCATGCCTGTAATCCCAGCACTTTGGGAGGCTGAGGTGGGTGGTTACCCAAGGTCAGGAGTTCAAGACCAGCCTGATCAACATGACGAAACCCCGTCTTTACTAAAAATACAAAAATTAGCCGGGCGTGGTGGCGCATGCCTGTAATCCCAGCTACTAGCAAGGCTGAGGCAGGAGAATTACTTGAACCCGGGAGCCAGAGGTTGCAGTGAGCCGAGATCATGCCATTGCACTCCAGCCGGGGTGACGGTGCCAGACTCCATCTCAAAAAAAAAAAAAAAAAAAAAGGAGAGGGATACTGTAGAAACGCAGCTTGAACCTCTTAATAATAAGACAATATACTGAATTAGTTTCTTATAATATTTAACTAAGTCAACTTCCAGAAGATTCAAGGTCAAAATGGTGGCGATATCTCCAAGTGATTCACAGTTTTTTCCAGAATTAAGTTGATGATGAGTCATGAACCAGCTACATCTTACTCACCAATGTTAGTTGCTGATGGTAACCGACTTTTGTCTTCCATGATGGGAACATTTATAAGAATTTTCATGAATGTGCATTTGAGGCTATCAAGTGCCAACCACCAGCTGTTTTGACATCACCAAATTTATCTTAATGGATTATTCAAACAGATCATTCCCAACACTTTTCGCAGAATGTAAGACTGAATTATTTGCCTTCATGATGCACTCTCTGTAAGAATTCACAGATGTCTCTCTCAATCATTGAATGGTTCTTATATGCCAACCTATGTTAAGGGGTTTGTTTGGAAGAGTGATCAACCAGGGCATTTCCAGTAGCTTCTAGAAGCTTGCTATTCAACATAATAGGCAGTAGCCATATGTGGCCATTGGACACTTGAATTTTGGCTAAATGGAGATGTGTCATAAGTGTAAAATACATATTAGGTTTTGAATACATAGTAAAAAAAATTTTAAAGAATGTCAACAATGCATTGATATCATTATATTGGTTACATATTGAAATTATAATATTTTAGGTATATTTGTTTAAATAAAATATGTTATTAGAAATGTTTAGAAATCTCAAAGCCTAGACCCCACCCCAGACCAATTAATTCTGAATCTCTAGGGCTGGAACTCCGGCACTGCTATCTTTTCTATGCCCTCTAAGTAGTCCGTCTGTGCAGCCAGGGCTGAGATCCAACCATCTAATTCAGGGGTGCCCAATATTTTGGCTTCCCTGGCCCACGCTGGAAGAATTGTCTTGGGCTACACATAAAATACACTATCACTAACGATAGCGGATGAGCTTTAAAACAATTGCAAAAAAAATCTCATAATGTTTTAAGAAAGTTCACAAATTTGTGTTGGGCCACATTCAAAGCCATCCTGAGCCACATGTGGCCTGCAGGCCGCAGGTTAAATAAGCTTGGTCTAACCCTTCCTCTCTCTGCCCTGCCACAGTCCTGGTCCAGGCCACCATCATCTCTGACCTGGTCATCTTCAGCTCTCTCCCTGCTGGGTTCCCTGACTCCTTTCCAGCCCCCTGTCGTGGGAAGTTAGAGGGATCTTTTCAAAATAAAAAAAAAAAATAAACCTGACCATCTTCTACTTGAACCCAGACATTTTGGTTGGCCTGTTTCTATTTTCCTTTTTTTTTTTTTTTTTTTTTGAGACACATCTAACTCTGTTGCCCAGGCTGGAGTGTAGTGGCACGTTCTGGCTCACTGCAACCTTCACCTCCCTGGGGCAAGCAATTCTCCTGCCTCAGCCTCCCAAGTAGCTGGGATTATAGGTGTGCACCGCCACGCCCAGATAATTTTTGTATTTTTTATAGAGACAGGGTTTCATCATGTTGGCCAGGATGGTCTCAAACTCCTGATCTCAAGTGATCTACCCGCCTGGGCCTCCCAAAGTGCTGGGATTACAGGCATGAGCCAGTGCGCCCAACCAGTTGGCCTGTTTCTGCCAGGCTCTGGTTCTAGGCTCTGAGTGCAAAACTGTGCATCAAACAGACTAGGTCCCTGTCTTCATGGGACTTAAGCTACCCAGGGAGGCAGCTATCAAAAAGCTAATCATAAAAATCCATCTACAATTGCAAACTGTGGTAGGTGTTACACAAAGGCCATGCAATCTAACTAGGAAAGCAGAAGCAGGAACTGGGGGCTCAGATATTGTTAGAGGTGGGAGTGGTCAGGGGGTCATCAGGGAAGCCAGCTCCCAAAGTTTGGAAACCAACTCAGCCACGTGAAGAGCAGATGGTAAAGCCTTCCAGGGAACAGTGTGTGCAAAACTCCTAGAGCAACGATGGACTGGTGGGACCAAGAAAATTAAAGGTGGCCAACAAAGCTGCAGCAGAGGGAGTGGAGGAAAGAGGGAGGCAAGATGGGAGGGGAGGTGGTGGTGGAGACCAGGGTCTTGTAGGGTCTCATAGGTGGTGGCAAGTTCAGTCTTGACCCCTCTAGCAGTGGGGAGCCATTGACTAACAACCTTCCCAAGGCCCTCAAGACCGTAACAGTAATAAGTAATCATTGTTGTACTTTTACCACTGGCTGGTAATTGCACTAAGGGCATTTGTCTTGCCATGCCCCAAAGGGTCCCCTGTGCTTACATCCCTGCCTGGCACCTTGCACTTGCCTTCCTGCACCCTGGCCACACAGATATTGTCTTGCACATTCCCACCTCCCAGCTTTTGCCTATGCCTTCTCTGCCTCAGTGCCTTCCCTCAACCCTCCTTCCCTTCTCAGCTTTGTGCACTCCTCCTTAACCTCCAAGGTCCCTCTCTAGTGTCACTTCTTCCATGAAGCCTTCCCTGATCTGCTCTGCTTTTCTCTGGAAGAATTAACCAGTTCTTTCTTCATCTATAATCTCCTACTGGAGTCTTTCACAGAAGGATGCACTTACGTTCTGGGCTCCTCTTCCTCCTAGTGGTGGTGAATAACAGTAGATAATAACAGTAGATAATCACAGCATCCATTTTTAAGCACCAACTACGTACTGGGTATATTACCTGCCTTTTACATAATCCCTACAACTGTCCTATGCTACAGGCTATGATAACATGCATTTTAAAAGCAAGGAAACTGAGACTCAGAAGTAGAAAATGACTGGCCTAAGGCCACACAGCTGGGAGTTGCTGGGGCTGGGATTTGAACCAAGGTCTGTGGGTTTGAACCTAGACACTGAGGTCCGGCATCACTCTGCTATTTCCTGTTCATCTCTTTGGCTCTTCAAACCCTTGGGCCTAAAACAGTGCATGATGACTTTTGAAAAGATGGATGATCCCTGCCCTCAGAAATAACAGACGAACTTTAAAAACAAGATACAGGGTCATGAAAGCATTAAAAATAAGTGCAAGCCAGAACTGAATCATGTGCCCACATTCAAGGGTGGGCCTGGTTGTTTGTTTGTTTGTTTTTTGAGACAGAGTCTTGCTCTGTCACCCAGGCTGGAGTGCAGTGACACAATCTTGGCTCACTGCAACCTCTGCCTCCCAGGTTCAAGTGATTCTCCTGCCTCAGCCTCCTGAGTAGCTGGGACTACAGGTGCGTGCCACCACGCCCAGCTAATTATTATTATTATTATTATTATTTTGTATTTTTAGTAGAGATGGGGTTTCTCCATGTTAGTCAGGCTGGTCTCGAACTCCTGACCTTGTGATCCCACCCATCTTGGCCTCCTAAAGTGCTGGGATTACAGGCGTGAGCCACCGCGCCCGGCCAGGCCTGTTTTATAGTTGGACTGAACCGTGAGTTGAGTAGCCATGACAATCCCACGAAGCAATAGTAACCCCATTCTTTTTTGTTGTTGTTGTTTGAGACAGTCTTGCTCTGTCGCCCAGGCTGGAGTGCAGTGGTGTGATCTCGCCTCACTGCAACCTCCACCTCCCAGGTTCAAGTGACTCTCCTGCCTCAGCCTCCCGAGTAGCTGGGATTACAGGCACATGTGATTGCACCTGGCTAATTTTTGCATTTTTAGTAGAGATGGGGTTTCACCATGTTGGCCAGGCTGGTCTTGGACTCCTGACCTCAGGTGATCTACCTGTCTCGGCCTCCCAAAGTGCTGGGATTACAGATGTGAGCCACCATGCCTGGCAATAACCCCATTCTACAGATGAACAAACTGAGGCTCTGAAGGAGGCAGAGTAAAATGTCCAAGATCACCAGTGCATAAATGTCAGAGGCAGGATTTGTTTTTTGTTTTTTTTTTTTTTTTTTTGAGACGGAGTCTCGCTCTGTTGCCCAGGTTGGTGTGCAAGTGGCACGATCTCGGCTCACTGCAAGCTCTGCCTCCTGGGTTCACGCCATTCTCCTGCCTCAGCCTCCCAAGTAGCTGGGACTACAGGCTCCCACCACCACGCCCGGCTAATTTTTTTTGTATTTTTAGTAGAGACGGGGTTTCATCGTGTTAGCCAGGATGGTCTTGATCTCCTGACCACATGATCTGCCCGCCTCGGCCTCCCAAAGTGCTGGGATTATAGGAGTGAGCCATCGCACCCGGCCTAGAGGCAGGATTTGAACCTAGATCTGTGTTCCACCAATGTTCCACGTTTCACCTGGTTTGTAAGAAGCATTTACAAAAGGGCAATTGGTTAAACTCCTGATGGCAC
Source organism: Homo sapiens (assembly GCF_000001405.40). Lineage (NCBI taxonomy): Eukaryota > Metazoa > Chordata > Mammalia > Primates > Hominidae > Homo > Homo sapiens. The sequence continues at coordinate 26,602,734 of NC_000022.11, read as the reverse complement.
AGGGACACTGCTTAGGAATGAAGTGTTTCTCTGAAAGGTTCTGCCCCTCCCTGGCTGTGTGATGTTGATCAATAAGCTTGACCTCTCTGAGCCTTTTTGTCCCTGATCATAATTTTAAAAATAATAAATACTTTTTTTTTTTTTGAGACAGGGTCTTGCTCTGTCACCCAGGCTGGAGTGCAGTGGTGTAATCATATCTCGCTGCAGCCTCAACTTCCTGGGCTCAAGCAATCCTCCTGCCTCAGCCTTCCAAGTAGCTGAGACTACAGGCATGCACCACCATGCCTGGCAAATTAAAAAAAAAATTATTTTTTTGAGAGACAGGATCTTGCTATGTTGCCCAGGCTGGTCTTGAACCCTTGGCCTCAAGCAGTCCTCCCACCTGGGCCTCTCAAAGTGCTGGAATTACAGACATGAGCCATGGCACCCGGCCAATAAATGCATTTATTGAGCACTTGATGTATGCCAGGCATCGTGCTCAGTGCTCTATATGGATACACTCATTTCATCCTCACGAGGACCCTATGACGTGGGAGTTGTCATCCCATTTTCCTTATGTCTCCTTCCAGACTAGACAGCAGTGGTCCCTGGAGAGTCCCCCAGCAGCCTGAACAGGCTCATCTCTCTCGCTCCACACCCAGAAGGCCCCGCTAAGTTTCTTCTCTTTGTCCCATTTGTACTTCACACACCTGACCCGGCCTCTCTTTCCCCAGGATGCCCAGGAGCACAAAATCTCCCTGTTTGAAGGGGCCAACTTCAAGGGCAACACCATAGAGATCCAGGGGGACGACGCACCCAGTCTCTGGGTCTACGGCTTCAGTGACCGCGTGGGCAGCGTGAAGGTCTCCAGTGGAACGTAAGCATCCCTCCTGCCAGGTCCGCGTCCCCTGCTTCAAGCACAGGCAGAATCAGAGGCTGCTCCCCTTACAGGTTATAACATCAGATTCCTAGAGAAGGCCATGGCCCCTTCCACAGTCTCCCAGTGCTGGTTCCTGGGATCAGCCAACAGAGCTCTATTCCTCTGGGGAATAGAGTCACACTTTGAGGAATTCCAGGTCAGTGTAAACAAATCAGCTCTAAAAAGCTGTTAGATGGAGAAAATAGGAGCTGCTAAGCCTAGTTGGGGTTGAAGGAGTAATCAACTAAAAGGGCCGGCGCTGATGTGGATAGATGAGGCTGGATGCATCCAGGAGCAGGGAATATTCAGGGAAATCAGAAGCTTCTGGGAGAATGAACAGAATGAGTTCTGAGCAGTGAATTTGCATCATAAGATGGCCCTGACCCTGCTACTGACATGCTGAGGAACTCGAGTGAGCCTAAACACCTCTCTGCCTCTCAGTCTTGCCAGCTAGGCAATGGGCACACAAAATTCCCTGATCCAAGAGTGCCCTTCCTGCTCTGAACGCTCAGGATCTGAAGCTATCAAAACGGAGCCCCATGACCTTATGTCATGAGAATACATGGAAGGGCCAGATCAAAGGAGTCACTTTATCCATCCCCCTGCCTCCAAATGACCATGCCAGACACCCTTGATCTCCTCTAGGTAAACGTAAGGCTCTGTCTCTCCATTCCCAGACTTGTTCTGAGCTCCTGTAACACCATCATGGCTATGGCCTTTTTCTTGTTCCTTTCTGCCTCCCTGAAACCTATATCCCTGCCATTCAAGCCATCTGAAATATACGGAGCCTTGTCTGTGAGCCAGGCACTGTGCTAGGTACACTGGGGAAAGCAGCGATGAATACAGCCAAGTTCCTACCTTCAAGGAACTTACTTGGCCTAGCAGGGAAACCCAGATATACCTGTGAGATGGTGTCCAACAATACTAGGTAAAGAATGGGCCAGCCAGGGCAACTGTGTTGTAGGAGGTCAGAGGAGGAGAGGTTTCTAGGATTTGGCTGTGTATGTTAGGGCAGAGGGCAGGTCAAAGGTTTATCTGCAGAGGATGGAACTTAAACCAGGCTTTACAATATAGGGAGGGGGTCTGGCAGAAGCCTGGAAAGACCCTCTCAGCAAAGACAATGAGAGAAGTTAGAAATTAATCACTGATGATAACTTCTATTGAGTGCTTACTATGTACCAAGGACTGTGCTAACCACTTTAAATGAATAACTATTAAATCTTCATAACAAACCAAGGAGGTGGGTGCATTATCATCCCCACTGTACAGACAGTACATTGAGGTTCTGATACCTTATCCACCTAGATTCTCACAGCTAGTAAATCAATGGCAGAGCTAGGATTTGAACCCACATATATTTGATACCAGAGTATGTGTTCCCAGCTGCTACGCACTGATGCACTTACCTACAAAGAAAACCAATTTTTTTTTTTTTGAGATGGAGTCTCGCTCTGTCCCTCAGGCTGGAGTACAGTGGTGCAATCTCAGCTCACTGCAAGCTCCGCCTCCTGGGTTCACGCCGTTCTCCTGCTTCAGTCTCCCGAGTAGCTGGGACTACAGGTGCCCACCACCACACCCTGCTAATTTTTTTGTATTTTTAGTAGAGACGGGGTTTCACTGCATTAACCAGGATGGTCTCGATCTCCTGACCTTGTGATTTGCCCGCCTCAGCCTCCCTAAGTGCTGGGATTACAGGCTTGAGCCACCGCGCCCAGCCAAGAAAACCAATTTTTTGAAATAACACTTCCTCTCTTTCATTTGCTTCATTGTTAACCAGTCCCTAAGTCCTATTCTTGCTTCCTTGGATTTGTTCTCTGAGCCCTGCATCATCACGTTTAATGGGATGTGTATTCATATTCCTACCATGCACAGGCAACATGCTTAGCAAACACTTGAGGTGCATTCTCCATTTGGTCCCCCCCAGCACTCTTAATAAAACCAGGCACCGTGACCATGCTCACTTCCTAGAAAAGGAAACCGAGGCCTATCAGAGAGGCAAAGTCCTTGCCCCAGGGCACAGAGCAGGAAGGGATATAGCCAGGACAGAAGTGAGAGAGCAGCCGACTGCAGGGATCAATGAAGGACAGGCTGGTCTGGCAGGGGTCTGGGTGCCAGGCAACGAGACAGGCTGTCTCCACTCTGTCCTTCTCACTTTTCTCTCAGATGGGTTGGCTATCAGTATCCTGGCTACCGCGGGTACCAGTACCTCCTAGAGCCTGGTGACTTCCGGCACTGGAATGAGTGGGGAGCCTTCCAGCCACAGATGCAGTCCCTGCGTCGCCTGCGTGACAAGCAGTGGCACCTCGAGGGGTCCTTCCCTGTCCTGGCCACAGAGCCCCCCAAGTGAGTCCACACCTCACTCTGCTACCTTGCCCCAACCCTTCTTCATGTTCAATTATTTCCCCCATTTTTCCCAGGCAAATAAAATTCCCTAAAGCCAAAATTTCTCCTGGATCTGTAAACAGATGTGTGCCTTGAGGTCCCCCATAGTTACTGGGATGTGACTTCCTCGCTCTTAATAATTACAACGATAATAAAAGCAGCAAACACTGAAAAGTTCTTTCTGCCTGTTATGTGAGTCTACCAAATGTGTAGGCAGAAATGAATAAGGCCAAGTTCCTGCCGTCAAGGAGTTTGCTCCACCTAGCAGGGGAAACCCAGATACACCTGTGAGATGCTGTCCAAGGATACTAGGTAAGAGATGGTCCAGCCAGGGCATTCGTGCAGCAGGTCAGAGGAGGCAGGTTGGTTTCTGGGTCCTGAATGGATGTGTTGGGGTGGAGGACAAGTACTTGGCCTTACTCATTATGAAGACTGCTCCAGGAGGTTGGTATGAGGAAATTGAGGTTCAGAGAGGGGAAGTGATTTTCCCAAGGTCACACAGTTAGCAAGTCAAGACTTGAATTCAGGCTGTCTGGCTCCAGAGCCTGTACTCTTCAAGACAAATCTATAAATTTTTTTCAAACTGTAGCCAGTTGAGCATCCCCCCTCAGGATTTTTTGCACTGTCTGCATGCCACCTGGTCTACTTTTGACATATTTTTATTTAAATAGACTTATTTTTTGTCCTTAAATGCACTGATTTGTAAATAAATCCTTATAATGCTCCAAGAAGTGGAAAATCAGCATCATATACATAGAAAGCAATCACACAGGCTGGGCGTGGTGGCTCACCCCTGTAATCCCAACACTTTGGGAGGCTGAGGTGGGTAGATCACTTGAAGTCAGGAGTTGGAGACCAGCCTGGCCAACATCGCGAAACCCCATCTCTACAAAAATTCCAAAAGTTAACCCAGCATGGTGGCGTGCGCCTGTAATCCCAGCTATTCGGGAGACTGAGGTGGCAGGATCACTTGAGGCTTTAGCCTGGGAATTTGAGGCTACAGTGAGTCGTGATCATGCCACTGGACTCCAGCCTGGGCAACAGAGTGAGATCCTGTCAAAGAAAGAAAGAGAGAGAGAGCGAGAAAGAGAAAGAGAGAAGGAAGGAAAGGAGAGAGAGAGAAAGGAAGGAAGGAAGCAGGCAGTCGTATAAATAAATCAAATACAATTTAAAGAAGGCCAAGTATCAAATTTCCAGCAGATACCACTGCCTGCAACCTGTTCACTCTTCGACAAAATGGGAGATTAGCCAGTGTTGAAAAGTGTGAAAGAGGACCGGGTGCGGTGGCTCACGCCTGTAATCCCAGCACTTCGGGAGGCCGAGGCAGGCAGATCACTTGAGGTCAGGAGTTCGAGACCAGCCTGGCCAACATGGTGAAACCCCGTCTCTACAAAAATATAAAAAATTAGCCGGCTGTGGTGGCGGGTGCCTGTAATCCCAGCTACTTGGGAGGCTGAGGCAGGAAAATCGCTTGAACCGGGAGGCAGAGGTTGCAGTGAGCCAAGATTGCGCCACTGTACTCCAGCCTGGGTGACAGAGTGAGACTCCACCTCAAAAAAAAAGAAGAAAAAAAACCAACAAAACAAAGAAAAGTGTGAAAGATGTTTGCACCAAACTGAGACTTTTTTCCTCCTTGATTTAATCAATAAAGGTTGAAAAGAGCATCGTTTTCTTGTATCTGATTCAGTGTTACTCAATCCTGGAGCTGGGGTACATCAGGAATCATCTCATTTGGAAATCTGTGCCAGACACTATTGTTTCCCATATCAACAGTTAATATTGATTGATGTTATTAATCATTAATCTATGCAGACAGCCTGGTGGAACGGGGTGTCGGGGTTGCTATGGATATCTTCCTGGAGGAGGGAATATCTGAAGGGGGCCTTGAAAGATGGAGCAGGAGCTTGCTTGATGGAGAATAGGGGAGATGATATTCCAGGCAGAGCAAACAGCAGTGTCCCCGCTACCCCATATGGCACCTTTGTGCAAATGATAAAAAGATGTCTCTTCCTCAAGACATTTTACTGCCATCTGTTAGAAATTATTGGTATAAATCTGGGACGTCTACCATGTAAATGTGATACCCTTGTGCTGTGCCCAACATGCTCAGCTGAACTTGGCAGCCCTGGAGCACCATGAACAAAGGCATAGAGGTTGAGAGAGTTGTGGTGGGCCCCGGTGAAGCTTATTGAGGTGGGAACATTAGCTTGGTGGTTGTGTGGGCAGAAGCACAGGGTGGGACGGATACACTTGTACGTCAGGAGATAAAGCTGGCAAGAAAGATAGGGCCTCATGACACCCCACCCTGTGGTTTTGCTGAGCTTCAAAGTTGAGACACCACCTCACATAATCTTGGACAGGTCTCACTCACCTTCCCTCATCTCACTTTCATTCTCCCCACCTCAACACTCTTGGCCAGCATCTTGGACTAGAAGACAGGGCTGTCTGCGGACCAGGATTCCTGGACAGAAATCGGGAATAAAAGGGTATTAACCCTGCTGTACTGTTAGAAGTTGGAAAGAACTAGGCAAATTGCATCCATTCCCTGGGACTTGTTTTTCTCTTCTATAAAACGACAGCTCAAATACCCATCCAGCCCCAAGATTCTGAGGTTCCAAAGTTCTATGACTCTCTAAGGTTCTGATATTTATCTCTAAGCTTCTGTGATTCTCTGATTCCAAAGCCAAGCCACATGGATCCCCATTCTAAGTTCTTAAGGTCTGTGAGTAAAGCTCTAAAATTCTACTGCAGTGGAGTCCATCTTCACAGTCATATGAGCCCCCTGAAATTGACTTCCATAGTTCTTTACCTTCAAGGTCTTATTGTTGGTAAGATGCACTATGATTTTATAATTCCAGGAGGAAAAAGAGAAATAATACCAATCAAAACATAACACAATTGTTTTCTGATCACTCAGAATTTTTATACTTATTGAAAGAATTATTTTCAACTTATTTAGATTTAACAGATTTTTTTTCAGTGTATCAATCTGATAAGTCCTATAAAAGGTAAACATACTAGAAATTCATCAGTTAAGTCAGTTCTAAAACCTCTTTGCGGCCAGGCACAGTGGTTCATGCCTGTAATCCCAGCACTTTGGGAGTCTGAGGCAGGTGGATCACTTAAGGTCAGGAGTTTGAGACCAGCCTGGTCAACATGGTGAAGCCCCATCTCTATTAAAAATATAAAAAATTAGCCGGACATGGTGGTGCACACCTGTAATCCCAGCTGCTCTGGAGGCTGAGGCAGCAGAATAGCTTGAACCCAGGAGGTGGAGGTTGCAGTGAGATCGTGCCACTGCATGTCAGCTTGGGCGACAGAACAAGCTTCCATCTCAAAAATAAAATAAAATAAAAACTCTTTGCATTGATGGTCCAGATTCTGGCCTGGCACAGTGGCTTATACCTATAATCCCAGTATTTTGGAAGGCTAAGGTGGGAGGATCACTTGAGCCCAGGAATTTGAGATCAGCCTGGGCAAGATGGTGAGACCTTACCTCTACAAAAAATAAAAAATAAGCTGGGTGCAGTGGTGCATGCCTGTAGTCCCAGCTACTGTGGAGGCTGAGGCAGGAGGATCCCTTGAGCCCAGGAGTTCCAGGCAGCAGTAAGCTATGAATGTGCCACTGCACTCCAGTCTGGGGAACAGAGCAAGACCCTGTCTCTAAAAACAAAAACAAGGCCATACATGGTGGCTCACGCCTGCAATCCCAGCACTTTGGGAGGCTGAGGTGGGAGGATCACTTGAGCCCAGGAGTTTGAGACCAGCCTGGGCAACACAGGGAGACCCCATCTCTACAAAAAATTAAAAACAAAACACAGAGTCCAGGTCTTCTGGATCACTTTCATCTCACAGGCATTTTTTTTTTTTTTTTTGAGACGGAGTTTTGCTCTTGTTGTCCAGGCTGGAGTGCAATGGCCCGATCTTGGCTCACTGCAACCTCCGCCTCCCAGGTTCAAGCGATTTTCCTGCCTCAGCCTCCCGAGTAGCTGGGATTATAGGCATGCGCCACCATGCCTGGCTAATTTTTTGTATTTTTAGTAGAGACGGGGGTTTTTCCATGTTGGTCAGGCTGGTCTCGAACTCCCAACCTTACTTGATCCTCCTGCCTCGGCCTCCCAAAGTGCTGGGATTACAGGCGTAAGCCACTGCGCCTGGCCTCACAGGCATTTTAAAATGTGCATATTAGCATCACTGAAACAAGATATGTACACTTGGCAGAATAAACACCAGAAGAAAATAACAATTAAAGTCATTTTATATTTAATGTATTGTTTGCTAATGAATTTATGAATAAACAAAATGCCTTGTAATAACAAAGGAGGACATATAAAATTATAAGCAAAAAATAAAGAATAGAGACTAAAAGAAGCAAGTTAAAGAAAATAACATGTAGTAAGGCTGAGAGTGAGTGTGACTTAGGAACCATAAACCTGGTGTTCCTTCCATGGGTCCTAGTTTCAACATATCTCTCAAAACATGAGCATCTCACCACCTGGAGCAGAATTTCAGAGCTTAAAGATAAGCCACACTTTTGCCTTCAAACTAAAACTAAGGTTTCATTTCATCAGGTGCTCAACCCCAGAAATCATGATGAGTCCAAGTTTAATATTGACGGAAACCAGTGAAGCTGGACTTCCAAGGGGCTATGTTGCCTTCAGCCTTTTCGGGGGCTTCTCCAAGGCAATTTTGACTGCATGGGTTTGGCTCTAAATGCTGGCTTTTTGTTTGTTTGTTTTGGTTTTTGTTTTTTGTTTTTTGTTTTAGCTAGAGTCTCACTCTATCGCCCAGGCTGGAGTGCAGTGGCGCAATCTCAGCCCACCACAACCTCCACCTCCCGGGTTCAAGCAGGAGTGTCCCTAAGCACTGGCTTTAAAATACAATGCCTGAGGAAACTGGGGACTTCATATTGTTTCAAAGCTAGATAGATCCCAGCTTGTGAATCTTTGAGTCTCAGGCCTTTGGAAAGGCAAAGCATCTTGATTATGAGAGAGCGGCTCTCATTCTCATCGACAAGAGGCAACCCGTAATCTTTTAGACATTGGAGCATAAGCCCAACGCCGGCAGTGTGTATATGTGGGGTGGAGGCAGGAGGATCACCCAGAGGCATTGAATGCTTTTGTGCCAGCATGAGATGCTGATAAATACACAGCAACTGGGCTCTGGGGAAAAGACATGGTTCCAGGGTGCCCTGCAGAGGTTCTAAAGAGATGAGCCTTCTTAGAGCCAAACTGCCACGACAGCCAATAGCCTGGGTCAGATACTTAGGATCAACGAATGCTTTGTGAAGCCTGGATCCCCAGCTAGGAACAATAATACTACACCCTTCCAGCAGGAGAAGAAAACCTGCCCACTTACTTTTACTTCCTGCCCACTGCCGAGCCACTGCCTTCTATCAGTGTACTAGAAAGGGTGAGAGAGACCTGAGTTTGCATTCCAGCTCTGACAATTACCAGCTATTATCCTTGGCCAAATCAAATTACCTGCTGGAGCCTCTGTTTCCACATCTGTAAAATGGGAGTAATGATAATAAAACACCAAAAGCTTGGAGAGGGTAAATGATCAGCTTGAATATAATAATTATAAGGTGTTTAGCACATAGCAAGCACCTGAATAAAGTGTTTTCTGTGGTTGGGCATGGTGGCTCACACTTGTAATCCCAGCACTTTGGGAGTCCAAGACAGGTGGATCACTTGAGGTCAGGAGTTGGAGACGAGCCTGGCCAACATGAAGAAATCCCATCTCTACTCCAAATACAAAAATTAGCCAGGCATATTGGCGCATGCTTGTAATCCCAGATACTCAATAGGCTGAAGCAGGAGGACTGCTTGGACCCAGGAGGCGGAGGTTGCAGTGAGCCGAGATCACACCACTGTACTCCAGCCTGGGCAACAGAGTGAGACTCTGTCTCAAAGAAATAAATAAATAAAATAAAAATAAATAAAATGGTTTTTAAAAAAATTTTAATTAAAAAAAAAAAGTAGAGACAAGGTCTCACCATGTTGCCCAGGCTGGTCTCAATCTCCTGGGTTCAAGCTATCCTCCCTCTTCAGCCTCCCACAGTGCTGGAATTACAGGAGTGAGCCATTGAGCCTGGCCTAAAGTGTAATTATTGACATAACATCAACCTCATCCTCTTGAATGTCAGAGCTGGAAAGAATTTTTGGATCAATGTGTATTATGCTACATCTATTCTTCCTGCTTTTGATAAATATTCTTCCTGCTTTTGATAAAACCTCTTAAGTACTGGGTTTTGCCTAGATGCTGGGAAGATAGGTTGGGGAGGAAGACAGAAGAGGTATCTGCTCTAGGTGTTCCCGGCTGAAGATGCAGACAGGAGGAATGAATTATTTTGTCTGCCTTCAAAGTCACATCAAATTCCTGGGCTGCACAGTCTGGTGTCTGGTCCACCACGATGTCCTGAGGGGCAATTAGCCTTCCTCAAGGAGGTGACAGACAGATTGAGACCTGGAAAGGTTCACTGAGCTAGGGGTACTGAGAGAAGTCCCAACCTAGACAACAAGACGATCATTCTGATCCTCCTCCTTAGCCTCTCAACTGAGATCTGCCAATTCTGTCTTCCAAACCTCTCCGGAACCAAAACACCCCCTCCATGCCCACATCCCCTCTCTGGGTTCCTGAATTATTTCAACACCCTCCAAACCAGTTTCTGCCTGTTTCTTCTTCACACAGCACCAGAGGGATCTTTGCAGAAAGTCAGGCTCCCCATGCCCTTCCCCTGTTGAACACCTTCCCTGTCTCTCCATCACTGCAAGAGAAAAGCCCCGACTCCTTCCCACAGCCCACAAAGCTCTGCAGCATCCAGCCCTGCAGACACCTCTGATCTCTTCTCTCACCTCCACCACATCCTGTCCACTCTGCACTTCATGCAAGGCCCCAGGCTCGCTTCCTTCCTGCTAGGCCTTTGCACCTGCTAGATTCTGTGACCAGTGCACTCTTCCAAGGATCCCCACCCATGCCTCTGGCATGTATACACACGCCTGGCCCTCCCTCCCTGGACCAGGTTAATCTCTGCTGCTCCTGCCTCATCAGTTACAGGTGCTCACTTTACTGTGAAGGCTTGTTGAAGGATCTAGCTTCCCCAACTTGGACCTTTGTCCCCCTGTTAGCTGCTGAATCTGTGCCTAGCATAGAGAGCTCAGGAAATGCCATTGCTAGAATGTTATTAAACAAATGCCCCCATTCACACCTCTTCCTCTGAACTCCATTTTTTTCATCCACAAAAGGACATTATAAAACACCCTGCTGGTGTTTAATCTATGTGTCTATCAAATCAGTCATATGAAGTCTCTAACATGCACGCAATAAACACTATGTAATGTTGTTGTATTGTTTCCAGACCAGTAATGGCTGGCTCCATGGAGGCAGCTTTATCAGTCCCAGCATTTTCCATAAGGCAAGCACTAACTATTTATTGGACACATGAATGAATTAATGAATGACCAATGAATGAACATGTGGCTGGCCATGGGCAAATTACTTAATATCTGTGTGCCCTAGTTTCTGTGTGTGTGTGTGTGTGTGTGTGTGTGTGTGTGTGTGTACTCACCCAGGATGGAGTGCAGTGGTGCGATCTACACTCACTGTAACCTCTGCCTCCTGGGTTCAAGCAATTCTCGTGCCTCAGCCTCCCAAGTAGGGGGAATTACAGGTGAGCAGCACCATGCCCTGCTCATTTTTTTTTTTTTTTTTTGAGACGGAGTCTCACTCTGTCGCCCAGGTGGGAGTGCAGTGGTGCGATCTTGGCTCACTGCAACCTCCACCTCCTGGGTTCAAGCGATTCTTCTGCCTCAGCCTCCTGAGTAGCTGGGACTACAGGCATGCACCACCATGCCCAGCTAATTTTTGTATTTTTAGTAGAAACAGGGTTTCACCATATTGGTCAGGCTGGTCTTGGATTCCTGACCTGGTGATCCACCCGCATCGGCCTCCCAAAGTGCTGGGATTGCATTTTTTTTTTTTTTTTTGAGACAGAGTCTCACTTGTTGCCCAGGCTGGAGTGCAGTGCAATCTCAGCTCACTGCAACCCTTGCCTCCCAGGTTCAAGCGATTCTCCTGTCTCAGCCTCCTGAGTAGCTGGGACTACAGGCATGTACCACCACACCCGGCTAATTTTTGTATTTTTAGTAGAGACAGGGTTTCGCCATGTTGGCCTGGCTGGTCTCGAACTCCTGACCTCATGTGATCCACCCACCTTGGCCTCCCAAAGTCATTTTCGTATTTTTATTAGAAACGAGGTTTCACCATTTTGGCCAGGCTGGTCTTGAACTCCTAGCCTCAAGTGATCCGCCCGCCTCGCCTCCCAAAGTGCTAGAATCACAGGTGTGAGCCATGCACCTGACCCAGAAATTTATTTTAAACAGATAATATATACATATGGCAAATAGAAAGTTAAAAGAGAACAAAGAACCAAAGTTCACAATGAAAAGTAAGCCTGCATGCCTACCCTACCTTTTCTTCAGGTATTCAATGCACAAGCATACGATGCATAGATAGCTCTATTATTTTTCCAATTTTACACATGAAGAAGCAGAAGCACTGAAAGGTTATAGAACTTAGACTGTGCTAAGATTTATCAGTCAGGAGTTTTGTTTCATTTGTGTATATCAGGGCTTCACAACCTTTACGCTATTCGGCATTTTTTGCAGGGTTTTTTTTGGGGGGGTAGTGGCAGGGCTGGGGGTGGAAAGGGTGTCCTATGCACCGCAGAATGTTTAGCAGCATTCCAGGCCTCTACTCACTAGATGCCAGTATCGCCTCTCCACTTCCCCAGTTATGACAACCAAAAATGTCTTCAGAGATTGCCAAATGTCGTGGTGGTGGAGGGATGTCAGGGCAAAATCCCTGATAAATGGAGAGAATGTGGTATATCCACAAAAACTCCCTCCAAAACCACTGGTGTGTATGACTATACATCAGACCACCCCTTTCTTTTTTCTGTGTTTTACACAAACAGTAGCACGAATACACCCCGCTGCGGGTCTACTTTTCTTTTCTTACACCACTTTTTGGTGATCATTCCACTTCATTGCTTACAGGCAGAAAGGAACTTCTCTTAAACAGAACTGACCGGGAGAAGTGGTGAGCTGCCCGTCCTAGGGGTAAGCCAGCGAGCAGACAGGGGCTTCCAGGGCGGCGGGGCGGGGTTCCCGGGGCGAGCCTCCGGGAAACTTCCCGACCAGCCTCTGCTCACCTCGCGGTCCCGAGGCGCAGTGGAGGGGATGGGGCGGGGCGGGGCGGGGCCGCGTATCGGGCCCGCCCCCGTACGTCACGTCGCCGCGGCCCCGCCCCCGCGCGGGCACCTCCCCCTTCCCCGGCTGGGGCGGCTGGAGAGCCGGGAGTCGCTGGGTGCGTGGGGCTGCCTCGCCGCGTCTCGCCACGGTAGGTGGCCCTGGGGCGGCAGGGGGTGGCCTCGGGTTGCAACCGGGGGCGCGGGCTGGGGGCCGTGCGGGTCGGCCTCGGGCGCCTGGCAGCCCTCCGTCCTGGCGGCTGCCTCCGGGCCCGGCGCGACTGCTCGGGCTCCGGGGCTGGGAGCTGGGATCTGGGAGGCAGGCAGGCGGCGCGGGCGCGCGGTTCTGGGATCCGCACCCGCTCGGCGTCCCGAGCGCTTTCCGCGGGGTGCGGCATCCACCGGGCCCCCGTTACCACGCTTCCCGCTTCGGACCCAGCGCCTGGGAGACGCTCAGCGTCTGTTGGCGGGGGGACTGGGGGGGAGGGCGGCGCGTCCCCGCCTCCGGAGTCCCCAACCTCGCCCAGGCGCGCGGGGACCCCCAGGCGGGCGCCAGGGCGCGTGGAAGTTAACTTGCAGCAGCCGTGGAGTTGCGAGGAGCGTCAGAAGTGGAGGCGTTGGGGGCGGAAATCGTCGGCTGGGGAGGTGGGCGCTGGGAGCACTGGGTTGGGGAGCCCTAGTGAACTTGGAGGTCACTGGTGAGGAGTGGAGAGGAATTTGACCCGAGGATCCCACCCCAACCCCCAACCTCCCTCCGTAAACTCCGCTTCTCGGTGTGAGCTGGATGGGAGGTGCCCGGAAAGCCGGGACTGGGACTGGTAGCAGGGGACTGGGAGCATGGGCTCAGAGGCTGAGCACGCCTGACCTGGCAGAGTCGTTGTTAGATGGGACAGAGGTCGAGGTCTGGCATTCCCACTCAAAGGCCCGTTCCCTAGGGAAGGAACCATCCACCTCAGCAGAGTCATTAGAAAGAACCGTGCCTAACCTCTTGCCCCCTTCCCCTTTTACAGATGGGGAGACTGAGGCTTGGAGAGGTCACCTGCCCGTGACCCTAGGATTCACAGCTAGGATGTGGCAGAGCTGAAACTCACTCACAGGCCTCCTGACTTAATGTCCTTGGGGATGTTGAGGAGGCGGGCTGTTGAACTCCTACTTATCCTACAGAAGCCCCCTCAAGCAGCACCTCCTCCGGGAAGCCTTCCCTGGCATTCTCCTGGTATTGTTGGGTGCTTCCTGTTTTGAACCCCACAGAGTTAGCCAGCCCTTTTTCTCACTTCCCAACAGACATTCCCTTGCATGTCTGTCTGCCAGACTGGGCTGTGGGTGGACACCTCTCCCTAGCCTCCATGTGATAACCCTTTCATCTCAGCAGGGTGGTCTGCTGGCGAGGGTAGGCTTCTGGATTTGAACAGATCTGTGACACACCGGATTTAGTAGTGATGTGGCCCGGGCGACGCATTTTCCTTCCGATCTAGTCTCAGTTTCCATAACTGTAAAGCTGGGTTTATTTCATTGTCCTAAAGGAACTGTTGGGTCATTTCTGAATCCCCCCACCCCACTGAACCCCAATTGTACTGTTGTTTACTTAATATACATCTTTGTATCACCTGATTTTTAAAAATCTCATGCAAACTTTTTTTATAACAGCTTTGTTGAGATACAGTTCACATGCCGTACAATTCACCCTTTTAAAGTATATGTTTCCGTAATTTTTAGGATGTTCAGAGTTGCATAGTCATCACCACTGTCTAATTTTAGAACATTTTTATCATGCCCAAAAGAAAGGCTGTTTCATGGTCACTCCCCAATCCTTTCTTCCCCTATCCCTTGGCAACCACTTACTGACTCTCAAATTCTCTATGAATTTGCCTGTGCTGGACATTTCATATAAATGCAGTCATATACTATGTGGCCTTTGGTATCTGATGCTTTTCACTTCAGAGAATGTTTCTAAGGTTCAGCCCCTTGCAGCCTGTATCAGTACTTCATTCCTTTTTTTTTTTTTAAGTACTTCGTTCCTTTTTATGGCTGCATAATATTCTATTATGTGGATATACCACATTCTATCCATTTGTCAGCTGATGGATGTTTGGGTTGTTTCTAACTTTTGACTATTATGAATAATACTGCTATGAACATTCATGTACAGGTCTTTGGACATACATTTTCAGTTCTCTCAGGTATATTTCTAGGAGTGGAATGATTGGGTCGTAAGGTAACTTTAGGTTTCACCTTTAAATATTTTTTTAATTTATTTTATTATTTATTTATTTTGTAGAGATAGGGGTCCCACTATGTTGCCCAGGCTGGTCTTGAACTCCTGGTCTCAAGCGATCCTCCTACCTCAGGCTCCCAAAGTGCTGGGATTATAGGTGTGAGCCACTGCACCCAGGTTTAACCTGTTGAGGACCTGCCAGACTATTTTTCCAGAACAGCTGTACCATTTTATATTCCTACCACCAGTGTATGAGGGTTCCAATAATCTTAAATACATTTAGTGTTCTCTGAAGCAGTCATAACCCTTGAAATCACTGGCTTTGATGTGTTAGTTGTAAACTATTTTCAGGCCGGGCACGGAGGCTCACACCTGTAATCCCAGCACTTTGGGAGCTAAGGTGGGCAGGTCACCTGAGGTCAGGAGTTCGAGACCAGCCTATCCAATATGGTGAAACCCCGTCTCTACTAAAAATACAAAAATTAGCCAGGTGTGGTGGTGCGTGCCTGTAACCCCAGCTACTTGGGAGGCTGAGGCAGGGGAATCGCTTGAACCCAGGAGGCAGAGGTTGCAGTAAGCCAAGATCAATCACACCACTGCACTCCGGTCTAAGTGACAGAGCAAGACTCTGTGAAAATACCGAAGCAAGGAGAGGCAGTGTAGGACCCAGTGGCTTACAGAGCCCACCCCAGGAGCTGGCACACAGTATTAGGAGGGGGTGAAAGGAAGGTGGAAGCTGCTCGGATCTTCCCATCCCGGGCCAGCCTGGAGCCCCCTTGCCAGCTGAGGCTTTGTGGAGGCCAGGGAGACCCTCCATGGCTCTCCTAGACCATAACTGAAGGGGAAGACTTGTCCCTTGACCCCAAAATTAAGTCTGGTCCTGCCCACACCCTATCTGGAACCCCCCACGCTACTCTGAAGGTGACTTCTCTGGGTGGCCACCGGAGTGTCCTATGTGAGTTGCTGCTTATTTCAAGAGGGGCCACCCCCCAGGCCTGAGATGAGCAGTCCTGAGTTACAGACGCTTCATCTGTGAACATTCTGCACACACAGACATCTTCCCCCTCCTCTCAGCACCTTCCCCACCCCTAGGACCCTGTGTTTCTTCCTTCACACTCTTTGCTTCAGCAAGAGGCTGCACCGGAAGAACTCAGGTCAGAACCCAGCGTTTTCACAGAGGAAGAGTTCCTTGAGAAGGTAGGTAGTTCACCCCAGCTTGAACCTGTACTCTGCTGGTTCAGGAACTTAGACCAGCACTTATCTGCGTGTTCCAGTTTCCTGACAACTTGGTTCATCTGGGCAGCTGCTGTTTGGGAATGGTGTTAAGACCACGCCTCCCAGCCGCTGTATCTGGCACCTCGTGACTTTATTCTTTTTTGCATACTTGCCTTTCCTTGTCCTTTTAAAATCCTGAGTTCCTGTGCATTAAGAAAGCAGCCTAGGCCGGGTGCATGGCTCATGCTTGTAATCCCAGCACTTTTGGAGGCTGAGGTGGATGGATTGGTTGAACCTAGGAGTTTGAGACCAGCCTGAATAACATAGTGAAACTCCATCTCTACAAAAAATACAAAAATTAGCCAGGCGTGGTGGTGCGCGCCTGTATTCCCAGATAGCCGGGAGGCTGAGGTGGAAGGATCGCTTGAGTAGAGGTTGCAGAGAGCTGAGATTGCACCACTGCACTCCAGCCTGGGCAACAGGGCGAGATTGTAGGGTATTAGGTCAGTACATAAAAATCAATTAAATATTAAAAAAAGAAAGAAAGAAAGCAGCCTAGGGACATGGAGACGGGGTGGGAAGGCTCCCTAGGCAAGGAACTGCCGCTCTCTGGGTGTCAGTGTACCCTACTGAGGAATGGGCATAGACCATTCAGAACTAAGATGTGGTGGTGCCTTGGGATCGGTTAGGCTGTTGAAATGTATTATTATGATTATTATTATTATTATTTTTGAGACGGAGTTTCGCTGTGTTGTCCAGGCTGGAGTGCAGTGGCGTGATCTCGGCTCACTCCAAGCTCTACCTCCCGGGTTCACGCCATTCTCCTGCCTCAGCCTCCCGAGTAGCTGGAACTACAGGCATATGCCTGACTAATTTTTTTGTATTTTTAGTGGAGACAGGGTTTCCCCGTGTTAGCCAGGATGGTCTCGATCTCCTGACCTTGTGATCCGCCCGCCTCGGCCTCTCAAAGTGCTAGGATTACAGGTGTGAGCCACCACGCCTGGCCTGAAATGTATTATTGATGTGACTTTGTGGGTGTATTTGTAGTAAGAGTGGCAGATCAGATGTAGCTTCACAGCCTGGGGTTGGTGACCAGAATGTACTTTCTTGGAAAAATGCATGTGGCTTGTGTGGCTTTGATGCCCCACGTGGCACCAGGGAAGCTTCTCTGGGTAGCAGCAGCTCCTGCTCCCCGACTTGCTGCCTATTCCGATTGCTTGCAAGTCCCCGTGCCCTCTGAGGACCTGCATGTACCCGGTCTGGGGCCCCTCCAGAGATCTGGGATGACTGTCCCCTCCCGTCACTTCTCAGGTCTCCCCCACCCTTTACTGCAGCCAGAGGAGGATTTGTGGGAATGATTCATTCAGAGCTGCTTGAGATCTTGGCCAGCCCCCAGAAATTGCAGGGAAGGACCTCAGAGGCAGTGCCCACAGGCCCTAGGGAACGTCTGGGGCTGATGGCCCAGGGAGAAACTTCTTATCCTATGTGCTCAGATGGCGGGCAGCCAGCCCGTCTGCCGAGTGACTTTGTATCAGTAAGACTTTTGACTGGGGCTTCTGCAGCCAGAAAGCAGGCAGGCAGCCCAGAAAGCAGGCAGTGTGATAGGGAGCTAGGGGGCACTGGCCTGTATTAGAATCCAGGTGCTCCACATCTTTCTGGGGCTGTTGGCTGTTTCTCTATGCTTTGGTTTTCTCATCTGTTGAATGCAGGTATAAGTAGGACCTATCTTCCAGGGGTGCTGGATGGAAGGGAATGGTGGTAAAGCACTTATCTTGGTACCAGGCAAAAGCTGAGGCCCTGGGGTTAAACAGGCTCTTTGGAATTTTGAACATGTTCGTTTGTGAACCTTAGTTCCTCCGTCTGTCAAAAGGCAACAATTATAAATACAGCCAATATCAACAGGGCTTACTGGGTGCCAGACACTGTTCTAGGCACTGTATGTGGTTTAACTCATTTAATTCCCCCAACAGCCATATGATGTGAACAGGCTGAGGCTCAGAGAGGTGAAGTAATTTGCACAAGGTCACCCAGCTAGGAAGTGGGAGACATAGGATTTGGATCCAGAATCTTTCTTTTTTTTTTGTTTTGGGTTTTTTTGTTTGTTTGTTTTGAGACAGGGTCTTGCTCTGTTGCCTAGGCTGGAGTGCTGTGGCACAATCATAGCTCACTATAACCTTGAACTTCTGGGCTCAAGCGATCATCCCACCTTGGCCTCTCAAGTGCTGGGGTTACAGGCGTGAGCCACCACACCCAGCCCAGACTCTACACTCTGAATTCTCATTCTTACTCCTCCTTGATATCCCATCTTAAGGCCTAGCACATAGAAAACACACAGAAAACATCAGGTGTTGTTATAACTATTCTGAATAAATATTGATCCGCTCTCCATCCCTCTGTCCACACTCCTTCCCTGATGATCAGAACATGCAGGGCTCTTGGCCTGTAAAGTCCAGATTCCCACCCACTCCTCCCTACTCGCTCTGTTCCTCCCACTCCCACACTCTCATGCACAGCAGAGCTTGGAAGCAGCCAAGTCCCAACTCTTCCTCCAAATTGCTGTGTGACATTGGGCAAGGAGCTTCCCCTCTCTGAGCCCCAGTTTCCGTACATGTTAAATGGGTGAGTTCACCCTGCTGCATGTTTTTTGTTGAGCTCCCATGCTACGTGTGTGTTTTTAAAATTGAGTCAACATTCAAACATTTCTAGAGAAAAATTCTGATTTCTCATTTCTCTTGGAAACCCAGGAGCTTAGGCCAAACTGGAGTGGCCTGAAGCTGCCCCTTAGGTGGCCTGGACTCTCCCAGTCACTGTGGTTCCCCCTACTCCCCATTGTCACGTAAGTGCGGCTTTTCAGGGGATCTGAGGATGCCTTAGGCCTGCCTCGTGCCACCTGAATAAGCAGTTCCATTGCTTTAAAAACAATTTTTTTTTTTTGAGACGAAGTCTCGCTCTTGTCGCCCAGGCTGGAGTGCAATGGCATGATCTTGGTTCCTTGCAACCTCCGTCTCCTGGGTTCAAGCTATTCTTCTGCCTCAGCCTCCCAAGTAGCTGGGATTACAGTCGCATGCCACCACGCCCAGCTAATTTTTGTATTTTTAGTAGAGACAGGGTTTCACCATATTGGCCAGGCTGGTCTCGAACTCCGCCTGCCTTGGCCTCCCAAAGTGCTGGGATTACAGGTGTGAGCCATCGCGCATGGCACAATTTTTTTTTTTTTTTGACACGCTCCAAGAGCCCTTCCAGCTCTGTGTTTCTAGGATATTGGAGGTTGTCTGAGGCCTCCTGATACCCTGTCTGCCATTTTAAGCCCTCAAGGCATTTTTTTTTTTTTTTTTTTTGAGATGGAGTTTCCTTCTGTCGCCCAGGCTGGAGTGCAGTGGTATGATCTTGGCTCACTGCAACCCCTGCCTCCTCGGTTCAAGTGATTCTCCTGCCTCAGCCTCCTGAGTAGCTGGGATTACAGGTGCCTACTACCATGCCCAGCTAATTTTTGTATTTTTTTGGTAGAGACGGGGTTTCACCCTGTTGGCCAGGCTGGTCTTGAACTCCTCACCTCAAGTGATCTGCCCGTGTCAGCCTCCCAAAGTACTGGGATTACAGGTGTGAGCCACTGTGCCTGGCCTTTTATTTGTTTTGTTCTTTTTTTTTTTTTTTTTCCTTTTTGAGATGGAGTCTCGCTCTGTTGCCCAAGCTAGAGTGCAGTGGTGTGATCTCGGCTCACTGCAACCTCTGCCTCCCAGGCTCAAGCGATCCTCCCACCTCAGCCTCCCAGAGTGCTGGGACTGGAGGTTGTCCCCATTGCATACTCCCTGTGTGGGGAGTTCCTGTCTCTGGGCGCTAGGGTGCCGTGCCACCTTACCTGGTACAGGCCCCTACCTAACTGTTGTTCCCCACAGTGAGATATTTGTTATTGACCACGCCATTTCCCAGAAGCCAAGGCTTGGAAATAGTCACTTTCCCGAGGTCACACAGGCCTGAGATTCAGCACCAGGACTCAAAGCCCATCTGCCCAACTTCAGAGGCTGTCAGTGGAAGTCATGCCTTGATCCCAGCACTGCACGGATAGCCACTGAGTGACGTCTTCCACTAGAATAAGGACACATGAGAACCCTCAACTGGATGTTGGGGTGCAAGATTTAAGAAGCAACGAGGTCCTAGTTGTCCTGGAGTTTACGTTCTGGTGGAGGCATCAGGCAAGAAAAAGTAACCCACATCTCTGACGTGAGATGTCAGCCTATGAAGTTGAGTACCCAGGCCTCTCAGATCTTAACATGCATATGATCCCCTTGGGGAACTTGTTAAAGTGCAGATTCTGTGTTTTTGGTTGTTTTTGTTTTTGTTTCTGTTTAGATGGAGTTTCGATCTTGTTGCCCAGGCTGGAGTGCAATGGTACAACCTCGGCTCACTGCAACCTCTGCCTCCCGGGTTCAAGCGATTCTCCTGCCCCAGCCTCCCAAGTAGCTGGGATTACAGACACCTGCCACCATGCCCGGCTAATTTTTGTATTTTTAGTGGAGACGGGATTTCACTGTGTTGGCCAGCCTGGTCTCAAACTCCTGACCTCAAGTGATCTGCCTGCCTCCACCTCCCAAAATGCTGGGATTACAGGCGTGAGCCACAGCGCCCGGCTAAAGTGCACATTCTGATTAGCAGGTTTGGGGCAGAGACTAAGACTGTGTTTCTAACCAGTTTCCAGGGGCCTCTGATGGTGTTTGTCTAAAGACCACATTTGGAATAGTGAGGGTCTGGATCAGAAATTGGCAGATTACCACTCATAGGCCACATCCGGCCCGCTACCTGTATTTGTAAATAAAGTTTTATCGGAACACAGCTATGCTTATTTATTGACATTTTGTCTGTGGCTGCTGTTGTGTAACAAAAGCAGAGTGGAGTAGTTGTGATAGAGACCAGAGAGCCCACATTGCTGGCCTTTGAAGAGAAAGTCTGCCAGTTGCTTTTCTAATCATCTTTTGAGTCCCTACAAGTTATAAAACTTTGATTTGGTGAGTGTTAGATGCTGATAAAAATAGTAATGATTGCAGTTAAGACTTGGGTGCTTTCTGGGTACTTAGCTCTTTACGTTTATTTTTCTTAGCTCAATTCTATCATAGGCAATACTACTGTCTCCACTTTACAGGCGAGAAAACTGAATAGAGGCTGGGCCATTGGCCCAGAGTTTGTGGACCAATGAGTAGGTGAGGCCAATTTGAGTCAAGTTGACTGATTCTTATTGGACAGGAGCTTCTGCCTAGAACTTTTTCCCAGAGCACAGAGAGGGTTTAGTTTAGATTTCCTTCTGTCCCAGAGTGTTCTGGTGCCTTCATTTCTTTCTCAATCCATCCTTCTGTTTACTCAACAAATACCTGTGCACCCTGTGCTGGAAGTTTGGGGACCATGCTGGGTTCTGAGAGGATGTGGGGACTAGGATGGGGTCCCAGCCCTGCACATTCCATGGGGTTGGCAGGGAAGCAACACCAGAAGCCACACAGGATGCTAAGCACCTTGGGGGATACTGGTACAGGGACAGGAGGCAGTCAGGGAAGACTTCCTGGAGGAAGGGGTGCAAATGATGCCAGTAGGAGTTAGCTTTGTAGAGGAGGTCAGGAAAGGTTTTCCAAGGAGAGAGAATCACAAGTGCAAAAGTTTGGAGGTGTGAGACTCTGTGGCCTGGTATGTTTGGTAGAGTTCAGGGCACAAAGACTATAGTGTGTGTGTGTGTGCGTGTGTGTGTGTGTGTGTGTGTGTGTGTGTGTGTATGTATGTTGAGGGTTGGGGGAATCGGTGGTGTTATAATAAAATTGGAGGTCAGCAGGAGTTAAGTCACAACAGAGCCTCAGTGCGATGCCAAAGGACTTGAATTTTGCCCTGGAGGCTGCTGTTGCCTAGTATGAAGTGCTAAATCACAGAGCGAAAGTCTTCCTCCCCACCCTCTGATGACTTTCCGGAGAAAGCCTCCATTAGGTGCTAACGCGTCTTTAGTGCTTCTCCCCAGACTCCTCTTGTTTAACAAAGATCGGACACAACCGGCTCCTTTGGGGATCCTTCCTTAGGCTGGCGGCCGTCTCTAGCCAGAAGGCATAAAAAAACATTGCTTCCTTCGATTTTATTTTTGCATTAATTTTTTAATTAGGGCATGTTTTAAATTTAATCCAGTGGATTATAGTTTCCCTTGAAAATATGTTTTAAAAATATTGGATCCATTGAACAAAAATGAATACGATTAAAGGGGGTTCTGGATGTAATTAACATTGGGAAGGTAGTGTTCAGAAGCTTGGAATTTGGAGAGCCCCACAACAGGTGAGAGGGCTGGAGGGGGCTGGGCCAGTAGTCACCTCTCTCTCAACATTCCCCTTCTTCCCTGGATACCCAGGGGCCTTGACTGAAGGGCGGGATGGCTGTGTAGCTAAGATGTGGGTGCAGGGATGTAGGTGCCCGTTGATGGTGTAGGAGCTGAGGTTCCTGTTCCAGGCTGCTGCTAGTGCTCATCTCTCTCCTTCTCTGTCTGGTGATTTTCTTATTCTTCTTTTCTTTCTTTCTTTTTTTGAGATGGTCTTGCTCTGTTGCCCAAGCTGGAGTGCAGGGGCAGCATTGCAGCCTTGAACTCCTGGGCTCAAGCAATTCTCCTGCCTCAGCCTCTCGAGTAGCTGGGACTACAGGTACAGACCACCACACCTGGTTCATTTTTTATTTTTTGTAGAAATGGGGTCTCACTATGTTGTTCAGGCTGGTCTTGAACTCCTGGGCTCAAGCAATCCACCTGCCTCAGCCTCCCAAAGTACTGGGATTACAGACGTAAGCCTCTGTACCCAACTTGTCTTGGTTTCTATTTTTGTCTCCCTGCCTCTCTCTCCCTCCCACCCATCCCCCCAACTCACGTCTTTCCCTGTCTCTGTCACTCTTTCTGTCTTACTCCCATCTTTGCCTCTCCTCTGACTCTCTCTCCCCATCTACATCCTCTGTCTCTATCTCCCTCTGTCTCTGCCTCTGTCTGTTTTTTTCTCTCTCTGTCTTCTTCCGCCCCAATCTGCACCACTTCCCCCTTCCTTCCCGCTGCCGACCCCAAGCCCACACAGGTGCCAGCACGGCCCTTCCTTTCTCTCATTAAAAACTTTTCATCCCACTTGCTTTGGCTGGTGGCTGACATCCTGCCACAGAACCATCCGGACCCTTGCAGAGCCCGGGGGCTCAGCCAGAAACCTTTGGAGGTGTGAGAAAGTGGTAGTAGCTACTTCCCAGGTGGAAGACAGAGGCCCTGTGGAGTCAGGCACCTGGCAAGGCCGCCCTACAAGGCCATGGTTTCCTCTCAACCCACACCCTTTCCACGCCCCCAGGGCCCTCCCTTCCCCACCGGGCCCCAGGGCTGTGGGGAAGAAGAGGAAGCCTGGGCTAGCAGCAGGACGGCAGATGCTGTTTTTGGTTTGATTTGGTTTGGGGTACTGGGGGAGTGTCGGCTACCCTTCCTCTGAGCACTGCTGGAAGCTGCATGCAGTAGGTGCCTTTGCCCTTCATTCTGCTACGTGGTCATTCCTTGCTCAAGTGCACAGTAGACCAGCAGTGCATATTTGATGGCTAAGAGTTTTGGGAAGAAAAACAAGGTTAGAAACTGAGTCTTGCCTCCAGGCTGGGCACAGTGGCTCACACCCATAATCCCAGCACTCTGGGAGGCCAATGCGGGCGGATCACTTGCGTGAGCTCAGGGGTTCAAGACCAGCCTGAGCAACATGGCGAAACCCTGTCTCTACAAAAAAGTACAAAAATCAGCCGGGCATGGTGGTGCATGCTTTATTCCCAGCTACTTTGGAGGCTGAGGTGGGAGGATTGCTTGAGCCTGGGAGGTCAAGGCTGCAGTGAGCCAAGATCACGCCACTGCACTCTAGCCTGGGTGACAGAGTGAGACCCCGTCTCAAAAAAAAAAAAAAAAGAAAGAAAGAAATAGGGTCCAGCTTTTTCTTTTCACAGATGGGGAAACTGAGGCCCAGAGAGTTGAGGTAACTTGTTCTGGATCATGCAAATAGCTTGGAAATAATGGGGTCTGGGTCTTCCATGCCTCAGAAACTGGGAACAGTGCACCCCTGTGTTGAGCTGGTGGCTGCTTTGACATCCCTCAGCGGTTGTTGTGTAGACACCGACTTCTGAGAGATGGGAGATTCTGGTTCGAGGCCTGGTTTGCTCTCCTCTACCTACTGCGGGACTCTGGGCAAAATCTTCCTTCTCTGAGGACCTTGGGGTCCCCAGGCATAGTCCCCATGGCACAGTCCTGAGGATCGCAGAGCGTGGTCAGGTTTGCAGGGTCGGAGGTTGCTGACCTCACCGTGGATGGAGGGCTTCTTCAACACAGGTTGCTGTACCCCACTTCCAGAGTTCCCATTCAGCGTGGTCTCCTTGAGCCCTGATAATCTGCATTTTGTGTAGGTTCCTAAGCGCTGTTCCTGCTGGTCAGAGAACCCACGTTGAGAGCTGGGGTAGTAGAGGTGCAGCAGACGAAGCACACGGGCGCTAAAACCTGCTGTGAGATCTCAGGCAACGACTTCACCTTTCTGTGCCTTGGCTTCCTCAGCTGTAAAATGGAATGACAGAGCACTGTCCTCATAGATTAGTTGTGAGGATTAAATGAGCGATTGGGAGGCGGAGATGCGCGGATCACCTGAGGTCAGGAGTTCAAGACCAGCCTATATAATTGATTTTAATTGAAATTCCTTTTGGTAATTCTTAAAGATAATAATACATTTTGATGTTTACTCATGAACATTACTGATATTCCTTCCTCCAGCTACATGATAATGTTTTCTCTCCTGTGGGTGAGATCTAAGAAATGAAACTCGGCCAGGCATGGTGGCTAATGCCTGTAATCCTAGCACTTTAGGAGGTCTAGACCTCCTCCTGAGGTCAGGAGTTTGAGACCAGCCTGGCCAACATGGTGAAACCCCATTTCTACTAAAAATACAAAAATTAGCCAGGCATGGTGGCTCAAGCCTGTAATCCCAGCTACTCAGGAGGCTGAGGCAGGAGAATCACTTGAACCTGGGAGATGGAGGTTGCAGTGAGCCGAGCTTGTGCCACTGCATTCCAGCCTGGGTGGCAGACAGAGTGAGACTCTGTCTCAAAAAAAAAAAAAAAAAAAAAAATGGCCGGGTGCAGTGGCTCACACCTGTAATCCCAGCACTTTGGGAGGCCAAGGCGGGCAGATTACAAGGTCAGGAGTTCGAGACCATCCTGGCTAACACGGTGAAACCCCATCTCTACTAAAAAAATACAAAAAATTAGCTGGGCATGGTGGCACACACTTGTAGTCCCAGCTACTACTCGGGAGGATGAGGCAGGAGAATCGCTTGAACCTGGGAGGTGGAAGTTACAGTGAGCCAAGATAGTGCCACTACACTTCAGCCTGGGCGACAGAGCGAGACCTTGTCTCAAAAAAAAAAAGAGCAAATATTTGTAAAGTGTGTAGAAAACCCCCCAGGCACACAGTAAGCACTATATGCATGTTCACTTTTTTTTTTTTTTTTTTTAAAGACAGGGTTTTGCCCTGTCACCCAGGCTGGATTGCGGTGGCATGATCATAGCTTGCTGCAGCCTTGAATTCCTGGGCTCAAGTGATCTCACCCTCCCAAGTAGCAGGGACTACAAGTATGCACCACCACGCTTGGCTAATTTAATTTTCTTTTTTTTTTTTTTTTTTGCAACAGAGTCTCGTTCTGTCGCCCAGGCTGGAGTGCAGTGGCGCAATCTCAGCTCACTGCAAGCTCCGCCTCCCGGGTTCACACCATTCTCCTGCTTCAGCCTCCCGAGTAGCTGGGACTACAGGCATCTGCCACCACGCCCGGCTAATTTTTTGTATTTTTAGTAGAGACGGGGTTTCACTGTGTTAGCCAGGATGGTCTCAATCTCCTGACCTTGTGATCCACCCGCCTCGGCCTCCCAAAGTACTGGGATTACAGGTGTGAGCCACCGCGCCCGGCCTTTTTTTTTAGAGACAGGGTCTTGCTATGTTGCCCAGGCTGGTCTTGAACTCCTTGTCTCAAGTGATTCTCCCACCTCAGCCTCCCAAAATGCTTGGGATTATAGGCATGAGCTACTGTGCCCGGCTTTGTCTTACTATTATTGTTGTTATTCTTATTGCCATGATTATTTACCTTCCCCTCCTCCACAAAGACAATTCTGTTCACAGTGAATTCCTTGCCATTCTCCAAATTTCCAGTGTGCTTTCACACTTCTACCCGCTGCTCGAGCTGTTCCTTCTACTTGGGACGCTTCCTCTAACTTCTGCACGTGTTAAAATGCTGGCATTCTTTTCGACTCAGCTCAGATTCCTTCCTCTGATGTCTGTGATGACATGACTTGCTTCCCCTAACCAAGCTCTTATTTCATTCTGTGAATTATCCTGTTACTTGGGTGTCAATCTCCTGTGCTGACCCTCAGGCTCCTGTAGATCTGACTTGGGGCTTTGCTGGTACAGAGAGTCTCCCAGGAATGTTACTTTCAAAGTCCAGCTTTGATGGTGTTTCAAGAAGACCAGCTCCATCGTTGTCAGTGGCAGCTGTCAGAGAAGCCTTCCAAGGCATATGGGGTGGAGCCCCATTGGGACGTGGGATTTCCTTAATTAGTAAGAGTGTGAACTTAGCACTCCACAGTCCCAGGTTCATGTCTGTGTTTTGCCATTTAGTGTGATGCAGCCTCGGATAATTTCCTTAAATTTTTTTGTGTGTCCTTTGCATCTTCATTTTATTTTATTTTATTTTATTTATTTATTTTTTATTTATTTACTTATTTATTTATTTTGAGATGGAGTCTCGCTCTGTCACCCAGGCTGGAGTGCGGTGGCACGATCTCGGCTCACTGCAACCTCCGCCTCCCAGGTTCAAGCAATTTTCCTGCCTCAGCCTCCTCAGTAGCTGGGATTACAAGCACACATCACCAGGCCCGGCTAATTTTTTTGTATTTTTAGTAGATACGGGGTTTCACCATGGTGGTCAGGCTGGTCTGGAACTCCTGACCTCATGATCCGCCCACCTTGGCCTCCCAAAGTGCTGGGATGACAGGCGTGAGCCACTGCGCCCGGCCTGCATCTTCATTTTAAAAGGATGCCATCATCATTTACAGCAGCGGGTTTTTGTGAGGATTCAGTGGGGTCTCATTTCTGCAGCAAATATGAGCACCTCCTGTGTGCCTGCTCTATGCCGGATGCCGGGAATCCAGCAGTGAGCAGGAGAGACCCTGTTCCTGCCCTGGGAGAGCTGATATTTTAGATGGACACAAGGGGAGGTATAGAAATGATAGTGTCGCTGTCTCCGGAGGATGCAGCAGGAAGGAGATGGTCTTTGAGAAGTGTTCTGTGCGTGGTCTTGCAAGTAGGAGGCCCTTAGCAATTGGTAAGTGTGATGATTACTGTTATTGCCGTAATTATTTGGGAGAGGAGGCAAAAGGGGAAGGGAGGCATTGTGGGAAGAGGGAATAGTTTCAGTACAGGGTCAAGAAGGCATTCGGTGTCAAAGTCGTAATATTCACAGCCAATGTTTATGGATGCCCTAGTGTGTGTCAGGTACTCTGCTAAGGACTTCCTAGGTGCAAATTCATCTCAACCTCCAGGGAAGTGCTGTGTTATCCCCATTTTCCAGATGAAAGACATAGGGCACGGGGGAACTGAACCACTTGTCTGGGGAAGTGGAGGGGCGGGAGTCAAACCTAGATTCTTACCCCTGCATCTAGGGTGTGTGATGGGAAATGAGACTGAGTGGGGACAGGTCCTCATAGGGAGGGCTCAAATCTTGACTGTCCTCCTGCTGGAGTCCCTTAGATGGTCCCGGGATGGACAGGGTGGGGAAGTTCATGGCACATCTCATTTTATGGTCCAGAAAGCCAGTGGCATGCAGCCCCTCCAAGAGTGGGTAGGAAAGGATGGCTCCTCCTGGACCCCTTCTAGTTGGGTTCTCCTGGTTGGTGGCAAGTCCCTGGCGGGGCTGGAGTTGTGGGAGGTGATAGGCACAGTGCAGCCCATGGTTGGGAGCCTACATTCTGGGTGGTGAGGATGCTGGTGAGTGCTCCTTCATTGCAAGGATGCAGTTGCTCACTGTCGCCTTTTCCTCGTTTCTGCTCTCTGAGACCCTCTCTACTTAGGACTGGGCATGAGGGGAGCCCAGGAGAAAAGCAGATAATGAGGATCCAAGGGACTTGTATTTGTCTCCAGCCAGTCGCCTCCCAAATACCTATGGCTTGCTCGTTCCTGGGCAAACAGGTGCCTCAGGCAGTATCTTTATCTTTTGTGTGTGTGATGCCATTGGAACCTCACAGTGACCCGTGAGGCAGGCATCAAGAGAAGGCCTGTTGTTGTGGGATGATAGCAACTCTCAAGTCAGACACACTTGAGTTAGAACTCCAGCTGGCTTATGCATGAGCTTTGAGACCTTGCTCCAGACACTTCTCTGGTCCTCAGTTTCCTCATCTGTGCAACAGGGATCATAATAATGATTATTTTGTGGGTGACAGATAATAGTTATATGGCATCTAATGCATAGAAGTGCTCAGTAATTCATAGCAACGAAAATTTTGTTGTTCTTCACCCATTTTACAGATAAGGAAACTGAGGCTCAGAGAAGTTAAGGGACTCTCCCCATGGCATTTTGCTTCCTGGTAATGGCCAGGCAAGTTTGCAGATGGAAATACTTTCCATAAAACCCAGGTCCCCCAAAGCCCTGCACCATTAGGAAAAGGCTGTTCCCCAATTGTAAATCTGTCCCCCAAAACAGTGAACCATGAGATCATGCCCCTTCTCTCTCGTGGGTTTCTCCCTGTGATGTTTTAAGTGTTCATACTCTGAGCAGCTCTTAAAGCCTTTGCAATTCTTCCGGTTCTTCCTGCTTCTAGGAGTGAGTGAAAACGAAGAAGATATCACAGTCTGTCCAGGAAGGAAACAGAGGAGCAGGTGAATGCTCAGGAAACCGGATTCGTAGTATGCACTACCCCAGAATTGGGGCTGGCAAATTCTGCTCTTAAAACCCCCACCTAGAGCCAACTGCTGCCCCTAATAATATGCCCAAAATATTACCAGGACGAAGGCCTCATGCTTCCTGGATGAACCACAAAAAAAAAGGTTGAGGCCATCTTGTTGAGGAACATTACATCCAGCAAGTATTTATTTATTGCTTGCTTTGTTCTTGGTCAAGCCTTTTCACTTTTTGGCCATCAGCCATTGCAAAACCTCCACAACAAAGAAGTGGAAAGTCATGCAATCAGAAAAGCCATAAACTACAGCTGGGGCCAGGGGAAGAGGGAAGTTAGCTGAAGACTTTGTAAGCAGAAACATCAGGAAACCTTCTGACATGTTAATAAAGATACTCTAGAGTCACATCTTGTGTGGAAACTCAAATCCGCATTGTTGGGGCGGAAGTCGGAGTCAGTGACTGGCCCCAGCTGTCACCCCGAGCCTTCAGATAAGACGGTGGAACTAGGCAGGGCGCCGTGGCTCACGCCTGTCATCTTAGCACTTTGGGAGGCCAAGGAGGGTGGATCACTTTAGCCCAGGAGTTTGAGACCAGCCTGGACAACATAGTGAGACCTCATCTCGACAAAAAATAAAATTAGCCAGGTGTGGTGGTGTGTACCTGTGGTCCTCTCTACTCGAGGGGCTGAGGTGGGAAGATTGCTTGAGCAGTCCCTGGAGGAAGAAGGTAGAGCCAGGAACTATCATTAATTAAACACTTAACCAGCTCTAATATGGTAGTAAAGCCCTTATGTGTATTTAGCTGCTCTCCCGATTCACAGATGAGAAAAATGAGGCCCAGAGAGGTTAAGTGATTTACCTGAGGTCACAAAACTAATAGGTGGGGAATTCAAACTCAGGCGCATCTTTCTGCAAAACGCATTCTTTTTTCACTACTCCCTGATATCTGAGGAAACTTATTGATGAGCAAAATGACCTGAAAAAAATAAAATGTGAATGCCTCTCAGTGTCAGGCTCTGTGATAAGTGTAGGAAAAAAAGAAAAAGAAGAAGAAGAAAAAAAACCCACCAGACTGCAATGCCTCCCAGCCCGTGAGCACTCACAGTGGAATATGGGAAACAGAAGGGCAAACAGCATTTACCATACAGAATGGTGAGTGGTAGGCAGAGGGGACTGTGAGACATAGGAGGGTAGAGCTTAATCTAGTCGGGGTATTCAGGGAAGGCTTCCTGAAGAAGGAGATACTTTAGCTGAGGAGATAAGCAGCCCAAGATAAGGTGGGAAGAGGGTATGGACCCATCTATTAGCTAGGACTCTTGATAAACAGAGACAGAAACCCAGCTTCCATAGCATTGAGCAAAAAGGTAAATTTATTGGATTATGTAAGAGGTGAGCCTCAGGTATGGCTAGATCCAAGGACTCAAGTAATTTTAGGGATTTGTGTCTCCATCTCGGCTCCACCTTCCTAGGTTGGCTTTGCTCTCATGCCAGCTTTGCAGGTGGTGACTAGAGATGGCCCCACACCTCCAGCCCTATACCCTACTTGCTTAGCCTCCCCGCAGAATTCTGTAAAAGTCTCCAGTTGAGTTTCATTGACCTAGATTGGGTCAAACGTCCATCTTTGAACCAACACTGCAGTCTGGGAATGAAATGCTGTGATTGGCCAGGCCTAGGTTATGTGTCTGCACCAGGGGTCGAAGGTGGACTGAGAATGAAAATAAGAAAGCCAGGGATGCATGGCACCCTTGGGGCTGATAGAAGGTCCATGGGGCTGGAGAAGGGGTCTGATCATGACACCCCTCTAAGCCACGTGAAGAAATTGCATACTGAAGACAGTGGGAAGCTTTGAAAGTATAGTGAAGGCGGGGGTGACATGCCACCATATGGGGACAGGCAGGGGTGGAAGCATGATCAGGTGGCGGACAGTGGGGACTTGGACTGGGCTGCTGGTGATGGAGAGAAACAGTTGGATCCTGGGGGTGTTGAGTGTAATGCACAGGACTCAGTGGTGATTGGATCAGGGGTTCATGGGGAGGAAGAGGTTCATGATCTTGGGTTTCTGGCTTGTTCCAACAGGCAAGCCTGGAAGAGAAACCAAGCTCAGGAGATCCTATTAGGAGTTTAGGTTGATTGTGTTGAGTTTGAAATGCTGTCAAGCATCCAAGTGACAGACTAGTGGAGAATTGGCCATTTCACGGTTGCTATGCTGAGAGGGGCCGGTCAGGATTCTGTGGCCTTAGGAGAAGGGGTGCAGAGTGACAACTCTATCTAGTAAATATTAATTGACCACCTACTGAGCTGCAATGCTCCGGAAACAGAGCATTCAAGGCTCCCAGACAATGAATGCAGAATATGTAAGTCAATCATATGATGTGTTAGAAGGTGGTGAGTGCTGGGGGAAAAAAAAAATCACGCAGGGTGAGGGCTTCTGGAGTGCCGTGTTGGCGGGGCAGGTTGCAGCACTAACTGGTTGATCAGAAGAGGCCTTGAAGAAGTGCGATGTGAGAGAGGACAGGAGGGTGAGAGAGTGAGCCAAGTGGATGTTTGGGGAAAGGGCATCCGGGCAGCGGGCACAGCCAGGGCACTGGCCCAGAGGAGGGAGGGTGCTTGTGTGTTTGAGTGACAGCAAGGGGGCCAGCGTGGCTGGAGAAGAGGCAAGGGCCAGTGGGGTTGGGGGCAGAAAGGTAAGGGGTGGGGTCAAACCTGTAAGGCAAATGAGGACTGGTTTTTCCTGAGTAAAGTGGGAGCCATGGGAGGATGCGGAGCAGAGGAGGGCCATAGCCTGACTTCCGTTTTCCTAAGGTCACTGTGGCTGCTTGCTGAAAATCAACTGATGAGACAAGGGCAGAATCAGGGAAGCTAGTGATGAGGTGGCTTGGACCAGAGTGGTAAGAAGTGAACGCCTGAAACAAACGTCTGGCAGTGCGGGTGGTGAGAAATGGCGGATTCTGGCTCTGTTTTAAAGGTGAAGTTAACAGGAGTTGCTGCTGGATTGGATTAGGGTGAGAAAGAAGAATCAAAGCTGCCTTCAAGGTTTTTGGCACCAGCATGAAAGGATGGAGCTGCTACCAGCTGCAGGTGGGGTATGCTGCTGCTACCAGCTGCAGGTGGGGTATGCTGGGGAAAGGACCAGGCTCAACACCCAGGTGCAGGGAGGAAGAGAGTGGGCAACTGTGTCCAAGTGAGGAGAGAGATTTGGGTTCAAGATGACAATTCAGGAGATGTCAGCCTGTGGGGAGCATCCAGGGGCGCTAGTATCTCCTGAACTGGAGGGAGGAGAGAGGGCCACAGTAGCCAAGTGTGACCTCCTGATACCTGTGCCAGAATGGCTGGGTTTGGCCCCGCATAAGGAAAAACCCTGTAAACGTTTTCATGGGGCTGTAGAGAAAGAGGAAGACAAGCAGACATAACCTCCTTGGCATCTGATCAAAAGCCACCGTGGCCTGGCTGCTCATTTATTGAGTGTGGGTCTGGGAGGTGTCCATGCCAGGAGCCGGGGTGTGGGTGGCATGATCAGAGGCTGAAGCTCAATTGTCCTTGAAGTTCCTGGCGCCCAGGACCGACTAGCCCTGGGAGAGCGCCGTCCTGCAAGTGTTGATTGAATGAATGCAAAGAGTCTTGTGTGTTCCTCTGCAGCAGCCGGGAAAAAAAAGTGTGTGGGGTGGAGTGGGGCGGGTAGCATACCCCAGCCAGCAACACCATTCCTCAGCATTTGACAAAGTGTGATTAATTAATTTTTTTCTCTCTTTCTTTTCTTTCTTTCTTTCTTTCCTTCTTTCTTTCTTTCTTTCTGTCTTTCTTTCTTTCTTTCTTTCTTTCTTTCTTTCTTTCTTTCTTTCTTTCTTTTTCTTTCTTTTCTTTCTTTCTTCCTTTTTTTTTTTTTTTTTTGACAGAGTCTTGCTCTGACACCCAGGCTGGAGTGCAGTGGCATGATCTCGGCCCACTGCAACCTCCACCTCCCAGGTTCAAGCAGTTCTCCCTGCTTCAGTCTCCCGAGTAGCTGGGATTACAGGTGCCTGCGACCACGCCCGGCTAATTTTTGTATTTTTTAGTAGAAACAGGGTTTTACCATGTTGGCCAGGCTGGTCTTGAACTCCTGACCTCAGGTGATCCTCCTGCCTCAGCCTCCCAAAGTGCTGGGATTACAGGCATGAGCCACCGTGCCAGGCCATTAATTTTCTTTTTTTTTAGGAGACAAAGTCTCTCTGTTGCCCAGGCTGGAGTGCAGTGGTGTAACCATGGCTCATTGCAGCCTCCAGCTCTTGGCCTTGAAGTGATCCTCTTGCCTCAGCCTCCCAAAGTGTTGGTGTGAGCCACCAAGCTTGCTGAAAGTGTGATTCGTTAAGACTATTTTTATTCAAGTCTAACGTGTATACAGAAAAATGCATATTTCATACGCATACAGCTCAATGAATTTTCAAAAGACGAATGTGTCTGTGTGACCAGCACCTGGATCAATAGCTGAACGTACATAGCACCCCTCCCTGCCCCAGGACACCTTGCTCCCCCTGCAGTTACCCCTTGCCCCACCGGGGTAACCACCATCCTGACATCTCCCCCTAGAATTTCACCTGTTTTTGTACTTTGTATCCATGGAACTGTTACTGGAACGGGGTCCCGATCCAGACCCCAAGAGAGGGTTCTTAGACGTTGTGCAAGAAAGAATTCAGGGTGAGGCTGGGCGCGGTGGCTCACACCTGTAATCCCAGCGCTTTGGGAGGCTGAGGCGGGCGGATCACGAAGTCAGGAGATCGAGACCATCCTGGCTAACACAGTGAAAGCCCGTCTCTACTGAAAATACGAAAAATTAGCTGAGCGTGGTGGTGGGCGCCTGTAGTCCCAGCTACTCGGGAGGCTGAGGCAGGAGAATGGCGTGAACCCAGGAGGCGGAGCTTGCAGTGAGCCGAGATCGGGCCACTGCACTCCAGCCTGGGAGACAGAGCGAGATCCGTCTCAAAAAAAAAAAAAAAAAAGAATTCAGGGTGAGTTCATAAAGTGAAAGCAAGTTTACTAAGGAAGTAAACAAACAATAGAATGGCTACTGCATAGACAGAGCCTCCCAGAGGACTGCTGGTTGGCTATATTTATGGTTATTTCTTGATCATATGCTAAATAAGGGGAAAGGTGTGGGCAGTTCCCAGAACTGAGGGTTCCTCACCTTTTTAGACCATATAGGGTAACTTCTGGCATTGCTATGGCATTTGTAAACGTCATGGCGCTGGTGGTGGGAGTGTCTTTTAGCACGCTCATGCATTATAATTGGCCTATAATGAGCAGTGAGGATGACCAGAGGTCACTTTTGTTGCCATCTTGGTTTTGGCGGTTTTGTCCGGCTTCTTTATTGCATCATGTTTTATTAATGGGGTCTTTACGACCTGTATCTTGTGAAAGCAGTCCTGCTGACTTCCTGTCTCTGTGACAAAGAATGCCTGACCTCTTGGGAATGCAACCCAGCAGGTCTCAGCCTCATTTACCCAGCCCGTACTGGAGAGATGGAGTTGCTGTGGTTCCAGTGCCTCTGACAGAACCACGCGTTATGGTCTTTCTTGTGCTGACTTGTTTCGCTCATCACAGGTGTTGTTATTGCGTAAGGTTCTGGCTTGTTCTTTCTCCTGGCTGTTTAGTATATATCTGTTTATTTGTATTTACTTGTTTATCCATTCTATTGCCAATGGGCATTTGGATAGTGTCCAGTTGGGGGCAATTACGATCATGCCACCGGGAACATTTTGATATGTGCCCTTCGGTGAACAGTTGAATGCATTTCTCATGGATGTATAATCAGCAGTAGAAATGCTGGGTTGTAGAGAAGGTGCACATTCAGGCTTTGTCTCAGTTAAGCCAGAGTTTTCCAAAGGGGTTGAACCAGGTTTCCCTCCTGCCAGCAGAGTATGAAAGTTCTGGTTGCATTACATCCTTGCCAACACTTGGTATCCTTTTCTTTTTTTAGTTATTTAGTTATGTAATGATCCCACAATGTACTTTAAATTTGCATTTGTTTCCCCGATGGATATGAGTTTGAGCACCTTTCATATGCTTATTGACCACTTAGATAACCTCTTTTATGAAGTATGTCTTCAGACGTTCCCATTTTTCTGTTGTGTTGCCTGTCCTTTTTTAAATTGATTTCACAGAACTCTTTATATGTTCTCAGTATAAATATTTGTTTGAGATGTATTATAAATATCTTTTTTCATGCATGACTTCATTTGATCCATAAGAGGAGGAACCGGGAATTTTAAGCCTCAAGGTCATTGGAATCCAGGACAAGCTTCACATGTGTGAGCCTCAGTTTCCCTCTCTAAATCCTGTGGATATTAGCTCATTGACTGGTGTATAGATGGAACTGTGACTGATATTAGCATCTTTTGCTGGGATGAGGAAGCCCTGAATTAAAATGGGCAAAACTGGCCTTGCATGGCTTTCAACCTAAGTCATCCCTGTTTCTCAGGTCTGTATACCAACTTCCAGGCTAGGCCTTGAAAATAAACAGTGAGCAAGGCCCATTTCCTACCCTTGGAGGGGACTGCACCAGTGGTGAGCGCAGGGGGCTGTGGGATCCCAGCAGAAACACTAACTGGGCTAAGGCATTGTGGAAAGCTTCCTGGAAGAGGTGAGTCTCAGGGTGGAGTAAGCCTCTTCTGTTCAGGTACAGGCTTGGGCACCTTTGTGCATCAGGCACTGGACAGGTACCTGGGAGATGGAAAGAATCGGCTTAGTCTCACCCCCTCTTACCCCGCAATAGACCAGTGTTCTTGATGGGGATGACTGCACCCCCAGGGGGCAGTCAGCAATGCCTGGGGACATTTTTGGTTGTCAGGACTCAGGGAGGGGATGCTACTGGCATCTCCTTGGTAGAGGCCGGGGATGCGGCTAAACATCCTACAATGCATGGGACAGCCCCACCCCATACTACCACAAAGAATGATCTGGTCCAAATGTCTATAGTGCAGAGACTGAGAAACTCCAAGATGGACAATTACAATACGATATGAGCGGGGGAAGAGAGGAGAGCAGAGGGATTGGGAGTGTTGTCCTGGCCTTAAGGAGTTTGTTTGTTTGTTTGTTTGTTTATTTACTGACTTTGAGACAGAGTCTTACTCTGTCATCTAGGCCGGAGTGCAGTGGCTCAATCTCGGCTCACTGCAAACTCCGCCTCCTGGGTTCAAGTGATTCTTCTGCCTCAGCCTCCTGAGCAGCTGGGATTACAGGCGCCTGCTACCATGCCCAGCTGATTTTTGTATTTTTTTTTCTTTTTCTTTTTCTTTGTCTTTTTCTTTTTTTTTGAGACAGAGTCTTGCTCTGTCACCAAGTTGGAGTTCAGTGGCGCGATCTCAGCTTACTGCAACCTCTGCCTCCCAGGTTCAAGTGATTCTCCTGCCTCAGCCTCCCGGGAGTAGCTGGGACTACAGGTGCGTGTCACTACGCCTGGCTGATTTTTGTATTTTTAATAGAGACGGGGTTTCACTATGTTGGCCAGGATGGTCTCGATCTCTTGACCTTGTGATCCGCCTTCCTCGGCCCCCCAAAGTGCTGGGATTACAGGCGTGAGCCACCGCACCCAGCCTAATTTTTGTATTTTTAATAGAGACAGGGTTTCACCACGTTGTCCAGGCTGGTCTCTAACTCCTGACCTCAGGTAATCTGCCTGCCTCAGCCTCCCGACGTGCTGGGATTACAGGCATGAGCCACCGTGCCTGGCCAGGAGTTTATTAACCTTCATGCCCACCACGTCAACCACAAACCACGTGTGGCTGCAGAGCCCTCGAAATGTGGCTGCTGTGGCTGAGGAACTGAATTTCAAGTCTTTATCTATTTTAATTTCAGAACAGATACTCATTCCCATTCTTGGAAAACTTTTAAGTGTGTGTACAACAGTTTGGGTGTGTGGATATACTTTGTTCAACTATCAATTTTATGAAATCTCTGTACAGATTAGCCATTTCTACTGAGAATTTAGCATCCAAATTGAGATGTGCTGAAAGTAGTTTTACCCTGGGTTTCAAGGACTAAGTAATTAAAAAAAAAAGACTATAAACTATCTCAGTAATGTTTATATTGATTGATGATAATATTTTATATATATTGAGTTAAATAAAATGTTATTAAATTTACTTCTGTAACATAGCTACTGGAAAACTGAGAATTTGAAGTGTGTCTCACACTGCATTTCTATTGGGTGGCGCTGTTACAAACTACAGGAAGGAGCTAGAATTCTGTGGAAGGTTTTAGGCAGGGGCTGACATCCTCTGGCCAAAATGACAAGAGGGAATTCCAGAGACCAGGGCAAGTCTGGCCACAGGGAGACTGCATGGCCTAGGAGACCTGAGCCACAGCCGCCAAGAGAAGCCCTGATTCCCCAGAGAGGAGGTGCCCGCTGCCAGTCCACAGGTGAGCAACAAGACTGGATCCAGAAGAGGGAGGAGCCTTTAGGAGAGGCAGGCCCATCGCAAGGCTGACTGATCCTTCAAAGGAGCCTCCCAGCTAAAAGCCAGCAGGAGAGAGACCTTGGCCACCAAGGGTCTGCCAGCTCCTGGTGGTCCCCACTCCAGCCACCTGCCAGCTCGAGCCTGACCCTCGCCTCCACCCTGGCTGCTGCCTGTACCGCTCTCAGGTTTGAAACCTCATCTCTTGCTGCTTGGCTCTGCTCTCTACTACTTACCAGCTGTGTCAACTAGAGCAAGTGGCTTTCCCTCTCTGGGGGCTACCAGCTTTGCATGGCCTGGCCCATGTTGCAGCTAGAGCTCAGGAAAGATCAGAGATGCCCACAGGTGACAGGTCTTCCTGGGCTGGGTGTTTTGGAGGTGGCATTATGAAGTCTCAGTGGGGGGTCTGCAGACAGTATTCTCTGTTTGCAGATGGCTTCCCCTCTCCACTCTGTGTGTTACGTCCTCATTTCACTGCTGAGAAAGTGGAGGCTCAGAGAGGTGAAGCAGTTTGCCCAGGGCCACACAGCTCCACAGAGGCAGAATTCAGATGAGTAATGCTGACTTTGCAGGTCCAAGGATACCCCTTCCATGGCTATAACTCAGTGTTCGATCAAGGGCAGAGCACTGCACCTCTCTGGGCCTCAATTTCCCCATTTGTCAAATGGGGAGAATAACAGTGCCAGTCAGCTGCTGTGAGGCTATAGTAAGTTGAATAAAAGTAACAGAGCACCGGCCCAAGGCAAGGCTTCAGGTGGTGGCTGCTGTTTGTTGACTGATCTGTGCATAAGTGTTCACTGCAGCCTTCTGCAGTGAGTGGTAGGAGCCCATTTTTAGGGGAGGAAACTGAGGCTAAGATGTGCAACTGGTGAGAGCAAAGTTGGGGACTCATCTGGCTTCTTGGCCCTGGAGCACTTTCCCTCCTCTGCTCGGCCCTCCGGCGTTACCTGTTATTCATGACGGGGCAAGGCTTGCGCTGTCCCCAGCCTGGTCCTCCGTCCTGCATGACTGGACATGAAGGGGCATAGCAGCAGCCTTGCCAGTGGCGCTCACAGATGTCCAGCCCACTAAGCCTGCTCCCTCCCTCAGGAACTCTGCTTCCTTTGCTGGGTGAGCTGTAACCTTTCCTCCTTCCTGCTCCAAGCAGCTACTGAGAGTGAGAGTGGTTGATCAGGAGGCTGGTACGAAGACACCTAGGCTGTGGCCAGATCCTAAATGTCAGAACTGGGAGAGGCCTTAGAGGTCATTGGCCCCTGGCGCTGGTTGTCTAGACACCTCGTTCAGCCTCAGTCTCCATAGTTGGAAAATGGGAGGAATCGTCAGCTTGGCAAAAACGGCAACCTCCGGCAACACAAAGTTGGTGCAGAAGGGGAACATGCAGACTGCTGGCAGGAGGGTCTTTGGGAGGGCACTTGCAGTATCTGCTGAAATATAAAGGGAGAGTGGCCCCTGAGCCCGCCGACCCCCTACAGGTAGCTACCTAGAGCTGTGCTTCTCAAATCGTATTGTGCATGGAAACGCCTGGGGTCTGGTTAAAAAGCCGGTTAAGTACCTTCTAAGGCATGGGACTAGCAGCCTCCCAGGTGGCCTTACTGCTTGCAAGACCCTAGTGAGGCCCTAGGGCACCTTTCATGCATGGGCACAAGGAGGCATGGTCCTTTGTGATGGTATGTCATTGCAAGAAGATGAAAGCAGCTTACATGTCTGTCAGAAGGCCTTGGCTAACTGAATGGTGTGTTGTTCCTGCTGGGATGCTCTGGAACAATTAAGAAGAGGGAGGGAGGGCCGGGCGTGGTGGCTCACGCCTGTAATCCCAGCATTTTAGGAGGCCGAGGCGGGTGGATCACAAGGTCAGGAGATTGAGACCATCCTGGCTAACACGGTGAAACCCCATCTCTACTAAAAATACAAAAAAATTAGCCGGGCGTGGAGGCGGGTGCCTGTAGTCCCAGCTACTTGGGAGGCTGAGGCAGGAGAATGGTGTGAACCCGGGAGACGGAGCTTGCAGTGAGCTGAGATCACGCCACTGCACTCCAGCCTGGGCTGGAGTGAGACTCTGTCTTAAAAAAAAAAAAAAAAAGAAGAAGAGGGAGGGAAGGAGGTCCATCAAGGTGTTGCATGTTGATGTGTCTTTTCTTCTGGAAGGATATCAGTGCCCTCTGGAGGCTGGGGCTTTGTCTTGTTTACTGATTTGGCCCCGGTGCTAGAACAAGGCCTGGCACCCAGTAGGTGCTCAAGCAATGTTTACTGGATGATAGAACAAACATGCTGACACGGAAAGACCTCGTGTTCAGTGAACCCAGTCAGTTTCAGGAGGCTATGTAGAATCCAGGACTTCTTAACCTTGGCACTAGTGACATTTGGGACTGGATGATTCTTTGTGCTGGGGATTACCTGGGCATTGTAAGATGTTTAGCAGCATCCGTGGGCTCTACCCATGAGATGATCCCTAATTGTAACACCAAAACTATCTCTGGACATTACCGATGGTTCCCTGAATGGCAAAATCGCCCCTGGTCCCAGCACTTTGGGAGGCCGAGGCGGGCAGATCACTTGAGGTCGAGAGTTTGAGACCAGCCTGACCAACGTGGTGAAACCTTGTCTGTACTAAAAGTACAAAATTAGCTGGACATGATGGCACATGTCTGTAATCCCAGCTACTTAGGAAACTGAGGCAGGAGAATCGCTTGAACCTGGGAGGCGGAGGTTGCAGTGAGCTGAGATCGCTCCATTGCACTCCAGCCTGGGTGACATAGTGAGAGTCAGTCTCAAAAAAAAAAAAGAAAAGAAAAGAAAAGAAAAAGCAAGTGTAGATGGCTCCCCTCCAAACTAATCAACAGCAGTTACATCTTAGAAAAGGGGGAAGAACATAGGATTGGATCTTTTACTCCAAAGAGACTTATGCCTTCTCCCTCCAGTTTGTAATATAGAGGTTGTACCAATGAGTTGAGCAATTAGGTGCATCTTAAAAGTAGAAATGGCACATGGACTGGCTTGTAGAGCTGTGAGGGTTTAGTGAAGTTACACACCTGGAACGTTCAGCACAGTGTCTGGCTCATGGTGGGGGTGCTGCCAAAGGACACCATTGTTGTTTTATTGTGTTGCATCTCTCCAGCAGCCCCTAAGCATACAGAAGCAGATAAGTCCTTCTCGCATATGGGCAGACTGGAGCTCAGAGAGGGAAAGGGACTCTCCCAAGGTCACACAGCAAAGGAGGAGCTAGGCTTGCCTTCATGACTCCAAAATAAGGACAGTTTCTCCTCTGCCACCCTGTGGCCCCCGCCGGGCCGCTGGGCCTCCTGGTCTTTGTATCTGTGGATTGAGGCTGTGTGGGCTGCTTCAAGTCCCCCAGCTTGTTGACTGCTTGGTGTTCACCAGCCCGGCTGGCACCCAGGAAGCAAACAAGGCTGGAAATGTCACGGGGTGTAGCCTGTGGGAGTTGTGCTCTGGCTTTGCCCAGCAGCACTGGGAGGACTGCCAGGGATTTGGAGCCTGCGAGGAAGGACCTTGGCAAAGATGTTCCCTGTAGGTGGGTACTGGACTGGCGGCCAGCCCTATGCAGCTTCAAAGTCATGCTGCTCACCCACTGCTCAAACATCTGCCATGGCTCCCTAGTACCTAAGCCTAAATTTTCCTTCCTGTGCCTGCTGGGATAGCATTCCATGTCCTACAAAGGACTCTCCGTGAGATGCTAGATTCCAGATACTAATAATAGTAATAATGATGATAAGACCTAGAGCACCTGCTGTTTGCTAGGTGTGGAACTAAGTGCTTCACATGCAATATCTTTTTTTTCTAATAAAAAAATTGTATTTACTTAGAAGCATTCAGAATGTCAACAAAACAGCTGCAACTTTTTCTTTTTGCAATTACAGAGTGGTATTCAGTTAACAGAATAATTATTTCGTATAAGCTGCATCAGAGACAACTGAAGATGAAAAAACTATCATCCCCATATATAACTAATTTGTGCTGTGCACCAACAAGAACCCGCTTTAAATTTCCATGCCAATTTACAGCCCCCATACTGTACCAGGCAAGGTTAGCGGCTATTGAAAATACCATCAGGACAGGGCTATCTAAAGACACATTCGGTAGTGTGTTAACTATACAAAAAAAGACACTGTACAGTTTAAAAACAAATCTTACACAGCCTTACATTTCAATTTTTTTCTTTAAAAGGAGTGAGTTGTGTACAGGGGGGTTAAATGCTTTATAGACAAGAAAAAAAAAACTGCGCTAGAACCAACTTATTCATCATCTTCTTCATCTTCATCTTCTTCATCTTCCTCCTCCTCATCCTCTTCATCTTCCTCATCTTCCTCCTCTTCCTTCTTTTTCTTGCTTTTTTCAGCCTTGACAACTCCCTTTTTTGCTGCATCAGGCTTTCCTTTAGCTCGATATGCAGCAATATCCTTTTCGTATTTTTCCTTCAGCTTCGCAGCCTTCTTTTCATAAGGCTGCTTGTCATCTGCGGCAGTGTTATTCCACATCTCTCCCAGTTTCTTCGCAACATCACCAATGGACAGGCCAGGATGTTCTCCTTTGATTTTTGGGCGATACGCAGAGCAGAACAGGAAGAAGGCCGAAGGAGTCCTCTTGGGTGCATTCGGATCCTTGAACTTCTTTTTTGTCTCCCCTTTGGGAGGGATATAGGTTTTCATTTCTCTTTCGTAATGGGCCTTGTCCGCCTTTGCCATATCTTCAAATTTTCCTTTCTCTTTAGCAGACATGGTCTTCCACCTCTCTGAGCACTTCTTAGAAAACTCTGAGAGGTTGACTGAAGCATCTGGGTGCTTCTTCTTATGCGCCTCCCGACAAGTTTGCCCAAAAAATGCATGTGATGACATTTTGCCTCTCAGCTTCTTAGGATCTCCTTTGCTCATGTTTAGTTATTTTTCCTCAGCGAGGCACAGTCGCCCAGTGCCCGTCCGGCTCTCACTTGCCCCGGCGCTGTCTCTGTGGAGCTCAGTGTACTGCAATGCACAATATCTTATTTAATCCTTACAAAAGTCATATGGCACTGCTGCAATATGATTCTCATTTTACAAATGAGGAACCTGATGACCACAGAGGTTAAGTGTCTTGCCCAAAGTCATGTAGCTCTGTAGCCAGCATCTGTAGCCTGACTCCGGAGCCACACTTTAACCAGGAGACCATCCTACCGTATCTTGTTAGGAGAGCAAGCCAGCATGATGCCAGCAGAGAAGGCCTCTGGGTACATGGGAAGAACCCAGCCAGGTGTTCAGGCCTGGCCGTGCCATTAACTTGCTGTGTGACCTTGGCCACACTCTCCTTTCTGAGCTCGCCCAGGCTTTCTCCGAGGCCACTGCTGGCTCTGCATTCCCGAGCTCAAGGACCCAAAGTTATGCATCAAATCTAGAAATCATCTTCTCTTATTTTATATCGTATTACAGCATTGATATGTATATGATACATATACATTGATATGATATGCTTCTATACCCGGTCTGTCACACCGTGTGGATTTCCTCAGAGGCTCCTAGAAGGCCCTGCTGTCCAGGCTAGGAGGTTTCTGGCAGCCCCAAGCTCCCTGGCTTCTGCGTGAAGGTGTGAATAGAACCATGCTGTTAAGTGGGGGTTTGCAGAAACCAGGGTTTGACCTGGGAGAGCCCTAGGCAGCAGGGGATGATCAAGTGATCAAGATAATATTTTAATGCAAAATTTGAAAAATCAAAACTAACGGATGAACCTTGAACAGAGTGTGCTAAGTGGAAAAAGCTGGTCATTAAAGAACATGCTTTGTGTGATTCCATTTTTATGAAATGTTCAGAATAGGCGAACTCATAGAGACGGAAAGTAGAGTAGTGGTCTCCTGGGGCTGGGAGGAGAAGGGGGTTACAGTTTGATACGTAAGGGTACGAGGTTTCTCTTTGGGTGATGAAAATGTAGCAAAATTGACTATGACTATACGAAAACTCTGTGAGTGTACTACTCTGCACATACTAGAAACCTGTGAATATATTAAACCCTGTGATTATACTAAAGACCATTGAACTGTACACTTTATTTTTTTATTTTTTTTGAGATGGAGTTTCGCTCTGTTGTCCAGGCTGGAGCGCAGTGGCGCAATTTTGGCTCACTGCAGCCTCTGCCTCCCAAGTTCAAGCGATTCTCCTGCCTCAGCCTCTTGAGCAGCTGGGATTACAGGCATCTGCCACTGCACCCTGCTAATTTGTGTATTTTTAGTAGAGACAGGGTTTCACCATGTTGGCCAGGCTGGTCACGAACTCCTGACCTCAGGTGATCGCCTGCCTCGGCCTCCCGTAGTGTTGGGATTACAGGCGTGGGCCACCGCGCCGGGCCCATGAACTGTACACTTTAAATAGGTGAGTTATATGATATGTGCATTGTCCCTCAGTAAAGCTGTTATGAAACAATCTAAATGCAAAAATATCCATGAAAAACAACATATAAAAATTGTAAATAATGTCAGGATCAGTATTACTGATTTTTTTCTTTCTGCCTTGGCTCCAGTGTGGCTTAGCACAGCGCAACATCACTTGTCCTATTTAAACACTTTATATTTTTTGTTTGTCATGGATTTTTTTCCACTGATCTAAAAAAGATTGCATTGAAACATTATTGATCTTGGTTACTGAGTTTTTTGGCACCCCCTTGAGTTTTTGTGCTCAAGGACAATGCCCTGCTTGCCTCACCCTGTTC
The DNA here is from genome assembly GCF_000001405.40 of Homo sapiens. Classification (NCBI taxonomy): domain Eukaryota; kingdom Metazoa; phylum Chordata; class Mammalia; order Primates; family Hominidae; genus Homo; species Homo sapiens. The sequence goes on along the minus strand of NC_000022.11, from coordinate 26,558,724 downwards.
CTGCCCTGCCAGGCAAGCCTTTTGCTCTCCCTAGGGTGGCCAGGGTCTCCCCCACCACTCTGTCCCTTCCTTCTCTCTGTCTCCCCATCTGACGGCTGAGACCAGCAAGCCCACCCCAAGAGAAGCTATGATTTGTCTGTCCAGCCAGTGAGTCATGTGTGAGGACCACAGTAGGGGGCTCTCTCCACATCACATCCTCCTCCTGCCCACAGTGTCTCCTTTGCTGCTTTCTCCCTTCTCTCCCATCTCCCTCCTTTTTAATTTTTTTGTTTTGTTTTGTTTAAGGCCAAGCACAGTGGCTCATGCCTGTAGTCGCAGCACTTTGGGAGGCCGAGGCAGGCAGATCACTTAAGGTCAGGAGTTGGAGACCAGCCTGGTCAGCATGATGAAACCCTGTCTTTACTAAAAATACAAAAAAATTAGCCAGTGTTGTGGCCCAGTGCCTGTAATCCCAGCTACTCAGGAGGCTGAGGCAGGAGAATCACTTGAACCTGGGAGATGGTGGTTGCAGTGAGCTGTGATTGCTCCATTGCACTCCAGCCTGGGCGACATATATATGTGTGTGTGTGTGTGTGTGTGTGTGTGTGTGTGTGTGTGTGTGTGTATTATATATATTTTTATATAATAATTTTTATACAATATATATATATAAATTTTATATAAAATATATATTTTTTTGAGACGGAGTCTCCCTCTGTCAACCAGGCCAGAGTACAGTGGTGTGATCACAGCTCACTGCAGTCTTGACCTCCTGGGCTCAAGTGATCCTCTGGCCTCAGCCTCCCAAGTAGTTGGGACTACAGGAGCATGCCACCACACCCGGCTAATTTTTAATTTTTTTGTAGAGATGGAGCTTTACTACATTGCCCAGGCTGGTCTTGAACTCCAGAGCTCAAGCAATCCTCCCTCCTCGGCCTCCTGAAGTGCTGAGATTACAGACATGGGCCACCACGTCTGACCCCATCTCTCTTCTTTGAGATGGCTCCCTGGGTCCCCCAGCAGCTATCACTTGGCCTCCAGCCCTTGTCTTTTCAGGCATCCTACACCAGAGAGAGCCTGTGTCCCCTCCCAGGTCACAACCAGACCAATGCTCACAATTTCCCACCGTCCCCAGGATAACTCCAAGCTCCTTACCTGGCATTCAAAGCCTGGCACAGTCTAGAGCTTGCCAATCTCCTTTCCCCACTTTTCCTGCTCACCACTGCTGATTTCTCATCGGTAGATTCAGATGGGACTCACAGTTATTGAAGAGCTGCAAGGCATTAGCCACACCCCTCTGGTCTTTCCCTTATTAAGCCCCTATCTCACTTAATCCTCACAGCAGCATCGCTAGTAAGAATTATTGGGCCCATTTTACAGATGAGGAAACTCAGGCCCAGAGAGTGGAGGTGATGCTGCCAAGGGTCTGGGGTAGATGCAGGTGCACGCCCAGTCTGGCTGGCAGCATGGGACTCTGACCACCTGCCTGTGCCTCCCCTCATCCACTGCGGATGTTTGCTTTCCCTCAGGGCCATGTGTACAGTGCCTCTGCCAGGGTCACCCCCACTTTGGTCCCTGTTGGCCTTCACACTGCTAACTTAGTAGCCAAGGTCACATGCCAGTGTGTGATGCCAGCGTGGAGAGGAGCCATGGTTCTTTTATAACAGTTGCCATCTCCTACCTACTTATATTTGGGGCTTGCTATGTTGATAGCCGCAGGCTGGGTCTCAAATTCCTGGGCTCAAGCTGTCTTCCTGCCTCAGCTTTGTGAGCAGCTGGGATCACAGGCATGAGCCGCTGCTCCTGGCCACTTTTACTTCTTAAAATAAAATCAGAACATGCAAACCATGCTCCACAATATGCCATCAAGTGTTTCTGGTGCAAATCCCTACTGCTCTTGTGTTTGATGGTGGGGCGAGGAAACGGGCAGGAATGGGAAGGAAGGTGAATCTAGACTCCTGAGGCAGGACCATGGCTCCCTGGCCCTAACAGCCATAGATTTTGTGTCCATAACGGAGCCAGATGCTGGCAGCGATTCTTAATTGGGGTTCCAGGCTGCATTCGGGGGCCTAGGAATTTGGATGAGGGGAAAATTACATCTTTATTGACCCTAGTTTAACATTTCCTCCAGGTGACAACATAGGTGATAAATCACAGTAGTAGTGGCAGCACTCGCATCACCAGTAGAAACCACACTTTTTTTTTGAGATGGAGTTTCGCTCTTGTCGCCCAGGCTAGGGTGCAATGACGCGATCTCGGCTCACTGCAACCTCTGCCTCCCAGATTCAAGTGATTCACCTGCTTCAGCCTCCCAAGTAGCTGGGATTACAGGTGGCTGCCACCACGCCTGGCTAATTTTTTTGTATTTTAGTAGAGACGGGGTTTCACCATGTTGGCCAGGCTGGTCTTGAACTCCTGACCTCAGGTGATCCGCCCACCTCGGCCTCCCAAGGTGCTGGGATTATAGACATGAGCCACTGCTCCTGGCCCATATTTTTATATCACATTTTAGGTGCCACAGATGTGTCTGCTTGCAGATGACAGTGATTATTCTGTCTGCTACTAGATCTTGTTATTGATTGCTTTAATAAAGGAGCAGATAGGTTACAGATAATATTTCACAGCAATTTTTGTAATCACATTCTTAGCCAAAGTTTACTATGTTGGTTTCCTTTTCATCCTGTATATTTTATTGTATTCCATTTAAAAGCATTATTCTGGGAAGGGGCCCATAGATTTCACCAGATGGTTGAAGAGATCCATGGCACAAAATGGTGGAAGAACCCATTAGACCTGGGTTTGAGTCCTCATGCTGCCCTGCACCTGCTGTGTGAGTGTGAGCAGAGTGTGAGCAGCCCATTCCGCCTCTGGATTTCTTATTCATGATCCAGCCAGAGAGGGGCTGTCTCCCCCACAGGGTTGCCGTGGGAGGCCTGCAGTGGGAGTCGATGCCACTTTGTTGTGGTGCCTGTCTGTTGGGTGTTATTAGGTCTTCTGGGCAGGACGTGACACTGGGTGCTCCAGCGTGCCCTGAACGTGTTCCCACCGCCTCCTGCACACCCCAGTCTGTCTGGGCATCCATCCCACTGGGTTGATTGTCTGCCGGCTCAATGGCCGTGACACTCATTATGGGCAGGACTGTGTCCGTCCTAATAAATAATGGTACAGAATTGTAGCTGATGCCTCTGAGCTCACACTCTTTGCCAGCTTCACAACAGCTCCACAAGGTAGGTGCCGTTTTCAGACTTATTTTGGAAATGTTAAACGTTATAACAGGTGAGTGAGGCTCAGAGACAAGAAGTCACTGGCTCAAGGCCACTGGTGAGTGGCCACACCAAGATCGCCTGGGTCTGTCCAACTTTAGGTCTACACTCCTGACCCCTGCACTCCACGATGATTGCATTCCTGAGCCTGGCCCAGGTGGGCAGCCAGTGAATAGTTAGCTGGTGCAAAAGTAATTGCGGTCTTTGGTATTACTTTCAGTGGCAAAAACTGCATTACTTTTGCACCAGCCTACTAGAACGCTGAGTTCAGTGCCTTAAGCGGTGTTTCACAGAGAGGGAGCAAGGGGCAGCGCTTGTTAAAATGCAAATTCCCTCAGCTCCACGTTAAAATGCAAATTCCCTCAGCTCCACCTTGCCTCTTCCAAATCAGAATATTTGAGGGCAGGCCCCAGGAAATCTGCCTTTTAAAGTTTTGGGCTATTCAGAAGCACACCAAAGTTTAACCACTACCCTAAAGGGAAGGAATAACAGTCAGGTAGTAACAAAGCTCTGTTCTGAGTGCTTTATGTGAGTTTATTTATTGTGAGACAGAGTCTTGCTGTGTCACCCAGGCTGGAGTGCAGTGGCGCCATCTTGGCTCACTGCAACCTCCTCCTCCTGGGTTCAAGCAATTCTTGTGCTTCAGCCTCCCAAGTAGCTGGGATTACAGGCATTCACCACCACGCCTGGCTAATTTCTGTATTTTTGGCAGAGACGGGGTTTCACCATGTTGGCCATGCTGGTCTTGAACTCCTGACCCCAGGTGATCCGCCCACCTTGGCCTCCCAAAGTGCTGGGATTACAGGCATGAGCCACTGCAAGTTTATTTATTTAGTCTTCACAAGTGTTAATGGCCTCCCCATTTCACAGATGAGGAAAGTGAGGCACAAAGTAGTTAGATAACACCTCCCCACTGACCCCCAACCCAGGGCTGCATTGCTAGGAATCAGCCAGGTGTGGAGGATTCCTGCCCCTATGCTCAGTCCCCTACCTCTGACAGCTTCTGGACAGAGGAGTAGAGACGGGATCCCATGGTGGGTGGGGGTGAGGGCTCAGGAAGCACTGGTCCCTACAAGATCACGCTGGCCCTTTCCTGTTTGCCTTGTTTACCAGGCAGGGGCCCTCTGTGTTTCTGGGCAGGAAGTCCTGAGCAGGGGCTGTGCCAGGTGTCAGGGGCAAGACTGGGAGATGGTCCAGGAGTCTGAGCCGGGCACTACTCTGAGCAGCTGTCTGACCTGGGGCACATAGCTTCCCCATCTGTGTATGGGGTGGGGTCGAGATTTGGAAGAGGTAGTTAAGAGCTTGGGTTCCGGCATCAGATAGACCTGAGTTCCAGATCAAACTCAGCCACTTATCATCTGTGTGATCTCCAACAAAGCACTTCACCTCTCTAAGCCTCAGTTTCCCCTTCTGTAAAACGTGGCTAATAATAATAGTGCCTACCCTCCAAGCCTGTCATGAGGGTCAAAATATATTGTTGGCTGTCCGTCTTCTTGGGTTCTGCATGCGGGGATTCAGCCGACAGTGGATCAAAAATATTCGGGAAAAAATGGGTGGTTGCATCTGTACTGAACATGAACAGAGCTTTTTTGTCCTGTGATTGTTCTCTAAACAATACAGTGTAACAACTACCTACATAGCATTTAGATTGTATTAGGTAGTATAATTGATCTAGCACTGATTTAAAGTATATGGGAGGATACGTGTAGGTTTTATGCAAATATTACATCATTTTATATAAGGGACTTGATGTATACTGGTATTCGAGGGATATTCTGTAATCAGTCCCTTATGATACCGAGGGGCGACTGTATATAAAACTGCCAGCCAGGTGCAGTAGCTCATGCCTATAATCCTAGCACTTTGGGAGGCTGAGGTGGGAGGATTAAACTCAGACTGGCCTGGGCAACATAGTGAGACCCCGTCTCCACAAAAATAAAAAATTAACTGGGCATGGTGGCACTTGCCTGTAGTCCCAGCTACTTGGCAGGCTGGGGCAGACAGATCATTTGAGACCAGGAGTTTCAAGGCTGCAGTGAACAGTGATCACTCCACTGCACTCCAGCCTTTGAGACAGAAGGAGACCCTGTCTCTTTAAAAAAAAAAAAAAAAACTGCCAGGCATGCACAAGCCTCTCTGCTAGTCCTTACGTGGCAACAGACAGGATGCTGGATGATTCCCTATGCATGAGTGTGCACTTCTTTTTCTTTTCAATCAACTATTTGTTTTCCCGAATTGTACATTTTTCTCTTACCAAAGGCTGGCCACCTGGGTCCTCCCACAGTCCCTACTGAGAAAAGTCCCAGAACCAAAACTGGCTTCCACCTCGGCTCACTGTATTTGTGCTTTGTGAGTTTGCCCAGGTTGCACTGAGGGCAGGTGCTGCTGATAGTGTCTTTTTTTTTTTTTTTTTTTTTTTTTTGAGATGGAGTTTCGCTGTTGTCACCCAGGCTGGAGTACAATGGCACAATCTCAGCTCACTGCAACCTCCGCCTCCCGGGTTCAAGCAGTTCTCCTGCCTCAGGCTCTCGAGTAGCTGGGACTACAGGCGCCCGCCACCATGCGCGGCTAATTTTTGTATTTTTAGTAGAGATGGGGTATCACCATGTTGGCCAGGCTGGTCTCGAACTCCTGACCTCAGGTGATCCTCCTGCCTTGGCCTCCCAAAGTGCTGGGATTATAGGCGTGAACCACTGCTCCTGGCTGATAGTGTCTTTTCGTGATATAGACCAGGGGGTTGGCAAACTATGCCCACGGGACAAATCTAGCTGACCGCCTGTTTTCGTAACTAGTCTTATGGAAACGCAGCCACTTGCCTTCATGTATGTGTCATCTTGGTTGTTTGCATTACAGTTGCAAACTCGCAGTGGAGCTCTTGTGGCCCACAGAGCCAAAAACATGGGTTTTATGACTTCACAGAAGCTTGCCTACCCCCAAGAGAGATGATAAAGCAGGGTCGTCGAAAGTTGGGGAAACAGTTTGGGTTCTGGCATCAGATAGCCTGAGTTTCAGTTCAGGCTCAACCAATTACCATCTGTGTGACCTCCAACAAAGCATTTCACCGCTCTAAGCCTCAGTTTCCCCTTCGGTAAAACGTGGCTAATAATAGCGCCCACCCTCCAGGGTTGTCATTAGAGTAAAAATGCACAGTTGGCCCTGTACATTTTGACTCTAAATGACAACGAACAGGGAGAAGAAGTCACCCCTGATCCCACCTGACCGGACCACGCGTTCCTTAGTTTGTGTGTATGTCCCTGCCAGTCTTTATCCATGTGCTGTAATGACTGATCCTAACATCAAAAGGCGGCCAGGCGTAGTGGCCCATGCCTGCAATCCCAGCACTTTGAGAGGCCTAGGCAGGAGGATTACTTGAGCCCAGGAGTTTGAGACCAGCCTGGACAATGTATTAAGACCCCATTTCTACAAAAAATAAAATATTAGCCGGGCATGGTGGTGCACTAGCTACTTGGGAGGCTGAGATGGGAGAATGTGCTTGAGCCCAGGTGTTTGAGGCTGCAGTGAGCCATGATTGCACCGCTGTATTCTAGCCTGAGCAACAGAGCAAGAAACTGTCTCAAAAAAAAAAAAAAAAAAAAAAAGAAAAAGAAAAGAAAAGGAAAAGAATTAAATGGTAATAGTTTTCTTATGCTGGCTCTGCCTGGCTTGATGGAAGTTACATAGTTCCCATGACACTCTTCCAGGTGTTATTCCCATTTCTCAGATGAGAACACTGAGGCTCAGAGAGCTGCCCAAGATTGACCCAGGACACCCAGCCTTTGAGTGGGGGAGCCAGGATGTGACCCCCAGCCTCATCAGTCCCCACCCCTGGCTAGTCCCTAACAGAGTGCTGAACTGGGCCTCTGAACGGGAGACTGGGACAGTGTGTGGGACCCTGCTTTGATGGTTTTAGGTAAAAAAAAATGCAAAGCAAGACAGGGAGGAGAACACAGGCTCTGGAAAGAGAGAGACTTGAGTTTTCCTTCTAGCTCCCCTGCCTCCCAGCTGCATGGCCTTCGGCAGGTTCCTTTACGTCTCTGAGCCCCAGGAAATGGATGGTTAATAAGGGAGGGTCAAATAGGGTCAATGGTTAAGACAAAATGCAATGATATATGTAAAACCCTTAGTTCAGTGCCTGGTATATAATAAGGGCTCTAAGTCTGAACTAATGTTTTTTTGTTTGTTTGTTTGTTTGTTTTTTAGGCAGAATCTCTCCCTGTCACCCAGATTGGAGTGCAGTGGTGTGATCTTGGCTCACTGCAACCTCTGCCTCCCAGGCTCAAGCCATCCTCCCACTTCAGCCTCCCAAGTAGCTGGGACTATGGGTGTATTATCATCAAGCCCAGCTAATTTTTGTAAAGAGAGGGTTTTGTCTTATTTTCCAGGCTGGTCGCAAACTCCTTTGCTGTAGCAATCCATCCCCCTCAGCCTCCCAAAGTGCCGGGATTATAGGCATGAGCCACCATGCCTGGCGTGAGCCACTGTGCCTGGCCTGAGCTAATATTTTTAAGGCTGCATGCCAGCCTCCCTGCCCTTTTTCCCTCTTGAACCACTCTTCATGCTTTTTATGCTCAAGCAGTGTCCAGAGCTTCAGAATTATTTTTCCCTTACTCACACCCCATTGGAATCTGGAGGGCTTTCTTGGCTGGCTTCCCCCCGCAATAGGTCAGAGGTCCCTGATTCCCAGGGACCCTGCCCAAGAGACCTGCGTCTCCCCAGCTCTGCAGAAGGTTGAGGCGTGGTGGGTGGGAGTTGGTGTGGTCAGCGTGGTCTGGTAGGGTTGGGAATAGCCATGGCAATGGAATGTTGGGAGCTGGTTCCCATGGGGAGGAATTGCAGGGCTGATGGCTGAGCCTGAGCACGTGGGCACTGGGCCCTGCTCCAGGGCCACTCTGTAAGTGCAGTGACCTCCTGAGCTGGCTTTGTGCACTGCCAGCTCCCCGCTGTTGTCCCCTCCCTGCCCCCCTGCCGCTTTTCTCTTGGGAACCTCCTGATCTGCTGAGCTTGGAGAAATGATGATTTAGAAAGTTCCTATAGATTTGAGCCAAAATTCAGTGTGGTCTCAATGCAAATGTCACTCCCTTCTTTCCTTCTTTAACCCCTGGGGAATGCCTCCACCTCTCATCATGGGCATTTGCTTCTGAGCCTTTATCACTGGTGTCATTGTCTCACATACTGGTTTCTTGGCTCCCCACTGGAATGTCAGCTCTATGAAGGCAGGAACCTTTGTCTGTTGCCCTTGATGTATCCCAGTATCTTGAGCAGGGCCCCGCACATGGTACTTGCTCAGTAAACATTGGTGGAATGAATGAATCTGAGTCTAAGGGGATCTCTTAGATTGATTAGCCCCTCCCTTCCAGGGACATTTCAGGGTCAATGGAAAGAGGGAGCAAAGTTTCCTCCCATGGTCTCCTGCTGCCCATTTGTTTTTTTTGTTTTTTTTTTTGAGATGGAGTCTTGCTCCATCACCCAGGCTGAAGTGCAGTGGCATGATCTCGGCTCACTGCAACCTCTGCCTCTCAGGTTCAAGCAATTCTCCTGCCTTAGCCTCCTGAGTAGCTGGGAGCTCCCAAGCGCGATCCCCCACACCCGGCTAATTTTTTTTTTTTTTTTTTTTTAGTAGAGAGGGGGGTTTCACCGTGTTAGCCAGGATGGTCTCGATCTCCTGACTTCGTGATCCACCTGCCTCGGCCTCCCAAAGTGCTGGGATTATAGGTGTGAGTCACCACACCTGCTGAAATGAAACCCCGCTGTTTCCAACAACCGATTCTGGCTTAATCTGATTATTTTTTTTTTCTTTTTTCTTTTTCTTTTTTTTTTTTTTTTTTTGAGACGGAGTCTTGCTCTGTCGCCCAGGCTGGAGTGCAGTGGCATGATCTCGGCTCACTGCAACCTCTGCCTCCCAGGTTCAAGCGATTCCTCTGCCTCAGCCTCCTGAGTAGCTGGGATTACAGCCACGCGCCACCATGCCTGGCTAATTTTTTGTATTTTAGTACGGAGGAGATTTCACTGTGTTGGCCAGGATGGTCTCGATCTCCTAACCTCGTGATCTGTCCACCTTGGCCTCACAAAGTGCCGGGATTACAGGCGTGAGCCCCTGTGCCTGGCTGCTGCCCCTGTTTTATGAGCCGCATGACACCACGCTAGGGTTGGCACCTTGGAGGCAGAACCGCATTTGGAAACTGGCCTTTCCTCTTACTTGTTGTTTGGCTTCTGCTAATCACTCCATCTCTTGGAGCTTCAATTTCTTCACTTCTCAGATGGGGATAAAAATCTCCACCATACAAGGATTTGCTGAAAACAAGAGCCAGCAGGCAGGTAGCACTTGCTCTGGGCCAGGTGCTGTTCCGACATGCCCTAATTTATTTATACCTCCCAGCACTCCTGCAAGACTAGTTTCTCATTTGCGCTAGGCACATTTCAAAGTGCCCTTCTAGGAGGTGTTACAGGCTGCGTATCCCTTTATCTGAAATTCTTGGGACTAGAAAGGTTTTGGATTTCAGATTTTTTTTTCTTTTGAGGCAGGGGCTCCCTCTGACACCGAGGCTGGAGTGCAGTGGCATGATCATGGCTCACTTTAGCCTTGACCTCTGGGGTTCAAGTGATCCTCCTGCCTCAGCATCCCAATTAGCTGGGACTACAGGCAAGCACCACCACACCTGGCTAATTAAAAAAAAATTTTTTTTTGTAGTGATGGGGTCTCACTTTGTTGCCCAGGCTGGTCTCAAACTCCTGGGCTCAAGCGAGCCTCCTGCCTCAGCCCTCAAAGTGCTGGGATTACAGGCATGAGCTACCACACCTAGCTTGAATTTTTTCCGAGTTTGGAATATTTGCATCATACTAATCAGTTCAGCATCCATACTCCAAAATGTCTGATGAGCTTGCTTGCTTGCTTCCTTCCTTCCTTTTTCTTTCTCTTTCTTCTCTCTTTCTCTTTTTTCTTTCTCCTTCCTTGCTTTTCTTCTTTTTCTTCCTTTTTTCCTTCCTTCCTTTCTTCTTTCTTTCTTTTTCCTTTTCTTTCTCCTTTCCTTACCTTTCCCCTTTCCTTTCCCATGCCCTACCTGGTTTCATACTCACATCAGCCCAATCAGGCGGGTGGTGCCATGTCCTCCCCCTTCCCCTCCCCCGCCTCCTTTCCCCCTCCCTCTCCCCTCCCCTTCCCTTTCCTTTCAAGATGGGGTCTCGCTGTATTAACAGCCCAGGCTGGTCTTGAACTCCCAAGCTTAAGTGATTCTCCCACCTCGGCTTCCCAAAGTGCTGGGATTACAGGTGTAAACCACCATGCCCCACATCCGATGAGCGTTTTCTGTGAGCATCATGTTGGCACTCAACAAGTTTTGGATTTTGGAGCATTTCAGATTTTGAAATTTTGGATTAGGGCTACTTGACCTGTATTATCATCCCCATTTTACAGACGAGAAAACCAAGTCTCAGAGAGGCTAAGTGACTTGCCAAGGTCCTTCAGCCAGTAGCTGGTGCAGCAGAATGTTGAACCCAAGCAGTCTGGGCCCATAACATGTATGGCATACAATTCAAAAATTACTAGTCACTTTATTATTTTATCATATGGAAAGACAATAAGATGACACCATCAAGTTATGTTTTTAGGAGAAAAATATCACCTACCACCCGAGTACCACCCCTGGTAGCAATGTTTTTTGTTTCTTTGTTTTGAGGCAGTCTCATTCTGTCATCCAAGCTGGAGTACAGTGGCTCGATCATAGTTCACTGCAGCCTTGATCTCCTGGGCTCAAGCAATCCCCCAACCTCGGCCTCCCGAGTAGCTGGGACTACAGGCGTGCACCACCCCCTGCTTGGTTAACTGGTAGCAGTTGAGTCATATTTCCTTCTTGTCTTTTTTCTTAAGTGTGGTTTCTATTTGTTGGCGATTTTGCTGTGTGGTAGAGTCGTGCTCACCCTGCACCCACGTGGGCCTTTCTTAGCTTAAAATGGAGAACATGCCACCACCTGCCTGACTGGGCTGATGTGAGTATGAAACCAGGTAGGGCATGGAAAGCCCTTGCTTTGGTGTTAAATACACAGGGGTGCTGTGTATTTAATATATTCCTCCTACAAGAAAAGGAGGGGCTGGGTGAAGTGGCCCACACCTGAAATCCCAGCACTTTGGGAGGCACAGGCAAGAGTATTGCTTGAGTCCAGGAGTTTGAGACCAGCCTGGGCAACATAGCGGGACTCCATCTCTACACAAAAATACAAATATTAGCCAGGCATGGTGGCATGCACCTGTAGTCCTGGATACCTGGGAGGCTGAGATGGGAGGATCTGGGAGGATCGCTTGAGCTCGAGGAAGTCAAGGCTGCAGTGAACGAAGATCATGCCACTGCACTCCAGCCTGGGCTGGACAGAGTGAGACCCCATCTCAACAAAAAAAGAAAAAAAGGAGAGCTCTTTGACTCCTACCTCTCCCTCTCATTTGCCCTCTAATCAGCACTGCCCAGCAGAACACTCTGCAGTGATGGGAATGTTCTAGTGCAGAGGTCAGCAAATTTCTATAAATGTCCAGATAGTAAATGTTTCCAATTTTGTGGTGTTCATGTGGTTTCTATTGCCATTGCTCCTCCTCCTCTCTCTCCTCTTCCTCTTCCCTTCACCCTCTTCCCTTGATAAAATTTACAAATCATTCTTAGTTCAAGAGTGATTTGAAAACAGGCCCTGGGTTGGATTGGGCCATCATTGGCCTACCCCATCCTAAATGTGCACTGTCCAGTACAGTAGCCACTGGTCACATGTGGCTTCTGGGCACTTGCAGTGTGGCTAGTGCAAATGAGAAGCTGGATTCTTAATTGTATTTAATGTTGCATAAGGTGAGTTCAAATAGTTACATGTGGCTGGTAGCTGCATGTTGGATGCACAGCTCCAAATGACTGACAGCCCTGACAGCCCTGTTCCATTGCTCTGAAAGGGCCTGTGTTCCCTGGAGGGGGATGGCTGGGCTCGTGGGCCATGGGAGCTGCCTGGCTGGCAGGCCTCTTGGGCTCGCTGGCATTTCAAGAGCTGTCTGAGGGCAGCTGGGCGAGCCATCCTGCCTCTGGAAGAGCTTCAAGTGCCTGGTTCCTAATTGGTTTTGTTTATTCCAAGAGAGCAGGCCTCACATCATTGACCGCCCATGTCCCAGGAGTGCCGGGGCTTGAGTATCTATAGTTTGGGGGTGGCCTGCTGTGGGGGGGTCTAGTTGCTGTGGTTACACCTTGGTTCCCTTTTCCATCTGGGTTTAGATGTCCTAATTGGCCTGATATTTCAGGAATAGGAAAATGGTATGGAGAAAAGGAGTGAGTGAATAGGAAGGAATGGAGGACCAAGAAATGCAGTCAACACCCTGCAGCCGGTTTATTGCCATCATGGCACAAATAATAAAAGCTGAGTTTTTTTTTTCTTTTTTTTTTTTTTTGAGACGTGGTCTTGCTCTGTTGCCCAGACTGTAGTGCAGTGATGCAATCACAGCTCGCTGCAGCCTCGACCTCCTGGGCTTCAGCAATCCTCCCATCTAAGCCTCCCAAGTAGCCGGGACTATAGGCAGGTACCATCACCTGGATAACTTTTTATTTTTTGTAGAGACTGGGTCTCCCCATATTGCCCAGGCTGGTCTCTAACTCCTGGGCTCAAGTGATCCTCCTGCCTCTGCCTCCCAAAGTGCTGGGATCACAGGCGTGAGCCACCACCCCAGGCCTGGCTGAGATTTAAAAAGCTGACATTTTAAAGTGTTGTTACCCTGGTTAAAATCTCCTGTTTACAGAATAGGAAAAGTCTGAGAGGAGTGATATGTATACTCAAGGAGTTGGCCAACTCCAGAGCTGCATTCCAAACTACCCACCTCCTGAAACAGGACTGACAGGTGGGAGGTTTAGCTTCAGACTCAGTATGTGAGTCTGTAAAATGATTTTTCCTTGTGGGCCTCAGTTGTCCCATCTGTAAAATGGGGGAAGGTTTGAATTGGACTAAAAATCTTCCCTACCCTAAATGGTAAGGACACAGCACTGGGAGATATATACTCCCTGCCCTAAAGCTATAAGGATCCCCTTGATTCCACTTTGGCCTGGTTCTGGCTACATGCCAGGACTCATCGTGGACACAGCCTCGTTCCTGTAACCATGGGAGATTAAGTGTTAGGAAGGTCTTACAGATCTGGATGGTGAAACTCTTTCCATCCATTCCTTGGGTAAGTTGCTCTTCCTCTTGGTGTCATGCTTTCTCATCTGTAAAATTGGGATCATCACACTTTCCTTTTATTGGGGTTTAAATGACACAGGTATTTGCGTGGTCAGCATTTGGTCAGTGTTAGGTGGTGACAGTAGGATGTTGTGTTCAATTCCAGGAAGCAGCATATTCCTTGTAGGCTGGGCCTGTGGTACCATTTGGAATTGTGCAGTCCACAACCTGATCAACCATACCCAGCCATCTCAGGTGGCAATAGTGGTGTGTAGTGGTGGTTGTTGTTGCTTATTGTTATATTTACTTTTCCTGGAGTCCAAGGTCCCTAGGCCAAGAGGAGGGGAGAGGCCTGGTTGGCATAAACCAGGGGCTCCCTAAGGCAGCGGCGCCTTAGCTCAGACTTCAGCTCACACCTCTCTGCCTAAGAAGTGAGCCAGTTCATTCCCTGTAGGAGTAGATAAGTTGAGACTCCAGCTGTGGTATCTTGAGCTGAAGCAGCCTCCCCTGCATTCCAGAGTCCTTCTCCCAAATGTCACTGTCCAGTGCTCTTGGGAGCCTAAACCCTCACTCTGCCTCTTTGAAGGCTTGGCCCCTCTCCACAGTGCCCATCCCTGATGCAATATCTCCTTTGCCTCTCCAGGGCTCTGCCAGCAGACAGCCTTGGCACACAGGCACAAGGGCTGGAGCCCAGAGATGAGAGTGCCCAAGGGAGGTAAGTGCACCTAGAAGGAACTTCCCCTGGAGTCCTGGCCCCTCCTGAGACCGCCCTCCAAAAGTCCCCTCCATGCCCCCAGCCTCCATGATTGGGTGCCTGGGCAAACTCCCCTGGCTGGTTTTCACCTTTCTGTTCAGCCAGCAGGTTGGAAATCTGGTACTAGAAAAAGCTGCATCCCAGCAAGCATCATAGAGAGATGAGCATCTTCCTTGTCTATTAGGAAGACGATTCTCCAGGTGATAGGAGAGAGAAGGCTGAGTCCCAAAGTGGGCGGGGGACTTGCCCAGTGTCACGGAGCAGATTCAAGCCAGAACCCAAACGCTGTTGTGTCCCGTTCTCCTAATGTTAGTGTTTTAGGTATGCTTTCTCAGTACCCCACAGGAGTTCCTTGGCCTTCTGAATAGCTTCCTTGAGAAAAGGGTATTATTATTCCTTTTTTGGAGAAGAAAGTAGAAGCTCAGAGAAGTGATACCTTTTGTCCAGATCACCAGCTGGCAAGTGGCAGCAGAAGTGAGATTTGAACCTTGGAGTGTAGTACTCCAAGTTAGAAGCCCTCACCTATCATCCTCACTGCGAGGATGCCAGGATACCTCCCTTGCCAGGGTCCAGCAGGGTGATGAGGGTGTTGGGCAGGCCTAGTTCCCTGGGCTGGGCCCTCTAGCTCCTTCCACAGTGGGGTCCCTAGCTCTGGGTAACCAGGAAGCTACTTTCTGCTTTGTGGGTTCCAGGCTGCTTTCTGTGTCCCAAGTCACCCTGCTTTTTCTTCTTAAGCCATCGTGCAGGTCATTGCTGTCTTCTGCTCACTTCTGACTTGCCTGCTTTGAGCTGTTTTCTTCAGCCTTGGCCTGGTCTGATCCAGGATTCCTGCCCTGGCCATGCAACCTTGGGCAAGCTGCTTCATCTCTTTGAGCTTAGATACTGCAGGGAAAATGCTTTAGCAGAGTTTATGCTCCATAATTTCGAACACCTTTGCTGAACATAAAATGCTGAAGCTGGCCGGGTGCGGTGGCTCACACCTGTAATCCCAGCACTTTGGGAGGCTGAGGCGGGCAGATCACCTTAGGTCAGGAGTTCGAGACCAGCCTGGCTAACATGGTGAAACCCCATCTCTACTAAAAACACACAAAAAAATCAGCCAAGGTGGGGATGCTGTCACTGAAATCCTAATAACTGACAGGATTCTGGTCACAGGTCTCAGGGGAGAATTTCACTGAGCACCTGATGAAGACAAAGGGTCGTTGCAGGGATTTCGGAATGGCTTCATGTCCTGTTCAGCCTGCCTCCCCGCAGGAAGTAGCTCTGAATTAGCTTTCTCCATCACAGACCCTGAATCGAGGGTACAAATGAAGCCCCAACCTCTTCAGCAGAACTTCATCAGCACGTTTTTCTGAAGAGAGGGAAATTATCCAATGCACAGAGAGGCCGGTGACCCCAGCCTGAGATCCATCTCTGGTTTGTCAGCTGCTTCTCATATTTTCACAGCAGCCTCTGAGGTCAGTGGATCCACCCTGATTTTGCAGCTGAAGAGACTGTGGCTAAGATGAGGGAAGTGACTCTCCCAAGCCACATGGCCAGGAAGTCCTAGCCTCTTAGCAGTTTCCACCCCAGGCCTGAGACTGTGTTCCCTCCGCTTTGATGTTTATTTTCCACTTGCTATAGCCTAAGAAGGCCCAGGCAGCCCAAGCCCTTGCAGGTGGATAGGCCCAGCTGCAGACTGGGCCCTTGGGTGGTTTTGGGTGGAACCTCACATCCAAAGAGGCATGCTGTCTTCCCACTGGCTTCCACCAAACCCTCCGTTCACTAAGTCACTTGCAGTTCCCCAGTCGTGCTGCATCCTTTCCTGCCTGTGGCTCTGCGCTGGCTATTCCCTTTGCTGGTAACATCCTTGTTTCCCTTCTCCACCTGCCTGTTTCCTACCCACCACTGAAAATTCTGCATGAAGGCTACCTCCTGCAGGAGGCCTTCCCTCACCTACGCAGGTAGAACCCATCAATCTCTCTCAGGCACAGGTCCATGGTAAGAGTAGACTTTGGAGGCTGAGGCTCCCAGCACATAGCAGGTGCTCATTAAATGTTGGAATAAGTAAATAACCAATGATTATGATAGAAATCACTAATATTCTTGGGCCAGATGGGGTAACTCATGCCTGTAATCCCATCATTTTGGGAGGCTGAGGCGGGAGGATCACTTGAAGCGAGACCCTGTTTCTAAAAATTAGCCAGGTGCGGTGGTGTGTGCCTGTAGTCCCAGGTACTTGGGAGGCTGAGGCAGAGGATTGCTTGAGCCCAGGAGTCCGAGGCCGCAGTGAGCTATGATCTCTCACCACTCAATGCACTCCAGCCTTTTTTTTTTTTTTTTTTAGACGGAGTCTCGCTCTGTCGCCCACGCTGGAGTGCAGTGGCGCAGTCTAGGCTCACTGCAAGCTCTGCCTCCCAGGTTCACGCCATTCTCCTGCCGCAGCCTCCCGAGTAGCTGGGACTACAGGCGCCCGCCACCATGCCCAGCTAATTTTTTGTATTTTAGTAGAGATGGGATATCACCGTGTTAGCCAGGATGGTCTCGATCTCCTGACCTCATGATCCGCTGGACCGGGTGGCTCATGCCTGTAATCCCATCACTTTGGGAGACAGGTAGGAGGATCACCCAGGCCCACGAGTTCAAGAGCAGCCTGGGAAACATGGTGAGACCCCATCTCTTTAAAAAAACAAAAAAAATTGAAAAAAGTGCCCAGCAGGGTGCCAGGCACACAGCTAGTGCTTATGAAAGGTGCCCTCTGCATTCATGTCAGCAGCCTCTTGTTTGCAGTTATAGGGCTTTGCAGTTATTGGAGAGCTCACAGCTCACAGACCTCCCTGACTATGCATGTCCCCCTCTCTCCCCAGATGTGAGCCTGGCGGGCTGCCCGCTAACCTGTCGCTGAAGCCCCAGAAGCGGGCCCTCAGGCCAGGCCTACCCTGCCTCCGGCCCAGCATGCGCCTGTCGGTGCGGAGGGTGCTGCTGGCAGCCGGCTGCGCCCTGGTCCTGGTGCTGGCGGTTCAGCTGGGACAGCAGGTGCTAGAGTGCCGGGCGGTGCTGGCGGGCCTGCGGAGCCCCCGGGGGGCCATGCGGCCTGAGCAGGAGGAGCTGGTGATGGTGGGCACCAACCACGTGGAATACCGCTATGGCAAGGCCATGCCGCTCATCTTCGTGGGTGGCGTGCCTCGCAGTGGCACCACGTTGATGCGCGCCATGCTGGACGCGCACCCCGAGGTGCGCTGCGGCGAGGAGACCCGCATCATCCCGCGCGTGCTGGCCATGCGCCAGGCCTGGTCCAAGTCTGGCCGTGAGAAGCTGCGGCTGGATGAGGCGGGGGTGACGGATGAGGTGCTGGACGCCGCCATGCAGGCCTTCATCCTGGAGGTGATTGCCAAGCACGGAGAGCCGGCCCGCGTGCTCTGCAACAAGGACCCATTTACGCTCAAGTCCTCGGTCTACCTGTCGCGCCTGTTCCCCAACTCCAAGTTCCTGCTGATGGTGCGGGACGGCCGGGCCTCCGTGCACTCCATGATCACGCGCAAAGTCACCATTGCGGGCTTTGACCTCAGCAGCTACCGTGACTGCCTCACCAAGTGGAACAAGGCCATCGAGGTGATGTACGCCCAGTGCATGGAGGTAGGCAAGGAGAAGTGCCTGCCTGTGTACTACGAGCAGCTGGTGCTGCACCCCAGGCGCTCACTCAAGCTCATCCTCGACTTCCTCGGCATCGCCTGGAGCGACGCTGTCCTCCACCATGAAGACCTCATTGGCAAGCCCGGTGGTGTCTCCCTGTCCAAGTGAGTGGAGCCCCTGATGCTTCCACTCAGACTCTGGCCCTGGAGTCAGAGGCGCCAGGCAAGAAAATCAGCACTGCCTTTCTTGAGCTGTGTGGCCTTGGGCAAGTCACTATATCTCTCTGAGCCTCCGTTTCATTATCCCAAAAAATGACAACAATTACTCCTCTCCTTTCTGAGAGAATCTGCAAACTTCGTGGGCTGTTTGTTTGTTTTTTGAGGCAGTGTCTCGGTCTGTTGCCCGGCTGGAGTAACAGCCGCCACCTCCCTGTTCAAGTGATCCTCCCACCTCATCTTCCTGAGTAGCTGGGACTATAGGCATGCGCCACCAAGCTGGGCTAATTTTTGTATTTTTGGTAGAGATGGGGTTTGCCCTGTTGCCCAGGCTGGTCTCAAACTCCTGGCCTCAAGCAGTTCTTCCACCTCAGCCTCCCAGAGTCCTGGGATTACAGGCATGAGCCACCACACCCAGCCTAGAATCTGCAAACTTTGAATATGCTTTGTAGTAAGGCAATAGTGGGTAAAGGTTAAGAGCACAGATTCCAGAACAAGGATGTCTGGGTTCAAACCTCAGCTCTGCCACTTCTTAGCTGTGTGACCCTGGGCAAAGCGACTCAACCCCTGTGCTTCCATTGCTTCATCTGTAACATGGAAATATAATTTGCCTACCTTATAGATACCTGTGGGCATCAAATAGGTTAATAAATGTTAGGTGCTATTATTACTATTTTAGTGTTGATACTGCTTTTATTGATGGAGTACCCATCCTCACCATTGTCATTTAATGAGTGCCTACTGTATGGCAAGTATTGGGTTAAGCCCCCAACAAGTTTATCTCCTTTAATCCTCACAGCAACCTGAGGACATAGGAACACCTCTTATCCACATTTTATAGACCAAAAAACTGAATCTCACAGAGGAGAAGTTACTGGCCTCAGGCTACACAGCTAACAAAGCATGGTGCTGGGATTGGAACCCAGGTCTGTTTTTTGGGGTTTTTCTTGTTTTTGTTTTTGTTTTTTTGAGACAGGGTTTCACTCTGTTGCCCAGGCTGGAGTGCAGTGGCACGATCCCAGCTAACTGCAGCCTCGACCTCTTGGGCTCAAGCAATTCTCCCACCTCAGTCTCCCGAGTAGTTGGGACTACAGGCGAGCATCTCCACACCCAGCTCATTTTTTTTTTTTTTTTCCTAGTAGAGATGAGATCTCAGTATGTCTTCCAGGCTGGTCTCCAACCCCTGAGCTCAAGCCTTCCTCCTGCCTTGGCCTCCCAAAGTGCTGGGATTACAGGCCCCTGGCCTATTGTGTTCTTAAACTCCCCATGTCCAGAACTCCTCCCATCCTCCCCTTCACTCCCCCTCATCCTTTCCTTTCCTTCCTCCCTCTGTCCCTTGCTCCCTGCCTTCTTCCATTGGAAAAGCTGCTGTCCCTATCCTGAGACCCAGAGCACTTTGAACAATGCTGGAGCAGAATATGCAGTTTCCACGCTTTCCCATCCTGATCAGGCTCTGGATAGCCTGAGAGCTCAGTGAAAGGGTGGTCCTTCCCATGGCTGGTCCTTCCCATGGCTGGTCCCTGCTGGGCCCCTTCCCAGGCCCAGAGCAGAGCTAGAGGCTCGCAGCTGCTCTCCGCTAGCAACAAAGTTCCTACATGCCGGGTACCCCAGCCAGTTGGTGCTGGAGCTAGGATTTTATAAATTATTATGACAAAAATATTAGATTACCAAAGTAATACATCTTGACTATAGAAAATTAGAAAAGATACACCAAAGAAGAACGGAGAAACAACCCATGATCTCACCACCCAGATCTTGATGTGTGGCCTACTGCACCATTTTCAGGGCCTGTTGATGAAACTGGAGTCCAACGAAACATACTCCTCTGTAGCCTTTTTCCACGGTGGTGTGGGAGCCCTTGCCAGTGGCAGCCAGCACTCTTTGGTAGCAGCATTTTTGTTGTTGTTTTGTTGTTGAGACGGAGTCTCGCTCTGTCACCCAGGCTGGAGTGTAGTGGTGTGATCTCGGCTCACTGCAACCTCCGCCTCCCGGGTTCAAGCAGTTCTCCCTGCCTCAGCCTCCCAAATAGCTGGGATTACAGGCACCCGCCACCACGCTCTGCTAATTTTTATATTTTTAGTAGAGATGGGGTTTTGCCATGTTGGCCAGGCTGGTCTCGAACTCGTGACCTCAGGTGATCTGCCCGCCTCAGCCTCCCCAAGTGCTGGGATTACAGGCATGAGCCACCGCGCCTGACCTGCAGCATCATTTTGAATAGCTGTGCGACAGGCTGCTACACGGATTGCCATATTCGACTTCACATTCCCTATTGTTGGACACTTCGGTTATTTCCAGTTTTACTGATATGTATCAAGCATTGCCCTCATTCATGTTCTGGGATGTGTCCACCTCATTTCTGCACCATAAAGTCCTAGAGACACAAGGATTTTGGCAAAAGCCATGCACATACTCAAGATTTTTGACATATTGGGTAGAGTTAAGATTTAAATCCAGGTTTGCAGCCTCTGAATCTGTGTTCTACCCACCAGTCCACACCCTTTCACCTTCCCCTGTTCTCCTCACCTCACGCCCGGTCTTGTCTTCCTTTTGCTGCCTCTTTCTGTTCTTTCCCAAGTCACCTCTTAGTTGGGATGAAAACATTTAGAACTAGGCCCTTGATCCTGGGGGTTCCCCACCATTCATCCTGTCAGGCCCCTGAGTTATAATTGGTAAGATCTGCATCATTCAGGTGGCTTGGGAAGCCTGTTACAGGGAGAGTTAGGAAGCAGGTTGAAGATGATGGTTATTCCATGGTAGCTGTGAAAAGTTGGAAACAACCTAAATGTCTGTCTTCAGGGGAATGGAAAAATAAGTGATGGAGGAAGGCTACATAGCTGGCAAAAAGAGTGAGGTATTGAGTGGGGAAAAAAAACTAGCGTATTTGTTTTACAGCTGCAGACGCGCGTTTGTGTGTGTGTGTGAGAGAGAGAGCGTGTGCACAGGAGAGAGAGCATGCTAACCCTTATTAAAAATTTACAATGTGTTGGCCAGGCACAGTGGCTTATGTCTGGAATCCCAGCACTTTGGGAGGCCGAGGCGGGCAGATCACTTGAGGTCAGGAGTTCGAGACCAGCCTGGCCAACATGGTGAAACCCCGTCTCTTCTAAAAATACAAAAATTAGCTGGGCGTGGTGGTACATGCCTGTAGTTCCAGCTACTTGGGAGGCTGAGGCATGAGAATCGTTTGAACCCAGGAGGTGGAGGTTGCAGTGAGCCAAGATTGTGCCACTGCACTCCAGCCTGGGCAACAGAGTGAGACTCCATCTCCAAAAAGAAAAAACTTACAATGTGCCTACGCTCTTCTAAGCACTTTCTTTGTATTAACTCATTTACTCTTCAGACAACCCCAGTGAGGTAGGTACTACTATCATTGCCAATTACAGAAGAGGAAACTGAGGCCCAGAGAGGTGAAGTAACTTTCCCAAGGCCACACAGCTGGGGAACAGCTGGCGTCTGAACCCAGGCAATCTGGCTCCCTGGTTTGCTCTTAACTACTCTACAAGAAAAGGTTAGAGAAGGTGGTGTGCTCCACAGTGCAAAGACTGAGTGCCTGTAGGAAGCCGATGGGCTGGCAGTGATGAACACAGTGGCTTTCAGCTTTATCATTAGTGTTTTATAACTTTTTTTAGGGACAAAATATTCATGTTAGTCATACACATTAAAAAGTGTTTCTTTTTTTTTTGAGACAGGGTCTTGCTCTGTTGCCCAGTCTGGAGTGCAGTGGTGCAATCACAGCTCAGGCTCACTGCTTCTTCAACCTCCCGGGCTCAAGCAATTCTCCCATCTCAGCCTCCTGCGCAGCTGCTGGGACTACAGGCGCTTGTTACCATGCCCAGCTTATTTTTGTAATGGGGTTTCACCATGTTGCCCAAGTTGGTGTCAAACTCCTGAGCTCAAGTGATCCTTCTGCCTTGGCTTTCTGAAGTGCTGGGATTACAGGTGTGAGCCACTGTGCCTGACCTAAACTGTTGTTATTTTTTAAGCTGGAGAAGAAAGCAGAATGTATGTACCAATGGTGTATACTGCTAGTACTTTCTTCTGACTTCTCACTGCATGCTGTGTTCCCATTGTACAAAGGAGGTATGAGGAGGCAAAAATGACTCACCTGCCATCTCACAGTTGATGGGGCAGAGCTGGGTGGAGGCCAGGTTTCTCCAGTCTTTCCTGCTGCCCCAGAGTGGCTGAGCAGGGAATCCGCTCAGGCGCCATCTGGGTCTGCCCTACCCTCTCCAGCGTCTCCTCTCTCCCCAGGATCGAGCGGTCCACGGACCAGGTCATCAAGCCTGTTAACCTGGAAGCGCTCTCCAAGTGGACTGGCCACATCCCTGGGGATGTGGTGCGGGACATGGCCCAGATCGCCCCCATGCTGGCTCAGCTCGGCTATGACCCTTATGCAAACCCCCCCAACTATGGCAACCCTGACCCCTTCGTCATCAACAACACACAGCGGGTGAGTGTGCACCTGTACTTGTGGAAGTGTACTCTTGGGGATATGGGGCTTCTGCAGATGTGGAAACTCCAGCCACCTGAGGAAATGTTCAGTCTCTCAATTCCTGGTCATCTGATTTGTTCCTGTCTGATGGACACAGTGAACTACATGATTGCTTGTATTTCCATTTTGCTTGGGCTGCAGGGAAGCTCAAAGCCAACTGGTAGCCTGTCTCTCATACTCTAACATCTAACAGCAGGCCAGCTTGTACACTAATTTCATCTTATTTCTCTAATTTTATTTACATTTTTACCCCTATTTCCCTGGCTATTTGTTTATCTGTTTGTAAGGCACCTCAAGTCTTTGTTGAGAGGGGGTATAAATAAATAAACTATTGGTCCCTTTCTTGTCTTATAAGGTTTAATGTGGATTTCTCAGACAAATGTGAGTTTAGGGCTGTTTAAATTATGCTTAAAATTCTCCTTAGTTAAGATGGTGAAGGGAAATGACTTTTTTGTTTTGTACTGTTTTGTTTGAGGCATGGTCTTGCTCTGTTGCCCAAGCTGGGTGCACTGGTGCAGTCATAGCTACTGCAGCCTGATACTTCTCGGCTTAAGCCATCCTCTCACCCCAGGCTCCTGAGTAGCTAGGACTGCAGGTGCACGCCACCATGCACAGCTAATTTTAATTTTTATAAAGGCGGGGTCTCGCTACGTTGCCCAGGCTGGTCTAGAACTCCTGGCCGTAAGGGATGCCCCTGCTTCACTCTTCCCAAAGTGCTGAGATTACAGGTGTGAGCCTCCAGTGACTGACAAAATGCTTTTGAAGTGTTAAAGTAGGCTAACACCCACTGGGTAAAAGAACAGTTAACAAGTTGATGGCCTTATTTATACGTTTCCATTACAGCTTCTAGTTTACTTTAAGTGCTGTGTTCTAACTTCCTTATAGGCAAATATTTGAAAATGGGACCCAGGCCTGAGGAAGAGCTTTCACAGCCCTTACTTCATTAAGACCCAGAGTCTTTAATTTAAGCTAAGCTCAGCATTTCTGAGCGTGTGCTGATTTTAGGAAATAAACAGTTATCGTATTGAATCACAACGGAAAAAAGTTAATCGTCTCTTAGTTCCGTAACTCTTCAGTTGGCTCAAGAAGAAAGTTTCCATTTGGTGCTAAAAAGTCATTACCACCTCTCTAGCACTCACTGATCTCTCTTTAACAAAGAGAATTTACTAACGCTGAGCTTTGGGGGCTGTGCCCTTGTAATTGAAGTGTAAGCTTTGTCTGTGGGTCTCGTGAGTTCCTCTTCCTCTTGACATTAGTTGATTTTGCAGACATCTATTTATGGAAATACTCAGAGATTCAACGTACATACCAGCCGACATTGACAGGTGAATGGCTGCAACCCAGATGTGGTTTGTTATTTTTATTATAAATATTATTAATTTTTATTTTATTATTCTTTAATAATAGTAATCTTTAAACCCTACTTATGTGTTTTACATACTTTTATCTGCCTGTGGGTTGTACATGTATTATCAAAATAAAAAATTAATTAACTGGATTAAAAAGATGGTAGTGATCTCACAATCCAGCCCCAGGTGCTTCTCAGAAGCAGAGGCGAGGGCCGGCTGGGGACACTGCAGTAGTGGGCTGGATGTTGCTTACTTCACTGTTCTCAGCCAAGGGCCCAGCAGTGGCTCCTCTGGGGTCTCCTTAAAAGGTGGCTCGCTGCCCCTGGCTTGCCCCAGGCTATGGGTCGGACGTTCCTGGAGTAAAGCCTGACTTTATGTATTTTATAAAACACAAATAATTTTCATGAGCACTGGTGGTTAACATCAACTCTTTGGAGCTTTTTGTGTTTGTTTATTTAAAATGGAAGCTGTCTCTCATTTTCATCCAAAGAGATTTCTTCCCTGGGGCGGTCAACAAGTCTTGGCAAGTGCTAGATCCCTGGTTTAGTTTTTGCCATAGCTTGGCTGTTACTGCAAAGAAAAGTCCTCTCACTAAGCCCTGTGAGTTTGCATGCATGCCTGTGTGCTTCTGTGAGTGCTGTGGACCCTGTGTGTTCCAATAATGGATCCTGGGGCTCAGTAAACACAGTGGCTAAAAGGACATCTATGCTGATGAAATCGTCTCTGCCTGCAGTGTCCCATACGGTAGCCACTAGCCATGTGTGGCCCCTGATTCTGTAACAGGAGGCTAGTCCAAAGTGAGAGGTCCTGTTAGGTGTAAAATACACACTAGATTTTGAAGGCTTAGGACAAAAAAGTATGTAACGTTTCTTATTAGTCACTTTTATATAAATTACATATTGAAATGTTAATATTTTACATAGGCTGGACATGATGGCTCATGTCTATAATCCTAGCACTTTTGGAGGCCAAGGCAGGCAGACTGCTTAGCCTAGGAGTTTGAGACCAGCCTGGGTAACATGGTGAAACCTCATCTCTACTAAAAATATTGAATATTAGCCAGGCATGGTGGCACGTGCCTATAGTCCCAGCTACTCAGAAGGCTGAGGTGGGAGAATCACCTGAGGCTGGGAAGTGGAGGCTGCAGTGAGCCGTGATCGCACCACTGCACTCCAGCTTGGGCTATGGGAGTGAGACCATGTCTCAATAGAAAAAAAAAAAAATTAGCTATATCAGGTTAAATAAAAGATATTGTTAGAATTAATCTCCCTTGTTTCATTTTATTTTAAAATGTGACTACTAGCGGAAAGGCCTGAAATGTTGTGGTTCTAACTTCAGGGCCTTTGCTCTGTTGCCTCTGCCTGGAGTGCTTTTTCTTCTGAGCTTAGCCTACCTATTTTTCCTTGTCGTTTGGGTCTCAGCTCAAAGGTTATCTATTTCAAGAGGCCCTTTTTATTTTTATTTATTCACTTTCTTAGAGACAGGGTCTCGCTCTGTCACTCAGGCTAGAGTGGAGTGATGTGATCATACTTCACTGCAGCCTCAACCTCCCGGGCTCAACCAATCCTCCAGCTGAGGCTGGAGTAGCTCCAGAGCAGCTGGGACGATAAGTGCATGCCACCATGCCCAGCTAATTTTTAATTTTTTAGAAATGGGGTTTCAGTGTGTTTCCCAGGCTGATCTCAAACTGCTGGACTCAAGTGATCCTCCTGCCTTGGCCTCCAGAAGTGCTGAGATTACAGGCATGAGTCACTGCGCCTGGCCCAAGAGTCCCCTCTTGACCACCCACTCAAAAGAAGCCCCCTGGTTACTCCTAATCCCACCTCTTTACTGTACTTTTTTCACAACAGTTCCCATGGTTTGCTATGTCCTTGTTTATCTGTGTTTATTTTTCTTGTATGTTATCTGGTGCCCCCTCTAGAATGGTAGCTCCAGGGGAACAGGAATTTCCATTATCTGGTTAACATCATGTCAACCAGACACAATGCTTAGAATAATGCCTAGAAGAAGAGGAGCTTAAGCAATGTTTGTTGGATGGAGGGATGGGTGGGTGGCGAGGTGGATGGGTGGATGACTGGATGTGTTGGGAATGACTAAATTTTATTTTTTGGCCATTTTCATAATAGTGATATTTCTTTTTCTCTTCCTTAGGTCTTGAAAGGGGACTATAAAACACCAGCCAATCTGAAAGGATATTTTCAGGTTAGAAACCCCAAGGGGAATTCCGAATTCTGTCTTTCTCAGCTATACCACCATCTGGCTGTATGCCCTTAGATGTGTCACTTCTCCACTCTGGTTGATGGTTTTCCCATTATAAAAAGGGGGATGTGAGCTGGCTGCCTGTAATCCCAGCACTTTGGGAGGCCAAGGCAGGCAGATCACGAGGTCAGGAGTTCAAGACCAGCCTGACCAAAACGGTGAAACCCCGTCTCTACTAAAAATACAAAAATTATCCGGGCGTAGTGGCACACACCTGTAATCCCAGCTACTTGGGAGGCTGAGGCAGGAGAATCGCTTGACCCTGGGAGGCAGAGGTCGCAGTGAGCTGAGATCACGCCGTTGCACTGTAGCCCGAGCGACAGAGCGAGACTCCATCTCAAAAAATAAAAATAAAAAATAAAGGGCTGTGGGGATGCGTGCTGGACCAGAGGGTCTCTAAGCACTGATCCAGCTGGGGCCACATCTCAGTGGCCCTTCTGCCAGGAAGCAGCCTCTCACTTCGTCTTCCGGCTTGAATGCAGTTGGAGGGACTTCGTGGGGACTTTTTCTTGGGCTTTCTTTCTTGTTGAGACTGGAGTGCAGTGGTGTGATCATGGCTCACTGCAGCCTCAATCTCCTGGGCTCAAGCAATCCTCTCACCTCAGCCCCTCAAGAAGCTGAGACTACAGACACACACCATCATGCCCGGCTAATTTTTGTGTTTTTTGTAGAGACAGGGTTTTGGCATGTTGTCCAAGCTTGAGTTGTATTATTTATAATAAACAGGTAGCAGTTAGTAAAGTGTTTTCCCTAGTGTCTTGTGAGCTGTTCTAGTGAATTATCAAACCAGAGTGGGGGTTGTGGGAACCTCCAGATTTGAAGTTGGCTGGGAAGAAGTGTGGATAGCCTGCGCACCCCATTGCAGCTGGCATCTAAAGTGGGGCAGTCGTGGAACTGGGCCCTTAATCTGTGGCAGCTGATGCTAAGTAAGTCTGGGAGCTGGTGTCAGAACTGAACTGAATTGTTGAACACCCAGTTGGTATCCAGATAATCAGAGAATTGGTCACTGATATTGGAAAGCACCCATAAGCCAATATCTGAAGGATTAAAACTAGGTCTGCCACACAAAGATCTGGATAGAAAAGGCTTCCCGGCAGAGGGAACTGTAAACGCCTGAAAGTGGGGAGTGTGGCCGAAACCTCTGGAGTGCGTATGCACTTTTGCATTCGTTGCAATTATATTTTTCTTTGTTTCTACCCCAATGTGATTTACAGGAATGTTCATTGCAATTTTCATGTTCAAACTGCCTTGTTTTGCTTTCTTAATATTTTCCTATCTTTTGAGTTTCACCGGCACCATTTTGGATGGCTACGTAGTGTTCTGTGGAATGCATGTGCTACCATTTACTAAACAGCTTCTTCAAGACCATTTCCAGTTTTTACAACATCCAGAATGACATTATGTGCACAGTGGAGGACAGTAGGGAGATGAGGGTTGGAAATAGAGGCTTGACAAAACTTATCTGCAGGGCAGCCCTCCTGAGCGTGGGGGTATGCCATTCCTTCATATTTTGTTCCTAAAAGCAACAAAAACCAGTCCCAGGTCAGCTAGACATCTTGCATATGTCATACACGGCAGGAAGTATAAACTGGCCCAACCCTTTTGTTTTTGTTTTTGTTTTTGTTTTTGAGATGGAGTTTTCCTCTTGTTGCCCAGGCTGGAGTGCAATGCGGTGATCTCGGCTCACTGCGGCTTCTGCCTCCCAGGTTCAAGCAATTCTCCTGCCTCAGCCTCTCAAGTAGCTGGGATTACAGGCACCGGCCACCACGCCTGGCTAATTTTTGTATTTTTAGTAGAAAGGGGTTTCGCCATGTTGGCCAGGCTGGTCTCGAACTCCTGACCTCAAGTGATCCACCCACCTCGGCCTCCCAAAATGCTGGGATTACAGGCGTGAGCCACTGCTCCTGACCCCAACCCTTTTGTAAAACACTTTTAGCCTTGTTGTTCAAGAGTCTTCAAAAGATCTGAACCCTTCCACCTGCTCCTGCTGATTCCTTTTTTTTTTTGAGATGGGGTTTCACTGTGTCACCCAGGCTGGAGTGCAGTGGCGCCATCTCAGCCCACTGCAACCTCCACCTCCCGGGTTCAAGCATGATTCCATTTTTTAGAAGTGAATTCTAAGGGAATGATTCAGTAGAGCTTCAGTACCCAACAGAAGAGAGGCAGAATCAGGATGTGATGTCATTTAAAATACTGCAAAAATTGGAACCATTCTTAGGTAAGCAGTCAGTAAACGGTGGTACATGCACTCCACAGAATATCTGTAGCCATCCAAAATGGTGCTAGTGAAACCCAAATGATGAAAAAATAGTAAGAAAGCAAAACAAAGCAGCTCATACTATACAATTGCAACTAATGTAAAAATGCATATTCAGGTGGACAAAAAAAGGCAACACGCAGGAGTTGGGTGCAGTGGCATGCCTGCAGTCCCAGGTTCTCAGGAGGCTGAGGTGGGAGGATCGCTGGAGCCCCTGTCTCTTAAAAACAACAGCAGCAACAACAACAACAAAAACGAAGGCAACGTGCAAAAATGAGAAGTTTCAGTTTGTGGATAATTCTCCTCATCCCCACTGTGTTGTTCTGCCTACATCATCTTTTTGGTTAAAACAAATACTAAATTAGTGCTCACTAATTCTGGCTACTTTCTTGACGTCAGCAAAAGATAGATCTCTGATTCCCACAAAGGGAGTGGGACCTCTCCCCAAACAACCAGGAAATGCTCAAAAGCCATGGTCCCTAGCTCTCAGATCGCATTAATTTTTTTTTTTTAAATTCAAGGCCAACACAGTGAGACCCCATCTCCCTACAAAAAAGAGAAAGCCTTAGCTGGGTATGGCACATGTGGCACATGTTCGTGCCACTGCACTCTGGCCTGGGTGGCAGAGTGAGACCCTGTCTCATAAAAAAGAATACAACTCAGGTACAGTCAAATGCAAGAAGCGTAGGGTGAGGTATGGGGGATGGGTCACAGAACATCCATGCCCTTTCCCGGCATGACACCCTCCCAGCCTCTCAATGTGTTTACCAACCAGGAAGCTTTCCAAATTCTGTCATTTAGAGATTTCATCATAGAGGCATGACTGATTAAATCATGGGTCATGGGTGATTGCCCAATCTCCAGCTCCTAGCCCCTAGACCCTCTCCCCTCTCCCCTCCCAGGAGGTCAGGGAGGGGAGAAGGCAGGTGGGGCTTAAAGTTCCAACCTTCTGGCTGGGTGTGGTGGCTCATGCCTGTAATCCTAGCACTTTGGGAGGCTGAGGCAGGCAGATCACTTGAGGTCAGCAGTTCAAAACCAGCCGGGCCAACATGGTGAAACCCTGTCTCTACTAAAAATACAAAAAATATTAGCCATTCGTGGTGGCACACGTCTGTAGTCCCAGCTACTTGGAAGGCTGAGGCAGGAGAATTGCTTGAGCTCAGGACGCGGAGGTTGCAGTGAACCAAGATTGCACCACCGCACTCCATCCAGCCTGGGCAACACAGTGAGACTCCGTCTCAAACAACAAAAAAAGTTCCAACCCTCTAATCATGCCTTGGTCTTTCTGAGACCCCTTCCCCTAATCCTGAAGCTATCTAGGGACCCCCAGCCATTAGTCATGTCATTAGCATGCAAAAGATACGTTTTGTTTTTTTTTTGTTTTTGTTTTTGTTTTTTTGATACCTAGTCTCCCTCTGTCACCCAGGCTGGAGTGCAGTGGCATGATCTTGGCTCACTGCAACCTCTGCCTCCCGGGTTCAAGCGATTCTCCTGCCTCAGCCTCCTGAGTAGCTAGGATTACAGGTGCCCGCCACCACACCCGGCTAATTTTTGTATTTTAGTAGAGACAGAGTTTTGCCATGTTGGCCAGGCTGGTCTCAAACTCCTGACCTCAGGTGATCCACCCTCCTCGGCCTCCCAAAGCGCTGGGATTACAGCCATGAGCCATGGCGCCCGGCCAAGATACCCTTATTCCTTCAGAGATTCCAAGAGTTTGGGGAGCTATGTGCCAGGAACTGGGGACAATGAACAAATATTTATTATTATACCACAGCTGAAATGCCATCTTGTAGAGTCCTTTCCTGGCCACCGTTTTTGAAGTAGCACAGATACTGATCACTCATAGCAGCCTGTCATATTGCCCAAGTTTGACATTTTCTTGCATCTGTGCGTGTTCAGTAGGCTTTTTCTTCAACTCGAACGTAAGTTCCGTGATCCTAGGTTTGGGTCTGTCCCGCTCACCACGCTATCCCAGCACCTGGCACATAGTAGATGTACAGTAAATACTACGTGAATAAGCATGTGCATGACTCAGTGATGCTGAGGGGTGACCCTCAATACAGCAAGGCATCCCTCACCTGGCCGTGACCCCTTCTTCTGTGTATTGTCTTTCTCCAGGTGAACCAGAACAGCACCTCCTCCCACTTAGGAAGCTCGTGATTTCCAGGTAAGCCTGTGGACTTCACTGGGGGTTCCCGCTGCTTCTGGGTGGCCCCGGAGCCACTTTTCTGAAAAGCCACTTTTCTGTCCTTCCAGAGCCTCCCTGGGGTAGACATGTCCACTAGGGTGGGCTGACCCAGCCCCATCAGAGGTTTCCATGGTGACAGACTGGGGGTGCTATTTATAGAATCAAGGCTTAGTTTTCTAGCTCTGGATCAAGGACAGGGAGAGGGATTAACGCTGAACCAACCAGAAAAAGGTTTGTCTGACACTGGGGACAGGGCAGGAAGCACCACTATGATGGGGGAGGGGGAGATTCTGGAACCATTTTTGCACAGAATGCTGTCTGCCAGTCTGGCTTCTAAAAACAGCATCAGCGTTGGGCCAGAGCAATTAATGTTCTAATAACAGTCACAAGTCGTTCTGTTCTAAGAATAACCCCCATGGCCGTTGGGCCAGGTACTGGTCCTGTGTTACTCATTTAACCCTCAGCATCCTTGGGAGGCGGATGACATGATCATTCCATTTTACAGAAGAGAAAACCAAAGCACAGAGAAGGAAGGGCTTTGACTTGCCCAAGGCTACACAGCCACCAAGGGACAGAATTCCTCCCAGGTTTGCTTTTAGTGAATGATTTTAAGTGCACATTTATCCATCCATATTCTACTAAGGGGTGGGGAAAGGGATTTTTTTGAACTTGGTAATTCAAAGATTTAAGATCTCCAGGTTTAACTCCCTTCAGCCCCTGTTTTCTTCATCTGGAGAATGGGGATTCATCATTGCCCACCTCTGAGGTTGGCCATGAGATGGCGTGAGCTGGCCCAGGTGGGAGTGCTTGGAAACCGTGAAGTGCTGGGCCCTCGCTGTGGACTTGGGCACTGGAGTTAAGGCTGCATGAGTGAGCTCACTTCCTTCTGTCCCCCAGCCTCTATGATCAGGTTAAAGGAAACCTCAAGAGAGGTTATTTTACATGGAAACACCTTCCAGCTTGGACTCTTATTTTTAGTCTCTGTATCTATTTTTAAACAATCAGCATATGTTTTAGTTTTTCTTTCAATTTACTTTGCTCCAACCTGCAAGGACTCTGTCATTATTAGGGTTCCCATCTTGAGTTGCACTAAGATCCCAGAGTTTTTGTTTTTGAGACAGAGTCTCACCCTGTTCCCCAGGCTGGAGTGCAGTGGCACGATCTCAGCTCACAGCAATCTCCACCTTCTGGGGTTCAAGTGACTCTCGTGCCTCAGCCTTCCAAGTAGCTGGGGTTACAAGTGTGCGCTACCACACCCAGCTAATTTTTGTATTTTTAGTAGAGACGGGGTTTCACCATGTTGGCCAGGCTGGTCTCAAACTCCTGGCCTCAAGTGATCTGCCCACCTCAGCCTCCCAAAGTGCTGGGATTACAGGCATGAGCCACCACACCTACCCAAGATCCCATAGTTCTATTCCAAAGAAAAGAACCCTCTCATGAAAAACAGCTTTCCTCCCTGTTCCTCACTAACTGTTCCCTCGCTGCCTTTCTGCAGATCATTAGTAGAATCCTGGACCTTCTCATTGACAAAAGCAGATTTGTTACTTGTTTTACTGTTTAAATGAGATACCATATAGAGGTGCTTTAGCTGAATCCTGGGTACAGAGTTGGCCTTGAACAAACATGAGTCCTTCTCTTGCCTCCAAGAATTCATCAGTATTTATCACATAATCACTGTCATTTGCTCTGTGTCCATAAGAAAAGTGTATATTTGAGGTCAAGTGGATGCAAGATGAGATGTGGGGAAGAACCCAGGAAACGTTTTTAAATTTAAACTCTCTCTGGCCATCTGGGATGCATTCTTAAAACATTACATGCTTATGCGAATGGATGAAGACAGTATGTTCTGCAATCACATGTATAAATATAAATGATCTATTTCAGAATTGTTACTCTGAGCCTAACACAGTCTTCCCCACTTTCAGATCTCCGCAAATGACTTCATTGCCAAGAAGAGAAGAAAATGCATTTAAGTGGAAATCGGACCTCTAATCCAAGCATATTGCTTGCTATTAATCGCCAAAACAGGACTGCTGATGAGGAATGTATTTGCATATGTTTGCAAAAGCTGAATCATTGAAAACGTACCTTGAAACTCTCTATCTCTGGACACTCCAGGGTAGAGAATGAAGGGTATGGAAGTAGTCCGGCTTTTGAAACTTAGGTATTTTATATTTTTCCCCTCAAGAACTTTTTTTTAAGAGACAGATTTGCCATCCTCCTTAATTTGCAGGACTGCCTTGGTGGCTTTGTTTGCTGGGACAAGGCCCACAACCTGTGCCTCTCCTATTGACCCTTACTTTGAATTCAAAGAATCTATTTAAGAGTTTAATATATGAGGCTTTCTTTGATTCCTCCTCAGTTCTACCTAGTTTCACAGAGGAAAAAAATACTCTTTGAATAAAGTGAACAGAGGCTCATTTGTTTGTGCCTTACTTTACTGAATGAATAGGGTTTTTTTTTTCTTTCCATACTGGATTTTGTCAGGTAGATTTGTGATGAGCAAAAAGCTGGAGAATATAGGTGCATGTAAGGCACAGCTGAATTCCTGTGTCAGGGTCCCCAGGGCCACCCCCAGGATCGATGATTGGCTAGAAGAACTCAGAATTCAGAAGAGCTATTATCCTTATGGTTATGGTTTATTACAGCAAAAGGATAAACATTAAAATCAGCAAAAGAGGCCGGGTGGAGTGGCTCACGCCTGTAATCCCAGCACTTTGGGAGGCCAAGGCAGGCAGATCGCCTGAGGTCAGGAGTTCGAGACCAGCCTGGCCAACATGGTGAAACCCCGTCTCTACTAAAAATACAAAAATTACCTGGGCGTGGTGGTGTGCACCTGTAATCCCAGCTACTCAGGAGGCTTGAACCTGGGAGGCGGAGGTTGCAGTGAGCGGAGATCGTGCCATTATACTCCAGCCTGGGTGACAGAGCAAGACTCCATCTCAAAATAAAATCAACAAAAGAAAAAGGTGCATAGGGCAGAGTCCGGGAGAGACCGGCCTCAAGCTTCCAGTTGTCATCTCCTGGTAGAGTCTTACAGACACACTTAATTTTCCCAGCAATGATATGTGACAACACGTACTAAATATTACCAGCCAGAAAGCTCACCCTAGCCTTGGGGTCTAGGTTTTTATTGCATGTCAGTCACATAGGGCAATCACATGACCGACTTTAGTTACTTAATCACCAGCTGCTCCAGAGGTCAAAATGATACAGCATGGCCCAAGGTCCCCACCATAAATCACATTATTAGCACAAACTATCTGGCCTGGTATGGCCCAAGGCCTGAGGTATACAAAGACACCCCTACTTGGGAGGATATTCCAAGGACTTAGAGGTTATCTCCCAGGAGCCCATTAAGGCCAGTTTTTTCTTTGAGATGTGCTGGGTTTGGACACTTCAAGCCTGCTGAGTTAACCCTTATAGCACAGTCCCCAAATGCTGAGGGACCAACTGGGCCTACAATAAGTTTGTATCTTTAAGGGTTAAGGTGTTTTACCCATACCTCCTTGCCTTATATCTCATGATAATATGAGGCTTTTGGAAGGCAGTGACTTATTGTGGCTTGGGGCATGGGTTTTTGGAGTCAGGCTGACCTACTGGCTGTATGGCTTGAGACTTTGTCTCTTCATCTGTAAAATGGGGAAGTTAAAACTTCATGGTGTGTATGTGTGTATGTGTGTGTTTAGACAGAATCTCGCTCTGTCACTCAGGCTAGAGTACAGTGGCGTGATCATAGCTCACTGCAGCCTCGGTCTCCTAGGGTCAGGTGATCCTCCCATCTTAGCCTCCTGAGTAGCTGGGCATGTGCCACCACACCTGGCTACTTTTTAAATTTTTTTTTTTCTGTAGAGACGAGGTCTTTCTATGCTGTTCAGGCTGAACTTCATGGGTTTATTGGGGATGGCTAATGGATGACATTGGCGGTGGTCCTTGATACCAGATAAGCCCTCAGTGTGAAGCAGCTCTTATTTTTCCTTGTCTTGAGATTGCTCTGGAATGGAAATTAGGCTTTTTTGAAGGTGTGACCCTTTTTGTTCATTTCTTCAGCAGTTACTTTTTATTTTTTAAATGTTTGACACACAGTCTCTGATAAATGATCATTCACCAATCACCGATTACTCTCCTTGCTCTGTTAAGTGTGACACTGTCCCTTTGAGAATCTGGCGACAGCTATGTATCCCATCACCACACACCCCAAAAAAAAAATTTATGTCTGGTTCCAGGAGTTACCTTTTATGAGAAGTCCATCTGTGAAGACCCTGGATGTTCAGAGAACTTCCTGGGAAAACACTGAAAGAAAATAAAGAGGCCGGGCCCGGTGGCTCATGCTTGTAATCCCAGCACTTTGGGAGGCTGAGGTGGGCAGATAAGCTGAGGTCAGGAGTTCCAGACCAGCCTGGCCAACGTGGCGAAACCCCATCTACTAAAAATACAAAAATTAGCTGGGCGTCGTGGCGCATGCCTGTAGTTGCAGCTACTTGGGAGGCTGAGGCAGGAGAATTGCTTGAACCCAGGAGGCAGAGGTTGCAGTGAACCAAGATCATGCTAGTACACTCCAGCCTGGGCAACAGAGTGAGACTCCATCTCAAAAATAAAATAAATAAAACAAAATAAAATAAATACAATTTCTGTTTCTAGCCCCTAAGTGGTAGCACTGGGTCTTGTTCCCTGAAAAAAACTAGGCTCAGAATCCACTCTCATTTCATCTCCCCTGATTTGATCTGAAAAGATTTTGTTTAGAGTACTACATGAATATATTATAAAACATGGGACAATCAGAATTGATAGTAAGAAGGCAAGTGGCTCTATTTGTACTTCCTCTCAATAGCTCCTAAAGGTAATGCTACCATTTTCTGTTTGTACATAGTCTTCCAGACTTTAAATTTTTGAACATATAAATATTATCATCTTAAAGACGTATGGAAAAAACCATTTTGAATAGGTTATTCCAAAATGTAATTTAACAGATTGCTCTGGAGGATTGTTTGTTTGTTTGTTTTGGAGACAGAGTCCCGCTTGGTTGCTCAGGCTGCAGTGCAGTGGCACAAACACAGCTCACTGCAACCTCTAACTCCTGCAAACACAGCTCACTGCAACCTCTAACTCCTGCAAACACAGCTCACTGCAACCTCTAACTCCTGCAAACACAGCTCACTGCAACCTCTAACTCCTGCAAACACAGCTCACTGCAACCTCTAACTCCTGGGCTCAAGCAGTCCTTTCACCTCAGCCTCCTGAGTAGCTGGACCATGACACCTACCTAACTTTTTATTTTTTGTAAAGAGGGGAATCACTATGTTGCCCAGGCTGGTCTCAAACTCCTGGGCTCAAGCAATCCTTCCTCAGCCTCTCAAAGAGTTGGGTTTACAGGCGTGAGCCACCGCACCTGGCTCCTGGAGCATTTCTGATGTGAACATGTGCTGATCTAACACCACTCCTTTTACCAGCTGCCTGTTCTAGAGCAAACCATCTTTTTTGAGCATTCCACTTTGGCTAGGCCCTTAGGCTGTTAGCAGTTTTCATCGCTACTGGCAAAGCTGCAGTGGACGTTCTCCTGCACATATAACCTCTTGATGCCACTGTATGAGTGAGTCTCTGCAAAATGAGAAGTAGAATTGCTGGGGTGAAAGGCATACATACTAACTTTTTTGATTAATTCCACCCATGTACCCTGATTTGGGCAGAATTTTAATCTCACTGTGAAATCAGAGCTTTGTTCTAGAGCCTTTCTTGGGGGTTCCATGGATCAGTGGGTCAGCCGTCACTTGTGCCCTGGCCCATCCTCTGTCCAGCTTGGGCAGCATGCATCATTCATTCTGATTCCTTAATTTGCCATATGTGAAAACATGGTAATCTATACATTACTTGGGTGCTATTATTATATATAACTAGCTTTGGAGTCAGAATTAGCGTCTCATCCTGGCTCTACCACTTTCCAACTGTGCGACTGTGGCCAAGTGACTCCCCTTCTCTGAGCCTCAGTTTTCCTCTTCTGTAAAATGGGGGTAAAGGGATAAGAACTATAGGGGGATCTCAGGGGATGGTTAAGAGAAATCCATGAGATAAGCAAACACATTATCTAGTTTAGTAAAGCTAAGCAATGAAGACTTAACAGCCCCATGGTGAAGGCTTAATACATGGTAGCTATAATGATTACTATTAATATTGTGAAATAAAAGGTTGTGATGAACCAACCATATCTTCTCATCAGGATGTATGTTTGTCCAACTGATAGCCATTTGTAGTCATGATCTGGGGTTGGAGAAGGGTCTTCTGCACATGTGCCAGATGGACTGAATATAGATCTTCACTCTCGTTAGCAGCCACCAACCTGGTTGAGCCATCAGGGCCTCCAAAGGGCTTGGCAATTTTTCATTGAAAACAAAAAACAAAAACAAAAAAACTCTTAAACTATGTCTACCCAAAGAATAAATCCTCTACCCTTCCAGGGTAAGGGATGGACAGCTGATGGAATTACAGACCCAGGAAGCTCATGGTTGCCAGTCATTGGGTAGCAGAGGACATCCAGTCTCATTCATTGTTCCACTCATCTCTTGCGGCCCAACCAAGCAGCCCCAAACTGAGTGACTTAAAACAACTTGTTTTTTTGTTTGTTTGTATGTTTTTTTGAGAGCGTTTCACTCTTGTCGCCCAGGCTGGAGTGCAATGGTGTGATCTTGGCTCACTGCAACCTCCGCCTCCTGGGTTCAAGCAATTCTCCTGCCTCAGCCTCCAGAGTAGCTGGGATTACAGGCACCCGCCACCACACCTGGCTAATTTTTGTATTTTTAGTAAAGATGGGGTTTCATCATGTTGGCCAGGCTGGTCTCGAACTCCTGACCTCAGGTGATTCACCTGCCTTGGCCTCCCAAAGTGCTGGCATTACATGCGTGAGCCACCGCGCCTGGCCACAACTTGTTAAATCTCTCAGTTCTAGCCAGGTGCAGTGGCTAGAACTGTAATCCCAGTGGCCTGTAATCCCAGTAAGTTGGGAGGCCAAGGCAGGAGGATCACTTGAGCCCAGAAATTCAAGACCAGCCTGCGCAACATGGTGAAACCCTGGTCTCTAGAAAAAAAAGAAAAAAAAAAAAAGGCACGGTGGCTTGTGCCTGTAGTCCCAGCTACTGGGGAGGCTGAGGTAGAATCACTTGAGCCTTGGAAGTGGAGGTTGCAGTGAGCTGTGATTACACCACTGCAGTCCAGCCCGGGGGACAGAGTGAAACCCTGTCTGAAAAAAAAAAAAAAAAAAAAACCGCTCAGTTTTGGGAATTAACTAGAGTGAGCTGGTGGTTCTCTAGTCAGATGGCAGCTGAAGATTTCTTCATTCATTTGTCTGGTACCTCGGCTGGGATGGTTGGAGCATCTAGAGGCTTAGTGGGGTACCTCTTATGCATGTAGTCTCTCCGCATGGCTAGACTGGGCTTCTTCAGGACGTGGCCATCTCAGGGTGGTTAAACTTCATACATGGTGTTGGCTTCCCCCTGAACAAATGTCACAAGAGTCCAGGAGTTCGAGACCAGCCTGGGCAAAATAATGAGACCTTGTCTCTACAAAAAGTTTAAAAAATTAGCTCGAGCTGGGTGTGGTGGCTCATGCCTATAATCCCAGCACTTTGGGAGGCTGAGGCGGGCGGATCACCTGAGGTCAGGAGTTTGAGATCAGCCTGGCCAACATGGTAAAAACCCGTCTCTACTAAAAATACAAAAAAAAAAAAAAAATTAGCGGGAAGCTGGGTGTGGTGGCTCACACCTGTAATCGCAGCACTTTGGGAGACCAAGGCGGGTGGATCATCTTGAGGTCAGGAGTTCAGGACCAGCCTGGCCAACATGGTGAAATCTCCTCTCTACTAAAAATACAAAAAAATTAGCTGGGTGGTAGTGGCGCACGCCTGTAATCCCAGCTACTCAGGAGGCTGAGACAGGAGAATCGCTTGAGCCTGGGAGGCAGAGGTTGTGGTGGTGAGCCAAGATTGAGGCATTGCACTCCAATCTGGGTGACAGAGTGAGACCCTGTCTCAAAAGAAAACAAAACAAAAAAATTAGCCGGGCGTGGTGGCTCACGCCTGTATCCCAGCTATTCAGGAGGCTGAGGCAGGAGAATCACTTGAGCCTGAGAGGCAAAGGTTGCAGTGAGCCGAGATGGTGCCACTGCTCTCCGGCCTGGGCGACAGAGTGAGACTCCGTCTCAAAAAAATATATTAGCTGGGCATGGTGGCAAGCACCTGTAGTCCCAGCTACTTGGGTGGCTGAGGTGGGAGGACCACTTAAGCCCAGCAGGACAAGGCTGCAGTGAGCCTTGACTGTGCCACTGCCTGCACTCCAGCCTGGGTTGACAGAGCGAGACCCTGTCTCAAAAAACAAAAAACAAACCACAACAACAACAGAAAACCCATCAACAATTGGCCACAGTTATCCTTAAAAAACAATTGATCAGCCTCAATTGTGGGTCAGCAAATGGCTTTCAGATCTCTGGGATACACCAATGTCACCAGAATATTCCCTTTCTTCATTTTGGGGTAGAAAATGAAAACATTTCTTTCGTCTACTATTTAAATTAAGAGGCTAGGTCACCAAAAAACCCAGGCTTCTTTGAGGGTTTCCCCAGCCTGTTCCTTGGGACCAGAGACAACTGGTCCTACCAATGGAAGTGTTCCAGGCCTCTCCGGACCCCACATCTGGGCCCAGAACCAGAAAGACACCTCTTACCCCTGTCCTCAAAGTTGGCCTCATTCTGTGTTCTAAACCCACACTGCTC
Organism: Homo sapiens; assembly: GCF_000001405.40. Lineage (NCBI taxonomy): Eukaryota > Metazoa > Chordata > Mammalia > Primates > Hominidae > Homo > Homo sapiens. Next base: position 26,519,435 of record NC_000022.11, on the reverse strand, counting down.
AGGATAATTAACAATAAGCATTCCATTCCTGCTGGGCATGGTGGCTCACACCTGTAATGCCAGCACTTTGGGAGACCTAGGTGGGCGGATCACCTGAGGTAGGGAGTTCAAGAACAGCCTGACCAACATGGAGAAACCCCATCTCTGCTAAAAACACAAAATTAGCTGGCCATGGTGGCCCATGCCTGTAATCCCAGCTACTCGGGAGGCTGAGGCAGGAGAATGGCTTGAACCCGGGAAGTGGAGGTTGCAGTGAGCCGAGATTGTACCATTGCACTCCAGCCTGGGCAACGAGAGCGAAACTCCATCTCAAAAAAAAAAAGAATTCTTTTTCTTCAGACAGAATCCCTGGCTCCACCACATCAGGCCCTCCTCCAGTCCTTTCATGAATTTGGATTTTTTTTTTTTTTTTTTTTTTTGATACTGAGTCTTGCTCTATCATGGCTGGAGTGCGGTGGCGAGATCTCGGGTCACTGCAACCGCCGCCTCCTGGATTCAAGCAACTTACCAGTCTCAGCCCCCCAAGGAGCTGGGACTACAGGCACATGCCACGACGCCCAGTTAATTTTTGTATTTTTGGTAGAGATGGGGTTTTGCCATATTGGTCAGGCTGGTCTTGAACTCCTGACCGCAGGTGATCCACCCACCTCGGCCTCCCAAAGTGCTGGGATTACAGGCATGAGCCACCGCACCCCGCCAAGTCTGGATTATTTTGATCTAACCTTGTTTCCATTTCCAAACAACAGCTGCTTTTTTTTAAATGGGTTGTTTATTAACTTTTTATTTTGAAATAATTGTAGACTCATGTGAAGTGGAAAAAGTGGTGCAAAGGGTTCCATGTGTCCTTCACCTGGCTTCCCCCAATGCTGATATCTGATGCAACTGTAGTGCAATAGCAAAACCAGGAAATTAGCATTAGTAAAAACTGTTAACTGGACTACAGACCTTATTCAGTTTTCGCCATGTTTATGTGCATTCATTTGTGTGTGCTTACGGATTTTGCTAAGATTCAAAACCTTGCATTTCAGGGTTTTATTTCCTTGTTTTAGCAACAGATCCCTCCATATACTCCTTATACGCCCATAGAGACAAATCAAATCACATGTAAAAACTCAAATCTATAAAGCAAAAGTGGGCTAGGTGAGGTGTCTCACGCCTATAATCCCAACACTTTGGGAGGCCAAGGTGGATCACTTGAAGCCAGGAGTTCAAGACCAGCCTGGGCAACATAGTGAGCCCTCATCGCTACAAAAAGATCTTAAAAAATTAGCTGAGTTTGGCTACTGCAGCCTGTAGTCCAAGCTACTCGAAAGGCTGAGGCAGGAGGATTACTTGAGCCCAGGAGGTTGAGGCTGCAGTGAGCTATGATTATGCCACTGCACTCCAGCCTGGGAGACAGAGCAAGACCCTGTCTCAAAAAAAAAAAAAAAAAAAAAAAAGTGGCTATTTTGATGAGGACCCCATCACTGTCCCAAGCATCAGCTATTTCTCTCTGAAGCACTTTTATAATCGTTAAGGTTTTGTATTTATTTTCCTGCTGGGTTGATTCAAGTTGATTTTATTCAACAGGCTACAAACTGCATGAGAACAGGAATCATTATTTTTCATTGTTTACCATTTATCCCCATAGTCTACCATGCCCAGCATGTTAAGGTTGTAGAAGCCAGCTTCCAAGATGGCCCCCAGTGAACCTGGCCTCCTGGTATTCACACCCACTTTGGCATGTTTTTCCTTTGTGCACTGAATAGGGTTAGGGTTCCATACAGGATGGTGGTTAAATTTGAATTTCAGATAATTTTTTAGTATTTCGCAATATTTTACGAGACATACATATACTATTATTCATTGTTTTATCTAAACTTCAAGTTTAATTGGGCATCCTGTATTTTTATTTACTACATCTGGCAACCCTATATAGGGCTGAATGTGTAACCAATAAGATATTGCAAAAATGGGCCAGGCGCAGCCGGGCACGGTGGCTCACCCCTGCAATCCCAGCACTTTGGGAGGCCGAGGCGGGTCCATCACGAGGTCAAGAGATCAAGACCATCCTGGCCAACATGGTGAAACCCCCATCTCTACTAAAAATATAAAAATTAGCTGGGCATGGTGACGCACACCTGTAGTCCCAGCTACTCGGGAGGCTGAGGCAGAAGAATTGCTTGAACCTGGGAGGTGGAGGTTGCAGTGAGCTGAGATTGTGCCTCTGCACTCCAGCCCGGTGACAGAGCGAGACTCCATCTCAATAAATAAATAAATAAATAAAAATAAAAAATAAAGAAAATAAAAAAATGGGCCAGGCGTGGTGCCCCATGCCTGTAATCCCAGCACTTTGGGAGGCTGAGGCAGGTGGATTGCCTGAGGTCAGGAGTTCAAGACCAGCCTGACCAATATGGTGAAACCCCGTCTCTAATAAAAATACAAAAATTAGCCGGGTGTGGTGGCATGCGCCTGTAGTCCCACCTACTCAGGAGGCTGAGACAGGAGAATTGCCTGAACCTGGGAGGCAGAAGTTGCAGTGAGCCGAGATCACGCCACTGTACTACAGCCTAGGTGACAGAGCAAAACTCAGTCTCAAAAAAAAAAAAAAAAAAAGATATTGCAGAAATGACAGTGTGACTCCAAGACTAGGCCATAAAAGACCTTGTGGCTTCTGCCTTGCTCTCTCTTGCTTTGCTCATTTTGAGGGAAGCTAGCCACTATGTCATAACGACACTTGGTAACCATGTGTAGAGGCTCACATGGCAAGAAACTGAAACCTGCCAACAACCAGCACCAGTTTGCCAGCTATGTGAGAGAAGCACCTTGGAAGTTGGTCATCCAGCCCTGGTCAAGCCTTCAGATGGCTGCAACCCCATGAAAGACCCTGAGTCAGAACCACCCAGCTAAGCCACTCTCAAATTCCTACCAAAAGAAATTATGTGAGATAATGTTTACTGGTGTTGCAAGCTGCTACGTTTGGAGGTAATTGTTATACTGCAATAGATAACATGTAGGTACTCATTAATTATTTGTTAATGACAAATGAATAAATGAATGATGAAGGCTGTGGTTTCTCCCCTTACTGTGTTTTGCGGATATTTAATTTCCAGATAAACACCCCGAGCCTAAGGAACCTCATGTTCCAGCTTTCCATATAAGGATAGAGTCTTCACGAATTCTTGAAAGATAAGTAGGGTAGAAACCATCTGTAAGAAACATTTAGAGGGAAATCAAATTGCTAATCTCAGCTGATCTGGGTTCTCAATTCTGCCAAGTTAAGGACACCATATATATTTTTGGGACAAAATGCAAAATAAGAATAAGCCATGTGCAACTGTATAATGTCACTGTCCTAGAAAAAGTACATGTGCTAGTCTTTAAATATATCAGCTTTGAAATGCCACTTATGGATTGTTTCTATGGTACCAACCTATTTAAAGTTGTAACTAAGTGACGATATTTTTTTCCCGAAATCTTTTGTAGGCAATATGGAAAGTGTGCTGTATGGCATAGGCTGTAGAAATAAGAGGTTAGGAATGTGGACTCTGGGGTTATAACAAACTACCTTAGAAGGCTGAAGAATCAAAGAGATGATGTCTGCAGAGTTTGGCTCTGTGGCCCTGAACACACAGGAATCATGATGTGGGACCCCATGCATGGTTTTGCAAAGAAAGCACCTGCCTGGGAGTTTGAGCTCCTGGGTTTCAGGCCTGGCCCTGTCCTTAAACTCACTGTGTGGTGCTGGCACCTCCACTCTGCCAGGGGCTCCCCCACCGCCTCAGCTGCGAAAAGAGAGGTATAGACCCATGAGTGCTGGAGGGCCCTGCCAGACTCCTTCTGCCCAAGGAGCCTTGTTGCTTTGGCAACCCCTTCTGCGAAGGCCACATGTCTGAGCACCTCATTGGGAATGTAGAAATGAGTGTGGATGTTCCCAAATCTCAAAGCAATGTTTTTGTTTTTTTTTTTCCCCTCTAGGAAATGACAGGAGATCACGATAGATATGAGACCTTGAACCTAAAGCTCTGGTTGCCTTGTAAAACTTTTCCTTGTTTTTCAAAGGCTGGGCATTTGATCCCAGAAATCCTGAAAAACCATGGATTTTTGAGACTGAAAGGGGTATGACATTGGGTTTTTAAAAATGAAGGCTGGCGCAGTGGCTCACGCCTGTAATCCCAGCACTTTGGGAGGCCAAGGCAGGTGGATCACGAGGTCAGGAGTTCGAAACCAGCTTGGCCAACATGTTGAAACCCCATCTCTAATAAAAATACAAAAAGTAGCCAGGCGTGGTGGCGCACACCTGTAATCCCAGCTACTCAGGAGGCTGAGACAGGAGAATTGCTTGAACCCAGGAAGCATATGTTGCAGTGAGCTGAGATCGTGCCACTGCACTCCAGCCTGGGTGACACAGTGAGACTCTGTCTGGGGGAAAAAAAAATTAAAACAAATAAAAAAACAAAAATTAGCTGGGCGTGGCGGCGTAACGCCAGCTACTCGAGAGGCTGAGGCATGAGAATCACTACAGCTGCGCCTGTAATGACAGCTACTCGGGAGGCTGAGGCATGAGAATCACTTGAATCTGGGAGGTAGAGGTTGCAAATGAGCGAAGATTGTGCTGCTGCACTCTAGCCTGGGCGACAGAGTGAGACTCTGTCTCAATAAATAAATAAATAAATAAATAAGAATATAGCCACAATCCTTTAGAAAGCTCTTACCATGCCAGGAGCTTTACATGCACTAATTATCACTTTCTGTTTTTGTTTTTCTCTAAACAACTCTCTTAGATCAGTACTGTCACTATCCCCAATCTACAGATGGAAAAATTGAGGTGTAGAGAGGTGAAGCAACCTGCCCTCGGGCCCATACCTAAGAAGTAGCAAAGTCGAGATTTGGATCCTTGAAGTTTTTACTCCAGAGCTTTCATTTTAAGAAATTGCAAAAAAGTTATTAAGTACAGAGAGAAACATTTTCCCTGTAATAATTTGAAATTAAGGTGACCATTTGATGCCTTATCCCCTGCCAAATACATTGATTTACTTTCCAGCAAACAAGAACATCCTCTGATGTAACTTAACAGGCAACCATGAAAATCAGGAAATTAACACGGACACATCATTACCACGGCATTGTAGGCCCCATTTAAACTTTTCCAACTGTCCCTGTAACTTCCTTTCAAGCAAAAAGATCCAGTTCAGAATCATGTGTTGTGTTTAGTTGTCATGCCTCTTTGGTCCCCTCCAGTTTGGAACAGTTCCAGGGTCTATCTTTGATTTTCATGACCTTGGCACTTTCTAAGATTACAGTTTTGTATACAGCATGTCTCTTTACGTGGGTTTGTCTGATATATCCTCATGATTACATCCAGGTTATGGATCTTCAGCAGGAATATCACAGGGGTGATGTTGCAATCTTCTCAGGGCATCCTATCAAGTGCCACATAACTTCACTTTGTCCCATTCCTGACAATGCAGACTCTGATCACTAAATCAGAGCCTGCACTCTTAACTACTCCATGACAGTCCACAAAGGTCCCTTCTTCAGAAGCCACAAAGTGAGTTCCATTTGGTGAAGTAAATCCACTAGCATCAGTCCCTCATGATCAAAGTAATTGCAGCTCCATAAAATCTGCTGTAAAGCCATAAACATAGCTACAGAAAAGCCAAGCGTATGTATGCTTTTGGCTTTTGGGCTACAAACAGATGTAAATACATTCAGGCACAGACTAAAAACACTTTTCTCCTCTGTTTCCCTTACTCTGCTCCTGGCAGGGCTTGTAGTCTGTTAGACCCTCTCTCCCGGCCTTCAATGCTAAAACCACATTTTCCATTTCTTTCCTGAGTACATACTATGTGTCAGGCACAATGATTCTACATGTCACTAAGAATACAGAGATCATTAAGACACAGTCATCATTCCTAAGCAGCCCACATTTAACTGGGTACACAAAAATTGTTGTTTAATTCTTAACAACTACTTGATGGTAGACTTAAGTATTTGACTCCAAGTCCCGTGCTCTTTTTACATTCCAACAATTGCCTCTTGAATCTTTTCATCACATAGAGCAGAGAGAGAAAAATTAAGCAAAAATTAATAGCTAACACTTCTTCAGCACCTACTGTTACCAGGTACGGTTTTCATTGCCTACAGTTTTATCTTATTGAATCCTTAACCATTTTGCAGAAGAGAAAACAGGCTTAGATGTAATGACTTGCCCAAGGTCCACAGCTGCTAAATTGCACTCAAGGTTGGAACTCCAGAGCCTGTGGACACTTAAATGTCTACAAGGAGTCCTTGGGCTAGTGAGGGCTTCCCAGGGAGGGCCCATGACTGTTCTGCTCATTGTATCACATTGGCCTAGCACAGGTGAGGGGCACTTAGTATATTTTAATTAGATCAATGAATAAATTAATGAATTTACCAACCTGCTGGAAACGAAAAGAATGGAAACAGCTCCTGGAGAGAATACTTGGGAACTCCAGAGTTTGCCCATTCATTCCTTCATTCCCTCTTAAACTCCTGCATAAAGGCCACTGCCCTGTGCCCACGACGGTGCTTATACCGAGAGCGTCAAAGATACAGGAATCACAGTCTTGACCTTCATTATTCCCATTTGAATGCTGTGTCCCAGGCCCCTTATTGTCTCACAGTATTTACCACAACTACCGTATGGGCTAATCCTACATCTCTATTTTACAGATTTACAATCTCAGAGTGGTAAAGTCTCCTTAGGCCAAGGTGGCTCAGCGGATTCCACACCAGTCATCACAGGCTGAGCGTCACAGTACAAAGCAGGAGCGGCAGGGAGGCCGATTCCGCGGGGAAACCACTCCCCAGCTATTCTAGGCCTTGCAAATCCACCCCTCCTATCTAAGATCCCAGCCGGCCGCTCTGCAGCCATATCCGCCGTAGCGTCCCACGCTGCCCTGGCAGCCAGCAGGACATCCGCTGTCGACTAACGTCATTTCCGGCGCGCCGGCCACGGTGCTTCCGGGTTCTGGTGTAGGAGCGGCGTCTTCTCGCGCGGATGGTGAAGCTGAATTTGGTACGCTGGACCCTCGGACAGGTGAGCACGGCTGGCCACAAGGGGACTCAGCGCCAGTGAGAGTAGGGACGAAGGCTCAGGGAAGGCGAGCTTCGGTCCAAGCCGTTGGGGTGTGGGGAGGGGAATCCATTTCGTAGACAGCTCTGCCGAGGCACGGAGAGGGGCGGTGCTGCTTGGGGTCAACTGGGATTTAGGGCTTGGATTCATTTAAGAACCTGAGCTTCCTTCACCAAACCTAGACAGCAAGAGAGAGACAAGCCCGAGGCCTGACTTCTAGCACTCCTGAGTTTGAGCCCTATGAGCAGTGGAACCTAGGGTAAGTTACTAACTTCTCTGAACCTCCTTTTTCTTATCTGAAGCATGAAAACTAACGGTACCTACCTTGCAGAAGTGTCTTGATGCAGACAGTTGATAATCGGTCTCAAGCGACCAGCATGTACCTAGCATCTACTGATAAAGGCTTCATAACTTGTGACTACTCGGGGCTTATTACCATTTACTATGCCCACGCAGGCAGTGGTATTATTTAACTTTATGTATTTGAGATTCCCCGTCTTTTCTGAAAATCCTTCTGTCCTAAACACTCCTGGAAGAGGTTGGGACCCGTTGCACCCAACCGGTGCACCAGTGAGTAGAAGAAGGCAGAGATAACGTTTTGCCAGAGGTGACCAGAGTTTGACACTGCCTGTGGAAGTAGTGAACTCCGTGTGCCTTAAGGCCGCTTTCAGCAAGACAAGAATCACAATTGCTGTCACCTATGGAGTGTATTATTGTGTAGTGCACCATGCTTGGCGCTTCACGTGCATATTTAATTCTCATACACTGGGTATCTGATAGAGTTGAATTTGAACTCAGGCTTCGATTTTAGCCTGCCTGATTTTACAGTCACTTTGCTAAGTTTACTCCCTAGTCCCATAATAATAATGATGATTGTGATGGTAAATACTGAGTGTCAACTTGATTGGATTGAAGGATACGAAGTATTGATCCTGGGTGTGACTATGTGGGTGTTGCCAAAGGAGATTAACATTTGAGTCTGTGGGTGGGGAAAGGCAGACCCACCCTCAATTCAATCTGTGTGGGCATAATCTAATCAGCTGCCAGCACGGCAAGAATATAAGCAGGCAGAAAAATGTGAAAAGAGAGACTGGCCTAGCCTCCCAGCCTATATCTTTCTCCTGTGCTGGATGCTTCCTGCCCTCGAACATTGGACTTCAAGTTCTTCAGCTTTGGAACTTGACTGGCTCTCCTTGCTCCTCAGCCTGCAGACAGCCTATTGTGGGACCTTTTGATCGTGTGAGTTAATAGTTAATAAGCTCCCCTTTATATATGTATGTCTATTCCATTAGTTATGTCGCTCTAGAGAACCCTGACTAATACAATGATTAACCTAATCATGGGACTAAAGTAGAAGCTATCGTTTCTTGAGCACTTATTTTGAACTCATTGAATTTGCTTTGTAAGCCTTCTCTAAGGTTGGTATGGTAGTTAATCCCAATTTAAGAAAGACAACTGAATCTGGTCACCCAGCTACTGTGAGGTAGATTCTCTATATCAATCTCTGGACATCTGACTATTAAAATAGTGTTCATAATTACTACAGTCTTTCAGTTCATCAGAAGAAATTCATGTTTTGTGAGGAAAACTGAAAATTTTGTTTCATCAAGTAATGTATTTCAAAAAGCATATTCTAAAAAAAATCACTCTCCTAGGACCACCAAGGATCCAGATATAATTCTTTCCTCAGTAATAGAAAAAAGAATCTGGGATCTAAGAAGATACCTACTCATTTTCTAAGGTAATAATGTACAAAATAACCTACTTAGTTATTTTTGTGTGGTTTGTGTATGTGTGAATATGTGTGATATTTATGATATTGACTAGGACAAGGAGATATGTACTTTTAAAGAATCATAGACTGTTAGGAGTAGTATTTTGTTCACCTGTTTTAGTACTGATTGTTATCTAAAAGTAGGTTTTTAATATCTTTTTTATTGAATAGTAATGCTGACTTTAATGGACTTTGAATTTGGAGAAAGTTCTGAAAGCAGCAAGGAATAGAGACTCACAAGGAATCCTTCGACTGCTGCCCCCAGGACTTACGGCCTGTGCTCTTTTTGTCTCTTCCTTTAGTGACTGGCCATGTCATTGTCCCACTTATACCGGGATGGGGAAGGCCGCATTGATGATGATGATGACGAGCGGGAGAACTTTGAGATCACTGACTGGGATCTCCAGAATGAGTTCAACCCCAACCGACAGCGCCACTGGCAGACCAAGGAAGAAGCCACCTACGGGGTGTGGGCAGAGCGAGACTCGGATGATGAGAGGCCCAGCTTTGGAGGCAAACGGTATTGCCTGGCATGGGGGCTGCTTCACCTTGCTTTAGGGAAGAGGGGGAAGATGGACAGGGAGTGGAGGAGATACCCTGATAAGTATACTTCTCACCTGGCCTTGTTGAGACTGTTAGCTGTGACATCATCTCGAGAGGTCTGGTTTCCTCTTTAGGCTAGAGTGCTGCTCTTTCACTGATTTATTCTATTTATTATTATTTTTTTTGAGACACGGTTTCACTTTGTTGCCCAGGTTGGAGTGCAGTGACGTGCTCTTGGCTAGCTGCAACCTCCACCTTCCAGGTTTAAGTGATTCCCGTGCCTCAGCCTCCCGAGTAGGTGGGATTACAAGCAAACGCCACCACCTCCAGCTAATGTTTGTATTATTAGTAGAGACGGGGTTTTGCCATGTTGGCCAGGCTGGTCTTGAACTCCTGACCTCAAGTGATCCACCCACCTCAGCCTCCCAAAGTGCTGGGATTACAGGCGTGAGCCACCACGCCTGGCCTCACTGATTTAATTATCAGTGTTTATTGAGCGATTGCTATGTATTAGGCCTGTGCTATAGACCCATTCTTGCCTTCCTAGAGCCCAGACATTAGAAGATGGAAATAGGCATTAACAACTCAGACGATCAAACTTGTGACTGTGATGCAGGACATGAGGGACATGAGGACATGAGGGAGAACACATTTTAGGGCATTTCATCTATTCTGAGAGGTCAAGGAAGATTTCTGTGGAGAAAAGTGACCCTTAAGCTGATATGACTGACAGTAGAAGGTAACTAGGGTGGTAGAAGAGGTCCCAATATGCAAAGGCCCTTGATGGGAAGCATCACGGTATCCACAAGGATATGAAAGGCTTGGGGGCTGGAGCAGAGAGGGGGAAGGGTAGCATAGTGTGTGTGATAGAGAGGGTGTGATGTGGGGCTGGGTTATGTTTTGAGAAGACCCTTTTGCTGGTGTGCTCAATAGGCATGGAGCCACAGTGGAAGACTGTGAGGAGGCCAAGCCAGTGGTCCCTGCACAGGTAGTGGAGGACTGGTCTAGGATAGTGGTGGGCAATGAGGATTCAGGCTGCACGTCTTCTCCCCAGCACAAGGTTATGTGTGCCCTGGCTGAACCTCACTCAACCAGGGTGTGCCAGGTTGGGGGTTTTTTCCTCCATGGCCTCACCTGTGGCCTCTAGGCTCTATCCTATTGAGAGTGTGCCTTTTTCTTTTTCTTTTTTTTTTTTTTGAGATGAAGTCTTGCTCTGTCGCCAGGCTGGAGTACAGTGGTGCAATCTTGGCTCACTGCAACCTCTGCCTCCTGGATTCAAGTGATTCTCCTGCCTCAGCCTCCCGAGTAGCTGGGACTACAGGCATGTGCCATCACACCCAGCTAATTTTTGTATTTTTAGTAGAGACGGGGTTTCACCATGTTGGCCAGGATCTCTTGACCTTGTCATCCGCCTGCCTCGGCCTCCGAAAGTGCTGGGATTACAGGCGTGAGCCACCACACCCAGCTGAGAATGTGCCTTTTTCAAAGGAGGCTGGGGGAGAAAGAGTATAGAGATTAGTCCAAACTTCTCATCCACAAGGAAGTCTGAAAGTGGATGACAAATAGATCAGGGAACAAGAATTGCATAATCATAAGATAATAATAATAGCTAACATCTCTTGGCTGCTTACTTGTCCTGGCTATTTCATAAACCTGGATTAATTTTCCTTATGAGAAAGGTACCATTATTGTCCCCATTTTACAGATTAAGAGACTGAGGCTAATGGTCATACAACTAGGCAGAGGCTAAGCTAGAATTGGAACCTGGACCTATCTGACTCTAGAGTTTGGGATCTAAATCACTAAGTTATATTACAATTTTAGGAAAAAACTCCCTAAATTCTGTTGTTGCCCTGAGGGTGTTGAATTACTAGGTTGGTCATTTTACAAGGCATCCCTTTATTTGCTGTATTCCCAGGTTTTCTTTTTTTCTTTGAAACACAGTCTCTATTACCCAAGCTGGAGTGTGCAGTGGCGTGACCTTAGCTCACTGCACCCTCTGTCTCCTGGGTTCAAGCGTTTCTCATGCGTCAGCCTCCTGAGTGGCGTGGGATTACAGGCGTGTGCCACCACACTCAGCTAGTTTTTTGTATTTTTATTAGAGATAGGATTTTGCTATGTTGGCCCAGCTGGTCTTGAACTCCTGGCCTCAAGCCTCCCAAAGTGCTGAGATTATGGGCATGAGCCGCTGTACCTGGCTCCAGGGTTTTTTATTGTAATTTTTTCTTTTTTAAACCACACAGTACAAATATATCAATTTTATTTTATACAAAAAAGACCTGAGGTTAATGGCTTAATGTAAGTACTTGAAGCAGTCAGAGTTTAAATCAATATATTTCATTTTATAGAGTTAATTTCTTATTTCTTAGGGGACTTTAGTGTAATTTTCTTTTCTTTTTTTTTTTTTTTTGGAGATAAGGTCTCACTCTTTTGCCCAGGCTGGGGTGCAGTGACATGATTATAGTTCACCGCAGCTTCAACTTCCTGGGCTCAAGCAATCCTCCCATCTCAGCTTCCCATGTAGTTAGGACCACAGGCTTGCACAACCATGCCTGGCTAATTTTTATTTATTTTTTTTTTATAGAGACGAAGTCTCACCATGTTGCCCTGGCTGGAAATTTTCACATTCAAATAAATTTAATGGCTAGGAGCTTTTTCTAAGTTTGATTAATATAATTGTTACATGCTTTACATTCATATAATCTTTCAATGGGTTTTATTTATGATTTTCCATCAAAATTTCTGCTCCTGTTGGATTTTTGTACTTGAAATAGTTTTCAAAACAATTGCTTTTTATGATAAATTAATTTTTTAAAATGTAGGAAAATTGTATTATCACATCATATTTTGAATTTGTAATCAACCCTACATTGATGTGATAACTCTTCAGCCGTAGAGGGATATGTCAGGTAAAATGTTAAATGTGACTACAGGAAGCCAAATCTGGGGTCCTTTGGATTTTTTGACACATTAAAAAATGTGTTACTTTTTTAAAAAACCTCCCATGAGATTCACTCTAAGGAGTCTTCAAGCACGTAGTTTCTGCAAAAGGATCGCTGCAGAGAAAAGAGTTCTTTACCGACCTGGTGGGGCTTTGTTTCTGTGCCTACAGGGCCCGTGACTACTCTGCGCCAGTCAACTTCATCAGCGCAGGGCTCAAGAAAGGGGCAGCGGAGGAGGCAGAGTTGGAAGATTCTGATGACGAAGAGAAACCTGTTAAGCAGGACGACTTTCCTAAGGATTTTGGACCAAGGAAGCTAAAAACGGTAGTCTCTATTGCAGGATTGTGACCCTAGGAATATCCTTCAAAGGTCATTGTGGCCCAAGCATTTTCTAGCCAGGGAGAAACTCATCTGGAATGAATTTCGTGAGTGTCTCCTTTTGGTGGCAGGTTTCTGTGAGTTGTGAAGTGTGTAGTGCAGTCTCTTCCTTCCTGACACGTTATCACACACATTTTTGGTTCATATGACACTTTTCATAGTGCTGTATAACTTAGGCCATTTTCCTGTTGGCCAAGCTTTCTTAGATTTTTCTTCATTTTGTTTTTCCATTAACTAAGCTTTGATTTTTCTTTTTTGCAGGGTGGCAATTTTAAGCCCAGCCAGAAAGGTTTTGCAGGAGGAACCAAATCTTTCATGGACTTCGGCAGCTGGGAAAGACACACAAAAGGAATTGGACAGAAGCTTCTTCAGAAGATGGGCTACGTCCCTGGACGGGGCCTCGGGAAGAATGCACAAGGTATTGCACCTTTGTCGTCTTGCATGATGGAGGAGGGCAGGCATAGGGAAGGAGAGGGGCGTTGGGAGAGGAGGTTTGCTTTTCCCTTTTAAAAGCACTTTATCTCTCCAGCCTGGTTTGCCAGCACAAGACATTTGCGTTCCTAAGCTACCTTGCTTTATCAAAGCTCAAGTTAAATAAGTAATTGTTTCAACAGCAAGGAAAGGGTTAGGGTCTAAAACAGGCTGCAAACAGGTTGAAAACAGGCTTTTTTTCTGGTCCTGACCAGTGCTTCTAAAAACAAAAATGAGGCTGGGTGTGGTGGCTCATACCTGTAATCCCAGCACTTTGGGAGGCCAAGGCGGGTGGTGGATCGCTTGAGGTCAGGAGTTCAAGACCAGCCTGATGAACATGGTGAAACCCCGTCTCTACTAAAAATACAAAAATCAGTTGGGTGTGGAGGCATGTGCCTGTAATCCCAGCTACTCAGGAGGCTGAGGCAGGAGAATCGCTTGAACCCAGGAAGTGGGGGTTGCAGTGAGCCGAGATCACTCCAGCCTGGGCAACAGAGCGAGACTCCATCCCTGAATAAATAAATAAATAAATAAATAAATAAATAAATAAATAGAATAAATAAAAACAAAAATGAATTAGTTGCTAATATTTAAAAAACAGACAATTTCACCTAAAATTCTAGATTTTGCCTGGCAGTAGTTAGTTGAGGCAAGTGAGAACTGCTCCTGGGACGATGGACATGGCCTTCTCTTGGAGGCAGTCTCCATTACCCCCTGTTGTCTTCCACCCCAACCCACAGGAACTTTTCTTGGTCCCAGAGTCATTTGAGTTTGCCATCCCTACTCACAAGGGTTTTAATTTTGTGGAAATAACCCTATTTGTCCTTCAGGAATATCAGTAAAACATCGTGCATAGTTTTTGTAATAGCTAGAGCCATATGGCTATAAAACTGGCTGAGCAAATCCTGCATTGGTTACTTCCATCTTCCTCTAGTAGCCCAGTCTCCTCCTGTCTTCTCATGGCCAGCCCCATTGAGACACAGCCCCTGTCACACTCTTACCTTCTTGAGACCAAAGCCTCTCAAACCAAACAGTTGGATTCTTCCTACAGGAACATTTCCCCCTCTTCTTGAGCTATTTCCTATGCATGATTGCCAAGTAGATATAATCAAATGTATCCTACATATTCAAATTCCAGTCTCTAAATAATAATAATAACATTATTATTTTTTGAGACAGAATTTCACTCTTGTCACCCAGACTGGAGTGCAGTGGCACGATCTCAACTCATCTGCAACTTCCACCTCCTGGGTTCAAGTGATTCTCCTGCCTCAGCCTCCCGAGTAGCAGGGATTACAGGCACCCGCCACCACGCCCAGCTAATTTTTGTATTTTTGGTAGAGACAGGGTTTTACTGTGTTGGCCAGGCTGGTCTCGAACTCCTGACCTCAAGTGATCCATCCTCCTCGGCCTCCCAAAGTGCTGGGATTATAGGTGTGAGCCACTGCGCCTGGCCTCTAAATAATTATTAAAGTGAAATCCAGGTTATGTGTTGAAAACATTAGGTACATGAAAAATACATGAACTTGAGTAAAGATACACTGAATGAGAATGAGGGGACAGTTTTTTTGCTTTTTTTTGATACAAAGTCTCACTCTGTTACCTAGGGTAGAGTGCAATGGCATGGCATGATCATAGCTCACTGCAGCCTCAACCTCCTGGGCTCAACCCTGCCAAGTAGCTGGGACCACAGGCACACTCTGCTGTGCCTGGCTAATTTTTTCTTTTTTTGTAGATGGGGTCTTACTATGTTGCCCAGGCTGGTTCAAGACCTTGGCCTCCCAAAGTGCTAGGATTACAAGCATAGCCACCACATCTGGCCCAGGGATAGCTCTTATTTAAGACTTCAGTGGAACTAAATGGAAGGGGGGCAGGGATGGAAAATTTGGAGTCAGGGGAACGTCTTCATTGAAATGTTGTGGTCCTATTCGTAAACTCTTTTATGAGAAAAACAACGTTTATTTCCAGGGCTTAAACTTGTTATAAAAAAGTTAAACACAGGAGATAGGAACTCCTAAGTAAAATATGTGAGGAGTCTTATATTAAATTGCAGCTTCACTTCAGTCAGAATCAGTATAGTATTGGAATTATTGCATTTTCCCTAATAGAGGCTCCCAAAGAAGTGAAGCATAGAATTTAGTGTGCTGGAGTTCTCAGTTATAAATGTAGTGTTCTGTTTTCTTCCTGTCCACTAAACAATCCAAGTGGAAATGGAAATCTATTTGGGATATAAATAAACTAGTCAGCAGACTGTTCTGTGGTAGCATAAATGCTCATAAGTTTCAAATCACAAGGGACAAGAGTAGTGTTCTGAGGGCAGAGAATAGCTCTCCTTCCTGAGTAGCATGTTATTTTGTGGAAGGAGCAAGAAACTGTCATTTCACTGAGTGGCTGATTCACATACATGAATTGCTGTGATCGTAAGACTCTCTTTTTTTTTTGCTGAAATTCCTCAGGTATCATTAACCCAATTGAAGCCAAGCAGAGAAAGGGAAAAGGTGCTGTGGGGGCTTATGGATCCGAGCGCACCACTCAGTCCATGCAAGACTTCCCTGTGGTTGACTCAGAGGAAGAAGCTGAAGAGGTAACTGGAAGTCAGGAGACATGGGTGGATGGTGTCCTGTCCATTTCTAATGGCTGTTCATTTATCCCTTCATTCTGTTAGTCCTCAGATGTTTATTGTACATGTACCGTATGCCAGGTACTGGGCTGAAGGCTAGGTGCACCATGATGAGAGGGCTAGGGTGGACAGAGAGTAAACAAGCAGCTGTGGTGTGGAAGTGGCAGTTGAAATGGCAGAAGGTGCCAGGAGCTGCCTAGACAGAAAATAAGGCTGGGGGTTGGGAGGTGGTGTTGACCTACTTTTATAAATAGGCTGGTCAGGGAAACCTTTTGGGAAAGGAAACATTTCAGTTGAGACTTGGCAGAAGGGTGAGCTGACAAGCCAGAGGACACTGAGAGGCTCTGAGCTTGGTGGTTAAGAAACCATAAAGGAAGCCCTTGCGGTGGGAGGGCGGTACACAAAGCAGAGGGGAAGGAAGTGCATTCAGAGGGGTGGGTGGTCCACAAGACAGCCATGACAGCCATTTTTAGGTGCTCAGGTTTCATCCCAAGTGCAGCAGGGAGCCATCTGCTGGCAGCTGTGTGTCCCTTTTCCCCAGTGATAGAAAGGGCCAGCTCTCTTGATTGAAGTATTACTCTTTTCCTGTTTGAATTTATGGGGGAAAGCAGGATGCTGCAAAGAGACATGTTACTCTTCATGTCACTGACCTTTTCATGAAAGAGTTATTTGATAAATGTGGGATTGACCACTGTGAGTCAGGTGTTCTCAGAAGCCTACAGGTGCCAGGCACACCACAGAAGCAAGTAAGATGAGCCAGGTGCTAGACAATAAAGAGTGGTGGGGACTGTGGCACAGAGGTGAGGCTGTAGTCTGTCTAGAAGGTAAATCTTTATTCAGCTCTAGGTGATTGTTGCTTATGAGGATGTGGGCTCAGTATTGCCTGATCCTCTGATTTTCCCAAAGTAGCCAGATGTCTAGATACTTTTAGAGAAAAAATGACAAGTCTTAACCAGTATGAGAAAAACATAGTGACAACCCCAAAACCAACTTCTGTGGGCTGGACTTTACTACCGTCACACTAAGAAAGTTTACAAATTTGTGTTCGTAAACAGGCCGTATTCAGAGCCGTCCTGGGCTGCGGGTTGGACAAGCTTGCCTTAGCTCCTCCTCTAGAAAGGTTTTGCAGACCCTGATTGTAAGAGACACCTTTGCTTTGAGAGTTAGGGCCTGCTTATTTATCTTCATTTTAAAGTTAGAAACAAGGTTTTGTGTGCTTAAAAAATCCTTTACATTGCATTTCTAAGTTTTACATGAGGTACATTTAAAAGTAGTATAGTGCCTGCCCATAGTAGATGCTCAATAAATGTTGTTTCGTTTATCTTTATTTTTGTTTCTCCCTCCCATCTGGTGTACCTGCCTTCTGAACCTCATTATTTGTAAGAGGGCGAATGGGGTCAAGGAGTATCATTAGATAGTTTTGGTGTCTTGCAGGTGCATCCTTTCCTTCCTTCATATAGAGCTTGTAAATAAATCTAAGACAGTGAATGGTGACATCTGCTAATGGTCTCAGCTACCTCACCTGTGGTAAAAAGTGGTTGTTCCTTGCTGCATCTGACTGTATTCTTCTGGTTCAGGAGTTTCAGAAGGAGCTGAGCCAGTGGAGGAAAGACCCAAGTGGAAGCAAGAAGAAGCCCAAATACTCTTACAAGACCGTGGAAGAGTTGAAGGCCAAGGGCAGGATTAGCAAGAAGCTCACTGCTCCCCAGAAGGAACTTTCTCAAGTCAAGGTACAGGGGCCCTTGGACACCTGGTACAGGATCCACACCCCAGAAATAATCACTGAACATGTTCGAGGGTTTTTTGGATCTTTTAGCTAGGCTTTTTTTTTTTTTTTTTTTTTTGGTACCTTGCTTTTCTCACTTATTTATAGGAGTGTAATGAATAGGAACATGCTCACATAGTATTAATATCATGTTCCTATTCATTACACTCCCATATTTAGTAATAGTTACCAAGTTCCTTCTCTGCTAGGCACTCTTCACGGCACTACACTGGTAAACCAAATGATGTTCCTGTGTTTCTGGAGCTTACATCAGTGAATTTAATAACATTCTTGTTATTAAAAACTCAGTGCAAAGTGTTTATAATGAGCACGTAATTCCAGAGAGTGGCTGTGCTGTATTATTTGATCCTACCTCCGTTGTTAGACATTTAGCTTTTATCTGGTTTAGTTTGGGTTTTTGGCTGGTTAGTTTGTATATAAAACTTTGTCTTTGTTTCAGACATTTTTTAAGGATAGACATGTACATGTGCAATCACCATGTTGAATACAAAAGTACTTAAGGCATTTAAATACTCAGAAGGTTGTATTAACTCTCTCTGACCAGGAGGGCAGGAGAGAGTCCCCAGGGCTCCTTAGCCAGCATTGAGTATTTTCTTTTTTTAAGATAGATTAAATTTTCAGCCACTGTTACGTCCATGTAGTGTATTAAGTTTTCCATTACTTGGCTGGGGATGGTGGCTCACGCCTGTAATCCCAGCACTTTGGGAGGCCTAGGCGGGCAGATCACAAGGTCAGGAGATCGAGACCGTCCTGTAACATGGTGAAACCCCGTCTCTACTAAAAATACAAAAAATTAGCCGGATGTGATGGTGGGCGCCTGTAGTCCCAGCTACTCGGGAGGCTGAGGCAGGAGAATGGCATTTACTCAGGAGGCGGAGCTTGCAGTGAGCGGAAATCGTGCCACTGCACTCCAGCCTGGGGGACAGAGCGAGACTCCGTCTCAAAAAAAAAAAAAAAAAAAAAAAGTTTTCCGTTACTTTTCCAAGTAGTCAAAGAACAGTGGTGACAGTTGCCTGTTGTCATTTGCTGTAGGATATGTAGTGTGTCATAGACCTCAAAGAAAGCCTTTAGTGGGGTTCTCAAACGTGCTGTTATCTGGACGACCTGATAAGAAATAAGAGTGTCTAGGTGCCTCCCAGGAATTGAGTCTAGACTGAACCTCAGGACTCTTTTTTTTTTTTTCCTCCAGTGAGTCTAAAGCTGGTGGTTCATGGATCACACTCTTACTTAAAAAGTGGTGATGAATCATTCTGTTTCAGAAGTGTAGTCCGTATTCACATTTCCTGTTTTCCTAAAATATTGGAATTAGCTCATTGTCTAGGTTGCCTTTGTTCAGTTAGCCTTTTGTATATTTTATTTTGTTTTAAAATTAAAAGGCTGGGCGCAGTGGCTCATGCCTGTAATCCCAGCATTTTGGGAGGCTGAGGCAGGCGGATCACAAGGTCAGGAGATTGAGACCTTCCTGGCTAACACAGTGAAACCCCATCCCTACTAAAAATACAAAAAATTAGCCAAGTGTAGTGACGGGCGCCTGTAGTCCCAGCTACTTGGGAGGCTGAGGCAGGAGAATGGCTTAAACCCAGGAGGCGGAGCTTGCAGTGAGCTGAGATCGTGCCACTGCATTCCAGCCTGGGCAACAGAGCGAGATTCTGTCTCAAAATAAATAAATAAATTAAATTTAAAAAAACTTTGTTATTACACAGCAGTGTGTAGTACATTTTAGAAAATTAGGAAATAGGCAAAAATGTAGAAAATATTTTCCATCCTTCCAAGATTACCAAATGTTAACATCTTGTTATACATCCTAGATCTTTTTCTATGCTTATGTGCATTTTTTAAATCAAAATGTGATATTCTGATTGTATGTTACCTTCTTTGATCAGTACAGCTTCTACCTTTCCATTAAAATAAATTTTCACATCTACTAATACTCAGTCCCTATTTAAATTTCATGTTTCCCTAAAAAGTCTTCTCCATCTGGCTTGTTCACAGTGATCCAACCTAGAACTGCTTGCTGCATCTGATTTTGTCCCTGGAGTCTCCTTTAGGCTAGGACAGTATGGTTCCCACTTTACAACACTGCCCTTCTCCAGCTCTGTTGAATAATGTGGTTTCTACACACTTCCCCTGTCATGGGGCCTTCCCCTGGGCTTAGCTGTGTGTTTAACAGGGCTGCAGCGGTGTTAACCTTCATCCCTCTATGTTTTCCAAGGTCATAGACATGACAGGCCGGGAGCAGAAGGTCTACTACAGCTACAGTCAGATCAGCCACAAGCACAACGTTCCCGATGATGGGCTGCCGCTACAGTCCCAACAGCTGCCACAGTCTGGCAAAGAGGCCAAGGCCCCCGGCTTCGCGCTGCCCGAGCTGGAGCACAACCTGCAGCTGCTCATCGACCTCACGGAGCAGGAGATCATCCAGAATGACCGGCAGCTACAGTATGAGCGGGACATGGTGGTCAACCTCTTCCACGAGCTGGAGAAGATGACCGAGGTCCTGGACCACGAGGAGCGGGTCATCTCGAACCTCAGCAAGGTCCTGGAGATGGTGGAGGAGTGCGAGCGGCGGATGCAGCCCGACTGCAGCAACCCCCTCACCCTGGACGAGTGTGCCCGCATCTTCGAAACCCTGCAGGACAAGTACTATGAGGAGTACAGGATGTCCGACCGTGTGGACCTTGCTGTGGCCATCGTCTATCCACTCATGAAGGAGTACTTCAAGGAGTGGGATCCCCTCAAAGTGAGTTGCTGGGAAAATCAACCTATCCCTGCCTCTCGGTTGGGCTTACCCTTGCTTGATGAGTTGGTTCAATGGGCAGGGAGGGCTGGAGAGCCCGCTGCCCCTCAACTGCTCACCTTTCTCCTCAGGACTGCACTTATGGCACCGAGATCATCTCTAAGTGGAAAAGCCTCCTAGAGAATGACCAGCTCTTGTCCCATGGCGGACAGGACCTCTCAGCAGATGCCTTTCACAGGTACACCACAGAGCAGGGCTCTGTACCCCAGCTCCTTTCTCCTGGGGGGTTGGGAAGGATTGCTGAAGGTGGGGGAAGGCAGCAGTGCTGGCCTTGATTAATTCTCTGCTCATGCTGACAGTGCTTTAGGAATTTAAATTCATTTGGCTATGAATTTTTTTTTTTTAATTTTTTTGAAATGTTTTATTTCCATAGGGTTTGGGGAACAGGTAGTATTTGGTTACATGAGTAAGTTCTTTAGTGGTGATTTGTGAGATTTTGGTGTACCCATCTCCTGAGAAGTATACATTGAATCCAATTTGTAGTCTTTTTTTTTTTTTTTTTTTTGAGATGGAGTCTCACTCTGTCACCAGGCTGGAGTGCAGTGGCGTGATCGCAGCTCACTGCAACCGCCAACTGCCTGGTTCAAGCGATTCTCCTGCCTCAGCCTCCCAAGTAGCTGGGATCACAGGCACACGCCACCACGCCCAGCTAATTTTTGTATTTTTAGTAGAGACAGGGTTTCACCATGTTGGCCAGAATGATCTCAATCTCCTGACCTCGTGATCCACCCGCCTTGGCCTCCAAAAAAATGCTGGGATTCCAGGCGTGAGCCACCGTGCCTGGTTCAATTTGTAGTCTTTTATCCCTCACCCCCTTCCCATCCTTTCCCCGAGTCCCCAAAGTCCATTGTGTCATTCTTATGCCTTTGCATCCTCATAACTTAGCTTCCACTTATAAGTGAGAACATAAGATGTTTGGTTTTCCATTCTTGAGTTACTTCACTTAGAATAATAGTCTCCAATTCCAACCAACTTGCTGCGAATGCCATTATTTCATTCCTTTTTATGGCTGAGTCATATTCCATTATATTTATACCACAGTTTCTTTATCCACTTGTTGATTGGTGGGCATTTGGGTTGGTTCCACATATTTGCAACTGCGAATTGTGCTGCTGTAAATTTGTGTGAGCAAGTATCTTTCTCGTATATGACTTTTTTTTTTTTTTTTTTTTGAGATGAAGTCTTGCTTTGTCGCCAGGCTGGAGTGCAGTGGCACGATCTCGGCTCACTGCAACCTCTGCCTCCCGGGTTCAAGCGATTCTCCTGCCTCAGCCTCTCGAGTAGCTGGGACTACAGGCGCTCGCCACCATGCCCAGCTAATTTTTGTATTTTTAGTAGAGACAGGGTTTCACCATGTTGGCCAGGATGGTCTCGATCTCTTGACCTCGTGATCCGCCTGCCTTGGCCTCCCAGAGTGCTGGAATTACAGGCGTGAGCCTCCGTGCCCAGCCATGACTTCTTTTCCTCTGGGTAGATACCCAGTAGTGGGATTGCTGGATCAAATGGTAGTTGTACTTTTAGTTCTCTAAGGAATCTCCACACTGTTTTCCATAGTGGTTGTACAATTACATTTGGCCATGAATTCAGCTGACACTTGTCAAATGTCTGTTGCGTATCATGCTTGTGCTAGGTGCTGGGCTTACCCTAGGAGCACAGCAGACAGCCTCTGTCTACAGTACAGCAAAAAAAGCAGATGGGAAGTAAGGTAGTGAACAAATAAAGGCAGGATGCACACCAGGTACAGCGATAGAGAACTGCAGGAGCAACCTACTTGGAACGGGGGTTGGCACAGAGGTCTTAGGGGAGGTGACGTTGAAATTGTGATAAGAGGGTGAGAGGCATCAGCTCATGAATAGAAGCCTATAGGTGGGAAAGCACTTGATACCTGGGAAGAGGCCCTTGTGACCCTAAAGCAGCTCTGCCAGGTGGATGGGCACTACCTAGGAGACTGAGGCCTCAGATTGAGAGGAGAGTCAAGAGAACAAGGAAGAGGCAGGCTCAGTCTGGCCAGTATGGTGACTGGCCTGATGGTTTCCTCTGATTGGATTTCCATGCTGTTGCATTTTTATTCCTGATTCTAGAGAGGCAGGTGGTGGTGGTGTACTTTGAAACCAGTCAGTGTAATTAACCAGCCTGTCCTCTGCCTTTCTCCCATAGGTTGATATGGGAAGTCTGGATGCCTTTTGTTCGAAATATTGTCACCCAGTGGCAGCCAAGGAACTGTGACCCGATGGTGGACTTTTTGGATAGTTGGGTGCACATTATTCCTGTGTGGATCTTAGATAACATACTGGACCAACTCATCTTCCCCAAGCTGCAAAAGGAGGTGGGATGAGAGTCATGGGAAACAGTCGTCATCACTAATCACAGGGACTTGTTCAGTCTGTGGCTTCATTATCTCAGTGCTGTTAAAACGCCTGGAATTAACGGAATTTGTCAACACAACTATTGACCTATAGTGTTAATTCCAGCCTTTTTCTCAGCACTTTTTCCCCCAAGCCACCCTCAGGAGGGAATTCATTTTCTTGATTTTGTCACTAAAATTAGAATTGTGCTGTTTCTGAGATGTAATCAAATGGATGGGCATATTTGTTTGGCAATGTACAAAGGACTGTGGGCCTCAGAGAGCACAGGGCCTCCTCCAGGGGCAGCTCTTGCCTTTAGCCACACAGGGGTGTTATGTGACTGCCCCACAGGCGACATGAACTGTTTCTCCTCCCCACTTCGCAGGTGGAAAACTGGAACCCGCTCACAGACACTGTTCCCATCCACTCTTGGATCCACCCATGGCTGCCCCTTATGCAGGCACGGCTGGAGCCACTCTATTCCCCCATCCGTAGTAAGCTGTCCAGCGCCCTGCAGAAGTGGCACCCCAGCGACTCCTCTGCCAAGCTCATCCTCCAGCCCTGGAAGGATGTCTTCACTCCTGGCTCCTGGGAAGCATTCATGGTCAAAAACATAGTGCCCAAGCTGGGTAAGGATAAGGGGAAATGCATTCCAAGCCCAGCAGCTTTGGTGCCCTGGTTTCTGTGGTTAGCAGTGATGATTTAAAGCATCGCCTTTATGTTCATGAAAGTGCTTAGTACACAATATTCCTTGCTGTGAAAAAGGTAACATTTTGTTCAGAGGCTGAACATAAATGTAACTTGGGTCCTTTCCGCTGTTTATTTACAACAGTCACTAATAGTCGACAGTGACAATATCGGACTCTGTGCCTTGTGGTTTTCCCGATTGGTTTTGGCTTCTGGTAATAGGACAGCCATTGGAGTTCTAAAATTTTTGTGGTATTTTACTCTAAATTATTAGGGAGTTATTTCCAGGTTAGCAAAAAAAATATATATACATACACACACACACACACACATATATGTATATATATACACACATGCATATACATGTATATATACACATGTATATACACATATATGTATATACACACATATATATGTATATATGTATACACACACACACATATATATATGTGTATATATATACACATATATATTTTAAGAATCGCTATGTCGGGAGCTTAAATTTGACCTTTAAAAGCAGATTACAGCCTGAGCAACATGGTGAAACCCCATCTCTACCAAAAATACAAACCAGCCAGGTGTGGTGGCGGGCGCCTGTCGTCCCAGCTACTAGGGAGGCTGAGGCGGGAGGATGGCTTGAACCTCGGAGGCAGAGGTTGCAGTGAGCCAAGATCTGCCATTGCACTTCAGCCTGGGCAACAGTGAGACCCTGTCTCAACAAAAAAAAAAAAAAAAAAAAAAAAAAAAAAAAAAAGCCAGGAGTTGTGACTTATGCCTGTAATCCCAGCCCTTTGGGAGGCTGAGGTGGGCAGATCACCTGAGACCAGGAGTTTGAGACCAGCCTGGGCAACATGCCAAAACGCTGTCTCTAATAAAAACACAAAAATTAGTTGGCCACGGTGGTGCACACCTGTACTCCCAGCTACTCGGGAGGCTGAGGCACAAGAGTCACTTGAACCCGGGAGGCGGAGGTTGCTGTAAGCTGAGATGAAAACGGACATTGTCTTTGCTCTTTGTGCTTCTTTGGCTTTGCCAGTACTAAAGCTGTGCCTTACAGACCGGGTTTCTCTTCCAGGGATGTGTCTTGGTGAGCTAGTCATTAACCCCCACCAGCAGCACATGGATGCATTCTATTGGGTGATTGACTGGGAAGGGATGATCTCTGTCTCTAGCCTGGTGGGACTTCTTGAAAAGCACTTCTTCCCCAAGTGGCTTCAGGTACACTTTGTTTTGCTTGGATTTCTGGGGGAGGGAACTGGGTGGGGATTAAGTTAATTTTCTGCCAAGGCCTGACTGTAGGTACAATTCCATAATGAAAATAAATTACATGGTAGGGTAGGAATGAGTTAGGTCATCTTCATAGTGGGCACCATTTATTGGACATTTGCCATGTATCAGAAGCTGTTCCAAGCACTTTATTTGCTTTATCTCAGCTCCTCTCAGCAACCCTATGGGGTAGGGGATATGGTATCCCTGTTGTGTAGACATGGAAGCTGAGGCTCAGAGAGTTTACATGCAAGGGCACTTTAGCTACCAGGCTGACTCCAAAATCCATATTCATAAGTGCTAGACTGTTTAGCTACTATAAATCCCTGTAAAGTAGTGTCACTAGCCTGTAGGACCAGGATCAAAACAAAACAAATGGCCACTTCAGAAATCTTGCCTTCATTTGTTGCCACGATGGATGCAAGTAATTTTTCTTTTTGGCAGGTGCTGTGCTCTTGGCTCAGTAACAGCCCAAATTATGAGGAGATCACCAAGTGGTACCTGGGTTGGAAGTCGATGTTCTCAGACCAAGTGCTGGCACATCCATCTGTCAAGGACAAATTTAATGAGGCACTTGATATCATGAACCGGGCGGTGTCCTCCAACGTTGGTAAGTGAGGATTCCCATTTTGGATGTCCTGGCCCCAAGTTTCAGATTTTACACATGTAAATGACACAGAATCAGAGTTTTCTGGTTCCTGTAGGCAGCCTAAACCTTAGGTCACACTTTTGCACATAGCAACAGACTCTCACCCTGCTGACTGGGGTACATGGTCAGCTGGCACCCACTGCCCAGGTCTACCATGACTGAGAGGGGCATCTTCCCTGAGTGGAGACTGACTTAAGCTGGATTCAGATGATGTCAGTCTAACCCCAGGCCCCGCCCTCTTAACCACTGTGCTGTGTGGCCTTTTAAGGCTCATTCATGCCTGAGCATGCTGCTTAGGTGACGCATCTTACAGTGTGGAGTTTGGCACGCGGTCTGACACTTGGTGATTGCTCAGCCTTAATCAGCCCCATTTTACCTGTTAAACAGTAAGATCTACTTTATAGGCTAAAAGGGAGAGTGAGTTCATGCTTGTGTATAGCCTTCAATAGGTGGTGTCTGTGTTGTCAAAAACAGGCAGTTCACTGTTCGTGTACTATATCTGTTCCCAAGTTCTAGGTAAGTCATTCTGCCTAGATCATAAGTAAGTGAGAGTATATTTATGTTTCTACATTTGGGAGCCTATTTCAACCAGTCCTGTGCTCCAGTGTTGCTCATTAGCCGATTCGCAGCATTGAAATGGGATCGTCTAGTCTGTGTTTTACAGATAAGCCCAGCGAGGCTGAGAGCCTGTTCAAGGTCACATAGTTAAAGGGTGGCAGTTAGAACTGGAATTTCTATTTCCTGAGTCTTTAATTCTTGTTATTTAATAGCCTAGGCCAGGCACGGTGGCTCACGCCTGTAATCCTAGCACTTTGGGAGGCCGAGGCGGGTAGATCACGAGGTCAGGAGTTCGAGACCAGCCTGACCAACATGGTGAAACCCCGTCTCTACTAAAAATGCAAAAATTAGCCGGGCGCGGTGGCACATGCCTGTAATGCCAGCTACTTAGGAGGCTGAGGCAGAAGAATCGCTTAAACCTGGGAGGCAGAGGTTGTAGTGAGCCGAGATTGCAAGCACTGCACTCCAGCCTAGGTGACAAGAGCGAGACTCGGTCTCAAAAAAAAAAAAAGAAAAATAGCCTATTCTGTGAAAACAGAGATTAAGTAATAAGGCAAATATACTTCTCTGCTTCTGTAATTATCAAGTTTTTTCTAAAAACTCTTCCTTAGCTACCCTTGGCCTCATGTTTCCAAAACTGTTCCCTGAATATACCCCTCAATTAGCACTTAGCATTTATGGTCTTGGTATTATCCTTTAAACACTCATTTCAGCTCCCTAAATATATGTGAACTTCTTTCAGGATGGGGGCCCTGTGTGGGTAGGTTAAAAATAAAGCCAGTATGGGCCCTATGTTTTCAAGGTACTAAAAGCTGCCTCTTTGGTGGTGGGAAATGGAAACTCTACAGAGCAAGGTGGGAACAGAAGAGTGGCTGAGGACTCTCTGTTAATGTTTCCAGCTCTGAAGGAAGAAATCCCTTGCAGATACTTCATTTTAAAATGTTGAATATTAATAATCTGGTTACTAGATACTAGCCAGGAACCTTCTGAACAGTTTTTATGTGATACTGGCCAGTCGTCTAAACTTCCTCCAAAGTTGTATCTTTGAGGCAGAGCTGCCCTTCAGTGAGTCACAAGCACTCTGGCACACCCAAGACCTGGGCCAAGCCACAGTGTCAACTTCCATACACCTGGAAACACCTCTCCTCACCGCCCTGTCCTCCTGTATCTTAGGTGCCTACATGCAGCCAGGAGCACGGGAGAACATTGCCTATCTCACCCACACGGAGCGGAGGAAGGACTTCCAGTACGAGGCCATGCAGGAGAGGCGGGAGGCTGAGAACATGGCTCAGAGGGGCATTGGCGTGGCCGCTAGCTCTGTGCCCATGAACTTTAAGGACCTCATTGAGACCAAGGCTGAGGAGCACAACATTGTCTTCATGCCCGTCATTGGGAAGCGACACGAAGGGAAGCAGCTCTACACCTTTGGCCGCATTGTGATCTACATCGACCGGGGAGTGGTCTTTGTCCAGGGCGAGAAGACGTGGGTGCCCACCTCACTGCAGAGCCTGATCGACATGGCCAAGTGAACTGTGGCAGGTCCAGAACCAGTCAGAGACTTGCCCCTAAGAGGGATGTACTGTAAATAAACAGTATTTTTAGATCACCTTCAAAAGGGTAACTTCTTTACTCAGGAGCTACTCCACATCAGGCCAGGTCATGAGGGAAGGATGTAAAATGGGACAATGCCACGTAGGGCAGGAATCTTTATACCAAGTCCTCATGTGGGGTATCGTCCTCAAAACAGGACAGCCAAGTTGATGTTCTTTCCTGGCAAAGGAGTTCTCTGTAGTTCCTCCATAGCAGCCTTCCCTTTAGTCTCTGGTGGCAGCTTCTACCTCAGCCAACACTGAGTACCTCACAACGAGTTCAGTCAGTAGCAGAAGGATCTTCTCTCTTGTTCCTGATGATTTCAAGGTCCTCACAGTCCTGATAATCTGGTTCTTCCCGAAACTCCCAAATATCTATGGAGAGCTGTTCTAGCTTTTGCACAGGGAACCAGTGGACAGAGGTATCATTAAATATGTCCATGTATTGTGAAGTCTGAGGAAACTCAAGCTCCTCCAGTCCTTTTAAAATCTGAGCAGAAAAATTCAAGTATAAAAACTTCAGATAGTCACAGTAATCCCCACTCTTCTGGGATAAATTTCCACTTTACTTGTCATCCCCACTTTACTTTTTAAAAAAATAACAAATAGGGTATTTTGATTTAAATGCTTTTGCACAATGAATTGGGCGCCCCAAGGACAGTGGATATCATGGACTGTGATACTAAGAATAAAGGAAATAAGGAAAAAACTAAGAGATGCATTAAAGAGTCATAGCTTTCTGGAACACAGACCCATGGAGAGAGCTGACAGTACACTAGCGCCACTTAGCCCATGAGTTTCCTCCTACGCCTGTAAAGAAAGATAGAATTCTTCACAGTTTCACACCCTTTTCCATCCCAGCCCCTTTATTCAGATAGATACCTTTGCAATGTAGGGATAATTTTTCTGCAGAATCCTTGCCAACAACCTAGAAATTAAAAAAAACCAAAAAAACAAAAAAAAAACACCATGATTAGGAGGTATGAGGATAGTTTCATTCAACTTTTAAGACACATAGAAGGGCAAGATGATTGAAGCATAGTAAGAATTCAGGAAAAAACTCAAGATGTGGAGTAAACCAGTTAAATAGTTGAAAATGTGGGCCAGGCGCAGGTAATCCCAGCACTTCAGGAGACTGAGGCGGGCGGATCATTTGAGGTCAGGAGTTCAAGACCAGCATGGCCAACATGGTAAAACCCCATCTCTACTAAAAATAAAAAAATCAGCCGGGCGTCCTGGTGTGCATCTGTAATCCCAGCTACTCATTAGGCTGAGGTAGGAGTATCGCTTGAACCCAGGAGACAGAGGTTGCAGTGAGCTGAGATCATACCACTGCACTCCAGCCGGGGGGACAGAGTGAGACTCCATCTCAAAAAAAAAAAAAAAAAAAAAAGCAAATATTCCAGTAATTGTGCCCATTTCATCAAGAGAAATGACTGAGCAGACTCCTAAGCACGTGAAACAGAATGAGGACGTGGAGCTGTAGGCAGAGGAATCAAATAGCTTTTCCCTGTTTTCAAAACCATTTCTGTGTATCATAATGGAAGGGAGGAATTCGTGGCAAAAAGACTCCTTAACTTGCTTCATAGTTCGAATCAGGATTTGACATCTGTCTTTAAGCCTTCATCCAGTTCCCTGTGGAAAAGCATTTCCCCAGTATGGAATCGTCAAGGAAATGTTTTCTGCATGTGGGTCAATCTGAGGTATGGGCTTCACCTCAGGGCCTGACAGAATCTCAGCATTCTCAGACTTACCTCTCCTCAAGTCCTTTGAAACTGTTCCCAATGATGACCATCTTAGAAAGGGCATCTACTGACCAGTTACTCCATAAAAGATTGTTGTACAAGGCCGTCCCACAATGGAGCATGTAAAAGATGGTAGGCTCCCCGCGAATACTCCGTTTCCCTTCCTGGGGATACGATATTCACAGGTGTAAACATGCCCACAACCTATTCTTTACAGCAAGGTGAGGGAGAGGTAAGGATGGGGATAATCATGAGACAAACTAAAGGATCAAAAGGAAAAAAGCTCATTTTGTGGAACAGTTACACTCGTATATGAAATCTATAGTTACAGGACTAAAGAGTCAGGAAATCATGATGTCCCGAAAGAACTCATGTTTACTTAACAAATGTACACATTGTGTTCTCATGAACACAAAGCCCTGCACTGATGGAGGGGCTTCCTGGGTCTATGACGGCAAGAACAGGAGGGATAGTGATGTTACTTACCCCATGTATTTCCCCTGTGTTCAGTAATCCACACTTCCTATGTCACTTCCTGCAGATCTGCATAACTAAGTCCTCTTCCAATGTCCCTGAGGCACAATCACCCCTCCTGAGAACCACTGCTCTCTGGCCAAACTCCAGCAGGGAACATAAGGCCCTTTGTCTGACCCTTGCCCACCTCTGGCCTGCCTCTCCTCTCCTTGCAGCTTCCCTTGTGTTAATAACAAACTGGCAGTGGTTTCCTGAACAGCCAGCACTGCACAGCTACCTTCAATCCTGGTTCTGTCCCACTAGCAAACTCCTGGTAGACCTTCAAAGCCCAGCTCAGACCCAGGAATCCTTCCTCCATCCCTCCGAACACCTGTCGTAGTACAAGGTTCTGCCTCAGTATTTCATTCCTCATTCACTTGTTGACCATGGGCTCCCTGAACACAGGGACTGGCTCCCATTTTTCTTGGTCTCCCCAAAGCTCCCTGCCTAGCACAGAACAGGCACCCAGAAAGATGATCTGAACTGAGTGACAGTGTTTTAGGACCTTGCCAATATCAGGGAATGACTCTTCTCTCAACTGAGCCAAATTTTCATACATAATAAGCAATAAGATGGCAGTTTCAGCACACACACAGGAATCAAAAGATTCTAATCCCCAAGACAATACAAAACCGAAATCGGAGGGATTTGCTCATACTGGCTTTGGCCCTGTGCTTTAGGGATGCATTTCTTTATTCCACAGGTCTCAGAAATGTCAAATCCCAGCTATTTTGGGGGGTGCAAACATGGGCAGAGAATTAATCCACAACTCACAGCCAGGTGCTATGGGTTTGACTGGGTTATAGCATCAAAGAGGAATGCTGCATCCCCTTTTATTACCTCCCTGGGACAGGATAAAATCCAACCACAAAGACCTCACTTGAGGCACCTAGACTTTTATGTTTCAGTAGCAACAGCAAATACCAAGTTAGCATAATTTCCAGACAAATAATTCTCAAAAAAGTGGTGCAGACCTAACATGTTCTGGTTCATGCTATCTGTGTAATTTTTTTCTGATGGGCACAACACAAGCCAAAATGTAGGTAACTGATTGGCTGGTTACATCGTTCAGGCACTACAAAAGTGAGCAGGCGGTAAGAGAGGAATGGCTGCCACTGCAAAGAATGCTGGTGTCCACAGGCAGGGCCTGGGGTGAGTCTGGTCAGGATTTTTACAGTTCTGTCTGCTCCCCTTTAAACCACTTACCTCGTTCTCACTGAGAACAGTCACACCAAGGGTGTTAAGGACTTCAATTTCAAGTTGGCTAAACAGAGGGTCATATACCCAACAGTGACTTCTGGGAATCTAGAAGGGAAGAATGAGTTGTTTACTTCAACCCAAACATCTGTGTGCACCCATGTATAGGACCAGAGGAGGAGGAGATGAAAATGAATCCAAAAATGTACCTGGCACTTTTCCAACAAAAGCAGCAAAAACGTTAGCTGGTTTCTAGCTACGATGCAGGTGGCAAAGTTCCCAATGCCGTAACACACACACTTCAAATGGCAGGTTCCTGTGACCAAGATCTCTCTTGGGATAGAATCAGTGGCCACATCTGACTCCTCTGGCAATGAGTCAAGATGCAGGTTTCCAAAGATGTCTGAAAGAGTCCCCACAGGGGCCTTCAGTTGTTCCAGATGTTTTGTGAGACATCTATTGATGGTTTCTGAAAGAGCAGGCCCCCAAATGCAGTTAGAGGGCATGTTCTGACCCTGTGAACCAAATCATCCACAAAAGAAGTTCACATATTTGGGGAGAAAGAGATCAGGGCAGTAAAAGGTTTCAATTCTTCAGAGAGAGAGAGAAGCTGCCAGCCTCATTCCCAAACATGCCTGGACATACAGTCACATTCACCACCAATTGACAAACTGTCCCGGCCCCTGGACTCCCAAAACCCAAGAGCATGTTGCAAGCAGAAATTGGGTTTCACTCAAGGGCAGTTTCCATCTAAAACTCTAATGTGAACTCATTCTAATTTAACAAGACCCTCCTAGTAAATGTAGACTATGCTCTGAAATGCGTACTTTTAAAGTTGTAACAAACCAGGTGCTCACGCCTGTAATCCTAGCACTTTGGGAGGCCTAGGTGAGTGGATCGCCTGAGGTCAGGAATTCAAGACCAGCCTGGCCAACATGGCAAAACCCCATCTCTACTAAAAATACAAAAAATTAGTCAGGCGTACTGGCGCACAGCTGTAGTCCCAGCTACTTGGGAGGCTGAAGCAGAAGAATCACTTGAACCAGGGAGGTGGAGGTTGCAGTTAGCCGAGATCACACCGCTGCATTCCAGCCTGGGCAACAGAGCAAGACTCCATCTCAAAAAAATAAAATAAAGTTATACTCTGTTTAAGTCTTCTCATGTAGAGGTAGGTTCTCTTGTCTCTCCTTTTATTGTACTGGTACTGAATTTAGCAAAACAAAAAAAGCCGTGCATTCCAATAAGATACCAACTTTTCACTTAAGATACCAGCAAAGGGCCAGGCATGGTGGCTCACACCTGTAATCCCAGTACCTTGGGAGACCGAGGTGGGCAGATCACTTGAGGTCAGGAGTTCGAGACCAGTCTGGCCAACATGGTGAAACCCCATCTCTACAAAAATACAAAAATTAGCCAGGGGTAGTGGCACACACCTGTAGTCCCAGCTACTCAGGAGACTGAGGCAGGAGGATTGTTTGAACCCAGGAGGTGGAAATTGCAGTGAGCAGAGATCACACCCCTACACTCCAGCCTGGGTGACACAGTGAGACTCCGTCTCAAAAGAAAAAAAAAAAAAAAAAAAAGCAGCAAAGACATCTTTAAACAAGACCCCAAGCCAGGAAAAACTGGCTCTTCAGGTCAATTTTGATAAAAGAATTGGTGAAAATTTTCTGGATAACTTGACAATAGATATCAAGTTGGTCACCGCCTTTCATTTAATTCTACTTCTGGGAATATATCCTAAGAAGATCATCCTAAGTTTGGTAAAAGCTTTATGCATAAAGTTACTCATTGCAAAATTATGTATAATAACTTAAAAAGGCTGGTTGTGGTGGCTCATGCCTATAATCCCAGCGCTTTGGGAAGCTGTAGGTGGGAGGATCACTTGAGCTCAGGAGGTACAGGTTGCAGTGAACTATGATTGCATCATTGTACTCCAGCCTAGGCGAAGAGTAAGACACTGTCCTAAAATAATAACTGAAAAACAACAGAAGAAAACTAAATGTCCCACAATAAAAATGATACCTATGGTATGTCCACTCCATGCATAAATATTATGTCGCCACCCACACACTATGTTTAGGAAGAGATTATCACTGCACGAGGAAAAGGCTACATTGTAATATCATGGAAAAGGAACAGGATAAATATAAATTTCAGCAATAATAATGACAACATTTATTGCCTTGTATACAGCAGGCAAGCATTTAACTAAACAGCTTCAATTCTCAAAACTATAGGATATACACATTATCTCCATTTCACAGATAAAGAAACTGAGGATCAGAATTAAGTGCCAAAAGACATACAGCTGTAAGGGGCGGGCGGCGTTAGAACCCAGCAAGTTATCCCTCTGTGAAGCAAAATGTCCTCAAATGAGGACTGATTCTCTTTTCTGCCCCACAATCCCTACCATTGGCCAAGTGGTACCCACCTAGTGCTGAACTCCAGAAATCAGAGATAAACAGGTCCTTCCTGTTGAGAAAAAAAATGGCACAGTCATGTCCCACCCATCTCAGGGCTGCCCCAACAGTAACTTTCCTGATCATGACCTGAATGCTTACAGAATGAGGTGCCCTGCAATGCAGGGCCCACCCTTACCAAGTGATAGGAGGGGGATATATGTTGAATATGTCCAGAGCCAGAGCACATACTGCTGGGGCTCAGAGACTGCAGGAGAGAGTATGCTGGAGGAGGTCCTTGATTCCCAGAGAGAGATCTGGGTCTATTCTCAGTCTACAACAGAGCCTAGCATAGAATTGCAGCTCAATAAATGGTTGTTAAGTGCTCAGAATTAGCCTTTCTGAGCTTTAGTTTCCTCATCTCTAAAATGGGGATAAAAATCATTCCCAACACGGAGGAGTTTAGAGGCATAAAATGGGTTAACATTCTTAGCCCAGTGTCTGGCACATAGCAGGTACTCAACAAATGGTATTTGTTATTATAAATAGTTTTAAGGGGAAAGTAAAGAGACAAAACCAAGTGTCTGGGCTTTCTTTATTCAAGTCAACTGGTTTTACAGACCCAGAGCAAAAGAAAGTCAACAGTGAATTAAAATGAACTGGATTTAAACTGACAAGCCACAGCCAGAGACAGTGATTATGGGGTTCAGAAAGGAGTACAGAGAATTGAAAGTCGGCCCAGAGGCTGCTGCACGTTTCTCACAGAGGGTAGAGAGTTCTGATGTACACAGGAATGCTTTATGAACTGGTAAATGCGTACACAGATATGCGTGTAAAATGCTGGCTCAATCTCTACTCAGAGCGATGGTGATTGCACCACACTTGGGTGTTGGGAGAAGCAAGGAGCTCCTGGGGAATACTGAAGCAGTTGAGGAGATCGTGACAGTGTCAAGGGATATGAAAAATGCCTTGAGTTTTCCAAACCCCTAGGCACATTCACTCTCACTGGCATCCTCTGAGAGCTTAAAAATAATCGCAGGTGCTTTTTATTCAGGCTGAGCCAAATGGTCAGCAACTTTCTCTTCAGAGGTAAACTCTGGGACATTACTGCCTCTTGACCCTAATTCTAGGGGAGAGGAGCACACAAAATTAATCTAATTTCTCCCCTTGTGACGGCCCTTCGGATGCTGATCTTAAGTGCTAACTAAAGCTGTTATTTATTGAGCCTAAACAAAACTGCGAATAAAGATAATAATACTAAATAACAATAATAAGTAACATTTATTGAGTGTTTCCTCTGTATTAGGCACTCTCTATGTACTTTCTAAGGTACAGAGCAAGGTATGTGAGAATCTGGGCTGGGATAAGCAACAAGCATAATGGAAAGCTGGAAGCACTGGTTTTTGTCACAAAGACCTGGGTTTGAAATCTGGTTCCACACATTTTCTTTGTCTCTTTGAGAATCAGTGAGCTACCAGGGTCCTAGTATGCCTGCAATGTTTAACATAAAGTGTGTAGAATGATTAAGCTAATGTCAGGCACATAGCAGCTGCCTGATGATAGCAGTCACGTGTTCATGTTGCTTCCCTCGTGTCACCACCACCAATAATATCAACATCGGCATAATATTAATAGCAAACACTGGCACAGTGCTTACCACGTGCCAGAAAATGGTTTCCGTTTACTAATTCATTGAATCCTCAAAACAAACCTACGTATGTACTATTTTCATCCCCATCTCACAGATGAGAAAACTGAGGCACAGAGATTATAAATTGTCCAAGGTCACGCAGCTGTAACCGTAATAAAAGGAAAGACGACCTTTAACTGAGCGCTTACTATAATCCACATCTTTAATGAGCTCGTTACCTACGTTAACTCTTCACAATAACTCCTTAAAGGGTGTGCATTATATCTCCACTCTACAGATGGGGAGACTGTGGCTCAGAATTGCCCATGGGCGCAAAGATTCCATCAGGGCCGAGCCTGCACTCACTCAGCCTCCCAGATGCGACGAAGCACGACTCCGCTGTCAGACTCGAACTCCGCCTCGGGGCCCCGGGGCGCCGCCTCTCTCCCCCGGGGCGCCGCCTCTCTCCCCCGGGGCGCCGCCTCCCTCCGCCGCGGCCGTCGAGCCGCGGAGCGCCTCTTCCGCGGAGCCGCCGCCTGCCAGGATTCCAGCGCCGCAGCTGCGGCCGCAGCCATTGGTCTCTGACGTCAGCGGCGTGCGGCGCACTCGGCACGTCATCGCCGCGCGCCGGCTTGCCAGGAGCTGGAGGGGGAGGTAGGCGGGGCGGCGCGTGACCTAAGGCCTCTCTGCCGCGCGCGCAGGTACGGGGCAGAAGTCGCAGGTACCCAGCTGCTGCCCACATTTCTGGTCCAGAGTCCCGAACCCCGAGCACTGGGATGCCTGGCTACTCCGGTGGGTGGGCGGCGCTCGGAGCGCGGGGATACCGAGGGGCGGGCCCCCAGCTTAGAGCGTGACCCGACCCCGCCTAATCCTTAGGCGTTCGCCCACCATTTCCCAGTCCCGTAGAGCTGGGGCCAGACACCGCACAGCCCTAGTGCTGTTACCAGTCGCTGCCTGCGCCCCGGGGGCTGCGCCCAGCAGCTTCCTGGCCCTTTTCCAGCCATTAGCGTCCGTTTTCCAGCCCTGCTGCCCCACTGAGGCCCCTTCCCACAGCAGTATCACCAGCCCCAGCCCCGCGTTGTTACTATTACTTCCCAGGCTACCAGATCCTTTTCTGCTCATGTTCCGACGTCTCTTCCTACTCCAGGGCCATTATTGGTCTCTTCTGGACCTTTCAGAGATAAGAGAGGACCTCGGTAGTGTAGGGCCCAGTCCTCTGGGAACAAGGGATGGGGAGTTTTAGGCTGCTGTCCTTGGTTCCAGTAACAGAGATACCCCCTCCACAGGCACCCAAATATGCTCCATAGAATACAATGAGTGTGGTCCTGTGGAGGCCCAATCCAAAATATCTAGAGCTGAGAAGAGATAGAGATTTTACAGGCCGTCAAATATTCAATGGGGGTCGTCTCTAGAGACTTTTAACAAACTGTATTGTGTACCCACAGATTGCAGAATGGTGAGCAAACATTTGAGACCATGTTGCTAAAGCATTAAGCTTGGAGAAAGTGACAGTAAGAATTAGACAATAGTTTTGAAGTGACCAAGAGGTTGTCACATGGAAGAATTAGACCTTGTTTTGTGTTTTCCTGCAGAGCGTTATCCAGACTAGCGAGTGGGAGGCAGATGTAAAATCTGGAACGCAGATTTTAGTTTGTTGGAAGGAGAAATGTAACATAGTGAACCACGCATCTCTGGAGGGTGTAAAGCAGAGACAGCCAAGGTAATTTTTGGAAAAGAGTGCAGGAGAGTAGAGTAAACGATGCCAGGGTTCCTTCCGACTCTGAAATTCCGTGATACACTGAGCTGTCTTTCTCTTGTGGAAGTTTGAAAGCCATTTGATAAAGTTCTCTTCATTTTTTAGAAATTTGCCCTGCTCTGGAATTCTGCATGTTCAGGTTACTTTTGGACTGTCAAGATGACAGTTCCTTAATTTGGGTTCCATTATTACCACAGCAACTGGTTTATTTGTATAGCTGTCCACACCTAGAGCATTTTCACCCTGTCATTTGATTTTATCTTCCGTGAAGCTTGTGGTGTGTTTCCCTTAACTGTTCGAGAAACTAAAGCCCTTACTCTGAAGTCTCTGCAAGCCTCCCTCTTTGATTTTGAAGCATGATTGTCACCCTCACAGAAAGCTCTTTTGAAATATACCATTCGTTTAATCCTGCTGGGTCACATGCTCTCTCACGAGTTGCTGAAATATCTATTCCTTGTGTTTATTTCAGAGCCAAGGCACTGATGTTTGAACTGGAAACTTCAAAACGTTTAATAAGAGTCTTCAGGATGGGTTTGAACTAGACAAGCTAGAAATTTCTTTAGAACACCAGCTCTAGCATGCATCTCCCACTTTTGGCTTTCCTGGAGAGGAGCTTGAAGAGGTGGTTCTGCAGACAGCCACAGTGATACTTAGGAAACCAGAGGAATGGATTTGACTTTTCTGCTAGGATTCTCTGTTATAGTTTCTCCCTGAGTTGTAAGAGGCATGGAAATATACATGAAACTGAAGAACCTGCAAGGAAGGGAAGTGGAACTTTCCATGCTGAGTGAAAACTAACCAAGTGGCAGTTGTGACTGAAAACACTGAAACCTACCACGTCCAGATTCACTGGATTGGGGGATAGAGGAACGGTCACAGCTAGGGAGAAAGAAGTGATACCGGAAAAGAAAACCTAAATGAAGAGAATGAGGATGACTGCACAGTAGATGGCCACCTCTACCTCCACAGAGGCAAAGTCAGCCTCGTGGTGAGTAACAAGGCCTGCCATGGCATAGCTTTTGCTGGGCTGTTGGTTAGAGTTTTGGGGTTAATTGAAAATCCCCAGCCAGATTGTGTTAATTTTATTAACATAACAATAAAAATGCCATTTTCCTCAGAGCAGCTGAATCAAGCACGTGAGCCATCGCTCTCCAAAGCTAACATGTTTTAACCTTGCAAGCCTCTCCCAATGTTTGAATGAGTCTGGCATTGCTGGGAGATTGTAGAAAAGATAGCCACAGCCTGATCATGCAGCGAGCTTTGATGATAATGTGAATATTGTAGTCTTCAATTTGCAGAGATGAGGTATGGTTGCATTTGAGAATTACAGCATGAGGAGAGGTCTGGCCAGACTGGGTATCAAGGGGTATTACTCAATGTCTGTCTGAAACCCAGTTCCCTTCTCAACCCTAAATGCGTTAATCCTTTCCCATAATTAGGTTTAGCAAACATCAGTCATAGAGGAGATGAAGGTGAAAAGCAGGTTTAGCTAGAATTAGCAGGATTTAGTGACTGATTATTTATGTGGAAGTCAAAAAGATGGAGCAGTTCAAAATGACACCCAAGTTTTCTTTCGTGTGCCCGCACAAGCAGGGATGCTTTCATCAAGAGAACGTGGGGACAGGGGAGGATGGGGTGCACATGGAGTTTCTGAGTTGGCTTTGAAACTTTTTTGAGGCTTTTTGATCTGAGCTTACCCTGCAGCCAGTTGTACATCCAGCCTTAGGTATTGGGAAAGAGGACAGTGCCAAGAGACCAAGTTGGTGCTTTATTTATTTGTTTGTTTGTTTTTGAGACAGGGTCTTGCTCTATCCTCCAGGCCAGAGTGCAGTGGCATGATCTCAGGTCACTGTAGCCTCAATCCCCCAGGCTCAAGTGATCCTCCTACCTCAGCATCCCAAGTAACTGGAACCAGAGGCACACCCCACCATGCCTGGCTAATTTTGTCTGTTTTTTGTGGAGATGGGGTTTCACGGTGTTGCCCAGGCTAATCTCGAACTCCTAAGCTCAAGCAGTCCTCCTACCTAGGCCTCTCAAAGTGCTGGGATTATAGGTGTGAGCCACTGTGCCCAGCCAAGTTGGTGCTTTTTCATCAGGAAGGCAGGGTGGGAGCCATGGAGGGAGGCTTCAGAGAGGGCATAGATCCAGGGAAGAGAGCAGATGACACATTGGTCCCATTGCTTGTTTATGCTATAGCCTCATAAATGTGTTCTCAGAGACTTAGAAGTAAAACAGGTCCAGCCAGGCTCAGTAGCTCACACCTGTAATTCCAGCACTTTGGGAGGCCAGGGCAGGATTATTTGAGTCCAGGAATTTGAGACCAGCCTGGGCAATATAGTGAGACTCGTTTCTATAAAAAATTTAAAAAAAAATAGCCGAGCATGATGGCACACTCCTGTAGTCCCATCTACTTGGGAGGCTGAGGCGGGAGGATGGCTTGAGCCTGGGAGATTGAGTTTGCACTGAACCGCAATCGCACCACTGCACTCCAGCCTACAGGGCTACAAAGTGAGACCCTGTAAAAACAAAACAAAATTGAGGCCTGGCCTTTGAGGTGTTTGTTTTATGGTCTTAAAGAGGTAATCAGATAATAACATTACGTAATATAGTTATACTGCAGTGTAGTCTGTAAGAGTCTTTGAGGAAGAACAGAGGGTCATGGAAATTCAGAACAAAGAGATATCTCTGGGCCGAGGGAATCAGGAGACGGTTAATGAGGAAGTGTGCTTGAATGATACTTGGTGAGGTTTGGCATGGTAGAGAGGAGTTCAGAGTTTCTCTGTAAATTCTCATAGGCCCCTGTTTTTTCCCTGTTACGAACTTTTGGACTCACTATCCTGCATTGAAACTGCGTGTTTGCTCAGCAACCGCGGAGCACACTGTGGGCCCTCAGTAAATGTTTAAGTGAATGCATGAATTCCTGGTAGAAGGGCTGTTTCTGGAAATCTTTGTGCTCAGCACTTATGAGGAGTGCATCTAATACATCCCTAACTTATTTTGTTATCAGAGCCTTAAAAGACAGCGTATCAGACCATGTGGTTGTATAGTTAAGGTTCAGTGTTTCAAATAAGAGCAGTCATTGTGGGCGCCTCGTTTTTTTTTCTAGCTACTCGTGTCTTCTCCGGCAGATGGTCTAACGGCTGGATAGAGGCATATTTTTAGTTTGAATTTCCTGCGCTTACAGAATGGTTTTATCTAATTTGTAGCTACTGGGGTTCTTTATTCTCTGGGGCCACCTGAAGGCTTTCAAACACAGTAATAAGCCCTCCTCGGGCTGGGAAACAGGAAGCTGTGTTTTAAATGCCGTGATCACTGGATTAAAGGAAACATGGCTCCACTCTGTTCTCTTGCCAGGTGGAATTATTTTTTTCTTTATGATGGTTCCAAGGTAAAGGAAGAAGGCGATCCAACAAGAGCTGGCATTTGTTACTTTTATCCTTCCCAGGTAAGCCACACAGCATTTTATTGTTCAGTGAGGATCCCAGTGCCTCCAAGTGGTGACTTTTCAAAAGTATGGGGTTTACATTAGGACAGTTTGGCTAATCCAGACAATGACATTTCTACTGTCTTATTCTTAGTTGTACTATTTCTTGTTGTTCTGGTCTTAAAATTTCCAGGCAGCTCGGCACTTTCATCGTCTTTAGCTTTCTATTTCCATCATGATTTTTGTCTGCCTCCCTCTACCCCCAATTTTTTGATCAGCTTGGTTTTTAAAAGTTATTATTCTGCTGGGCACGGTAGTTTATGCCTGCAGTCCCAGCTCTTTGGCAGGCTGAGGTGGATGGATCACCTGAGGTCAGGAGTTTGAGACCAGCCTGGCCAGCATGATGAAACCCTGTCTCTACTAAAAATCCCAAAATTAGCTGGGCGTGGTGGCACGCTCCTGTAATCCCAGCTACTTGGGAGGCTGAGGCACGAGAATCGCTTGAATCCAGGAGGCAGAGTTGCAGTGAGCAGAGACTGCGCCATTGCACACCAGCCTGGGCAATAAGAGTGAAACTCCATCTCAAAAAAAATAAATAAATAAGTTTGTATTCAAACATATACAAAAACAGAGAGGCAAGTATCATGAACCCTCATATGCCATCAGTAGCTTCAACAATTATCAATACTTTGCCGATTTTTTTTTTTTTTTTTTTGTGATGGAGGCTCACTCTGTCACCCAGGGTGGAGTGCAGTGGCATGATCTCTGCTCACTGCATGCTCCACCTCCCGGGTTCATGCCATTCTCCTGCCTCAACCTCCCGAGTAGTTGGGACTACAGTCGCCCGCTACCACGCCCGGCTAATTTTTGTATTTTTAGTAGGGACGGGGTTTTACCATGTTAGCCAGGATGGTCTCGATCTCCTGACCTCGTGATCCACCCACCTCAGCCTCCCAAAGTGCAGGGATTACAGGCGTGAGCCACCACGCCCGGCAATACTTTGCCAATTTTATGTGACCTATCTGAACCTCTTCTTCTCTCTCTTTTTTTTTTCCTGGAGCAAATTCTAGATGTTGCGTCATCTCACCAGTATCAAGCAACATCTCTAACTGAAAAGGGCATTATTTTGAACATTACCACACCTAACGAAAGTTACAGTAATTAGTAACAGTAATTCCTTAATATTACCTGATACCCAGACTGTATTCAAATTTTGCCTTATTGTCTTGGATATTACTTATTCTGCTCTTCCTTCCTTCCATGCACCCATACTTCCATCCTTCCATTTCTTTTTCTTTTTCCTAATAAGGATCCAAACAGCATCCACATATTCTATTTGGTTATTTTGTATTTTAAGTCCTTTTAATAACAGTCCTCACCCAGCCACTCATCTTTTTCCCCCTCCTCTATGCCATTGAATTATTGAAGAAACCAGGTCATATGTGTAGTAGAGTGTTAGAATGTCCCACACTCTAGATTTGGCTGATTTGTTCCTCATGGTGGTGTCATTTAATGTCTCCTATCCACTGTATTTCCTTTACATTAGTAGTAAGATCTAGAGTCTTGGTGAGGTTCAAGCTCAGTTTTCTAGGTAAGAATTCTTCATGGGTGGTGTATACATTTCCTGTGTATCCCATACTGTCTGGCTGTCCTGTGCGTTAGTTAAGGCTAAGGTTGATTAGGAGATTCTGTACATTCCCTCCTGTGACTGTGCTCTGACATGGATAGTTGGGGTTAATCTGCATCCCTCTGGCCACTCCGTATGGGGGATTTGAGTAGGAGTGAAAGGCTCATGCTTCTGCTAAGCATATGCCTATAATCCTAGCAACAGAAATGCGGTTCTGTGCAGTCATCGCATGTGTTCCTGCTGGGTGTTCTCTTAGGGTTCAGTCATCTCAGGTAGGGGTTGGCAAACTTTGTAAAGGGCCAGAAAGTAAATATTTTAGGCTTTGCAAGGCACATAAGGTTTCAATCACATGTTCTTCTTTGTTGTAACCTTTAAAAAGTATAAGAACCATTCTTAGCTTACAGGCCATAGGAAAACGGGTAACAGACTGGATTTGGCTTGCAGGCTTTAGTATGCTGTAAGAAATGACTTAAGAGTTCAAGAATTTCAGCTTCCTATCTGGAATGTGCTCCTTTCCCACAGACCCTGCTAGACCAACAGGAGTTGCTTTGTGGACAGATTGCTGGAGTTGTCCGCTGTGTTTCTGACATTTCTGACTCTCCTCCTACTCTTGTTCGTCTGAGAAAACTGAAGTTTGCCATAAAAGTTGATGGAGATTACCTTTGGGTAAGTTGAATGGCAGAATCAGTGCTGAAGTGTTGCAATGATAAGTTTAGGAAGTTATGTTGTTTCTGAGTCTTGAATTTAGAATTATCTGCCCCCACCAACCTCATCCATGTACTGTGTTTAGTAATCACCCTCGCTTCCTGTGGTACTCTCTGCAGGTTTTCATCATCAAGTGCTTTCCAAAACATTTCTAACATATTCTGCATTGCACACAGCTGGTTTCTCCTTTCCTTTCAAAGACTTAGGCCAACTTGTGGAAATTCTGTTTACTCTGTGTTGTAAATTGAGTTTTTATCATCATCTTTTCTTCTCCATGCTCTCTACACTTACTGGGTAAGTGACCCAGAAAAAAATGATAGATATATGTTAGGTTTTAGAGAACCCATTAAAAAAAAAAAAAGAATATTGCTTGAGTCCAGGAGTTCGATATCAGCCTGGGCAACATAGTAAGACCCCCGTCTCTATAAAAAATTTAAAAATTAACCGGGTGTGGTGGCTCATGTCTGTGGTCTTAGCTACTGGGGAGGCTGAGGGGAGGATTGCTTGAGCTTAGGAGTTTCAGGCTGCAGTGAGCCATGATTGCCACTGCACGCTAGCCTAGGCAACAGAGTGACACCCTGTCTTAAAAAAAAAAAAAGAATAAAAATCATTCCTTTACATTCTAATAGTAGCATATAATCTAAAGTGCTGTTTCCCATGGCTACATTTATTTTAAGGCTTCCTGAGGTAAAGGGATGCTTAAGTGTGGGATGCTATATTCAACTTTGTAGGTATTATTTCCAACATTTTATTACGAAAATTTTTTAAAGTACTGAACAGTTGAATTTTACAGTGAATACTCATATACCTCCTCAATTCTACAGTTAGCATTTTATTATAGTTGTTTTATTACCTATCTATTCATTCCTTTATCCTCCCATTAATTCAAATTATTTTTATTTTATTTTATTGAGACAGGGTCTCAATCTGTTGCTCAGGCTGGAGTGCTGAGGTGTGACCTTGGTTTACTGCAACCTCCGCCTCCCAGGCTCAAACGATCCTCCCATCTCAGCCTCCTGAGTTGCTAGGACCACAGGCATGCACCACCATGCCCGGCTAATTTTTTAAACTTTTTCTAGAGGCAGGGTTTCACCATGTTGCTCAGGCTGGTCTTGAACTCCTCAGCTCAAGGAATCCTCCCGCCTTGGCCTCCCAAAGTGCTGGGATTACAGGCGCGAGACACTGTAACCCAGCCCCAAATTATTTTGTTACAGTTTTCAAAGTAAGTTGCACACATTAGTGTACTCTCCACACAGATACTCTCTCTATCATGCATATCATCAACTAAAATTTAATGTTTGGGGCTGAGCGCTGTGGCTCAGGCCTGTAATCCCAGCACTTTGGGAGGCCAAGACAGTCGGATCACCTGAGGTCAG
The DNA here is from genome assembly GCF_000001405.40 of Homo sapiens. Lineage (NCBI taxonomy): Eukaryota > Metazoa > Chordata > Mammalia > Primates > Hominidae > Homo > Homo sapiens. The sequence goes on along the minus strand of NC_000022.11, from coordinate 26,475,577 downwards.
GAATTCAAGACCAGCCTGACCAACATGGAGAAACCCTGTCTGTACTAAAAATACAAAATTAGCCAGGTGTGGTGGCACATGCCTGTAATCCCAGCTACTCGGGAGGCTGAGGCAGGAGACTCTCTTGAACCTGGGAGGCAGAGGTTACAGTGAGCTGAGATCGCGCCATTGCACTCCAGCCTGGGCAACAAAAGCGAAACTCCATCTCAAAAAAAAAAAAAAAAAAAAAAGAAATTTAATGCTTGTTTGTGGTTACATGCTTTACAGGCGTCTGTCTTGCCACTTAACACTTGTGAAATTCGTTCATGTTGTTGCATCTATCAGCGTTCGTTCCATTTTATTATCAAACAGTATTCCGTTGTCTGAATATATCACAATCTGTTCTTCTTTTGATGGACATCTGAACTGTGTCCAGTTGGGGATATTAAGGATAAGGCTTCTGGGAACATTCCTATACAAGTATTTTGGTGAACACGTGTTTTCATCTCTCCTGGGTAAATATCCAGTCCTGGAATTGCTGGGTCATAGAGTAGGTGTATGTTGGATTTTATAGGAAACTGTTAGAACTTTTCCTTCAGTGGTTGTACCATTTTACATTCCTACCAAGAATGTATGAGAATTCCAGTTACTCCACCTGCTCATCAGCATTGAGATTGACAGTCTGTTCATCTTAGCCATTCTGCTGGATGTGCAGTGGTGTGTTATTGTGGTTTTAGTCTTCACTTCCCTGATGACTAATGATAGTGAGGCCTTTTCATGTGCTTAATGACCACTTGAATATCTTCCTTTGTGAAGTGTCCATTCAAAGCCCTGCCCATTTTTTAAATTGGGTTTTATTTTTTTAATTGAATTGTAGTTCTTTTTATATCCTAGATACCAGTTCTTTGTCAGATACATCTTTTTAAAATAATTTCTCCCAGTTTGTGGCATGCCTGTTAATTTTCTTGTTGTCTTTTGATGAGCAGAAGTTTTTCATTTTAATGAAGTCTAACTTATAAATTTTATCTTTTTATGGTTATTGCTTTCTGTGTCTTGCCTGAAAAAAACCACTGCCTACTCCATTGGAGGAGATAGTCTCCCTTTTTTATTTTTTGTAAGAATTTGATAGTTTTAGCTTTTAAATTTAGATCTGTAATCCACTTTGGGTTAATATTTGTGAATGGTGTGAATAGAGGTCAAGGATCTTTTTTTTTTTTTCCACCTGGATAACCAGTTCTTCCAGCATCATTGTTGAAAACATTTTCCTTTCCCTATTGGATTTCCCTTTGGTTCCTTTGCCAAAGATCAGATGACCATTTAAGCGTGGGTCTATTTCTGGACTCTTTTCGGCTTTTCCACAGATCTGTTTGAAGATTCTGTGTGAGTACCACACTGTCTTGATTTCTATAGCTTTATAGTAAGTCTTGAAACCAGATAGTATAAGTTCTCCAACCTTATTCTTTCTCAAGATAGCTTTGGATATTTCAGGTTCTTTGTGTTTTCATTGTACAATCAGTTTGTGGTTTCTGAAGAAAAGCTGGTGGGATTATGATTGCAATTGCATTCAGTCTGTTCATCAATTGGAAGAATTGAACACTTCTTACATGCCAGACTGTTGTAAGCTCTTGGATTACATCTGGGAACAAAGCAAAGATCCTTGTGCTACTGTAGCTTACATTCAGAGGGAATTTTTGTTTATTTGTTTTCTGTCAGGGTTTATTAGTTTAAATATCTGATGATTCCCTTAGGACAGATTCCTAGAGGTAGAATTACTACATCAAGTAATAGGAACTTTTTCAGGCTCTTTAAACATATGACCAGATAACTTTCTAACTCAGCAAGTACTTTTTTTTTTTTGAGACGGTGTCTCGCTCTGTTGCCAGGCTGGAGTGCAGTAGCGCAATCTCGGCTCGCTGCAACCTCTGCCTCCCAGGTTCAAGCGATTCCCCTGCCTCAGCCTCCTGAGTAGCTGGGACTACAGGCACACACCACCACGCCCAGTATTTTTAGTAGAGACGGGGTTTCACCATGTTGGTCAGGATGGTCTCGATCTCTTGACCTCGTGATCCACTCAAAGTGCTGGGATTACAGGCATGAGCCACCGTGCCCGGCCAAGTATTTATCTTCTGTGGAACTAACCACTACGCTCAGCATTTTGGAGATCTAGGACTGGGAAGATTGCGGTCAGTTCTTGCTCTTAAAGCACTCTATCCAGCTGGAGAAACATGATGGCCATTCATGAAGGAGTTTGAGTCCTGTCCATTGTTTGTAATGGAATCCAGATTAAACATCTACTGTCCAAATAACAGTCCTAACAATGCAAGGGTCAGAAAAAAGGTCAGCATTATTGGCTCGAGGTAATAGAACAGACCTCATGGAGATACTGAAATTGGTGGTGGGCACTGAAGGTTGTAAGTTCTGGGGAAATGAACAATAAGGAAAAGGACATTTGAGATTGGAAAACATGAATTGAGGTACAGAACTTACTTGTCCATGGAGATTAACTTGGCCAGAATGAAGGGTGTGGACTCAGGGACAATAGAAGATCAATTTCGATGGGCCAGTGAAGTCAGGTAATTGAGAGCCCTGGATGCCAGGATTCTGGGCTTGGACTCAAAGAGAAGGAAGATGCTTGTCTTCCTGGTTTCTCTCTTTACAGGTGCTGGGCTGTGCTGTGGAGCTCCCTGATGTCAGCTGCAAGCGGTTTCTGGATCAGCTAGTTGGATTCTTTAATTTTTACAATGGACCTGTTTCCCTAGCTTATGAGGTACAAGTATGGGGTTGAGGAGTCTTACATTGGGCCTCTTTATAAAAACCGGTATTGCCAGAATGCAGCACTTACTCTGGGGTCTTGTATACTTCATATAAACACATTGTGTCTGGGGACAAGGTCAGGAGCTCTTGGAGGCCCCTCATATGCCTTTGGGCCTAGTGGCATAGGTCACATTTATTCCAAATGTTTATCCCCATCTCCTCCCTGGGATGTTTAGAAAGCGCAGGCCCTGCTTGCCACCCCCACGCGGCAGGCGCCGTGGATCTGTGATGGGATAGGTTTAAAACAGGTCCTCCCTTCCGGTCAGTTTCCTGTGTGAGGAACAATTTTTGAGGTAGTTGGGACTCTGGCCAAAGAATCTGTCCCTCAAAATCTCAGATATTGACCTGAGGCTCTTTCTGTTTTAGAACTGTTCTCAGGAAGAACTGAGCACGGAGTGGGACACCTTCATCGAGCAAATTCTGAAAAACACCAGTGATCTGCATAAGATTTTCAATTCCCTCTGGAACTTGGACCAAACTAAAGTAACATTTTCATCCTCCTTATTCATTTTATATGTAAGACTAGGGCTTCTGGATACTTTTTTAATATTCCTGAAGTGAACTATATCTGGAAAAGTGAGTAGAATGTCACTTCTCAGGCAGGGCCATGACACGGCAGGTCACCTCTCAGCCTCATTTCCCTTATCCAAAGAATGGTGTCAGCATACCTGCCTTCTTGAACTGTTTTGATGATCAAGTGAAGCAGTACCTCAAATGACACCAAGTAAATGCTCAGTAAAGGGAATTAGTATTTTGTTCATGCCTCAGAAGTGTTGAACTCAGTAATCTGAAGGCCGCCTCTCTTGATATTCATATCATATGATCTAGTTATTCTCAGCATCAAAAATGCCCAGCATGAACATTTCAAAAACAAGGTTGCTGTCTTTGAGAGAGAATGGTTGGGAACTGTTTTTGTATCTCTGAGCCGCTCCGTTTGCGGTTGGCACTCAGTGAAACCTAGGCTGCTTGTGTGGCTGGCCTGACCACCTGTGCTGCCCCATTAAGAGCCAGCTACCTGAGCCCTGACTCACAGCCCTCTCCTGTGTCTCACTGCGATAGTAAATAATGTCCCTGTAGCAGGGGTGTAGCACTGTGGCTCAGCCTTCACAGAGCATGACTCCACCAGACATGGGGAAGGGTTTTCCCTGCTCCAGTCTGGAAAACTTCCTGTAGCTGGCCCCAGAGCTTTATAGAATGGCTGGCTGGGATGGCACAGTCTTGAGGCTATGAAGAATAAACTTCTTAATGTGTCAGCAGCTCCGGAGGCTCCATTAACACTAGTTCTAACAGCTGGTGGATACTTGCTGGTTCTAGCTGGCAGGTGGAAGTCTGAGGAGGCTGCTGGTTATTGCTGGCTCTTCCTGACCAGGTCCAGATGCTTTTCTTGTATTTTTAGGGACTTCTAGGCCCCTGACTCCATACAAGGAATGTGGAACTGAGGCATATTTCCCCGAGTGAAAGAGCATGATGTTTTCATTTTATGTGATGGAATAGAGTCATGGAACCTGGTCAGACATCAAGCCACCTGTATCACCATGGGGATTGTGCTTCAGAAGGAAAGTGGAGGATAGGGTAGGTGGGTTTCACCTGGTACCATGACATGTATTTATAGGATACACCCTCCTCTTCTGCTGCCGTGAGGTCTTAGCATTGTCAGGGTAGACAGTCGGTCTCCCAGGCCATCTACTTTGACCCCTTTGAATAGCCATATGCCATATTTGCTGCACCTTCTAGCTTCTGGACAGGCCTCCTTGTTCTAAGAATTTGGCATTTAGTGGTGTCAGCAGTTCTGAGTATAGAGAGGTAGAATAGTCCCAAGCCATGGCACAGCTTTCACTGTGTGACACATTCTCCTTTTCCAGGCTTTGAGCTACACCCTGTCCAGCTGTTCTGTACAACCCTTTCCCCTTTTCTCCCTTCCTGATTGTGAGCATGCTGATGGGTGGGCATGATGCCTCTTGCCCTGCACAGGTGGAGCCCCTGTTGTTGCTGAAGGCAGCCCGCATTCTGCAGACCTGCCAGCGCTCGCCTCACATTCTCGCTGGCTGCATCCTCTATAAAGGACTGTGAGTAACTCCAGACCCCTTTCTTCCAGCCCCATTCCCTTGCTGCACAACTGACCATCAGCCACCTCCAGATCACAGTGGGGAGCCCAGTCTCTGGCCAGTTCCAAGTGGGCTGGTTCGGCAAATATCAGGTAGTTTAGATTTGACTCAGTTTAGAAAGACAGGTGTGTACCTGTCTTTGAGCAAAGCTGAGAAATTGGAAATAGTTGTGTTCAGAAAAGAGTTAAGAATGTCCCTATAATTCTCAGTATGGGGCATGCTGGAATAGTTGTCAGTCTGCAAAATGCTAATGCAGAGTCCCGAGCGTTGCCAGCAGCCAGCACTGTAGTCAAGAGGCATGGAAGGGGCCTGCTGTGACCCTCCTCCTGCTGCCCAGAGACCCTGGTGTGCTTGCCTCAGCTCAGCTCTGCAAAGCAGCCTTACAGGCCCTTATCCAGCTGCCTTCAAGCCTCTTGGCTGGGCCAGTGTCTTGGTTGGCCTCTGAGAATTCACTTCACTTCTTCATGTAGTTGGAGGGCTTCTTGGTGAATCTGAGTGCCCAAGAGCCACTCTAGGTCATCTAAGGCCTCTCTCCTCATGGAGGGTTTGCTGTCACAGCCCAGGGCAGGCAGGGCCATTGCGCTGTGCCCGGAGCTTCCTGAGGAGCAGGCAACTACTGTGTAAATGGAGAAGCACTGAGGCTCTCGCAGGGGCCCTTGGGCCAGACAGGCTCGGCCCCAGATCCTCCCTTCTTTCGCCAGCCATGCGGCCTTGGGCAAGTTGCTTAGCCTCAATTTTCTCTTCTGGGAAATAGACATCCCTTGTGAAGAATGAAATGAGATGACAGATGCGGAAGAACCGAGCATAGACCCTGGTGGGCTTTGCACTCTTCTTCCTTGCCCCGGTTCTTATCATGATGGTTCTGAATCAGCTGTGGGATTTCCAAGTTCGTCAGTGACATACCCACCAAAGACAGTATTTTTTTTCCCCTTTTCTCATTTTGCATTTCTTAAATGTATATATATATATTTTTTTTTCTTTTTTTTTTTTTTGTAGGGACGAGGTCTTGCTATGTTGCCCAGGCTGGTCTCAAACACCTGGCTTCAAGCGATCCTCAGCTTCCCAAACTGCTTGGATTATAGACATAAGCCACTGCACCCAGCCTGTATTTACATTATACGGCTAATACATGAATACATTTTCACTGTAAACAAATCAATCAATAGAGGAACACACAGAGCACAATTTAAAAGCCCCCCTTCTTTCTTCACCATTTTTGTTTGTTTGTTTTTGAGACACAGTCTTGCTTTGTTGCCCAGGCTGTAGTGTAGTGGCATAAACACAGCTTACTACAGCCTCGACCTCTTGGACTCAAGTGATCCTCCCACGTAGCTGGAACAACAAGCACTTGCTACCACACCTGGCCAAGCTTTTGATTTTTTTTTTTTTTTTTTTTGTAGAGATGGGATCTCACTATGTTGCTCATGGAGGTCTCAAACTCCTAAGCTCAAGTTATTCTCCCACCTCAGCCTCCCAAAGTGCTGTGATTGCAGGAGTAAGCCACTGTGCCCAGCCTCTCCCTCACTCTTAACCTGTCCTCACCATTGGCAGTTTGGTGGGCATCTTGCTCTTTCTGTGTGTTTGTCCCCACTGGTACATGTATGCATATATTGCTTTTGTTTATTTTTGCTATCTCCTTAAATAGGATCACATGGTTTCTCAACGCATACAGTGAAGATTTCCTTACCGGTTCATATGGGTCTACCTCATTCTTATGAGGACTGCATACTTTTTGGGATTCTGGCTGTGTTGTGCTTTACTGTCTTGTTGATGAACATTTTGGTGGTTTACTCATTTTTTAATTGTTTTTACCATTCTCCCTGTAATGAATATTCTTACGCATACATCTTGGTACAAGCTGAGTCAAAGGGTTTGGATATTTTAAATGTTGGTAGGAACTGCCAGAGTGCCCTCTGTAAGGGTTTTACCAGTTGAAACTCCCACCAGCCAAGTCCCCAAGATCCTCGTCAACACGGGCTGTTAGGCATCTTTAAAATTTGGAGTGTTTTGGTGTATTTCGTCTCATGGTGTTCTTGTTCTGTGTGTGACCTCCTAGGATTGTCAGCACCCAACTCCCGCCCTCCCTCACCGCCAAGGTCCTGCTTCACCGAACAGCACCTCAGGAGCAGGTATTGTAAAGTCCACCCACCTGGCTGGACAGCATCCCCCAGAGCACTGGTCACTGAGCCTGAGGCTGGAGGGATCAGGAGCAGAGGCCGTGGAGCAGTTGTTTCACTTGGTCTTGTCAGGACCCCAAGTCCTCCAATGTCATTCTCCTCAGTAGTGAAGCCATTGGTGAGGCTGAAAGAAAATGTTTTCTTCCACGAGCTAGGCCTGGATAGTTGTTTTTTCTTCAAACCAAGGAAATCTTGGTTGAATTCGACTTCCCATAAGAATTTGATGTCTCTTTATGTCAAAGAGATGTTAGACTTTTCAGAGACAGACTGTAAAGGATGTGTCTTTAGAAAGATTTAGGGGGTTGGGCACGGTGGTTCACACCTGTAATCCCAGCACTTTGGGTGGCTGAGGTGGGCAGATCACTTGAGGTGAGGAGTTCAAGACCAGCCTGGCCAACATGATGAAACCCATCTCTATTTAAAATACAAAAATTAGCTGGGTGTGGTGGTGCACACCTGTAAATCCCAGCTACTTGGGAGGCTGAGGCAGGAGAATCGCTTGAACCTGGCAGGCAGAGGTTGAGGTGAGCTGAGATCGCGCCACTGCACTCCAGCCTGGGTAGCAAGAGTGAGACTCTGTCTCAAAAAATAAAAATAAAAATAAAAAAATAAGGAAAACAAACTCTTCTAAAATACTTCCATTTTATATTTATTTAATTGTTTTTATATTGAAAAAAAAGCCATGCATGCTCATTGAGAATAAAATTGCCCATCTTTGAACTGTACAGGGATAGCCACTGCCAGCATCTGGCATATCTCCTTCCAGTCCTTTTTTTGTTTTGTGTATGAAGCTGTGGTTTCCAGCGTATCATGAGGCTGTCTTTTTACATGTATTAGTGAACAGGCATGTAAAATGCTGGTAGGGCTCTATTCAGCCTCCTCAGCCACTGTGGCTATGGGTGTCAATTCAAGTAGCCTTTCTGGGAAACACTTTGATAATGAGAACGTTAAGGATGCCCTTTATTTTTTTCCTAATAATTTGACTTCTAGGAATATATCTTAAGGAAATAATGTAACTGCTGAAAAAAATTTATACTCAAAACTTGATCACAACAAGCTTTATGAAAGTGAAAAATCAGACAAAACTTGAATGCTTAAAGTAGGAGGTGGCAAATTATGGCCTGTGGGCCACCTGCCTACAAATGAAGTTTTATTTGGCTGCTTTTGAGCTATAATAGCAGAACCAAGTAGGTGGGACAGAGACCATATGCCCTGCAAAGCCAAAAATATTTACTGTCTTGTCTTTTGCACAGAAAGTTTACTAATTACTGGTCTAAGGTAGGTAAATGATTAATTTACTCATATCACTTAAACCTTCATAAAATTTTAATCAGCCGTTTAAAATGGCCAAAGATGTTTTAGTGGCAGGAAATGCGTGTTACTGTTTTAAGCAGAAATATGAAATTTTATATAGTGTGGCCTCAAAAGTATAAAAACTGCATAGGCTTAAGGAAAAAATACCCAATATTAATAGTACTAGCTTGGGGATGAGGGATTGTATGTGATTTTTTTTTTCAACGCTTTGTCTAGAGTAAATTGAGGTTAGGCTTAGTAATCTAAAACATAGTTTTTTAAAAATCACCAAAAAAGGAAGAACACCATATCATTCTAAGATTGAAAGTCATTTTGGCTAGAAGAGCAGTTCTTGTTTGGTTTGGTTTTGTTTTGGTGGGTTCTTTTGGAACCCTCAGATTGAAACGAGAGATGTTTTCATTTTTGAGAAAATCATCAGGTTTTAGGCCCTGATTGTGAACCAGAACAAACGAGAGATTGGGTATAGCATTTTGTTTAAGTCAAATCCTTTATCGTGAGAGTCACAGTATTTTGACATTTTTATTATAATGGAATTTATGTGAATTCTACATCAGGGCTGTGGCAGATGTGACTGTATTCTAGAATATGAGTTCCCCAAAGGTGTAAAAGAGAACAGGAATCCTCAATTTTATTCCCAGAAGGGAGAGAGACTGAGAAAATCAGAACGTAGAGTGTGATGTGAGTTTGGGTGGAGCTGCTGCCTTGCAGCCTGTGTGGGCCCAGGTTCTTGCTTCATCCCAGCCATAGTGGGAGCCAGCAGCTTGGGGGAGCTTCTGTTCCATCTGCTTGGCTCTTAGCATGTGGTTGGGACAAGCTTTCTGGGCCTGGCTAAGTTTTATGAACAGATGGCACAGCAAATTCCTGATGGTTAGGTCAAGAGGAGAATGTGGTGCCCAGCGCCAACTTCTGTGTGTGTTTGTTTTCAGAGACTCCCTACGGGAGAGGATGCCCCGCAGGAACATGGTAAGTAGTGAGGCGCATGGTTGCCTCTTGAGAACGGCGGTCTTTTATGCTACCTACCCCTGTACAAGTTATGCGAAGGAAACCAAGCCATCTGCATGTTTATTTCCTCTGCTCATAATAGGAAAATGGATGTTATGGAGCTTCAAGAATCGAGTTACCCACCAGAACCCTAATGGTAAAGCTATGATTTTAGGCATGCTGTCAAATCCCTGCTTTCAGACCCTCCTTAACTTCATATTGTGAGACTGCTCGGTCAAGTGCCAGGAGATTGTGATTGGGAGAGGGTAAGGCAAACAGCGACTGCCAGAAAGACCTTTTGCAGGATGTGGAGGCGTCCTCAGGAGAGTTATTTCGATTTATTCTGAAGCCTGAGTTGGAGCAGATCCCTTTCTTAGCTTATATCTTCTTCTTGTAAAAGTGCTTTTCAACCTTTCTCTCCCGAACATCTTCCTTCTCCAAAGCTGGGAGTCATGTTGCCTGCAGGGACTCTTTCCTTACTGGGCCCAGGAGTTCGAGGTGCAGTTTGGCAACCTGTGTCCTGGCTGAGGAATGCACTCACAGCACCCCTTTCCGAGCCCACGTGTGGGTTGGATGCATCACGCCAGTGCAGCTATTGCCCCGCTGCCCTCTCTGGCTCAGGGGAAAGTCCTGTTCATATTGCTTTGCAATTCCAGGAGCGGCATTGCCCCCGAATGTCCAGATTATCCCTGTTTTTGTGACCAAAGAGGAAGCCATTAGTCTCCACGAGTTCCCGGTGGAACAGATGACAAGGTAATGGAGTGCACAGAGAGTTAACCTTGCACCACACCTGAGGGACCCCATCGCGTGATTGGTTAAAAAACAAACCTCTGATACATCCCATCGTTCCTTAATTCCATCTTCCCCATGCCCTGTCTTGTAAAGGAGCATCTGAATCTTGAGTTTGTTAAGAAACAGAGTGGCATAGAGAGATGACATTGGCTTTCATATCCCAGCTCTCTTACTTATACCAGCTATGGGACCTTGGGCAAGTCCATTCCCTGCCTGAGCCTCAGTTTTTTCATCTGAAAAGTAGACAAAATAGTATCCCTTTCATGAGTTCATTGTGACACTTGAAAATAGTATAGGTACAGCACCTAGTATAGGGCCTGATGCGTAGGAGACCTTCCAGATGTGGGTCAGTCTTATTCAGTGGGCTCTGCCATTTTCAGTAGGTGAGTCTGGTGTCACTACGTAAAGCCCCAAGGGCCAGATGTTGGTGTATTTTTACTCTTGTGATTTAACTCTGGTGGCCTCTTAGGCTCTGTGGCCTCAGGCACCCCCTTGTCCTTGATGCCTGTGCTTTAGTCTTCACTGTGGAAGGGCACTTGCCCTGCAGTCTGTCAACGTGCCCCTTCCTTACATCTCTCTTGTTTGCCAGGTCTCTAGCATCTCCAGCAGGACTCCAGGATGGTTCAGCCCAGCACCATCCAAAGGGTGGGAGCACATCTGCCCTGAAAGAAAACGCCACTGGCCATGTGGAATCCATGGCCTGGACCACCCCAGATCCCACATCCCCTGACGAAGCTTGTCCAGATGGCAGGAAGGAGAACGGATGCTTGTCTGGCCATGATCTGGAGAGCATCAGGCCCGCAGGACTGCACAACTCTGCCAGGGGTGAGGTTCTTGGCCTCAGCTCCTCCCTGGGGAAGGAACTAGTCTTTCTCCAAGAAGAACTCGACTTGTCTGAAATCCACATTCCAGAGGCTCAGGAAGTGGAAATGGCCTCAGGTCATTTTGCCTTCCTACATGTGCCTGTTCCAGATGGCAGGGCTCCTTACTGCAAGGCATCTCTCAGCGCCTCCAGCAGCCTGGAACCCACGCCTCCTGAGGACACAGCCATCAGCAGCTTGCGCCCTCCCTCTGCTCCTGAGATGCTGACCCAGCATGGAGCCCAAGAGCAGCTCGAAGACCATCCTGGCCATAGCAGCCAAGCCCCCATTCCCAGAGCAGACCCTCTCCCCAGAAGGACCCGCAGGCCCTTGTTATTGCCTCGCTTAGATCCAGGACAGAGAGGAAACAAGCTTCCCACGGGGGAACAAGGCCTGGATGAGGATGTTGATGGGGTCTGTGAAAGCCACGCAGCCCCTGGTCTGGAATGCAGTTCAGGCTCAGCAAACTGTCAGGGTGCTGGCCCCTCTGCAGATGGAATCAGCTCCAGGCTGACACCAGCAGAGTCCTGCATGGGGCTCGTGAGGATGAATCTCTACACTCACTGCGTCAAAGGGCTGGTGCTGTCCCTGCTGGCTGAGGAGCCGCTGCTGGGAGACAGCGCAGCCATAGAGGAAGTGGTGAGTGTCCTCAGACCTTCTCCTGCCCCTCTGCGGCCTCTGCCGATCTCCTGTGCTTCCCTCACAGCACTGTGCCAACACCCAGGGAAGAGATAAAGGCTCAGCCCTCAGTTGTGTGACCCTGGGCAAGACGTTCTTGTTTAGACGATGGAGGTATTACCTGCCTCTGTGGGTTTTTGTGGGGGGTAAGAGTGAGTCAAGCGCATAGCACTGGTGGTGCATTGGCATCCAACAAGTGTTGGTTCTCTTCTTCCGCTGTTTCTAGTTTTGCAGAGCGCAGGCCTTGGAGAAAGGGAAGGCCTGAGATGGAATCCTGGCCCTTGTCCTCTAGCTGTGTGAACTTGCCCACAGACCTTTGTCCCCTTGAGCCTTGGCTAACTCCTCAGTCACGTAGGGATGGTGGTAGACCTTCCTGTTCCAGATGCAGTGAGATAATGCAGGCAGAGACTGCACACGTACGTGCATGTGTTGTGCCGCCCCTGCTCATGGCCTCATTTCCTAGCCTGGACAGCTCTAGGTTCTGTGTCAGCTGGAAACTCCTCCGCAGTGTGTCACAGCCTGGGTTGGGAGTTCCCTAGAAACCCAGTGTTTCCCTCCATAGCCCCAGCATCGTACCTGATCTGAAGCTCCTTCCTAGAAGGCTGGGATGTCTGAAATCCTGCCTGGCTCTGGAGGGCTCTTAAACTATTGCAGCCCCTTCCCCGCTTAGAGGCTTAGAGTGGTAAACTGACCTTCCCTGGGGCCCACGCTGGAGATTCGTTGCTATAGTAACAGCCTTGCTTTAGTAGGCAGGGAAAGTGGTAGCAGTAAGAACAGCAGGTTGAAATTGCTGCAGGGCAAATGGTGTCTTGGGGCTTTCCTTGTTTTTATTCTTAAATGTGTATTATTCTAAGCTGATCTTACTATCATGCAGGGCTTGTGACCCTCCATAAATGAGCTAGTCACCTTGAAATACAGAAGAAGAGATAAGACTGCACAGCAGCTTCCTTGCACAGAGCTCCTAGCAAGAGAATGCTCTCTGGAGCTGTCAGGCTTCTCTGTGCCCTTTCCACAGACGCTGGATCACTGAGTTATGGCTCATTTGCTTCCTGTATCCCCATTCACCATAGCTAGGAGTGACTATCCATCTCCTTCTTATAGCAGTGCGGGGAGTTGTGGCTGCAGTGTTAAATGCCTCATCTCCCTGCCAATGCCTTGGTTTTCATGGTCTGTTCTGCACAGTGTCGAGCCTTGGAAGTGTCATTTTGAAGGGCCCAGTGTTTGAATGCAATAAAGTGGATATAATACCTCTCTTTTTACCTTCCCCCACAAAAAGGAAAAAATAGCCCAGGCTGCTCTTTGAGATGTATTCTGCACCAACTATATGTGAAATACTTCGCATCTCTCGTTTTAGCCAAGCCTTAGAACAGTTCTGGGAAGGAGGCATTGTAACTCCCATTTTACCAGTAAGAAAACAGCCTCATTGAGATGAAAAGACTTCCTGCAAGTGGCAGGTCCAGAATTCTTGCTTGTTTCTGGTTCCCCACCCCAGCCTCTCTGTCCCCCCACTGCCCTGCCCTTGCAGTGATAGCTGGGAAGCTGAAGAAAGGGGGTCAGTGTCCTGCCTTCTGTGGCTCGTGCTCTATGGCCATATCCCCTGGTTTGTCAAGGTCTATCCATGCTGTTACGACATCAGCCTCCATGGGCTTCTGTGGAAAGCAGGGTTTGATGCTGGCTAGGCCCCGGGAAATAGACTGCAGTTTTATGGAAGAGAAAAAGCTAATCTTTTCTTCTTTTTTTTTTTTTTTTTTGAGATGGAGTTCCGCTCTTGTTGCCCAGGCTGGAGTACAATGGTGTGATCTGAGCTCACTGCAACCTCCGCCTCCCCGGTTCAAGCGGTTCTCCTACCTCAACCTCCTGAGTAGCTGGGATTACAGGCATGTGCCACCAGGCCCGGCTAATTTTGTATTTTTAGTAGAGACGGGGTTTCTCCATGTTGGTCAGGCTGGTCTCGAACTCCTGACCTCAGGTAATCTGCCCGCCTCGGCCTCCCAAAGTGCTGGGATTACAGGCATGATTGCACCCATCCCTGAAAAGCTAATCTTTTCTAGTATGGAGTGACTAACTTTGATCAGCCCACTGGTTTGAGAGTGGGTTTGTTAATCAGACCCAAAGGATTTCTGTTTTATAATCAGGAAGAGGTGTTTGATTGCCTTTTTGTCCCAGACTAGCCTTGAAAATACTTTATCTGATTTCCCTGCAGCCCCTCTGCTACTGTCTAGAAAAACCAAATACCCCCAGTTACGGTGAGCACACCCCTTTTGCAAGGGCTCCTTAATGATGTTACATACTGCCAAGCTGCCCTTGTGTCATTTGGCTGTCTTGTCTTTGGGTGGATCAGCTTCCACAGGGAGTAGGGGTAGGGTGAGGGGCAGCAGGGGTTGGGATTGGTGAAAGGAGCCCTGGGTGGAGCAGCCAGGAGGGTTGGGATTGGGGCTGGAATTCCCTCAGAGGGAGTGGAATAGGCTCACACCAGGGGGCAGCATAGAGCCGCTGATAGTCCATTACTCAGACCCCAAGATAATCTCCTTGACCTTCAAACACAGTGATCAGATTAATTATTTATCACTACAATAGGACATGGAGCTTCTGTGTACAGTACATGAGGCTTGAAGTTAGTGTGAGAGTGTTGCCATAAAACATTTTATGAAAAAACACCTTCCCCCAACTGGGAAACCGGTATCTCTAAGTGAATGTGTGTTCCATGCATTGCTCCTGCTGCACGCTGTGTCACACACTGACATTTGTGCCACTTGCTTTCGTGTGCACTAGAAGTCAGAGGACCCGGGAATTAGCCTCAGCTCTGTGTTGCCTAGGGCTGTTGTGAGGATCACATTATGTAGCAGTATATATCGGTGGCTGGCAAACATTTTATGTAAAGGACCAGAAAGCAAATATTTTCAGCTTTGCACAGCTTTTCAGCTCTGCTGTTGCAGTACAAAAACAGCCATAGACAGTATATAAATGGTATGACTGTATTCCAGTAATTATTTATGGACATGGAATTGGAACTTCATATAATTTGCACATGTTACAATATTATTCTTTTGACTTTTTTCCCCAACCAAGTAAAAAAATATAAAAACCATTCTTAGGTCTCAGACTGTACAAAGATAGGCAACAGGCTGGATTTAGTTTATAGGCTAGAGTTTGCTGACCCCTGGTATGTATGAAAGCACTTGGTTATCAGTAAAAATTATCCACATGTCATCTGACATAGCATCTTGTGATTAACTGTGTTTTTATGGTTAAGTGATCCTATCTTGAGTGCAAGTTAGGCAGAAGATTTTGGAAGCAAAGCTCCGTGCCTGTGGGGAAACAGTTTTTGGCATGGCTCACTCTCTGTTCTTATTGTTTCTTCCTCTGGACACCAGCTCAGCATGGAAGGGATGACTGTTAGCACGTTCTTGAGGTCCAAAAACTTTCAGTGAGGCTGTGGTTTGACTTCATCAGGTGAATGCTTATGTGTGCCCGTGTGCGTGTCGGCACATGCACACACACACATCTGTTCAAATAAGAGGCTCAGTGTTAAACGCAGTGTTGGTCAGGCTCTCTCAGTGATCTGAACATGAGATATTATGATTGTCTTTCCTGAGCACATATCTTTTTACATAGCTCTGCAACCTTGGTTTAAACCAAATAGCTCATAAATTGGCAGTGCTTGGCATTGGATGTGTTCATTTATTCATTCATTTAGTGGATTCATTTATTGAGCACCTACTAGGAGTCAGACACTCTACTAAGCATTGAGGATACAAAACTGAGCGCATAGAAAATAACTTTGTATGTCACACCTATTGACTTGAAATATCATTTCTGAGACTTTCATACAGGAAAACTGATTTAACACCAATATACTCCCAAAATAACATGTAAGCTTCATGACATTTACTTCAGAAGCATTCTGTTTGCATCTCTGTACTTTTTATATGCACTTATTTTTCTTACATAGCTGTTGAAAAATAGTCCACAAATTATCTGTGATCTCTAAAGAGACACCATTTCTTTTATATGATTATTTTCATTTCCTTGACTTTATAAAAAGACTCTGCCTCAGGATAGCACTTTAGAGTTTACAAAGGACTTTTGGATGTGTCATTTCATTTAAGTCACTCAATAGTCCCGTACTGTTCCCATTTTGCAGTTGACTAGAAAAATGAGGCACAGAAAACTTGGTAACTTGCTCCTGGTCATTTGACTAAAAAGAGGCTGAACTTGGGATGTTTTTTACCTGGGAACTGCAAATGTTTGGGGACAGTGACCTTCTTTCTTGTGGCTGAAGCAGGCCCAGGAAACCCCATTTCAGACCAAGCCTATTATGACAGGCCTGGCCTACTGAGTCAAGCCCTCAGTGGAGCTTGAGGAACACTGCACAGCCATTAAAGAATTATATGATAGAATATTTAAAGACGAGAAAAGCAGTTCATGCTGTGTTGTTAGGTTAAAAAACTATCAGTCATTATTTATGATTTGATCTCATTTTTATTTTACAGAAAAAGAGTTACACAAAACAGTTTAGTCCAGTCTTTTCAATTGTACTTAAACTTTATCTCCTTGGAGGTTTGTAAAAATACAGGTACTTGAACCCATCTCCTTGACAGTCGTCCTCAACTGTATTCCTCTTCTGAACCATCAAGTGCAGAAAGCTGTTTGACTGACACTCAGTCCTTCCAAGAAAGCCAGGACCGTGCTAGGTGTAGCAGAGAGAAGTTACCGTGTTACATCCAGTGAGGGACTTCTGTACCCAGGGCCAGTGAGAAACAATGCGGGATGGTCCCAGGCTGTTTGTATTGTGAAATCATGCAGCCTGGGTAGGAAAGCCATGGTTAAAATAAGATACACCACAGTGGTGACAGTGGCTATTACTGGATGGTGAAATGATGGGTTGTTTTCTTGTTATTTTTTTGCTCATCTCTTTTCTAAATCTCCTACAATATAATCATTATTTTTAAAAACATTAGAACATAAGGGTGAAAGAAAAATGTTGGTGAGAGTCCATTTTGCTGGATCAAGTAGGCAGTAAGATACTCCATGAATGATTTTTTTTTTTTTTTTTCGAGACAGAGTCTCACTCTATCACCCAGGCTGGAGTGTGGTGGTGCGGTCTCGGCTCACTGCAGCCTTAAACTCCTGGCTTAAGTGATCCTCCTGCCTCGGTCTCACAAAGCACTGGGATTACAGGTGTGAGCCACCGTGCCTGGCTGGAGGATTTTTTTTTTAACTAAGTCTGTGGTTAACTAGCCCTCAGAAGGCTTGCTGAGGTCAGCCCTACAAGCCCATGACCCTCTCCCCCTTTGCAGTACCACAGCAGCCTGGCTTCACTGAATGGGCTGGAAGTCCACCTGAAAGAGACGCTGCCCAGGGATGAGGCAGCCTCCACGAGCAGCACCTACAACTTCACACATTACGACCGCATTCAGAGCTTGCTGATGGGTAAGAACCAGCCAAGGGGCCTGGGGCGACGGGGATGCCAGATTCTAGATGGGTGGAGATGAGAACTTGAGCCCCAGCATCATGATGACACGGCTGTGCACAGAGTTGTCTGACCTGCGTTCAGGGCTCTCTTCTCACCGGGAGCCCAGTCCCACTGAGTGTGGCGTTCACTGGGCAGACGCTTCTCTGCTCATGTGTCTGTTTTTGGCGTTTCCCAGTGTTTTGAGAGAAGTTCATGTTCACATATCTGTGATAGGGTTTGTCTCAGAATGTTGAGATCCACACGCAGAAACCGGGTGCTGCATCGCACAGCGGCGGCAGCCGAAGCCCAATGCCCCGGGCCTTTGTCTCTGCCCCGGGCAGCCAACTCATGGCCTTGAGCCGTGCTCAGTCCCCGTGTTCAGTACTGGGCTTCATGGGGTGGGAGGGCAGAAGGTAACTGTCTGCTCTTCACAACTCTGTGTCCTCTTCTGGAAGCAAACCTGCCGCAGGTGGCCACCCCGCAGGATCGCCGCTTCCTCCAGGCCGTCAGCCTGATGCATAGCGAATTTGCCCAGCTGCCCGCGCTTTATGAAATGACTGTCAGGTGAGCCTCCCTGAGTCGCTCCCCAACCTACTCTCCACGGTCCTGCTCATGGGAACCACCTGTGGGGCCCAGGCAGCGCCTTATTCCTAAGTAGATGAAAAACATTCTAGTTACTCTCCTTAAGGCCTTCCTTTGTCGGTTCCTATTGCCGCCATCATCCACTGTTGTGCAGTCACGTGCCATGGACTTTCTGGTTCCCTTCCTACTTTAGACGCTTGGGGTCCAGCAGTGAAGGAACCTGAGGTCCTCACCATCATGGAGCTACATCCATTACTAGGGACGGTGGCTCCGTCTCCTTGCTAGAAACAGTGTTGAAATATTGTTGTCTTTCTAATTACAAAGTAATATGGCTGGGCACAGTGGCTCACACCTGTAATCTCAGCACTTTGCGAGGCAGGGGGATCACTTGAGGTCAGGGTTCAAGACCAGCCTGGCCAACCTGGTGAAACCCTGTCTCTACTAAAAATACAAAAAATTAGCTGGGCAGGGTGGTGGGTGCCTGTAGTCCCAGCTACTCAGGAGGCTGAGGCAGGAGAATCACTTGAACCCGGGTGGCAGAGGTTATAGTGAGCTGAGATCACACCATTGCACTCCAGCCTGGGCAACAGAGTGAGACTGCGTCTCAGAAAAAAAAAAAAAAAAAAAAAAGTAATACGTGCTGATCATACAGTCATGCAGAATGCTTGGAAATGTATCAAGTAAAACATTTTCCTCTCTCATCTCCATCACACACCAGGAAATAACCACATTTTACAGTTTGGTATATATTGCTCCAGGTTTTATTGGTTTTTGGTTTTTATTTTTTGCACATATAAATTGTATTTTTAATTATTTTAAGTCTTCTAGAAAATAGGATTCTACTAATGTACAATTTTACAGTTGTCTTTTTTCACATTATGTCATAGCTTGAACACCTCCATGCCAGAAGAAATATTATGATTATTGTAATTTACAGTATTTAACCAACCGAATTTGTTTTTTTCTTTCTATATGCTTCTCTTATGAAACCAGAAAGGGAGTTTGGGCTTTAAAGATCACTTTATAAAAGCCCGAGGAGACTGGGACCTGAGAATTTGGTTGACAACTGGTAACAGAAAATAAAGCAAGTTAGCAGGTCAAGGGCAGTGCTGGCAATGTGTATATTAGTCCACGTAGTCCTTGGAACCATCTGGTCAAGGGCATTATTTTTTATTTATTTATTTTGAGATGGAGTCTCACTCTCGCCAGGCTGGAGTGCAGGGGCTCAGTCTCGGCTCATTGCAACCTCTGTCTCCTGGTTTCAAGCAATTCTTCTGCCTCAGCCTCCTGAGTAGCTGGGACTACAGGCACCTGCCACCATGCCCAGCTAATTTTTGTATTTTTAGTAGAGATAGGGTTTCACCATGTTGGCCAGGATAGTCTCAATGTTTTGACCTAGTGATCTGCCCACCTTGGCCTTCCAAAGTGCTGGGATTACAGGCGTGAGCCACCACGCCCGGCTTCAAGGGCATTTTTTAAATCCTCATTTTACAGATGAGAAAATTGAAGCACAAATAGGATAAGCAGCTTGCCCAGGGTTATATTCTTCTTAAGTGGCAGGGCCAGGATTTGAAGCATTTTCTCCAACTGTTAAGCACATGTATGACCTTTCCACACACATTTCAGTGTCGGGGCAGTGTGGTCCAGTGTGAGGGGCATGGGTGGTGGACTGACAGGGAGCCTGGGTGGGTGATTAGGATGGTTCTGATTCCCTGTCACCCGCCACACTTGAGCGCCAGGTGTTCTGCTGCCTCTCAGCGTCTCCAGCCAATATTCCAATAGATCTTTCTGTCAGAAATGTGTCTTCTCTGGCTTTAATTCACAGCTGCCCCAGGCTGGCAACCCAGAGGCAACTTGCATCTACAGTCACTGGTTTGGGAACTGGCTGTGTTGGGGGTGTGTGTGTCTGTTTTGTGGGAGGTGGAAACAAGTAAAATGTCAGCATCTGCTCCACCAACCACCTTGTGGCCCTGCAGTATGTCACCTTCCTTAGAGCTGAGAGGGGTTTAGTGTTGAGACACATAGCTCAAGGCATTTGTTGAGAGATTATTTCAATAACAGTAATAGAAACAACAGCTACCATTTCTTTTTTTTTTTAATTTTATTATTATTATAAGTTTTAGGGTACATGTGCTGTGCACAACGTGAGGTGTGTTACATATGTATACATTTGCCATGTTGGTGTGCTGCACCCATTAACTCGTCATTTAGCATTAGGTATATCTCCTAATGCTATCCCTCCCCCCTCCCCCCACCCTACAACAGGCCCCAGTGTGTGATGTTCCCCTTCCTGTGTCCATGTATTCTCATTGTTCAATTCCCACCTATGAGTGAGAACATGTGGTGTTTGGTTTTTTGTCCTTGCAATAGTTTGCTGAGAATGATGGTTTCCAGTTTCATCCATGTCCCTACAAAGGACATGAACTCATCATTTTTTATGGCTGCATAGTATTCCATGGTGTATATGTGCCACATTTTCTTAATCCAGTCTATCGTTGTTGGACATTTAGGTTGGTTCCAAATCTTTGCTATTGTGAATAGTGCCGCTATAAACATACGTGTGCATGTGTCTTTATAGCAGCATGATTTATAATCCTTTGGGTATATACCCAGTAATGGGTTGGCTGGGTCAAATGGTATTTCTAGTTCTAGATCCCTGAGGAATCGCCACACTGACTTCCACAATGGTTGAACTAGTTTACAGTCCCACCAACAGTGTAAAAGTGTTCCTATTTCTCCACATCCTCTCCAGCACCTGTTGTTTCCTGACTTTTTAATGATCGCCATTCTAACTGATGTGAGATGGTATCTCATTGTGGTTTTGATTTGCATTGCTCTGATGGCCAGTGATGATGAGCATTTTTTCATGTGTTTTTTGGCTGCATAAATGTCTTCTTTTGAGAAGTGTCTGTTCATATCCTTCGCCCACTTTTTGATGGGGTTGTTTGTTTTTTTCTTGTAAATTTGTTTGAGTTCATTGTAGATTCTGGATATTAGCCCTTTGTCAGATGAGTAGGTTGCGAAAATTTTCTCCCGTTCTGTAGGTTGCCTGTTCACTCTGATGGTAGTTTCTTTTGCTGTGCAGAAGCTCTTTAGTTTAATTAGATCCCATTTGTCAATTTTGGCTTTTGTTGCCATTGCTTTTGGTGTTTTAGATGTGAAGTCCTTGGCCATGCCTATGTCCTGAATGGTATTGCCTAGGTTTTCTTCTAGGGTTTTTATGGTTTTAGGTCTAACATGTAAGTCTTTAATCCATCTTGAATTAATTTTTGTGTAAGGTGTAAGGAAGGGATCCAGTTTCAGCTTTCTACATATGAACAGCTACCATTTCTTAACCACTCACAATGTGTTAAGCACTCACTTAATCTCATTCTTTAAAACAAAACAAAACAAAAACACCAATGAGGACACATACTGTTGCAACAAACACTGTACAGATGAAAAAGCTGGGACTCAGAAATGTTGAATAGCAGCCCAGGACACACACTAGGAAGTAATAGGGCTGGGATTAGCACCTGAGTGTGTGTGACTCCAGATCCATGCTCATAACCATCTGGCCTCGGAGCCCTCCCACAGGGCTGTGAGAAGAGATTGTCTTGCTGGGCCAGTGGGTGCAGGAGACACTGAAGCTTGGAATAGGGTGGGATTTTTCTCCCTTACAGGGAAGGAGAGAATTGAGTGAGGGGAGCCTTAGCAGTCCCTGACTCCACCCTTTCTCACTAGATTTGGGGGAAACTGAGGCCCATAATAGTTGGAGAGGCAGGATCCAGAAACCAGGGGGGTTTGTTTACCTTGGCCTGGAGTTGGCTCCTCCCAGGTGGCTCCGCCTCTGTGTAGTGCCCTCATCCCTCCCTCTCTGTGTCCACAGGCTTCCTGTCACTTCGTGTCACATCCCACTCCTGTCCTTCACTCCCTCTCAGTCTATCCAGCCACCCCCAGTGTGGAGAGCAGACTAGACTCCTTTCTCGGACACTGCCATTGCCTCGTCATAGAGGCAGGGCAGCCCCAGCTACTCACTCTGAGCCTCAGGGTCCTTGTCTGTGAAATGGGACCATACCACCACTGCAGAGCTTATGTGAGGGGCAAAGCAGAGACTGTATGCAGAGCACATTGCATAGCTGCCAGTATGTCAAAAAAGCCAGCACTCCACAGTTCCTTTATGCAATACTTATAACTCCAGGATCTGTGGCTGCTGCCACTGTGGATGGTCCCGCCACGGACTCTTCCAGCATCTAGTGAGCTGAAAGGAAGGAAAGATGGTATTGGCACTGAAGCCTGAAACTCAGCTGAAGAAATAGAATTCCGTGCCATGACAGCTGCACATGCCACATTGGGTGTCCTGGGTCCTCTGTGACAAGAACCTTACTGAGGTCTCTGTGTGGTCTGAGATTAGCACCAGCAGCATTGGACCGTTGCCTTCTTTCTTCCTCCAACAGAAATGCCTCCACGGCTGTGTACGCCTGTTGCAACCCCATCCAGGAGACATATTTCCAGCAGCTGGCACCTGCAGCACGGAGCTCCGGCTTCCCAAACCCTCAGGATGGCGCCTTCAGCCTCTCCGGCAAAGCAAAGCAGAAGCTGCTGAAGCACGGGGTGAACTTGCTCTGAACTGCACCCAGGAGGTGACTGGGAAGGAGAAAACCAGCAAAGGAAGCTCTGCCTTTTATAATTGAAAAGGCCCCTCTATTTTATTTTTCTTGAAAACATTCCCTTTTTTAGGAACCAAATGATATTTGAGTTTTTGTTATTCCTTTTGCAGATTGGGATGTGTTTTGGGGGCAGGGGTTAGTTCTTCAGGTCGGCAGACCCAGAGCACTTGATAAAGAACTGTATTTAATCGGTAGTGTTGGGGCCGGGACGGGCTTGGCTCCCTCTCTGCCATACTGAGCCTGAGGTATTTCATATCTCCTGCTGTTCCATCCCAGCTTGAATTGGTGCCACAAGCTTCCAAGTTGGCATTTTTTCTAGAACCTGATCGTCCACTAGCCCAGAGTGTGTGTGTTCAACCCCCACACCAGGTGGTGGTAGGCGGTGTGACTGCACAGCGAGGTGCCGGATCTGTGAGCAGGCCGACTCCACTCCCACGCCGCAGGTAGGTTTCTCCAGTGCGCTCTTGCTGGGAGGTCCGGATCGTTCCTGCAGGGAAGCGGCAGCACACGGAGACCACTTGGTTGAATTCTGTTGGAACTCTACTCAAATCTAGGGGCGTCTTCTTTGGACCCACAATGGGGGCAAGCCTTAATAATATGGAAGGGAGTTTGGGCTTTAGAGATCCCTTTATAAAAGCTCTGGGGGCTGAGCCCTGAGAATTCAGTGACAACAGGACCAACCTGCGCTGCCTTTGACTACAAGTGGGCCGTGCAGCTGGTTCCTCTCGAGCGAGTGTCCCTAAATAGGAGTTTACAAGATGTCTGGGGGTAAAAGCACTGTGCTTTTCAGTGGTGGCTGCGTGAAAGGGAGCGACACTCAGCTGTGTGTTCCTGGGCTTGTGTGGTACTTAGAACCTCAGTTCTATTACGTTATAGTCAGACATTTTTTTGACAGTATGAGACAGACTGCAGGATGAAAATATTTGTCAAAATCTTAACTGAATGTTTACTGGAAGTACTTGAGATTCCATTTGAGAGTTGTATTGTTAATAATTTCATGTCAGTGAACTGATATCTGATGTTTATGATATGGTGTCTTTTTCTTGAAACAAGCTTCCAAGGGCTAGAAATAAAATAGCCAAAAAATGCTGGAGTTCTGAGTAATTAAATGGCAGCATTTTTTTGTGACAAAGGTAAGGGTTAAGACAGTGTGTGTGTGTGTGTGTGTGTGTGTGTGTGTGTGTGTGCGCGCGCGCGCGCGCGCGTAACGTGGGCGCATCCCTCTTTTCCTTCCCTGGGTTCAGTGTGGCTGGGTAAGGACCGTCTGTTTGTAGGGCTGCCAGGCTGCAGCCTGCTGCTCCAGGGAGCACCAGCTGCAGCTGATCCAATACACCAAGCCTGTGTCTCCCTCTTCTATCACCTCTCTCCAGGATCTCTGCTGTCTCTTGGATCCCATCTGCCTAGATGGAAGAGGATCCTATCCGAAGCTAGGATAAATGTTGTCTTACTCCTCTGCTATGTTCTCCCAGAAAAAATTGATTACAAGTTCTCTGCTGTGGTTGCTGCAGCTCCAGGAAGTCCCCGCAATGTCTCACGTTGTCTTTGACCAGTGGTCCCCAGTACCAGGCCAGCGAAGACAACTTTATAATGTCATTTGTGTTGTGAAAATTCTTCCACTGACCCAAAATGGAACCGTACAAAGCCTATCCGTGTATATGGAAAAGTCTCATGCACCTGGATTAACTCAGAAAAAGTAAAGTCCTGAAACTTCACTTTGCAGGTGTGCCCCTTTCTTTCCTCCTTTGATCCTGCTTAGTTTCTGCAGTGGAGGTTCTGCTCAGAGCCCCAGGGCACTGGCAGCTGCAGCCGTCATCTCTAAAGCTTGGTAACTGTGGCCCAGAGGCTGCAGAGAAGAAACACTTAACCCGCTGTTTTCCCGTTTTTTAATATTTCAGAGGTTTCAGGGGGTCACTCAGGACACGGTTAATCCCACAGCCCCAGGCCCATCCCCTCAAAATTAGCGCCCCCAGAGTACGGGCCAAGCGACGGACAGCCAAGCAGCATGTTCTTGCTGGAATGGGCACCACAACCTCTTATGGCCATGTTTCCCAAGGGAAGGCAGTGTGCAGGACAGCCTGCCCACCCTGGACTCCTAGTTGACACCGAGTGCCACTGTCAGTGATCCAGGACCACAGATTCTAGTGACTCTTCAGGGCAGAAAAGCCTCTGTTTTGGCTTCCTCTGTGCCAGCCATCTGCCACCTGTGAACTGTAAGGATAAAGGTCGCATGAGTGATTAATAGTGGTGTGTTAGTCCGTTCTCACGGTTCTAATAAAGACATACCCGAGACTGGGTACTTTATAAAGGAAAGAGGTTTAACTGACTCACAGTTCTGCAGGGCTGGAGAGACCTTGGGAAACTTATGATCATGGCAGAAGGGGAACCAAACACATCCTTCTTCACATGGTGGCAGCAAAGAGAAGTGCAGAGTGAAAGGGGGGAAAAGCCCCTTATACAACCATCAGATCTCACGAGAACTGTCACAAGAACAGCATGGAAGTAACCACACCCATAATTCAATTACCTCCCACCAGGTCCCTCCCACGACATGTGGGGACTATGAGAACTACAAAATGAGATTTGGGTGGGAACACAGCCAAACCATATCAAGTGGCAATCAGATTCCTACTGGGAAAGGACCCCTAGAGGGGATGTTTGAGCCTGATCAAACTGTCTCCTCCCCTGGAGGGAAGCATCTAGACTTCTGGGCCGTTGTCACTTCAACCGACAGAGGGTGGTAGCAAGTGGAGCCCAGGGGCTTTGTTGAAGTCGCCCTCCATGGTGTCTGTCTTGCATATTTGGTGGTCTTTTCCAATGTGGCTAAGATGTACTTCCCATGCCGCCCAGTTACTGCGTTCTTAACACCCCGCCCTGCTCGGGGTGGGTGAGTAGCAGCAGACCTTTCTCTGGTGTGAGCCTCCCTGCCACAGGCCACTTCCCTGTGTGTGCAGTGAGCTGAATGGTGGCCCCCAAAGATCAGGTCCCAATCCCCAGAACCTGTGAATGTTGCCTTGTTGGATCGGATGTTTGCAGATGTGGTTGAGTGAAGGATCTTGAGACGAAGAGATGATCCTGGCTTATCCCGTGGTCCCTAAATGCCCTCACAAATGTGCTTTTAGGAGAGGGGCAGGGGGAGGTTACTCACGTGGAGAAGGCCACGTGAAGATGGCAAAGACTGGAGTGATGTGGCCGCCAGTCAAGGAATGCCAGCAGCCACCAGGTGCCAGAAAAGGCAAGAAGTGGATTCTGCCCTAGAGTGTGCGGAGGGACTGTGACTGTCAACGTACTGAATTCGGTCCCGTGAAACTGATTTCAGACTTCGGCCTCCAGAACCGTGAGAGCATGGGTTTGTGTTGTAAGCCTCTGGGTATATGCTCATTTGTTACAGCAGCCAGAGGAAACAAATCCATCCTCCTGCCAACTTGCTTTCTCCTTGTGATGCCCAGTTCCCTCTCTCTCAGTAGCGCCGAGCCACAGAGCACGGAGGGCGTGAGAAGAGCTGGGGCCCCACATGAGGTTGCCATGGCGCGGGGCACAGGGGAGCCTTTAAGCAGGGGAGTGGGATGGGCGCGGTGTGACGCCTGTATAATCCCAGCACTTTGGGAGGCCGAGGCGGGTGGATCACTTGAGCTCAGGAGTTCAAGACCAGCCTGGCCAACGTGATGAAACCCTGTCTCTACTAAAAATACAAAAATTAACCAGGTGGGGTGGCGCATGCCTGTAATCCCAGCTACTCGGGAGGCCGAAGCCGGAGAATTGCTTAAACCCAGGAGGCGGAGGTTGCAGTGA
This sequence comes from Homo sapiens, assembly GCF_000001405.40. NCBI lineage: Eukaryota > Metazoa > Chordata > Mammalia > Primates > Hominidae > Homo > Homo sapiens. The sequence goes on along the minus strand of NC_000022.11, from coordinate 26,449,402 downwards.
GCCGAGCTGAGATTCATTGCACTCCAGCCTGGGTGACAGAGTGAGACTCTGTCTCAAAAAAAAAAAAAAAAAAAAAAAATGCAGGGGAGTGACTGGAGCTGGTTCTCATGAGGAAGGTCACTAGCTCCTGAGTAGGGGATAAGCTGGGCAACAGTGGAAACCACCAGGAGGCTATGGTTGTCCAGGTGGGAAGTGGAATGGCTGAAGCAGAGAGGAGGCCAGATAATGGGCAGACGAGCCTGGGCACTGATGAGGTTTGGGGCGGGGAGGGACAGCCCCAGTGGAGAAGGCAGCCAAGGAGATAGATTCCTGCCCTGAAGGAGCTGGCGGACGGAGTGAGCAGGAAACCCACACTAATACTCTCAGCCTGTGCTCCCGACACACACACTCCTCTCCCAACCCCTGAACCCACCGCTGCTCCTGGGAAAAGGGCAGTGGGTGTGGGAAAGCACTTGTCTCCTGCTTTGCTTCTTGATTCTGACTGCCACCCGGCTCTCTGTGAGGAGACAGGGGAGGGCAGGTGTCAGACCCACTCTCAGCATCCTAGCTTAGAAATAAAACATACTCTAGATCTTTCTTCAACATATTTGTTGAGTTTGAGAAGCTTACAGTGAAGATTCTAAGGGCTTCAAGGTGAAAATAGGACACCTTCTCTGTTGATCCAGTATTTAAATGTCCAAACCTGAAATTAGCTGTACTTCCCCTGAGAATAAAACCCAGAGAGTGCTTTGGAATCCTGTCAAGAGCTGGGAGGTGTTTTATGATTGCCTGTGCATGCCGAGGTATAAGCCGAAAAGTTGCAACCCTTCTCCCCTGCCCTGCCTCGCTGTCAGCTGGGCCAAGCACCCTGAGGAAAGGGCTTGAGGCCCAGGCTGCCAAACCCATGGGGAGGAGAGGGAGACAAGTCCTCTACCGAGTGTGCTGTTCAAAGACACCTTGTGCATCCTTCCTCCCCACCCAGGCTGGACTGGCTTGTGTGGCTGTGGCAGGAGCACATGGGCTTTGGTGTCAGACAGCTGGGTTCAAATCGCAGCTCTGCCACTTATTGCTGGAAATCAGGGCAAGTTGCTTTTCTGTCTCTGAGCCTCAGTGTCCTTTTCTTTAAAATGGACAGGAGAAGGAAATGGATGTAAGGACTTGGCCTATCATGGGCCCTCAGCAAATGGAGGGTCCTGTTGAGTGTTCTGAGAAGGCAAATGGCCTCCCAGCACAGGGAGAAGGACCTGGGGGCCGGAGGGGTGTGGTCCTTCTGCATGTTGAGGAAGTGAGTCCTGGATGTGTGTCCAGACTTCAGAAGATGCGCTGTGCTGCGAGCCTGGATACTCGGCTTCCAATTCCAGCTCGCCCTGCAGCTGGCTGCGTGACCTTGTTCATGTCAGCTGCCCGCTCTGAGCCTGTTTCCTCATGTGTTAAATGTGCAATTGACAAGGATGAGGTAGGGGAAGGAACCTCGTAGGGTGCACAGTGCTCTCCATGCTCAAAGAAGCAGGTGCCCTCACCTCGAACGTGGGGGTGGCTAATGTATGGGAAGCGGGGAGATATGGGGAAGGGCAGGTACCCAGAAGTTAGAAGCAACGTGTGTGCCTGGGAAAGAGGCGGAAAGTAAACCAATCCCTGTGTGTGCTCCCTCCTGCCTCCTAATGCTGCAATCTGCTTGAGTGTTTTCCCTGCCATCTGTCAGCAGTTCTAAAATATGTGGCCTTATTCTGTCCTGTTCCCTGTGTTTACATCTGGTTAGCAAGATTCGGCTGGGGAGTTAAATGTTATGGAAGGTTGCTGGCAGCAGGCATGACGGTCCTCAAAAACCTCATTCTGTGCTTAGCCTCTGCTACTCATATTTACATCCTGACAATGTGTATGGAGCACCTCTCCCATCCACCCAGACCACGACATAATAGCATCTTACCAAAACCTCACTTGACACTCACAGAGTGGATTAGGACTTTTGGTGGCAAGGATAGAAACCACAACTCAAACTTGGCTTACGAATAAAAGGCGCACTTATTGGCTCATGTAACAGAAAAGTCCAGAGGTAGAGCTGGTTTTCGGCAGAGCTGCGTTCAGGACTCACGTGATCTCCACAGCGCAGGCCCCGCTTGCCTCCGTGGGTTTCTCTCTCAGCTTCTTTCCCTTCACCTCCCCCCACCACCCCACCTAATAAAAAGTGGCCTCTCTTTCACAGTCGTCCCAGAAAAAGAACTTGGATCACGTGTCCAGCCCTGACCCAATCTCTCAGTGGCCCAGAGTTTGGAAGACTGATTGGTCAGATCTGGATCATGGGCCCAGCCCTGGAGACCCAAGGACTGAGCATGGGGATGTTATGGTCTTGCAAGAGGCTCATACTGTTGGCAGGATAGGTTTAAAAGCAGTGGCTGCTGGCCAGGCGTGGTGGCTAATGCCTGTAATACCAGCACTTTGCGGGGCAGAGGCAGGCTGATCACTTGAGGTTAGGAGTTCGAGATCAGCCTGGCCAACATAGTGAAACTGTCTCTACTAAAAATACAAGAATTAGCCAGGCGTGGAAGCGGGCACCTGTAAGTCCAGCTAGTCACGAGGCTGAGGCAGGAGAATCACCAGAAGGTGGAGGTTGCAGTGAGCCGAGATTGCGCCACTGCACTCCAGCCTGGGCAACAGAGGAGACTCTGTCTCAAAAAAACAAAAACAGATAACAAAAAACAGTGACTGTCCTCTAGAGACCAAGCTTAGGTGGCCTGCCCGGTGTTACACAGGGCCATAGCTCAGACTTTAATGTCCAGGCTGAATGGTTTCAAAGGCCTTATCATTCTTGCTACTCACAGCAGCGACCCCCTCAGCCTGAGCTACACGTTAGAATCATGACCGGAAATGAGTTTAAAACAAAGACCCGTGCCTGGACCCCACTCTCGGAACAATGAAAAAAGATGCTTTGGGAGTGGGGTGTGTGCTTTGGGGTTTCCGACAAGTTCCCGGGTGACTGCATCGTGCAGCCACAGTCAAGGACCAGCACACCAGGATCACTCCTCTCCCCCACAGTATGCTACGGAGCACTCAGTGTTACAAGTTTAATCGCTGTCACCAAGGACAGAACCCAGACAATCTGGGTGACTCTAGGGGCTGATGAACAGGTGCCTGGGAGAAAGGGTTTGGGATCAGAAGACCTGGGGTGTGACCTTCTACAAATAGTAATTGGTCTGGCCTTGAGTACATGGGAACAGAGGGAGCTTGAGGCCAGTCCAGCCTGTCTCGGGTGGAAGGCAGGATTCCCATTTGCAGCCGGCTGGCTCCCCTTTCTCACCTTGAGCCTCCAGAGCTACAACACGTAAATTAGCTTAGCAATGCCTAGCTGGCAATGCACACTTGAGGAGGGTGAGAAACATCGCGATCCCAGGTGAGTGGCGCTCTTCCCTTCCGCTTGTTGTGGCAGCCCAGCCCGGACAGCTGGCTGGAACCTCGCTTGCAGGTGGAAACATGCGGCAGCCCGGCTGCTTCTAGGGCTCCTGGCTGGGAGACCCCCCTGTCTCCCTCTCTTCTAAAGGGAAAAACATGAAAAACACAGCTACTGAGGGACATGTTTCTTCCTCTGTGATTAGACACAGGCAATTGAAAGTAGCCACTGGCTTCTCTGGCCACACCCACTGCTGTCCCGATGTGTTTTCCCATCTCTTCCATTTGGCGGCCTTCCTCTTCACCTGTTTCTCTACTCAGCTGTGGCAGAAAGGGAAACAAGGTTGTTGAGTGCCCTTCATGTGCCAGATACTGCACATACCCACAGAGGAGAAACTGAGGCTATGAGAGGCTAAGGGACTTGCCCAAGGTCCCGAGGGTGCAAACTCCTGGCACGGAGTCCTAAATCCTCAGCTTTTCTGAAGCCAGGGTCCTTGTTCTTCTTTGCCCAGTTAGACATCTATTGCTCCTTAACATATCCTAGATGTGCTCTTGTCCCCACCCCACTAGTCCCATTGCTTTGGGACATTTTGCTTCATTCACTATCCACGATCAATTCTAGTGACCCGCCTGTCTCTGTGACATCACTCAAAACACAAGAGCCTCAAAGTCACTTGCCCCCTTCTGCCTAGCAAGTCTTTTTTTTTGGACAGGGTCTTGTTCTGTCGTCTTGGCTGGAGTGCACTGGCGCGACCTAGGCTCACTGCAGCCCCCGCCTCCCAGGTTCAAGTGATCCTCCCACCTCAGCCTCTCAAATAGCTGGGACTACAGGTGTGCACCACCACACTCAGCTAGTTTGTTTGTTTGGTAGAGACAACGCCTCACTATATTACTCAGGCTGGTCTCAAACTCCTTGGCTCAAGCAATCCTCCCCGCTCAGCTTCCCAAAGTGCTAGGATTACAGGCGTGAGCCACCGAGCCTGGCCTAAGTCTTTCTTTACAACAGATGACCTCACCACTTCACTCTGGTTTTCAGCAAGATCCTTTATTTATCTTCTGTTCCCCAGACATGTCACATGAATGCAGGTAGCTAGGTACCTGCGCGGGCTGTTGGTTTTGTAAACGCAGAGCAGAGCAGTCACGATGTGTAGAAATCATGCACCTCAGTGATTCTTTAACAAGATAATGAGTAAAAAGACTTCAGGTATGTTTGAAATGTCTGCCTTTTCCTGCATTCTCATCACTGACAAATATCTGTGTAGACATTTTACTCAAATGTAGACGTGCTCTTTGCACACTTGCTAGTACCTGCCTGGTGCATTTCAACTGTGTTTTCTTCCAACAGTTGTACCTCTTAGAAGCTGCTGTTTTCCATTTGGATCTAAACACTGGACCTGCACCTGCGACCAGCTGTATATTCCAAACCACTCCTCGGCTTTATAAATCTGACACTGCTCATAATACATTATTCAGAAAAGGCATCTCTAGTGTGGCTGGCCGGCTACGCTTTCACACATCAGCTAACACAGGCTATTTCTAGAGTGAGTGCCTCAAACTGGTCTCCTGGGACCTTTTCCTTCGGGAAGAGATCCACATGTTCTTCACAGGAGACCAGAAAACCAGCACAACGGCCACGGGTCCTCTGGGCATGTAGGTCTTCTCTGTCTCCTCACTAGCACACACTGGCTTGGGTCATTGTCACGCAGTGCACACCTTTGTGCCATGACAAAGACACAGGGCCAACTCTTCCACTATCTCCAAGTCTAGTGTTTGAACATTTATGTACAGACAAATAAATGAAAAAAAAAAAAACATAGGCAACAGAACTCCAAAGCAAAACAGAAACTTTGGTCAGATCTATTATTCCAGTTTTGCCAGAGAAAGGCTTTCCCCAAATGTCGCTGGGTGAGCGCGGTCCTATCCCCCTACAGCTCCTATCAGCCAACCTGGTGGCCTTAACGTTCATCACTGTGGACTCAAAACACCTAAAACTGGGAATTTTCCAGGCCCAGTTTGGCAGTAGGGCTTCTGTAGGCAGTGAGGTAAGCGGATCACACGTTCCGTGGCTGATCTGTGTGAGCCGCAGCTTGGTGCTGGGGGACACCAGCTTCAGCTTTGCAGGAAAGCCATGTTTAAAGAGTAGCCTCCAGTCCTACTGGCCCAATGCTTTTGCCATCAGGGACCTGACAAGGTTTAGAATGAGGTGAGCGATGGTGACAGTATCCCTGGGCCTGGACACTGTGTGCCACCCTGACTGTGTCTGGCAGCCCCTCCACCTGGCTACTGAAGCCAGTCAGGTGTGGGGGCTGCAGACTGTCCCCCTGCCGTCAGGTGGCTGAAGGGTCCCCAGTGTGCCAGCATCAGAGGCCAAGTTCTCTAGCTCTCTGGTTTGCAGTTTTTAGTTTTTTTTTTTTTTTTTTAAGATGACCACAAGAAGTTTTACATTATTATATTCAGACAAATAACCATTTAGTTACTCTATTTCAGAGCACTGAAAAAAACAAGTAGCAACAGAAGACAGACTTACAAGGGCACTAAGTCTCTGGTCACTCAAGGACCAATCAAAGGAATGCGCTGTTAGGCCAGAAAGGAGTCTCTGAAGCAAATGATTGGAAGGAAAAAAAAAAAATCTAAGGAAATACAAGCCGAAAAGTTTCCATTTACAATAACCAAGGGAAAGAGGGACCCGACATGATATAAAATCCCAAATAAGAGCTTTCCGCTGAGGCAGGTTTCTGAGCATGGAAACAACACCGGTAGGGACTGGACCGGACCACAGTCTGCCCAGGCCCCGCCTCGGCCCTTCTCGCCGACTCCAGCATGGGAAATACTCTCATCGTCCCGGAGCAAAGATGAAATCAAGAGCCTGCCGTTCGGCCGCTGCGACGTTTGGATGCCACAAATCCACCATGAAAACCACCCGTGGGCCATCCTCTGCTGAACCTGGGGGGGAAGGAGGGGTGAGAGGACAGGTTCAAACCACCCTGGAGTCAGGACCCAGGATCCAGGCAGGGCTGGACCCTACGTGCTCAGCTTCGGGGCAGGGACCCCATCCTGTCCCTCGGCTCGGATCGGACCACCTCCTCTCTCACTGAGAGCATAAACCTGGCTTCATGGGCTTCTGAGCAGGGTGGACAAAAGGAAATGGGGAGATGGAGGGATCTTTAAGTGGGAATTTTTACGGCAGTGAAACTATTCTGTATGATACTGTCATGGTAGGTCCGTGTCATTATCCATTTGGCGAAACCCACAGAATGGATGGACAACACCAAGAGTGAACCTTAATGTCAACCATGAACTTTAGGTAATAATAACGCATCAATACTGTGTGTGTATATGTGTTATGGGGTGATATGAAGGGGCCTCCTTGGTACTTTCTGCCTGATTTTTCTGGAAACCTAAAACTTCTCTAAAAAAATAAAAGTCTATTCATTGAAAAAAAGGAAGTGGGAAAGGCAGCCACTCACCTTCATGGAACGCAGCATGCAGGAAAGAGTCATCAAAGAGAAGGCAGCGCCCTTCTGCCCAGCACTGGGGCTCTCCCCCCACCACCAGCTCACAGCCATTTGGAGTTTTCAGACCTTGTAGGAAAACCAGAGAAAGGAGAGTGAAGGCAGGCAAGATTCAGGGAAGGCCAGGAGATAGGGGGTGATTTGCCTTACTGAGAGTTTTTGACTTCTAAAGCACCTGACCTGCCTCACACCTCTGGAGCCCGTGCTATGGTCTGAAGGCTTGTGGGCTTGTGTCCCTGCAAATTCCCATGTTGAAACCTGACCCCAAGGTGATGGTGTTAGGAGGTGGGGCCTTTGGAAAGTGATCAGATCATGAAGGTGGGGTCCTAATGGGAGCAGCATCCTTATAAAACAGGCCCAAGGGAGCTTCTTTACCTCCTTTTGCATCTTTTTTTCTTTTCCCTTTTTTTTTTTTTTTTTTTGAAATGGAGTCTCTCTCTGTTGCCCAGGCTGGAATGCAGTGGTGTGATCTCGGCTCACCGCAACCTCCACCTCCCAGGTTCAAATGATACTCCTACCTCAGCCTCCGGAGTAGCTGGGAGGCACTGGAGTAGCTTACAGGCACCCACCACCTCACCCGGCTAATTTTTTTGTTTGTTTTGTTTGAGACAGAGTCTCACTCTGTCGCCCAGGCTGGAGTGCAGTGGCGCGATCCTGGCTCACTGGAACCTCTGCCACCTGGGTTCAAGCGATTCTCCTGCCTCAGCCTCCCGAGTAGCTGGGATTACAGGCACCTGCCACTGTGCCAGGCTAATTTTTGTATTTTTAGTAGAGATGGGGTTTCACCATCTTGGCCAGGCGGGTCTTGAACTCCTGACCTCGTGTCCACCCGCCTCAGCCTCCCAAAGTGCTGGGATTACAGGCGTGAGCCACTGCACCTGGCCGAATTTTTGTATTTTTAATAGAAATGGGGTTCCACCATGTTGGCCAAGCTGATCTCGAACTCCTGACCTCAAGAGATTTGCTTGCCTCAGCCTCCCAAAGTGCTGGGATTACAGGCATGAGCCACAGCACCTGGCCTGACATCTTTTTTTTTTTTTTTTTTTTTTAGATACAAGGTCTTGTTCTGTTGCCCAGGCTGAAATGCAGTGGCTCCACCATAGTTCACTGCAGCCTTCACCTCCTAGGCTCTAGAGATGCTCCAGCCTCACCCTCTTGAGTAGCTGAGACTATAGGTGTGCACCATCATGCCCAGCTAATTTAAACTTTTTTTTGTAAAGATGGGGTCTTGCTATGTTGACCGGGCTGGTCTCGAACTCCTGGCCTCAAGCTATCCTCCCACCTTGGCCTCCCAAAGTGTTGGGATTACAGGCAAGAGCCACTGCTCCTGGCCACCTCCTTTCACCATGTGAAGTCACAGTGAGAAGGTGTCATTTATGAACAAGAAGCAGGCCTTCACCAGACGCCAAATCTGCTGGCACCTTGATCTTGGGCTTCCAGCCTCAGAACTGTGAGTTCTACATTTTTGTTGTTTATAAGCCACCATCTAGATCTTCACTGCACTCTTGGCAAAAATTCATTCCTTCATTGGCTTCATCTATTCTGGGTCATGGATTCCTTTTATGAAAGTCACAGACTGACATTTGCACTACACTCTGAAGCCTAACCAGGGGACCCCCAGAAATCCAGGGAGGTTGGGTTTAGAACCTTGCCTTACCCAGTAACTGTGTTTACTGTAGTCTCCCCTCTAGGACTATCTCAGTTGCGATTAAAAAATCAAAGGCTCACACAGTGTTCTCCTCCTTGGGTTCTAGCCTTTTAATCCGTTTTGAGGCTGGAGAATGGCGTGCTCTTCGTCTGCCCTCATTCTGGGAAACTGGAGGACACTTCTAAGGTAATGGCTTAGGTTCAAGAGGAAATAGACTGGCAGCTTTGTAAGAAGCCGTATGCTTGGCTGGGCACAGTGGCTCACACCTGTAATCCCAGCACTTTGGGAGGCTGAGGGGTGGGCAGATCGCGTGAGGCCAAGAGTTCGAGACCAGCCTGGTCTCAAACATGGTGAAACCCTCTCTCTACTAATTATCCAAAATGAGCCAGGCATGGTGGCAGACGCCTGTAATCCCAGCTACTCGGGAGGCTGAGGCATGAGAATTGCTTGAACCCAGGAGGCGAAGGTTGCAGTGAGCCGAGATTGCATCACCGCACTCCAGCCTGGGCGAATCGCACCACTGCACTCCAGCCTGGGCAACAGAGTGAGACTCTGTCTCAAAAATAAAAATAAAAAATAAAAAATAAGCCGTATGCTTCAACCGGCCAGTGGGGTCCGGTTGGAACACTGCCATGTGTGACCCTCAGTCGCCCTTTCCAACACAAGGGTCTGCAGAAACACTTGGCCCCCATCACTACCTTGATGTCCAGAAAAGAAGGGGCCACCGTGGCCATCTAATGATTTCAGAAGGGGTTGGGTCAGCCCAACAGCTCTCAGGAAGGCCCACCCAGGGGGAAGCAGAGTCCTGGAAGAGGAGCTGGGATGGGTGGTGGTCTCATCTGTCTTCAGTGACTCACTGTGACCACAATGACCCTGGGCCAGTTGGCATTCCCCTCTGATTTAATGTCCTTTAGCATAAAAATGAAATAGCTTTCCTTCCAGCAGCCAGAGTATTTTAATGTATTCTTTGAACCAGAAATAATGGTTCCAGGAAGTACGTTCACAGTAATAATTCAAATAAAGAGGCCACATGGAGGAGACAGAAGGACGGAGGACTTGGGGACAGACGACTGGTTGTGACTCTTATGTGCTGTGTGACTTTGGGCAAGTCACTCAGCCTCTCTGAGCCATACCCTCACCTGTAAAGAGGGGACATTAGCATACTGAACCTTCCAGGGCTGCTATGGGACTTCTATCCTTGTTACCAATAACTGAAGACCTACTGTGTCTTCCTACTCAGCTTTGTGCTAAATACACACTTAACAGGTATCACTTCACCCACTTTCCAGATGGGGTAACTAAGAAGTTAAATGACCTGCTAAAAAGTTACCATTTAGTGTTGCTGAGTCAGCCTGACTCCAAAGAACAGGCTGTTATAAAACTGGACATGATGATATAAATGCTAGTTGTTATACTATTAACAGAGGAATTAAAGTGATTGTGGAGTTTTCGATTTTTCTTTATTTATTATTATTTTTTTTGAGACAGAATCGTGCTCTGTCGCCCAGGCTGGAGTGCAGTGCCATGATCTCAGCTCACTGCAGCCTCTGCCTCTTGGGTTCAAGCAATTCTCCTGCCTCAGCCTCCCGAGTAGCTGGGATTACAAGTGTGCACTACCGTGCCCAGCTAATTTTTGTATTTTTAGTAGAGATGGGGCTTCACCATGTTGGCCAGGCTGGTCTCGAACTTCTAGCCTCAAGAGATCCACCTGACTCGGCCTCCCAAAGTGCTGGGATTACAGGCTTGAGCCACTGTGCCTGGCCTGATTGCTGATTTTCTTGTAGTTAACATGTCTGATAGTTAATACTGAGTTTCAACTTGATTAGATTGAGGGATACAAAGTATTAATCCTGGGTGTGTCTATGTGGGTGTTGCCAAAAGAGATTAACATCTGAGTCAGTGGGCTGGGGAAGGCAGATCCACCCTTAATCTGGCAGGCACAATCTAATCAGCTTCCAGCAAATATAAAGCAGGCAGAAAAACATAAAAAAGTGAGACTGGCCTAGCCTCCCAGCCTGTATCTTTCTCCAGTGCTCGAAGCTTCCTGCCCTCAAACATCGGACTCCAGGTTCTTCAGCTTTGGAAACTGACTGGCTTTCCTTGCTCCTCAGTTTGCAGACAGCCTATTGTGGGACCTTGTGATCATGTGGGTTAATACTTAATAAACTCCCCTTTATATATATATGTGTGTGTGTGTGTGTATGTATGTATGTGTATATATATATATGTATGTGTATATATATATGTATATATATGTGTGTATATATATATGTATATATGTGTGTATATATATGTATGTATATATATGTATGTGTATATATGTATGTGTATATATGTATGTGTATATATGTATGTATATATATGTATGTATATATATGTATGTGTGTATCTATATATATGTATATATATGTGTGTGTGTATATATATGTATATATATGTATGTGTGTATATATCTGTGTGTATATATATATCCTATTAGTTCTGTCCCTCTAAGAGGACCCTAATATGTTTCAACTCTCAATAGTACATTTCATTAAATCAGCTGAGACTGCTCATCCTGACAGAAGCCATGATTTCCCACTATGGTTAACAGCAGCTGGGGGAGTCAGGGCTGTAAAGACGCCCAGATGGAGGGACTCAGAGGCTACGTTTTCCTTTGGCGTGTGCCCCTACTGGCTGGTTCAGGTGGCGAAGGCCTTTAGGAATGGGCAGTTCTCTGCAGGGACAGCCACCCCGGGGTTTCAGAAAGAAGCTCCCCTTTCTCTGGGCCACTAAATGATTCATCGCCACGTGCCACGGTGCGATAGAAAAATGGCCTGGCCTGCTGGCTTGACACCCCCCTGCTTCTTGTTCTCCGCCTCCCCTTCATTCTGCTCCTGCCCCCATTCCTGCCTGTTGCCCACAAACCAGCTTAGTTGGCAGAAGAGCTCAATTCTTCCCTAAACAGATCATTCCAGTGGCTCTTGAGGACAGTGACAGGTCCCACACATGGCCTCAGATAGTCCCATATGCTCCTCTATGGCTCAAGCTTTGCTGCTCTGTCCCTACCGAGCCCTGAAAGAGGCAGGAAGGAGGGTAGAGAAAGGGCTGTGTCCACCAGTGGCCCCCACTTCAGGCGGCTGGCAACCGGGCACTCAGGGTGGGCAAGGGGAACATGAGCTGATCTACTGTTACCACCCGGCTAGACCACCTAGAAATCTGATGACATGCAGAAAAGAAAAACAAGAGTCTAACTGTGCTTCTTTAGCTAGAATTTGCTGAACATATTCATGCATTTTCATGAAGTATCTGCCTCCCTGGTAACATCTGCCTGGTGAGTTTCAGAGGTGGTTTTCTGGAAGTTTGTGGCAGTGCATCTGGAATATCCCAGCATTGTGTACGATGCTGAGTGGGGGGTGGGCCTGAAGCTGTCCTGTGGTCCCATATGAAGTCGGGACTAGGTGATGCCACCTCTAGAAGTAGCTCACAGCAGGGCTCAGCAAATATGTCTCGAACAAATGGGCTGTGTTAGTGAGGAGCAGTGGCTGGGTCTTCAGTGGTCCACAGGGACAATTCCATCAGTCACAGCTCAGGCAGAAGGCAGAAGAAAAGCAAGCATTGGCATTTCAAGAGCACGGTTCTGGAACTGCAGGTGCCTCTACCTTCAGCCAGGTAACCAGCAGAGGTGTGGCCACCAGGTACGCACCAGGCTTATCCTGCTTCTGACCTCATTCTCTGGACTCCCTCTCTGTCAACACACAAGGTCACATAAATCCGACACACCTTTGTTTCCTTCCTGGGTGGATATTAATGTGGGCATGATAGTGTAAAGAAGGAAACGCTGAGAAAACCCAACCAGGGAGCTCGCCTTGGCCGTGGAGAACAAGCCACGCCACAGTGGGACGTCTTCCAAGAAGGTTTCCTGCTATCTACAGGAACATGGAGGGCCTACTTTTTCTGGCAAGTACCTAGCTGGGCTGAGAAAGGAATGACAGGCCACAGGCCACAGTGTGAGCCAGCGTGGGCATGTTTTACACACACACACACACACACACACATGCATGCATATCATACAGATGAACAACAAGTGTTAATCTACAGAAAGCAAACCCCAGATTTTCCTTGCTACCATCACTTCCTACTCACACCTCTTTGAAATTCTACCACATCAGTCCTCAAATGCCCTTCCCCAGATGTCATTCTGAAGTTTTAAAACAATACATAAAGGCAAACCTTTCAAAAGAAGAGCATCACTCCCCATTGCCCACGGCCTCCATTCTCAAGCCTGGCATCAAGGGCCTCTGAGGTTTGCTCCCACCTGACCTGTCCAACCTCAGCCCACACTACTGGCCTCCCCAGCAAGCCTAGACCCGGCTTCCCCAAGCCCCAGGGGATGATTCCGCTCCCTCGCTCCACCCTGGCGGCACCTGATTTCTGTGTGGGGATCCTCCAGTGTCAGACCCACCTCCCCAGGGCACCCCGTCTGCAGCCAAGTGAGGCTTGGGGCCTCGCACAGCAGTTTTGCTAATGACCATCACCTGGATTATCATCCCATCACTTAGATTAGCTTACTGTCCACTGCCCTCTACCTGCCAAGCATTTTACACATATTACTTCCCACTCCTCAAAACAGCCAGCAAGTGGGAATCGTCATCTCTGTTTTAGAGAAGATAAAACGGAGGCTTAAGGAGGTTCAGAGCCCTGCCCAAGGTCACTCAGCAAATGGGGCGAGGCCAGGACCTGAGTCCAGATCTGTTTGCTTCCGAAGCCTGTTCCTTTCCCACTGTTTCCTGGGGGCAGGGTCTATGTCTTATGGATCATTTTTCACATGGTCCAACACAGTCCTTGATAATAGCTACTAGCTCCCATTCATCAAATGCTGTCACGTGCCAGGAATCCTGCCAAGGGGCCATGTAAGATGCCACTCATTGAATCCTCTCAACAATCCTGTGAAGTAAGTACCATCTCCCCATTTTACAGATGAAGAACTGAGGCAGAGAGAGACTCAGTGACCTGCTCAAAGTCTCACGGCTGACTGCTGACCAGGAATTCAGGCCACCTCCCCCAAAGCCTCCACCCAGTCCGCCCTTTACTCTTGAAATTCCTACCATGTCAATTGCTCAAATCTCATTATATTTTTCTTTTCTTTTCTTTTCTTTTCTTTTCTTTTCTTTTCTTTTCTTTTCTTTTAGTGCAGTGATATCCTCCATCCAAACCACATCTTACTCAGAACCCCCACACAGACAGCAGGAGAAGCAGAGCTGCTGAGGGTGAAGAGGGCTCGGGGGCCCCCAGCTCCGGCTCCTTCCCAGGCAGCCCTGAGGCTCCTCTGCAGAACGTGGTTATGAAACTCCCACTCCAACCCATGCACCAGGTTCCTCCTGCTGCTCTTCCTTCCTCCCTACTGAAGCTGAAGCAGCGTTGTGAACTTTGTAAAGCTGGACGCTGCCAAGGCTGTCTCTGCACACTCTAATCTGAGATACTAACCGGTGATGCCACCATCCCAGAGACGAGCTTTTTATCGCCACTCACCAGGAATAAGGCATTCTGGGGAACTAATACCTCCATGATTAAGTTGTTTTAAGCCTACTTTTATTGAATACTTGCTCTATTTTAGGCTCTGTGTGCATACATACAATACACATTATCTGATTGGATCCTCAGAATAACTCTTTAGGAGAAGATCTTTTTACCTCCACTTCCCAAATAGTGAAATTGAGGCTCAGAGAGGTGAAATGACTTGCCTACAGTAGCACAGCTCGTGGTGGGGCCAAGATGCAAACAAAGGCTGTCTAACTCCAGTCTTTGTTTGCAAAACCACAGCCGCACACACAGTACGCATACGACCAATTTTCTCAGAATCGGAGTAAAACAAGCTTATCACCAAGGATCATTTCATCCTTGATGACTGCAAAGATGCTTAAGTATCTTTCACAGCCTCCTGGACATCATTATGAAGCTCGGTAATCATTTTAACAAGTCTTTGGCTCTAGAACGACACTGTCCCCATACGGTAGCCACTAGCCGTATGTGTCACTGCTATTTAAATTAAATTAAAATTTAGTTCCTCAGTTACAGGAGACAAGTTTCAAGCACTCAATTAGTCACATGTGTCTAGTGGCTACCATTTTGGACAATGAAGATGGAGAACATTTCTGTCACTGCAGAAAGTTCTTTGCACAGAGCTGCTGTCAGAAATTAGGTTTGCACTGATCACAAGATTTCTTTTTGACTCAATCTCTGCTGTCAAATTGTTTACATGCAATTCATCAGTTTTTGCTAAAAGTGAACAATGCGAAAAGGCGCAATTCTGACCATTTGAGCTTTCGCGATGTTTTGATGGAGAGGGGCTGAGCTTGCAAATGTGCATGCCGGGAGACCCCTGTCCTTGCAACATACCTAAATGGCATCGGATGCGGATGTTGGTGGGTCCATAGTGCTCCGTTATCACAGTCCCAGGGCTCAGCACAGAGATGCACGCGTTCCCAAAAACATTGTTCCCAATACAGGTCCGAAGGCTTCCGAGCAAGCGGTACGTCCGTGGGCACTTCCTACAGTTCCTGGGAACACAAACCCCCTGATTGACCAAGTAAAAGGTGAACCACTCCCCGCTGGGGGTGCTGTTCATTTTCCATCCTTGCGGGAGGCTGCAGTTTGAGAAAGCTTTGTAGAGGGTCTCAAACTCACACAGGATGGTCTGGAAGTTCCGTTCCAGCACTTCCACATCATGTTTCTGTGCGTCCCGGGAGAAATAGGGCGTGGTGGGCAGGTCGGGCAGGAAGAAGACCTCGGGCTTCTGGATGGAGGGCCGGCTGTTGAGGTACCGGCCCTGCTCGCGGATGCCCTTGTGGATGCGGCCCATGCCGGACCAGGAGTAGCGCTTGGCGTACTCCTGCAGGTTGTGGTACAGCTTCTGGTTGAGGCCCTCGTTGTGGGTGCAGCGCACGCACTCAGGGGACTGGCAGTACACGTAGCCATTCTGCAGCCCGTTGGCATCGGCAGCCTGCATGAGGGAGTTGACGGAGACGTAGGGCCGGGGCTGCTCCCTGCCCACGTGATAACAGTACCACACGAAGAGGACCAGGAGGCAGGCCACAGTGATGACAGCGGTGGTGTCGCAGTCCCGCACGGACTGGATGCCGGTGGCGATGCAGTCCCTCAGGCCATCCAGCGACCAGCTCCAGGCCACCAGCCACTCGAGCGACATCTTGGGGGAGTCCTTACTGGGCGTGTGAAGCAAGGTCAGACAATCAGTCCTCGGGGGTCCCAAGGGCGCCCACACCATGCAGATTAGCGTGGGGGGGAAGGAGCGGCTGGGGCAGGGGGAGGCATGGCTGCCACCGATCCTCAGATACTGCCAGGGGCGGCATTGATGAACGACAAGGTTGGCCGTGCCCACTGCTCCACTTTCCGGCAAAAGTCACTGCAGTGGGGTGGAAGAGGCTGGTTTTTGTCACATTATCAAGTGCCGTCGGTCCCTGTGAAAGGATTTGTTTAGGAAAACCAAACCTGGGATGGAAAAAAAAAATCAGCATAAATTTTACACCTGGAAAAGTCCTCAACTGAAATGTAAAGTGTTAGATCGTTCTGTAGGATCCTAGTTGGTGGGGGTCACACTTTGCAATCTTGTGTATTCCCTCCCCATTCTACTGCCACTCCCATTTCCCAAAAGGCCAGTAGTATTTCATCTGCATCAGGTACTGCTTATAATTACAGTGGTCCCATCTGCTTTGTGCCCTCCATAGGAGGTGCTATTATCCCCATTTTACAGATGAGAAAACTGAGGCTCAGAGAAGTTACATAACTCACGAGAGTTATACAGCCAGGGCAGAGACTCAAACCCCATCTGACTTCAAGGCCCATGTCTACCCATTTTGCTGTGCTATTTCATCATAGGTATTTAATCAATGCTTATACTCCTGTGATCGCTGTACCTTTAATTCAAAAGAATCCTGGATTCAAAAGCATCTTAAAAATGGCAAAGGGACTTAAAAACTGCATATTCTCCATTTCACTTTCTCTTTGCAAGCATTTCATCATCCTTATTTCATTCTGTTGCCCTTCTGACAGAGGTTGGGCTAATACCAAGTTGGAAGAGGAAGTAGGCACTCTTGAGGTCATGCCTGCGGCAAAGGGCATTTTCTGTCTACCCACCTGGAGACTACCTATGGTCTCACCCATAGGGTCATGAAAGGAAAATGAGGGAGGTAGAATGAAAATAAAAGCCCTTCCAGGCCTCTGCCTCAGTTTCCCACAGCTGACAGCATCTCCAAAACAGCCAGAAGTGCTTTGCCACTTACCTAGCTGGGGGTTAGGGACAGAGCCCGGAACTCTCATTGTCCTAATAACCTAAAAGGGCCTGAATGTCATGCTGCCTAAGTCTCTCAAACCCCAGCCGTGTTTCCCAGCATTCTCCAAAACCTTTTGTTCATCCTGCTTCTTCTAATACAATGAGAACAGCCAGGTCTCTGCTTCTACAAGTCTGATACTCAGGGAGCACAATTTCAAATATCCCTTTTGTACTCTACCCTCTCACAGCTTAAAAAATGGAAAAGTTGTACCCTCCCTTTACCCAGGGACTGAAATTTGGCCTGAAAATTCTTGCAGCATCGTAGCAGAGAGAAGCCAGATTAGAGATGGGCCCAGTTGAGGATTCATCCCAACCTTGGGCAGATCGCTTTTCCTAAGCCTGTTTCTTTTCTTTTGAGACGGAGTTTCACTCTTATCGCCCAGGCTGGGGTGCAATGGTGCAATCTTGGCTCACCACAACCTCCACCTTCCAGGTTCAAGTGATTCTCCTATCTCAGCCTCCTGAGTAGCTGGGATTACAGGCATGCGCCATCACACCCAGCTAATTTTGTATTTTTAGTAGAGATGGGGTTTTTCCATGTTGGTCAGGCTGGTCTTGAAATCCCAATCTCAGGTGATCCGTCCACCTCAGCCTCCCAAAGTGTTGGGATTACAGGCGTGAGCCACTGCGCCTGGCTGCCTCAGTTTCTTTATCCATGAAATGGGGTTCGTGTTCATCTCACTGGATGAAGATGAATGATGGCGGATGGACAGCACTTACGACCACGTCATAATGAGCACCCAATATATGCAGGCGACGGCTAGGATGGGTGGCATCCCATAATGAGTAGCCAGCGTTCCAAAGGTGGGGCACGAGAGAAAGGTATAGCAAGACTCGGAATTCCAACAGTTAAAGGTAAATCCTGGACACTCTTGTTGCCTCATGTATTGAGTGGCTTTTTTGTCCCCAGACTTGCTAAGCTAAAAATGAAAGGGAAACCTTAGGTGCTCATTAACTGCCTACTTGCTTTTTCCCAGTTTCGGTTGAATAATCACTTGACTATAATGTTTAGTAAGTCAAAAACACACATGCTGAATATTCATGGAAATTTTTTATGTTTCTAGGAAAAATACAAGAGTGGGGAGGTTAGAAGCTAAGTTGTTTTTTGTTTTCTTTTGTTTTTTTTTTTTTTTCTTTCCCACACATTCTCAATTTCTTCTCAGATTCAGGAGAAGAGGAAAAGGCTATGACTCACTGGAGGTTAAGAAACCCCTTCAGCCCCCTGTTTCTCTCCTTGTTAGACCATAAACTGGCAGCTGTTACTCTTTAGGAAAAGGAAAGAAAATCCAGATGAAAGATGTTTTGTTTGCAAGCCATCTCCCAAACAGAACCTCAGAGTTCCTGAAATTCAGTGTGAAACAATCATCTATGTGACACCAAGCACTTTTACTAAAAGGATTTCCCCCATCACTGAGCTAAACCCCTACTGGAACTTTTCAACTGAGTCTGTCAGGAGGAAAGGTTTTTTTCTTAAATGTTCTAAGAGTGAGACGGTGATAATTTAACAAGCACCTGTAAAGTGTTAGTTCCCATCAGCCCTGCTGATCACTTAAGTCAAGCAAAATGCAGACACAGAAAACAGGGTGGATGATGGAGAAACCTCTCCACTGGACACCCCAGCCCTGTACTCTTCTCAGGAAAGCCTCCTTCTGTACTAAGCCAGCCATGAGCCCTCCCTAAGGCTGAGCTGTAAGCAAAAGAATGTAAAAGATTCTGAACCCCAGCTTCAGACCCTCCTCCCGAGATCATAAATAGCACTGAGAGCTCAAGTTAGGACTTTTCATACCTGTCAGTCACTTTTAGCCAAAATATGCCAACAGGCCCCTGCACCCGGAGGTGGATTTACAAGCTCAAAGCTGAACTATGACAATAAAAGAAACACATTTGCAGAGTGACTGGCAGTTTATTAAGCACTGCTTCAAACATTTGATCCTCACAGCTACCTAGTGACAACTCCCCATCTACCCAGTGGGGAGAGGAGAGACTCTCTCCCCCGACAGCTCCTTGCCCAGTGACCACAGTAGCTTCCAGCTTCCTTCGCACATCTGTTCATTGTCATCTGTGTTATTTCTGTCCTCATCAGGGATGGGGACATCTCATTGCAGCTCTGCACTTTAATAATAAGCAACCCCAGATCTTCCAGCTCAGTTGGCTCTGGGGAATTGAGTCCAAATCCATGGCCAGTTGGAGAGCAAGTCCAATCCAAGACAACTTCTCACACCATGAACACCTGGGAGAGCCGGTGTCAGGCCTGACCTGGTCAGCCTAGTTCAGATGTCCATTCCCAGAGGCTGCCTAATGCCAAAGAGTGTCTGCTCACCCTCAGGATGAGGCCAAGTCACCCTGGAAGCCCCCCAGTGAGCAGCACTGGGCAAGGTGTGTGATGCCTGTCACCCTCTCCACTCAGGAGCCAGAGAGATGCCGTGGGGCCAGCCCTTCCCGGTGCAGACCTGGGGACCTTCCCTCTCTTGGCCAGCTTCTCAGCACCCACCTGCCCTGGAGAGTGGGAAAGAGGGGAGGGCTGAAGATGGGTTAGCACAGATGGTGACCACCAGGAGGTCAGGGGAGGAGGGGGATGGGACGATGGAAAGGTGAGTGTTGCCCGGAAAAGTGGACGATCAGCTCAAGATTGTGGAAGGAGGTTTATGGCGCCTCATAATTCGTGGGACAGGGGAGGAGGGTCACCACGTGAAATATGGGAAGTGGGTGATGCTGAGGGCTGGGGGAGGGGACAGGAGGTGAGGAAAGAGGGGTCACAGGGGAGAAGGGAGATGGAGGAAGGGACCACGATGGGGCAGGGAAGAGGAGTAGGAGGAGGTCTAGGGAGGGTGATGCCCGGCTCCGAGGCGGCGGCGCTTAGCACGTACGAGCACTGGCCTCGGCCGGGCCGGGATGCGGGCGCCCGGGTCCCGGAGCATCCTCGGCGGGGGCGGCGGCGGCGGCGGCGCCGGTAAGGGAGGGCCGTGGGCCTGCAGCTGCCGGGCTCCCGCCTCCAACCCCTGTCCTGGGGTCGGCCCAGCCGCGCCGCCCTCCCGCCCCGGCAGCCCCCGGAGACGAAGCTTACCTGCGCCCGGGCGCGCGGACGGCTGCCGGGACCCAGGAGACGCCGCCGCCCGAGGGCGCGGACCCGCGGACGGCCCCTGCCCGGCGCCGCGGAGCCGCCGCCTGGCTGCTGCCCAGCCCACGCCGCGGGAGCCCGAGCCGGAGCCCGAGCCCGAGCCTAAGCCGCGCCGGTGCCCCTGCCGGTGCCGACGCCGCGCTGCGCTCCGCGGGGCCGCGAAGACCACAACTCCCACAATGCCGCGCGCGCTGGGCCGCCGGGGGAGGGGGTACGGGGGGGCGGGGCCTGCGGGGCGGGGCCGGGGACCCCCCTGCACCCGGCACCTGCGCTCGCAGTGCGGGAGGCGACCCGAGGCCGCGCCCGCCGCCGCTCCGGAGGGTCCTGGCAGTGCGCCCCGAGACGCAGCGCCCGCCCAGCCCGAGGTTGCGCGCAGGCGGCGACGGGCGTGCAGTCATTCATTAAGAAAGGCTCGCGTCGCTTCCTTCGCTCTTTCGTTTTTCGCTCTGTGTCTTTCTCAGTTCTCCCTCCCTCTGTCTCTCTGTTCCTCTCTGAGTCGCCCTCGTCTCCATTTCCTCCTTTTCATTCTCTTTCACTTCCCCCCCACCTCACTTCCTCTCGCCCTAACGCCTTCTTTCCTTTATTGATGGACTCAACACGGACTTCTGAGGCCCTCAGGCACTTGGAATGGAACCGCAAATCAAACCAGATTCTTAGTCTCATGGAAAACTCATTCGCTCAGTACAGTAATGATGGGCCAGCCTGGGTCCCCGTCCCTGCCAGCTGCGCTGAGCGTGCGCGGTGAGCGCTCAGGCCCGCCCTGCCCTCAGTGAGCCACCGTCTAGCGGGAGGGGACCCTCACCCCCGGGTAGGGTTTAGGAGGGGAAGTACAGGCAGGACGGTTGTCTGACCAGGGGACTGATGAGCTGCGAATGGAGGCCCCAAGGAGGCTGCTTGGAGGAGGTGACGTTTGAGCTAAGACCTGGGGGAGACTAACAGTGGCTACGGGATGTGTTAGGGGCGCCAGGGAAACTGCATGGGTGGGTTCTGGGAGCATAGAGTAGGATGGCCCGCCCACAATCCATCTGTCTCTGTCCCAGACCCACCTCTCTTGTGTCCCAGAATTTATCTCTAACATGGCCCAGAAGCCACCTCATGTCTGTCCCAGAATCCATTTCTCATCCCTATTCCAGAAGCCACCTTCACCCTGTTCCAGAACGTACCTCCTTCCTGTTCCAGAACCCACCTCCCTCCCTGTCCCAGGACCCACCTCCACCCTGTGCCAGAACTCACCTCCTTCCTGTTACAGAACCCACCTCCTCCCTCTTCCAGAACCCACCTCCTCCCTCTTCCAGAGCCCACCTCCTCCCTCTTCCAGAACCTACCTTCTTTCTGTCCCAGGACCCACTTCCACCCTGTCCCAGGACCCACCTCCTCCCTGTCCCAGGACCCACCTCCACCCTGTCCCAGAGCCCACCTCCTCCCTATTCCAGAAGCCACCTTCACCCTGTTCCAGAACATACCTCCTTCCTGTTCCAGAACCCACCTACTCCCTGTCCCAGGACCCACCTTCACCCTGTGCCAGAACCTACCTCCTTCCTGCTACAGAACCCACCTCCTCTCTCTTCTAGAACCCACCTCCTCCCTCTTCCAGAACCCACCTCCTCCCTCTTCCAGAACGCACCTCCTCCCTCTTCCAGAACGCACTTCCTCCCTGTCCCAGGACCCACCTCCTCCCTGTCCCAGGACCCACCTCCACCCTGTGCCAGAACCCACCTCCTCCCTGTTCCAGGACCCACCCCCTCTCTGTTCCAGAACTCACCTCCACCCTGTTCCAGAACTCACCTCCTCCCTGTCCCAGGACCCACCTCCTCCCTGTCCCAGGACCCACCTCCACCCTGTGCCAGAACCCACCTCCTCCCTGTTCCAGGACCCACCCCCTCTCTGTTCCAGAACTCACCTCCACCCTGTTCCAGAACTCACCTCCTCCCTGTCCCAGGACCCACCTCCTCCCTGTCCCAGGACCCACCTCCACCCTGTGCCAGAACCCACCTCCTCCCTGTTCCAGGACCCACCCCCTCTCTGTTCCAGAACTCACTTCCACCCTGTTCCAGAACTCACCTCCTCCCTGTTCCAAGACCCACCTCCACCCTGTCCCAGTACCCACCTCCTCCCTGTTCCAGAAGCCACCTTCACCCTGTTCCAGAATGTACCTCCTCCCTGTCCCAGAGCCCACCTCCACCATGTCCCAGAACCCACCTCTCATCTCTGTCCCAAAATCCACCTGGTCCCTGACCTAAGAATCTGCCTCTACTGTGATAGCCTAAAATCCACCTCCTCCCTGTTCCAGAACCCAGTTTGTCATGTCCCAGAACCCACTTCTTCCATGTCCCAGAGTACACCTCTCCCATGTCCCAGAATACACCTCTTCCATGTCTTAGACTCTTCTTCATCTCTGTCATTTCTCTCCTTTTCTCAACTCCAAAAGAGGAAGAATGTTTTTTCTCTTTTATTCTACTAAAATAAACCAAAACACTTGCATTGGGAAACCATAATATGCACAGATTTGCTCAAAGTGTGGATAATCAACACAGGCATCAGATTTAGAAACATTAAATGGGATGTCTGTCTTCACTGTCAGCCTAAGAGTGGTTGAGCCTGGGTGGGGTGGAGAAAATGGAGTGGGGGGTATTTGACTCATCTCACATTCAGAAAGTTGCTCAAACTTAGAATTCTCCAAAGGCAGTCATACATTCTATCACAGCATTATCCTGGCAGGTTTGAAAAAAAAAAGATATTTTTATATTGTAAATATGTGTTCCATTCCTGCACCATCTTATCTGTACTGTATTATGAATTAATATTGTCTATCAATCCTATAAGTGTCCTTGACCAGTGCAATTATATGATATCTGTAGACCACTGCTCTGCATTTGTTAGTATTTATTTGTTCAATGGCAATATTACTATACACGCAATTTTGTTAGCCCTGCTTACCATTTCTTCATCTTTTTAATTAGCTGGGAGTCTCAATAAATGGAAATGACCTGGGCCTCTGTCAACCCCTTGGAGACCCTACTAGGTGAATTCTGCAGAAAAGGATATCCATGCCTTTCAGAGGGGGATTTTGGGTGAGAGCTCCAGATAAATTGTTACTGTGCTCATGGAGAGGCGGAGAGGAGGACCAAGGGCATCTGAATTGCCTGCCTTCAGCTTGGCTGCCACCTGCATCCTCCTGCTCTCGCTGCCTTCTTTAGCGCAGTCATCCTACCCACTCCGAGACTACACAACCTATCATTACACCGTCTCATACACTCACGGGGTCCACTCAACTCCCTCCTCCTACAGATGGAAGCCCAGAGAGAAAACATGCCTTGCTCAATCAAGGTTGCAGCAAGTCAGTGGAAAATGTGCTTGCGGCCAGCCGTGGTGGCTCACATCTGTAATCCCAGCACTTTGGGAGGCCGAGGCCAGTGGATCACCTGAAGTCAGAAGTCCTAGACCATCCTGATCAACATGTTGAAACCCTGTCTCTACTAAAAGTACAAAAAGTTTTGTATTAATTTTTGTATTAATTAACTACAGGTGTGGTGGTGCACGCCTGTAGTCCCAGCTACTCTGGAGGCTGAGGCAGGAGAATTGCTTGAACCCAGGAGGCAGAGGTTGCAGTGAGCTGAGATTGCACTACTGCATTCCAGCCTGGGTAACAGAGCAAAACTCTCTGAAAGAAGAAAGAAAGAAAGAGAGAGGGAGGGAGGGAGAGAGGGAAGGAGGAAAGGAAGGAAGGAAAGAAAGAAGGGAGGGAGGGAGGGAGATGTGCTTGCTTGGTGCATTAAAGAAACTGGTATGATCACTTTGGAGAGCAGTTTGGTAGTATTCCTTAAAACAACAACAAATATGTATACACTGAAACCAACAATTTCGCTATGCTATATCTAACCTAGAGGGATTCTGGGATAGATGGAAGACTAGTTGTTTTTTCATATTACGTAATACTGTGAAGCTACTAAAAGCAGGAGCTAGATGTATATATAGCAACGTGGATAAAGCTCCTAGAAAAATAATAGGGTGAAAATTAAAAAAAAAGCAGAATTATGATTGTAGTATGATTTTATCTACATAACACGCACCTGTACACATGTGGGTATACACATGTATTTATATAAAAGCAGGGAAAGCACTAGAAGAACACACTAGTATGTTCTCCTATATAAAATGCAAAATAATTACGTTTGTAAATGCAGATAATATCCCTCAGAGGAAGCACACCAAATTCCTAAGAGTTGTAACTTCAGGGGGGACCAAGAAGGAACAAGGAATTGGGAGCAGTAGGCAAGGGAAACTCCAGCATTTTTTGTGATGTTTTAATTTAATATTTTCAAAGGTGTTTAAATACTCCGGAACAACATGCAGAAAGTTACTGGGACCGCGTCACTCTCCTATCCCTCAACCAGTTGGTTTTCTTTAGTGAAGACAGCCATTATAACAAATTTCTTATTCATCTTTTCAGGAATACGCTTTGCATTTGCAAATATTTGGAAATAGCTTAACTTTTAACTTTTAAAAAGTAAGTTTCACTTTTAACAAATAAGTATTAGTATGTTATTTGTGATATTAAAATGGTTTTTAAAGCCGGGCATGGTGGCTCACACCTGTAATCTCAGCTACTTGGGAGGCTGAGGTGGGAGGATTATTTGAGACCAGGATTTCAAGACCACCCTGGACAACATAATGAGAGCTTGTCTCAAAAAAATTTAAATAAAAGAAAAATTTTATTCACATTAAATATTATTTTTCAAGAATGTAGAATTGTTCAACATCAGAAAGTATTTTAATAGAATTCATTCTGTTAACAAAGTAAAGGAGAAGAATGACACCATGATCTCAACAGATGCAGAAAAAGCATTTGACAGAAGTCAAACATCCATTTATGATTAAAACTCCTAGAAAACTGGGAATATAAGAAAATTTTAGGCCGGGCACGGTAGCTCACACTACAGGTGTGGTGGTGCACGCTATAGCACTTTGGGAGTCCAAGGTGGGTGGATCACCTGAGTCCAGGAGTTTGAGACCAGCCTGGCCAACATGGTGAAACCCCATCTCTACTAAAAATACAACAACAACAAAAAATTAATCGGGCATGGTGGTGGGTGCCTGTAATCCCAGCTACTCAGGAGGCTGAGGCAGGAGAATTGCTTGAATCTGGGAGGCAGAGGCTGCAGTGAGCCCAGATCATGCCATTGCACTCCAGCCTGGGCAACAAGAGCAAAACTCCATCTCAAAAAAAAGGAAAGAAAAAGAAAAAAGAAAACTTTAAAAAATTGTATAAAAGGTATCTGTCAAAACCTACCATGCTACAGGTTAATATTCTTCATGAGCACAGACACATGCATCATTAACAAAATAATAACTAATCAAGTCAAGCAACATTAGAAAACATAACATGTGTGTATAATGAAGAATTTAGCTCGTCTTTGTCCCCAATTCTTAACCCCTAAACCTTTATAATTTCTTGAATAATAAGTGTGTCTTTGTTATCTGTGCATTTGTGGTAGACCCCTCAGGCCCTACTCGATAGTTTGTGCTAATGCGATAACTCAGGATGGGGGTTGGCCACACCAGAAAGACCAATCATGTGATTAGAGGGTGGAGACTTTGAGCTAAATGGTATCATCTCCAGGGAAGGGAGGGGGACTGGAGATTGAGTTCAATGATATAGGTGGTGATTCAATCAATCATATCTACATAATGAAGCCACAATACAAACTCTGGACACTGATGCTTGGGTAAGCTTTCCTGGTTGGCCATACTTTTAGAGTATTGCCACACTTTGATGCCCAGAGATCAATGTGTCCTTTATGTTTCAAGCCCTCTCAGACTTTGTTCTATATATGTCTTCTTTTGGCTGGTTCCAATTTGTATGCTTTGCTGTAATGAAACTGTAATTGTAAGTATATTGCTTTCCTGAGTTCTGTGACTCATTTTTCTGAATTATCAAACCTGAGGAAGTCTTTTGGGATGCTCAAACTTGTTGCCAGCTAGTATGAAATAAGGATGGCCCTAGGGACCCCTAGATTTGCTGCTGGTATCTGAAGTCTGAAGTGAGGGCAGTCTTGTGGAGAACTCTGCCCTCATATTTGCAGCTTGGCACTCATTGCAACATCCTATGGCCAAGTGGGGCTTATCTCAGGAATGCAAGGTTGGCTCAACATTTGAAAATTAATTATTGTAGTTTACCTTATTGACAGAATTTCTTTTAAAAACCCCTATAATCCCTTTTTGGCTTTCTGAGCAGTACCATGGTGGTTGGCAAGAACAAGCACCTTATGAAAGGTGGCAAAAAGGGAGCCAAGAAGAAAGTGGTTGATCCATTTTCTAAGGAAGACTTGTACAATGTGAAAGCACCTGCTACGTTCAATATAAGAAATATCGGAAAGATGCTAGTCACCAGGACCCAATGAACCAAAATTGCATCTGATGTCCTCATGGGTCATGTGTTTGAAGTGAGTTTTGCTGATTTGCAGAATGATGAAGTTGCATTTAGAAAATTAAAGCTGATTATTGAAGATGTTCAGGGCAAAAGCTACCTGACGAACTTCCATGGCATGAATCTTACCCATGACAAAATGTGTTCCATGGTCAAAAAATGGCAGACAGTGATCGAAGCTCATGTTGATGTCAAGACTACCAATGGTTACTTGCTTTGTCTGTTCTGTGTTGGTTTTACTAAAAAATGCAACAATCAAATATGGAAGACTTCTTATGCTTAGCATCAACAGGTCCGCCAAATCTGGAAGAAGATGATGGAAATCATGAACTGAGAGGTGCAGACAAATGACTTGAAAGAAGTGGTCAATAAACTGACTCCAGACAGCATTGGAAAAGACATAGAAAAGCCTTGCCAATCCATTTATCCTCTCCAGATGTTTTCATTAGAAAAGTAAAAATGCTGACTGGGCACAATGGCTCATGCCTGTAATCTCAGCACTTTGGGAGGCTGAGGTGGGTGGATCACGAGGTCAAGAGATCGAGACTATCCTGGCCAACATGGTGAAACCCTGTCTGTACTAAAAATACAAAAATTAGCTGGGCATGGTGGTGCACACCTATAGTCCCAGCTACTCGGGAGGCTGAGGCAGGAGAATCACTTGAACCCGGAAGGCAGAGGTTGCAGTGAGCCAAGATCATGCCACTGCACTGCAGGTGGTGACAGAGCAAGACTCTGTCTCAAAAAATAAAAAATAAAAAAAAAGAAAAGGAAAAAGAAAAGTAAAAATGCTGAAGAAGCCCAAGTATGAATTGGAAAAACTACTCATGGAGCTTCATGGTGAAGGAAGTAGTTCTGGAAAAGCCACTGGGGACAAGATAGGTGCTAAAGATGAGCAAGCTGATGGATATGAACCACCAGTCCAAGAATCTGTTTAAAGTTCGGACTTATAATCAGTGGGAAATAAAAAGTCCTATTTGTGAAAAAAGAAGAATTTGACAAAATTCAACACCCATTCATGATTAACAACTCTCAGCAAACTAGGAATGGAAGGGAAATGTCAACCTGATAAAAAGAACTATGATATACATTATGACAAAGTTTCTGAAAGTGTAGTAAGACAATTGTTTTGTGAAACTTTGTTTTACTTTGTGTTTGTGTGTGTGTGTGTGTGTGTGTGTGTGTGTTGCACTGGGTCCTAGAGAAGTTTTCAGAGTAGATACATGCACAAGAATGTTCGTTGCAACATTTCGTGAAAAATTTGAGGCAGCATTGATAAAAAGGAAAATGCACACACAAATTCATACAACAGGCCAGGCACGGTGGCTCACGCCTGTAATCCCAGCACTTTGGGAGGCCGAAGTGGGCGGATCATCTGAGGTCAGGAGTTCGAGACCAGCCTGACCAACATGGAGAAACCCCATCTCTACTAAAAATACAAAATTAGCTGGGCATGGTGGCACATGCCTGTAATCCCAACTACTCAGGAGGCTGAGGCAGGAGAATTGCTTGAACCTGGAGGCGGAGGTTGCGGTGAGCCGAGATCATGTCATTGCACAAGCCTGGGCAACAAGAGTGAAACTCCATCTCAAAAAAAAAAAAATTCATACAACACAATATGATGTAGTAGTTAAAGTGCATGGGCCAGAGCTAAATGCATCAAGGTGGATAAATCTCCAAAACACAATGTTGAGCTAGAAGAGCAAATTGCAGATTGATGTTTGCAACATTATTATTTTTTGTAAGTGTTTGATAGGGTCTTGCTCCGTTGCCTAGGCTGGAGTGCAGTGGCATGATCTTGGCTTATTGCAGCCTCAACCTTCTGGGCTCACCTCAGCCTCCTGAGTAGCTGGAACTATAGGCACATGCTACCATGCCTGGCTAATTTTTTGATCTTTTGTAGAGATGGGATTTTGCTATGTTGCTCAGGCTGGCCTTAAGCTCCTAGGCTCAAGACATCCTCCTGTCTCTGCCTCCAAAAGTGTTGGGATTATAGGCATGAGCCACTGCATATATACATATTCTCACTAGGGGAAACTATATATTAATATGTATTTATAGGAAAAATCTTTCATGGGGATGATCAATACGAGTTCAGTGTAGTGGTTATTTCTGAGGAGGAAGGAAGGAGGAAAGGAGAATGAGATTTGGGAGGAGCACATAAAGGGGCTTCAACAATATTTGTAATATTTTACTCCTTTAAAAATAACCAAAACAAAATGTTAAGATTTGATAAAGTTGAGTGATGGGTACATAAACATTTGTTCTATTTTTCTTTAGGAATGTTGGAAATATTATGAGATTATAAATTATAAGAAGGCAATTTGACACGGTAAAATTAACCCTTTGTTTTTGAAAGTTTGAGTTGTGAGTTTCCAACACAGCTTGAGCTATTTGGAGATTTGCAAGTGCAGCTGTTTCAAGTGTGTTTCCAGAGGTTCCTGGTAGTCCCCGCACGTCGGCAACAAGAGACAGGGGCAGAGGAAATGCCCAGGTTTCCCAGTTCTTCCCTCTGATCTGCTTGACCTTTCTCAGCTTTATATATTGGCCTCTGTATTTGGAAGCTATTATAAAAGACCCCAGGACTAAAATAACTTTGTAAACCACTGCCCCAAATAAAAGTTGGGAAGCTTTGCTCTGGGAAATATGAAGTTAAACCTGAGTCACAAATTCTAGGAAATAAGTTTGCCTAGAATATTATTTCCCTAGAATAAATGAAAGGGAATAGCCCTCCAAATGGGTTTATCACATTGGATGATTTAATTTGGTTGGTTGACACATACACATGAGTAATTCTATCTGTCCAGAAAGCAGAGCCACACACATGTGTTATAAGATGATGAATGCGTTCCCAGAACAAATCGAAATCACCTTGAGCTGATCCAATAAAGTGCTGCTAACATCTATTTAGCATTTGAACAGACGATGAACTTCCTGCTTACGTGCAAGTAGGTAGAGCTAGACACGAGCCTGCTGTTTGTGAAGCCTGGGGAAAAGCTTGCTTTTATACACTGGGGAAAGTGAATTAGTTAGAACCTCTTCCCAAAGCCATCCACCTGTTTCCACCACTGCTTTCCACTGGGTCACCCTGCACTTGTTCCACCTTGTGACCTTTATCCGGATGTCTCCAGTCATTCCATGTTCTCTAGGAGCTTTGCAATAGCTTTGGCTGGGCATGGAAACTAGGTGTGAGAGCCTGTATGTCTCCCAGATGGAAAAATAGAAATGAGAAGCGTGGCCAGGTTCCAATAAGAGATTTGAGAGAAGCAGCCCTCTATAAAATCTGGAATAGAATTCAACACCTAAGTGAACTAGATCTTGTTTTGACAACAGGCATCATTTCCCACCTCCATGAGCCTTTCTTGGTGGTAACAGACTATGACCAGTAATAGGTTTCCATTTCTGCACCCAGTTGGGGGTGATATTAAAATTACTTAATAATCTGTACACCATGGTGCCAACCATCAGAACGGATGCTGGCTGTAAAAAACAGACATGGCCATGTCATTACTTACTGATTCATACACCAGCCCCAGTCTGAGTGATACAGAAATGTAATCTTCAAGAAATTTCTGATGGGTTGTGTCTGAGTCCAGGAGCAGCTATACCTTAAAGCTTCCAGCTATAATGGAGAAGCTTCTTCCTGTTCTGAATCTACTTTTAAAAAATGTTCCCAACAGAGGGGAGGTGAACTACCTGTCAGCTACTTCTAAATGCTGAGAAGTCAACTGGGAAGGCTATTCATTTATTCAACATATAATTATTGAGCATATACTATGCTAAGCCCACTGAACATACAGCAGTGATTGTATACCAGCAGCCTCTGCGTTAAATCCAGCACAAAGATATGCTTAATGTGGCCTGCACAGGGTTTTAAAAATTGCCAACATTTAAAAATTAGGAGACACCATATAAAAATCTAGATTTTCAGTTTCTCTTGGAAAACAGCAATATCTGGTCACCCTGGGTCAGATTTCTGCAAAACAGCAAATTGGCTGGTGTGTGGTTTGCTGCAGTGCTCACCCAATCCCTCTTGCTCTCCAGCTCCAGTGACAATTGTCACTTGCCATTCTCATCCTCTTTGCACTATGTATGAGTACGTGTATGAATGTGTGTGTGTGTGTGTGTGTGTGTGAGTGTTTATAGTAAGGAAATATTTCTCTGCTCCCACGTCTCTGTCAAAAGGGGAAAAACAAAAGCCAGACCAAGAGGGCTGAATGATTTTTATTAGTCTTGGCCCCTTCTCTTGTTTCTGTTACCTGTCATGTTCCAAAGACACTTGAGTTTGCGGCTCCTGGAACACAATGATGCCAAAAACCAAAACAACAAAACAACAAAAAAAGAGTCTGCCTCAGGGAGTTTGCAGGAGGAAGGATTAAACTTGACAACCTAAGGTAATCCCTCACCCAGGACCCAGTAGCAAGTAGAGGGAAGGAAGAAACTGCAAGTACAAAGGCTTATATGTGTGAATAAGCTTGGCTTCAAGCATGGCAAAAGGCCTGCTGTAGCTGGGACAGACGAGAGGGAGTGTGGAGGGAGAGGAATTTGGAGAGCCAGCTCAGACCTTTTAAGCCATGGTAAGGAACTTGCGTTTCATTCTAAGTGGCATGACATAGTTTCTGCTCTCCTCTCCTTAACAAGGCTTGGATCTTGTTACTTCATGTAGCTACGGTAATAGCAATAGCAGGAGACAGGAGAGGCGGGTGAGGTTTGCATCTACCTAAACTATT
This sequence comes from Homo sapiens, assembly GCF_000001405.40. Classification (NCBI taxonomy): domain Eukaryota; kingdom Metazoa; phylum Chordata; class Mammalia; order Primates; family Hominidae; genus Homo; species Homo sapiens. The sequence continues at coordinate 26,418,275 of NC_000022.11, read as the reverse complement.
AGTATCGCTCAGGTGTCCAGCAGTGGGGAAATGATATGCTCCCACATTGGGTCCTTTGAAGAGGGCTTGCTAGTTATTTATTTATTTATTTATTTTTAGAGATCAGGTCTTGCTCTGCCACCCAGGCTGGAATGCAGTGGTGCAATTATGGCCCACTGCAGCCTTCAACTCCCGGGCTCAAGTGATTCTTCAGCCTCAGCCTCCTGAGTAGCTGGGACTACAGGTGTGCGCTATCATACCTGGCTAAGTTTTAAAATATTTTGTAGAGATGGAGTCTTGCTATGTTGCCCAGGCTGGTCTTGGAACTCCTAGCCTCAAGTGATCCTCCTGCCTGTCCTCCCAAAGTGTTGGGATTATAGGCATGAACCACTGCACCCAGCCTGAAGAGGGTTTAATAAAGGGATTGAACAGGGTTGAAGAAAACTCCAAGAAGGATATGGTACCCCAGACTAATAACAGACTAGTAACAGGCGGAGACTAGGAACAGGGGAGATGTCATCCCCTTGGGCCTGAATGGACAAAGGAAGGCTACCAGAACCTGGAGAGTGGCTACCAGAACCTGGAGAGACCCATATTGTTTAGAGAGGGCTGGATTATTCTCATAAGGGACACAGTCAGCTTGTGGTAACTCCACAAAGAGAAAGCCAGAAGAAATGACCTCACTCTCCTCCCACCTTTTTATTTCCTGCCGGGGCTGCCTGTAGAGTATACCTAACTAAAAGCCAGAGAGAGGACGCTCATTGATGGGAGCTACACAGTTAGCCTCCAGGAACCTAGGACAGAGAGGAGGTGGCCATAGAGTGGCTTTTGGCAGGGCACAAGATACTCAATTCACCATCCAGGACACAGGACAAGAAAATAGCATCCCTATTTGTAGTAGTAGGGATAAGATTCAGGTGTGGTGTCTGTAGACAATATTATCCAATTCCTCCAACTTCCGGGGAGAATAACCGCCCGGTTTCAGGAAGCCCAGGGGCCAAAGCAAGGAGAACCTTTGGGATCCGGCAAAGGATCTGAATAGATAAGCTATTCAGATGCCCATTCAGCGCTGCCAAGATGGTGCAAGAGACACCTTCGATTGGTAGGGTGTCCCTCGAGAGATGTTCCTGATCTGCTATTACTGGAATTTGCAACTCCTGTAAAAAGCTGCCTGGGGCATGAGTCACCCAGTCGCTGTCCAAACCACTGCCTCTGCAGCACACCATTCCATTCCCCGATTCTCCTCTCTCTTTCTGCAGCTGCAATCCGAGAGGCATTTGTTCCCTCCAGGGAGGGGCCCCAGGACCTGGAGCCAGCATCCTTCCCTGGCCGGCTGCCTTTGCAAACTCTAGGTAGTTGGAATTTTCTGAGTTCCAGGGAGAAAGAAGCCTGTCTGAAGAGCCCAGACAGTATGTCTCCTCATCACCTGGCACATACCTAGAGGGAACAAAGTGAACACCGTAACTGGGAGTCACCTGGATCAATGTTACAAGCTCAAGCATGGTATATGAATTTAGGACAGCTCCAAGGAGCTAAGTTTTCTTTGCATTTCTTTTTTGTTTTGATTTGTTTCAACCTAAGACAGCATCCAATTCTTTGCATTTCTTAATAGTTAGTTTGATCTGAATGCATCTGGTAGTTTTGCAGAAGCCTCAATCAGATGCATTAGGGGTTAGTTCAGTTTTTTTCGTTTTTCTTGCAAGCTTCCTTTTTGTTGTCTTTTTGTCTGTATTTTCCCCTCCCTTACACCTGTCTAAGGTAGTTATATATCATCCCTGCCAGATTCTATCTAGTTGATTCAGCAGTGGAGTGGGAGGGTGTTCAGGTCACGACGTGACTGTTATAAACTCAACCTACTGGCTGACACATATGACCTACCTAGAACTGAGAGGCTGTGTACTCAATGTTCCTCCGAGTCTTTTGCTGGCAAAGTCATCATGATTTCTGTTAACCTAGGAGGCACTGTTCAGAATTTTTGCCTTTACAAACTCTTACTTCACCTGGTGGAAGAAAACAAGGAGCTTTAGGCTCAAATGTAGGTTTGAATCCCCGTTTTACCCATCATTGGCTATGCAGCCTTAGACACGGGTTACTGAAGCTCTCAGAGCCTCAGTTGTCCATCTGTAACAATGGGCTTATTACCAACCTCAGAGTATTGTCATAGCAATCAAATAAGATAATATAAGCAAACCACTTACACACAGTCTGACTTAGGAGTACCCAACAACTTTTAGTTTTCTCCTGTCCTCAGCCTCCTTATCCACCAAAGCACACACATTTTAACCATTTTTATTCAAGCTACTGACTCCAGGATCTTGCTTGACCACAAGAAGAGTTAGCATGAACATGAACAACTGTATTGTTACTCACAGCTTTCATTACCCCTTGTAGCTCCCTTGACCCGGGCAACACAGTGCCCTCATCAAACCTTCCGCTAGGTTGTGTCATATGAAGAGTGTGATGTTTGATGCACGATGTTGATTTGAGAAGTGGTAGATTCAGAGCAATGAACTAGAAATGCAGAAGGTGGGTGGTCAGGGGTCATGGAATGGAAGGGTGTGCCAGGGACTCAGGGGACTTGAGAGGGGCTGTGAAAAGCTGTGGGACTGCTGAGAATCCTAGGGAATGAAATGTAAGCCTCCCTAATGGGGCCATGCGGGGATATTGGACAGGTTTGCCTGGCACACAAGAGGCCCTCAATTAATATTGGTGAATGAATACATTTGGAGGATTGGCTGAATGGGCAAACCATTGGTGGTCTCAGGGAACTTAGAAGATTGGGTTCCTGCTTAAATGCCCCTTATCAGAGAAGCCCTCTTTGACAAGCACAACAGCACTCCATCAGTCCTTTCTCACAGTGCTTATTATCATATTGCATATTTATTTATTTATTTTTTCTTGAGACAGAGTCTCACTCTGTCATCCAGGCTGCAGTGCAATGGCATGATCTCAGCTCACTGCAACTGCTGCCTCCTAGGTTCAAGTGATTCTCCTGCCTCAGCCTCCCAAGTAGCTGGGACTACAGGCACATGCCACCATGCCTGGCTAATTTTTGTATTTTTAGTAGAGATGGGGTTTTGCCATATTGGCCAGGCTGGTCTCAAACTCCTGACCTCAGGTGATCCACCCACCTTGGCCTCCCAAACTGTTGGGATTACAGGTGTGAGACACCACGCCCAACCATATTGCATATTTATTATACTCTTATTTGTTTACTGTTTGTCATATCCACTAGCATATAAGCCCTATGAGGGCAGGGATGCGGTCTCTTTGGGTCTCTCCTGTATCTTCAGTGACTAGAGTAAAGCTTGGCACCGAGACTCAGTAAATTTGTTTATTTATTTATTTATTTTGAGACAGTCTCACTCTGTAACCCAGGCTGGAGTGCAGTGGTGCACTTATGGCTTACTGTAGCCTCTACCTCCCTGGGCTCAAGTGATCCTCTTACCTCAGCCTCCTGAGTAGCTGAGCAGCCCAGCTAATAAAAAAAATTAGTAGGGCTAATATTTGTAGAGATGGGGTTTCACCACGTTGCCCAGGATGGTCGTAAACTTCTGGGCTCAAGCAATCCACCTGCCTTCGCCTCCCAGAGTGCTAAGCATACAGGCAGGAGCCACCATGCCCGACCTTCAGTAAGTGTATTTAAATAAGTGATTGTAGACATGAGAGCTATTATAGAGGTGGGTGGGAATGAGAGTGCCTGGGAGAAAGACTTGCAGTGCTTCTCAAACCTCAGTTGCCTGAGACTCACCTGTGTTTGGGTTGAAACTCCTGACCTACTCAATCAGAATCTGAATCAGGAACATGGAGGCCTGTATTTATCAGCTGCTCTAGTAGTTCGAATGCAGATGTTTTGAGAACCACATTGAGAAATATTTGCCTCATAGAAATGGATGGATTTCCCCCAACAATATATCTCCCTTCCGGAGTAGACTTTTCCTCTCTACTTATCTCCGAATCACTTTGCAACATCCAGGCACTTGATCTAATAGCTCTTCACAGCTTTATAGATCGCCTTGGTGAAGGCCACCCAGAATAACTTTATGAAAAGGAAGAGACAGATTTCTCCAAACCGCTCCATTCAAAAATGATGCTCCAGGTCTCCCAAAACACTCCTTCCTAAATGCCCCACTTGCTTTCACATTATAAAGATATGTATTTATTTATTTTTACTTTTAGCCCGTTAGTGTCCATTATCTAATAGTCTCTAGTCTCTTATTTCTAAATGATCCTTTGTGTTTGGATTGCTCATTTTAGAAAGTAACCTCAAAGAATGAAGATTGCAACTTCTATTTTCTGTCTTCTTTTAGTGCCAGCTGTTCAAGAGGATGCTCGCTTAATGCTCTTAACTCCTGGACCAATTAACAGCCACAGCAGGGCCCTGAGTAGAGGCTTGAAACATGAAAATGAGGACAAGTGCAATACTAATAATAACAGCTTCCAAGTTTCTCCCTTTCCATAACACCAATGACTTGATGTAAGGAAAGAGGAATTTACCTTTTCTCTTTTTTTTGAGACAGAGTCTCCACCCAGGCTGGAGTGCAGTGGCATGATCATGGCTCCCTGCAGCCTTAAACTGGGCTCAAGTGATCCTCCTGCCTCAGCCTCTCAAGTATCTGGGATTATAGGCACATGCCACAATGCCTGGCTAATTTTTGTATGTTTTGTAGAGATGGGGTCCCACTATGTCACTCAGGCTGGTTTCAAACTCCTGGCCTGAAGTTATCCTCCCACTTCAGCCTCCTAAAGTACTGGAATTACAGGCATGAGTCACTGTGCCAGGCAAAAAAGGAATTTTTATATTGCTATGTAACTTTCACTTTTTCTTCCCTACTCTTTTGCTTTCTTTTCTAACCCATCAAAATTATCTGGCTTTAAAGGAAATTATTCATGTAGACTCAAGAATATGTTTACAGTATGGATTTCCAGGTTAACACGAGAGATGGGACTTTGCAGTATGAACAAACGGGGATGCTAACAATTTTGCTGTTGCTGACTCACCTTACATTTAAAGCATAAATTGTGGCTCATGCCTGGAATCCTAGCACTTTGAGAAGCTGAGATGGGAGGACTGCTTGAGCCCAGGAGTTCTAGATCAGCCTGAGCAACATAGGGAGACCCCATCTGTACAAAAAATAGAAAAATTAGCCAGGCATGGTGGTGTGCACCTGTAGTCCCAGCTGCTCAAGAGACTGAGGTGCAAGGATCGATTGAGCCTGGGAGTTTCAGGCTGCAGTGAGCCATAATCATGCCGCTGTATTCCAGCCTGGATGACAGAGCAAAACTCTGTCAAAAAAATTAATAAAGAGGCATATGTTGGCAGGACAGATGGCTCTTGCCCTCTGAATTTGTGGAAATATTATTTTACTCCTGTGCCTCTCACTGATGATAAAAGCAGTGGTGGGAGAATGAAGGCTGGGACTCACTTGATTGGCACCTATTGCTGGTGGTGGTGGTGGTGATAGTGATAATGTGTATCTGTGCATGTATGTGGCAGTAAACAGTCTCATCTTTTATTAAAATGCTTCTGACGATTCTTCAGTCCTTACTTCCAGCCCTAAATCTGAAATCCTTCCATCTTTTCCTTTTCAGTTACCAACGCTGCCATTCTCCCAGAGCCCTTGTTTTGAATATTAGAAGCCAACTTTGATCCTTTTCACTTATAAATGCTTGCCACATCCCGTACAGTCTACCTCCCTTGTCTTTCTCACAAGCATCTCTTTCCCATTCTCTTTGCTATCATGGTAATTCCAATCTGCACAATTCCCCAATCTGTACCCTCTTCCCCATTCATCCTACATATCATTCATGGTTTAAGCCTCCTAAATGAACAACTTGGTTTCAATGGCTCTCAGTTAACCAATGGAAAAGATATACTAGCTCATCAGCCTGGTTGTCAAGACCTTGCACAAGAAAGCCCCTATCTGGCTAAGCATATCCCCTATACACGGACATTTTCCTCCTTTAGGTATTTGCTCAGGCTGTGTCTATGTCCAGGAATGCCTTCCTTTGGTGTTGTGCATCTGTAAAAATCTTTTTTCACCATTTGAAGCCTCATGAAGTGCCTATAAATCAGCCCTTTGGTTTAGCCAATCTTTACTGAGTTTTAGGCACAGTGCTAGGTACTAGGGAAGCAAATAAATAAAGCGTGGTCCCTGCTCTCGGAGGAGTTCACAGACTGATAGGGAAGAGGGACGGAAGAGCAGATAATTCAATAAAGCTGATAGTTCCAAGGATTCAGATTTCTGTGGAGTACTGAGAAGGGGCACCTGACTTAGACCTTTTTGTGGGATGGAAATGGTAAGAGAATAGGTAAGTTGATACTTGGGCCAAGTCTTAAGGGGTGAGCAAAAGTTAGGTGAAGATTGCAGGGCAAGGCATGAGCCAAAGATGGAGATGGAACAAACATAAAGGGATGGGATACTGAGCAAGCCACAGCTCCAAGAAGAGGCACAGCCAGTTGCTCAGTCATGCGGGACATCTCCGAGCAGGCTGTAGAGAAACACTGTGCCTCAGAACAGTTCATCAAAGAGAGGAAGAGAGATGAATTTTTCCCTTGTTTCCTCTTGACTCTTGACTCTCATTAATTAAAGTTTATTTCACGGAGCATTCAGTCTCCACACTTAAACTAGCATTTCTGGGAAGCTGCTGGGAAGGCCAGACTCCAGGCTCTGTTGCGTGGTGCTTCGTCTGAATCTAGACATCATGAGCAGAGTCAAGTCTCCATGAGGCTGGTGTGGTCAGGAACTTGGGTGTCCAGCTGCTATGGCTCCCGCCATGGTGAATGCAGTGAAGATTGTGTCTGACCCCGGCCTTATCTCAGAGAAGGCAAGAAGGTCAGCACTGGGGCAGTGGAGGCTTTGGCTGTGATAATGGTGTCTGGGCTTTCCAAGAGGGGGAGCATCAATTGTGACTGATACAGTCCACCCCTGGAACTCCTCAGCTATACTTATGTGTTTTTATGATATCCAGCTTTCATACTATAATATCTAGCCTCAATTTTTGGAAAACAGGGCTACTACATGGAGGGTGGATCTGAGGAGGGCAAGATCAGGAGCAGAGAGATTAGCTAGGATGCTACTGCAATAGTCTTAGCAAGCATATCAACTGGGACAATGATCGTGGCAATGAAAAAGAGCAAGAGAGCTTGAGAAACATTTAGGAGATGAACAAAATTTGGTGATTGATGGATGTGGGGGTTAAGGGAGAAGAAGGAATCCAGGTTGAGTCCCAGCTTTCTACCTTGGGTAACTGGAAGAAGGATAGTGATTCCAGCAACTCAAATGGAGAAGTCAGAAGTTTTCCATTAACTACTGGAATCATGGATAAAAACCAAAAGGTTAAGGTCATAGTTTTCTAATGGCTCAAATGAAGTTTACCAGAAAAGTAAAGGCCAAGAATGGGACCTTTGTCAGAATAGCTAAGTTTTTATATCATAACAGAGAAACAAAAATTTTAGTTTCTCTATTTTTTTTGAATCTATTTTTTAAAAATAAATTGAGTGTTCTCTTTAGAAGCTCTCTTTTAAAATTTCGTCTTATGGTATGTTAATATGACAGCTGTTAGAAGATGCTATTATCTTTCATTTCGCATTACTGCCTTACAGAATAGATTTAAAAAATAGATATACTGTATAATCACACAAGTCGAGGAGCTCTTTTTTAGCCCTGAGAGTGGGAGGTAGATTGGCATGCAAGAGATGCTGGGTTCATTTTGTAAGCGTATTCACAGTCATGTTATTGCACTGACCTGTCAAGATTTAAACTCTGAGAAGAGCAGACTGGTTTCTTGCCCATAATAAAATCATGTCTGAAGTCAGGAGCCTGCAGATCAGCAGGTCTGCTTCACCCGATAGCTGCCCAGAGCTTGTTTTTAAAAGGACAGAAAAATCCAGACAGGATGTTGGGATCTAGAAACAGTGTCAAGCCATTCTTATGATGGTTTGTTTTCCTTTGTCCTCTTTGCAAAGTTGTGCTATTGTTTCTCTTTCACATCAGGTCTTAGAAAATATATGGCAGGGTAGTTCTGGACATCTTGACTTGAAATTTCCAGCAGCTCTTCCAGCAAGTGCTTTTTTGTCTCCATGGAAACCAACAATGTTTTGAAGAGGCAGTGACAGGTGGAGCACATATGAGCTACCATGGGGAGTGCATGTCAGTCTATCAGTTAAAGTCAATGGCAAAATACCCACAGTTCTGGGGCTTTCTACGGCACACCCAATTTGACCTTCCGAAGGAAGAGAAGCAGAATGATAAAGATGAAGTCATTTTTCCCCCCAGCATTTCAAGCCTATACACTGGTTCCTCTTTACATCACCAAGTCATTGTTCCAATTCATCTTCAGCACTCCCACTTTTAAGCCACCAGTGGGGCAGATGCGGTGACTGACGCCTGTGTGAATCTTGTGATCACAGTGCTAGGGAGATGGCTCTGGCAAGGGGAGGCTACTTTTCCATTGGCTGGTATTTCCTCGCTTGTGGGATTCATTCCCAGGAACCCTAGCTTTTCTTACTAGTAAATTTCAGGTTGGGGCATTTGCTTTAAGAATTCATGGTTTTCACATATGCATGTGTGGGGGAGAGAGGAGCATGCATTTTTCACAAACCCTGGGATTCTTCTGGATTTGGGGACACATTCCTGATTGATCCGTAGAGGCGGGACCCACCTGCAAAAATCCAATTACTTGTAAGCCAGGCATGGAGCACTATCAACAGGAGAGCAGTACTGACCTTCCACTCCAGCTTCCTAATCAGCTGGTAATGATACGTTTTTATGGAAACAAATATATGTAGGGTGGGTGTGGGGGCTCATGCCTGTAATCCCAGTGTTTTGGGAGGCCGAGGCAAGCAAGTGGATTGCTTGAATACAGGAGTTTGAGACCAGCCTGGGCAGCAGAGCAAAACCCTGTCTCTACAAAAAAAAAAAAAAAAAAAAAAAAAAAGTCCAGGCGCGATGGCTCATGCCTGTAATCCTAGCAGTTTGGGAGGCCGAGGTGGGAGGATTGCCTGAGCTCAAGAGTTTGAGATCAGCCTGGGCAACATGGTGAAACCCCGTCTCTACTAAAAAAATACAAAAAATTAGCCAGGCATGGTGGTGTGCACCTATAGTCCCAGCTACTCGAGAGGCTGAGGCAGGAGAATCGCTTGAACCCAGGAGATGGAGGCTGCAATGAGCCAAGACTGTGACACCGCACTCCAGCCTGGCGACAGAGTGAGACTCTGTCTCAAAAAATAAAATAAAATAAATAAATAAATAAATAAATAAATAAATAAATAAATAAGCTGGGCATAGTGGTATGTGCTTGTAGTCCCAGCTACTCGGGAGGCTGAGGCAGGAGGATCCTTTGAGTCCAGGAGGTCGAAGCTGTAGTGAACTGTGATTGTGCCACTGCACTCCAGCCTGGGCAACAGAGTGAGACTGTGTCTCAAGAAAGAAAAAGGAAGGAAGGGAGGGAGGGAGGAAGGAAGAAAGGAAGGAAGGAAAGAAAGAAGGAAGGAAGGAAGGAAGGTAGGAAGGAGGGAAGGAAGGAAGGGAGGGAGGGAAGTAAGAGGGAGAAAGGGAGGGAGAGAGGAGGGAGGAAGTAAGAAAAGAAGGAAGAAAGGAAAGAAGCAAAGAAATGTAATTTTCAATAAGATTCAGCAAAAACACTTCACTGCTCTCACAAACCCAAAAGGAGAAACTGTTTTATATATTTCCTCTGGCTTTTATAAGCCATTTGACCGCAGAAGAGGCACTCTTGTTTGTCTCAGCATACACTCTCATCTTAGAACTTGCAGGAGATGCCACATATGCCCTTGTTCTTGACCACTTATGTGCACCTGTGTCCCTTGCCTTGAGGGCCTTCTCTGGAGACCTCCGTTTGTTGACACAGGGGGCAGGCCTGAAAGTATCAGGGATTAACATCCTCTGACAGCAGCCCTCATACAATGACTGCTGAGAGCTGGAAGACAAATATCTCTACTCCTTCACCATTTGGAATAGGAAGACCAAAGTGTGTATTCTCCACTGGTCCCCTGGGGTCCCCAGAGGGATGGAGCTCCAGTCGCCCGCAGGACTAACTTGCTCAATGTACTTTTTTACTAACCGTCGCCTCTTCCCTGTCTTATTTCCCCACTTTCCTAGAAATATTTCCTGGGAGGGCTTCTTAGGTATTTATTTTTATTTCATTTTCCCATCAACTTTTTTTTATTGAGGTGAAATTCGCGTAACATAAAATGAACCTTTGCAAAGTAAACAGTTCAATGGCATTTAGTATAGGTGCAATGTTGTGCAACCCCACTGCTAATTCCAAAATATTTTCATCACCTCAGAAGAATACCCTATACACATCAAGCAGTTACTCCTCCTTCTTTCCTACCCCAGTCCCTGACAACCACCAATCTGCTTCCTGTCTCTGTGGATTTGCCTCTTCTGGATATTTCATATTGATGGAAGCATAGAATATGTGATCTTTTGTGTCTGGCTTCTTTCACTTAGGATAATGTTTTCAAGGTTCATCTGTGTTACCGCATGTATCAGTATTTCATCTTTTTTTTTTTTTTTTGACGGAGTCTCGCTCTGTCGCCCAGGCTGGAGTGCAGTGGCACGATCTCGGCTCACTGCAAGCTCCGCCTCCCGGGTTCATGCCATTCTCCTGCCTCAGCCTCCCGAGTAGCTGGGACTGCAGGCGCCCACCACCATGCCTGGCTAATTTTTTGTATTTTTAGTAGAGATGGGGTTTCACCGTGTTAGCCAGGATGGTCTCGATCTCCTGACCTTGTGATCTGCCTGCCTCGGCCTCCCAAAGTGCTGGGATTACAGGTGTGAGCCACTGCGCCCGGCCCATTTCATCCTTTTTTATGGCTGAATAATATTTCATTGTATAGGCCACAATTTACTTATTCTTTTGTCCATTAATGGACATTTGGGTTGTTTCCACCTCTTGGCTGAAGAGTGCTGCTTTGAACATCCACATACAAGTATTTGTTTAAGAACCTGTTTTTTAAATTCCTTTGAGCATATACTTAAAAGTGGAATTGTAGCATCACATGGCAATTCCATTAACTTCTTGAAGAATCGCTCAACTGTTTCCACAGCAGCTATACAAGGATTGCAGTTTCTCCCCATCTTTGCCAATGCTTGCCATCTTGTTTCTGTTTTTGTTTTTATTATGGCATACTAGTGGGTGTGAAGTGGCAATCTCTGTTTCTGTTTGCATTTCTCTAATTATTAGTGATGGTAAGCATCTTTTTTCTTTATTTTTATAGACAAGGTCTTGCTCTGTCGCCTAGGCTGGAGTGCACATGACCATAGCTCATTGCAGCCCCAAACTCCTGGGCTCAAGTGATCCTTCCACCTCAGCCTCCTAAGTAACTGGGATTACAGGCATGCACCACCACACCTTGCTAATTTAATTAATTTTTTTTTTTTTTGGTAGAGACAAGGTCTCACTATGTTGCCCGGCTTGTCTCAAACTCCTGGGCTCAAGTAATCTTCCTGTCTTGGCCTCTCAAAGTGTTGGGATTATAGTTGTGAGCCATCACACCCAGCCTAGGCATCTGTCTTACTAATTTGTTTTTATTTTGAAAAATTCCAAACACATTGAGAAGTTTAAAAAAAAAAAAAAAAGGACACAGAACACCTCCTGTGTATACCCTCCACTTCTAATTGGGCATTTCCTGCAAACTAGAAGTTTTGTGTAGAGGCTTGAGTAGGTTCAGGTAAAACATTTCAACTTGGCATCTTTAATAATATTAGCAGGCGAGAGTACTGAGCGTTTTCTATGGGCCAATTGTCTCACACAGATATTCTCATGGAATCTCATGATGATTCTGGGTAGAGGATGCAGTGGTTGCTTCTACCTCCCTAGAATCCACAGCTCTCTCTCCTGGTAATGACATTTTGATTTTCGTCCCAGAAACCACTCATCCTTTGTTGATCCAGCTGCTCAGATGAGGCTGACCTCAACTTCCAACCCCAGAGGTGCATGTGACTGAGGCATTACAACTAGAGACGCCATGATTGGCCAGGGAGAGGCACGTGACCCAAGTTGGGCCAATAAGAGCCAGCCTCTGAGCTACCATAGATCATTGAATAGAAGGTAAATCTTTGTAGGACTCACTGTTCTTTTACATATGCTGAGGACGGTGCTGCCAAGTAGTTATAAAATAGCATCAATTGTAAGATATACCCTAATTTCAGAAATGTTCATATGTGAAAGGAAAGAAACTGTCTTAGATTGCTGGACTGTAGGTCATCTCACCCTCCCTGGAGGAGAGTCTACCTGAAGAGTTGAGTAGTGTTTACCCCCACCCCCCCTTTTTTTTTTTTAAGAGATGAGGTCTCTGTGTTGCCTAGGCTAGAGTGCAGTGGCTATTCACAGACTTAATCATGGAACACTCACCCTCACATTCCTAGCCTCAAGTGATTCTCCCACTTCAGCTTCCCAAGTAGCTGGGACTACAGGCTACAGGCCCATGCCCAGCTTCCTGGTTAACCCTCCACACCTTCCTGCCCCTTCTTCAGTGGCCCACAGTCATGCACTAGGAAGCTACTGGCTGGAGCTCTGGATGCTCAAGAAACAGACCCCCAGACCCCACCCCCAAAGGCTTGCTGAAAATGCCCTGCACTCACTTACCCATCTGCCTTGACAACCAGGGTGTTCTGGTTCTTTGAATTTGTAGGACTGCATGGACTCCACTCCAGTGAGGGGCCAGCACTAAAGGCAGTTACACAGCTTCCAGAGGCAGCTGTATGATGGGTGAAAATTCCACTGGGAGTGACCATGGTGGTTAGGGCACTCAGAGGTGAGGTGGGGAGTACCAGGAACCAGCACTCCCCCCACTCAAAGTCTCCAGGTATTGGGCCGAGGAATTGGACTGTTCAAAGAGTAGACATTCAAAGCTGCGTAACATTGGATGAGTTAGCCAGCCTCTCTGAGCTGCAGCCAGTTTGTCATTTACAGGATTGCAGGGAAGATGAAATGAGATCATCTTTACGGAGCTTATCACAATGCCAAACACATTGCAATTACCGAACACTTGTTAGATGTCAGTCTGCCCAAGGTTAGCCAGCCCTTAAGTGTTCTGGCCAGGCTTGAACCCAGGGATGTCTGGCTCAACTGCTGAGCTCTTAACACCTCTTCAGGATCTTTTCACAGCCTTACCCTGCTCTCCCTTCTCCTGACTCTTGTCACTCTCTGAAGCTCGCAGCTAAATTGTAACAAAAGAGGAACTTGTGGCTAATGGCTCAGCAGGATTAGGAAGCAACTGCTGCGCATGTTGACAGATTCCAGAAAACAAAATTGTTACCAGCTCAACTCACTTTGGTGTTCATGGTGAGCACTGGGGTAGTGGGGAGCACTTCACTTGGAGGATTGGTTGTGGGGCAACTCCCACTGAGGGCTTGCAGGGGTTCCCATACCCTCGTGCTATGTGTCTTTCAAAAACACAAAGTTTATTCTGCTTCAGGCAGCAGAGACAGAAAGAAAATAAAAAATAATCACAAAGTTTAGGAATGAGGTTTGTTTTTTCCAGGCACTGCTATTCCCTGAGGCCATTCTATGGTCTTTTTATTTGAATCTCAAATGTCAAAATATTTTTTTTTTTAAGTAGAGGTGGACGCAGGAGAAATCTAACTATGAGAATGTGCGTGGCAGGTTTCAAGGCAGCCCACGACGTGAGCAGCCTGACAACTTGGTCCCTGCAAGAGGAGGCTGGTGTGGGGGTGATGTGGCGGGGGTGGGATACAGACAGAGACCAGGAGAGAAACAGAAAGTGAGAAAAAGAGACAGAGAGAAAAAAACAGAGCCACATAGAAACACACACACACACACACACACACACACACACACACACACAGAGAGAGAGAGAGAAATAGACCATAAAAAAAGAGAATAGGAGAAGAAAAACACACAGAGAGAGGCAGGGATGGAACTAGAAGAGACAGAGACAGAAAGACAAAGAGACAGAGAATCAGGAGAGAGTGGCTAAGACAGGCAGGACCTCAGGTCCTCTGGGATTTAGCCAAAGGCACTGCCCACAGCTTGGCCTTCTCTTGACTTCATTCACTCATTCGACAAATATTTAAGACTGCTAGACTTGAGTGGCAACAAAGGCCTCCATTTCTCAAGCATTTTCCATGTGCCAGGCACCGTGCTAAACATTTTACCTGTATTATCTCACTTTGTTCTCACTAGTAACTATATAGAGTAGTTATTATTATTATAGATCCATTTTACAGATTGGGAAACTGACACCTCTGGCCAAAGTCCCAGGGGTATTAAGTGATAGAGCCAGGTCTGCCTGCCTAGATCTCTCACTGTGCCATTAGGCCAATCACTATTACCCTTCCTCCTTCCTCCTTCCTCCTCCTCCTCCTTCTTCTGCTTTCTTTCTTCCTCCTCTTCTTTCTCCTCTCCTCCTCCTCCTCCTTTATCTTTTTTTTTGTTTTTTTGACACAGAGTCTCACTTTGTCATTCACGCTGGAGTGCAATGGTATGATTTTGGCTCACTGCAACCTCTGCCTCCTGGGCTAAAGTAATTCTCCTGCCTCAGCCTCCCGCATAGCTGGGATTACAGGCGCCCACCACCACGCTCGGCTAACTTTTTGTATTTTTGGTGGAGATGGGTTTTTGCCATGTTGGCCAGGCTGGTCTCAAACTCCTGACCTCAGGTGATCCACCTGCCTCGGCCTCCCAAAGTGCTGGGATTACAGGCGTGAGCCACTGCTCCCAGCTCACTATTGCTCTTCTAAATGGGACAGGAGACAGAAAGTGAGGCTCAGCGGGTAGGGAAGGAGCATCTGCTTCAGGAATTCTTCTTGTGGGCAGGGAGATCACGGGGAGCTGAATTAAAACAGTAAGAAGGCTGTTCCACATAAACATAGGGTTTTTAACACAGTGGAGGGATGGGCAGAATTGGCAAGGAACAGTAAATCATGCCCCTAAAAGCACAACATGCCTGTGTCCTAGGAACACGAGGATTAGAAGAGTTCAAAAATTCACAAACTGATGACAATTAGAATATCAGGTATAAGGAGCTACAGGGTCTTGGGAATTTGTTTCTTTTTTTAACAAGGCACTAACTCACCATATCAGGTGGCTTTGCAGTGAGCACCGCTTGCTTGGTGTGTGGAGTCCTTTAGAACAGGGATTTTTAGTCTGAGGATGTGGGTGGACTCTGGTTTGTTGGGAGTCTCCTGAGTTAGGATAGAGCTTTCCTGGTTTGGTTCTCTGGAAGCCGACCCTGAGTCATGGATTCCTCTAGAAGTGGTTCATTTGGAGGTGATACCAGAATGCACCAGAAAAGGAACAGAGAAGTGAGGCTTGGAAAGGAAGAAAGCCAATAAAAGGCATGTTACTGAGCGCTGTGGACAACCGAGGCCCCGATCTCCCTGGGAACTCTGGGGACGGCGCAGAACATGCCTCAAAGGTGTCCCTCCCAAGGAAAGGGGGAGCTGGGTATTTACCCCTCAACCCCATCCCTCTTTAGCTGAGGTCCGCTTCCAGGCATATCTCTCTGGCAGTTCAAGATGCCTTATGAGCCACCAACATAGAGTATTTGATTCTTACCTGTGGGTCTTGAATCCTTACGGATCTCAGACTTATTTTTAGAAGTAGGAAAACTGTTTGTACATTACATCAATATGATAACTTTGCAGATGAAGTATAGGTGTTTTGCAAGTATGACTGAATTCTTAATAGCTCTCTGTATGTGTGAAGTTGGGGTGGGGTGGGGACACAGGATGTATTTTCTTTCTTTCTTTTTTTTTTTTTTTTTGAGACAAGATCTTGCTCTGTGGCCCAGGCTGGAGTGCAGTGGCATGATCATGGCCCACTGCAGGCTTGACCTCCTGGGCTAGGGAGATCCTCCTGCCTCAGCCTCCCAAGCAGCTGAGACCACAGGTGCACACCACCACACTTGGCTAATTTTTAAATTATGTATACAGATGGGGTCTCCCTATGTTGCCCAGGCTGGTCTCAAACTCCCAAACTCAAGGGATCCTCCTGCCTTAGCTTTCCAAAGTGCTGGGATTACAGGTAGGGGCCACAACGCCTGGCCGATAGGATGTATTTTCTTAATTACTTGAAATACAAATAGTGTTCTATTACCAAGACCTCTTTTAATTTCAAGGGACAGAAACCCAACTCAAACTGGCTTCATCCCAAAGAGAATGTTTGGTTCATATGATTACAAAGGTGAGAGGTGGGTGGGTCTCACTTTCAGTCCAGCTGAATCTAGAAACTCCAACAACATCACCAGGGATCTGTCTTTTTCTCTTTCTAGGCTCTGTTTTACTTTCTCTTGTTTTCATTTGCAGTCATGATTGCCCTGCGCGGCAATAAAATGGCTGCCAATGGATCCAGGCACACCTCCTAGAGGCCTGGGAGCTCCTGCCAAAAGAGCCAGTCGGTTTCCCATTGGCCAGTTTGGACCACGTGACTTTCTCTGAGCTACCGTGGAATCTTTGATTGCCCAGGCTGTGGTTAGGTCCTCATGGTGTCAGGAAGGAGGATCAGTTCCACTTAAGCCTGTAGCCCCAGAGCCCCTCTCTCTTTCCTCAAAGGAAAAATTGAGGAACTGTTACCATGAGAAGAGGGCCTGGATTTCCATTATAACCGACATATGGAGTCCCTGAAGTGAAAAAGGGACCCTTCTTTTGGAAAATGTTGAGTTCTAGGCCAAAATGTACCAGGGTCTTTCTAGAGAGACATGCAATTGTTTGGCCATGGTGTATGGTTGCTCTTTCATCATTTGATGAAATCCTTTTGATTATATAACCTCTCAGAAAATTCTCCAGTAGAAAATAGTTGAAAGAAAGGAAGGAAGGACTATGGGGAGGGAAACTGGGGAAGCAGAGCAGAGCGAGGCTTCAGATAGTCACTGGAGAGGAGGGCCAGGTGGAAGCCATCTTCCTCCAGATGGGATCCTGGAGTATTGAAGGTCAGGTCCAGACTGATAAGAAAAGATGACTTCTAGAGCCACTAGTAAAGCCTCTCGAGACAAAAAAGCACACCCTCCTGCTGATTGTCCTTCATAGTCTTTTTAGCTTTCGATGGAACAAACTGTGCTGTGATAAACAACCTTGTATAAAAATCCTGACCCAAGGTGTTGAGCATTTCTGTGGGATCCGTGGAATAAATTAGGATGCAGCACACTCTGGCCCATAACTCAGCTTTAGAGCTCTGTGTAATGACCTGGAGAGATGTCCATTCGAGATATGTTCTTTCTCCCTGAATCTATGTTGAGAGAGATACACATAAAGATATAGATATATCAAGGGCGGGGGCATGGGGGAAGCAAAGCACATAATAACTTCTTTTGAGGAAAACAAAGTCTCTTATATGTATCCTTATGAGCAAAGAGAATGATGTGGAAGGAACTATACCAAAGAGTACTGGAAACATTGATGTTTCAAAGATGTGGGACGACAGGGGTTGAGAAAGGTTATTAGCTTGCTTACTAGGCCTGTGTGTTGCTTGAATCCTATAATCGCATGTGACCTTTTTCTTTCTGTCTGTTTTTTTTTTTTTTAATTGAGACATAGTCTCTTTCTGTCGCCCAGGTGGTGCAATCTCGGCTCACTGCAACCTCCTCCTCCCGGGTTCAAGTGATTCTCCTGCCTCAGCCTCCTGAGCAGAGTAGCTGGGACTAAAGCCATGGACCACCATGCCTGGCTAATTTTTGTATTTTTAGTAGAGATGGGGTTTCACCATGTTGGCCAGGCTAGTCTCGAACTCCTGACCCCCCTCAAGCAATCTGCCCACCTCAGCCTCTTAAAGTGTTGGGATTATATGCGTGAGCCACCATGCCCGGCCACATGTGACATTTTAAAGCATGTATATATTTCACATGCCATGAAACAAAATGTGAAAAGGAAAAAAAAATTACTGTATTTGTTAACGGCCCCCCAATATTAAACTCTACGGATATCTACTTGCCCCTACCCCTGCCTTCTTAGAAGGAAGGACACCAAGGAGGGTCCTGCAGGTTGGTGGATGGGGAACTGAAAAGGCAGACCTTGCTTGTATGTGTCTATGTATGAATTTATTCAGCCTGAGATTTTATTAGTAAAGGAAGTCCTCTCAAGCAGTTTCACCTGGCACAAAAGTTGTGAGATTCACGACGTTGGAAAATTTGCAAATCAAATGGTTCATTTAGTATGATACTGTACTTGCTAGTGGGATTATGTTGATTATGCACTATGAATAGCATATTTTATTTTTCTTTCTTTTTAAAAAATTGGTTGTGGCAAGAACACTTAACATGAGATCTCAACTTTTAACAGATTAATTTTTTTTTTTTTTTTTATTAGACAGAGTCTCGCTTTGTCGCCCAGGCTGGAATGCAGTGGTGTGATAATAGCTTACTGTAACTTCAGACTCCTGGGCTCAAGGGATCCTGCTGCCTCAGCCTTTCCAGTAGCTAGGACTACAAGCATGCACCATCACACTAAGCTAAGTTTTTAATTTTTTTGTGAAGACAGGGTCTTGCCATGTTGCCCAGGCAGGTCTCAAACTCCTGACCTCAAGCAATCCTCCGACCTTGGCCTCCCAAAGTGCTAGGATTACTGGCGTGAACCACTGCACCTGGCCCCGAACAGATTTTTAAGTGTACAACATAGCATTGCAGAACTTGTTCATCTTATGCATTATTTTTATATAAGAAGGGTGTGGTGGTATGGTTGCTAGAGAAAATGCAGGATCCCAGTTAAATTTGAATTTCAGATAAACAACACTTTTTTTTTAAGTATAAATATGTCCCAAATATTGCACTTTCCCATTGGCCCAGCTTGGCTCATGTGACCATCTCTCCACTAATCATGGAACCTCTGATTGGCCAGACCATGGTCAGGTGTCCCACAGTCAGAACTGTATTATTAATACTACAGATTTATTTAATTTTCAAATTTAATTGGGTGTCTTGCATTTTTATTTTGTACATTTGGTAACCCTACGTGGAAGAAAGTCAGATGGGTAGGGGGTGGGAGAATTCCTGAGTTTGGGGAAGGAGAGAGATTCAAGTAGGTTCCCAGGAATGTGAGACTCTTGGGGACAGAAATGGGTACAGAGGATTTTATGGAAGTTTTTCTGTGTGATGTGCCTGGTAATATACTTCCCACTCAGTCCCTTCTAGAGAACATCAGTACAAGTTAGAATCTTTGAAAGTCTTTTGTGTGGTTCTCTGGTTGGGGGCAGCATTGTATGAGCCCTGGGTCCAAAGCCACCCCATTTTTTATCTGTAACACGCAGCCTGGGCAAGAATGAGTAACAATGATGCTGGTTTCTTTTACTGCCAAGAATGAAGGGCAGCCTGCTAATTCTCCAAATCATATTTTGTTTTACCAGAAAGAATCCATTTCATCAGTTATCTTTGTCCAAAGAAAATAACCATTGTGAGGAAACAGAAGTGTGATTCAGTTTCTGTAGGATGCTCAAGGCCTTCCTTGAGAATCCCATGCTGAGGATGCCATCTGGTGGTTTAAAGGGACCCAGCTTGCCAGTGACACCGGCCCGGCTTTGGGCTTCTCTATTGGCTGATAGTCATTTCTTCACCAAATATTTGAGTGCCTACTCTGTGCTGGGCACTGTGGTAGCGCCACCAACAATAGTATTAGTGACATAGTTTTAGAATGATGCAGGCATACCTTGTTTCATTGGGCTTTGCTTTATTGCACTTTGCAGAGACTGATTTTTTTACAGATTGAAGTTTTGTAGCAACCCTGCATGGAACAAGTCTACTGATGCCAGTTTCCCAACAGCATGTGCTTACTTTATGTCTCTGTGTCATGTTTTGTTAGTTCTCACAATATTTCAACTTTTTAATTATTGTTATGTCTATTACAGTGATCTATGATGGGAGATCTTTGATGTTACTACTGTAACTGTTTTGGGGTGTCATGAACTGCACCCATAGAAGATGGCAAACTTATTCCATAAATGCTGTGTGTGTTCTGATTGCTGCACAGACTGGCTGTTTCACCATCTCTCTTCCAATCTTTGGGCCTCTCTGTTCCTTAAGACACAACAATATTGAAGTTAGGCCAATTAATAATCCTGCAATGGCCTCTAAGTGTTCAAGTGAAAGGAAGAGTTGCCATCTCTCACTTTGAATCAAGAGGTAGAAATGATTAAGCTTAGTGAAGTAGGTACATTGGAAGCCAAGACTGGCCTTTTGCTAGGCCTCTTTTGCAACTTAGCCAAGTTGTGAATGGAAAGGAAAAGTTATTAAAGAAAATTAAAAAGTGCCACTCCAGTGAAAACACAAATGAAAAGAAAGCAGAATAGGCTTATTGTTGATATGGAGAAAGTTTAAAGGTCTGGATAGAAGATGAAACCAGCCACCACATCTCCTTAAGCCAAAGCCTAATTAAGAGCAAGGCCCTATCTCTCTTCAATTCTGTGAAGGCTGAGAGAGATGAGGAAGCTGCAGAAGAAAAGGTTGAATCTAACAGAGGTTGGTTCATGAGGTTGAAGGAAAGAAGCTGTCTCTATAACATCGAAGTGCAAGGTGAAGTGGCAAGTGCTGATGTAGAAACTGCATCAAACTATCCAGAAGATCCAGTTAAGATCATTGAGGAAGGTAGCTACATTAAATAATGGATTTTCAGCATAGATGAAACAGCCTTCTATTGGAAGAAGATGCCATCTAGGACTTTCATAGCTAGAGAGAAGTCAATGCCTGGCTTTCAAGCTTCAAAGAACAGGCTGACTCTCTTGTTAGGGGCTAATGCAGCTGGTGACTCTAAGTTGAGGCCAGTGCTCATTTACTGTTTCAAAAATCCCAGGGCCCTTAAGAATTATGCAATCTACTACTCTGCCTGTGCATATATAACAGCACATCTGTCTATGGCATAGTTTACTACATATTTTAAACCCACTCTTGAGACCTACTGCTCAGAAAAAGATTCTGTTCAAAATATTATTACTCATTGACAATGCACCTGGTCAGCCATGGGCTTTGATGGAGATGTACAGAAGATTACTGTTGTTTTCATGCCTACTAACATAAAATCCATTCTACAGCCCATGGATGAAGGAGTAATTTTAACTTTTAAGTCTTGTTTAAGAAATACATCTTCTAAGGCTATAGCCACCACAACCCTTCCTCCCTTTGCCCCTCCCACCTTTTCTCCCTTTAGGAGTCCCCAGTGTTCATTATTTTTATCTTTATGTCCATGAGTACCCATTGTTTAGCTCCCACCGATAAGCGAGAATGTTTGGTATTTGATTTTCTCCTTTTGAGTTATTTCACTTAGAATAATGGCCTGAGTTCCATCTATGTTGCTGCAAGACATGAGTTTATTCTTTGTAATGGCTGCATAGTATTCCATGGGGCATATGTATCAATTTTTTTTAATCCCATCATCTACTGATAGACACTTGGGTTGATTCCACGACTTGCTATTGTGGATAGTATCGTGATAAATGCATGAGTGCAGGTGTCTTTCTGATGCAATAATTTCTTTTTCTTTGGGTAGACGCCCAGTAGTAGGATTTCTGAGACCCAGGGTTTTCTGCTTGTCCACCCCATCATTCTTCGTGTATTGCTTTTGTCTTCAAGCTGATCACTTCCATTGTGAGATGGCCGTGGAAGTTGTGTCACATCATGATGGGGTTCAGGGTAGGAAGACAGGGACCTAGGGCTGGAGCTGTTGCAACTGTGTCTGCCCTCTTTTATCAGGAAAGCGAATACTTTCTGAGAACAGACCCTCTACCCCAAGCCAATTTCTGCTGAGGCTCATTGGCCAAAAGGAGTCAAGAGGATCAACCCTAGCAGCAGGGGAGGCTGAAAAAAATGAGTGACAGGATTATCCTAAGTAAAGCCAACCATGATGCATTTTCTGTGGCCGGGTTCATAGTTGCTCCGAACAAAATTGGGATTCTGTTAGCAAAGGGAAAGGAAACAGATATGGCTAGGTACTTTTGAGTGTCTGCCCCAACATTCTATGACAGTTAGTATAACTTTTTCTCTTTCTTTTGCATGGGGAGGTAGGAACCCCCTCTTGGAGAGTCCCACAATGATGCAGGAGGAAATCTATCCCCTCCGGGGTCCCTCACCCCACTAAGGGGCTAATCACAGATGGAGTTGAGATTCAAACCCAAAGTTCCAGCTCTTAGCCACTGCCTAATCCATCCCTAACACCTCCCGGGATATGAGCCAAATAAGGCTGGGCTCCTGCATCCAGGGCATCCCCAGGCTGAAAGAGCCCTGCTTTGTTCTGAGCACCCTGGGAGGAAGTAGCTCTGCTCTCTGAAGGTTGGCCTTTAGTGATTTCTACCCTGGCATTCACGGGGTAGCCAGACCTCCTGGGTGCCGTTCCCTTATGTACCAGCTGTGTGAACCTGGGTAAGTGACTTCGCCTATTTGCACTTCAGACACTGCATCTATAAAAGAAGACGGCTAATTTCTTTACCCACAAAAGTAAATGAGATATTAAAGTGCATCGAATAGCTAGGAAATCTAAAAAGTATTATAGAATTTAAAAGGTGTATTTAAAAGGTAAAAAACAGCCAGGTGTGGTGGGTCACACTTGTAATCCCAACACTGTGGGAGACTGAGGTGGGAGGATGGTGTAAGTGCAGGAGTTTGAGGTTGCAGTGAGCTTGTGACTATACCGTTGCTCTCCAACCTGGATGACAGAGCCAGACTGTGTCTCTAAAATAAAAACATATATAAAATAAAATACAAAAAGCAAAACAAGCCGGGTGTGGTGGCTCATGCCTGTAATCCCAGCACTTTGGGAGGCTGAGACAGGTGGATCACCTGAGGTCAGGAGTTCGAGATCATCCTGGCCAACATGGTGAAACCCCGTCTCTACTAAAAATGCAAAAATTAGCTGGGTGTGGTGGCGGGTGCCTGGAATCCCAGCTGCTCCAGAGGCAGAGGCAAGAGAATTGCTTGAACCCAGGAGGCGGAGGTTGCAGTGAGCCGAGATCACACCACTGCAGTCCAACCTGGGTGACAGAGCAAGACTCTGTCTCAAAAAAGAAAAAACAAACAAACAATAACAAACAAACAAAAAAACCAAAACAAACAAAAAATAATTAGCTAGCAGTCAACAAATGCCAGCAATTATTATTATTGTCGTTACTGTGTTATCCTGACAGGGATCTCTTTGGTCACTTTTTTGGGGTCCTTTCTCTCTCCTGGCCCAGGTCTCTCTATCTTGTTTTGTTTGTCTGAAGCACATCTACTAGTGAGGTAGGTTCTGATCTCAGGAGAAGCTCTGTCTCTTCACTATTATTCTAAACTTGGAGGACAGCCAGGCCTGGGAAACAGGATCTGGGTTTCTGAGGCATCTGGGTCATGGAGTGACCTTTCCATCTTTTTTCTTTCCTTTGTTTGTCCTTCCTCGGAATCCCCATTCTTTTACTGACTGACAAGCCCATGAATGATCAGCTGAGCTCTGGCCCTGCCAGCTGTCCCAGGTTCACTGAATAGGCTTCTCCCTATGGGGCCTGTCAGAAGCCTAGCCCTCTGTCTGCTTTTTCCTTTCTTTCTTTTCAATTTTTTTTTTTTTTTGAGATGGAGTCTCACTGTCTCACCCAGGCTGGAGTGCAATGGTATGGTGTCGGCTCACTGTGACCTCCATCTCACAGTTTCAAGCGATTCTCCTGCCTCAGCCTCCTGAGTAGCTGCGACTACAGGTGCCCACCACCACATCTGGCTAATTTTTGTATTTTTAGTAGAGATGGGGTTTCACCATGTTGGCTATGCTGGTCTCGAATTCCTGACATCAGGGAGTCCTCCCGCCTCAGACTCCCAAAGTGCTGGGATTACAGGCGTGAACCACCACGCCCAGCCCTTTTTCAAGTTTTTTGAAACAGTGTCTCACTCTATTGCCCAGGCTGGAGTGCAGTAGTGCAGCCATAGCTCACTGCAGCCTCAATCTCCTGGGCTCAAGCGATCCTCCTGCCTCAGCCTCTCGAGCAGCTGGAAGTACAGGTGCATACCACCATGGCTGGTTAGCAGCCCTCAGTTTTCCAATGGGAAAAAATTGGACCCCTAATGGAAAGGGGCAGCCCGACATGCACCTAGAATGCTTCCCTGACAAGCCTCCCCCACTTCTCTGTGTGTTGTGCATCCTCCATGAAGGTAAAGGGTGAGCATGGAGCCCCCAAATCCTCCTCCTTGGAAACTACTCAAACTATTGGAGTCCCCATGTGGCCATCAGAGGGAGTGTCACACATGAGGTCCACTCTTGTCTCTCCCCTACTTCCCTGGGTTGAGGTCTGCCCCTGCAGCCTCTTCAGCCCCTCCCACTATGTGACCCCCCTCTCTCCAGCCTCCAGCCACACTGGTTGTCCCTCGGAGGTGCCAAGCACCTGTTGTCCTCCCTCCACATCCTCCATCTGCCCTGAAAACTTTCTCTGACATTCCTTTACTGCTCCACTCTTGCTTTAGGTCTCAATACCAATCACTTCCTTGACCACTCACCCCCAATCACAAGTCCCCCTGGTGCACCCCTGTATCTTTCATCCTTGGCACATTTCCTAGCTTGTGCTCATATGTTTATTTGCGTAGGTAATTGATTAGCGTCTGTCTTCCCAGTAGATTATAAGATCTAAACGAGTAAGGACCATGTTTTATTCTCTGCTATAGCCTCAGATCCTTGTGCATGGCCAGCCACAGCATACTACTACATGCTACATACTACATGCTACATGCCACATGCTACAGTCAGTCATGCTGCTGTCTGCTACAGTCACGTGTACTTAACCAGAGGACACTACAGTGCTACTACAAGTCATGTGTCACTTAAAGACAGAGATACGATCTGAGAAATGTATCATTAGGCAATTTCAATCATTGTGTGAACATAATAGAGTGTATTTACATAAACCTAGCTGCTATAGGACACTATACACCGAAGCTATATGGCATAGCCTATTGCTCCTAGGCTACAAACCTGTACAGCATGTTACTATACTGCATACTGTAGGCAATTGTAACATAATGGTAAATCTTTCTGTGTCTAAACATAGAAAAGGTACAGTAAAAATAAAGCATTATAATCTTATGGTACCACTGTCATATATGTGGTCCATCATTGACTAAAACATTGTTACATGGTACATGACTGTATATATATGTGCATGTATATATACCTAACATATATATATATATACACACACACATACATATAAAAACTTCTAGCTGGCCCGGTGTGGTGGCTCACACCTGTAATCCCAGCACTTTGGGAGGCCAAGGCGGGCAGATCACCTGAGGTCGGGAGTTTGAGACCAGCCTGACCAACACGGAGAAACCCCGTCTCTACTAAAAATACAAAATTAGCCAGGTGTGGTGGCGCATGCATGTAATCCCAGCTACTTGGGAGGCTGAGGCAGGAGAATTGCTTGAACCTGGGAGGTGGAGGTTGCGGTGAGCCGAGATCGCGGCAATGCACTCCAGCCTGGGCAACAAGAGCGAAACTCTGTCTCAAATAAATAAATTAATTAATAAATACCAAAAAACTTCTAGCTACCTTCTCAATGATCTTAGAACAATAGCCAATACAGTTCTTGGCAAACAGAAAAGGTCTTTGAAGTTTCAAATATGTCTAGAGATCATGCAAAGTGATTAGTTGGTTAATCAAATAAAAATATGACACTGATACTATAGAATACAATAACATGGGAGCATTTATTCATAAGATTCTAAGTTACGGGTGCTCTGTACTTATAAAATCCTAGCCTATATATTATGATTCTGTTGAGCTTCAGTGTGAATAAACCCCCAGTCTCAGAAACATCTGTAGTTAAACTATAGAGAGAGATGATGGGATGGCTGGAGAAGAGTGACAGGAACATCTCCAGCTGGTATTTTGGACTTTCTAGGGGAGGCTTCTTTTTTTTTTTTTTTTTTTTGTTTTTGGAGATGGAGTTTTGCTCTGTTGCCCAGCTGGAGTGCAGTGGCGTGGTCTCAGCTCACTGCAACCTCCACCTCCCGGTTTTAAGCAATTCTCCTGTCTTAGCCTCCCAAGTAGCTGGGACTACAGGTACCTGCCACCACGCCTGGCTAATTTTTGTATTTTTAGTAGAGATGGGATTTCACCATATTGGTCAAGCTGGTCTCGAACTCCTGACCTCAGGTGATCCACCCACCTCGGCTTCCCAAAGTGCTGGGATTACAGGTGTGTGCCACCACGCCCAGCTAATTTTTAGTAGAGATGGGGTCTCACCATGTTGGCTAGGGTGGTCTCGAACTCCTGGCCTCAAGTGATCCACCCACCTCGGCCTCCCAAAGTGCTGGGATTACAGGCATGAGCCACCGCGCCTGGCTGAATTCTTTGAAGGACACCTAGGATTGCATGGATTCTGATTGGCCCTATGGTGACTGTGCCTTCCTGGGTACAGAGGGCATCTCTCCAAGCTCTCCTGTCCTGCTCTGAGCTTCAGGCATGGCCAGTATGTTCAATGGGAGCACTGTGGGATACAGTTGAAGGATGGACATTGACTCCCTTTATGGCTGGGGCTTTTTGGAATTCCCAGGCGGCCATTACACATTTGAAAAAAGTCAGCTCTTTGTCTTCTTACTCTTCCACAGTGCCCCCAGAGATTAAGAGCCATGGAAATTCTTGTCTCTCAAGAAGGGCTCATCTCTTTCTGGAATTTAAGTAATTTGGGTGCGTTTGTATCCCCAGATCTCTGACAGCTTTGGGGTTTTTGAAAAAACTTTTTTTTTTTTTAAGCTTAACTGGCTTGTTCTCAGGGTTGGGTGGAAGCAATGATTTCTTGAGCCTTTTATGTTGCAACTGGAGGCAAATGTTCAATAAACAATTTTTGAATGAATAAATATGATTCTGACCTCCTTACGGGAACTTGGCATTACCAGGCTCAGGAGAGAGATTCTGATATTTTTGCTGATCTCTATTTCATAACCAACACAGTCACAAAACATCACAGCTAGTTTTTCTATTCTTTGTGTATGTGTGTGTGTGCTGAATATTTTGTTGCATTTCACACCAGAGGAAAGACTGCAGATGGAACTGTCTTTTTTATTTCTCACCCCTTGGTCCTCTGCCCAATTGCTGGGGAACAGATTGAACTTAAGGATTTAAGAACAGCAATTTTGGTGCCACTGCTTGGCCAAATTGTTTTCTTTGGGCTGTGTCGCTCTAATTCCCATCAATATTTGTCTTCTGTCCTTTCTTCTGGGCATCATCAGGAGAATTGGTTTGTCAAATGGATACAGGCCTGGGAGAAAACATCAACTAAAAAGACACCAGTTTTGCCCGCTTCACATCACTTTCTGGAAAGGCTGTAATGTGATCTTTTTGATGGCTGACTCTAAATCCTATGTAATGTGTAGGAAACATTTGATGGTATTTGGGTATATTAGGGCCAAGGAAACTCACCCAAAAGGCATTTTCTCTGTTGCTTAAGGATGGTAGGGGACACTACTGTAATCAAAGCCTTGTTTTATACTGTCAATTCAACTTTTTTGTCGATTTAGGAAACAATCCGTGAGGAAGCAAACAAAGGTGAATGAATTCTCATGCGGGATCATGGCATGAAAACATATAATTGTCCATAAGGTCTTGCCACTGTAAATGTGCCCGATCTTATCTGATCTTGGAAGCTAAGCAGGATCGGGCCTACTTAGTGTCTTGGATGGGAGACTGCCTAGGAGTACAAAAGCCTACAAGTGCTGTAGGCTTTTGAAAAAACAAAACAAAAACACACACACTTATCTTACACTGCCAATCTGTGTCTGCATGTTAATAGACTTCCAGTGTATAAAGCGTAGATCAAGAAGCAGTTACAAAACCCTTAGGTTACCTGCAAACCCTCGTTTAAAAAAACTCTCTTTCCTACAGGAAGCTATACAAGAAAGATGTGGGGCCGGGTACAGTGGCTCATGCCCGTAATCCCAGCACTTTGGGAGGCTGAGGCATGTGGATCACTTGAGCTCAGGAGTTCAAGATCAGCCTGGGCAATATGGTGAAACCCCATCTTTACAAAACAAACAAACAAACAACAACAACAACAACAACCCCCCCCCCCCAAAACAAAACTTAGCTGAGCTGGGCATGGTGGCAGGTGCCTGGAGTCCAGCTACTTGGGAGGCTGAGGCAAGAGAATCACTTGAACCCTGGAGGCGGAGGTTGCAGTGAGCCGAGATTGCGCCACTACACTCCCGCCTGGGTGACAGAGTGAGACCCTGTCTCAAAACAAAAAACAAAAAAAGAAGTGCACAAGGTAGACTCTCTCTGCCCAGAGTAGAAGTGGTTTAATCAAAAAAATTTTAAGCACAATTAAAATCCTTGTAATTCTATCTTTTCTCCTTGCTGACCTCACCAATGGCCACTGTTTCACCCTGTCATGTTCCAAAACTTTGGCATTAAGTACACTATCAATTTCTTTCCTTCCTTTTTATTTTTATTTGTTTATTTATTTATTTATTTTTGAGAGACAGTCTCACTCTTGTTGCCCAGGCTGGAGTGCAATGGCGTGATCTCGGCTCACTGCAACCTCCACCTCCTGGGTTCAAGTGATTCTTCTGCCTCAGCCTCCCCAGTAGTTGGGATTATAGGCGCCCACCACTATGCCTGGCTAATTTTTGTATTTTTAGTAGAGATGGGGTTAGCCAGGCTGGTCTTGAATTCCTGACCTCAGGTGACCCGCCCACCTGGGCCTCCCAAAGTGCTGGGATTACAGGTGCGAGCCACCACACCCGGCCTCTTTCCTTCTTAACACACCTATTTTGCTTATTTTAAGGGTAAGCATTTAGAGGACAAAGACAAAATGTAACCTCATCAAGACTGAAGACTGCCACTCCCTTTTGTTGAGTTCTTTCATCCATCCTTTCCTAGTCTCTAATAGCCCCATTTTCATCCTCTTACAATTCCCTCCTAGCTAATAGTTTTGGTCCCATTAGTATTAGAGGTGATACAATGAATCGTGAAAGCAAAACTAACCAGAAATTTGTTACTCAGATTTTTTTCTTTTTTGAGGAAAGATCCAAGCTCTTAAAAACACAAATTGCTGATGTGGTAATATTTTTTTTGCATCTCAAATATTATTACTGACATGGAAACATTGGTTTCAGAAATGTCAATTGAAAAATTTCTAAACGTTAGGGACTTTTTTTTTTTTTTAAAGAAATGGGCAAAAGAAAAAAGAATTAAAAAAAAACAAAGAAATGAGCTAGCGTGCTTTCTTCTGAAAACACTGTTTAAATCTGTATGTTAATTGAAAGACACTATTATCGTCAGAAGGGGAAGGGTTAATTTTCAATGAAATTGCTTTGAAATCTTAGGCTTTCTTTTTTTTATTTTTTTGGTCAGTCAGCTTTCTCAGGTTGAATGACATCTTTAGTCTTTTAAGTTTTGATCCCACATTTACTTATATTTTTAGACTTTCCCACATTTGACCAACTTACCAAGGTGTTGGCATCACAATAAGCTGCATTTTTAGGTGCTAAAAATATTTGTTGATGAATTGATTAACAATTGACTTGGGCAATAAGTAGGTGTAAAAGATGCTGTACGTACTTTGCCCATATTCCTTTGGTAGTTGCTTTCCCATGAACTGTACTTGATGCTTTCTACCTGCAGGCATAGATAACTCTCTTTCTCTGAGCACAGGGAATCCCAGAGGTGCCTAGGAGTTAATGCCTCCCAGAAACAACTCAATCAGTGACAGTTGGGAACTGGTGGATAAATACCCCAGCTCCCTCACTGCTCAGAGAGAACAACCCTGAGGCTTTTTCTTCACCATCTCACAGAATTATCCAGCGTGATGGATTCCCAGTTGTCCCCAGGAGTAACTTGCTTGACCAATGCACTTTTTATTGGCTTATTTTCCTTTCTAGTCTCACTTCACCACTCCTCTACTGGTACTCTGTGGAATTGCCTAGCAAATACATTATTTGCTCTTGAATTTTTATCTGAAGGTTTGCTTCTGGGGGAGCCCAACCTAAGATATGGTGGTAAGTCAAATATGCCTATATCTTAAGAGTTGTGAAAACATTCTTCTGTTTCTCTCTGAGAAATAGCAACGTCATTGCAAAACTTTAGCATGGACACCATAGCTCATTAGAGTGGTCACCTTGCATTTATAGGGCTTTGGGAGTGTGTCAGTTAATTTTTGTCAATTTGACTCAGCCATGGGATGTCCAGCTATTTGGTCAGACATTATTCTGAGTGTCCTCATGAGGGTGTGTTGGGATAAGATTAACATTTGAATTGGTAGACTAAGTAAAGCAGATTGCCCTTCCTAATGTAGAACCCTCATCCCATCAGTTGAAGGTCTGAATATAACCCAAAGGCTGACCCTCCCATCAGTAAGAGGGAACCCCTCCTGCCTGACTGCTTTGAGCCAGGACATTGTTCTTTCATGACCTTTGGATTTGAATGGAAGTATCTGCTCTTCTTGTGTCTTATGCCTGCTGGCTTCCAGACCAGAACTTACATCGTTGGTTCTTCTAGGTCTCAGGCCTTAGGACTTGGACTGGAACTACATATCAGCTTCCTGGGTTTCCAGCTTCCTGGCTCCAGATCTTGGGACTTCTCACTCTTCATAATAGCATGACCCAATTCCTTATACTCTCTCTCTCTCTCTCCACACACACACACACACACACACCACACACACACACACACACACACACACTCACTTTATTAGTTTTGTTTCCTGTGGAAGTAGCTTTGGAACTGCGTAATGAGTAGAGGCTGGAAGGGTTTTGAGATGCATGCTAACCTACGTTGCCATGAACAGAATGTTGGTAGAGATATGAACATTTAAGGTCATTCTGCACTTTGGGAGGCTGAGGCAAGTGGATTACTTGAGCCCAGGGGTTCGAGACCAGCCTGGACAATGTGACGAAACCCCATTTCTACAAAAAATACTAAACTTAGCTGGGTGTGGTGGTACATGCCTGTGGTCCAGCTATTTGGGAGGCTGAGGTAGGAGGATCAATTGAGCCCAGGAGGTCCAGGCTGCAGTGAGCTGTGATCACTTCATTGCACTCTAGCCTGGGTGACAGAGTGAGACCCTGTCTCAAAAAAAAAAAAAAAAGGTCATTCTGGTCTGCTGAGATCTCAGACAGAAACTAGAAACATGTTATTTGAAACTGGAATTAAGGCAGTCTTAGTTGTAAGTGAAAAAGAACTTAGCTGAACTTCGTCCTAGTGTTTTATGGAAGGTACAATTTGTGAACAATGAAACTGGAGACGGTAGTCCCCCCTTATCCATGGTTTTGCTTTCTGCATTTCAGTTACCCAAGGTCAACTGCCATCTGAAAATCTTAAATGAAAAATTCCAGAAATAGACTGGCCTCAGTGGCTCACGCCCGTAATCCTAGCACTTTAGGAGGCTGAGGCCAGTGGGTCACCTGAGGTCAAGAGTTTGAGACCAACCTGGCCAACAAGTTGAAGCCTCGTCTCTACTAAACATACAAAAATGAGCTGAGCATGGTGGCAGGCACCTGTAATCCCAGCTACTCGGGAGGCTAAGGCAGGAGAATCGCCTGAACTCTGGAGGCAGAGGTTGCAGTGAGCTGAGATCACACCATTGCACTCCAGCCTGGGCAACAGAGCAAAAACTCTGTCTCAAAAAAAAAAAAAAAGAAAGAAAATTCCAGAAGTAAACAATTTGTAAGTTTTACATTGTGCCCCATTCTTCTGAGTAGCATGATAAAATCTTGCACTATCTCATTTTGTCCTGCCTGGGACATGAATCACCCCTTTGTTTAGCATATCCATGTTGTCTATGCTACCTGCCTGCCCATCACTTAGTAGCCATCTTGGTTGTCAGATGGACTATTGTGGTGTTTCAGGGTTTGTGTTCAAGTAACCTTTACTTTACTTAATAATAGCCCCAAAGTTCAAGAGTAGTGATGCTGGTATATTGTTACAATTTTTCTATTTTAATATTGTTCTTCATCTCTTTATGTACCTAATTTATAAGTTAGACTTTATTATAGATATGTATGTATATGAGAAAACATAGTATATATAGAGTTCAGTACTATCTGTGGTTTCAGGCATCCACTTACATCAGGTAAGAGGGAACTACTATATTTAGCTGAGGAAATTCCAAAGCAAAGTGTTGAAGGAGTGGCTTGGTTCCTCCTGACTGCTTATAGTAAAATGTGAAAGCAGAGAGATTAATTAAATAAGTGAGAAGTCACGCCTATAATCCCAGCACTTTTGGAGGCTGAGGCAGGTGGATCACCTGAGGTCAGGAATTTGAGACCAGCCTGGCCAACATGTTGAAACCCTGTCTCTACTAAAATACAAATATTAGCTGGGCGTGGTGGCATGCACCTGTAATCCCAGCTACTTGGGAGGCTGAGGCAGGAGAATTGCTTGAACCTGGGAGGCAGAGGTTGCAGTGAGCCTAGATTGTGCCACTGCACTCCAGCCTGGGTGACAGATCAAGACTCTGTCTCAAAAAAAAAAAAAAGTAAGAAATAACAATAGAATTCTCAGCTCCCAACTGACAGAATGAATTTCCTCTTGGCCAAGAAGACCCCAGAGAAACTGAAGCTGAGTGTCTGGCCATGATGGGATGGAGGTCAGACACACCTCATTATCCCCTTGCCCTCAATAATTGCCATCAGTCTTTCTTCTCTAAGGGCTAAACAGAAACCAGCCCTTTCAAAAGACTCCACGCTGAGAATGTAGATAACTAGCTTATTTCCCCAGGTACAGAACAAAGACAAATTGAGATTAATCATTTCTTCGCCCCTCCCTGAGATGTCTGCTTCCTCTATTCCTTTTTTCTTCAAACGTTCATCGTATCTTATGTAAAACATAAATTTGTTGGGCACTAACTAAAGTCTCTCACAACTATGTAATCATTTACTTCATTGTCCCCTCCTTCCTTTTAAGGAAAATGTAGAACTACTAAACCTCTTAAGAACCTCTCTGGAAAATACAGCCACAGAAGTGTCTGTGGCTCACATTTCTCCTGGGTGCACCCTTCAGCTGGCTCCATAAAGCTTGATTGATTGAGACACCTGCCTCCATCACTCATCTTGATTGTCAGAAAGAAACAATTAAGCAAAAAGGAAGCAGAACTTGAGGATGTGGCAAAATTTCAGCCTATCCATATTGCAAAAAAAAAAAAAAAAATAGAACGCTTGTTCTGAAGAGAACACTGAGGATGTGTCTGAACAATCACTGGTGAAGAGATCACCAGGCCAGGAATGGCAGCTCATGCCTGTAATCCCAGCACTTTGGGAGGCTGAGGTGAGGGGATCACTTAAGCCCAGGAGTTCGAGACCAGCCTGGGCAACATAGTGAGACCCTGTCCCTATAAAAAAAAAATAAAAATTTAAGTAATAGAGATCATGAGTACAACTCATGGACTTCAGCAGCTATCTTGGCAGAATCCAGGAATGGAATTATACCAGTGAAGACACTGCCAGTTTGAACTAAAGGGGGTAGAGAAAGCAGGACAGAATGAAGGATAATTCTCAACCTTCTTGGAGTCTACAGAACCAAACAGTAGAGCCATCAGCTGCGAATGTGTGCTAAGAATGAACCAGAAGGTGATTAAGGAATCATCAGAGGTGCCACTGCTACCATAGGTCCCAGAATCAAGGTGTTTTCTCCTCTGTTTCCAAGGGCAGGGCTGTGTCTCTGGTTTCAGCCAGGACAATCCCATCCAGTGCCTCAGGAGTGGGCTGCTCTCTGAAGAAAGCTGTGTGAACAGGGCAGCTTGAAAGAGCCGTGGAGGTGATGCTGCCACCTTAGTGGGCCTTTAGGGCAGAGCATCAAACCAAAGAAGCTTATTCTCAAGCCTTGAGATCTAATGGAATTTGCCTTGCTAGGTTTTGCACTTGCTTGAAACCCGACACTCCTTTCCTCTTTCCTTATTTCTCCCTTTTGGCACAGCAATGTCTATACTATGCCTGTCCCACCATTGTGTTTTGGAAGCACATAACTTGTATGGGGTCATAGATTTACAGATAGAGAGCAGTTTGCCGCAGGATAAATCATACCTTGAGTCTCACTCATACCTGATTTAAATGATATTTAGATGAGACTTTAGATGAGTCGATGGTGTTATGAGTTAAGACTTTGGAGGCTGTTGGAGTGGATGTATTTTGCGTGCAAGAAGGACATACATTTTGGGGGTGCCGGGTGTGCAATGCTATAGACAGCTGCGTCCCTCCAAAATTCATGTGTTAAAGCTCTAACCCCCAATGTGACCGTAGTTGGAGATAAGGCCATTAGCAGGTAATTAAGGCTAAATAAGGTCATAAGGGTTGGACCTCATTTGATAAGACTGTGGCCTTTTAAGAAGAGGAACAGCTGCCTCTCCCTCTTTCTCTTCCTCTCCTCCCCTCCTTCCTGCCTTTTCCCTTCCCTCCACTGTGTGAAGACACAGCAAAAAGGTCATCTATAAGCCAGGAAGAGAGCTCTCACCAGGAACTGAATTGGCTGGTACCCTGATCTTGGACTTCTCAGCCTCTAGAACTTTGAGAAACAGGTTTCTGTTGTTTAATTCATCTAGTCTGTGGTATTTTCTTATGACAGGCTGAGCTAAGAGAGGGAGGATGGTGGAACATTGGAAGATGGCAGTGCCGTCAAACCCATCTTGTCCCAAACATCCCTTGAAGGTCCCAGAACCATTCCAGAGTGGGATGTCCTGTCTTAGCATTCAAAGTATCTGTAGGTGTTACCCCAACCCAATCCCCAGAAACTGGAAACATTCCACTTGGTGCCATCCTGAAGTGTCTGTAACAAAAATTCTACACACTTGAGTCTTTTTCATCTGTTTTATTAGCATCAATATATACAAAGTGGAAAATGACTTAATTTCATTATTCTAGCTTAGAAAGTTTGTTTTGCTTTTTATTTTGTTTGGCGATAAAATGGAAATGAAAATTTCCCAGGAGAATGCCTACCTTTGGGGGTGCTGAACAACTCAAATAATATCTGACCTCAAATGACTCGTCATGCCTAGTCAAGGACATAGGAAGATCATGCCCTTCGGATTCACTCGAAGGGCATTTTTGCCTGAGGCCCGTGCCTCAGCCTAAAGCTACCCACATATTTGCCAAATCACTACTTGTTATACAACCCTCCTGATTATGCAGATGCTTTGCTTCCTTCTGGGCTGTTTGGCAGTCTTCAAAGCTATCAGCCTGAGGTTCTGTAGGCTCTCCAAGGGGTGAGCTTCAAAGGATCATAGTTAAAGCACATCTATGAAACTAAGTAAGAATGGCCATCAGGTAGCAATCAGAATACTTATGTTAGCTAAATAATTCTACAAAAAAAAAAAAAAAAAAGCAAAAAGCTGAGCTCCAAGCTAAAGAGGGTTGAGTGTGTGCATTTTTAAAGCACAGGGTGGTAGCTGACAGATACAGCTTATATGAATTAGCATGTAATACACACCATCACATGCATTCTCTGAAGCTCACAATCTCTGTAAACGTATTTCCCCACTGTTTTAAAAACAAAGAGTGGCTTGTAGGAAGGCTCAGTCCATTCTCGAGTTTCTCAAGAGTGTATCCTATTCAAAAATATTTAATCCCAATGGGTTTTAATATTGATCTTATAAAAACAGACGTACATGAGCTGTAATGAGATGCCTTGCACATTTTTGGCACTATTTTTTTTTACCTTTACGTATTACAAATACACATTCAGATATTTTAAAAAGAAAAATAGACACCAACCTGTCTTTTCAATCACACTGTACATTGTTGAACTCGTATGATCTGTCTCTAGGCTAAAACAAACTTTTAAAACACGGTTACGGGTGTGGTACTACTAAGACAGAACTGAGACACTGGTCTTCTGAAAAAAACAACAATGACAACAACAACAAAAAAACAAAAAACACAACGCCTTTTCTATCTTTCCAATAGTCAATAAGAACATCTGGGGTGTGGCCTGGCTAGTTTTGGGGATAGGGTTAGAATAAAGATTTATATTTTGTCAGTCTTTATAAAAGGCAAATGTTTAGTTTTCACATAACCATAACACGTTGTAAAATCAAATATTATTCATAGAGTTCTTCATTCCAGGTGACCCAGGGTTAGGGTTAGAATAAGCATCAAATAAAATGGATTGAGTTCTGCCTTTTAAGGAAAGGTTACATTATTTGTGTTGTTATCTTTCTCCAAACATGACATTGTCCACTAATGGCCTAGAACACTTCTCTGGTTCTTGCATTAAATGGGGCTTTGGGTCCTGGAAAGCAGCCTTTAGCTATTTCTTGCCATGGACCACACACTCATGCCTTCAGGAGTATATGTGCAAGATTCTTTTCTGGCAGAAGGAAAATATTCTGGTCTTAGACCCCCAAGATTGAAGTCTGAGTTCCTGCTGTCAAGGAGGGTACATGTGTGCCTAAAATCAACTTTCCCTATCTTGCTTAAGATGTTTCCAATGTAACCACCAAAACATAGACTCCCTGCTATTCTCCCTATGGCCAGAAAGGTCTTTTCTTGTTTGAAAACCAGCAGACTTGAAACAATTCCAGAGAGAATGGGAGGGCACCAAAGAGGGTTCCAAATGCCACTGTGCCCGTCTGTCTGTCCAAGCCATTGACTGTCACCACCATGTCACCGGTCCCAGGAAGGTGAATCTGCTTCACACATAGTATTTCTTCCATGCACCCGCACCCTCCACCTTCTCTTTATACCTGTATTTAGAAAAGAATCTTCCCAAGAGTTACACACTCACCGGTTTCACTGGGTTGGGGGAAAACAGACCCTGATAAAATAAGAGGAATGCCCGTGTGACTAGATGTGGGGCTATGGAATCCTTTCTGAATGAAATTCCTCTCTCTGTCTTCATTGATGTTCAGATCAGATGATACAGGATTCCACTGGATGGTCTGCTGTGATTTAAAATCCCCTGCCCCTGTTCTCTGCACCTCCTCAGTCAGCATTCACACCACCCTCCAACATCCAGACAGCTTTGGAGAATAGAAAAATAGTTTCTTCTCATGGGACCCTCCCGCCCCCTGAAATACTTGATGGCAAGTATATTCTGAAGATGACACCTTTTAGAGAATCAGTGCACTTGAGTCTCCTCTATTTTGAGGGCTGAGATATTCCAGAACCCCAGGAGAAACCAGAGCTCACCCCTGCATTTCCAAACATGGCACCTCCTTTTTCCCATCACAAATCCTTGTCACTGTATGAGTGGGGCCGCTGGTGCCTCCCAAGCCTGTGTGTTTATTACCACAGCTTGAGAGTGGCTTGCTGAACATGGTGATCGATTCTGGCACTTGTAGCATAAATTACACGCTCTTTCATCATTGAAAGAGTGTCAAAGAAAAGAACATTTTAACCCAATTCCCTTACCCAATGATCCCCCTCACCCAATTCTTCATTGGAACTCTCAAATCTCTCATTTGTCTCTGAAAAATTGCCTTTGGTCGTTTATCACCTTTCTAGAAAGAAAACGTTTTCTTGTTTTGTCACTGTCCAGCGAGGCCAGAGTGGTAAAAGACAATGTTTATATAACACCTTTGCTACCTTCAGAAGAACCGTGAGAGGGAGGGGCTGTGGAAAAACCTTTCAGAAGCTGGCAAAATGGGAAGAGAGGACACAGAATTTGTTTAGGAGCACAGCTCTCCAAATGGGTTTAAGTACCCATGCTAAATTCCAACCCAAACTAAGCCAACAAGAAATACCCTTTCCAACCTAATCTTGGGACTTAGATTTGTACTGAAAACATCATGGGCATGGTTCCCAAAGATGCATGCAATTCAATGCAGCCTTAGCATGGCATTGCTGATGGGAGAAACTCCATCTGCTGTTTTGTGTTTTTGCTGCCGCGGTTTGCCATTTTGCAAGTCTTCCACCTGCCTTCAGAATTGAGGCTGTAACATGAATTTGGCTGAGGCCGCGAAACATCCAAACCCACACCTATTTCACTTTTAAATATAATAAATACAGGGAAGAAAACAGTAAACCTTTGATAAAGAGTCTAAACAAAAGACAGTCGACATTCTGGGGTTTCAATCAAGTGCCACATGGTCTCTGGATGAATGTCTCGAGGAGATTGTGGTTGAGTTCACAAGTCCCCTTCTCAAGTGTAGCTCTCTTTAGATAGAAACCTCATACTCTCTGGTTTCCTGCAAGAGAGAGAAGCACGGATTTGTCAAACGCTTGTGTGGTAGAGTGATATACATAGGGGGATGCAGTTCTTTGCACCTCTGTATGTCCATGCCCTTGGTCGTGACTTTTCAGTGCCCTCCCACTCTGACCCTGATTTGCTTTTGCCAATGGGTTATAAGGAAATGGCGTACAACAGCTGCTTGAAACATGCTTGTGTGTTTCTGCTCACATCCTGTCTATCTGTCATCACCAAGAACAGGGCATGCCCTGGTAGGCTTTAGTCTCTTCAGGAAAATGAAGGACACACAGAGCAGAGCTGAGTCACCCATCCATCAACCAGCCAATGCCAGGATTACCATCCAGCTGAAATAAGCCTAAAACGCTGTCCCACAGACTGATGAGCAAATGAATGCTTGTTGCATTAAGCCATTGAGTTCAGAGATCTTTGTTACTCAGCATTACTATAGTTCTAGGTCACTGATACACTCTACTAATAAGTATTCATTCATGTCTAGTCTCTAAAATTCTCCTTTATTTCAGTCTGACCTTTTCCCATGATTTCAAAGCAAGCTACATAGAATGCAAAATAACATATGCCCTGATCTACCATTGCCATGTGAAACGACTACAACATGGGGGGTAGTTTGATTTCTTCAATATTTATGGAGTGTGAGTAATGTATTCCAAGCTCCAGGGACAAGGAGCAAGGAGATAGAAGAAGGCTCAGCCCTGGAAGTTGACACTGTCACATGCTTTAATGAAAGTCTCCAGCTCCCATTCAGCCAACACAGATATGCAATCACATCTATGCTTCATGGTACATGGGATTTTGGTGGGCAGGCCCCAAGGTGGTCCCCATGATCCCCACCTTCTGGGGCTCATGCCTTTGTGGGGTCCCCTCCTTTTAAGGGTGGGTAAAGCCTGTGACTTGATTCTAACTAGGAGAATACACAGGTGCTAGGATGTCACTTCCATGTTTGCATGACACAGGATTGTGACTTCTGTCTTGCAAGATGACTCTCTCTCTGTTGCTGGCTCTGAAGAAGCCAGCTGCCATGTCATGAGCTGCTCTATAGAGAGGCCCACATGGAAGAAACTGCGGGTGGCCCCTAGAAGACAGCCCGCAAGAAATTGAGGCCCTCATTCTAACAACCTGCAAGGAACTGAATGCTGTCAACAACCATGTGAGTTTGGAAGTGGATCCTTCCCTGGTTGAGCCTCAGATGAGACTGCAGCCCAGTTGCTGCCTTGTTTGTAGCCTGTGAGCCATAAAGCAGGGGGTCAGGCTAAGCTGTGCCTGGCTTCCTGACTTATAGAAACTATGAGATAATAAATGTATGTTGTTAATTTAGGCCCCTAAGTTTGCAGTAATATTGTTACACATCAGTGGATAACTAACACAGGAGATCAGAGAAGTGGAGGTGAAGGAAGGTTAGCAGGATAAGAAACAAGTCAGGTTTATTCCCCCCAAACGTTGGGAGATGGCTGCACATCATTACACAGTGAACTTGAAGGATGGTGGTTTTGCAAACTCATAACCAGCCTTTTGCTTCCTCGCATGTGCCCTGGACCTTTGCACATGCTCTCCCTTCTGTCTGGCATCTTCTTCAGCCCATTGTCCAAGCTCTACCCACTTCCCATGTCTCAGCTTTACTCTCACTTTCTCAATGATGCCTTCCCCAACTCCCTCTAAGTGTCCCCATTATACATTCTCCTAGTGCCCTGTTCAATTTTTTCATAGTCCTTAAAAAGTATTATTTGTTGTAATCAAAATATTCATGGGCACATTGGATTGTCAGAGGTTCGAGGGAAGCAAGATAGCATCATGATTAAGAGTGTCAGGTTGAATTTGCATCCTGGCTTCAGGCTGTGCATCCTGGCTGTGTGCCACTTTGGCCAAATTATTCTTTCCTCTCTCTGGACCTCAATGTCCTCATCAATCAATTAGAGATAACTGTGGAACCTATTGCAGAGAGCTGCAAGGATTCAAGGAGATTATGCATTTAAAGTGCCCAGCAGATGGCATGTATTATTATTGATAATAATAATTCACAAGACGGTAGGCTCATTAATGGTGGAATCTGTGTCTATTGGGGTTCATGACTATGTTCCTAGCACCTAAAATAGGACCTGATACTCAAATGTGTAGGGATGTTTCACACTGCCATTGAATAAAGGGTGGAGCCCAGTGGGATGTGTGGGAATGCAGCACGTTGCCACCAGGCCACCGTTGGTCTGCTCTCTGTGGGTCTTGGGTGCAGCCTCTTTTTTCTGTGGGTGTTCTGCTGACAGTAATCAGCCTCCTAGGCTCGTCCTCAGCACCAATCACCTGCAAAGAGAGCTGGGTTCTCCCAGCATTTATCTCTTTAGGGCTCTTGGTGGGGATAAGACAGGACCACTGGCTGTGCCTCTTGTGAGCAATAGGAAATGAAATGTTTTGTCTTATTGTTGGTGAATTCAGAGCAAAGAGGGAGGGAATTGGGAAGAGACGAGAGAGACCAACTCACCCCTGTCTCGTAAATGGGGTTGTCAAACTCGGTTTCCACGGTGATCTGGCTGTAGGGGTGGGAGTACATCAGAGGCAGGCGGAGGTTGGAATAGTAGCGACATCTGGGGGAAAGAAAGGAGAGAGAAGTTACTTCTCCCCAGCTAGGAGAAACATTACAATATTGAACGGGAACAGTTGGTGCCACTTCCTGAGCAGCGGCACCTCTGTGAATGACGACGAGGATGTGTGCAAACAGCCTTTTGCAGGCGAGAATCCTAGTGAGGTGAAAGCAGAAATCATAATTGCTCTCAACTTGCAACCCAGGCAGCGAGAACCAAAGCCTTGTGATCTCTCCTTACTAGGGAGGGGGCGGAGCTTAATTTGTTTTCTCCTGGAAGGTCATTCAAGTCCCTCTTGAATGCAAAGGGAAACAAGAACAAGGATGAGCATTTATTGAGCACCTACTGTATGCCATATTGCCTTAGATCAGCCTTCCTTGACCACCTATTTATTTATTTAGAGACAGGGTCTTGCTCTGTCACCCGGGTTGTAGTGCAGTGGTGCCATCTCAGCTCACTGCAACCTCTGCCTCCTGGGCTCAAGTGATTCTCCTACCTGCGTGCACCACCACACTTGGCTAACTTTTTAAGTGTTTTATTTTTTTTATTTTTTAAGAGGCGAGCTCTCACTATATTGCCCATTGCCCAAGCTGGTCTCAAACTCCTGGGCTCACGCGATCC
The DNA here is from genome assembly GCF_000001405.40 of Homo sapiens. Lineage (NCBI taxonomy): Eukaryota > Metazoa > Chordata > Mammalia > Primates > Hominidae > Homo > Homo sapiens. Next base: position 26,377,054 of record NC_000022.11, on the reverse strand, counting down.
TCCAGCCTTGGCCTCCCAAAGTGCTGGGATTATAGGGATGAACCACCATGCCTGGCCCCTGACCATCTATTTAAAGGTGATTTCTCTGTTACTCACCACACCTACCTATTTCCTTCATTGTGTTTATCTTAGTGTGTTATAATTTATTTGTGTATTTACTCTACCCTGCCCCCAGTAGACTGTGGGCTCCATAAGGGCAGGGATGATCTATTTTAGTCACGTTCCTGCCTCAGGACCTTTGCACATGCTGTTTCCCTGCATGAAACCCTCCTTTTTCACATATTTGCATAGGTTTCTTTTGTTTTTGAAATGGAGTCTTGCTTTGTTGCCCAGGCTGGAGTGCAGTGTCATGATCTTGGCTCACTGCAACCTCCTCCTCCCAGGTTCAAGTGATTCTCCTGCCTCAGCTTCCCAAGTAGCTGGGATTACAGGCACCCACCACCATGCCCAGGCTAATTTTATTTTTTATTTTTTTAGTAGAGACGGGGTTCCACCACGTTGGCCAGGCTAGTCTCGAACTCCTGACCTCAAGTGATTCACCTGCGTTGGCCTCCCAAAGTCTTGGGATTACAGGTGTGAGCCACCACGCCTGGACTGCATAGGTTTCTCATGATCACTTTCAAGTCCTTGCTCAAATGTCATTTCTCAGTGGGGCCTCCTCTAGCTACACTATTTAAAAGTCAACCACCACTTCTCTTCCAGAATTCTTGCCCCCTCCCAGCCTTCTCTTCCTGCACTTATCAGTTTCTAACACTACATATTTTCTTACATACTTTGCTTATTGTCTATCTTTCCTTGTTAGAACCTGAACCCCAGGAGGGCAAATATTTCCTTCTATTTTTTTTTTTCCACAAATGATGTTTCTGGAACCGAGAAAACTGCCTGGCACCTAGTAAGTGCTCAACAACTGTGAATGTGAATGAATGAGTGGCTATTCTGGTGCATGGTTTAATATCTTCCTTCTGCATCAAATGCAAGTTTCTAGACCCTCAACACCTGGGACAATGTCTGATATACAACAGATTGTCAGTACATATTTGTTGAATAAATGAGTGAATGAGTGAGTGATGGAAGGAACAAATCAACATGCCTGGCAATATGTTATGTCTGTGTGCCCCACTAAACCATAACCTCCTTGAGGGCAGGAATAGTATTTGTCTTACTTGCTTGGAGGCTTCATAATTGCCCAATGTAAATATTTATCCCACAGAGTTGGGCTGAATCTGGGCATCTCTGCAATAACACAAATGCCACTATGCCCGAGCTCCAGGTGGAGACCCTGAGGCTCAGAGAGGTGAACCGCCCAGTCCCTCTGAGTACTGGTGGCTGGGTGCTTGGCAGTCATCTCCCCCATCAGCTCCCTACCTTGTGATGTAAATGTAGGCTCCTCCCAGCAGTAAGGAGATGATGAGGACCGGGATGAAGATAGCCAGGGCCATGTTCCCCCCTTCCAGCGACGTCTCTGCTGCCGCTTCTGCTACTGAACACAGGAGCCAGTGAGGTCCTCATTTCCCAGGTAGCTGACTCCCAGTGAGTGCCCAACTGCCCAGTTCTCCACCCCTTTGGAGACGGCTTTCCAAGGTCTAAGGCTCTGGGAGGGCCTTAGACCTTGCAGAGCCATCTCCAAAGACTAGAGGAAATGGTGGTGGTCCTTTGCAAGGGGTCCCAGACTCATCCTTTGGTGGGTTGGCCATAGGAGCTATAGAGAATTACACTGTTTGAAACCTGATCGTACCATTCCCATTTTTTGGGAGCTACAGTTAAAATCTGATTAAAGTCCAATTCACAGGAAGACTTGGAGAAAATCCCAAATTCAGTAACTGGGAAAGCAGATTTGCTGGACATTCCATGGAGTGGAGAAGAGAAACAGGAATGGGTCTGGACCCCAGATGCAGGAGTGGTGGGCGAATCTGGGTTTGTGTATGTCGTTGAGTTGAACGGTGCTGGTGGTCAGCCGCAAGGTTTCTAAGGGATTCTCAGACCTGGTGCTCACCTGTGGACTGGTGAGCTTGTTGCATGCAGACTGACGGGCCCGTCCTAGACCTTTTGAGTTCTACTCTCCAGTCCACGAGTGGGCTCTGAGCATTGGGGACTGACAGCTCTCTGTCCTGCACACCCCAATGACACCCCAAATATGAAGGCCCGTTTTGATTCCCAGAGGCTACTCCTGCACATTTCCCGGCTGCTCTCTCAACCTCCCACTGTGGCAATTGCAAGAACTATAACAGCTGCTGCAGGCGCCTGGGGCAGAGGGCTGCTTTCCCAGCATAGCTTAAAGGGGGATCCTACATTCCTTCTAGAAACTTGGCCTCCAGGTTTCCTCTGCCATTCTCCACGGTCACATCTAATAGAGCTTGGCTGTACACCAATCTATAACCCATTAACCACCACTTTATGGGGTCTGAAAAATCAATCCTAATACCCAGAATAAATGCATGAGCACAAAACGTTACAATGGCTCTCATAAGCTCCGAGCAACCCCAGCCCTTTGAGACGTTCTCATGGTTCACTGGTTGGCAAAAGGCAGAAAAAGGATACTCTGAATGGAGACTAACACGAAGTGCCCTCTGTTTTCCAAGTGGAGTGTATAATTCATGCTCCTTCATTTATATATGAGCCCTAGTTCCACCTGCTTGGATTCAAGTGTTGTCTGTTACAAGGAACAGCCACTAGTGAAATGTAATTTACATAGCCCCAGATTCTAAGTGAACTCATTATTGTCAGAAAGCTAAAGATGGCTCCAGGAATAATAAAAACTGCTTGATTTGGTAAAAACATTAAAAAAAAAAAAGAAACAATATATTACAGTATATATTTTTAAATATATATGCTATAATATACTGCATTTGTATTTACATATATATACATGCAGTAATATATTACAGTATATATTTTACATCACAGTCCCGGTGAGTGGTTTTGTACCAAATTCAATAGCGGTGACATAGAACGCTGGACATTTTACACACGGGAGGGGTTGGAAAGGGAAGGAACCACAAAATGAAAACAAAACTGAAATAAAATCCTGGATAGATTTTAACATCTGCTCCTCATTAATAAGTCTCATTTGGGAATTTCTAATAAAAGGAGAGCTGAAGTAAGGAGAGATGGGAGAAGGGGTGGGTATGCTGAGGGGAAAAAAGACTCAGGGAAAAATGGACCATTGAATGCTTCCAGGGCAAACTCTTCCCTCTGGAAACCAGGAGGACTCTCAGCATGGAAGGTGACATGTCACTAGATTTAGTTCCCCTTCTAGAATGGCATCATGAAAAGTTTTACAATAGGGTTATGCCTTTCTCAGGCTTATGGGCTCTGAGCTTTCCTTATCTCATTGCTGTTACCATGTACAGAACAGCTGTCAAATCCCTTTCAGGTTATTGTTAGGGTCCTGACTTGCAAATCCCATAATTTTTTTTCCCCTACAATATTATTTTAAGATTATCTTTGGCAGTCTGAAGGTAGAATTTATTTATTTTTTAAGTGTCTAAATAAAGATATTCAAAGACCTGCCCTTGTTTTGTGCTATTAGTTTGATTTATTGAACTTTTTTTTTTTTCGTTCTGGAACTCACCTTCTAAAGCATGTTCAAAACTGTCTTGATTAACTGAAAGAGAAATCAGGAAGCATTGGTCAATGTAAAGTGAATTCACTTCGTTTGCATGAAATGAGGCCAAAAAATTTGATGCAAAAGCCCATGCCATGCTTTGGTGAAGTTAGTGGTATGTTTTTACTTATCTTGGGCCACTATAATCAGTGAACGTGCCTGGACTATTCACTTCCTAAGTTACCAAGAGAAGATGAGATAGATAAGACCCAAGATCAACAACAGTGATAGTGAATAATTACTGAACACTCACCGCGTGTCCAAAATTGTGCCAAGAACTCTACATACATTTGCTCAGTTAATCCTCATAACAATCTTGTTAGGTCAATGCTATTATCATCCCCATTTTACAGATGAGCAAACAGAGGTTCAGAGAAGTGAAGTGACTTCTCTGACATCACACAGCTTCTCAGTGATGGAGGCAGGATTTCAGTCTGGGCTGCTCAAGCTCTCTGGTTTCTGCTCTCAATTATGTGGTTAGGGTCTTTTCATCATTTTCATGTGGGGCAAAGCACGAATGAATTGCGAGGCCCCAGACCTTCATACAAAATCCAGCCAGAGGTGGAACTGTTTTCCTGTTTTGAAGACTATCTATGTAAACCTCTCTAATTTCATTTTTATTCCTTTTATATTGATGAGGCTTTGTATCCCATGTGAAACTATTTTTAATCATTTATGTTTTTTGTAAAACTTCTCCGGAGGTTCAACATCATGGGGACTGGCACCCCATCTTTGTCATCAGTCATCATGGTAGCTAAGCACAAAAATATACCAACAAGGATGGATGTTTATTACAGGAATGCAAAACCCCAGCATGAAGGACTTTGATGAAAAAATTGCAGCATTAGGGGATAGGAGGGAGTGGCCACCAAAGGCTTAGCTATACTGATGTCCCCAATCCCAAGACACCCTAATCCATGCCTTGGTTAAAGTCACTCTCTGGTTTACGCCATCATCACACCATGATGACAAAACCAGCTGAAAAGCTAGCTGGCTAACTAAGTGCACACTTCTCTGCAGCTTTGGCATCAAGAAAATGGAAAGATTGAAGCAGATGGTCCTGCCCCAAGATGTGAGTTGCACCGTGGTTGAGTGAGAGTGCGTGAATGTCCATGGAATCTTAGAACTGGGAGGAGGCATTGAATCATGTGTTCCTTGGAGCCCTGTGCTCATGAACCCCACAGGGCATGTTAAATGCAGATTCCTGGGCCATTCCTGGGACTTGTCAGAGCGGTATTCTCAGCGGTGGACCTCTGCAGGTCTCACCAATGCCTCAGCAGTTCTGATGCATCCAGTGGGCTCACTGGCTCCTCTTCAGAAACTCTGATCTGGACTCCCCCAGTTATTTCACAAAAAGGGAAACCAAGGTCAGAGAGGGAGGGGGGCTCACTCAAGGTCACACAGGTGGTCCACAGCAGAACTGGACTGGAGCCCGGGGTCCCCAAGTCCCAGTCAGGTGGCCTCACATTGGCACTGAGTTGCTTCCCCTCCTGCATACCACAATGTCATGCATCCCAGTTTTTTTCTGAGGAGGAAGTGATTTCTCATTTCCTTACAGAGTTGGTGGTGGGACGGATCTCAGGAGTGGAAATGGAGAGGGAAGAAAGGTGCAGGGGTCTCCTGAGAGCCTTTCTTGCTAGCAATTCCATCACAGTTGTGGGAGAAGGCAGTGAGCTGATTGACCTTGTGGGGCTTCTAGAGATACTAGCCCATAGAAAAGAGAGGTTTCAGGGATCACCTGCAAAATGGAGCCTCTTTTTATCTTTTCGTGTTTTTTTTTTCCTTTTTTTGTCATTTGTGTATATTATTATTATTTTTTAAGACAGAGTCTTGCTCTGTCACCTAGACTGGAGTGCAGTGGTGCAATCTCAGCCCACTGCAACCTCGGCCTCCCGGTTTCAAGCGATTCTCCTACTTCAGCCTCCAAGTAGCTGGGATTACAGGTGCACACCACCATGCCCAGCTACATTTGTGTATATTCTGATGGTAGTTTTATTTTCTTTTCAGTTTGGCAGCATTAAAAAAAAATTGAAAACATACAGTGCTGGCGAGGAGGTGGAGAAATGGACATATTACACATTGTTGGTGAGCGTGGATTGCTCCAATTGTGGGAAACGATTTGGTGACATCCAGGACAACTCGATATCCATAGATCTTTGCCCACACCATCAATCCTGCTTTGAGGAATCTGTCCTGCAGGATGAAAAGTGCCAGCATCCAAGGATTCATGGGCAAGATTTTTTTTGGCAAAACAAAACAAACAAAAAACTGGAAGAGAACTGATGTCTCCATCAACAGAGGAAGGGCTGAATGCACTGGGGAACAAGCAAAGTGTGGAATGACGGGTGGCAAATAAAAAAAATAACATGGCACTACTTTTGTAATAAGTAAAACACAGAATACAGCATGATATGAACCTCCCTCCCTTTTTTTTTTTTTTTTTTTGTGATACAGGGTCTTGCTCTGTTTCCCAGGCTGGAGTGCAATGGTGCAATCATGGCTCACTGCAGCCTCAACCTCCTGGGCTCAAGCAGTGCTCCTGCCTCAGCTTCCCAAGTAGTTGGGACTACAGGAGTGTGTCACCATGCCCCGCTAATTTTTTGATTTTTTGTAGAAATGAGGTCCCACTATTTTGCCTAGGCTGGTCTCGAACTCCTGGGCTCAAGTGATCTTCCCACCTCGGCCTCTCAAAGTGCTGGGATTACAGGTGTAAGCCACCACACCCAGCCTTTTTTTCTTTTCTTTTTTTTTTTCTGTAAAACAAAAACAAACATCCCTCTCTCTTTCCAAATATGTCTATGTGTATAAGACTAGGGAAAGGTGTGACACTGGAAATTCAGGTGATTAGCACTGGCTTCTGGAGAAGAAAGAAAGGGATGGAGGAGAGAGGAAAACTGCTCCTTCCATTTGAAGCTCTGATTTCTTCTACTTGTTCCATGAGATACCTTTGCAATTAATCCAAGAAGAATTTAAAAAGCTACCGTGGCAGATACAAACACGTTGTCCAGGCCAAAGTGGCCCTTTTCATGGTTTTCTTATTTAGGGTTTTTTTTCTTTCTTTTTTTTGAGATGGAGTGTCGTTCTGTCACCCAGGCTGGAGTGCAGTGGCTCGATCTCAGCTCACCGCAAGCTCCGCCTCCCACGTTCACGCCATTGTCCTGCCTCAGCCTCCTGAGTAGCTGGGACTACAGGCGCCCGCCACCACACCCGGCTAAATTTTTTTTGTATTTTTAGTAGAGACGAGGTTTCACCGTGTTAGCCAGGATGGTCTCGAACTCCTGACCTCGTGATCCACCTGCCTTGGCCTCCCAAAGTGCTGGGATTACAGGCGTGAGCCACCGCGCCGGCCAAGGTTTCTTAAAAAACAAATCCTGCTAATTTTTCTTCCCTGCAGAAAACTCATCAACAATGTCAAATTAATTTCTATTAATGTCCATGTGACAGTTAGAGGGTTTACAGGCAATCTTTACTCAGGAACTTCCCAATACTTAAGCTCTGCAAAGCAGGTTTCCTGTGCTATCAAAAATAAATTCAGGTCGGGTATGATGGCTCACGCCTGTAATCCCAGCACTTTGGGAGGCTGAGGTGGACAGATCCCTTGAGCCCAGGAGTTCAAGACCAGCTTGGGCAAAATGACAAAACTCCGTCTCTATTAAAAATACACAAATAAAATAAATTCAAACACTGGGCTGGACTTAGTCAAAATTATGGGGGAATGAGGGAAGGCAGCTGTCTTGAATGCTAATTGTGGATTTCTTACTGTTCGCTGCTCTTCAAAAGGACCCCTTGTTCTCTTATTAGGAACTGCTTACGGCCGGGCGCAGTGACTCCGCCTGTAATCCCAGCACTTTGGGAGGCAGAGGTGGGCGAATCACGAGGTCAGGAGATCGAGACCATCCTGGCTAACACGGTGAAAACCCGTCTCTACTAAAAATACAAAAAATTAGCCGGGTGTGGTGGCGGGCGCCTGTAGTCCCAGCTACTCGGGAGGCCGAGGCAGGAGAAATGGCGTGAATGCGGGAGGCGGAGCTTGCAGTGAGCCGAGATCCAGCCACTGCACTCCAGCCTGGGGGACAGAGCGAGAATCTGTCTCAAAAAAAAAAACAAAAGAACTGCTTATATAAGTCATTGTCATTCACGTGATGAGCCCCTGCTTGATACCTGGTAAGATTAAATTGCAACCCTCATGCTAGTGTTTCCCATACTTGGCTGATGATACAATTCACCTGTGTGGTTAGTTAAACTGGTCCCTGGGTCCTGCTTTAGACCCAGTGAATCAGAATCTCCGTGGAAAGGGCTCAGGACTCCGTTTATGTTTGGAAATCACGGCCTTAAATGGTTCTCACATTCAAAGTGCATTTGAGAGCTTGTTAAAAGGCTTATTCCAGGCCCGCCTCTCAATGATTTTGCTTTGGGAGATCTGGGTTAGATTCGGGAATGTGTGAACACACCTAGGTTTCCATGCTGCGGTGACTGGCTGGTTGGGGGTCTTTCTTAGTAGCCCTGAAGGCGGGAAATTTACAGTCATGAGATGCGGGTTCAAGTCCTAGCTTTGTCTTGTACTAGCTGTGTGGCTTTGGGAAAATCACTTAACTTCTCTGAGCTTCTCCTTCCACATCTGTAAAACAGGTAAGATGGCTCACCTATCTTAGACAGTGGTCATAAGACTTAACAGAGGTGATTCAGGGGAATTGTTTTTTTTTTTAGGTAGATAAAATTCACATAACATAAAATTAACCATTTCAAAGTGTTACAATTCAGTGGCATTCAGCATATTCACAATGGTGCGCAACCATGACCTCTGCCTAGTTCCAAAACATGTTCTTCATCTCCAAAACAAGCCCCATACTCAGTAAGCAGTCCCTAGACAACCACGACTCTGCTTTCTGTCTCTATGGATTTACCTATTCTAGATGTTTCCTAGAAACAGAACCCTAAAACATGTGACCTTTTGTGTCTGGCTTCCTTCACTCAGCATAACGGCTTTGAGGTTCATCCATGTTGTGGTATGTGTCAGTATTTCGTTCCTTTTAATGGCTGAATAATATTCCCTTTTTTCTGCCACACTTTTGTTTATCCATTCATCAGTTGGTGGGCATTTGGGTTGTTTCCATCTCGTGGCTATTGTGAATAGTGCTCCTATAAACATTCTTAGACAGGGTTTGCTTAAATACCTGTTTCACTTCTTTTGGAAATATACCTCGGAGTGGACAAACTAACTGGGAAAGTAGTTTTAAGCCTCAGAGCTGGGGTTCATGAATAAGGCATTTGGGGATCCACTGAAGTTAGGGGTTCCCAAGTAGAGACATAAAACTTCATGCTTCTGTTCCTTCTGGAGGGCAAATTCGAGCCTTTTGCCTGATTCTCAAAGGGGCACTAAAGCAATAAAGGTTAAGATCCACTGGCCTAAAACACTGAACATATTTCCGTTACTATTACTGATTGTGCACTTCAAAAGTCCAGATAAACGAATCCAAATTTTACTTAGTGTGTTACAACTTAATTTTAGTGATGAGTGTTCAATGGATTCTAAGATGCAATTTTCTCACTTCACCATCTGGGAGGTGGGGGCGAGGCTTAAAGCAATAATGTGTAATAATAGCTGCCACCAGGTGGCGCTCACGATTCCCCGTGTGCACAAACTGGGGGCGTTAAGAGTATTAGGGTTTGCAGAACGCCAGGTAACGCCCTGGGAGATCACCCTGTAGGCAGTGGAGGAACACTCCTAACCCATGGGAACTAACTGGTTGTGAGGAGGCAGTGCAAGAGGTGGGAAATAATTAAGCAGGGTTCTCTAAGCAGGGGTCAAAAGCAGGCAGAGGTCAGATGCGGTAATCCCAGCACTTTGGGAGGCCGAGGTGGGAGGATCGTTTGAGGCCAGGAGTAGAGACCAGCCTGGGCAACATAGCGAGACCCCCATCTCTACAAAAATAAAAAAATTTAGCTGGGCGTGGTGGCGTGCACTTGTGGTCCCAGCCACTCGCGAGGCTGAGGTAGGAGGATAGCTTGAGCCCAGGTGGTTGAGGCTGCAGTGAGTAATGATCACGCCACTGCATTCCAGCCTGTGCAACAGAGTAAGACCCTGTCTCCAAACAAACAAACAAACAAAAACAAACAAACAAATCAACAAAAACCAGGCTGGATCACAGGGCCGGGACTAGGGCAAGGCGAGAGCTGTCTAGGGCGAGAAGTGTACGGAGACTCTTTTTTTAAGGCTGTTCTACGGGACGCTTGGTCACCTCCTTACATTTTTCACCTCAGGCACCTCTTTTGCCTCAGACTCGTCCCAGCCCTGCCTCAATGTAACTGCAAGCCCCTTGTATCAAAGACTTTAGTTCGTTATGGACGTTCCTACAGAATTCTGCATCCCTGATGCTTTAATGGGACAGGAGCTATGTATGTATGTAAATGTATATATATTTTAGTACACAATGACATTCAACAGGAGCGATATTGAGTGGAAAAATAGGATGTTGAAGACTTGGAGTAAAAAATGATTCTACAGCTGGGTGTGGTGGCTCATACCTGCAATCCCAGCTACTCAGAGGCAGAGGAGGGAGGATCGCTTGAGGTCAGGAGTTCTAGGCCAGCCTGGCCAACATAGCAAGACCCTGTCTCTACAAAAAAATTTAGTAATAATTTAGAAAATCAAAAGTGCCAGACTTTGAAGGTGGGGAAGTTTTAAATACACTGGAACCAGTTTATTTTGCTTGTATTTTGTTTGTTTGTTTGTTTGTTTGTTTGAGACAGAGTCTCACTCTGTCACCCAGGCTGGAGTGCAGTAGCATGATCATAGCTCATTGCAACCTCTGTCTCCTGGGATCAAGTGATCCTCCCACCTTAGCCTCCCAAGTAGCTGGGACTACAGGCACACGTCACCACATCAGGTTAATTTTTGTATTATTATCATTATTTTGTTTTTGTAGAGACAGTTTCACCATGTTACCCAGGCTGGTCTCAAACTCCCCGGCTCAAGCAATCCTCCCACCTCAGCTTCCCAAAATGCTAGGATTACAGGTGTGAGCCACTGCACCTGGGCTGCTTATATTTTCATTTGAACATTTTCATAATTGTGATATATGATAAAAAGCTTAAAGACCTTTATGTTTTCATTTTTTAGATAGAATCTCGCTGTGTCACCCAGGCTGGAGTGCAGTGGAGCCACCTCGGCTCACTGCAACCTCTGCCTCCTGGATTCAAGTGATTCTCTTGCCTCAGCCTCCCGAGTAGCTGGGACTTCAGGCATGCACCGCTACGCCCAGCTAATTTTTTTGTATTTTAAGTAGAGATGGGGTTTCACCATGTTGGTCAGGCTGGTCTTGAACTCCTGACCTCAAGTGATATGCCTGCATCAGCCTCCCAAAGTGTTGGGATTACAGGCGTGAGCTACTGTGCCTGGTCAAAAGCTCCTTTAGTAAGTAAAAATAAAAATGCTAAGCCAGGAGAAGACATTGTGTCATAGTATAATTGGCAGCATGTTTTTTTCTTTTTTAGTGGTGCATAAAGTCATGGTGACATCTTAGATTTAATGAAGTACAGCAGCTCAGCTCTATTATTTTAAAATTTAATTTAATTTTTTTGAGATAGAGTCTCGTTCTGTCCGGGCTGGAGTGCAGTGGCATGATCAAGGCTCACTGCAACCTTGACCTCCTAGGCTCAGGTGATCCTCCCATCTCAGCCTCCCGAGTAGCTGGGACTACAGGTGTGTGCCGCCATGCCTGACTAATTTTTTTTTTTTTGGTAGAGATGGGGGTCTCACTATGTTGCCTCGGCTGGTCTCGAACTCCTAGTCCAATTTTTTAGAGCAAGTTCAGAACTCCTGTGAGCCAGGAGCCTGACATCTCCAGGCCCCGTGGACCCTGTGTGGTGAGTAGGTTTCTTTACCTTTACACACGGGCAGGGGCCCGTTCCAGTGGGATGGCTGTCCCAGGATGCAGCGGATGGTCACTTCACCCATGAGCTCAAAGCCTTCGTAGCACATGAAGGTGAGGGACTCTCCTGGCAGGTAGAGTCGCTTGTACAGGATTTGGTATCCATTTTCAGGCAGCCCTGGGTTGTCACATGCCAGGGACTCCTCCGCTGAAATGCAAGCCAGAAGGAGCTCTGATGAGATGATGCAAATCTTTGGGGAGTCCTGCTCAGAACCCGTGTGATCTAGCTTTGGTCAGCCTCTCCAGCATCCTCTCTCTGCATCCCCACCTTGCATCAGACTGTTTTCTATTTCTCAAACTGTTCTTTCTGTCTTCCACCTCTGGGCACAGATTACATACAGGCAAGGTAGAATGAAGTTGGCTGAGGAATCAAGGTTAAAATATGAGTTCTGTTACTTGTTAGCTGTGTGATCGCCAGCAAGTGGCATAACCTTTCTGATCCTTAGTTTCCTCATTAGCATAACGACGATCAAAGTAATATCTATCTCCTAGGAATTTGGAGGACTAAAATAGGTAAGTAAGGAAATGCTTAAGATGTTTTGTTTTTGGCATGTCATACGTACTTAGTAAATGATGGACGGTGGTGGTGTTTAATTATGAAATCTTCTTCTTGCTTTTCACCTGACACCTAACCTGCGCATCCATTATGACTACGTCTTGTCTTTCAATACTCAATCTTCATTTCTCCTTCTCCAGGAAGCCTTCCTTGATGCCTCCTACCGTGAATTGAGTCGTCAGTCTTCTTAGTTTCTCCAGCACTGCATGCACTGTACTGTACTGAATTAGTTATCTGTTTCCCTCATTGGAGATGAGCCTATCAGAGCAAGCCTGAAGCTCAGGGCCTGGGAGCCTGGCAACAAAAGGCCTCAACTATTACAAATAAGCCCATACTGCCATCTGGTGACTGCTCTCTTCAGCTGCAGACACAAAGTACCCGGTAGCCTAAGACACCCAGGCTGGAGTGCAGTGGTGCAGCACGGCTCACTGCAGCCTTAACCTCCCAGGGTCAAGCAATTCCCCTGCTTAAGCCTTCTGAGTAGCTGGGACTATAGGCGTGTCCCGCCACACTCGGCTTTTTTTTTTTTTTTTTTTTTAAAGTAGAGACAGGGTCTTGCCATGCATCCCAAGCTGGTCTCAAACTCCTGGGCTCAAGCAATTCTCCTGCCACAGCCTCCCAAGGTGTTAGGATCACAGTATTTACTGGAGAGTTGAACCTGCAGGTTTAACCCATTCCAGGCCGCATGTGAGATCTAGTCCTTTTTCAGCACCTGGATGGAATGGACAGCCAGCAAATTGCTTCACACACAGGACTACAAATCCTAAAACATTCTAAACTTTATTATTTAAAAAATTTTAAATTGTAGTAAAATCTACATAACATAAAACTAACCATCTTAACCATTTTAAGTGTACAGTCCAGTAGGTTAGTGTACTTTTACATTGTTGGGCAACTTATGTCCAGAACTCTTTTCATCTTGCAAATCTTAAACTCTATATGCGTTAAACAACTTACCCTAGCCCCTGGGATCCACCATTCTACTTTCTGTCTCTATGAAGTTCACAGCTCTAGTTATCGCATGTAAGTGGAATCAGATAGTATTTGCCTTCTGTGACTGGCTTCTTTCTCTTAGCATAATGTCCTCAAGGTTCATCTAGGTTGCAAGATGTGTCAAAAATTTTCTTCCTTTTCAAGGCTAATATTCCATCGTAGGCAGGTGTCACACTTTGTTTTTCGTTCATCCATCGATGGACACTTGTGTCGCTTCCCCTTTTGGCTACTCTGAACAATACTGCTATGAACATGGGTGTACATGTTAAGCTATGCCCAGATTTCTGACCCACAGAAACTGTCAGATAATAAACGTGTTGTTTGAAGCGTCTCATTTTGCACGATGAATCTCAAGCATGCCTTCAAGACCCAGATTGCTCCCCAAAGGCATGAATTCTGTCCTTGGAACTCTGTCTTATCATCATCATAACTTCAGAATCTTTTCTGGCACTTCTTTCCCAGGCTTTAAACTCATATATGCTCATACCCAGTACAATGCCTGGTTCACAGGAAGCATTCCTTTATTTACTCAGATAATGTTTATTGAGCAATTATTATGTGCCAACAACATAAATAGTACTGAGGACACAGAGGTGAATAAAACAGATATAATCCCTGGTCCTACGGCACTTGTGGTTCAAGGCACACAGTACAGTATAGGTCCCAGCTAGAACCCTTTTCTCTGTGAACATGACTTACATTTGGGCTCTACTCAGCTTGAGTAATGTCAACTGAAACAATAGTTACCAAGCTTTCACAGATTAGGAGATTTCAAATAATAATTTAGATTTCTGGATTCTTCTGAAACATTAGAAGATTGGGCAATACTGGGTTCACATTGTTACATGGCAATGACTGGCTGGAGTTGAGTAATGGCTTTCCCTGTTAGACCAGGAATATTCTTTACTTTAGCCCCAGTCTCTGCCACTCCCTATTGTCTTTCACGTGGTACTTGCCTGGCCTTGTAGGCATTTAAATGTATCACTTTTCCAATGAAAAGATGAATGAATCAATTGATGAGTATGTTTTAGTCACAGTAATCACCATACATGAAGAATCGGGACTTTGATCTCCTCCAGTGGGTGGACGGGTAGGAATCTGGCTTCACTCTTGAGGTTGAAGGGTTTTCCTTTATACTTCAATAGCAGTCTTCCCTGGGAGTTATGAACTGTTTCCTTCCCACCCTTGAAATCTAGCCCAGAAGTCAGCCTGTGGGAAGAGACTTCCCAGGTCACTGTGCAGCTGGAGTTGCATCTTGGATGACACCATAGATAGCTCTGGCGGGCACCCATGCATTTATTCAGAAAATATATCTTGAGTGCTTACTTCATGCCCAGCAATGCGTCCAGCAATGCGGTGAGGAGGTGAATCAGACATCATTCCTGTCCTCTAGAGCTCATGGTCTGCATGCTCTAAGGGGCCAAGCAAATGTGTAAATGGACAATTTAATTAAAAATGGCAGGTGCCATAGAAGAGAGAAACTCAGAAGACCCTGGGTGGCTGCAGAAGACCCCTAAAGTAGCCAAGGGAAGGGGCTGTTGGAATAGTTGAGCGAGAGAGGCAGAGATTTTGAATGTAGCTCCCTTTCCACAAGACTCCCAGAGATGAGGCAGTAAGTGGTTCAGCTGACACTTGGCCAAGGCTAATCCTTCCACTAATTGAAGGTCATCTGTATACTTGAAGTTTGCCCCCTGGCATTCCAGAGCAGGATGGATATGCAGCCAACGCTTCTGTGTTTGAGCCCAGAATCAAATCACAAAGCCTTGCTTAAGTCAATCATGGGGCTCCCTCCAAGGCAGCACTCTATTATGTGTTTATGGATGAGACCTAAGAGGGCTGGCAAGGAATCATTCACCCTGCAGAGCGTGCCTTGGGGATGGACTGTAGGAAGGGAGAATTTTATTTTTATTTTTAAAGCCTGTGCTTTGATGTATTTTTTTTTAATGCAGGGTGGGTCTGCATTACTTTACAATAAGCATAGATGGTATAATGAACAGAACCCAGTGCCAATCATATTCTAATGATTCCTCTGAAAATATCCTGAGGAAGTCTTTGGTCCTCAACCCAGCTGAGCTCACTGCTGCATCCTTGGCAACCTGGTACAGGGTAGGTGCCCAGTAAATATTTCTTGAAAGACCTCACATCATTTCATTTAAAGGCAAATTGCAGAGCAGGAGCGCTTGGGTTCAAGTGTCCAAGGGCTCAGGATGCACATCCTAGTTGTATGTCTGTGAGCACAACTGACCTCTCTGAGCCTCAGTTTCCTCATCTTTAAAATGGGCTGTCTCAAGGTGTTGTTATGAGAATAAAACAAGCTCACGCACATGAGATGGGCAGCATATAGTGAGCACCCAATATACACTGATTATTTTTATGGCTTTTAAAACTCTTGTCATATTTTCATACCAATTGTACTGTTGTTCACTTAATACATATATATATATATATATTTTTTTTTTTTTTTGAGACAGAGTCTCACTCTGTCACTCAAGATGGAGTGCAGTGGTGTGATCTCAGCTCACTGCAACCTCAGCCTCCTGGGTTCAAGCGATTTTCCTGCCTCAGCCTCCCGAGTAGCTGGGACCACAGGCATGCGCCACCAAGCCTAGCTGATTTTTTTTGTTTTTGTATTTTTAGTAGAGACGGGGTTCCACCATTTTGGCCAGGCTGGTCTCGAACTCCTGACCTCAAGTGATCCATCCGCCTCAGCCTCCCAAAGTGCTGGGATTACAGGCATGAGCCACCACACCTGGCCTATGTAATATATTTTTAAAAATTTCTATTGACTTGTTTTTCTATTTAGATTGCACAGTATAATTTAGCCTCACTCTAAATAATAATAGTCTTATAATCAGAGGTTTCACATGTCAGTTTTAATTTTTCTAATTTTCTTAAGCCAAACGACTCACAAAAAGTTCATCTGGACACTGTTTAAAGCCGCGTGGGTATCCCCGTAGTGTATCTAATACTCCTACTCCTCGGGAAGTGCAGCCCGGTGCACAACACTTTATAGCTTTTGAACTCCCAGAGTCCAGAATACACTCTCCGTGTTTTTTTTGTTTTTGTTTTTGTTTTTTGTTTTTTTTTCAGCCCGTAGACTCTGTTCCTCCAATGTTCCATCCCTGTGCTAGGAGCTGGGTATGAAGCAGTGAATTAGAGAATCACGTTTTCTGTTCTCCCAAAACTCAGTCGAATGGGGAACAGAGAACAGTTACCGGGTCATTACAGCCCAGTGTGGTCTCAGCTGTGCTGGGGAAAGCGCACAGGAGAAGCCTCACTTTCCCGCCCCCTGGTCGGGGAGGCTTTTTCTTGATGACGTTGGTGGCTCCCTTCAGAGAACACAAATCCCTACTGTATTACCTGCAGTGCAGAAAAATGACCAGCAGGTGGCAGTGGCGACACAAAAGAATTCCCCCATGAACCTTTCCTCGGAAATTTTCTTTCATAAATTAACAGATGAATTAATACAACAAATATTCACTGGACACCTTCTGTGTGCCAGGCATTGTATGCGCCGGGCATACAATGATGAGCAAGGCGAACATGGTCCCTGCCTTCATGTAACTGAACACTAATTCAGTCCTGTATGTATTCCAGAAGTATTTCCTGATACCAAACCTGTGCTAAACACTGTCCTCGCCCTGGGGAGATGGAAGGTGCATAAAGGATAAATCGTTAGACCTGGGTGTAAAGGAGGATATTGACAGCCGACCTAGGAGCAGGACCCCCAGGCTAAGTGCTAGAATGGCCTTGGGTTATCCTGTGCCCTGGCTCCGCCCCTATGGTATTTTAATTTAATTAGTCACCCAGAGTATTCTTTTTAAAACTCTCCAGGAGATTTTAAAGTTTGGCAAGGGCTCAGAACCACTGGTTTGGTGTCCTGGCATGGTTAACATATTAACTCATCATTTAATTAATTTCCAAAGTATTTGCACAACCATTCTGTATTAGATGATTTGCATATATTATTTCTAATCCTTCTGCAAAGTCCTTGAAGGTAATAACAATCATGACCAAAACAGCCAACATTTACAATATTTACTGAGGGCATTCTCTGAGCCAGATTCCATTCTGAGTGTTTTATATCTATGAACTCATTTAGTTATCACAACAACCCTAAGACACAGATATTATATCTTTATTCCTACTTTATTTTATTTTTATTTTTGAGACAGGGTCTCATTCTGTCACCCAGGCTGGAGTGCAGTGGCGTGAACACAGCTCACTTCAGCCTTGACCTCCCTTTCAAGAGATCCTCCCACCTTAGCCTCCCGAGTCGCTGGGACCACTGGCGTGCACCATCATGCCTGGCTAATTTAAAAATTTTTTATGAAGACAGGGTCCTGAGGACCCTGAGGTTACCCAGGCTGGTCCTGAACTCCTGACCTCAAGTGATCCTCCTGTCTCGTTCTTTCAAAGTGTTGAGATTACAGGCATGAGCCATCATGCCTGGTCATCATCTCCATTTTGTATCCAAGGAGAATGCAGCGCAGAACGGTTGGGTAACGTGTTAAAGGTCACAAGCTAGTTAGTGGTATAAATAAGATTCAAATCCAGGTGGTCCAAGTCCGGTCTTAACCACTGCACCATGCAGCCATTTTACAGATGAGAAAACTGAGGCTCAGGTGGAACTCACTGGTGAAAAGTCCCCTCAAGCAGGAAGTGGCTGAGCTGCAATTTGAGCTGAGGATTCTCTAGCTTTCAAGTCAGCCTGATTCAATTTTGACCCAGTCCTCAGTAAGAGTTTGAAAACAATGTCATATGGAATTTTTCCCCAGCAGGAACCAGCTCTTGGAAGGCATTTGTGTGTATCTTCAGCACCTAGAAGATGGCAGAAGAGTCAAAGGAATAGGAACTTGAATTTGAAACTGGAGGCCTGTGTCTGCTGCACCACCTTGAGTGAGTTGCTTATGTCTCCATACTCCATTTTTTTCTGCCCATAAACAGTCTGGACCTTAGCCGAGACATGGCTAGGCAGTGACATGTAGTCACACTTTGAAATAAGATCATCTAAGGCAGGTTTTCTCAACTTAGACAGGTTTTACATTTGGAATGGATAATTCTTTGTGGTGGGGGCTGTCCTGGGCACTGGAGGATATTGAGCAGCATCCTGGGCCCTGACCTGCTAGAAGCCGGTAGCACCCCTCTTCCCTGACAAGTTGTGACAACTCATAATTTCTCTAGAAATTGTATTTACACATGTCCCCTGGAAAGCAAAATCGCCTCTGGTTGAAAACCACTGGTCGAATGTTTTAAACAATTCGGGTTGCAACTGGTGTAACTCCAGCCGTTCTCTCCCAGGAATGCAAATGAATTGGACCGATGGCCTTATAGATCTACTCACGAACCCACTCTCGTTTCTGTTTTCTTTTTCTATTTTCCCCTCTCTTTAACAATAGAAGAAAATGTACATTTCTGGAGCACATTTGAACAAAAAGCTCGAAATCAAGTCCCCTAGTAATAGTTACAAATGGTTTGCAATATGCCCTACAAGCAGTGGAGCTTTGAAACAGAGTGGTGATTAGCAGCCAATGTTAACTGACGACTTGCTATGTGCCAAGCACACCATTCATTAAAAGCCTTTATATTTATGATTGGCATGTTCGTTTTTCAATCTTTTTGGTGAGAAAGCTGGCTTGTATAAAGTCATGGTGCTTGTAAGAGGCAGGGCTGGGGTACAAACCTGGACGTGCTGGTTTTTAGTGCTGTCCATTTAATGGTTCTGCTATAACAAAGGCCCTTCTTTTACCCAAATCCCCTAGGGTTATCATGGATTTCTGTGAGAGACCGCTTTCCCAGAGACAGAGATTTCTAAATGAGGACGGGAACTCAGCTAACACTGGACATGCTGGCCAAGATGTGGCCACAGGAGACGGCTCAACAGTGGAAGCTCCTACGGTGGCCACAGTCTGGCCACAGCACCTGTGGGCTCTGTCCAGGCTGGGAAATCCCTGTGTCTCGTATCCCAGGTGTTCTGGGCTCAGGGCTGTGAGAACCAGGGCCTCCCGGGGAATCGCTGTCTCTTAAGCAAGCTAAGTGGCTCCTGGAGAGCCACTCATAAAACCCTTGCCGGATTTGTCAGATTCTTTTTAGTTTTGGTGGTGTGGTTTATGTCTTTGGGATGGTTACCTCAGGAGTCATCCACCACGTCCTTATCAAAGAGGGGAAGTTGCAACAAAGCAGAGGTGTGATAAAGACCACATTCATTTTGCTAACAATATCAACGACAGTAATAGTAACATCATTTGTCGAGCCTCCTGGGCTTGGGGGATTCAAGGATCAACTGGAGACAATCCTAGCAGGTGAGTTATGTGTTTATTCTATATATATATTTTAAAATTCTTTCTCTTTCTTACTCTAGGGAATGTGATTCTACAAACATATAAACAGATCATTTCAATAAACTGCAGCAGCTGTGGTGACAGATGTCACTGTAGGTTCCATGGGAATTCTGAGGACAGAAACACAACCCGGCCTAGGAAATCAGGGAGGACTTCCTGGAGGAGGTGGTGCTGACGATTCATTGTGATTTCCTTCATAGACCTGTCTCTCCACCCTCCTTTCCAAATAGGCCCCAGGCTCCATGAGAATGTGGGTCATATCTGTTTATACCTTACTGTTTTTCCAGGGGCTAGTGCCAGGGTTCCCAAACTTTCACCAAGGTGACCCAGGATGCCACCAGGAACTCACAGGGGGTGCTGTGGGATTTTTAAAAAAAGTTCTGAGGGCCGGGCACAGTGGCGCATGGCTGTAATCCCAGCACTTTGAGAGGTCAAGGCGGGTGGATCACAAGGTCAGGAGACCATCCTGGCTAACACGGTGAAACCCCATCTCTACTAAAAATACAAAAAATTAGCCAGGCGTGGTGGCGGGCACCTGTAGTCCCAGCTACTCTGGAGCCTGAGGCAGGAGAATGGCGTGAACCCGGGAGGTGGAGCTTGCAGTGGGCTAAGATTGCGCCACTGCACATCGGCCTGGGCAACAGAGCCAGACTCCGTCTCAAAAAAAAAAAAAAGTTCTGAGGAAACACAATGATGTGTTGGACCCTTGTGAACTACCAGCTCAAGATAGTTCACCGTTTCAACATTAGATCACGTCACCTTTGTTTTGGTGATGACTCATCATTGCAAAGCTGGATTTTTTTGTGGTGCTCGTGCTAACTGTGACAAAATCAATGTGGAACAGGAAATTAGGGTGGCGAAGTCCCATCTGATCCTAACGTTTAAGAAGATTTGCACAGCCCAACGGGTATACACATCCTCGTAGCAGCAATTGTCATTATTATTATTATTATTATTATTATTATTATTATTATTATTATTATTATTTGAGACAGAATCTTGCTCTGTCTCCCAGCCTGGAGTGCAGTGGCATGATCTCAGCTCACTGCAACCTCCGCCTCCCGGGTTCCAGCGATTCTCCCGCCTCAGCCTCCCAGGTAGCTGGGATTACAGGCACGTGCCACCACACCCAGCTAATTTTTGTATTTTTAGTAGAGACGGGGTTTCACTATGTTGGCCAGGCTGGTCTCGAACCCCTGACCTCAGGTAATCTGCCCGCCTCAGCCTCCCAAAGTGCTAGGATTACAGGTGTAAGCCATCACGCCCAGCCAGCAATTGTCATTATTTAATAATAAAAAAAACCGTTTTTCTTTTAATGTATGTGCATTACTTTTTCAAATGGCTACTATGCTGTGAAGAGATAACTACTCATTCAGTTGTTTGTACCTAACTGTTTAATAAATGGAACTGGTATTTAATAAATGGAAATGGTATTTTGGCCTAGGAAATCTGTGAAAAAATTCCTGAGACACCAAGGGTGTCATGAGTTGAGAAAGTTTGGGAACCTCTGTCCTAGCGTGTGCCTGCATATAGGAGGCCTGAACAACTGAGTAAGCTGAATGACTGAGTGAGTTGCTCCCAACAATCCTTCTTGGTAAAGGGTATTATTTTCTTTCACAGATGGGGGCTCTGAGGCCCAGAGAGGGCAAGTTACTTGCCCAAGGTCACTCAGCAGAGCTGGAGGGTGTGTCTGACTTTGACACCCAGACTCTTCCCTTTATCTCTGCCTGACCTGTCTGTTCTTAAAGTGCCCTGGGGTAAATGGACTAGGATTAAAAAGATATGGCTTTCAGTCCCAGGGGACCAAACTATGGCTTTGGGCAAGTGACTGGGCAAGAGGCTGTAGACAACCAGAGCTTATACAGTTTTCTTTTCTTTTCTTTTCTGTTTCTATGTTGTTGAGACAGGGTCTCCCTCTGTTGCCCAGGCTGGAGTGCAGTGGCGTGATCTCTGCTCACTGCAACCTCCGCCACCTGAGCTCAAGTGATTTTCCTGCCTCGGCCTCCTGAGTAGCTCAGATTGCAGGTGCTCACCATCAAGTCTGGCTAATTTTTGTATTTTTAGTAGAGACGGGGGTTTCACCATGTTGGCCACACTGGTCTGGAACTCCTGACCGCAAGTGATCCTCCTGCCTCAGCCTCCCACAAGTGTTGGGATTACAGGCGTGAGCCACCTCACCACTGGGCCCAGGGGCTTATGCAGTTTTCTGTCTGCTTCATTAACTTCTTGGTGGATCTTTGTCCACTCTTAAGCACCAGAGGTTTGCCCAAAAGCTGAACTGCAGAGTGATGAGGTTGGGAAGATGCTTTTGGGTTTAGTCAGGCTTGAGTTAGAATTCTGTTCTTCCTTTCTGTTGTGTGACCTCAGGAAAGCTACTCACCCTCTCCAGTCCTTCTTTGCCTGCTTTTAAGTGGACAGGCATTCACCTGTGCGATTTCCGTGAGGGTGAAGAGTGTTAGTGTTGGGGAAAAGGTCAGCCTACTGAAGGGGCCCATCAAATGGGTGCTGTTCCCTTTGTTCAGTCGACAAAACGTTTCAAAGCTGTTTTATGTCTGACAACCTCAACCTTAAAAATGCCTTCAGAACCTAGACTGCATCCTCCCTCTTACTCAGGAGCCGCGCTGCCAGAATCGGACCATCTCTCGCCTCCTGCGTTATCTCCCATCAGCCTCACCCGCTTGTCACGTCGCTGCCACCACACGCAGGGCTCTTCTTCAGGCTTTTGGGAGTACCGCGTGTCTCCTGACACCCCGCGTGGCTCGTGAACTCATTAGCATGGGTGTAAGGGAAGCCGTCTCTACTCAGCACTGCAGATCCAATGCTGAGATTTCAGGGAAAAGCATTCCCGAAGGGAGGGAGGGAGGCTTGCGTCTTGGAAATCCAGCAGCAGCTGCCGCAGCTCAGAGGGTCTTTAGAGACTGGGTCTCATTGGTGAAGTGCTTTTTCTTTTTTAAAAAAATGATGCCTCCACCTTTCAGTATTTTAATAGAAGCTTTTATTTTAAGCTTTTCATCTCTGGGTCTCTGCAGCTGGAGTTACTAAAGTGGCTGCTTCTGATCGCTCTTGCAGTCACTAGAAGGAAATGGGAATGACACTGACGTCCTAGGGCTGCCCTTGACAAAGGACCACAAACCGGGAGGCTTAGGACAGCAGAAACTTCTTGGCTGGGAGGCTGGAAGTCCAAAATCAAGGTGTCAGCAGGGCCACACTCCCTCTGAATGCTGTGGGCGGTTGGGGGGGGTCCTTCCTTCGTGCTCCCTGGCTTGCAGCTGCATCACTCTAATCTCTCCCTCTGTCACCCTGTGGCCTTCTCTGTATCTGTGTCCCCATCTGTGTCCAGATTTCCCTCTTCTTACAAAGACACCAGTCATTGGATCAACACCCATCTTAATCCAGTGCGACCTCAGCTTAACTTGACCACATCTGCAAAGATTCTATTTCCAATCAAATCCACAGTTACAGATACTGTGGGTTAGAACTTTGAAGTTCTAATCAAGGTCACAGTTACAGATACCATGGGTTAGGATGTCAAAGACGCTACGTCCAATCAAGGTCACAGTTACAGATACCATGGGTTAGGATGTCGAAGACACTCTGTCCAATCAAGGTCACAGTTACAGATACTGTGGGTTAGGATGTCGAAGACACTGTGTCCAATCAAGGTCATGGTTACAGATACTGTGGGTTAGAACTTTGAAGTTCTAATCAAGGTCACAGTTACAGATACCATGGGTTAGGATGTTGAAGACACTGTGTCCAATCAAGGTCACGGTTACAGATACTGTGGGTTAGAACTTTGAAGTTCTAATCAAGATCACAATTACAGATACCATGGGTTAGGATGTCAAAGACGCTAGGTCCAATCAAGGTCACAGTTACAGATACTGTGGGTTAGAACTTTGAAGTTCTAATCAAGGTCACAATTACAGATACCATGGGTTAGGATGGCGAAGACGCTATGTCCAATCAAGGTCGCAGTTACAGATACTGTGGGTTAGGACTTTAACATATCTTTTGGGGATAGATTCAACCTATAACAGGAACCAACCAATGTGGATTTGGCCCAAGGTTCTGGGGCTTGGGGACCAAGTGTGGTTGTGGTTAAGGGGCTAGGTTTAGTATGTGTGTATAAATACACACATATGCATAGATTCACATATATATAGTGTCTAGAAATGTGTCTTACACATTCAATGAGCAATGATTCTTGTTATTTGTACTTCCCTCTGAATATCAGTTTCCTTAGTATATGTGTATATGCATATATATGCACATATGTACACACACTATATATACACACACATACACAAAAACACATGTTTACAGATATGTATAGTGTGCTTAGCAATGTGTCTTTTACATTCAATAAGTAACTATTGTTATTATCTGTACAATGGGGGCAGTTGCATTTTATCTCTAAGTCATCCTGCAGTTGTATTTTATCTCTCAGATTCCCTTCAGCTCTGAAATTCTGGGACTCTGACTAAAAAGACAGATGGAGACACAGGGCTGTGTGGTCCAAGAATCCCTGTTACTTGTGGAAACAGAATAATAAAGTGTCCCTTTTTGAGAAGAGAAAATAAGAACACAGAAATGGAAATTTTTCTCTCACAAGAAAAGGATCAGATGTTAAGGGAAATCTATGAAGCAAGCGCTTTGGGCCTAAAACTCTTCATTCTTTTGGGATCTGTAGAGTAAAGCCCTTCTGTGGGCTGGGGAAGCTGAATTTATGAACTAGCACACGGGAACTTGGCTTTGGCTGGCTCATGAATAGAGCAGAGAGGAAGGTCTCTTGTGAGTGTGAATTTGGCCATACTCTGTCTTCAACGACAGGCAACAGACATCTCCATTTTTGTTTTCCTGCCAGGAATCAAAGAGTTAATGCATGCGCCATTCTTAGAATGACACCTGGCCTACAGTAAGTGCTCAGTAAGTATCAGCCTATCCAATGAAAACGGACAAGGACTTTCCTGCTTTCTGGTTGCCTTTCTGCAGTTTGCTCGTCTAAATCGTAGAGTTGCTTGTTAGTGTGGTCATCAAAATTTGTGAAGCCTGTTTTAGGTACTTGTGAGAAGTCACAAAACATAGCCACTATAGGAGGTGGCCAAGTCTATAAATTGTACACAGTGTTACTCACATCAGATGTAGGGGAATTTATAATCAACTCACAGGAATTCTATTTTTTCTTTTCTTTTTTTCCCCCCAGAGTTAAATTCTTGGTTCTTCAACACTATCAAGACCTCACTGTGGCTTCTGGAGTTTGAACTGGCTGTATTCCTAATGGAGTTGTTCATAACACACTAATTTAAAATATTAGTGCAGCTGAGAGTTTCTAACCCCCAAAATACTGTGTAAGGCTCTGCTCCTTCCGTGTAACTTCATGCTTTCCTTATGCAATGACTGTGAACATTGTTTGTATATCAGAATCCCTAGAGAGCCTTGAAGTAGTATTCTTTTTTTTTTTTTTTTGAGGCAGGGTCTCGCTGTGCCACCCAAGCTAGGGTACAGTGACATAATCACAGCTCACTGCAGCCTTGACCTCTTGGGCTCAAGCAATCCTCCCACCTCAGCCTCCTGAGCAGCTGGGATAATAGGTGTACACCACCATGCCTGGCTAATTTCTGTATTTTTTTGGTAGAGACAGGGTTTCGCCATGTTGCCCAGACTGGTCTCAAACTCTTGGGCTCGAGTGGTTTGCCTGCCTTGACCTCCCACAGTGCTGGGATTACAGGTGTGAGCCACCACACCTAGCACAGTATCCTCTTCTTAAAATGAAATCAGTGAAGCCAGGGTGGTGGCTCATGCCTGTAATCCCAGCACTTTGGGAGGCCGAGGCGGGTGGATCATTTGAGATCAAGAGTTCAAGACCAGCCTGGCCAACATGGTGAAACCCCATCTTTACTAAAAATATAAAAATTAGCCAGGCATGGTGGCACGCGCCTGTAATCCCAGCTACTCGGGAGGCTGAGGCATGAGAATCGCTTGAACCCAGGAGGCGGAGATTGCAGTGAGCCAAGATGGTGCCACTGCACTCCAGCCTGGGTGACATAGTGGAATTCCATCTAAAACCAACCAACCAACCAACAAACAAACAAACAAACAAACAAACAAACAAAAAAACAAAGTATACTATGCTCCCAGGGCTACTTGAGGAAGAAAGAGTGAAATTTGGTAGAAGACTTAGAGCAACGCGTGATAAATTTACTGTAAATGTTATAGTATGTGTGCTCCCAATCAGTGTTAGGTACTGTTTTGTCATAGTAATGATAATAAAAGCCCCTGTCGAAAAGCAGAAGGCCTCCTAGCAGCCCAGCCTTCCATCATGAACAAGAGAAAGTGAATCTGCTTCTACCTACTGGGGGCCCAATTCATTAAACAGGACTCACAAACGCAGTGGGGCAGGCGAGACGTCCAGATGGGAGTCCCTGTTTCACGGCTGTAGCAGGTCAGAAGAGAACTCCCTTCAAGCACAAAACCGGGGTTGCAGGTGTATTGGATGGTGGTCCCCACCAGCAGCACAGGATCCGAAATTAAGCGGGTCGAGTGATCCACCTCTCCGGGGTCGGTGCAGTACATAACTACACGGGATGAAACCAGACCAAGAGGACGTCAGACCTCTGGATGACCATGGGTTTGCTGAGAATTACAGAATGATCTAGAAAGTTTCCTAACTTGGCCGGGTGCGGTGGCTCACGCCTGTAGTCCCAGCAATTTGGGAGGCCGAGGCGGGTGGATCACGAGGTCAGGAGATCGAGACCATCCTGGCTAACATGGTGAAACCCCGTCTCTACTAAAAACACAAAAAATTAGCCTGGCCTGGTGGTGGGCGCCTGTACTCCCAGCTACTCGGGAGGCTGAAGCAGGAGAATGGCGTGAACCCGGGAAGCGGAGCTTGAAGTGAGCCGAGATCGCACCACTGCACTCCAGCCTGGGCGACAGAGCGAGACTCCATCTCAAAAAAAAAAAAAAAAAAAGTTTCCTAACTCAGTTCTTTTCCTTTTTGGAAGATAATGTATCTTTTGTTGATAGGTGGCTGGAGAATAGGCCAGGAGAAAATAGCCTTGAATTTAATTCCTCTTTTAAGAATTTGCCCAAAGAGGTGGGGCACGGTAGCTCATGCCTGTAATCCTAGGACTTGAAAGGGAAGACAGAGGTGGATGAATCGCTTGAGCTCAGGAGTTTGAGACCAGCCTGGGCAACACAGCAAGATCCGGTCCCTACAAAAAATACAAAAATTAATGGGGCATGGTGGGGTACACCTGTTTTTCCAGCTACTCAGGAGGCTGAGGTGAGAGGATCGCTTAAGCCTGGCAGGTCAAGGCTGCAGTGAGCCATTATGGCACCACTGCACTCCAGCCTGGGCAACAGAGTGAGACCTTGCCTCAAAAAAATACATATAAATATATATATATATATATGTGTATATATATATATACACACACACACACATATATATGAATTTGCCCAAATAATTTGCATCAGGGTCCAAAGACCTATGTATAAGGTTGCATATTGCATTATTATTTGCGATTTTTTTAAAAAGGAAACATTGCAAATAGTTTAACAGGGAAAGAGTTAAATATCATGGAATAGCCATCCCATGAAATTCTGAGCAACTGCTAAAGAGAACAAAGTGAGGGGGAGCCTTCACTGCTTTCTCTGTAGTGCTGGAATGTAGTAAAATAAACTTTCATTACTTTTCACATTAAAAAATCAATATAGATAAAAGGAAAACAATAAACCAATTAAAAGAGAATAAACTGGACAACATGTATGATATGAAAAGATATCCACATTTCTGAGCTGAAAAAAAAGCAGATGCAGGAAGTTTGTAAGAATGGATCTGCTGGGTGCGGTGGCTCATGCCTGTAATCCCAGCTCTCTGGGAGGCTGAGGCCAGGAGTTTGAGACCAGCCTGGGCAACATAGCAAGACCCCTGTCTCTACAAAAAATTTTTAAAAATTAGCTGGGTGTGGTTGTTCACATCTGTAACCCCAGCATTTTGGGGGGCTGTGGTGGGAGGACTGCTTGAGCCCAAAACCTTGAGGTTGCAGTGAGCTATGATTGACATATGACAGATGACACATATATAGATGTCTATGTGTGACATGTAATGTATGTATGATGTGCATGTACACACACACACAATTGAAGCAATATAGAATAAATGTTTAACAGCAGCGTTGTTTCCAAAGAGTAACATCATCAAAGATTTTCACTTTCTATTCTATCATTTTACTACTGCCTGGGTACTATAAGTAAGCATCGTTACCAATGTAATTTTAAGATATGGCTATATATGTCTTTCAATGTCAAGACAGGAGATTAACCAATGAAAGGTTAATGAAATCCAGTGACTTCTATGGGGAGACCATTGTGCCAAGGGGTTTTTCTGACCTCATTTCATCAGAAGAGAGAACAACAGAGGTGATTGGTGGGTCTCCACTGTCTTGGATGGAGGATAAGTGAGAGACCCAGCATGGAAATGCAAACAGTCCCACATAGAAGGGGCCCAATTCAAATTTATTTGCCCACTTTGGGCCTTTTCTTGGCAAAAAATGAGGCAGGTAAGAAGACTTCTATAGGGAACTAGTTCATGTTCATTCCAATCCCTTAAAATGGTTAAATAATAATGATTTTTCCCTCCCTTCCTCTCCTCTCCTCTCCCTTCTCTCTTTTTCCTTCCCTCCCTCCCTTCCTTCCTTCCCTCCCTCCCCTCTTTCATTCCTTCCCTCCCCTCCCTCCCCTTCACTCCCCTTCCCTCACCCTCCCCTCCCTCCCTTCTCTCCCCTTCCCTCCCCCCTTCCCTCTCTTCTCTCCCCTTCCCTCCCCTTCCCTCCCCTTCCCTCCCCTTCCCTCCCCTTCCCTCCCCCTCCCTTCCTCCCTTCTTCCCTTCCCTCCCTTCCCTCCCTTCCCTCCCTTGCCTTCTTTCTTTCTTTCTTTCTTTCTTTCTTTCTTTCTTTCTTTCTTTCTTTCTTTCTTTTTCTTTCTTTCTTTCTTTCTTTCTTTCTTTCTTTTTCTCTTTCTTTCTTTCTTTCTTTCTCTTTCTTTCTTTCTTTCTTTCCTCCCTTCCTTCCTTCCTTCCTTCCTTCCTTCCTTCCTTCCTTCCTTCCTTCTCTCTCTCCCAGCCACCCCTCTCAACAGGGTTTTGCTCTGTCACCCAGGCTAAAGGGCAGAGGCATAATCATAGCTCAAACACCTGCGTTCCAGCAATCCTTCTGTCTCAGCCTCCTGAGTAGCTAGGACTACAGGTGTGTCCCACCACACCCAGCTAATTTTTATGCTTATTATTATTTTTTAGAGATAGGGTCTCACTGTATTGCCCAGGCTGCTATCAAACTCATGGGCTCAAGTGATCCTCCCACCTCAGCCTCCCAAAGCACTAGGATTACAGGCATGAGCCACTACACCCAGCCAAATGTTCTTTTTCACCAGGCTACATACGCTCCCATTCACTGGAGTTCACACCACTCCCTAATGTCTCACACCCAGCTTATCTCACTCGTTTACATTATGGTCCAGGTTTCTGAAGGCACCTGAGTCTGTAATTCCACTGACAGCTATAAAATGACATTTGTGAGCAATGCTCGTGAATTGGTGGTGGAGGGGGAGTCCAGATTCTACATTAAACAGCTCCACTGCACCCACCAAAAAAAGATCCCTAGAAGGGATTTGCCACCCAGGGACCTAGAGGAAGGAAACAAGACCACTCTTACTTTTCTCACAAAATGGGGGGTCGCTGCTCCAGCTGAGGTCCCACTGGCAGGTGAGGGTGTCACTCCCCACGATGTCATAGCCGGGGTCACACTGGTAGGTGATTCTGGCTCCCCGCACCAACTCCGTGTGAGAAGTGGTTTTCCAGCCATTCTGGATCTCGGGTAAATCCGAGCAGGAGTCATTCCTTGATACCTCTTTAAAAGAGAAACGTCAGTCTTAGATGGGGGAAGCAGTCTTGTTGTCGGGGCCTCCTTTTATGACGGCTAGAGGGATGAGCGAAGAGAAAAAAAAGCCTCTAGAAATGAGCAACACGCTTCCAAAATCGCTTAACTGGCAAGAGCTCGTCTATAGTGAAGCTTTATGGTTACCTCTCTCTGTGGGCCCCTGAACTCACTGAACATTCTCTTGGTTTGATAAAACCAGTTTAGGATTTCGAGTCAGACAGAATCCTATCTCTGCCACTTATTAACGGTGTGACGGGGGGACAATCACTTTTTGACTCTGCAGCTCAGGTTCCTTGACCTTTCATGAGGGAATAATTACAACGGCACCTGTCTCACTGTGGCCGCTGCTTACCAGATGTCACTGGATGACTCTCACCTCCGAGGGTTTACACTCTTTTAAAAATTTTTGTATTTTTGTTTTTTATTTTACTTTTGCTTTTCATTTATTATTATTATTCTTATCATCATCATCATCATCATCATCATCATTATTTTTACAGGCAGGGTCTCTGTTGCTCAGGCTGGAGTGCAAGAGTATGATCATAGCTCTCCACAGCCTCAAACTCCTGGGCTCAAGTGATCCTCCCACTTCAGCCTCTCAAGTAGCTGGGACCACAGTCATGTACCACCATGGCCTGGCTAATTTTTTTTTTTTTTCTGTAGAGATGAGCTCTTGTATGTTGCCTGGGCCAGTCTTGAAGTCTTAGGCTCAAGCAATCCTACCGCCTGGGCCTCCCAAAGTGTTGAGATTGCAGGCATGAGCCACTGTGCCCAGCAGAATTTACACTCTTGTGTAGTCCCTACCAACACTGAATAGGAGGTTGCAAAAGTGGCCCTGGGTGGCTTCCGAGGTTAGGTCATAACAACATTGAGTTTCTCTTCTTGCTCTCTATTGAATCACTTGCTTCAGAGGAAGCAGCTGCCATATTGTGAGGATGCTCAAGCAGCCCTCCAGAGAGACCCATGGGAAGAGAAACTGAGGCCTCCTGTCAACAGTTGGCATTGACTTGCCAGCCACATGTGTGAGCCATTTGGAAGTTCATCATCCAGTGCTTATCAAGCCTTCAGGTGACTGCAGCTCTGGCTGGCATCCTGACCAGAGCCTCATGAGAGACCCCAAGACAAAGCCATCCAACTCATGCTGCTCCTGAATTTTTAACCCAGAGAAACTGCAAGATGATAAATGTTTACTGCTAATTTGGGGTATAATCTATGACACAGCAATAGGTGACTAATATGCTCAGCTTCATCCTAAGAATATCTGTAAATCCATGAGTTTGGTGAATAAGTAATATATGCATTTTTAATATGCATTAAGAGAAATAATTAGCTATCAAAATAAAAAGAAGGTGGGCACAGTGGCTCATGCCTATAATCTCAGCACTTTGGGAAGCCAAGGTAGGAGGATTGCTTGAGCCCAGGAGTTGGAGATCAGCTTGGACAATGTAGGGAGACCTCCCCATCTCTACAAAAACAATAATAAAACCAAAAAAATGAGCCAGGTATGATGGCACGTGTTTGTAGTCCCAGCTGCTCAGGAGGCTGAGGTGGGAGGATTGCTTGAGTCTGGGAGTTCGAGACTGCAGCGAGCCATGAAGGCTTCACTGCACTCCAGGCTCGGTGACAGAGAGAGACCCTGTCTCAAAAGAAAAGAAAAAAAAAACAATTTGAACAGAAATAAATAAAAATAAACTGTTGGTATATTCTTCAAATCCAATTGCATATCATTAGTGAAAATGAACCATACTCCAGAAAATGCTACCCACAGCTTATTACTGTGTCTTTCTCTGTAATTGTTCTGTTTTTCTCCTACAAACTCTTGTTACTAAGGTAGCAATGCATGGCAAACTATTACTATTCTTGCTTCAAAGTGCCCACTGCACAGATTTGGAGGAGCAAGCTAATTATGTTGTATAATTAATTTGCAGTTCTTATGTGCTTCTGGGGAAAGGAGAGCACCTCCGCTGTCTGCAGGAAAGTCATTCTGAGAACTAAGCAATGGCTTTTCCCGGGATTTCATCATGATTTTATTTGGGGAAAGGAGATCTCATGGGTGTCTGCAAGAAGAAGGGTAAAAAAATAGCTTCGAGAATTGCTTGGTGGGGGGACAGGAGCCTCTATTTTTAGGCCTCTGAAAAATCAGCCAAGCCCTGGATTTGGGACACAGCTGCAGATGCTCAGACTATGGATGAAAGGGGAGAAATGGGAGCAGACACCAGAAATGTGGTCTGCCTTGAGCCAAATGCTTTGAGACGGAGAAAGGTTTGCTTGTCTGACTTCAATATGGGCCACCATGGCTGCACGCTCCCGTGGGACCTCCTGTCTCCTTGGTGGCACCCACTGCATTTGTAATTTCTCAGTTGCTGCCACGATGTAGAAGCTTGGCTTAAATCTTGTCCCCACTGTTTACTAACTGGGTGGCCTTGGCTAAGTCACTTAACCTTCCTGTTCTTCAGATCCCAGGGCCTGTACCCCAGGGACCCTGATTCAGGAACATGCATTTTTACCAAGCACCCTAAGTAGAGGTTTCTAGAATGGTCCGTCCCCATGGGCCCTTGTTAACTTTGCTAATAATTAGAAAACCACCCTATAACCTTCCTGTTCTTCAGATTCCAGGGCTTGTACCCCAGAAACCCTGACTCAGGAACATGTATTTTTTTACCAAGCACCCTAAGTGGAGGCTCTGGAATGGTCTGTTCCCATGGGCCCTTGTTAACTTTACTAAGAATTAGAAAACTGTCCTAGGAGTTGGAAGACTTCTTTTCTACTCTTCTTTCTTTTTTAAATAAATGGTGTGATTCCAGTCATGCCAATTAACTGCTCTAAGCCTCATTGTTCTCATTTGCAGAGTGGAGTCAAGAATTATTACATTGTCTATTCCAAAAGGCAATGTGAAAGTTAAATAACATGCAGGATATGACGATGTTGTGTGAACACTAAGATGAGTTAGATGGATTCGTTTGTTTGTTTGACTGAGATATTATGAGCATCTTATTAGACTCTAGAAATGTAGGGATCTGAAGTCATGGTTTCGGTCTCATGGACAAGATTAGCACCAAGGTTCAATTTTTGCACAAAAGAAATGCACAAATGCACTGAATGCACACCACCATCTACCATTTCATGCTCATGGCAGACATCTCTAATCAAGCACAGCCATCTATTTGTTTGAATCAAGAGGAAACCTCCCAGTCCTCAAAACAGCACTCCAGGGAGCCACTGTCATTTGATTGGAGTTGACTTACAATATGGAGCTTAGTTATTATCCTAGACTTGGAGGAATAAACACACGACAAATAACCAACGTCTTCTCAAAAAGCACTGCTTACTTATCTCTGTTTCTTATTCCCTTCCATCCCATGCCTTTGGCCATAGACAGTGGGCAAAGAACAGGAAACAGTGAATGGGTCTTTGCATCTCTCTGTTCAAAGGTGAATTCTGGGAGTAGAATTCACATTCTAGAACCACGTAGGCCCAGAGTCTTCCTGTGGAAGGCTCTAATTGCAATCATAGCAGATAAACTTTGGCCACCTTCCAGAGCTGGGCTTAGGCATTTAGGTCAATATAGGATCTTCAGAATTCCCTAGTGACCACAGGAACCCCTGACCTACTATCTGATGCATCCATTGAATGGGAGTTACATCTGTGTAACTCCCATGTATGGTAAAATCTAGAGCCAGAATAACAAATACCCTTCTCATGCCCATGGCAGGCATCACTAATCAATCATGGCATTCTTTGCCATAGACTTTAGGCATGACCTCCTTGGAGTTCTTTTCAACATGGTCTTCAACATAAGTAGTAAGCAACTGAGTGGTATCGCAATTAGCTAGAACGGTCTATTTGCCATTCTTGTGAAATTAACTGTGTGTTTCTTTAACAGGAATAACAATCAGGAACTGTTCTCTCTTTTTTGTTACCCAAACTAGCCAAGCTGTGTATCCCTGAAAAACATTCTCTGCAATCCTTTTTCTGCCTCTCCCACAGCATCAGCTTGTGATCCTGGTATTGTCTATTAATGGGACTGCCTTTCGCATTTCCACTAATGTCTTAAGGGTAGGGAGAATATTCTATTCATCTCTATATCCTGGTGTGCAGAGCCTAGCATATAGGAGGTGTCAAGGGATTTTTTATGAACCAAATCCTCTGGAAATGGAGATAATGCATTTGAAGATGTGAAATAAAATAATATATGTTAAAGTGCTTGCCAACTGTAAGTTGTCACACAAATCACAAAAAGTTTCAACTTCAATGAACAAAAACACTTCTTCTTCAAGATATTGCCAAACTGAACACTGGCCAGACTTTCTGGTTAACCTTGACCAGCCTTGGATAGAGTCAGTCAGTTTTTTTTTTTTTTTTTTGGCCATCAAGCTGAATGCAGGTTTGGAATACTGACTTGGGCGCTAGGGGAGATAAATGAGCAAAAACCATGACCTCATCTTTCAGTGGAGAGGGAGAGGACGTCTAAGGAGAGAGACAGGAGCCAGGAGACCAGAGACTTCCTCCAAAGGCAGCTGAGTCTGGAGGGTACATTGCCTGGACAGCCAACATGAGTTATCCCCTGAAGCCCAGGGCACTGCCCAGAAAAGAGCGGGGAACCCACAAGAAATTGTAGCAATAACACTCTGAAAATATTTAGCAGCACAATCAAAGGTAAAAGGCCCCTGGGAAACATAAAAAAGAAGATCAATACTCGTGTTAGCCTCTCTGAGAGGTGGACATGTAGCAGGCAGGGATGAAAAATGTTCACCATCTGGAAATAAAAATGCCAGGAATGTACTTTGGCACGCATGAGGCTTCTTGAAACAGCCCATGGTCAAGGGGGTAGCTTGTTTTTAGGTGCAAGTGCTGGTACAGAGAGGACAATTCATATTATTAGGTTGGCGCAGAAGTAATTGCAGTTTTTGCAAATTAAAACTCCAAAAATCATAATTACTTCTGCACCAACCTAGTTAGAGATGGACAATTCTTTTCTTTTTTCTTTTTTCTTTGAGACGGAGTCTCGCTCTATCACCCAGGCTGGAGTCAGTGGCGCAATCTTGGCTCACTGCAACCTCTGCTTCCTGGGCTCAAGCAATTCTCCTGCCTCAGCCTCCCGAGTAGCTGGGACTACAGGTGCCTGCCACCACACCCAGCTAATGTTTTTTTTTTTGTATTTTTAGTAGAGACGGGGTTTCACTGTGTTAGCCAGGATGGTCTCGATCTCCTGACCTCGTAATCTGCCCGCCTCAGCCTCCCAAAGTGCTAGGATTACAGGCATGAGCCACTGCGCCCGGCCGAGATGGACAATTCTTTAAGTGAACGGGGAGAAAGAACCAAAGACATGGAATCTTGCTCCAACCACAGGGTCTTTTGTGGTAGTGGTGGTGGCAGAGGGCTGGGTAGGATGAATTCTCCTTTTCTCTGCTCCATCCTGGAAATCAAGATGCCAGTCTAATTCCTGGGAAGTGCAAGCACGTTTCCTAATCACTGGCCGAATCCTGCCCATTGAAATTCTTGGGGTGCAACCACTCACCCATTCTTCTAGATGTCAAAGGATGTTAGGTCTTAATTACCCTCTGTGTCTCCCAGGTTCTCCGCTGCTGCCCAAAATATTGGGGGTGGAGGAAGCTTTGGAGCTAGGGATGAGGAAGCATGGATTGGAGCTCGGCTCTGCCCCGATGAGCAACCCTTCATCCTTGCTTGTCCAGGGTTTCTTCTGCTGGAACACGACAGGGCTGGACCAGTTCCTCTGTTAGTGCAAGTCTCTTCTGGGACTGGAATCAGTGGGACTTCATGGTGTCCCAGTCCTCTGACATCTGGGAATGTTGGTAGTTCGGACTAGAGTGGTGGCCGTAGAAAGACGGGGACATGTGTTTGGATTTGAGACATATTGAAAAGTGGAGTTGAGAGGATGGATTGGATATGGGGGCAAGGAAGGAGGAAGCAGCCTGAGAAACCAGGAGAGTTGTTGTCTCATTTCCTAGGATTGGCAGATAGCAGGGGATGCTGTTGGGTAGTGGTGGTGGTGGGTAGGAAAAGAAATCATTCTGTTTGGCCATGTTAAATCTGAGATGTCTACTGGATGGAGGCAAGGGAGGAGTTGGCAGGGAGTTGGATAGATGGATTTGGAGTTTAAGGTCAAGGTTGTAAGTATGAACCGGTCAACGGATATTGGTACTGTTTAAATCCATGGGAACTAATGAAGGCATGGAGGGCGTGAGTCTAGCTGGAAGAGAGGATACAGTCCAGGATGGAGCCTGGGACCCTCCAGGGTTTAAAGGTTGAAAAGGGGTGGGTCGTAGAGCTAGTAATGAATGAGGGAGAGTTACAGGGTGGGGAATGAGAAGGGAAGAGTGTGATTGGATGAAAGCACACGAGGGGTCATAGGAGTGTGTGAGCTTAGCTTGAATTTGATAGCAGGTTTTTTTTTTGTTTTGTTTGTTTTAGGAGGAGCAGGAGAGACATGGTTTGGAGGCCACATTGAGGATGAGGAAAGACATCTTTTGCATCTATAGCTCCTAAAGTACAAGAAGTGCGAAAGGAAGGCTGTCCTTGTTCAACGAGGCTACAGGAAAAGAAGAGGCCTTAGAGGAGAGCTGAGCTTCAGTTCGGGCAAGAAGGTGAAGACGATGTTTGAGAAGTTGCACAAATTGGGAAGAAATTAGGAAGTATGTTGATGTAAGATCTCAGCTGACCACAAATGAAACATGGGGACAACAGGTTCTCAGCTGACCACACATGAAACATAAGTTATGAGGCATTGTCTACTACATCCTGATATCAACCTTGTGGAATAGGTATCACTATGCCCATCTTACAGATGACAAAAAGAAGGCTCAGAGAGGTTCAGTAACTTTCCCAAAGCCACACAGACATCGATGACCGTGCTAGGGCTCAAACCCTGGTCCTCATGACTAGAGAGCCCAGGCTTTTAAAAATGAAATGAGTACATTTCAATACAATACAATGAAAAATCGCTGTAGTACAAAACTGCCAAATAACCTAGAGGAAACCACCTTAACCTGTATCTAAACACAAAGAAAAAATAAATTGACCAGATGAGACACCTACCTATGTAGTTCATGATAAATCCCTGGCCCTTTCCAAAGATGAGGCCAGCAGGGTCCGAATGGAACTGGATGGTTAAGTCTGGCGTGGAGGAGTACAGTTTCTGGGGGCCACTGTTCCCAAGGTACTGCCCCAAGATGTGGGGCATGACCTCGTCGCCATCGTAGATGGTCAAGATGTCACTGTTGCTCAGATTCAGGCTTGGAGGGCAGAGAAGAGGGAGAGTCATGTGAAATAGAGAATGGGCATTCAATAAACCCTTGATTAACTTTTTCAGGCAATACAAAATTTGTTAAGTGTGTATGTGTCAGGCTCCAGGCTATGTGTCTTAACCCCAAGCTGAGGGTAAGATTGACATAGACTGCAAATGTGACACAAAGATTTGTAAGTCATTTTTTTTTTGAGACAGAGTCTCACTCTGTCACCCAGGCTAGAGTGCAGTGGCACTCTCAGCTCGCTGCAATCTCTGCCTTCCAGGTTCAAGCAATTCTCCTGTCTCAGCCTCCCGAGTAGCTGGGACTACAGGTGCATGCTGCTATGTCTGGCTAATTTTTTTTGTATTTAGTAGAGATGGGGTTTCACCGTGTTGCCCAGGCTGGTCTCCAAATCCTGAGCTCAGGCAATCTGCCCACCTCGGCCTCCCAATGTGCTAGGATTACAGGCGTGAGTCACTGTGCCCGGCCGTCAGTTGGGTTTTTGAAGACACATTGATGCAATGGTCTTGGCTGCATGGGACTCATTGCAAAGTCAAATGCTGCATTGTAAGAAGAATCACCTTCAAAACTCCCATTATTGGCAACCATTTCTTAGGTGACATCTCTGTGTTAGGCACCAGGCTACAGGCTGGGGCTATGACCTGCATCTTTCATTCTTCTTCAGTGCAGAACATGCTGACAGCTTGCTAATTACAACTTGCATTTTTATATAAGGTGAAATGATCTTTCCATTTATCACGGGGCAAATTCCTCAGAGTCAACTGAATGATCCATTATGTTTAAGGGGTAGGGCAGAGGTGGGATGGAGGCACCTTACTTATGAGATATGCTCAAACCTGTCACCATTCATACTGTTAAAGGATGACACATTTTCAAAGACTCCAATGCAAGAAAGTACCTTGACACTAAATAATTAAACCACAGTGGATAGTTAATAATCCAGAAATCACTTCACTATACCACAGAAACATGTGCCATCTCAGACATGCTAGATAAAATTGATCTCTAATTGAAAGAATGCCAGATAATTCACCTTTGGCTTCATCAATCATGGACAGATACAAACTCACATTTCTTTCTTTCCTTTCTTCTTTCCCTCTCTCTGTCTTCTTTCTCTCTCATGTCTTTCTCCTTTTCTTGTCTCCTTCTCCTTAATGTTCTTTTTTGTTTGTTTTTTTGAGCATCTACTATGAGCCAGGCACTGTGCTGAGCTCAGAAGGGTCACAGAGTAGTGATCTATTTAGATTTGTAAGCCAGGGATTGTGGCAGGAGTTATAACCAAAGTAAGGACAGAGAAAGTAAGGACAAACTCAGATTAGGGGCATCATGGAAGCATTCCTGCAGTAGGTGATGCTTCTTGCTCTGAAACCTCAAGAAAGAGTAGGAGACCTCGAGGCAGATAAACACAGAGTAGGGAGTCCAGGTGCAGTGGCTTACACCTGTAATCCCAGCACTTTTGGAGGCTGAGGTGGGAGGATTGCTTGAGGCCAGGAGTTCAAGACCATTCTGGGCAACAAAGAGAGACCCTGTCTCTACAAAAAAAAAAAAAAAAAGAAAAAAAAAAAGTCCGGGCGTGGTGGCTCACGCCTATAATCCCAGCACTTTGGGAGGCCGAGGCAGGAGGATCACGAGGTCAAGAAATCGAAACCATTCTGGCCAACATGGTGAAACCCCGTCTCTACTAAAAAAAGAAATTAGCTGGGCGTGGTGGCAGATGCCTGTAGTTCCAGCTACTCGGGAGGCTGAGGCAGGAGAATTGCTTGAACCTGGGAGGTGGAGGTTGAAGTGAGCTGAGATTGTGCCACTGCACTCCAGCCTGGGCAAAGAAGCGAGACCCTGTCTCAAAAAAAATTTTTTTTTTTTGGTGTGGTGGTGCACCTCTGTAGTCCTAGCTTCTCAGGAGGCTGAGGCAGGAGGATTGCTTGAGCCCAGAAGTTTGAGGCTACAGTGAGCTATGATTGTGCCACTGTACTCCAGCCTGGGCAATAGAGCAAGAACTCATCTCACAAAACAAAACAAAACAAAAGAAAACAATGAATGATGGGGAGAAGGCAGAGGGAAGAAAGGAGTAAGACCATGGTTCCTGAAAGAATTTTTCCAGTGGTCAGTGTGCCTGGGGTATGGGGATAGGCATAGAAGCCTGCAGAGTTCTGCAGGGATTAGATCATGAAGGGCTTAAAGAGCCAAGCTTCAACTTTTGGACATCATCTTGCAGGAGACGGGGAGACACTGAAGGGTTTTATACGGGAACTGTATGACTGAGCAATTCAATGCCAGAGGAGAGGTGTTCTGGGAAATGGCCCTGAGCAGAGTTCCTGAAACTGATGCAGACTGACAGTGGCCCTCCCTGCTGATAGCTTCATCCAATGGCCAACAGTGGTGTTTGCTGCTAGTCCGGGAGTTGGGAGGTGAGGTGGCAACTACCCATGTTGGTGTTTCAGGTGGTCAGAACAAAACAACAGAAACACAAAGAAAGGTATTGAAAGTTTGCTTCTGGGAGGGCAGGGATTGTATTTTATTCACCCCAATACCTTCCACCATACCTCTCGTAGTTCCTCATGTAAAGTTGCTCCAAGGGGTGGCTTAGGAAGATTTTGATTGCCGCCATAATTTTCACCAGTTTCCCCTATGCTACTCCCAAAACATCTTCAAATAAAAGCTACCTGCTTGCTTTGCACACATGTCTTCAAGACAAAATCCCCAGACTCCTCCTACCCCCCTGACAGTTTTTAACCAGATTGAAGCCCCTAAACCCCTGCTGTATTGAAATTCTGGAGTTGCCACTTGTTCTTGCACACAGTAGGTGCTCAATAAATGCTAAGGTATGAAAGAGCCTCCCAGAGAGTCTACTTGACAGCAAAAATAGTGGGACTGATGTCAGCTTTGGACCTGTAGTAGGGGAGGGCCTCTTTAGCTCTACGTACCATGAAAACATCAATTGTTCATGAAAGTGCCGGATTAGACTAGTGTGAAACATGGTAGATGGCAGATATATTCCTTAAGCCGACTTCACAGCTGATCCGCTGGTAACAGTAGTTTACAGACAATGCACATCTTGGCTTTATTCTTTCACTTAAATGGCCAAAACGCAGTAGCAGCATCTTCAAGGGTGAAAATAGCTTTCATTTTAAAACCATACGGCAACTCTTTGTTCTCCATAAAATAGGATGGAGCAATGTGCAGGGAAGAGCACACTGGCTTGGAAATCAGAAAGCTTTGGTTTGATTCTCAGCTTTGTCACTTTCATGGAAGGCATGTGATTTTTCTGAAATTTCTTGTCTGTGAATCAGCCTTAATATTCCTCGTCTATGTCATGAGCTCTGGGGATGAGGTGAGGCAGGCAGAAGGTCTGGATTCAAATTCCAGCTTCAGCATTAGCACCTGGGCAAGCTCGGTGATGTCATTTGAATGTTATGTTGTTATATTCCACTTTCATTTTTGGCATCATCATCGTTACCATCACCATCATCACTATCGTCATCATCATCATCACCACCATCATCCTTCTTTGGATTTCTGTTTATGCCAAATGACATCAGATGATTTATGTCAGTGGTTTTCAACTAGGGGCAGTTTTCCTCACAGGTGACATTTGGCAATGTCTGGAAACATATTTTTCCTAACTAGGTGGGTACCATGGGTGAGTGGAGGCCAGGGATGCTGTTAAACATACTACAGTGCACAAGACAGCCCCTCAACCCAAAAAAGTATCTAGTCCAAAATGTCAACAGGGCTAAACTCGAGAAACCATGACTTATATAAATGCACATTGTAAACGGTGTGCAACAGACCATTAAATGCAATTTCTTCTGTTGTTCTGAAATTTTAGCAGTGTCTCCCTAAGCTAAGAACAAGACAATAGGTGCAGTGGATTTCCACTTTCCAAAGAGAGATACTTGGCTGTTGATTGCATTTGGATTCTCCAGATGCAGAGATCAAGCAAACATACAAATGCCTTTTGAAGTCTGGCTTGTCTGGGAGGCCATCCTAGGCAGCACTGGTGGGGAAATGAGACAAGAAGAAGGGAAGGACTCAACGAAGAGGGGATTGATGAGCAGGTTTCACTGTGCATTTTGGGTTCAGTCCTGCAGGAATTTTAGAGATGGTGCAGAACACATCCATAGGGAGAAGGAGCTGGGGTATTTATCCTCCAGTTTCCATCCTTTATTGACTGAGGGATGCTCCTGGATGTGTTGAGTCCCTAGAACTTCTGGCTTGCCCATGTGACCACATGGCATCAGAGAAATGCTGGAGAAGTGGGAAGGGCCTTGCAGTAGGAAGTCATTATGGGCACATGGTGGCAAGTATTGCACGGCTTAGACAGAGTACCAATGGCATCATCTACTAACATCGATGCAGCTATTCCAGTCTGAGCCCTTCTTCCCACCTCTAGCTTATATAAGAGAAGGAAAAGAAGGCACTGGCCATTGAGGAGGCTGGCAGGAAGGACTGCCTTGAGGGGAGTGGTCACTGTGGGGCATCATAGGAGGGAGGGTCGAATGTGTATCACCCTCACATTAAGCCTAGTGAGGAGGGCTTCAAGGGAACTCTTGGTGACTTGGCAGGTGTCTTTCTTTTGTGGCTTGGATAACAGTAGCTGGATTTGATGCTCACCAAAAGAAATGATAAAATCAGACTGGGGATGCCTGCCTGCCTCTGGTCAGAGCAAGGAGAATAAAAGCAGATATTGACAGTGAGCATCCCATCACTGATGACAGTAGGGATATGATCTATGTTTCCTGGGTCTAGTTGTGAACCTTGCAGGCAGAAGCCAACTATAGGTCTCCTTAAAAGTGGCTTCCTACTGAAAGGGTGATAGAAC
Source organism: Homo sapiens (assembly GCF_000001405.40). Taxonomy (NCBI): domain Eukaryota; kingdom Metazoa; phylum Chordata; class Mammalia; order Primates; family Hominidae; genus Homo; species Homo sapiens. Next base: position 26,335,598 of record NC_000022.11, on the reverse strand, counting down.
CCCAGCAAAAGGGAAAGTTAAGAGCAGCTGTGCTCAGGAGACTTTCACACATTTAATATCCTATTAAAGACAGAAAAAAAATCAGCATTCTATATATTCTATAACATAACAGTGTAGCCAAGTTAGAGTCTCCTATTCCCTTACCTCCCATGCCCTTTGCAAAATTCCCAGCCAGAGGAGCACAGTTGAGGGAGGGATGAAGTTTCAAAATGAATGATACTTAGGGTTATAAGATTTTCAGACTGGACTGCACTTATTGTGACCAGAAGACCTATGAAAACGCAGCTTTCACCCAGAGGAAAAAAATAATATAGGATGTGCCTGAAGGGTCACTGGGAGAAATAATCAAGTTACTCTCTGCCTCATTCTTCTGAATCTTTTTTGACAGACTGGTTCCAATTATGTACACAGAGTTTGGCAATTTAGTTTTTTCCCCTCAATGCAAAGAGGAGCTTACATTTTCACTTGCTCATCCATGTATTTACCAAGTGCATCTAGCATCCCTGGAATCGGACCTTTGTAAGCAACCGAGATGAAAATGTGTTGAGTTCACTGCAGGGAGAGCCACAGGGCAGAGTGTGGTTTTCCGCTGAGGTCTGAATTGAGATGTCAGCTAGATACGATCCAAGGAGGCGCTAGGAAAACGGGATGGCAGTTTGACTCCAGGATGAAGGGGAGATGGAGAGATGCTGGCAGGCAGGCAGGCTTGGTCTGACTGTGACTGGGAGTGGCAGGATCCCTTCTGGGAGGATCCTGTAGGACCACAAAGCTTCCCAAGACCAGACCCTGCCCACTCTGGCCCTTCTCAGGTGCCAGAGTGAAAGGCTTTCCACAGGCACAAAGTGTGAGCTCCTGGCAGAAGATCTCAGCTCCCATCTCCCCCTCTACATCCACCTCTTTCTTCTTGGTCACTGTCGCAGGCTATCCTCAGACCATCATCACCTTTCTCTTGGGCAGTTGGACAGCACCTCGGTGGTTTCCTGACTTCATCCTCACCTGGCCCTGATACTCCTCCCCTTAGCAGCCAGATGAATCTTTCCAGAAGGTAAATCAGATCTGCTCCCTCAACAGATCAATGAATAAGCAAAATACGGTCTATTTGTGCAGCGGAGTTATTATTCAGCCATAAAAAGGAATGCAGCACTGGCCCACGCCGCAGCACAGGTGAACCTCGGAAACATGACATGCAGTGAAAGAAGCCAGCCACGAAAAGCCACCTGTTGAATCACTCCATTTATAAGGAATATCCAGAATAGGGAAATCCACAGAGAAAGAAGGCAGATGGGTGGTTATCAAGGGTTAGGGGGTGAGGAGAAGAATGCGGAACAATTGCTTAATCGGTATGGAATTTGTTTTTGGGGTGATGGAAATGTTTTGGCACTAGATACAAGTGTTGGTTGCACAATATTGTAAATGTATCACATATGTAGATATATATATTGTATATGTTAAAATGACTAATTGTATGTTGTATGAATTTCACCTCAATTAAAAAAAAGAAACATCTTAGGATAGAGTGCCAACTTTTAACCCTAGTCTCAAGGCTCTATAGGTCTATCTTTTGCATTGCCGCCTGCCCCGTCCCTGCCGCCTCATTTCTGACTCTCTCTCTTCCAAGCCATTGTTTTACCTCCAACCAGACTGCATTGCTCATCAGTCTTTCCAAAGCACGATGCTCTTGGTGACCTCTGGGACTTTTCACATTCCCTTCCCTGTGCTCTGAATTCTCCACCTGGGAAACTCCTACCCACCCCTTAGTTTCAGCCTTCCATGATTCACTATTGCACAGAGCCCCCAGCATCCCCTCCTGGTCTGGCCTGCAGCCCTTGTGCTCACCCTCCTTATGGAGCTCAGTCATTACTTGGGGCCCCATTGGTCTGGGGATGCTCATCTGCTGCAGATCAGGAGCTCCCTGAGGCCCTCCCATGTCTCACTCACTGCTGGCTGTATCCCTAGTGCTCAGCACCATGCTGAGTGTGTGTCTCGGGTGAATCAGTGCCAGCTCAGGGCATAGGGCCAGGTTTCGGGCTCAGATCTTGCACAGAGTAGACTGTGGCTTTGACCCCAATTCCTACCTAGGACCCTAACCCCGACTGGACTCTTCCCTGCTCCAACCTTGGGAAGGGGACTCCTCTCAGCCAGTGCCCTGGCTGCTTTCAGCATGCTCCCCAGGGTTAAGTTGAAAACTTTGGTATCAGAGGGAGGCTGCCTCAAGGGATTTCTGCCCCGCCTGCCTCTAGGGCTTCTTGTTGGCCATGCCTTGATCCTTCTTGGATATGTAGGTCACTAGAGTCAAGTCCAATGCCACCTGACACCCTGCATGCCTGAGAGGCCACTCCAAAGCCAACCCGCTGGCTTGTCCAGCTTGTCTAGCCTCCTCTCCTTCCCCACCTTGACCCTGCTCTGGGCACATTCTGCAGCCCCTTCAAGGGCCTGAGCAGCCATTTGTGGACATGCCATTTAGTGTTACCACTTCTGGCTGCTTCTTTAAATCCTCCCTTTCTCAGGGCAGTGGAAACACTGGTCCCATTGGATAGCTTTTGAATGGGAAAGCATTTCACAGGACCCACATTTAGCTTTTGAATAACAACAGTGCTGTCCGCCAAGTATCAAGCATTCAAACAACCTCACAAAGTAAGACTTGCTCCATTATACAGATAAGGAAACTGAGGCTCAACCAGGAAGGTCAAGATTCAAACCTACGTCTTTTGATGCCAAAGCTTGAGATCTGAACCACCATTTTATACAACAGCCCATGAAAGCCACATACACACGTTTTCAAGAAGTGTGTTCCGATTGAGTCTTGTGTCAGAAAACATGAATAAAAAAACACAAATTAAATATTCAGAACAGCTGGGCATGATGGTTCATGCTTGTAATCCCAGCATTTTGGGAGGCCAAGGCTGGAGGATCACTTGAGTTCAGGAGTTCAAGACCTGCCTGGGCAATATAGTGAAACCCCCATCTCTATAAAAAATAAAAACATTAGCCGGGCACGGTGGCACATGCCTGTGGTCCCAGCTACTCAGGAGGCTGAGGTGGGAAGATCACTTGAGCACTGGAGGTTGAGGCTGCAGTAAGCTTTGATTGCACCACTGTACTCCAGCATGGGTGACACAGTGAGATGCTGTCTAAAAAAAAAAAATCTGGACTGGGTGCAGTGGCTCACACCTTTAATCCCAGCACTTTGGGAGGCCGAGGTGAGTGAATAACCTGAGGTCAGGAGTTCAAGACCAGCTTGGCCAATATGGTGAAATCCCATCTCTACAAAAAGTACAAAAATAAGCTGGGCATGGTGGCATGCACTTGTAGTCCCAGCTACTCGGGAGGCTGAGGTAGGAGAATTGCTTGAACCTGAGAGAAGGAGGTTGCAGTGAGCCGAGATCGCGCCACTGCACTCCAGCCTGGGCAACAGAGCGAGACCCTGTCTCAAAAAAAAAAAAAAAAAAAACATTGAAAATCCTCTCTTCCAGCTGTTTGAAAATGAACAACAAATTATTGTTAACTATCGTCACCCTACAGTGTTATAGAACACTAGAAGCTATTCCTCCTATATAGCTGTGATTTTTGTATTACAGACATCGTTTTTTAAAAATTAAATTAAATTCTTTTTTGAGACACAGTCTTGCTCTGTTGCCCGGGCTGGAGTGCAGTGGCACGATCTCAGCTCGTTGCAACCTCCACCCTCCCCGGGTTTAAGCCATTCTCCTGCCTCAGCCTCCCAAGTAACTGGGATTACAGGCACGTGCCACCATGCCTGGCTAATTTTTGTGTTTTTAGTGGAGACAGCATTTCACCATGTTGGCTGGGCTGTTCTCAAACTCCTGACCTCAGGTGATCCACCTGCCTTGGCCTCCCAAAGTTCTGGGATACAGGCTTGAGCCACCACGCCTGGCCCAGACTTCTTGTTTTAAAAAGATTTTGTCTCCCTAACATTTTACATTTCTTGGTAACGAATGTTCTTTGTGTTTTGTTCATGGTTATTATCGATCAGGTATAACAGAGTTTGCAATAAAATCAGTGTTAATCTAGTTACTTAGTCTGGGTGGCTTAATTTTGATAGATAAAAGCTTTCTGTTATGGTTTTTGAAATATTTAGAAAGATCTGGGGAAGGATATGTAAGATACATAAGAAAGTAATTGCCTCTAGGGAGGAGAGCCAGAGAGGGGGCTGTTTGCTGGGGAAGGATGGGAAACTCAATTTTCACAGTAGACCTTTTTGTACTTTTGAATTTTGAATCGTATGAATGTAGTACCTCTTCAAAAAGGATAAAAACAGCCTAAGGGACCCTCATTGCTTTCACTGGGGTCTAGAGAGTGGAAGAGGTGAGGATAGAATGCAAATTAGAATCTGACACAGACCAGCGAACCCATCTCTGGTTATGTAATCCTGCTGCTCACCTGCAGAGGGCAGTGTATGCCTAAGCATGGAATGGGCTGACTTCCCCAGCAGGTGCCCTTTTTACCCCAACCAATCAGGAGCCTGGATGTGGGGAGCAGGTGGTAGGTGAGGTTGGTAACTATTGAGCTAGAGTCAATATTCCGGAGAGGGCATAGAAAGACATGATGAGCAAGCCACCTTTCTTTTCCTTATTCCTTTCTAAACAAACATTTGACCCTTGGCTTAGAAATCTTGCCTTTAAAAGGCTTTTTCGAGCCTCATTCACAGGACAATTTTAGGTAGGCAAACATACTTTGAAATGTCTAATGTTTATGCATTTCTTTAAATGCAAATTAGAAAAATATATAAATATATGGTTTGCACATTAAACTTCTAATTTCATGGACATTATTTTGGCTGGAGTAAGCCAAGTGAAAAAGGCAAGCCAATTTACACGCAGTTTCGGGAAAACAAAAACGGTAACACAAAAAGAAGTAGCTGGTAATAGAATTGGACTGTGGAAACCGCAAAAATTAGCCCACAGACTAAAGTCCAGTTTCTCAGCCTGACCTCCCAGGAAGTCCACAGCTGGGTCTCAGCCCATCTCTTGCTGTCTCAAACATCCAGTACACCAAGCCCCTTGCAGCTCCTAGACCCTTAAAGCCTCCATCTTTCATGCCTTAGCTCATGCTAGTCTCTCTACCTGGAAAGCCCTCTCCTCTCTTCTCTGCTAGAAAACACCTTGCTAATTCCTCAGGATCCCTCTGTCCACCCTGCATTTACAGCTATGTAATAACTAGCTAAGGTTTTCAAGTGGCTTTTCAAGGCACTTTACATGCACCATTTCATCTTATCCTCGGACTAACCCTGTAAGTACGACTCTTCACACCCATTTCACAGATAAGCCAACTGAGGTGCCCAGAGGTGAGGAAACACGCTTAAGCTCAAGCAGCTGGTTATATAGCAGAGCCGGAATCCAAACAGACGTCGTTGGAAGACAAAGCCTGAGCAACAGACCAGCAACCTTCATCTGCCTGTGTCGGCTCCCTGAAGGCACATGTCTTCACCCCAATCCCTGGAGCCCACCCAGGGCTTGGCACAGGTGAAATAAAGTTCACTTAAATGAAGGAATGACGGCAAATTTATGTCCATTTTCCAGATGAGGAAACTGAGGCTCAGAGGAATTAAGTGACTTTCCTAAGAAAACACTATCTTGCCCTTCAGGCAAGATCTTTATGGAACAGTAGAGATAGTGATGAAATAAATCATAGGATCTAAAGAAAGGAAAAACAAGAATCAAAACCTGTAAATTCCGTTGTATGCAATAAAACTTTGATAAAATATTTATAGTTTTTTTTGAAGGCCTTAGAAGGGACATGTTTAAAGTTGTTTTGTATCTATTTTCTCATCTGATCCCCTCACCCACACAGTCAGGTGGTCAGAGAAAAAACATTATGAATCCCATAGAGGAGTAAACTGAGCCCCAAAGACCCAGGTCCTAAGGCCTCTGTGCTCATTTCAGATGCAGCACAACCTTGCCAGGCACCTCTCAGCAACACAGAATTGTCGAGGGGCCTTTGGCCCAGTGAAACCCAATTAAATTTGCTTTCAATTTAATTTGATAAAATGGCAGACAGGCCAAGAAACCATGTCAGCTCCAGGGAGGACACAGAAAACCAGTATCTTTGGCTCCCTAATAGGACACCTTAAAACACACAAAAATGATGAGTTTTCTTTTTCTTTTTTTTTAAAGATGGTGTTTCACTCTGTCATCCAGGCTGGAGTGCAATGGCATGATCTTGGCTCACTGCAACCTCCGCCTCCTGGGTTCAAGCTATTCTCCTGCCTTAGCCTCCAGAGTAGCTGGAACTACAGGCACCCACCACCAAGCCCAGCTAATTTTTGCAGTTTTAGTAGAGACCGGGTTTCACCATGTTGACCAGGTTGGTCTTGAACTCTTGACCTCAGATGATCCACCTGCCTTGGCCTCCCAGAGTGCTGGGATTACAGGTTTGAGCCACCGTGCCCAGCCTGTTTCCTTAGTCTCTTCTTTGTTCCTTCTCTCTTCCTTTCCTTCCACCCTCTCTTCCTCTCTGTTTCTCTCCAAAAATATTCACCAAAACGCTTGTCCACTCCAGGCTGTGAACCCACTGCCCCGTGGTTCTCAATCCTGGCCGCACCTCAGAATCCCCGCGGAGGTTTAAAAACTCCTGATCCCAGGTTGTACTCCAGACAAATCAGGCCATCAGAAACCCTGGGGGTGGAGACTGGGAATTAGTGTCACTTAAAACTCCCATTCCCAGGGGGTTCTCCTGGGCAGCCAGGACTGAGAGCCACAGACCTGGAGTTTGCAGCCTGAATGAGACCCAGCCCTGACTTCAGAGAGGCTCCCAGTTTCCATGGCCTTTCTTCTTTTCTTCCTTTTCTCCATCTCCTCCTCCTTTCTCCCTTTTCTCAATTTCCCTCTTATTCCCAAAGAGAAAAAGAGTAGGAAAGAGATTCCTGCTCTCGGCCTGCCGTCCCCCTGGGCCTGCCCCACGGGCAGCTCAAGCAGTTTCTCATTTCCACATCTCTGGACTGAGCCATTTCCGAAGGCAGTGGGCGAGGCTCTGGCAAGGTCACCGATAACGTTTTACACCTAGCACCATGACCAGGAAAACCCAACAGCTCCCCGGCTGCTTTGCCTACAAAGACGGCTGTCCTTAACTACCCTGGTGTTTCACCTCCAGCACAAGAGGCAGCATTAAGAGAACAGGTTCAAATTCTAGCTGCAGGACCTTGAAGCAGATTAGCCTCTCTGAGCCTCAGTGTTCCCACCTGTAAAATGGGGATAATATTGTTGACAGCTGTAAATAACAATTAATGCCAGGAATTCCACTACAAGAGCATTTTTCCTCTATTACAAAAACTATTTATAAGGAACTAGGCACCCTGCTGAGGGGCAAGGGCGGCGTGGCAACAAATCCTGGTGTGACGAGACCTCAGTAAAGGGCACTTATGCTGCCACCTTTCTGACCTGTGACTGGACAAGAGGCTTCCCAACCCGGGTCTCAGTTTCCCCAGATGCAAATCGCAGAATCCACAAATTGTAAAAAAGTCCATTAACAATGGCCATGACCAAGCCACTGCATGCTTCCCTCTGTGGAGAAGGTTGGACCCACACACTTTCCCCATTTCCCCACTCAATAGCAAGGAAGGGGTTGATCTGGGGAATACAAGGCTTTAGAAATAGGCTGCTGAGGCCTGAGTTTTCCAGACTTAGGGGTGACCCCAGATGGCATCTGTGGCCCTTCCATGAATTTCCTCTGTGGCACTGCCCACATTGCTTCCTTTTTCTGGATGTAAGCTTCCCCAGGTTTATAAAACACGGAGTGGAACCCAGGGCCTTCTACATTCCGGGACATCTAAGTCAGGGTGCGAGAGCTCACCTTGAGGGAAGCTTGATCAGCTGGTGAGGTCGGATGTGTATGTGGCAGTATGTGTGTTTGTGTAGTGTGTGGCGCATGTGCGTGTGGTGTGTGTGGGTGTGTGTGGTGTGTGTAGTGTCATGTGGTGTGGGCGTGGTGTGTCATGTGGTGCGTGTGGTGTGTGTTTAGTGTCATGTGGTGTGTGTGGCATGTGTGGCATGTGTCGTGTCATGTGGTGTGTGTGTGGGGTGTGTGTATGGTGTGTGGTGTGTGTGTGTAGTGTCGTGGGGTGTGTGGCGTGTGTGGTGTGTGTAGTGTCATGTGGTGTGTGTGAGGGGTGTGTGTGTATGGTGTGTGGTGTGTGTAGTGTCATATGTGTGGTTTGTGCGTGTGTGTGTGTGGTGTGTATGTGGTGTGTGTATGGTGTGTGTAGTGTCATGTGGTGTGGCATGTGTGGCATGTGTGTGGTGTGTGTGTGGGGGTGTGTGTGGTGTGTGTAGTGTCATGTGTGTGTGGTATGTGTGGGGTGGTGTGTGTGTGTGGTGTGTGTGAGGGTGTGTGGTGTGTATAGCGTGTGTGGTGTGTGTGTGGTGTGTGGTATATACTGCCACACACACACAGACACGCACGTGTGCAGAGGGCGGTGGGCCGGGGCTCTGCATTGCTGGAGGAAGAGTTGACAGAGCTTCTCCCAGCAGAAGCTGGCAGTGGCTGGGGTCGCCGCTTCCTGCCATTCTGCGTCCGCATCGTGCACATATTCTCGAAGGCCTCCCCTGGCGAAAGCCCTGGCGTGGCCAATCCGAGCGGCCAGAACACCCCCAGGAAACTCCACACAGGGGCCGTCCCCGCCTGGCGTGGGAACTCCTCCAAGAAAAACGAACTTTGAAACCTGGAGGGCTTGTCCCAGCTTCTCCCCGGAAGGCCCCAGAGGGGTTTGCAGGGGCTTCCCCAGGCCTCGGCCATCACAGGACCATGCCAAGCCAATGCTGCTGCCCCTCTGCCTCCTGCCTGGCTTCCTGCCACCTCGGCCCACCTCTGCCTTCCTCCCAGGGGTGCTGTCTAAACAGCAGGTCTGACTACACTGCTTGCCTGCTCAGCTCTCAAGGGAGGCTGGCTGCCTTCAGGATGAAGTCGATTCTACTCTGTGAAGCAGGGTTGAGGGGTGATGAGGGGTGTGAGGCTGGCACTCCTGGGTCTAAGTGGCAAGCCATTTCACCCCTCGGAGGAGGATCACTGTCCTCATCTATTACATGGAGAACAAATCGTGTGACTCTCCTAGGTTGCTTTGAGAATTAACTAAGAGGTAACGTGCTCAGAACAGAGCTTGGCACAAAGGTAAGGGCACGTGAGTATTTTGGCACCACAGTAATCCATGTGAGTGATGATTGTCATCTCCAGACCTCTGATAATTGGATGCAACTCTAGCCACATGGTATGCGCTCAATAAACACTTGTCGAATAGTAAGTTCAGGAGGACAGCGCATGTCAGGGACTCGTAAAACAAGCAGTCGTGTCTCCCTAAGATGTCAGGTCTAATTGCATTCGAATGCCTTGAGCTTGTAGGGGTGCACCGACAAGGCAATGTCCAGCTCAGACAGACAGCAGGTCCCCTCCCAAGTAGGCTCTTGCAGTCACCAAGGCGAGAAGAGCGTGGCGTGGCCAAGGAGCAGAACATGGGCATGTGTTGGTGGAGGACCTAACCCTGGTGCTTGTGTTTCCAAGTTACCACCACAATCCCCTGCAAATCGTGGGGGAGAGGAAGCTAATCAGTCAGGTGGGATACCTGGGTAGGACCTGTGTATGGATTCTCTTCATTCCTACTGTAACACTCAAACTGCAAGCTCAGAGGGATCAATGTGTGTGTGTGTGTGTGTGTGTGTGTGGTGTGTGTGATCGTGCAAAGGAGCTCAGTTTGTACACAGGACCATGGGCCATGGAAGGGATTAATCGTCATCACAGCTGCCAATTAAATTGTTGAGTGTGTGTAATGTACTAAGCCCTTGCCAAGTGCTTCTGCACATGGTATGATTTCATCATCTCAGAACTCGAAGAGATGGGTACCATTGTTATTTTCATTTGAAAGATGAAAGAAACCGAGGTCCAGAGAAGTGGGGTGACTTTATCCAAGGTCACACAGCCACTCAGTGAAAGAATTGAGACTAGAACCCAAGACTTCTTACTGTAGGTGAAGGCTTTTTCCTGTCCCTGAAGGAATTCAAGATCTTTCCAGAGTGTCTCCCACATGCTGAAAGCATCATGTAGGGAAAGAAACATTTTCTGAGTCTTCTATATGCCAGGCACCAAGCCCTAGGTGCAAATCTTGTCTCTTATTCTTCCTAGCTGTGAGATTTTACACAAGTTCCTTCAGCTCTCTGAGCCTCGGTTTCCTCGTCTGTAAAATGGGGATAATGATGCTCAGATCTCATAGGATCATTGTACACAGTAATATCATTTGGAGCTTTGGGCTGGGACCAGGAGACCTGAGTTCTAATCTCCACTCTTCTATGGTCATGGTAGCTTGAGGGCAAAAATGATCCCAAAGCTTGGCCCCTCTCTGTATCCACACCATACCTCTGGGTTGGCCCTTGCTTTGTAGCTTGCCATAGGATATGGCAGACGTGCGGCTGTGCCACTTCCTAGTGTGGGCTCAAGAGGCCTTGAATGCATCTTCTTCCTTTCTTGAAACTCTGGCCAATCACCATGGGAACAAGCCCAAGCTAGCAATTGGAGGATGAGAGGCACATGGAGCAGAGATGCGTGTCTATGTCAATCCCAGTCTATGCCCACCTAGACCACGACAGCCAACCCATCCCCAAATACATGAAGAAGGCCAGTGGCTGCCCATAGACCCACCTGCGAGCCCAGCTAAGACCAGAAGCACAACGCTGATCTCTAGACTCGTGAACAGAAATACATGCCTGCTGTTTTATGCCAGTGAATTTGGGGTGGTTTGTTATACAGCAATAGCTGACTGATAGAGTGGTCTTGGGGCAATCTCTTCCCATCTCTGGGCCTCAGTTTCCTCATTTGCAACATAATGGAATTTGGGCTCTATGAAATTTTCTGCTCCTTCTCTAATTCCTTCGAACTTTTGGCTCCAGGGAAATCCTGTCTCCTCTTGCTAATGGGCCAGAAGATCTGAGTTCAGCCAGTTTTATTTTTGTCGTGGCCATTTCTCCTGTGATTTTTGCTGATATCTGGAAATCTATTCTCCCAGGGCTAACGTTGTCCTCAACTCCTGAATCTCTCTCCTCCTTTCCTGGCTCTCAGGTAGAATTCTTACAGTCCAAAGCAGCTATATCTCTGTTTGAAGAACTGAAGTGCCTCTGGACAAGGCACTTAATTTTTAGGGCTTGGAATTAACTTAGCACAGAACAGGTTGGCAGCAGCTGAAGAGGACTGTTCTGCAGCTATCAATCATATGGTTACCTGGGTTTGTTATTAGGCCCTTTTATTTCCTGGTTAGAGAACTGTGCTGGGGCTCATAAACAGGGAGCAATGTTGGGAACTCTGCAGAGGAGCAAAGGAAGGCACGCTGGAGCCTGATTGAGACTTTTTCCCTGCAGAGATGGATGTATGTTCGCAGTAGATGTCCAGGAAACGGGGAGCAGGAAACACTTTGAGCCTCAGTTTCTTCTTCTGTAAGATGGAGCTCGGAATTTCTCTCATGTGGAGCACTTCCCTACCGTTTGTGTGTGTGTGTGTGTTTGTGTGTGTGTGTGTGTGTGTGTGTGTGTGTGTGTGTGGTTAAAAACTGGCTTTGGTCTTAGAGACCTGGGTTCAAGTCCTGACTTGGCCACATCCTAATTGTGTGACCTTGGGCAAGCAGTTTCATCTCTCTCAGCCTCAGTTTCTTCATCTGTACAAAGGAGTAGTCACACTGACGTGATGTAGATATTGCATAGGGTACTGATATTGCATTGGAGAGTGAAATGAGTTACTATAGGTAAAAAAAGCATGTAAAGACTGGCACATTGTAAGTACTCAATGAATGTCAGCTGTTGGTCTTTATCATCATCATCATCATCATCATCAATGAGATAATGTGTGCCAGTATTTAGCATAAAGTCTGGGATATAGTAGGGGTAAAAGTAGTGTTAGCTATGGTTATCTGCCTATCTTGTGTCAGAAACCTTATGTTATCTGTTATTTTAATTTTTACATTATTTAATTAATTTACACACCCACCTTCTCTGTCTCTCTCTTTTTAGAAACAGGGTCTCACTATGTTGCCCAAGCTGGTCTCAACACCTGAGCTCAGGTGATTCTCCCACCTCAGCCTCTCAAGTAGCTGGGACCACAGCTGCAAGCCACCATGCCTGGCTAATTTTTAAATTATTTGTAGAGACGGGGTCTTGCTTTGTTGCCCAGGCTGGTCTTGAACTCCTGGGCTCAAGCGATCCTCCCATCTTGGCTTCCAAAAGTGCTGGGATTACACGCATGAGCCACTGTGCCCAGCCTTACCGTCTCTTTCATTCAACAGATATTTATCAAGCACTTTCTTTGTGCCAGACACTGGGGATAAAGTGAACAAAATATCCCATTGTGGGTGCAGGCACCAGCACCTTCAATAATCTGCCTGAGGCCACAGAGCTGGTGAACATCAGGATGCACTTACATGCACCTCTTTTTGACTCTAGGCGCTTTTATGTCTCCTTGGCTGCAAGGCATCTTCAAGGTTGTGGCCCCCGTGCTGAGCTCTTGTGGCCACAAGCAAGTTGTCTTTCTGGTCCTCTCTTGCTGTGTGATACTTGCTAAGTTACCTGCCCACTTGGGGCCCCTCTCGGATCTTCTATTCTACGATGCCTTCACCAATGTTAGTTCCCTTATTCTCCTTTCCGTAATTTATTTTGAGAGTTGGGGAAGGGGTGTGGAGAGAGAATGAATGAGAGAGAGTGAGAGGAGAGCAATATGAAAAGGCCCTTAGGGTTTAAAAGTTTCTGTTCAGTTGTGTTTTTAGAGGAAGAGGCAGATTTCTGATGGAGCTGGGAGGGATACGTGGTGGGTTAGGGAGGCATTTGGGGTGTGAAGAAGGTTTAGCCTGAGGGCTCCTGACTCATCCCAAGTTGGTGCAACCTCCTTCTTTCCTCCAACACCAACAATGTGGGGCAGATGGTTGTAATTGATGCTGTGATTCAGAGCATTCATTTCATGCCTAATGGTCACTGTCATCACTGCTTGAATCCTTTGCTCACGACACTTTTCTCCCATTAACTCCGGGCAACTGGCACTCTTCAAGATTCCTTCTGGATGTCACCTTCTCAGGGATATTTCCATAATTCACGGAGATAAATCTAGTTCCCCTCTACCTCCTCAACTCACCCTCCAAGCCACAGGACTTTGCTTACATTTTGCCAGGCTGTCTGTTTATGGCTATGTGTCCCTTCCTGAACTTTGAGTCCCTACAGGCCTGGGAGCCTTCCCGTGTCGCTGCTACATTGCCGAGACACACAGCTGGTGCCCCGAAAGCTGTTCAAGTCAGTGGAAGTGGAGGCTACGGTGTGTGCTCCGTCTTTACTAGCTGTGTGACCTGAGGAAACCACGTAACCTCTCTGTGCTGTCATACCCAACCCATAAAGTGGTAATGATAATATCTGCCTTATCTGAGGATTCCTGATAATAGTAGTCTCCATTTATGAAGCACCAACTATGTGCCAGATACCATGCAATGTGCTTGGCATACATTATCTCTAATTTGGGTAATTACCCTTCTGTAATTATCTCTACCCACATTAGCTCTCATTTATGTAATTATTATCTCTGCATAATAATGTTCACATTTATTATTGCTCACGGACCTAAACGATGCAGCTCAGGGCCTGCCTAGCACATAGTAGGTTTTTAATAAATGGTAACTAATTAGAACCGCCATGGCCACGGTATCAACAGACTGCCCAGTAGACGAAGAGGGAGAGAGATCCCCTCTCGCCTGGGAAATGTGGCTTACGTCCTCATTCATGACTCAGCAGACAGCTAAGTCATGCGCCTACTATGGGCCACCTACCCAGCTCGGTCTGCAGTGCACACTCCCTCCCCATCGTCGATGTGAAAAATAACAATTGCAAACACTTAGGAGGGCTGAGGGGCCCGGAGGATGGAATTATTTTTACTATCAAACCCAAATTGGTTTACTAAAACTGTCAGTGGAAAACCAAGCAAGATAAATTAAACCCAGCAGCTCTTGGGCCTCACGTAACCCTGGCTGTTGAGATGCTATTTTCACTCCCTCTGTGGGAGGGAGGAGGTGCCAAGTCCAGATGCCACTCTGCCAAGTGTGTGCCAAGCTTGTCGGCGTGAGCCTCGGGCTGGTGACCAGAGGACTCAGCTCCCTTCTGCAAAGCTTTAATCTCTTTAAGTGCTTAAACCCTTTTCCTGCTGCCCAATTTGGGGAAGCCCAGACTCCCTAATGTGGCCTTCAAGGCGCTGCTGAGTCGCATTCACCGCCAGGCTGTCCTACTTCATGGACGCACCCTTGAACTCCAGACACACAGGGTCCTGGAGACATGGCAAGTGGGGTTAAAGTCCAAGCTCCGCCAGCTTCTAGCTGTGCGATCACAGGCACTCTCCCACCACCCCGAGCCTCAGTTTACTCATCTGGAAAATGGAGATAATAACAGAACCCAAGGCATGTGCTTGTCGTGAAGATGTCTAGGATGTAACTGCTTGGGATGTCCTAAGTGCTCAGCAAATATTAAATATCATGGACAATTAAGAAGGGAGCTGTGCTTTCCTGCCTCTGGACCTTAGCACATGCTGTTCCTTTTGGCTGGAACACTGTTCCCCTCCATCTCTGCCCATCTTCTCTCTGTCTTTCAGGTCTTAGCATAGATCAGGGTTTCTCTGCTTCAACACCGTTGATATTTTGGGTCAGCTCATTCTTTGTGGTGGGGACTGTCCTGTGCATTGTAGGATGCATAGCAGCATCCCTGGCCTGTCCCCACTAGATGCTGGGGGTGCTCTCCCCCGCACCCTCCCATTGTCCCAACTAGAAATGCCTCCAAACATTGGCAAGTGTCCCCTGGGGCAAGATAGACCCTGGTTGAGAAAAACTGACTTAGACTTTACTGTTCTCAGGAAAGCTTCTCCCTCACATTCTCAGCCAGGCTCACCTTCCCTCGCTCTGGGCCCCCAGAGTGCTGTATTTCCTCTTGCTGGTGCTGTATCAGCCTACAACATGGCTCCCCGGGGGCGGGGCTGCATCTGTCTTGCTCACTGCCAGGGCCCAGCCTCAATGCCTGCTACATAGTGGATGCTCAATAAATATATGTGGAATCGATTTAAACTTGCTCAGTGACAAAAATGACAGTCCTCACATGTCCATGATGATTAAAACTGGGACTGAATTGATTTTGATGTCACTGCAAATCCTAAGGCCCCGGGATGACACTGGCTGCTTGTCCTAACGCAAGTCGTGACAGCTGCCTTGGGGAGGGCGATGCCCCCCCTTATTGGCCCCATTCTGAGCCTGTCTGTGGTTCCGTCATCACTTTCTGCTTGGCTTAGTGTCCAGTGCTCAGAACACCCGGGAGAATGATACAGGCTCCCCAAGCCCCACGGCACTTGGCCCTGAACTCTGCCAGCATATCTCAGCATCACTGGATTGGGGGACCTTGAAGTCCCCCTCCCGCTAGATATTCTGATTCTAAGGTCCATGATGACACATCCTTTGAAACTATAACCCTATAAAATATTCTCTTGGGGAGACCTCCTACTTCTATTATTTAATACTTTACCTGATAATTTTTAGCCAAATGTTATTTCTTATCAACCAGGTTCCCTGTCATGTAATAAACCTGTACTTACTAAAAAATGGAGGCCATGTCCCCAGAAGGTCTTTCCATATTTTTCTGACCCTCTTTTTTCCCTCCACGTGCATCATAGCCAGCTGAACATAAATTTGGGTTCAAATTCTCGCTTTGAAGCCTCATGTCTGTATGATCCTGACAAGCTACATTTACTTCCTTGCCTTTTATTTATTAAGCACCTACTATGGGCCATGCACTGGTCTATATATTAGGGTTACGGCAGTGAATAAGACAAAAAATAAACTCCTGCTCTTCTCCTGGAGGTGACATTCCAGGTGGAGGTGTGGGAGTTGAAATACTTCAAGATACACCACAATGCGTAGTGTGTTAGGTGGTGGCAAGGGCTATGGAAGTGAAGCAAAGTCAGAGGATGGAGAGATGGGGAGCAAGCTCTGCAGATATTTGGGGCAGAGCATCCCAATGGCAGGGGAGACAGCAGTGCAAAGGCCCTGAGGTATGCGTGTGGAATGGCAAGAAGGCTAATATGGTCAAATGTACCATACAGAAAGGAGAAGAGAGGAATAAAGCGATGCTGGAGATGTAACCAGAGCTAGATCCCATAGGGCCTTTTGTAAGAATACTGGCTTTAAGTCCAAATAAAACAGGGAGCTATTGCAGAACTTTGAGCAGAGCATGGGTGCTATGACTTCGGTTGTAACAGGATCACTGAGTGTTGGTTAAAAAGAGGGGGCAGAAGTGGGAACAAGGATATCTCAAAGGCCGTTGCAATAACCCTGGGAAGACGCAGTGGTGGCGTGGACCCTGCAGGTGGCAGTGGAGGTGTCAGAACTGCTTGGACTCTGGGAAGACTTTGACTTTTGAGTAGAAGCAATGGAATTTCCTGAGGATTTGGCTACAGGGTGTGGGAGAAAGAGAAAGGTCCAGTTCACAGTGAGTGTGCTGGGCTGGGGGCAGGCTCATACGGGCTTGTAAGAGCTAATGGTCCAGGCATTTGGAGAGCCTGTTGTCATTATGTTGGTATATTAAAATGGGTCATGGTGGGAGTATTTACACCGTGGAAATTGACAGATGCTACAAATCAGGGTGTGGCCCACTGTGCCGCCAACTTGTTAAGAAAGCCAGCACTCCACTGGGCCAGAATAACGCCAAGGTTTCTGTTTTGTCGTTGTTTGATTCTTTCCCCCAAGCAACTGATGGAATAGATCATACCTTACACATATGAGAAAGATGGGGGTAAAATAAGTATAATAGATAAATAGATAAATAAATATCTCCCTATAAGTAGATATAGGGAGGGAGAATCAGGAGTTTGTCTTTGAATACATTTCATTTGAGATGCCTCTTAGACATCCAAGTGAAGTGGTGAGGAAGCAAGAGGATATAATTAAATGTAATAGTTGCAACTACTTCATGGGATTAATCCAAAGAACAAATAATACAATTTATTTTTAACTTATATGAAGTAAAAATTAATGTTAGTAAAGACCTTACAAATAGTAAGTGCTTAAAAACATGAATTTCTTCATTGCTGCAATGAGAAGGGAGCTTAAACCCTCAATCACCTTAATCATTTGCAAGGGTTGCAAACTGGTGGTCCTCAGTTTGGATTCAGCCAGTAGGCACTTTTTTTTTTTTGGAGGAGGGGATGCTATTTTTAAAAATTGAAATTATGGCCCGGGGCAGTGGCTCACACCTGTAATCCCACCACTTTGGGAGGCTGAGGCAGGCAGATCACTTGAGGTCAAGAGTTTGAGACTAGCCTGGCCAACATGGTGAAACCCCATCTCTATTAAAAATACAAAAATTAGCTGGGTGTGGTGGCACACGCCTGCAATCCCAACTACTCATGAGGCTGAGGCAGGAGAATCGCTTGAACCCAGGAATCGGAGGTTGCAGTGAGCTGAGATGGCACCACTGCACTCCAGCCTGGGTGACAGTGAGACTCTATCACAAAAAATAAAATAAAATAAAATAAAATAAAATAAAATGGAAATTGAATTTAAATGATTTTAGATAGGGTATGTACTTCCTAATTCATCGCAGACCCCTCCCCTCCATATAATCTCACAACAGCTCTAATTCCGGTATTTGTGTTGCCTGGCCCTTCATGATTTTGGATTTGCAACTACCCTTGATTCAAGGTAGCCCATCATCTTGCAGAGGAGGAATCTGAGGCCCAGAGATGCTAGGTGCTGGGTCCAGGGCTGCTGAGGGCATGGAGTATCAGGGCAGGGAGGAAGGAAACTGAGGGCCCTCTCTCCTGGTCAATGCTCAATCTACGATTGTGAAAATGTTCAGAAGAGAGAAAGCCTGCCCCCGCTGCAAGGGCTCCCTTCCTGATGCTAATGCCAGTGGCTTGGCTTTGGGGAAGCTTTAATTGCATGAGGTTCCCGGATCGGCTGCTCCATTGCATGCATGCTTAGTGGTAGAAATAAAACCCAATCTGGTGTCAGGCTGAAGGTTAATTGAATATTTGATGCCTAGAGATGATGAAAGTAAAGATTCCCATTTTCTTGTTTCCTCCTCTAGACCTCTGGCACCAAAGGGAGATGTGGGCCCGTCTTATTTAAGCAAAACCACCCATCTGGGAGGCTCCCTGTGAGGCCAGAAGAGGCAAGCCAAGCAGAAGAGAGGGGATTATAGATGACTTCATGGGGCCTGGGGCTGGGTGGGATCTTCTGCCAGAGAAGCCAAGAACTCAGGAGTAGGTCGTACCTTCTCTTGGCTGAAGACAGGTAGTTTTCCTGGTAACTTCTGGGGGAAGGAATTCATAAGCTGGAACCATAAATTTATTTTTATGGACAAGGACAAGGGGGCGACACAGAAGGCTTCCTAAAGGATGCAGCCTTAGAATAAAGTTTTCTATGTGAAGCTTCAGCTAAGAAGACCCCAGAGCTTCCCTTTGATCCATTCCCTCTGTAGTCTCTACCCACCTGCCATGCTTTGCTCCAGCCACATTAAACTTTATGTCATTAAGTGGGTCACACTCTTTCATTTCCAGGCTTTGTAGATGTTTTGCAGATGTTCTCATCATGTAGGTAGGACATTCTTCTTCCTTTCCTGTCCTGTCCTCCCTCCCTCCCTCCTTCTTTCTTCCTTTCTTTCTTTTCTTTCTTTCTTTTTCTTTCTTTCTTTCTTTCTTCTTTCTTTCTCTTTCTTTCTTTCTTTCTTTCCTTCTTCTTTCTCTCTCTCTCTTTCTTTTCTTTCTTTCTTTTTTCAGAGTCTCACTCTGTCACCCAGGCTTAAGTGTAGAGGCATGATCTTGGCTTACTGCAATCTCCACCTCCCGGGTTCAGGTGATTCTCTTGCCTCAGCCTCCCAAATAGCTGAGATTACAGGCACCCACCACCACGCCTGGCTAATTTTTGTATTTTTAGTAGAGGCGGTGTTTCACCATGTTGGCTGGGCTGGTCTTGAACTCCTGACCTCAAATGATCCACCCACCTCAGCCTCCCAAAGTGCTGGGATTACAAGCCTGAGCCACCATGCCTGGCCAGGACATTCTTCTTTTCCCCTCGTCACCTGCCTACCTTCTCTTTCATGCTATTATAGAAGCTACTTCCTCCTGGAAGCCCTCCTGATTTCACTCAGGTGCCCTCACCTGCCTGTCACTGCTCCTTTCACACTGCATTTACTTTCTTACCTGCCTCACCTGCTAGGCATGCAGGGTGAGGACTGCCCTGTTTTTCTCACAACTGTATCTTCAGTGCTAAGCCTACTGCTGGCACACGGTAGGTACACAATAATTTTTTCCCTAGAGTTAAGAGAGACAATCCATTCCATTCTTTCCAATATGAATTTTACCACTGAAGGAACAACCATTAGAACCTTTCCAGCACATAAAATTGTGCTTGGTTGATAGTAGACACTCAAACAGTTCGGTTGGAATGAATGAATAAGCATCTTATTCCAGACTCTAGAAGTCAGAGAGAAAGGAATGGGGGGAAGAGGATGAGGTCTATTTAATTCAATTTGAATTTTTATTTTTTTTTGAGACAGAGTCTTACTCTGTTGCCCAGGCTGAAGTAGTGGTGCAATCATGGCTCACTGCAGCCTGGAACTCCAGGGCTCAAGTAATTGTCCCACCTGAGCCTCCCAAGTAGCTGGGACTACAGGTGCCACCATGCCTGGCTAGTTTTTTTAATTGTTTGTAAAGATGGGGTCTCACTATGTTGCCTAGGCTGGTCTCGAACTCCTGGCCCCAAGTGATTCTCCTACCTCAGCCTCCCAAAGTGTTGAGATTACAGGTGTGAGCTACCGTGCCCAGATGAGGATGAGCTTTATTGAGGAGTGAGGCAATGGGCTAGGAACGCGTAAAATCTGCCTCCAGCAGCCACAAAGCACTGATGTTCCAAGACCCCCATTACAGGAGAGAAAAATTGAGGTCCAGAGAGAGGCGAGAACAGGTGAGCCCAGCCCAAAGTCACATGGGAAGGAGGTGGAATTCTTTCTTAGATTGGCCTGGCCCCAAGTCCACAAGGGGCAGCTATTCAAGCTGTGTAAGTCTCTGACTCCACTGGAGAAGGAGGTTCTGGGACAGCCTCTGGGGACACTTCTTTTTTTTTTGAGACAAGGTCTTACTCTGTCACCCAGGCTGGAGTGCAGTGGCATGATCATGGCTCACTGCAGCCTCAATTTCCCAGGCTCAAGAGATCCTCCCATCTCAGCCTCCCAAGTAGCTGGTACCACAGGCGTGTGCCACCACATCCAGCTAATTTTTATTTTTTTGAAGAGACAGGATGCCTCTATGTTGTTGGGACTGGTCTCAAACTCCTGGTCTCAAGCAATCCTCCTGCCTCAACCTCCCGAAGTGTTGGGGTTGTAGGCATGAGCCACCGCACCCAGACTAAGGACACTTGCTGTGTCTAAGGAACAGCCTCAAAAGCCGGTCACTAATAATTTGAAAATAATTTCTCTTTCTCTTGCAAGGTTCCTCTGTAGAGCCAGAGAACTGTGAGTGCTGCTTCCCCAGGCTGCTGGGTTTCAGCACTCTCTCCGCCCCCAACCACCCTCCCGTCTGCCACCTGGGTCTGTCAGGAACCCTGTATTCTGCTTTCTCCAGGCACCACCGTCTGTCTTTGTCCACTTCTCACCCCCATCTCACATGGGGCAGTGGAAAGAGCATGACTGAGAAGCCACAGAAGCCTGAATTTCAGCCCCGCTGCTCGCTGGCTTTCTGGGTGGCCTCCCTGCACCTCTGCTGCCTTCTCAGACAGTGGGGTTAATGACCTCCCAGGGGGGGTTCTCTGTGAGAATTACCTAAGATAGAAATGCTTAGAGCAGTCACTTTTGCATCTGGCCCAGAGTAGCTGCTTCCCTGCAAGTGTCACCCTCTTGGGGAGCTAGCGGGGAACATTCTGGATGGAGAATCTAATGGTTACCCCCTGTGAATACAGGAAACCCAGCCGCACAGCTAAGTAAGTCCGTTCATTAAAAACATTTTTTTTCATTCAGCAATCATTTCCTGAGCATCTACTGTGTATCAGACTCTGCGTTAGACTGTGGAAACAGAGGGTAGTCAGACCCAGCCCCAGAGGAGAGGACCTTCTGGTCTAGTTGAGGGAGACAAACAGGAAAATAAACAACTGTAGTCCAGTAAATGGGTGTTACAGTGCCCCCTTCTTGCTGGCCACACTGGCCATTTGGTCCTTTGAAAATGAGATGCTTGCCACAGGGCCTTTGCACATTCTGTTCATTTGGGATGCATCACTCCAACTCATCTTTTAGTTCTGAGCTTTAGTATCAGATCCTCGGGGAAGACTTCTCTGACCTTCCTTTTTATATCAAATTCCAGTTAAAGAATCTCATAGCACCATTAACCTCTCCTTACATCACATATTGAAGTTAGAGTATGCAATTATTTGTGTATGTCCTCATTTCATATTTGTTTCCTAGGCTGAATTTCCCAAAGATAGGGACTCTCTCTCTCTCTCCTCTCTCTCTCTCTCTGTGTGTGTGTGTGTGTGTGTGTGTATTTGTGATGCTGTTCTTGGTCTCACTATGGGAATGCCTGTTCTCTGCATAGTCCCGGCACATAGTAGATGCTTAGTTAATATTGGTTGAAAGAATAAAGCAGGAGCAATTTCTTTCTCAATCTCCCAAATTTTGCCAAATTAGAGGGCCACCCATTTTAAACACTCACAACTGGATATCTAAGAAGATCCGTTTCTCTTCTCCCACGTGGATCTTCCAGATACAATCTTCACCTTCCACGTAGGGCTCGGGCCAGTTTGGGGACAATACCACCCCAGCCACAGCAGAGAGCTCCCCACCACACATGGCTGTAAAAGACAGACAGGCAAGAAGACGGACTTTATTTGTAAAGAAGTCAATGTGGCATAGCGGCTAACCATGTGGGCTATGAAGTCAGACAGCCGTGAATCTCTGTGTACTGTGGACAGGTGTCTTCACCTCGGGCAGCCAGCACGTGTGTGTGTGTGCGTGTGTGTGTGTGTGTGTGTGTGTGTGTGTGTAATGATTAAATGAGAGCTGGCCAGCTGCCTACCTTGCACCTGAGGGTTGGTAAAAGTTGGGCTAAGAGGTGCTATTGCTCTTTCAAGACCAAGGACAGAGCTCAGTGGTCAGAATGACTCCTCAACAGCCTCTGCTCTTTTGCGGGGTGAGTAGTGGCTAAGAGACCGCCCACTCAAGTTAGGTGGTCCCGGGGTCCCAATCTTGCCTCTGCTGCTAACAGGCTGTAGGAGGAGGTATGTAATTTCCCAGAGCCTCAGCTCCCTTTCTCTACAAAATGGGGGCAATACCACTGCCAACCTCATTGGGTTATTTTGAGGCTTAAGCTCATGAATGTCAAACATGCTGCACAGTGTCTGGCACATGGTAGCTGCTCGATAATTTAGATAATGTTGCTATGACAGGTCCCGGCCCTGAACTGGAAGCAGAGATGTGGCTGCGGCAGGTGCCCTTTAAATTCTACTCTGTGTTTACCACTTTGGAAAGGTCTCAACATGGCAGAGGCCAAAGCACCAATAAATTCCGCTCTGTTAAATCGGCACATTTAATATAGGGATCAATCCCTCACCATGGCAAGGCTGTGATTTCACACCAACTGCCATTGAGGCGGTGGCTGCCAGGAGTGAGGGCACCTTTCATTACTCCACATGCCAGCAGGAGACCCAGGCTCAGGGTGGCTCAGCAGCCTTGAATATGGGGAAACGGGCCAGGTGCGATGGCTCATGCCTGTAATGCCAGCACTTTGGGAGGCCAAGGTGGGTGGATCACTTGAGGTCAGGAGTTCGAGACCAGCCTGGCTGATATGGTGAAACCCCGTTTCTACTAAAAATACAAAATTAGCCGGCTGTGGTGGCACACGCCTGTAGTCCCAGCTACTCAGGAGGCTGAGACAGGAGAATCGCTTGAACCCGGGAAGCGGAGGCTGCAGTGAGCCGAGCGAGTCTCTGTCTCAACAACAAAAAGAATATGGGGAAACTGGCAGGACAGTCCACTGCAGCCTGTGTAGATGAGGGTTCTACAACACTGTCCAGTGGGGCTCAGAGCACAGTGCTCTGAGAACAAAGAGACATGAGTTCCATTCCTGTCCCTGCCAATTCCCCTTGTGTGTTCTTAGGCAGGTCACTTCACAGCATTAGTTTCTCACCTACAAATGGGGCCGATACAATCTACTTTATAAGGCTATGGTGAGGTTGAAATCAGATAATGCACACACACTCTTAGCAAAGTGCTGGTAGCATAATTATTACACACCAATTAAGAACTATTATTGTTCTTATTAATGAGGTTATTGCGTGGGTTGTGCACTGCACAAGCATGCGTAGCAGAGGGAGTATTTAGGAGCTGAAATCCATGCAGTATTCAGCTCACTAAGCTGTGCACTGTGGGACCTATGCCTGGAAGAAGGTGCACCTTCTAAAATTCACCCATTTTGTAATTTTCTCAAGACCAGCAGCAACCCTGAACCAAAGGACAGTGAACCCTGGAAAGGGTTCTAATCCTAAAGTTGGTATGAAAACTGGGGACAGGCCTCTAAGCTGGGGCCTTGGTCTTCTCATCCAAAGGGTGGAGATCCCTGGGGTGCCGTGGGAAGAGCGTTGTGGATCCGCTCACCTCTGCACAGGGGCTCTGTGTCATTCCAGTATGGGTCCCGCACATTGATGCATTCGATGATGGCCGGGCCCTGCTCCAGGGAGTGGCCGGGGTCGCAGGTGAACTCCACTATAGTCCCAATGTTATAGGTCGGGTCGGATGTAGTGAAGTTCCCATTCTGGATGTAGGGCTCATAGCAGTGGCCTTTCTCAAACGCTGAGGAAGGGAAAGAGAGGCAGCAGTTCAGATGATGCAGGGACTACCCCACGGTGCTATATTTCAGAAGATGGGTCCCCTGTGCTGTTTAGAAAAGCCCCAAAGAAAACAGGTACCAAATTACGTGTCCTGGTTCCAGCTGACGTGTTGAGAACCCTGGGGCCACCCAGTTGACTCCTTGGGACCTCATTTAAAAAAATCTAAAATAGGAGTAAGAATCTCTGTCTTCTCCACCCTGTGGAGTTGTTGTGTTTTAATGCCTTTCCACATCCTATATGGATCCTTCCCATGGCCCGTAACTTCAGAGCCCTGACTTTTTGCCACTGGAAACTGTAGGGCTGTCTATGATAAAAGCCAGCTTTTCTTGGCAAAGCCAGAACAGAAAGTCCCCCAGCGTACATGAAATGCCCAGCGAACCCCTTCTTCAAGAGTCAGGGTCTCAGCAGGAGAGGCTCTTGCTAAATTCTTCTTGGAGGAAGAAGTGGCTAAATTCTAAGAGGTCTACTAGGTGGAGTGGAGCAGAGCTTCAGGGCTCCCCAGCACAGGATGGACAGAAATCTTAACTCCACCCTTGTTCACTGGTGGTCTTGGGCCGGTCACCCAAGTGTCTTAAACCTCAGTTTCCTCACCAAAAATCAGATAGAATAACAGTTCTAATGTTTCAGTGTGATGAGGATCAAACATGATGCAGAAGCTGAAATCCAATCAGACAGTGCACAGAAGGCACTGAGCACGTAGTAAGTGCACAGTTAATGATAGGCATTGTTATTATTAATGAAACCAAGAGCCTGTCTTTGGAAACCAAAGGATCCACATGGCCATGGGATTTCCCACATCCTTCGCAGCCCAGATTTCTATCTCCCCATGCTTTCCCTGCTCCCAGGCTACCCCCAGCCCCACAAGAGAAAGGGAAGCTCCCAGGGACCCTCACCTTCAAATCGGATGTTGAAGGTGGAGGCCGCCCGGGCCTGGTCGGACGTGAACTCGATGCGGATGGTGTTGCCTTCGCTCAGCAGGCCCTCAAAAGGGACACTCTCGGTTTGAAGGGAGTCGTAGAGAAGAGCTGACTTGTTGGTCTGCCCGCTGTGAACCGTCATCCTGGCAGTGGGAGCAGAGAGGAGGGACACTGACAGATCTTCCTGGGTCACTGACATGGCAGAGGAAGGGATGTGCTACGACTGCCTCTGGAGCCTCATTACCGGATCCCAAACCTAACTCTGCCTCTTTTTTTTTGACAGAGTTTCACTCTTGTTGCCCAGCCTGGAGTTCAATGGTGCGATCTTGGCTCACTGCAACCTCCGCCTCCCAGGTTCAAGTGATTCTCCTGCCTCAGCCTCCCGAGTAGCTGAGATTACAGGTGTGTCCCACCATGCCCAGCACATTTTTGTACTTTTAGTAGAGATGGGGTTTCACCATGTTGGCCAGGCTGGTCTCGAACTCCTGACCTCAGGTGATCCACCCGCCTTGGCCTCCCAAAGTGCTGGGATTACAGGCGTGAGCCACCACGCCCAGTCCTGACTTTACCTCTTATGTGCTCAGACAAGCATCACCTTATCGAACCTGTTTCCTCTTCTGTACAATGGGACTAAATGCCTGTCCTGGCTTCCTTATGGATTTATTCTGAGGTTGTAGGGAGAGTAATGTATATGATGTAATAAACCAAACGACGAACTAATGAATTGATGTTGACTATTATTATTAACTGAGAAGTTGGAAATAATGGACTAATCTCATTGCCTAAATGGTGGCTTTTGTAAAGTCAGGCAGACCTGGGTGTGAGTCCTGACTCTGTCACTTCTCAGCTGTGTGACTTTGCACAAGAACACTTCACTTCTCTGAGCCTCTGTTTTCTCATCTGTAAAATGGGTACAATTGCACCTATATCAGAGTGTGGGGCATGGTGGCTCAAGTCTATAATCTCAGCAGTTTGGGAGGCCAAGGTGGGTGGATCACCTGAGGTCAGGAGTTAGATAGTAGCCTGGCCAACATGGTGAAACCCCGTCTCTACTAAAAATACAAAAATCAGACAGATATGGTGGCGCGTGCCTATAGTCCCTGCTACTCTGGAGGCTGAGGCAGGAGAATTGCTTGAACCTGGAAGCCAGAGATTGCAGTGAGCCGAGATCGAGCCACTGCACTCCAGCTTGGGTGACAGAGCAAGACTCGGTCTTAAAAAAAAAATAGTTAACAGGACACGGTAGGTAAGTTTTGTTTATTAAGCATTTGACTCCCACCAGGCTCTGTCTCTGATCCCCATTTTCTAAGAGCACTGTGTGGGAAGTCAAGAGTCATAATTCCCATTTCTCAATTCCCCATCTGGATTTACATTAAGTCTTAAAACACCTTTCAGCCTCAGTGTCCTCAACTGTGAAAGGAGAGACCCAACCATAACGTCGTTCTGACCCATCTTACAGGTGGGCTTTGAGAATATTGCAAAATAAAAAGTGCCCTGAAAAATAAAATGTGTTAAACAAAATGTTGGGTATTTATTTTTATTGTTATTAAAGCTATTTGAAGTTGACTTCTTGCTAGCCTTGGTTTTTTAAAGAAATTATGCAAAAATGGTGAAGAAAACCATATACAAATTAGATAAGCTTCTTTTATGGAGTCATAAACACACATTTTTAAGCCTTTGAGGTTTTTACTGACTCATAAAAATAGTTTATTTTATGCTGCCCAGATGAATTTCTAATGTCACTAAGATGTATAAATGTTGCAGCCACAGTTTGTTTATTTTGCCATGTGTCCAGTATGGCTGAGGCAAGGATGGGGGCTGTGGTAGAGTCCAGGGGGCATTCCAGGAGTGGGAAGGGGCATCTACATAGTCTTCTGATTCCTGATGACTCTGTTATATCTTAGGGGCTGTGTGTTGGGACACCTCTTTCAAAGAACAGAAGCCTTTGGCAAAGAGGGTTGCTCTGGAGGAAAGCTTCAAGATCTCAAAATCTCTGTAGTCTATTAATCTTTTAAAACCAACAATTTTCTAACCATATTTTCTAGAATGTCTGCAATAGTAATACATTTTCTCTCAAATTCTTAATAGTCTATGGTCAAATGGATTTGCAAAATGCTGAATTAAATAAAAATTAAACTTTTTTTTCCCTGCAGGACTTATCAGTGCCTTTGTTAGCTAGTACATATTACGACCTTTCAAGGCAAGGATAGGGTGGGCGCAGTGTCTCCCAAACATGTTTGACCAGAGAACTCACTTTTTTGGGGGCATATTATGAGACTGGAGTTTAGAAAGGGTTCATTTTGAGGAAAATCATCTTAAAATCTTTATTCATGTCCCTCCTCGACTAAAAAGACTTTTATAGGCTCTCTATTGCCTATAAAAGTAGCCTGGCATTCAAAATCCTTCAGGATATAACCCCAATCTAGCTTCCCAGATCTCTTTCCTCCTGTTCTCATGAGAGCTTCTGCTGCAGCCCCCCAACAAATTTGCTAATTCTTTCCCCTCCATCTTTGTGCTCATCCTCCAATTCTCCATGCTTGGAATACCCCTCCCTCTGTATTTTTGGATCCATTATCCAATCTCCTTCCATTTTGACTTTAGGTCAAAGTCCCATTTCTTATGTAGAGTCTTATCTAGCTCTGAGTTCTTGCAACTGACATATTGTGGTATTTTAGCCATTTCCCCCTCAATAAAGTACATGGGACAGACATAATTGATTTCTCTTTTCTTCTTGGCCCAGAGAGTAGTGTCTTCATCATTTTTGTGTGTGTGTTGACCTTTAACCTTGATGAACTCTACAAACTTCTCTTCCTACTGATACACTTGAAAGCTGGTTTTTTCCTGGTAAGTGTCAGCTCATGCAGATCTTTGCAGGACCCCAGAGAAACTACTAGTGACCAGTGCCAGTGGGGGGCCCATTTGTCAGGACTTAAACAACTTGCAGAAAATAAGAAAATACTCATTTTGATGCATTCTTTTGTCTCTGCTAATTCTTGTTGTCTAGTATAAACTTAAGCCTGGCTCATCTCAAGCACCCCTCAGAAGAGGCAGATCTGAGGTTTAAGATTTGGAAATGGTCCTTCACCAAGGGTTCCCATGCCCAGATTTTCAGAGTCTCCAGAAGAAAGGATAGGGAATCTGATTTTTAAAGAATTCCCCAGGTTATTATTCTGGTGCTGCTAAAAAGCCACGTTCGGGAGCCCCTGCTTGATACCTTACACTTTACAGCAGCAATTTATCGATATAGAGTTGTTCTGGATAAAGCTGAACTGCCTAGAGGGAAGTGGACTCAAGAGGTATGGGAAAATTATTCAGTTGTCTTTTTTTTTTTTTTAAGTCTTTCCAAACTAAAGACCTCATAGTCTAGGTTTGATCCATCAAAGAAGCCAAAACATTAGAATTCTTAGATCAAAGTTTCTTGGACTCCAAAATTCTAAGGTGGGGGCATTCTGGAAGTGCAGTAAACACTGCCAGTGCCCTACCCTCTCCTACCCCTCAGCAGTCAACTGCTCCCACATTTTCTGCTGGCTTCTGACCACAAGTCTCTGAGAATCAGTCAACTCAACCAGCTCAAAGGGTGGCAGCTGATGTTGGGGATAGTTAGTGCTCCTCATCACATCTCTCATCCAGTGATGAATGGGAGCTGGTGCATAAGTACCCTAGCTCCCTCACCCTTCCAACAGGACCACTCTGAGGTATGCTCAACACATTGCCCAGAGGTTTCCAGTGGACAGAATCCCGGTTTTCCCAGCAGTCACCCGCTTATTAACGCAGCTGGTATTCACAATCTCACTTTCCCATGTGCCTCCTAGTGCTTACTAGGATCAGCTCCCCAGTGAACTACTTCCTCTCACATCTTTATCACCATGTCTGATTCCAAGGAAACCCAACTCAAGACAGCAAGTCAAAGCAGCTAAAGTCCTAGTTTTCTAGACTATCTTAGAATAAGATCTCAGAATAATCCAGAATATTCTAGAACAAGACCCCATAATATTCTAGAATAAGACGCCAGAATATCCCAGAATAAGATACCAGAATATTTCAGAACATTCTAGAATAAGATTCCATAATTTCTAGAATAAGATCCCCAAATATTCTAGAATAATACTGCAGAATATTAAAGTTTTATAATTCTGGATTCTATGCATATTCTGGATTCTATGCATATTATTAAGAGTCTACAGACACACTCTTGCTTAGATATTGCCTGGTAACTTCTCCTTCATTCTTTCATGTGCATACGTCTAGTTTTTCCATCTCAATTTCCTATCATGTCAGAAACTAATATTTTCTACTTCTTTCATGTTCTCCATGGAGCCTAATATATGGCTGGGTACTGAGCAGATGATCAATACATACTCTCTTTTTGTTCAACTGCAAAAAGGGGTGTGCAAGAGAAAGAATAGGGCAGTTCCCTTTTTGCCTCTTCCCCTAGCCTGCTGATTGAGCTGGGGCAGGTCCATTTCCTTCTGCATACCCTGGTTTCCTTATCTGTAAAAGGAAGAGATTGAAGCTGATGGTGTCTAAGATCTTTGCCATCCACCCCAGCTCTTCTTTTCTTGAATTCCGAGGGTCAAAGCTTCAGCCATTTCAAGACTCCAAGTCCTCAAGCCATGTTCTAATATTCTGGGAAGAAACGGGGTTGGGTGTGGACCTTCAGAGCTTTACCTGTCCTTGTCATGCAGCAACAGCCTCTCAAAGTGCAGGTGCAGCTTCTGGCCCTCTGGAGCTTCAATCGTCCAGATGCAGAATTGGCTCCCATTTGTGTTTTCAGGGTAACTTGGGGAGAGGACGCGGCCGATGGTGGCATTGTGCACTGCCCCTCCACAAGGAGCTGATCCAGAAAGGGGTGGGTGGGCAATGGGAGAGAGCAGAGAGGGAGAGAGAGAGGAGAGAGACAGAGAGAAAGAGAGAGAGAGAGAGAAGGAAGTGAGTGTTTCATTCTCCCCTGATCCCCACCCCTGCCCCTTGCCCAGGATGAAACATCAGAGACCTGGAGCGGGAGGAAACCGGGCAGGGAGAGAAAGCTTGGAAGGGACTTCTCCTGGGAGGGAATCCTGTTTGACAGGAGATTTCACCCTACAATTGGAACCATCAACATGTGTATTTCATGGTAGGGAATGACTGCAATTTAACGACAGTTCTGTGGTGCTGGCTGTGCCCTGACTTTTAATTACAAAATGGCAATCAAGAAGGATATAAACAGGCAGTTCACAAAAGAAGAAATATATTTCTAGTACTCAGTAAGCACTAAAAATTCAGCCTCACTAATAACAAATGAAATGCAAATCTAAGCTGTATTCTACTTTCATCCACCTAATCGGCCAAGATAAAAAGCAGCAATAAAATCTGGAGATGGTAAGGGTGATGGGAAATGCTCACTTTCATCATGACTGGTTAGAATGCAAACTGTTATGACCTTTCGGGAGGGCAATTTAGTGAAAAGCCTAGAAAACGTGCTCAAACACTTTGATCCGCCAAATGCGGTTCTGGATAATTATAATAAGAAAAGATTTAGAGATTTGCACCAAGAGTTAGGAATGAGGATATTCATGGCTATCTTGTTTCTAGGAATGAAAAATAAAAAAAACACCAAGATGAATGTCCACTCACAGATGTTTAGTGAAATACATCATGTGCCACATAACAGTGTTTCAATTTACAACAGAGTGTATATATGGCAGTGGTCCCATAAGATTTTAATATTATATTTTTATTGTATCTTTTCTATGTTTAGATAAACAAATACCTTTGTGTTACAATGTGTTCAGCACAGTAACATGCTGTACAGGTTTGTAGCGGAGAAGCAATAGGCTGTACCATATAGCCTGGGTATGTAGTAGGCTATACCATCAAGGCTCGTGTACATACACTCTATGATGTTCACGCAATGATGACATCATCTAAAGATGCATTTCCTAGAACATATCCCCATTGTTAAGTGATGCATAACTGTAAATACACTCCACCCATTCAGAAACTAAATACCATGTTCTCAAAGAATACTTCAGCATATAGGAAGATGCTCACTATTTTTTAAGTGAAAAAAAAAGCAAGTTAGAAAATAGTGTGCCATACCTATTTTAATAAGCTATTTTCAAGAATCAATTGAGACCATGAATATAAAAGTGATTTGTTCCTATTTCTTACACTTCACTATTTCTTGAAAAATTTCTTACCAGAATCATCTATTACTTTTATCATAAAAATCTAATGAAAAATATTAAAAAGTGATTTGTGCACTGGAAAGAACACTTTCCAGTTCTCAAGCGAGAAGGTATTCTTATTTTTACTCTAATTCTTAGGAGATATT
This sequence comes from Homo sapiens, assembly GCF_000001405.40. Classification (NCBI taxonomy): domain Eukaryota; kingdom Metazoa; phylum Chordata; class Mammalia; order Primates; family Hominidae; genus Homo; species Homo sapiens. Next base: position 26,304,499 of record NC_000022.11, on the reverse strand, counting down.
TGGTTCTTAGGAAATTGTTTTCTCACGTACTATATGAGAGAACAGTTTTGAATTTTCTTTCCTTTCTTTTTCTTTCTTTCTTTCTTTCTTTCTTTCTTTCTTTCTTTCTTTCTTTCTTTCTTTCTTTCTTCTTTCTTTTTTTTTTTTTGAGACAAACTCTTGCTCTGTCACCCAGGCTAGAGTGCAATGGCACGATCTCAGCTCACTGCAACCTCTGCCTCCCAGGTTCAAGTGATTCTCCTGCCTCAGCCTCCTGAGTAGCTGGGATTACAGGTGCCCACCACCGCGCCCAGCTAATTTTTGTATTTTTAGTAGAGATGGGGTTTCACCATCTTGGCCAGGCTGGTCTCGAACTCCTGACCTCGTGATCCACCTGCCTTGGCCTCCCAAAATGTAAGGATTAGAGGCATCAGCCACAGCACTCAGCCAGTTTTGAATTTTCTGAGGAGAGATGGTGGGTAGCAGATGCTTCTCACAGAGCGTGGCAGTCAGTCCAGGAGGAAGGGATGTGAAGAATAGCCCAGGGCCACGATTGAGTAAAGCCCTACACCATGACCAGGGTTTCAAGTCTTGGGAGCCATTTCTATCTTTTATGAGGATCAAAGGAGCTTGAAAAATATTTCCTTCCCAAGCACAGGACGCTTGGTTCCCCCTTCATTTTCAGAGATATAGGAGAGGAAGCAAAAGTGGGACAGGTTATTTGGAACCATCTCACAGATGGCTAAGGGGTTTGTAGGTTCCACAAAAGCTAGGACTACTTTTTGTTTGTTTGCTTTCAGTCACACTACCAGCAACCAGAAGAGCTCCTGGTATGTAGAATGTGCTCAGTAAATATTTACTGAATAACCACGATTAATTTTGCAAAAGAGGAAAAAAGAAGTTCAAAGGTATTACGCCACTTCCTCAAGGACATACACATAATAAGTGGAGCAGTTGAGACTCAAGCTCAGGCTGCCTCACTCCAGTATCTCTTATCGAAGTCACTACTCCACTGTCTGTCTTATTTATGATAACCTGCTAATCCAGAAAGGTATATGGCATATAGTAGTTGCTTTATAAAATGTTTGTTGAATGAAAGAATAAATATTTTTTCCTTTTTGTATCTCTAATATCAGCTCAAAGCTTGATACATAGCAGGTACCCATTAAATGTTTGTTGAATGACAGTATGACTGAATGGGGCTTGCAGTAGCAGAGAACGGTGGATAACTCTTATCTCTGCTCCAGACTGTGTTGTGACCTACAGCAAAGACATTGCCAAGAAGCTCCATACTTCTTTCAGGACCACAGACAGAAAGCTAGGTTCATTTCTCTCTCCAGGCTGCCCTTCTGTCCTAGAGGAGAGATTGTTCTGTGAAATAAGCCAGCCCTAGGTTGAAACCTTGCCAGTCATCTGCTGTGGATCTAAGACAAGTCACATGTTTACCCACTGTAAAATGGTGATAAGTCCACCCTCCTTATAGGACAGTAGTGAGAAATCAATGAAACGATGGGCATGGGGAGCTTCATGCCATCCCTGGCACAGAGTGGGCACTCAAAACATAGCCAGCTCTATTGCCCTGTGGCTCAGGAGCTGAGAAATGGAGGACACTGTCCCTGGTGGGGGGCTCTGGCCATCTGTCCTCCCAAGCTGCTGATCGTTTGCGGCTTCTCTGCTTCCCTTCTTTGCCTGATTAAGCCAACTGATGGCTCTGTTTGGCTTCAATTTGCCAGCCGTGGCTCCCCATCCATCTTTCTTAGCACAAATGGAAGCTTAATTCCTCCCTGATTTCACACATAGATAAAAATTAATGTGAGAGAGGCGTGAAGACCAACTGCCCTATGGTTTGGAATTTTATCTTTGTTTAAAAAAAAGAAAGAAAAATTCTGAAGGGCCTTGGGGGAACAATACTGTAACAATTGAATCTCAGAATTTATCATTAGCTCTCATTTCCTTTTTGAGCTCCACTTGGCTATGAATAACTGGAGGGCAGGAATTATGTCTCATTAGTTCCAATATTCTCTTCACACATGGCTCATAGCCTGGCACATAGTAGGTGGCAGGGCAACCTATACTCTCTCAACCACCATCAGGACTTTTGAGAATTCTAAAAGGGTTTTGCTCTCTTGATAGCTGAAGATGGCCAAGGCTGTGCCCACTGGTGCAGGGACAGTGCGTTACAAACCAGTGCTTCTCCAGGTGTAATGTGCATATGAGTCACCCAAGGGCCATGTTAAAGTGAAAATTTTGATTCATTTGGTTTTGCATGGGGCTCAGGATTATGCATTTCTAATAATTTTGCTAGTCCGAGGACCACACTTTGAGTAAGGAAGCTGTAAGGGGAGGAGCTCAGGAGAGAAGGGATCTGGACTAAGTTCGCCACTTCAAGTATGTTACTTCATCTCTCTAAGCCTCATTCTCTTTGCCTATGAAAGTGGTAATCTTATCTCCCTGAGTTCAAGTGAAATAGTAGATATTGTCCACCTTGATTTCCATGGATCCACTCTGACCATCCTCAATCATTTTTGCCAAATAGAAGTCAGAATGATCACCCTTATGCTTAAATTTTTCCAGATATCTCCTACCTAGTCCACCTGTCTTCTCATGACCTTGAGCAATACAGTTTCTGACCACTGCCCCAGCCTCCTGTCCTGATATTTTCTCTGCAGTTTAGTCAGATTGATCTTATTTATTTATTTGCTTTCTCAAACTCATCGAGTTCCTTCTGACCTCTGAACCTTAGCATGTGCTAGTGCATCTGCCTGGAATGTTTCCCCCTTCTCCCCCCCATTTTCCACCCTCAGTCTATTTCCTACTCAACTTCCAAATCTTGGAGTGTTATCAGGTAATCCTTCCCTGACCCTTCGCTCATCACTGTCCTCCTCCCAGGTGAGGTCCTCTATCACAGCTTCTTCCTGTATACCTTTTCTGCATTGCAACGCCTCTCACAATAACTGATGTCCTCTCCATCCTCACTCTGCATCATTCCACCATGTGAATTTCTTTCCTGGTCCTTAACACAATCTGTTACCAGCATGTTTGCATCCTTGTTTACTCATTTACATACTACAGCCTCACCTTGACTGGAAACTCTGTGAGAGCAGGAACTGGGTCAGGGTCCCTGCAATAGCTCTAGCAACAGGTGCAATGCCTACCACACAGTGGGCGCTCGGCGGATGTTTGTCGAATGAGTACCTAGATAGGAAAGGCTCTGAATGACAAACAACGCCCAACAGGTGCTTAAAATTCCTTCTGTCCTCGAAGTCTCAGATTCTGTCTGCTGGCTCAGAAAGCCCACTTCTTTTTACTAGAGGGCACCAGACTGTGTCAGCAGGCTACCTCCAACAATTTCTACATGGAGGCTTTGAGTAAGTGACTTCACCTACATGAGCCTCATCTGCAAAATGGGGATAATGGCTCCCATCCTATGGCATTGCTGTGAGGATTAAATGCAGCCTCTGGCACGGTGTGCAACACATATTGGCTTGGCTTGAAAAATGGCAGTAGTTACACTCAGAGCACAAGAAAGAAAAGAAAAAAATATTTAATTTTGCCAAATGTAAAAGCTTTGTGCATCAAATAACACTGTCAGTAAGTGAAAAGACAACCCATGAAATGGGAGAAAATATTTGCAAACCACTTATCTGATAAGGGTCTAGTGATCAGAATATATAATGATTGCTTACAACTCAATAACAAAAAGACAAACAACCTGATTAAAAAATGGAAATAAGAACACTTTTACACTGTTGGTGGGACTGTAAACTAGTTCAACCATTGTGGAAGTCAGTGTGGCGATTCCTCAGGGATCTAGAACTAGAAATACCATTTGACCCAGCAATCCCATTACTGGGTATATACCCAAAGGATTATAAATCATGCTGCTATAAAGACACATGCACACGTATGTTTACTGCAGCACTATTCACAATAGCAAAGACTTGGAACCAAGCCAAATGTCCAACAATGATAGACTGGTTTAAGAAAATGTGGCACATATACACCATGGAATACTATGCAGCCATAAAAAATGATGAGTTCATGTCCTTTGTAGGGATATGGATGAAGCTGGAAACCATCATTCTCAGCAAACTGTCGCAAGGACAAAAAACCAAACACCGCATGTTCTCACTCATAGGTGGGAATTGAACAATGAGAACACATGGACACAGGAAGGGGAACATCACACACCGGGGCCTGTTGTGGGGTGGGGAGAGGGGGGAGGGATAGCATCAGGAGATATACCTAATGTTAAATGATGAGTTAATGGGTGCAGCACACCAACATGGCACATGTATACATATGTAACAAACCTGCACGTTGTGCACATGTACCCTAAAACTTAAAGTATAATTAAAAAAAAATGGGCAAAGGACCTGACTAGACATCTCCCCAAAGAAGATCTACAAATGGCCAACACATACATGAAAAGATGCTTGACATCATTAATCATCAGGGAAATGGAAACTAAAACCATGAGATACCTTCATACCCATAAGGATGGCTACAATAAAAACAACAACATGGAAAAGAACATATGTGGGCAAGGATGTGGAGACACTGGTACTGTCACATTGCTGAGGGGAAAGTAAAATGGTGCAGCTGCTGTGGAAAATCGTTTGATGGTTCCTCAAAAAGTTATACATACAATGACCCTATGACCCAGCAATTCCACTCTTGAGTATATATCTAAGAGAAATGAAAGCCATATCCACACAAAAAACTGGCATACAAATGTTCACAGCAGCATTGTTCATAATAGCTGAAAAGTAGAAACAACTCAAATGTCTACTAACGAATAAACAGGTCAACAAAATGTGGGACATCCATACAATGGAATATTATTCAGCTGTAAAAAGAAATGAAGTACTGATACATGCTACAACATACACGAACTTTGAAAACACAGTGCCAAGCGCTAAGTGAAAGAAGTCAGACATGAAAGTCACATATTATATGATTCCATTTACATAAAATATCCACAATAGATAAATCCACAGAGACAGAATGCAGCCGGATGGTTGCCAGCGAGTGTGGGGAGGAGGGAGGGATGGGGAGTGACTGCTTTCTGTACAGTGTTTCCATTTGGGGTGTTAAAGATGTTTTGGAGCTAGGTAGTGGTGATGGTTGCACAATAGCGTGAACATACTAAAATGTCTCCAATGGTAAATTTCATATTATGTGTATTTTACTCCAATAAAAACATAAATAACAATAGTCATCCATATTTGGAGCAGTTTCTTCCCCTGGGCTGAAAGCCATTCCCTGAGGTCACTCTCGGTGTCCTACAGGTTGGTCTTTCCCCTCTTAGTTGGACCATCAGGTTTGGTCCGGCTGAGGCTGGAGCATACCTGAGCAGATGGGCTCCTGGCTGCTCCAGTGCGGCTTGGAGGCATTGATGCATGTCAGCATCTTAGCGCCCTGGAGCTCATAGCCCAGGTGGCAGTGAAAGTGGGCCACCCCACCTGAGTGCAGGTCCATCACCGTGACATCCCCAGAGTCAGGCCGGCGGGGAAAGTTGCAGCTCAGCATGAAGGCTGGGAAGAAATGCAGAGGCAGACTCAGTCATCACTTGGAGTGGCAGATCAAGAACCTGACCCACATCCTGGGAGCCAGTTTGTGCTGGGGAGAGAAGATGAGGCCCCTGGGGACTCCAGAGCTCTGGAGAATGGTATTTTTGTGACTCTCTTTGATCATATCAGGCTGAAACTGCCAGGTTAGCACTTTCTTGGGACTTAAAAATCGCCACCCTGCCTAAACAGAGACAGCAGGTTTGGGATGAAAAATGAGTTTCCATACCTCCTTTGAGCCTATCTCTATCTATGTAGAGACAGATTGGCCTTCTCTCTGGGACTGGGAGGGGCAAGACCACCCAGGAAGTTTAGTCCCACCTGCGTGCACATCTTGAGTGCTTGTTAAAAATGCAGATGCTTGAACCAGGTCTTTGGGAATTGCCCAAGGATATGAAAGCTCGAGAACTACTGGCCTGCGAGACAGGAGCTTGGGCTTTAGAAAGAAAACTAATGTGAGTTTACAAAACGATGTCACCTTGAGACAAGGACTCAGTGCCTCCACCTTACAGGTGGTGGTGGGGATTAAATGAGATAATACAGAGAAAGAGCCTCCTTCGCAGTCAGTAGATGGGGGTAGTAAAAGGGTGCATGGGGACATACTGAATTCCTCAGTTTTCATAAGAGGATGTCAAATTCATCCTAGCTTCTTCACCCTAGACCATGGTCTGACCTCTCCTGCAGCACAGAATATCTTTATTCTCAGTACTGATGAGGAGGAATACATTCAAGTTCATGATTCACATTCTTTTTTGTTGTTGCTTTTAAATTCACAACAACAGCAAAGGGCAGTATCCCACAATGAAAAGTTGTGATGAAGTGGACACTCCCCTTTGCAGTCATCCACCTGTTTCAGAAACAGGTGAGAGAAAAGTTGAAAATGAGTTGTTGTTGTTTTCAAATGTCTGGACAATTTGATATAACACATGATGGCTCTCAATATCTGGTTGCATGGTTCACGAATCCACTTTCCATTCAGATGTTTCAGCAGTTGGTAAGTATCCAAGGGAAAGTTCCTGGGTGAGGCAAAGGAGACCTGAGGTCATGGGAGCTGCATAGGAGGAAATCGGGGTGGAGGAGAGGGGAAGAAAAGGGGGACTAGGAAAGGAGAGAGAGAGAGAAGGGAGGGAAAATAGAGGGTGGAAAGGAAGAGAAAGAGAGGAGGAAATGAAGAAATAAAACAAGCAAGCAAAGAGGGAGGAGAAGAGAAGGAAGGAGAAAGGAAGTAAGAGAAGAGAGGAATGAACAGAGAGCAAAACAGAGAAGACAGGAACAGACAAAAAGGAAAACCAGTAGAGGAAGAAGAAAAGAGAGAAGTACCCTGTTAAGGCTCTTTATCAGGAGTCTGTGGACGCACAGTGGATCTATATATTGAATTCAGGGCCTGTGAACTTGAATGAAGGAAAGCTGCTTGCTTATTTTCATTAACCTCTACCTTAGCTGTGCTATTTTCCTGGCAACAAACTGAAACATTGTAGTAGAACCTGTGACTTTGACACCAAGAGAAACCACAGATATTTTTCATATCATAATGGATATCTCAACCTATTTCTTATGCTCCTTAGTACTTTGAAATGTCAGCAATTATAAGAACTACTAGAAGACATTGTTTAATGAATTAATAAAAAGCACATAGATTAAGGCATCATAGATTATAACAGTATTTTGATAACTGCAGCTCAGTAATACCGTTTTCTTTAAAATTGTATATATTTTATTTTATACTTTTAAAAACATTATTCTGAGAAGGGGTTTGTAGGTTTTACCAAACTGTCAGAGAGGTCCCTGGCACAAAAAGTTTTAAAATCCTTTTCTCCAGAGGGAAACTGAGGCAAACGCCTATGTTTCATCAGCCTTGGCCTGACCCTACCCTGGTAGTGAAGCTGGAAGGTCCCAAGGCCGTCGTCCTGGAAGGTCCGGAAGTAGACGGAGATGGTGTTGGTGGGGCTTCGGATTACCTGCCCCTCCACCAGGAGTGTCTGGTTGGCCAGGACGGTCAGGGTAGGGCCGTCCACCCCGCGGATGGAGAGCAGTTCCCCATCGGACAGGTTCACACTCTTCACCTGGGAACAGGCAGAAGCAGACAGAGAGGAACTCTGAGTTGTGTTTGAGACAGAGCCTTCTAAGGTTGCAAAGAAGTCAGTGAAAAGTGGCCCAGGTACTGCTAGCCCCTGGTCAACGGGACCCCTGGGCCCCATGCCGAGCCCACAGGAGCCCTGGGAATATCAAGGTCCCCCTAATTTCCCCAAAAGCCAAGGGGATAGAGTGAAACCAAACTGCAAGGCAGAGGCATTGCAAGGGACTTGCAATGTGAGGCCCCCATTGCTGTGTCCTGTAAGAGGGGCCTTTGGCACAGGCCCTGGATGCTAGTGGGTGGGATAGATTATCCTGGAGCTGGTGAGTGGAGGCAGCAGTTGGATCAGCTTGTGCTTGAGATCCAATCTCCAGGGAGCCGGGAGAAGCATTCTACCAGAATGTATACTCTGCAAGGTTAGGGATTTCTCCATGCTGTTCAATGTTTCCAGTGCCTAGAATAGTACCTGGCACATATTAAGTGCTCAGAAAATATTTAAAAAAGATTGAATATATTCTTCCATTTTCTGCATAAATTGGTAAGTGAGGGGTGGGGGCCTCATTTCTAGGGCACTCTCTGGCCCATTCTCTTATTCTCCCCAGTGGTGGCTACAACTGCAGGACAATCAACCCCTATCTCAAAGAATCAGACACTTGCTTTGCCATTTACACTCTGTGGGATTTGAGAAGAAAGAAGCGAGATACTTTAGTTGTACGCAGGGAGGCTGAACAAATGGTATGTGCGCGTGTGTGTGTAAGGGAGAATTTAGTCAGGTCTCAATGCCTAATTTGAAGACTTACGCTTTTATGAGTAGGGCTTGGAACTTTAGTTTCTCTGCCTCTCCTCTAAACAGGGCAGGCCTTACCCACAAGCTCTTCTTCCTTCAGGCCCTATATCTTATCCTCTTTTCTCTTTGATGAACTCCTACTCATTCACCAAAGCCCCATTAAAATTGCCCTCCTCTATGAGACCTTCCCTGATTGCCAAGGAGTTTGCCTGTTCCTTTGCTGCGATTCTACAACAACCTCTAAAACACCAATTAGAGTCCCTACTAAATGGCATCCTACGTATTTCTCTTTTAGGGCAGGCATTGCATCAGTTTTTTACATCAACATATTCTCCTGTGTCAACAGCTTTGCCTGGTGCATTCTAATTGCTCAATGAATGAACTCTACTGTGCCTGGTAAAAGGCTCCACACAGTACTGGACACATACTGGGTCCAATACTCTTCATGACATGGAGGAAAGGGTTCTTAAGCACTATAATAATCTGGACTGCAGGTTTTCTCCAGTTTATTTTAATTCCATGAACAATTATTAAGGACCTACAATGTGCCACACACTTGTGCAAAGCTCTGGGGACTGCAAAGACTACAGGTTCTACTGCTGAGGGGCTTACCTTTTGTCTCTCTTATACAAGTAAAACAAAAACAAAAACAAAAAACCTTCCTAAGGTAAGGTCATACACCTGCCCCAGCTCAGAAACTTTTGATGGCTCTTTATTTCCCATGAGAAAAAGGAACACATTCAGGGTGATTAGCATACTGAAGATAATGGATAACATGCACTGCATGGTCGCGATTTCTGCTGGGCTCTGACCAAATGATTTCTCTCTCTCTCCTCCCTCTCTCTCTGCTGGGCTGTGGCCAAATGATCTCTGCATTGTCATATTTACTGCTCCCCCAAACTTTACAAAGCAGTAACATTATTCCTATTTTATTGATCGGGAAACTGAGGCTCAGAGAGGTGAAGTTCCTTGTTCAAAGTCACGCAGTTTTAACTGGAAGAGGTAGGACTTAAAACCCAGATGTTTGAGCATTATGCCACCCTGCTTTTCCTTTCTTACTGTATGGGCAAAAGTTTAAGAATAAAATGTCCTAATAACCAGAAAATGAAGGAAAGCAAGCAAGCAAGCAAGAAAGAAAGAAAGAAAGAAAGAAAGAGAAAGAGAAAGAAGCAAGAAAGCAGGAAGCAAGCAAGCAAGCAAGAAAGAAAGAAAGAAAGAGAAAGAGAAAGAAGCAAGAAAGCAGGAAGCAAGCAAGCAAGCAAGAAAGAAAGAGAAAGAGAAATAAGGAAGCAAGCAAGCAAGAAAGAATCAAATGAATCAGGTGGAGCTTCCGTGTGTGTGTGTGTGTGTGTGTGTGTGTGTGTGTGTTTATGCACGTGCATGCGTGTGTGTATGTGTGTGTGAGATAAGCAGAGTATCAAGGGATTTTCCTTCTGGGAAATACCTCAGAATTTGTCAGCATGTTCCCTCTATCCCCACAAGCTATTTTAGCAAAGCATTGAGTTAAGAACTCCTACTCATTCGCCAAAACCCAGCTAAAGTTGGCCTGGTTGGGCAAAGACAGAACCAAACTAGTTAGCATAACAGTAAGCCTGACTCAGACAATCCTCCTGAGACTTCCTGCTAGACGAGGCAGCCTCTGTGAGGTACTCTCCTGGGGTTACCTGGAGCTCCACCCCATAGCCAGTGTAGACTGTCACGTTGTATGTGCACTCCAGAAAGTTGTTGAGGGGCAGCAGTGGGTAGTCGCTGGAGTCAATGTACCCCTCAGGATTGGAGAAGCTCACACTGCAGAGAGCTGGAAGGAAGGACTTTAATTAGGACACCAAAGACAACTTGGATGTAAGCTCAACCATGGGCTGTGGGGTGGAATGGGGGCTTTAGGGGAACCTGCATTTTGCTGTTCCCATCTGTCCTTCTGCTGTTAATTCCTCAGCTCCAGAATTGACATGATAATAAAAATAGCAATAATTGACACAGAATGATCACTTACTATATCCTGCTAGGCACCATTTTAGCTAGTCAACAGGGGTGACCCCACTTATTCTCATAGGGACTGATAATATTTCATCCCCAGTTTAGAGGGAAGTAAACAAAAGCTCAGAGAGGGGCCGAGCTCAAACAGCAAGCAGGATTTGGACCCAGAGCTCACGTGCTTTGAAGGGTGGCCACATTGCACTTGTCCAAAATCCATGTATGCTTGACAATTGGGGGTCCTTCTCCCATTTTAAAGATGGTAGAGAAGACTGGAACACAGAAGAGCATTTTATCAAGTCTAGAAAATACATGTAATGCTAAAAGCAAATGTGCTTTGAAAAGGCTAGTGGCTTTGAAGCAGGTTAAATGAAGAATTCCGTTCCAAGATGAAAAGGTTTTGAATCTTGCTCATTAGCTGTGTGACCTTTGGCAGGTTGCTTGGGGGTCTCAGGGTTTCAGTTGTCTCATCTTTAAAATGGGGATGTTGGCTGAGTGTCCTGGCTCATGCCTGTAATCCCAGTGCTTTGGGAGGCTGAGGTGGGAGGATTGCTTGAGCCCAGGAGTTCCCCAGCCTGGACAATAAGCAAGACCCCCTTTCTACAAAAAACAAAAAAATTAGCTGGACATCATAGTGCATGCTTGTAGTCCCAGCTACTCAAGAGGCTGAGGCAAGAGGATCACTTGAGCACAGGAGTTTGAGGCTGCAGTGAGCTATGATCGTGCCATGGCACTCCAGCCTGGGCGAAAGATCAAGACCCCTTTGCTAAAACAACCCCCCAAAACAACAAACAAATGAAATGAGGCTATTAATTCTGAGCCACAGGGCGAAGCTCATAGTCAGTGCTCAATGGACGGTAACTGATGGTGGGGCCGGGGCTTCTTGAGATTCCTCTACCCACATGCCCTGAACATAGTGAGTGCCTCATGGCTGTTTCAGGATGGCTTCAGGAGTTGGGGGCTGCATACCTGGTGCCTGCTCGGTGGTGATGACCGTGGTGGTGATAATGGTGGAGGTAGTGGTCTCCTGGCTCTCCTCTGAGGCTGACCCAGTCAGCTCATTCTCACCTTTGTCCATCAGGGCCATGGGGCTGGTGTCCTCCTGGGGGGCCTCCTGGGCCATGTCAGGCCCAGGCTCCCCGGGTTCTGGCCTCTGGGGGAGTGTGTGGGCCACATAGGGCTGCGAAGTGAAGGGGGAGATTTGCAGGGGTGCGGGTGTTGTAGGGACCGCACTCTCCTTTCGGTCCAGCCAAAGGGGCACTTCTGATGCCTCCTCGGAGGCCACGATGGGGTCCGGGTCCCCCGGTGGGCCAGGCTTCTCCGTGGAGGAGGAGAGGAGATCTAGGCCCTGGGACGCTGGCTGGGACCCTGCCCTTTGGACAGTGGCTGCGGAGGTGGCCTTGGGCCTCAGCTGCTTCCTGGCAGAGTTCACCTGCTTGAGCGAAGGCAGTTTCTTCTTGGGGGGCAAGGCGTGCTTGGGGCGGGCCTCCTCTGGAAGCAGCGGTGACAGGGCTGGGATGTCGTGATGTGCAGAGGGTGCGGTCCCATCCAGCACCAGCTCGCCCAGCACTTCCGCCGACTGTGAGGAACTGGGGGGCGCTGTTACCACTCTCTCTTCAGGGTGCTCTTTGCCAGGACTGCCTCTCTCCGGGGCTCCTGAGGGCAGGAGGTAAGGACCCAAAGGGCTAGCATCTCCCTCGGGAAGAGCATCTTGGAAGAGGAGAAAAGACACCAGTTAGTTTGGGGAGATTTAGGACCTTCACCTGCTGTCAGACTCTGAGGGTGGCCCTCCTAAGGGCGGTGCCCAAAGCTCGTCCGGCTGGCCTCTAAACCAACTTCTCCTTTCTCCCTCCCTCCCTTCCTTTCTTTTTTCTCCTCCTTCCCTCTCTCCCTCTTTCTCTTTTCTTCCTTCTTTTCCTCCCACCCTCCCTCCTTCCTTCTTTCCTTCCTCCTTCCTTCCTTCCTTCCTTTCTTTCTTTCTTTCCTCCCTCCCTCCTTCCTTTCCCCTTCCATTTTTTTCTTTCTTCCTTCCTCCTTCATTTTCTTCCTTCATTTCCTTCCTTCTTTCCTTCCATCCATCCTTCCTTCCTTCCTTCCTTCCTTCCTTCCTTCCTTCCTTCCTTCCTTCCTTCCTTCCTTTTCCTGAAGACTTGGGCTTGATCATGCCAGGACTGAGCTAAGCATTAGGAGTATAGAAACAAAAAGCACAGGGGCCTCACTGCCTGGTTGTATATGTACTGGGAAGGGGGATGGGAAAGTAGACACAATCATATTTGATATGATGAATGCTTGGAAAGAGAAAAGCTTGTGTGCTAAGAGAGCAGAGAGGACGGGCCCTAACCCCGTCTGCAGGACAGGCATGCCATGTACAGTTGGGCAGATTGTTCCCTGTACAAAGACATGCAGCTAAGAGGATGAGTGGGGATGGACACCAGGCCACACTCTCTTTTCTAAGCTGTGTGCTCTGGCTGGGCTTGGGGGATGGGGGAGGAGAGTTTTTTTAAATTTAAATTTTAATTTTAAGTTCTGGGGCCTATGTGCAGGATGTGCAGGTTTGTTATGTAGGTAAACATGTGCCATGGTGGTTTGCTGCACCTATCAACCCACGCTAGGTATTAAGCCCAGCATGCATTACCTATTTTTCCTAATGCTCTCCCCTCCCCCAACTCCACCCCGCAACAGGCCCCAGTGTGTGTTACTCCCCTCCCTGTGTCCATGTGTTCTCATTGTTCAACTCCCACTTATAAGTGAGAACATGTGGTGTTTGGTTTTCTGTTCCTGCCTTAGTTTGCTAGGGATAATGTCTTCCAGCTCCATCTATGTCCCTGCAAAGGACATGATTTTGTTTGTCTTTATGGCTGCATAGTATTCCATGGTGTACATGTACCACATTTTCTTTATCCAGTCTATCATTGATGGGCATTAGGTTGATTCCACGTCTTTGCTATTGTGAATAGTGCAGCAATGAACATGTGCATGCATGTATCTTTGTAACAGAATGATTTATATTCCTTTGGGTATATATGTAATGGGACCCAGTAATGGGATTGCTGAGTCAAATGCTATTTCTGGTTCCAGATCTTTGAGGAATCTCAGCACCATCTTCCACAATGGTTGAATTAATTTACATTCCCACCAACAGTGTAAAAGCAGGGTTGGGGGAGGTACATTTTAAACTGAAGGAATGTAAGAGTGACCTTGTGGGAGACACAGAAATGTTTTAGGATTCAGAGTCACGAGGCAGATTCAGAACAGAGGACTGTGTGAAGACCCATGGAGGCTTGGAGGCTGGGCAGAGGTGGGCACAAAAGAATTGCAAGGGGTTTTGGAGCACAAGTGGAGAGTACGGGGGATAAAGCTGGTAAGGTAGGGAGGCAGGGGCCAGGCCCTGGAGGGCCTTGTATACCTTGCTAACTTCTTGTAATTCATTTTGTTTTTTCTTGAGACGGATCTCACTATGGCTGGTTGCAAACTCCTGGGATCAAGTGATCCTCCCACCTTGGTCCCCATCCTTGCGATTTATTTTTGTCTGGAAGGTAAAACCATTTAGTCATTTTATTTTATTTTATTTTATTTATTTTTTTGAGACGGAGTCTCACTCTGTCGCCCAGGCTGGAGTGCAGTGGCGCGATCTCGGCTCACTGCAAGCTCCGCCTCCCGGGTTCACGCCATTCTCCTGCCTCAGCCTCCTGAGCAGCTGGGACCACAGGTGCGTGCCACCATGCCCAGCTAATTTTTTGTATTTTTTAGTAGAGACAGGGTTTCACCATGTTAGCCAGGATGGTCTCGATCTCCTGACCTCGTGATCCACCCGCCTCGGCCTCCCAAAGTGCTGGGATTACAGGCGTGAGCCACCGCGCCCGGCCCAATAGTCATTTTAAAGAAGGGCTGGCCCAGGCAGCTGTCTGGCAGAATGGTGCTGGAAACCAGCTTTGTTTGCTTTTTAAAGACCCAGTTCTGCCAATTGCTGGTTAATGACTTCACTCTCCAAGCCTCAGTTCCCTCAGCTGTCAAATGGGGCTATTATTTCCTATTTCCTGGGGTTGCCATCATTCAGCGAGTTGATGTATGCAAAGCACTTAGGACAGCGCCTCACCCGTAGTGAGTGCTTAGCAAATGCCAGCTGCCGTCATGGTTTTTACTCTTGTCATTGCAATCACAGCCCCTCGGCAGGAAACTGGAGCAATCAGAACATCCCCGTGAAGATGTCTAGATAGAGAGGAATTACATCACGGGGACAAAGGCCCTCGGACTGATAGCTGTCCTTGTCGATTTTCTGCAGGGAGACACTCACTCAGCTACAGTCTCCAGGCCCTCCAGTGCTGTCATTTAAATTTATTTCAGCAGTCGTTGGAGAGGCTCATTTACTTTCATGGAGTTGGCGGCGGTGGCTTAATCTATATAGACTGCAACAGTTTGCAACTGGCATCAACAAATGTTCCTGTTGTGTAACATTGATTACCAGCCAGTGTTCCTTCCAGGCCGCCAGTGATGCTGGGCCAGGAATGGGTATCTGGGAGCAGCGTGAGTGGATGGCATGAGGGCAGGTCAAGGTCATTCAGGCATCAGGCAGATTTCCTAGTCCAAGGTGGGGAGTAGTGAAGCTTCAGAGTTAGGGTTCAAATCCTGCCTGTTACAGTTATGAGCTGAGTGAGTCTGGGCAAGTCCTTGAACCTTGCTGAGGTTCAGCAGCCTCTTTTGTATAATGGAGGTATTCTATCTACCTTGTTGGATTAGACCAGACGTGGATCTGCCTCAAAACAATGGCTTTTATGCTCACTGTCGCTTTTCTAAAATGATTGATGTTGACCATCTTTGTAGACTGTGGAGTGAAAAGAGGGCATAGGGACAAAAAGAGCAGGGGGGAGGGGTCAGGACACCCAGCTTCCAAGACCCAGCTGTGGTACAACACAAAGTACTTGGATACAACCAGGAGCTGAGGGATCTGGGTGGTGTCCCATCTTGGCCACTATTCACTAGCATGACTTTGCATGGGTCTCCTCTTCTCTGCATCTTCTCTATGTGTCAAATGGGCAGCCAGACTGCATATGAAAGAAGGGCCTTTCTAGCTCAGACATTGTTGGGTTTTTGAAATGACCAGGGAATTGACAATTATTCTTAGAGCCATTTGTTAACCCTGCTAAATTGGAAAAGGTGACTGCTAAATCCCAACACTGGCGGATGTTGGGGGTTTTTTTTTGGGTTATCTGGCCAGCCAGCTCCTTTGCAAACATTACCCCTTAATTATAAGTGGGGATGAGAGAGAGGAGAGAGAGAGCAAGATTGGAAAAACAAGTTGTGTCATCTGCACACAAGGAGGTGACAAAAAGCACATCAATTCACCTTGGCCAAAATAACAGTGATATTTATAATGTTTTAATTGTGATTGCTTTGTTGAGTAATGAAGAGGGCTTTGCATCCATTGCCTCCTTTTTAATTCCTTCTCAACCGTATCAGGCAGAAATTATTGTTCCTATTTTATGAATGATCAAAGTGAAGTTTTGGGATGTTAAATCACTTTTTGAGGTC
This sequence comes from Homo sapiens, assembly GCF_000001405.40. Lineage (NCBI taxonomy): Eukaryota > Metazoa > Chordata > Mammalia > Primates > Hominidae > Homo > Homo sapiens. Next base: position 26,288,586 of record NC_000022.11, on the reverse strand, counting down.
ACACAGCAAAGCTGGGTTTCAAATCTTGGTTTTTATGACCCCAAAGATCATGCTACTAGCTCTTTTAAGAAATATGGGGTATTGATGTCACTTGGCATCCTCCTCCTCAGCTTGAATCAGCCTCTTCCCTTTCCCTCTCATTTTGTTTGTCTCTGCTGGGTGGGCTAGAGTGTTTTTCTAATCTCCAACCCCAACTCCACAGAATTCAGACCCATCACATCTGAATCTCCAGGGGTGGGTCTTGGGAAGCTGATGATTGAAAAACTCCTCTGGTGACTTTTATTATCAGAGTTGCCAGGGAAGTTTGGGAACACGTGAACCCACCTGACTTACTATGTGTTCCTCATCTGTTTTGTCTTCCAAGTGCCTAAGGATGCAGTTGGCAGAAAACAAAGTGTGGGTTTGTGCAGCAGATGGTGACTCTTTGACTCTTTCCAAGGCTTGTGATCTCCCCTAGCAATCCCAGTCCTCCAAGACCCAAATACAGTCAAAAGAACAGAAGGAAATGCAAGAAAACAGATTCCCCAACTGGCTTCCTCTTCACAGCTGCTGTTCTTACTCTCTGGGTCCCCCAGGGTACAAGGGTGCTAACCGCAGCAGCTATAAACCACTCTAAGAAGGAAACCCAGCTGGGTTCAGAGTCAGCCCTTTCCCACTGAAAACCTGACCATCAAGGAGAGTTTTGTATCCACCAGATAAATTCATCTCTCAGTCCCTACTATCCCCTTTTCCTTAATCATACACAAGCTTGGATCTTGCCAGCTGGCTCCAAACTTAAGGCCAAGTCCAACACAGATGATATGCATCTGTGGTCTGCAACATAGGCAGCCCACAGGCCTCATTCTTAGCCAGGATGTTGGCCAGATTAGTGCCATGCAAAACCAAGTCCCACTGGGAATTAGCGAAAATTGTACTTCAGGGCCTCAGCAGGAAACTGGAGCAATCAGAATATCCCCATGATGATGTCCAGATAGAGAAGACTTACATCATGGGGACAAAACTGCTTATCCAGCAACTTTATAACTTGCCCCAATAGCCTTGTTTTTCTTGGTGTCCGATGACCGCTGAGTTAAATTAACTCATTTTTTTTCAGAACATTTAAAATTTTCTATCATGATAGTCACATTTATCTGATTCTTCCTTTATCACGTACAGTCGGTGCTCTACTCAAAAGCGGTCAATCAATCAAAGTGTTGGGTGTTCACTTTCTCCTATGGTTGACACCCGACACAAGAGAGTGAACATTCTAAGATTTGGCCCCTGCCCTCAAGGAGTTAGGAAAACACACACACACTGATAATCAACTACAGAGATCAAACAGAAGAGATGGAGCTTTCCTTAAATGCACGCTGATGTTGCTCTTCCCCCAAAGGACAGAGCCATGCCACGTAGAAGGCAATTGAACATTTGTTCTGCCATCCAAGTTGGGGCAGCAGCGTATCTCTCTTTCTCTCCCATTTTTCTAACTTTGATGGGGAGATGGGAGATTAGACTGGGAACATCCTATTAAAGTGAAAAAAAAAAAAAAAGCACAAGCTCGACCGGGCATGGTGGATCACACCTGTAATCCCAGCACTTTGGGAGGCTGAGGTGGGCAGATCACTTGAGGTCAGGAGTTGGAAACCAGCTTGGCCAATATTGTGAAATCCTGTCTCTACTAAAAATACAAAAATTAGTCAGGCATGGTGGCAGGGGCCTGTAATCCCAGCTACTTGGGAAGCTGAGGCGGGAGAATCACTCAAACCCAGAAGGTGGAGGTGGCAGTGAGCCGAGATTGTGCCACTGCACACCAGCCTGGGCAACAGAGCAAAAATTCCATCTCAAAAAAAAAAAAAAAAAAAGCACAAGCTCTGAAGCTGAAGGTTTGTATCTTAAATCCCCAGCCGCAGCAGAATGCCTGGGAGAGGCACGGAATTCCAAGCAGTAGCGTAACATATCATCATGCAGGTACAAGGTGATGTGAGTGAAGAAACGAGAGCTGGGAGATGCTACTGCTATAATGTTCAGTGAAAAGAATGAGACATAAAATTCTATGGTATGTATGAAAATGGCTAGAAGCAACGAAGTAAAACAAATTGCAATGCAGAGAATCATGTTTTGACTTGAAGAATGGCACTAAGATGGAGGCCCTGGTGGCCTCTGGGTGTATTTTCTCCTTCCTACTTTTTGGCATTTTCCAAAATACGTATAATAAGTACGTAAAAGACTTTCTTAAATGAAATAAATATTTACAGAACGAGCTGATTTTAAGATGCTGTCTCTAGCCCCTGGTGATTGAGAGGTCTAGGAATGCACACACAAGGTTGTAATCACAGAAGCACTTCACAGATGGAATCATTGAGCCTCTTTGGAATGCAGTTTCCTGGTAGAGATGATGATCATTATTCCCTCATGGCACTATTTACAGTAACTACCTTTAGGACGCAGGACTGACAGGTGAATCAATGGATGTACTTTTGGTAAAAGGTACTGCAAAACTGTTAGTCACTATTCTAATCCTCATTAATACCCATTCCAGTGGTTATTTCTTATACTTCAGACTCCACTATAAAGACTCGCCCAACCTGCCTTGATTGTTTGGCCCCACTGGGGACAAAACTGAAAATAAATATCACATCTTAAAGATCAAAAGGCTCCTGGAGATCACGGTTACAAACTGCCCAGTAAAGGAGTGTGAGGTTCAAAGAGGGGAAGCGGTTGTCCAGAGTCAACACAGCATATCAGCAGCAGTGAAAGAACAAGGCTGTTTGAGGCTTGAAAAACCACAGCAGAGCACATCACACAAAATTAAAAACAAAGCCAGGAACATCTGGATAGTTGAAGGCATAGAACCAACTGTACTGCCAGTTACTTTTATGCCTTTGACATCTAGGCTGGATCATTTTTGCTGGGTGACAGAAGCTGCTCTATGCGTTGTAGGAAACGGAGCAGCATCCCTAGCTTCTACCCACTAGATGCCAGCAGCAAACCTCCCCCAACCTGCATGCCCTACCCTCCCATCACCTGCCCAGTTGTGACAACCAAAAATGATTCCAAACACTGCCAGATGTTTCCTGGGTGGCAAGATTGCCTCTGGTTGAAGACCACTGGATTAATCACAGTGAACACAACACAGAGGTGATCTGGCACTGCCCTCAGGACTGAGAAAGACTTCCTTCCCAATTCCTGGAACTGATCAGCTTTGTGTTGCTTGTATCATTGAATTTGAGGGTTGGAGAAGGTCTTAGTTTAATGTCTATTTTATAAATAAAGAAGTTGGATTTAGCAAGAGCCGAGTTTCCGTCTCGGGCACATTTGATCATCACTTCATTTATCCATTTATCGTTCATTCATTCATTCATTCTGCACTTATTACATGCTCGTCACTGGCCCAGGCAACAGCTGCCGGCCCCCTGTGGTCCACTTGGAAGGATAGATTCATAGTATTGATCCCATTTGCACTTTGAGAAGACCTTCTGGAACAAAAGGCAGAGGTGGTGGTGGCCTTGGGGGCAGCAGGGGTCTTCCCTATCAGTCAGTTGCAACCCTCTGCCTGTATGCCCATGCTAACAATACTGATATTCAAGTGGCGATTTATACTCCATAGAGTTCATTCCCTCTTAGGATCTCATTCCGATCTCCAAACAATACTGTAAAGTTGACATTTTGTTTTTCCCATTTTATAGGTGAAAAAAAAAATAAAGACTCCTATGGGGGAAGTGACTTGTTCAAGATCATAGAGAGAAAACTGGGGTAGAGTTAGACACTTTCTGACTTTGTTTCCTGTGCACTTTTCCTCTTTCCCACATCTTCAAATAATTATTTCCTGTGAAATAGTTTATTCAAAAAATTAAAGAACACCTGAGAGGTAAGAAATCAAAAGTACAAGCACTTCTCTCCTACGTTCTGTTCACCAATCCTGCTTTCTACAGGGTATCAGTGTTAATTGTAATCTTGTTTAAACCGTCATTAGGGTTTTTTTTTTTTTTTTTTTTTTTTTTTTGGAGTCCTGATCTGTCATCAAGGCTGGAGTGCAGCGGTGCAATCTCAGCTCACTGCAACCTCCGCCTCCTGGGTTAAAGCGATCCTCCCATTTCAATCTCCAGAATAGTTAGGGTTACAGGCATGAGCCAACATGCCCGGCTAATATTTTTTATATTTTTAGTAGAGACAGGGTTGTACCATGTTGGCCAGGCTGGCCTTGAACTTCTGAACTCAAGTGATCCATGTGCCTTGGCCTCCCAAAGTGCTGGGATTATAGGCATGAGCCACCGCACCCGGCCAAGTCTTGTTTCATCTCTAAATAAAATGTATTGATATAAAAACACTTACATATTTTCACTTTAAAAGGCAAAATAGCACCTAGGAGTGTGAGATTGGGAGTCAGAACTGTTTGTGTTCTGGACTTAGCTCACTGTTACTGCCGGTAAGACACTGGACAGCCATTCCCCTCCTCTGGGGCTCACTGTTCTCATCTGTATGGTGGGGTTTCATCAGCCTTGTCTTTTGGAGTTTTAGAGAGTAAAATGAAATCATGCCAGTAAAATGCAGAGCTCACACAGCAGCCTGCCAGCCATCATGAACACAGTTGTCATTTTCTATCTGTCTGAACATTTACAAAGTTATCACATGGCATATATTGTTCTGTAACTTACTGAGTAACACATTTTGAAATATTTCAGTCAATCAAAAAGAGTTAAAGGCTAACGCAGTAAATACCCACATATGTGCACCTTCATCTTAAAGAATAGAATACTCCTAGTATAGTTGAAACCCCTGCCTTTCCTCCCCCATAATATTCTCCATCTCCTTCTCCACCCCCTGGAATGAACTACTGCCCTGAATGTGGCATTTAGCATTCTCGTTTATTATGTGCACTTGTTCTTATTTTACTGCTATTATTTATTGTATGCACTTATTTGTTACAGATATAAATATCTGTGAACAATGTATGGCATTGTATGGCACATTTAAAAATATTATATAAATGCTGTCATACCATAGGAATTATCCTGAAAACTGCTTTTTTCTCTGTTTTTATTGTTGTTGTTGATCAACACTTTATAGAATTCATCCATGTTGATAAGTGCAGCTGTGATGGATTCATTTTTCACTGCTGTATAGTATTCCATTACATTAGTATTCTACCACCAACTTTGTACTTAGAAGCCGTGGGCTTTCGACTAGAACACACATAGTCACTTTACTCTTTTTAAATGATTACATTAAAATATAAACATATACCTCACTGAACCAGTCTCCTATTGATTAATATTCAAATTATTGCCATTCCCCTACCTTCCTCCAATTAGTACTGCAATTAATACGCATCTTTGGGGATTACATTCACATAATTTCTTAAGGAGGGCATACTAGAAGTCGTATTGCAGCCGGATGCAGTGGCTCACGCCTGTAATCCCAGCACTTTGGGAGGCTGAGGTGGGTAGATCATGAGGTCAGGAGTTGAAGACCAGCCTGGCCAATATGGTGAAACCCCATCTCTACTAAAAATACAAAAATTAGCCAGGTGTGGCGGCACACCTGTAGTAGTCCCAGCTACTCAGGAGGCTGAGGCAGAAGAATCGCTTGAACCCGGGAGGTGGAGGTTGCAGTGAGCCAAAATCGCGCCACTGTACTCCAGCCTGGGCGACAGGGAGAGACTCCAACTCAAAAAAAAAGAAATTGCATTGCTCATTGCTCAGCCAAAAGATTTACACATTTTAAATTTTGATTGACATAGAAAAAAAATCACCTTCAGAATAATCTGAACCTATTTACCCTGCCACCAACTCTATTTGAGAGTGCTGCTGCTCTTCAGCAGTGAAGTCAGCATTTCTTTTCTGAAGATTTTAACTAGACCATCTAAAATGGAATCTGGGGCAGCTGGATACTGGCACGGTAGGCTTCTAAAAAGCCCCCTTGATGATTTTTGAGGTACTCTCGAGCTTTCTCTAGATGCCGCTTTCTACCTGAAGCTGTGCCTACGGTTGGTCCCAACCTTTCACCTGCCTCACCACACTTTTTTCTCAAGAGCATCCAGGGAGCCTATTCTAGGGTGCTTTGCAGACATGCTCCACATCAACCAGAGTTTATGTAACAGGTCAGACTGGAGATCCATGGTAAATGAGGGCTAGGAAGACAGTCTGGGTTCAATGGCCTGAGAACAAAAGAGGCTTCACTGAAACAGCAATAGATTTTTAGGTAAACAGGCTGCCTGGTCATGTCCCAAAGCTGAGAGACCTTTGTGGTCATTGACACGTACTAGGGTGTTGCAAAGTGTTCACAATACAAAGCATTGTTTATAGTAGCAAAAATCTGGAAACAACATACATACCCATCCATAGGGGACTAGTTACGTGATTGTAGAACACAGTAAAATATCTGCAGGGTTTAAAGGAATGAGATGAAGTCACTGGTGAATAACATAGAGTGTAACACGGCAAGAGCTTTCAGAATTATTTGTACATCTTCCCTTTGACTCATGAGTCTGCTTCTGGGAATTTATCCTACAGAGAGATGTTTGCCCATGTGCAAAATGCTATGCAGACGAGTTAAGCAATGCGGCCCCATTTGTAGCAGCAAAAGGCTAGAAGATAAATCAAGAATACATCAATAAGGTTAAATCAATTACAGAATATCCAGGTGGAATGCCATGCAGCTGAGAGAAGAGAATGATGAAGCTATCTATGCACGGAAGAGGAGAGATGACCAAGGATTCCGTAATGTTAAAAAGTAAGATGTGGTGGAATCCAAAAGGTTGAACTCACAGAAGCAGAGGGTAGAATGGTGTTTACCAGAGGGGTGGGCAGGGGTAGGTAAGGATTAAGGAGATGTTGGTCAAAGGATACATAATTTAAATTAGGATTTCTTAGTTTGTTTTCCACTGCTTATCACAGAACATCGGAACTGGGTAATTTCTAAAGAAAAGAAGGCCAGGTGCGGTGGCTCACGCCTGTAATCCCAGCACTTTGGAAGGCCGAGGTGGGCGGACCACGAGGTCAGGAGATCAAGACCATCCTGGCTAACACGGTGAAACCCCGTCTCTACTAAAAAAAATTTAAAAAAAGTAGCCGGCCATGGTGGCGGGCGCCTGTATTCCCAGCTACTCGGGAGGTTGAGGCAGGAGAATGGCGTGAACCCGGGAGGCGGAGCTTGCAGTGAGCCGAGATGGCGCCACTGCACTCCAGCCTGGGCGGCAGAGTGAGACTCCGTCTCAAAAAAAAAAAAAAAAAAGAAAGAAAGAAAGAAAAGAAAAGAAACTTATTTCTTACAATTCTGGAGGCTGAGAATTCAGGCCTTCCTCCTGGTGGGGACTATCTACAGGGTCTCATAGTGACGCAGTGCATTACGTGGCTGCAGGGCGGAGCATACTAATATGCTCATATCTCTCTCCTGCTTCTTATAAAGCCACTAATTGTACTCCCATGATAACCCATTAATCCATTAATCCATTAATTCAGGAGTAGTTAATCCATTTGTGAGGGCAGAGCCCTCCTTATCCAACAGCCTTTTTGAGTCACCACCTCTCAATACTGTCACCCTGGGGATTAAATTCCAACATGAGTCTTAGAAGGGACAATAATTTAAGCCAAAGCATAGGAGAGATAAGTTCAAGGGATCTATTGTATGACATGATGACTACAGTGAATAACAATGTATTATATCCTTAAAAATGGCTAAGAGATTAGATTATAAGTGTTCTTACCCCAAAATTAATAAATGTGTGAAGTAGGGCATGTGTTAATTAGCTTGACTTAGCCATTCCACGATGCCTGCATATTTCAAAACATCATGTTGTATGTGATAAATACATACAATTTTATTAGTCAATTAAAAATAGATAAATTTTGAAAAATGAGTTCTCTGAACACCAGGTTTCCCTTGGGTTCAACCCTATGTCAATATAGATTCAGGGGAGGTGAGCAGCTCAGAATTGAACTATGATAGCTCTTTGCTCATAAGGGTGGGGTGGGGAGAGGTGGAGGTGTAGGGTGCAGTTTTAGGAATGTTTTCAGACTGTATAGACAAATTGGCTGCTTAGTCCTACTAGCAATAAAGAAGTCTTCTTCCTTCTAAAAAGAAAACAAAAACCAAGGTGCAGAATGATGTGCAGAGTATGCTACCTTTCGTGCAAAAACAGGGAGATAAAACAAGGCTACATATATTTGCATTTGTTTACCTGTGCATAAAGGAACTTTGAAAGAATACACAAGAAATGAACTATGTTGGTTACAGGGGAGGTGGGGCATTGGAAGTAGAATGATGAGGAATAAAGATGGAAAGGAGAATTTTCATTATAGACCTTTTTTTACATGCATATATATGTATATATATATGTGTATAAATGTACGTATGTATTTATAGGGAGACTTACTTATTCAAAAACTATGTAACAAATTGAAAAATAATAAAAAGAATGGCACAGCTGTATGTCAACACAACTCAGTGTGAAGCAAGAACAATCAAGGTAGGCGGGTGTGCATCCCAGCCCTCACATGTGTAACATTTGAACCAGGTAATGGGCTTTACCTCAGCAGAGTAGAAATGAGGTTTGGGCTCAAAGAGAGAATCACTTTTTATTTTTTTTATTGTATATCATTGTATACAGTTGGGTTGTTTTGCCACATGCATGCTATTTTTATAGCAATAATTAAAAACGAAATAATTAACTCCCTTTGTCACCTCAATTTCAGAGGAGGGCAGAGAACAAACCCCAGCCTTCTCAGGTTTTCTAACTGCTCTCACATTTCCGTGGGGAGCAGGGAAATCAGCTTCTCTCCTGCAGGGAGTCCCCAAGAAAAGACACTTGTATTCTACCTCTCCAGGGGGAGGAGGGATGTTTGGGGGCGTTTAGCAAATGCTGAGGAGCTGATGACGTTTCCAGAAGTTCTATAATTCTGAACGTAGCTGTGCAAGGGTGACAGGAAGCGGGGTGTAGACATTACTCACACAAGACCAAGTGCCCTGGCCCCATCCTGATGGAAACTGCTACGGCCTGGTCCTTGGCCTTCTCAAAGATCAGTTGTTCTAACTTCCTTTCTTTTCGCCCAATTTTTTCCTCAGGATGAACATGGACAGATCTCTATTCCATGTTCTTCCTCTAACTGGAGATGAATTTATTGGCAGTGAGACAGGAAAGGCAGGAAAGAAGAGAAGGAGGATGGGGTCACAGATTGACTCTCTGTGATTCAACACCTCCAATGTCACGGCACAGGAAAATCCCAAGATCCCCAGCCCTCCTCTTCCTCTCAGAGTCGGTGGCTGGGTGGGAAAACGAGGCTGGAAGCAAACCCATCACATTCTCCCACAGGCAGTTCACCCTCCGTGGGAGGAGAGACAAAGAAAATCTCAATACTGGGTCTGCCTAAACCAGGAAGCCATCCAATGGTCATCCCTTAGGTTCTGCTCAACACTCAAAAAACTTGCCTAAGGTGATTACTTGCAGTGGTGTTGTGCAGTCACAGACAGAGCATGGGAAATGCCCAAGGGGAATGCCTAACTTTCCATGGGAAGTCGAGGCACTGGGGAGTCATTCAACGTGGTTGGGGGGGAAGTTGGATGAGCTCCACTTTTCATTTTTTCCTTCTTTCCTTCCTTCCCTTCCTTCCTTCCTTCCTTCCTCCCTCCCTCCCTCCCTTCCTCTCTCCTCTTTCTTTCTTTTTCTTTCTTTCTTTCTTCTTCTTCCCTTCCTCTCTCCTTCCTTCCTCTCCTTCTTTCTTTCTTCCTTTTCTTTCTTTCTCTTTCTTTTCTTTTCTTCTTTCTTTCCTTTTCTTTTTCTGTTTCTTTCTCTCCTTCATTCCTTCCTTCCTCCCTCCCTTCCTTCCTTCCTTCTTTCCTTCTTTCTTTCCCCTTCTTTTCTTTTTTAAAAAATTCATTCCTTTTAATGATGGAACACATTTCATTGTTACAATACACCAAAGAACCTGGGTCCCACCACAAGAGAAGCCAGGAGAGCAAACTGTCTCTTAAAAAGACATTTTTAGGAATGAAATCATGTCCTTTGCAGCAACATGAATGGAGCTGGAGGCATATCCTAAGTGAACTAACTCAGAAACACAAAACCAAATACTGCATGTTCTCACTTAGAAGTGGAAGCTAAACAATGGGCACACATGGACATAAAGATGGAAATAGTAGACACTGGAGACTCCAAAGGTGGGGAGGGTGGAAGACGGGTGAGGGTTGAAAACTTACCTATCAGGCACCATGTTTACTATTTTGGTAATGGGTACACTAGAAGCCCAAACTTCATCGTTATGCAATATATTCATGTAACACATTGCACCTGGACCCCCTGAATCTAAAATTAAATTTTTAAAGAAAGATATTTCTTTTTAGATATCCTATTATTCCCAGAGCAACTGTTAGGAAAGCCCTGCTTCTTGCGTGGCCCTCACTCCACAACCTCCTTGCTGGCCTCCGCAGCAGCCAGAGAGATCGTTCTAAACCGCCCCTTCCCTGCCTGGTAAACTTCAAACTCCTTACCTTTCCCTGGAAGGTTCCTGGTGATCTGTCCCAGCAAATTTCCCCATCCTCATTTCTCACTGCCTGCCTCATGGCAACTAAATTATTTCAGTTCTCCTGAGTTCAATCAATCAATGCCTCTCTCTTTCCCTCTCTTCTAAGATACCCAGCATTTTCATAGGCTATTATCGTTACTTGGATTTACTCTCCTTTCCTTAATTCTTAACTCCACCAAAGAAATAAGCCAAAGCATTAATCACACACTCATAATTACCTGGCTTCTTTCCTGTCTTCCCTACTAGGAGGAAGTTTCTCGAGGACAGAGATCATGTGTACCCTATTCATCACTGTCTCCCCAGAGCCCATTCTGTGGCCATGGTTCTGACACATAGTAGGCCCCCAGTCAGCATCTATTTAATGAATCACAAGTGTGCCTGCAGTGCTGAGAACAAGACTTGGTGTGTATGACAAAGTCAATCTCTTTAAGTGACGGATTGTAGATTTGTAGATGGTGTATGCTACTGGTTATCACAAAGGTTAATCCTTGGTAAAATTAATCCTAGATAAACGTGCTTTGACTTACAAGCAAAGAACATGAAGGCAACTCATCCACATAACTCGCATGGTTTGCTTTAGCATTAGGAGGTCAAACAGAAGCCCAACTGATTAATTTCTTGCTGTTCTCTTCATTTTCTGGCATATGCCACGGTCGTACAGATGGAGCAGGGATTTTTGCCACCCTAAACAACACACCAAACTGCACACGTGAACTCACACCCTGGATACCTCCTGAGTCTGCTGCAGAAACCTAGGGGCCTTTGGGGGACTTGTAGCAGGTGTTAAGTGGGAAAGCTTGTGCAGGCAAGAAAAGATTCTTTCAGTCTGGGTGCAGTGGCTCACACCTGTAATCCTAGTGCTTTGGGAGACCAAGGTGGGAGGATTGCTTGAGCCCAGGAGATAGAGGCTGCAGTGAGACATGATCCCACCACTGTACTCCAGCCTGGCTGAGAGAGAGGCTATATTAAAAAAAAAAAAAAAGACTCAGTGTTTCGGCTACAAGAGTAATTATCGGATAATCGTCTTCTGTGAGCTGGCTTCTCCCCCACGAATGGGCCTCCTTTGTAATTCATGTTGGGTTCAGAAAGCCTTGAACATTCTTTTATGTCCAGTTACATCTCATTAGAGCGTTGGCTGGGCCCTGCATCCATCTTCCTCGTGAATGAGCCCAGAGAGTCTGGCACAGGCGCACGATCTTACCCTTGTATCTTTAGCAATCTGATTAACTGTGGCTGACATCAATGCCAACTGATTAGCATTTAAACACTCCTCTTCCTTCCCTCCTTCATAACCACCTCCCCTCACACCCCATGAACCCCCACTGCTTTCGCATCTCATGGTACGGCTTTGTGAATTCTTGCAGGTAGCCAGCAAGGGGGAGAGGAATGCAGTGTGATTTATGTGTGTACACACACAAAAAATCAGTGAGTCATTGAGGGAGGGAGACAGACACACCAGTCAGCACAGAGAGGAAGCTCAGGGTGGGAAATCGATCTGCATTCAATTACCTATATGCTATACTTCAATTACCTATGTAGAGAATTATAATACTTGGAAATGAATCCAGTTTGCCAAGTGAGTTTAAAAGCCATCATGAGTAAGTTAACAATTTCTCTCCACCTGTTTGCTCAGATTCCCAGACAAGAATAAAGAGTAGCTTGACCTTCCCAGGTACTTACAAGGATGTGCTTGGAGGTAGAAAAGATCCAGGAAATCAGGAGACCTGGGTTCTAGCACTGGCTTTGCCCCCAAGTTGCCATGTGACCTTGAGCAAATTCCATCTCTCAAAACCTCAAGTTTCCTGCTTTGTAAAGTTTGGACAGTGATCTTTGACTGGTTAACCTTAAAGAAACACTGGGGTAAAGCAAGGGTTGGGTTTTAGATGTTGAAAGCAGTTTTACAAATGCAAGGCTTAATTGGTCTCATTTAAGAGGCGGGAACTGTACTCTCTTTAGACACAACAGGGACAGCAGTGACTTTGTGATTGTTAACTTCGTTTTAATGGTGAGCAAACTGGGGCTCTGAGAGAGAGGTGTCACAGCTGGTAAGTGGCAAGGCCAGGATTTGAAGCCGGGCTGGTTGACCACACACTTATGCCCCAGTGAGGTGAGGGAAGGGGCTGTATTTGCTCCATGTCTCTCCTCCAGCCAGCCTCTGAATCCTGGCCTGGCTGTGTCCAGAGTGAGCACCACCTATTACAAACAAATCAGCAGGGGATCTGCTCCAGCTAAAAGGTCCCCAGTGACTCCTCAGGGTAGGAGTCCTGGGGATGAAGGAGGACACTTCGTGGCCCCAAAGGTAGCTGACAGCCAGATGCTCCAACTGAGGACTAGACTGCAGAAAAAGGTGGGAGAATAACTTCTGTAAAGGCAGAACCAAAAGGCACCTAGGAGGTGGGGGTGCTGGCCTAGCACCGTCATTTTACAGATGGGCAAACTGAGGCCTGTGGTATGACAGAGAAAGCTCTGGGCTAGGACAGTCAGAAAGCCTTATTAACTCACTCTGCAGCCTTTGGGAAGTCCCTTGTCATTTCTGGGCCTCAACTTACCCTCTGTATAATGGAATCATTCCTTCAAATAAAACCTTAAGAGGAATGACAATATAGGTGCTCTTTGACTTATGATGGGGTTACATCCTGACTAACCCACTGTAAATTGAAAACATCTTAAGTTGAAAATGCATTTAATACACCTAACCTACTGAACATCCTAGCTTAGCCTAGCCTACCTTAAACATACTCAGAACACTTACATAGGCCTACAGTTAGGCAAAATCATCTAACACAAATCCTATTTTATAATGAAATTGCTATAAAGAATTTTGAATCAAAATTCAAAGTTAGAAGTACTGAATACGTATCTCTTTTGCAACGTTGTAAATTCAAAATAAAAAAAAGTCAAACCATCGTAAGTTGGGGACCATCTGTATACTGCTGTGCAGTAAAGGATTAACTCAGCAGGTCTGGGTTGTCCACACCCTGCACAGTCTGAAAAAAGGTTTGGCCCTTGAGCTTGGCTCCAGAGAGGTAACCGCTAAGTCCTTGGAATATCCTGCTTGATTAGAGTCTTCGTGTACCTGGGGTCCTTGGGCAATGCCAGTGTTAGCAAGATACTCCATGCTAACATTGTGATTGATGGTGGGGGCCTTGGCCTTGGTATTAGCTTGACCTCTGGAGAGGCTGGAGACTAACGGTAGCCACATGAGTGGTCAATCATGCCTGTGTGACCAACCCCAGATAAAACCCTGGGCACTGAAGGTCGGGTGAGTTTCCCTAGTTTGCAATACTCTGTGGGTGTCGCCACAACACCATTGCTGGCAGAAGTGCTGTCCATGGGGCCCCACACGGAGAGGAAAGCTGGAAGCTGTGCCTGGTTTCTAGGACTCTGCCTCATGTACCTCTTCCCTTTGCTGATTTCAGTCTGTGTCCTCTCCCTGTAATAAACCTTATGGTTATGGCTGGGTATGATGGCTTTTCTAAGTTCTGAGTCCTTCTAGTGAATTATTGAAGCTGAAGTAGTCCAGGGGACCACTGAACCCTAATAATAAGTAAAAAATAGGAGCACATGGATTTAATCAGAAGTGGGGGCAGGAGTCTGAGAGCAGCTCCCTAAGTTTTTCCCTTACTCGAATCATCTTTGATGATGATGGTGGTGATGATGAAGGCCAATGGTGATAAGTGCTTGTTACATGTCAGGTCCTATATTCATGGTCCTATATCCAAGGTCCTACATTCAAGGTCCTATATCCAAGGTTCTATATGCAAGGTCCTATATCCAAGGTCCTATATCCATGGTCCTATATTCAAGGTCCTATATCCATGGTCTTAAACTTATGGATCATTTCATTTGCTCCTCTCAACATCTCTGGGAGGTAGATAATGTTATTACCCACATTTTACAAAAGAGGAAACTGAAGCTTAGATCACTTTAGTCACTTGCTCAAAGCAATATAGATTATAGATGGCAGTTCTGGGACTTGAACATAATCTGAAAAGCACTGGACAGAAAGTTCTCTAATAACCCTTCCAGATCTCGTGTTCTATGGATGGGTGATCCTAAGGTACAATTTCTCTTTTGGGGCCATGGCTGAGAATTGCAGGACTTGGAGGGAGAAATAGTGTCTGCTTATCGCCCCTGCTCTCTCAGGTGACTCTGTCCACGCCAGGTCTACACCTGCTGACTTCTCAGTCCACTTGAGGAAGAATTTGGATCTCCAACAAAAGAAGAAAATGTCCAGAGTCTATTCTATTCTATTCTATCCCATCCTACCCCACCCCAATCTATCCCATCCTGCACCATCTCACCCCACGGCAGCCCAGCTCCCAGTCATCCTGTAATCCTGTATGGAGCACCACTTTGAGCTAGGGGGACACAGGGATGCATAACACATCATCTCTACCCTCTTCCTCCAGAGTCAACGTTCTCACTGGGCATCAGAGCCCCAGTGCATGCGGAGGAGTGGACTGGCATCATCTAATGCCAAGCCCCAGGCTCCTCCATTCTTTGAGTTGTGGGGCTTGATGTCTGCCTCCTGGAGTCCAGCCAGCCTCTGCCCAGAGCCTAACGAGCTCTCGCAGCCAACAAGAACAATGCCTCGGATGTGTGTGGGCCTGAGGCCGAGGCGGCGCACAGAGCCTCCCTTCACTTGCAGGCTTGCCCAGTGGGCAGGTGCTGGGTTTGGGGCTTGGGGAAGCATAGGAGGAGGCAAATTTAATGGTCCTCAGAGTGGCCATTGTCAGCTCCCCACCCGGCAGGGGCTACACAGAGCGCCTCAGTGCCCTGGCACCCACCTGGCCCCCTTCACAGGCATGATGCCTGCATGCGGTGGCACTAGGCCATTGTCCTGGGGTGGGGGAAAGATGCCCTTTTATTCACTCAGCAGCAACTCTGCCAAGGTTGGCTAAGCACACGTGGGGCTTGTGACACAGAGAAAGGGAGGAAGAGAGAGGCAGAGAGATGGAGAAGGAAAGATGCCAATTCCCCCCACCCATGAACAATAGCTACAACTTCATTCACATGATGATAGCAACTCTTTCATAATGACAACCATGGCTACCACTTTTTCAGCCTTACAATGTGCTAAGTGTTTTACATGCATTGTCTCATTTAATCCTCAGAACTACTCTGTCATGTGGGGACTGTTGCTTTCTACATTTTGCAGATGGGGAAAATGAGGCTCAGAGATGGAAGTACACATACCCACAAACACACTGAGAGAGGTTGATGGGTCTGGGATTCAAACCCAGGTCTGTCTGATATGAGCCCCATTAACTACTAGCTCTATTTTATTTTAGGTGATGTTAAGAGCATTCTAAATACATTATTTAACTTTCACAAAATAAAATGAATTCACTCATGAATTCATTCATTCATCCATACCCTCATATAGTCATTCAACAAACACTCACTACAAACCCAGTGGCTGCCAGGTGCTTTGCTAAGGAACATGGAAGGGAATATAAAATACTCCAGAGTCCCTGCTTTTTCCTCTCTAAGGCACCCCCACCTTTCTGAGGCTGTGGAACCAGGAGCAAGGGACATCCCAAAGTTTATCCTTCACCCCTGCCTATGCAGTCTGAGTTTTCCCCTGGGCATAAGATGACCAGCTGCAGCCTGGCCCAGTGGTGATAACCGTGGGTAAAAATTCGGTTTTTTTGTGGCCCAAACACAAACCAAGTGTTTGGGGTCCAACATCCAAAGTGAGGGATGTCATGCAGAACCTATTTAGAGTCACATGGTCCTAAGCATATCTTTTCATGTTTTTCATAAACTTTTATTGAATGTAACTCGGACATAGAAAACTCCCCCCAATTGTAAGAACACAGCTTGATGAAATTCCTCAAATAGGACCTAGATAAATAGCTACCAGATAAATATGCAAAACATTTCCATCACATTCTGAATTTTTAGGTTTGCTCTCTTCAAGGGTAACCTGTATTTTGCCTTCTATGGCCAAGGACCAATTCTGACTACTGAGAATTCATTGGCTAATTATGCAACGTGTTCTCTTTTGTATCCGGCTTCTTTCAGTCAACATTATATTTGCAAGATTTATCTATGTTGCTGCATGCAGTGGTAGTTCATTCCTTGTTTCTCACTATGTAGTATTTCATTTTAGGACAACACCACAATTTATTCATCTTCTGTCTACATCACAGTTTATCCATTTTAGTGCTGATGGGCAATATGAGTTGCTTCACAGTTATTATTACGAATAGTACAACTGTAGACATTTCTCTGTTAGTCTGCTCTTGCACTGCCATGAAGAAATGCCCAAGGCTGGGTAGTTTAGAAAAAAAGAGGTTTAATTGGCTCACGGTTCCACAGGCTGTACAGAAAGCATGGTGCCAGCATCTGCTGGGCTTCTGGGGAGGCATCAGGGAGCTTTTAATCACGGCAGAAGATGAAGCGGGAGCAATCACATCACACGGCAAGAACAGAAACAAGAGAGAGAAGGGGGAGGTCCCAGATACTTGTAAACAACCAGATCTCACAGGAACTGACTGAGTGAGAACTCATTCATCACCAAGGGAAAGACGCCAAGCCATTTATGATCATGAGGGGGGATCCGCTCCCATGATCCAACACCTGCCACCAGGCTCCACCTCCAACACTGGGGATCACATTTCAACATGAGATTTGGAGGGGACACATATCCAAACAATATCAACTCCATTCCATGTTTTTGGTGTATGTGTATATTCATTTCTGTTAGGAATATTCCCAACAGAATGCTGGTTGCAGGATATGGTACTTTTGTATTTAATAGATACTAACAAAGACTTAGTGCAAATGTTCTGATTTTGATGAAGAATCTAGACAGCTGCTTTCCTATGATGCTGTAACCAGCAGAGCAACAGAAACCTAATGTTGTTTATATACATACTACGAATAATTACGATTTTATTGCTGTTCTATAGTTCCTATCCTTCAAGGACTTGGGAATGAAGGGATATGCTAAGCACCGAATGAATGGTTTGAATAAAAACCCAGACACATGTGCACCCAAAGAGGACAATCAGACATTATTATTCTAAGACAAATTGTCATCTTCTGAGGGTCGACTGGCCACGCTTCATCCTTATTTTTGTATCTGGATCATTAGTGGACATCTCATTACGCCCTTGAATGGGGATTGCTTCTCACAGCTTCCTCTTTAACTAAGCATGAAATGAATGCAGGGGCTGGGCTTGCCTTTAATGAAGTTTCAAGGTGGCTGCCCACTTATGAGGGTTGGAAGCTCGAGGCTGGGGAGCAGGTTGTCCAGGCAGGAGGAGGAAAGATGAGTGTCCTAGCAGACACCAGCGAGGGGTTTTCCTTGACAGCCAGCCTTAGGCAATCAGGCTTTAAGCTTGAGGCAATGCCTCCTCCACTGTTCCACCTGATCCCCTCTTGATGAGGAAGAGATAAAGAAGGGGTATAAAGATAAAATTGCTCAAATCTTCAATAATCCAAAATGTAAATCTCTAAGGGTCCTCTCCCTGCAGAGCACTGAAGGTGTCTATAGCTCCTATTCCATACATTTGCCTCTTAATTTTTGTCCATCATATCTATGCTGTTTCTTCCTCCAGGAGTGCTTCACTCTCTGAAACACACACACACACACACACACACACACACACACCCCTCACAATTGTCAGCACCAACATCTCTGTTCCCCAAATCTCTGATAATTCTATTTCAAGTTAAGCCTCCTGTTTGGTGTTTTGTTTTTGTTTCATAGATGCAAAGGAATTCTTATTTTAGAGTTGGGGAAATTGAGGCCCAGGGAGGAAAGGTGACTTGTCTAGTGTTACCCAGGAAGAAACAAAGATGACAACAAGAACAACAGCAATAATATCTCCATAATAATCACTGAGCCCTCCCTGTGTGCGTTAACTGGGCTAAACATTCTACCACGCATCATCTTATTCAATCCTTCTGTGCCAGGTTCTATTTTTGGGGGGTCCATTTTATAGATATGAAAACTGAGGTTCAGAAGAATGAAATTGTCAACATGAAGCTTCTGAAGGCAGGCTTAGCAGTGTCCCTGGGTCTGTCCAAGGCTGGGGCAAGTGTCCTTAACCACTTTTCATGTCCTTGCTTCTCTGAGTCTTTCTCCGGGGTCTTTTCCCTGATACTGTCTTTCTTGTCCCCTTCTGGGCTGGCTTCTCTTCCCTCTTTTTTCTGGTCCTTTTCCTTTGTGCACTTGACTTGTAACACGAGAATGACAACTCATTGGCCATAGCTGGAACAACACTGGTGGCCGAGATAATACAATATTGATCTTCCCACAGTAGACTCTATTCCTTGTAGCCGAGTGGAAGGGAGATTAATGCCAGGCCCTGGCAGATAGCAAACAGCATCTGTAAGGCAGCTTCTGTGACAGGCAGGATAACACGCTTTATTAGCCTCATGACAAGACAATGTTTTACCACAATTTTTGATCAGAGACTGGGAGACGTTAGCAGCAAAATATGTTTGGGAGGCAGTCACGCTGCATAATTAGCAAATGAAAAATAAAGGCAAGGACGGGAGCTGGTGCGTCGAAGATTGGGATTAACCTCAAATTTCCAGAGGGACACAGAAAATGCAATAAATGCTCAGATCAGCAAACAACGAGGTTAGGGTTCCAATCTTGACCTGGGGTGGTGTTAGCAATACCTTCTCCCACTCCTGCTCTAGGTTTATGCATCCATTTAAGTTCCTGACCCCCTGCCAGAGAGCAGTGGGTACTGCTAGTTCAAGCTCTGAGGAAGCCTTCTCCTACACGCGTAAAAGACCACTTGCAGCAGAATCTCCAGGGATGATTTTTAAAAGGCAGATTTCTAGGCCTCATTCTGACCCACTGATGTAGGTGGGAGCAAGGTGTTCGCACACTTACCAAGGACTCCAGGTGAGTCACAAGCCTATTAACATTTAAGAACCACTGCCTTCAGGAGTTCTGGACATGGAGACAATTACATCCCATAATATCCCCCAACCATGCCATTATACCAGCACAGCATTGAACAGCATCACAGTTAATCATGTGACTTTTAAGCACCTTTTCATGTCAAGTGCACAGTCACATCCATTGTCCTGTTTGATCCTAGAGCAAAAACCTTGCAGGGGAGAAATTATCCTTCTCACCTTATAGATAAAAGAATTGAGGCTCAGAGAGACTAAAGGGCTGGGCAAAAGCCCTCACGTTGGGTAAATAAACCAGGCAGTATTTATTCCCTAACCCTTCTTCAGACACATCTTGCTTTCTGAAATTTTCCATAGGCCACTGGTTCTCAACTGACGGTAATTTGGTCCTCCAGAGGACATTTGGCAATGTCGGGAGAAATTTTAGTTGTCACAGCTAGGGCAGTGGTACTACTGGTATATAGTGGATGGAAGCCGAGGGTATTGCTAAACATCCTACAATGCACGGGACAGGCACCTTTCCCATAACAAATAATTAAACATCCCGAATGTCAGTTGTGCGGAGATGGAGAGACCCTGGCCTATGTGCCCTCTGCTCCATCTTATCAGATTTTATTCTGAATTCATTGGGATGCCTCCGGGGAATTCTTGGCTTAAGGGGTCATATGATCAGATTAAGGTGCTAGATCCCCCTGGCTACTGAAGAGGGAGTGTGCTGGACTGGAGAAAGACTCAAACTGGGAGACCAGTTTAGGAAGCTAATTTAACAGTTGTGTGACCTTGGTCATGTTGCCCCTCCTTGCTGAGCCTCAGTTTCCCCTTAGGTAAAGCAGGGGTGGAGGGGCTAGGCTAAACAAGATGCCTCTTATCACTTTAAAAATGTCCTGTGATCTAATTCTATCTACTTTTCTGTTCATACCGGGTGATCTCCTTCAGAAAGAGAGACAAGATCTGAGAAGCTGGCCCAGGCAGAGGACAAAGTCATTGTGCATGTTGGCCAATCCATCTTCCCACCTCATCAGCCAGATTTGTTCCACGTTACAAAGGAAACTCCTGAGGCAGAGAATGCATTGGAAGGAAATTGGATTGGTATTTAATTGATGGCCTGGGCTATTTGCCACAGTCATTAAATTGCCCTGAAAAGCCAGCCCATTGTTCTATAGAGAGGCAGCATGGCTTTGTTTGAATAGTGCCATGTGTATGAATTCAGTTTCTTCCCCACTGGACCCACTGTGAGTAGAAACCTGTCTTTGATGCCAATGGTCCAGATGCAGCCAGACTTCCTCTTCCTGTTGGTCTTCAGCACATCCTGACTGGGAGGGTCTTGAATTCAGCAAACCCTCTAACTCCTGCCTCTTAATTTCAGTCACCTTCCCTGCAGTCCTGGTGACCCCTCTCATCTGACCTTAAATCCTTAAATTCCCTCCATGGATCTCCATCATCTATGCTAGCAATGCCCAAATTCACTATTCTGTGGGTTATTGAGAAATACGCCTCAAAAATTAAGTTCGAAGTGCCTTTTCTGTCTCTTGCACAATTAAAATGCCTACTTTCATGGTAGAGGCTCTGACAAATCCTGCAGCAAACAGAAAATGTGTTTAGCTTGGTTGAAGCTATGTTTCCCAAATAATTTGCTTAATGAATTTCCCCCCTACTCCCTCTTTACCCAGAGCTCACTTATTTACATCTTGTAAAATAGTGTTTTGCAGAATTCCAGTTTGGGAAATATTGACCACAAGATCTTTAGCCTAGCATTCAAAGCTCTCTACAAAAAGGTCCTTGGTTATATTACCAGCCTCATGTCCTACTTTCCAGCACTCATTTTACAGCCATATCAAACCCCTGGATACTTTCCTGTGTTTTGAAAACCCACGTTTTGGAAGGGCAGGCAGGAAAACCTGGCAGTGACAGCCAAGCTTGGTATCACAGGATTAGTAAAGCCACTGAGGCACATTTTTGTCATTTCCTAGAAGTGTGAGCTTAGAGAGTTAGCCATCGTGACCTCAATCTCCTCATCTGTGAAATGGGTATGAGAGCACCACCTCATATGGTAGTTGTGAGAATTAAATGAGCAGATGCAAGTAAAGAGCCTAGAACATAGTAAATAATAAATGTTAGCTCTTGGTTTAATTATATTATTTTGACTCTGTACACACGATTTCCTCTGCTCAAAATACCTTCCCTCTAATTGGCCATCTGGTGAAGATGAGCCTTTATTCATCTCAGCTCTAACATCATTTCTTTGCAAAGCCTTCTTTACATCCCTTTGATAGAAATAGGTGCTTCTTCCCCCATATTCCAGCAGCACTTTGCATTCATTCATTCATTGCTTTCACCTTGCATTCATTCATTCATTTGTTGCTTTATGCATTTAATTCTGATTGAGCCTCTACTCTGCTTGCCACTTTATAGGTATTGGGAACACAATAGAAACAGAACTGACCTGGTCTCTGCCCTAAGTCTAGAAAGAAAGTCAGACTTGAATAAAGCATGGCAAAGATAATGACCTGCAACCAGGATGAGAGCTATGGGGACACTTACTGGGGCCTTGGTTTTTATTCTTGCTCCTAATATGTTGCTATTTATTTATTTATTTATTTATTTATTTATTTATTTATTTATTTTTGAGACGGAGTCTCGCTCTTTTGCCCAGGCGGGAGTGCAGTGGTGCGATCTCGGCTCATTGCAAGCTCCGTCTCCCGGGTTCACGCCATTCTCCTGCCTCAGCCTCCCGAGTAGCTGGGACTACAGGCGCCCACCACCACGCCCGGCTAAATTTTTGTATTTTTTTTTTTTTTTTTTAGTAGAGACGGGGTTTCACTGTGTTAGCCAGGATGGTCTCGATCTCCTGACCTCGTGATCCACCCGCCTTGGCCTCCCAAAGTGCTGGGATTACAGGCGTAAGCCACCGTGCCCAGCTGCTTTTTATTTTGATTTTTTTAACACACAACATAAATGCTTCATTTAATAGTCACAGATCATCTCTGTGGGCCAAGCAGTCAACTCTGCCATTGAGGACTCAGCAATCGAGTGCAGCACAGCCTCCGCAGCCTCTTGCTCTGACTCACCATAAATTCCACACACACCCGTGTGCACTGTCCTTGTGAGCTGGTCCTACCCAGAACCTTGGTGGCCTTGACTAGCTTGACAGGATGCACACAGCTCATGTCCATGATGGCAGCGAGGCAGTGATCAGGTGGAGAGCCTTGTATGTTGCATTATAATGACTTGTTTTCAGGAACATCCCCCCATCAGACTGGGAGCTCCTCCAGGGAGCCACAGTGAGTTCTTGGACCATGGAAGATGCACCCAAAATATTTACTGAATAGGAAGAAGGCCTGGGAGCAGCAGAGGTTGGGAATGATCCTCACCTCCCTATCTGCTCCTAGGACATCAAAGGCATGTCTGCCTCTTGCCACCGACCACAAACCCAAGCCCTTAAGAAGAAGAAGAGAGAATGACCTGGTTTATTCTATTTGAAGAACTCAGAGTTCCCAGTGCCCTGGGTGCCTCTTAGAGCTCCATTTTTATTTCTTAAAGAAAAATAATAAACCAGGTTAGCTCTAAAGAAGATGGATAGGAACGAAGGCAGGCTAACAGGCGGTTTGCAGCTCTCTGAGGTGCTTTCCTTGTCAGTTCCAGTGAGAGGAAGAGAGAAAAGACACGATTCTTCAAATAGCTCTTCTCTTTTTGGGGAATATGTAATCGTCTCAATTAAAACACAGACCAGAATATTTAATGGCATGGAAATTGATTTTGATGCTATTTAAATAATTTCCCCCTAGAGTAGATGGATATTACTTGGCCTAATTTGATGGAAGCATTCATTTTTTTTCTCAGCTCAGAACTTGCGTGCGGGAGGTTCTGTTCACACAAGGCAGATCTGAATTCCTATCAGGCTCAGAGGACTTTTCCGGGTTACCAGAAGAGGACAGAGCATAAGCTAAGGCAATTCAGGTTGACAAGGGAGGTGCACAGGGTGGTGTAAGGAAACTTGCCCCAGCTATGCCATCCCTACCTCCTCCCAGGATAAGTTTTCATGATGCCCAGCCACAGGGAGGAGCTTCCAGAGAGTGGGGCATATAGGATCCTGCTACACTGTTCAAAATGTCATTAAGAGTGGGGGCTAAGAGGGGGAGAGATCAATGATAGGTGGTCCTGTCTGTAAACTTCCTCCACCCCTAAAACACATCTAGTGCAATATGAATGCACCGTAGCCTGCAGAATATCCCCATATTATTGTCTCTAAGTTGCTTTTCTTGGAAGAAGATACAAGGAAGGGAGGAAATAAACTCATATTTGCTGCTTGCTAAGCACTTGCAGAAGCTCCATTAAAACTCCAAACTTCACATCCCAATCATTTCCCCTTCCTGTGATAACAGAAAATCCATGGGTTTAAAGCAGGCATTGGCAAACTACAGCCCACTGGCCAAATTTGGCTTTCCTCCTGTTTTTGTAAATTAAGTTTCACTGGAACATGGTCCTGCTTTTTCTTTTTATGTATTGTCTAAGGATGCTTTCATGCAGAGTTGAATAGATGCCCCAGAGACTAAATAACCATCAAAGCATAAAATATTTACTATTTGGCCCTTTAGAGAAAAAGTTTGCCAGCCCTGGCAAATGTCTGTTCCTTTAGAGAAGTATAAACATATGATATTACCATGTATTTTAATAGGTAAACTTTAAAAAGGTCAAATTTTGATAATTTCATGGGTTCTATCTAATGACCCATTTTGGCATTAAATTCTGGAAGTCATACAGCTTGTTTCATCCATCTTCCTCATTTGTATTTGCATAATAAACAGAACTGAAGCTCAGAGAGGTTAAGTGATTTGCCAAAGGTCACACAGCTACAAAGTGACAAGATCGGGGCAGAAGCTTTTCCTGATCCATGTGCCTCTGACCAGAGAGGGCCCTGACAAAGCCTGTGCTCTGTTGTCAACCTCAGAACTCTCACAGTTACCAAATATTCACATCCTCCCAGGCAGTGCTTGCCCTAGCAAATGCAGCCTCAGAATCTGCCAAGATTCCAGAATTGGAATGACCCTGAGTTTACTCTTTGTGTTGCTAACACCAAGTTTTGTGACTGGAATCCTTGATCTGAGAGATGGCCAACGATAATCTTAGCTGTCCATGTTGCAGGATTTAGATGCTCTGTCAAAAGCAATGGGGGGTTTCACACGTGAGGTAGAGGGGACATCACTAGAATTGCAAAGATCACTCTACTTTCTGGCTGGAGCTTTGAGAGGGATTAAGGGTGGAAGCAAAAAGATCAGTCCAGGTGAGAGATGATGAGGCATGGCTAGCTGTGGGGACTAAAAGGTGAACAAGATTTAAAACAGATCTGTTTAGAGTCAAGAAGTCTTGGGATTGAGTTGGATAGAGACGGGAGAAGGCTGAGAGAAGGAAGAGATCAAGGAGGATGCCCAGGCTTCTGCCTGAGCAACCAGGTGGAGTGGAGATTTTCCTGCACTGTAAATGCTGAGTAAGGACCAGCTTTGGGAAGATCAGATTTGCCCTACAGGCCACTGCATAAAAGGGAAACTGTCTATCTCAGATGATCGTTGGGAATTGGGACAACATTTGTGCAGAGCTGGACGTAGGGTCTGTATTCCTTAAATGTGTGATTTGAGAAGATAAAAGGATGTCAATAAAGGCATTATGGCAGGATGGAAAGAATGTGGATTTTGGAGTCACAGAACTTTTCATTCAAATCCAGCATCTTCCACTTACACATGAGGTGACCTTGGATGCTTTATTTTACTTATCTGAGTCTTGATGTCTCATCCAGAGATATTGAGACATGGATGAGCAGACACAGTGCTAAGCGCACTTGCATATCTCCATTAGCCGTCACATGCACCCTGACGGGTGGGGGCTACTTCTGCAAGGCTTGTTTTACAAATGACGACAAGAAGGCTCAGAGAAGTAAACATACTTGCCTCCAGGTTACACAGTAGGCAGTGGTGTTGGATTTGAAATGCAGGACTGTAAACTCTGCAGGTAATAACTTCCCCCTCTTGGGTGGTTGTGGAAATGAGTCCAGGGGAGGAGTTAATGTGGCATGTGGCACCCGGTAGACCATGGGAAGCATGAAAGTGCTGAGTGATACCAAGAGTCCTTTCCATAGGAATTTAGGGGAACCAGGGCTAGGTGCTCCTGGGGGCTTCTTTGTGGAAATGACATTAATTCTGAGACTGAATGGTAGTCAATATAGCAGGGCAAGACTATGGGAAGAAGGGAAAATGGATGTAGCTGCTCAAAATATGAGCTTAGTAATTTTGTGAATTGAAAAGAAATCAAAGTTCTCAGCCCTGTGCTCAAACCATTTCGTCACCCTTGTGATTTGCTTTGAAAGTCTAGTGAACTCATGGTGGTCTCCCTTTAGGGACCAAGGTTTCTCTTGATAAAGAATTTGAGCTTCATGTCCTGGGCTTTCAGAAGCTCCCCCATCGACCCATGCACATGCTGGTCCTCCTTCTCCCGTCTGGCTAGTCTTTCTTACCTGGATTTCAGGTTCTCTGCTTAAATATCACCTCTCTGGCTTTCTAGACTAGTTTTGTCACCCATTACAAGCTCCCTGAGCTCCCTGTGCTGGTAACACTTACGTCTGTCCTTCACACTAGGAAAGAAGCCTGAGAATGGGAATGGTATTTGCGTTTATAAAACTAGCACCAGCAGCTGCAATATGGGCACATAGAAAAGGCTATGTACTAAATACTTGAATACAAGAATAAATGAATGAGTTTGTATGTTACATCCTGGTTCCTAATCACATCTGGATTAATATCTTTCCCTTTTTCCCTCAAAGATTTCTGCAGATTTACATGAGGAGATGTGCTGCAGTTGAGTCTCACACCTGCCATATATGTTCTTCTTCTCACAAGAAGGGCCATGTATTTCTTTTTAAAAGAGATAGATAGATAGATAGATAGATAGATAGATAGATAGATAAAATATATCAATATATAAAAGGTGCATATATATATCTTTTATATATCAATATAAATATATATTTGTTTGTATATCAATATATTAAATATATATATATATTCCCATTATACCTCTGGCCAACAGATTATTTCCAGAATTCTTTTGTCTCATAGAACTCACTTGCTACCCTGGAAACAAGAGAAAACCCAAATGGTTTGACTAAGCTTTCAAGACCCACTAGGGCTGGGTCAAACAAACTCCTTATTTCCCTCTGTTTCCCAATCGTGGAGGCTAACTCTTCCTCACTTCTGGATGATCACTCAGCTGAAATCCACTGGTCTCCTCTGTTGCTCCTCCTTGACCAATCCCACCTCCTCCTTAAAGCTACCTCCAATAATCTCAGTCCAATCTGACTTCTCCAAAATACTCGTATCAATTTTGCCTGAACCACACTTTTTATTATTTCATCCCCATTTTATTCACGCTTATCTACCCTCCCAACTCTATTCTTTCAAAGGAGAGACCTCACCTTGGCCAATTTTGTCTTTTTACAGCATCTGTACTTTATGCTTAGTAGGCACACACTACTTGTCTCCTCTGTGTATTTCTCTTGTAACTCCTTGTTCAGAGTCTGTCTTCCTCATTAGATTGTAAATTTCACAAGGTTAGGGACTATGATTCATCTCTATACCCTCTGTTTCCTGAATCCATGCAGTACAGTAAGTGGTCAATAAATGGTTTGTTGAAGCAAACAAAGACATAAAGTGGGGAAAGGACACCCTACACAACAAATGGCGCTGGGATGATTGGCAAGTCACATGTAGGAGAATGAAACTGGATCCTCATCAGTCACCTTATACAAAAATCAACTCAACATTGATCAAGGACTTAAATCTAAGACCTGAAACTATAAAACTTCTAGAAGATACATCGAATAACCCTTCTAGACATTGGCTTAGGCAAAGACTTCATGACCAAGAACCCAAAAGCAAATGCAACAAAAACAAAGATAAATAGGTGAGACTTAATTAAACTAAAGAGCTTCTGCTCAGTAAAAGTAACAGTCAGCAGAGTAAACAGACAACCCACAGAGTGAGAGAAAATCTTCACACTCTATACGTCCAACAAAGGACTAATATCCATAATCTACAATGAACTTAAATAAATTAGCAAGAAAAAAACAAATAATCCCATCAAAAAGTGGGCTAAGGACATGAATAGATAATTCTCAAAAGAAGATATACAAATGGCCAACAAACATATGAAAAAATGCTCAACATCACTAATGATCAGGGAAATGAAAATCAAATCCACAATGCAATACCATCTTACTCCTGCAAGAATGGCCATAACAAAAAAAATCAAAATACAATAGACGTTGGCACGGATGCAGTGAAAAGGGGACACTTCTACACTGCTGGTGGGAATGTAAACTAGTACAACCACTATGGATGACAGTGTAGAGATTCCTTAAAGAACTAAAACTAGAACTACCATTTGATCCAGCAATCCCACTACTAGGTATCTACCCAGAAGAAAAGAGGTCATTATATGAAAAAGATACTTGCACACACATGATTATAGCAGCACAATTCGCTGTTGCAAAAATATGGAACCACCTCAAATGCCCATCAATCAATGAGCAGATAAAGAAATTGTGATATGTATATATATATATAATGTCTATATCTATGCCTATATGTAATATATCAATTCTTTCCAAAAGAATTGCCTCAATTCTCTCCAAAATTGTCATATGTATATATGATGGAATATTACTCAGTCATAAAAAGGAACAAATTAATGGCATTTGAAGCAACGTGGATGGAACTGAAGACTATTATTCTAAGCATAGTAACTCAAGAATGGAAAACAAAACATCCTATGTTCTTACTCATAAGTGGGAGCTAAGCTATGAGGATGAAAAGGCATAAGAATGATACCATAGACTTCAGGGACTCAGGGGAAATAGTGGGAGGGGGTGAGGGATAAAAGAGTACAAATTGTGTTCAGTGAATACTGCTCAGGTGATGGGTGCACCAAAATCTCACAAATCGCCACTGAAGAACTTACTAATGTAACCAAATACCACCTGTTCTCCCAAAACCTATGGAAATAAAAAAAAAATTTTAAAAAGTAAATGTTTGTTGGATATATTCATCAAATGCATACCTCAAACTGATGTTTACCTTTGCATTGTGTATAATTTATTCCTCTATTAGATTAATAATAACCCTAAGCATGCCAAATCAGGATATGGGAGGTGGGTAGTTGTAATGATTTCCCCACTCAAGTTCCCAGAGGGAAAATCAATTTGTAATTGTTGGAAACATAATCAAATGTTCATAAAATTAGATCCCTATATAGTCACACCTAAATCGTGGCTCAATTTTTTTCTTTAATAGCACATAAATCACAAGCTTTTCATCAATAAATTAGGAGAAATTATGAGCTGTGGGAGATGTGATAGATATGATTGGCATTCCAGGATTAGAAGGTGGCCCTGCAAGCAGCCCAGAACACAATGGCATTTCAGCACAGCGGACAGCACCCCGCATGGGTGCCTCCTTTAAATACTTGAGCTATTCACGTGGTGGATGGCGACCTCAGCAGATCATGCCCTTAAGAGCTCCGACACCTGTGTTAAGAAGCCTCAGGGTATCTCTCTAAGTTGAGTCTCCTCTCTGCCCTCCTGACCCCTTTATTCTACCATGATCTTTCCTGTTGTTTCAATATTTGTACTCAGTTTTTGCCTCTTACCGATCATGTTGAATTTGTGCTTTTGCTTTTTCTTGGTAGGCTGAGTTGAAAAGGAAAGCTAGTTGGAGCAGAGTAGCCTTCCAGCTGCAATTACATGGGTTCCTCACCTTTCTCTCCTCCTCAGATTGCCCTTGAAGGCTAAACTCTATTTTGAAATCATTACTATAGGTATATGGGCTATTTTTGCCTCAATTCTTTCAAAAATTGTCAAGGATAGAGAGAGATATCAACAATTATTATCCTACCTCTCTTGGTGCTGACCATTTCATCCTCACCTTCTCACCCCAACCTTACCCCAAAGCTCTTTTCTTTCTCTCATTTGGGATGAAAAATATTTTTCTTCTCTTTTCAGCTATTGTGGTAGTCCTAGCTCAAGCCAGAAATCTGAAAATCTCCCATTTCTGTTCCCTCTGTATCCAGTCAATCACAAAATTTTGTTTGTTTTTAAACTTTATCATTTCCTTTACCTCCATTGGGCCATGCCCACTGGCCCAAACTAATATCTTCTCTTCCTTAGATGATTACAGCTGTCTCTTCACTAGTTGCCCTGACTCCAATCTCTCCCTCCAAAAGATCCTCCTTCCATGATGATTTTTCTAAAATTCTAATAGGACCATATTGTTCCCCAGCTTAAAATCCTTCATATTTCCTCCCTCAGAACAAGGTCTGACTTTTTCAAACATTGTGTATAAGGCCCTTCAAGTCTACCCAGGTCTGCACTTGCAGCCTCAACTCCTTCACTCCCCTTCTTACCACAGATCCTTTATAATTCAGTTATAGAGAATTATGCATCATTTTCTAGATAGATATGATATACAACATAGTGATTAGAAATACAGGCCCAACAGTCAGACTGCAATAAATACTGCAATTTGCTAGCTGTATGTAATATCATTGTACCCCAACTTCCTCATTTAAACACAGAAAAAAATGTAGTAGGTGAATGAGATAATTCACACAAGAGGTCTCAACATGGTGCCATTTTAATTATCATCAAATGTGCTGTGTTCTCTGTCCTTGGTTCATGCTGGTGCTTTTGCCCTCTCTTTTGCATCTGGTTAATTGCTAGCTTGTCTTCAACTCTCAATTCAGGCATTGCCTCCTCCAGGAAGCCCTTTTGGATTCTGCAGCTGGGGTGATGACTCCCTGCCCACTTCTTACACTGTCCTGTAACCATTCACATGTCTGACACATGCTATGTGAGTATGAGCTTCCTTTCTTCATCCTCAGTGCCTGGTGCGGTGCCTGATGTGGGGTTTAAACTCGGGGAGCACCTGTTGAATGAATGGATATGTAAGAAACTTACTCTCCCTATGCGTCTTTGTGTATTTCAAAGGTAGAGGCTGTACCTTCTCCTCTGGTCTCTCCTCCATAGCTCTCCACCCAGATCTGGGCAGAGCGGATGCTCACAAAAGACTGTTTAGTTAGAATGAATTGGAGATGACAGACTCATTCCGGAAGTCCTCTCGTGGCCATCTTGATAGAGGGAAAGGGCAGCTGGCTGGCAGGAGCAAGCAGATAAAGCGGGCCAGAGTTGGTATAAGCATTTATTCTTCTGAAAGAATTAAAGCTAATCTTTCATGAGCAGTCTGTTCGGATTCTCATTTCTAATACAGATGCTATCAGGGTCTTAGATGTGATAAACTCCCTGGGGTTTCTATAAGACTCTGAATGCTGTCTGGAGTTAAATGCCTGTTCTTCTCCAAGCTCCAGCAACTCCCTCCAGATCGGTGAGCGGCAGACACCTGGCTGCAGGGAGAAGCTAGGTTCTCCTTGCAGGCTGGAGTAATGGAGATAGGACAGCCTCTGTACTACCTGTTCCCTCTCTTCATGGTTTTCCCTCTTTAGTCCTCAGACCTCAGCATAAATGTCACCTCCTCAGAAGAGCCTTCTCCTGCCACCTTAAATTAAGAAGTCCTTATAATTTTACTGATGCCTTTGATTATTGGGAGCTCCCTGAGGGCAGGAATTGTCCATCTGGTCTGCCATTACATTCTTCTTATCAGCACAGTACCTTGCACTTAGCAAGTTTTCAATAAATATTTATGGAGGAAATTAATAGACAGGAATTAGGAGTGTTGTGAGATGCTAGAAAATAATTTCATTTTTGCGGCTTGTTTTCTCTCCTGTAAAATGAGAAGTTAAATGGGATTTTGTAGGGGATTTTTTCCCCAGATCCATCATCTATAAGCTTATAGGAATGAGATCAAGATAAAAGTATTTTGCATTGGGTGCTTCTCTTCAAGGACTAGAGCTTGCTTAGGTGCATTTACCTAGATTGGGGTTCCTTAACCTCAATACAATTGAAGTTTGGGCTGGATAATTCTTTATGATAGGAGACTGTCATGTGCATTTTAAGATGTTTAATAGCATCTCTAATCTCTACCCTCTAGATGCCAGCAGTAACCCCACCCCACCTGTTGTGGGGATGTTGTGACCATCAAAAACATCTCCAGACATTTCCGTATGTCCCTTGGAGAGCAAAATTGCTCCCCACCCCTGTTGAAAACCACTGGCCCAGACCATGGTGGCTCTGATGATCATGCTCAGGAGTCTACACTTGGTCCTGCTTTGAATCTAACCTGAACTTTCTCTGCTGCAACAGGAGCATGTTTCCTCTTGAAGGAATCTCAGCCGATGACAAACTCCCTCCATGGCAGTAGATGTCAGGCTTGAGTGAGCATCAGAACCCCAGGGAGGGCTTCTTAAAGCACAGATGCCAGGCCCTACCCCCAGAGTTTCTGACCCAGTGGGTCTGCGGAAGGGTCTGAGATTTTGTATTTTTAACAAGGTCCCAGGTGATGCTGATGCTGCTGGTCCAGGGACCAGGCTATGAAACCAGTGCCTTATGGCAGTGGTTCCCAGCCGTGGAAGTCCACGAGAGTCACCTAGAGAGCTTTCAACAATCCTTATGCCTGGGCAACACCCCAGCCCACTGCATCAGCCTCTTTGGGGTGGCACTGAGGCATCTGTGTCTTTTAAAGCTCTCCAGGTGATTCCAATGTTTCAGACAAGGCCGAGAACTTCTGTACTGTGGCACAGAGCAAGCCATGGGTCTCTTCTATGTTTTCTACATTCTGTGTGCATTTGGAAAGAGCCTTTTGGCCATTTTGGCTATGGGGAAATACTGGAATGGAGGAATCCTGCTTTTCATTCATATGTTGGTTTCCTCCTCACTCAGGTGACCTCTTATTCACTTCCTTTGTTCACTTCTTAGCTTATCTCCTTGTACCCATATTCCTTTGTTATTTATTCTTTCATGCACACGTCCCTGGCATCCCCGAATACCCCTCTAGCTTATCTGCCTTTCATTGTTTACCTAGTCTCTTACGCATTTCCTTACTTCTCCAACTACTTGCTCATGCTCCTTCCCATTTTTATCTTTGCTTATTTATTTCTCCTTTTGTGAGAAGAGAGGGCAGGAGAAGGATGAATAAGGCAACAGGTTTTTGTACATAGAACTCTCTTCCTCTTCCTTCCCTTCCTTCCTAATCTTCCTTTGAACTTCAGCTTAACCATCACTCCCTTGATCTCCCAGGCCAGCCTAAACCCCACTCATGTGCTCTTCCAACACTAAAGATCTCACAGCTGTAAGTTTACAATGATTTTAAATGGGATGATGGCTGCTTGTCTGCCCTACATGGCTGTCTGCTCCACGAAGGCAGAGGCCCTATTTATTTCACTTTTATTGGATTCCCAGTGACTAGCACCAAGCCTTCCCTGAGCAGGTGCTCAACACTGCGAGGTCAGATAGACAACTGCTGCGCGTTACCCTCTCCTGCCTCTGGGGATGCTTTTGCTATGCTGGAGAAAGTAGACATGGAGGTGACAGCCCCAAGACTCTTTCCCCAGCAACTGTGAGCTGGGATGAGTTCTGAGATTTCCTAGCAGAGACAGGAACAGGCCTAATTCCCTCTGTCTCGGCAAAAATTATCCTCAGGAGTCATGAAGGATTTCTCAGGGTGGCCTCAGGTGCTGGCATTTTGATTCAGGCTCACAAACCTCACAGAAAGTCCTTCTCTTCCATGTAGTGGGCAAGGGAGGCTTGTGTTAGCCATCTTCTTTGTTTGGAGACACCACTTTGAAATCTCAAATTGTTTAATGTTTACACAGCAGAGGGGATTCTTCTTCTCTATGAAGGCCACCCAGATAGGAAAGCTTTGGTGATTTATTCTAGGCCTCCTTCAAGCATTAACCAGGCTCCCGAGGGAAGCAAAAGGCAAGTTTGTAAATGCAGATGCCTGGGCCTTAGACGGATAAGTCTTAAGATGCCTTCACATCCTTAGGTCATAGGAAAAATGGGCACTGGAGGTTTGCACTGATGTTTTCATGGGTGTGTGCTCATCTCCAAATCCATCAAATTGCATGTAACAAATACCTACACATTTTGGTATGCCCGTTACACCTCAATAAAGTGGTTTTAAAAAGAGAGAATTCTAAAGTATTCTTTAGAACTGGTCTGCACAATGTATCCCAGGTTGGCTCTGCTGGAAGCTCCTTTATCCAAGGAAACTGGAAACAGTGGCTTGCTCATCAACAATGAGCTAGGACCAGGTGATAGAATTCTGAGGACAGGAAACAGCCCTCAAATTCATGCCTGGAGACACCCACTCCTTAATAAATAGAGCTGTGTAGGATATCCCTCTATCCACGATCTTGGCAGCTGTCCACTATCTTAGCTTGCTGGAGCTGTATTCTAGACCCTCCTCATTAAGACCCCTGACACTCACCCTCCTTCTGAAGCCCCCCAGTAGGACAGATGCTCAATTGCTCTGGTCTTACTGCTAGTAGAGAGGAAGAATTAATGGCGATAGTACTGTCTGTAGAGCACTCACCAAATGCTCAGCACTCTGTTGGGTGTTTTACATGTGTTATTTATTTATTTTTAAAGACAGGATCTCATTTCATCACCCAGGCTGGAGTGCAGTGTCACAATCATAGCTCACTGCAGCCTCAAATTCCTGGGTTCAAGCAATCCTCCCGCCGTGGCCTCCCAAAGTGCTGGGATTGCAGGCATGAGCCACTGCAGCTGGCCTACATGTGTTCATTTTGTTTGACATTTTTCCTTCCCTCCCATCTTCCTTCCTTTCCTCCTTCCTGCTCTCCGTTTCTGCTTCCCCTTCTCCCTCTTCCGTCCCTTTCCTTCCTCACTTCTCCTCTTCCTTTTTCTTTTTCAGTGCTAGCTGTAGTTAATGAGCATCTTTGTGTATACAACTTTTGCTACAGTTGAATCCATCTTCAAGCAGAAATTCCCTGGAATGAAATCCTTTGGTCAAAGGGCATGAACAGTTTTACCGCTCTAGCTGGACAGAATTGCCGTGTTGCTTTCCTAAGGGGTCTTTCAAATCACAAAGCCCCTGAGCTTACCAATGTTCTAATAACCTTGCCAACACCAAGTGTTATTGGTTTAAACATTCTAAGCTAATTTAGTTGGTGTAATGTGGTCCCTCAAGGGTAGTTGCAGGTGCATTCACTTGACCTCTACGAAGGATGAACATTTCCCATGAGTTTTCCACTTGTGTTTCATCCTTGGTGAGTTATTTAATTAAGTATTCTGTCTATTTGTGTTTTGTCGTCCAGATTTTTAAGACTAAAACTTTGAATGAATTATATTATAAACTCATCCTTATAAAATCTTTTTTCCTCATTATCACCTGTCCCAGGAGCCTTTTAAGATGACTTTTTCCATGAAAATTTAATACTGCAGATATACTGTATACTTATTTATATACCATAGGAGATCTGTTTTTTATACATACACAGGAACCTAAGCACCAATTTTTGTCCCTTTGGGGGCAACATTGCCCTCATTGAGAATGTATACAGTAAACTAAATTTAACTAAATAGTTCAACTAAATAATAACGCACTAATGATAAAGAACCAAATAATAATTGAACTAAATAATAAACTAACTTCAACAAGCATTTTCTGGGCATCTATTTTGTACAAGCAATGAGCTCGGCACTGTGGGTTTAAAAAATGAAGTCAAGAGCCCTGATATCTTTTCTTCTAGGACTTTTAATGCAAATAGGTGAAAACGTTGAGAAAGGACATTGCAAGTAGGGGGGTAAAAGGAACAGCCTAAATAAGGGTCTAGGGACAGTCAAAAAAACCAACTAAATATCATCATCATCAGCAGCAGCAGCAGTACCACCAACAATAAAGGTTCCAGAGGCAGGGGAACATACACATTTTATGCAGGAGTGGAGAGCTGAAGCCAAGACTATGCTGGTGATGCCCTTCTGATGCATAAGAAAGGGTATCCTGGTGGTCAAAGAGAGGCCTAGGAGCAGGAAGACCTCGTTCAAAGCCAGATGTGTAATTTGCTTACACTGTGATTCTGGGCCAGCCACATCATTTTGGATTTCAAATTTATAAAATGGAGGAGAATAATAATACCCACCCTTCTAGGGAGATGTGAGGATTAAATGAAATAATTCACTCTAAACTCTTAGCCCAATGCCTGGCCCAGAGGTAGGCCCCGAAGACTGTCTGCTACCACTATTAATATTACTCTTTGTTGAACTTAAAGCAGAACTACAATTCGACCTAGCAATCCTCTTACTGGGCATATATCCAAAAGAAAATAAGTCATTCTACTAAAATGACACATGCACTTGCATGTTAATTACAGCACTATTCACCATAGCAAAGACATGGAATCCACCTAGGTGCCCATCAATGATGGATTGGATAAAATAAATGTGGTACATATACACTGTGAAATACTATGCAGCCATAAACAAAGAACAAAATCACGTCCCTAGCAGGAACATGGATGCAACTGGGTGCCATTATCTTAAGTGAGTTAACTCAGGAACAGAAAGCCAAATACTGCATGTTCTCACTTATAAGTGGAAGCTAAACATTGGATGCATATGTACATTTAGATGGTCACAATAGACAGTGGGGCTACTAGAGGGAGGAGTGAGGGAGGGGGACAAGACTGAAAAACTAAAGATTGGGTAATATGCTCAGTACCTGGGTGATGAGATCAATCATACTCCAAACCTCAGCATCATGTACCATACCCATGTAACAAACCTGTACATGTACCCCATGAATCTAAAATAAAAGTTGAAATATCTATATATATACACACATGTTTCTTTGTCAATTTTGAGAACTTCATCTGAGGTAGGGAATGATTCTGCAAAGGGGTTTTTCAAGGATCTTTGGTAGAGTCTGAACTTCAGATAGATAACCAAAAATAAGTGCATAAATCACTGAAAAACTAAATTACTTCCTTTCTAGAGTTAGGTTACCCTTTTCTTAGCCCAACCCTTTCCTTTTTTCATTCTCTAGTCCAGCTTCTTAAATTTGAATGTGCACATGAGACACCTGGGGACCTTGTTAAAATGTAGACTCTGACTGGGTAGGCCTGGGATGGGATCCAAGCGTCTGCATTTCTAACTAGCTCCCAGGTGCTGCTGCTGCCTGTGCTGCTGCTGTCGCTGATGCTGCTGCTGCCGCCGCTGCTCCTGCTGCCGCCATTCACAGACAACACTTGGAGTTATTTTGCCCCATTGAGTTTAAATAGGGGTGGGGTGGGGGTGATCTCAGGATTCCAAAGGTATCCAGGGAGATGCATGGGGAGGAGCAGGGAGTGGGCAGGACACCCCCACTTACTTCCAGGGGGATGAGTGGCCACACACAGGACCACTCCTTTGCTCTATCAGGCAAGACTTGAATGTGTGTTGGGATATAGATGTCCATCCTGGCTCAGGGGCTGTGAGTCTCCCTGGCCTGGGGTGAGACACCTCCATTTCACAAATACCACTGAGCAGTTTCCATAATGACATCCCCTTTCCAGGGGGCACTGATTCTGTGCAGGCACTTTGCTGCCTTAGCAAGGATCCCCCTAGCAGCCCTAAGCTAACCAAGATGGGATTAGAATGAAAAACTGACTCCAAGCCTCCTCCCACCACCCCAAATACACAAACCCAAGATGCCTGACTTTCTCCAGCTCCCCTTCAGTCTTTACAGGCCCTGAAGTAGCTTCTGGGACATGCAGCACTTGCTGATGCTTTAATATGTGCAAATCAATAAATGTGATACACTACCCCAAAAGAATCAAAGACAAAAACCATATGATTATTTCAAGACTTGCAGAAAAAGCATTTAATGAAATTCAACATCCATTCATGATAAAAAAAAAAAAAAAACTTTCAACAAATTAGGAATAAAAGGAGAATACCTCAACACAATAAAGGCCATATATGGAAAATCCACAGCTTACATCATAATGAATGGATAAAAGTGAAAAGCTTTTCCTTTAAGAACTAGAACAAGACAAGGCTGCCTACTCTCACCACTCCTATTAAACACAGTGCTGGAGACCCTAGCCAGAGCAACTAGGCAAAGAAAGAAAGAACATCCAAAGTGGAAAGTTGTTTGCAGATGACATGATCTTATATTTAGGAAAAACTAAAGACTCCACCAAAAAACTCTTAGAACTGATCAACAAATTCAGTAAAGTTGCAGAGTATGAAATTAACATACAAAAATCAGAGGAACTTCTATACATCAACAACAAACTAGCTGAAAAGAAGAAATCAAGAAAAACAATCCCATTTACAATAGCTACCTCAAAAATATATAAAATGCTTAGGAATAAGTTTAGCTAAGGAGGTGAAAGACCTCTATAAGGAAAGCTATGAACACTGATAAAAGAAATTGAAGAGGACACAAAAAAATAGAAAGACATCCCATATTCATGAATTGAAATAATTAATATTGTGAAAATGACTATATTACCAAAAGTGATCTACAGATACAATGCAATCCCTATAAAATACCAATGACATTCTTCACAGAGATAGAAAAAGTTCTAAAATTCCTATGGAAGCACAAAAGATCCCGAATAGCCAAAGCAATCCTGAGCAAAAAGAACAAAGCTGGAGGCATCATACTACCTGACTTCAAAATATACTGCAAAGCTATAGTACCTAAAACAGCATGGTGCCAGCATAAAAACAGATACATAGACCAATGGAACAGAATCGCAAACCCAGAAATGAATCCATGTATTTACACTAACTGACTTTTGATAAAGGCACCAAGAACATTCACTGGGGGAATGGACATTCTCTTATTAATGGTGCTGGGAAAACTGGATATCCACATGCAGAAGAATGAAAGTAGACCCCTATCTCTTATCATATACAAAAATCAACTCAAAATGATAAAGACTTAAATGTAATATCTGAAACTATGAATCTACTAGATGAAAACATAGGGGAAACATCTTGGTTCATTGGTCTGGGCAAAGATTTTTTGGGTAAGACCTCAAAACACAGTCAACAAAAGCAAAAATAGACAAATGGAATTATATCAAACTAAAAAGCTTCTACACAGCAAAGAAAACAATCAACAGAGTGAAGAGACAACCTGCAGAATGGGAGAAAATATTTGCAAACTATTCATTCAACAAGGGATTAATATGCAAAATATACAAGGAACTCAACTCAACAGCAACAAAACAAATAATCTGATTAAAAATGTGACAATGTGCTGAATAAACATCTCCCAAAATAAGACATGTAAATGGCCAACAGGTATATGAAAAAATGTTCAACATCCCTACTACATCAGGAAAATACAAATCAAAACTACAATGAGATATTATCTCATCTCAGGATGGTTATTATCAAAAAGACAAAAAATAACATGCTGGCGAGGATGCATAGAAAGAACTCTTATACACAGTTGGTGGGAATGTAAATTAGTATAGCCATTATGGAAAACAGTATCAAGGTTTCTCAAAAAATTAAAAGTAGAACTACCTTACGATCCAGCAATCCCACTCTCAGGTATATATCCAAAGGAAAGGACATCAGTATGTTGAAGAGATATCTGCACTCCCATGTTTATTGCAGCACTATTCACAATAGCCAAGAGAAGAAATCAGCCTAAGTCCATAATGGATGAATGGATAAAGAAAATCCAAGAAATGGACACACATACACACACACACACACGAATACTATTCAGCCATTTAAAAAAGAAATCTGTCATTGGAGGTAACAAGGATAAGCTTGGAGGCCATTGTGTTAAGTGAAATAAGTCAGGCACAGAAAGATAAATACCACACGTTCTCACTCATCTGTTGAAACTGAAAAGGCTGATCTTACAGAAGTAGAGAGTGAAATAGTGGTTACTAGAGTCTGGGAAGGATAAGGGGAGAGGAGAAGGAGAGGTTGGTTAGTGGATACAAACTTACAGCTAGATCGGAGGAATAAGATCTCATGTTCTATAGCACTAGATGGTGACTATAATTAACAATTGATTGTATATATTCAAATAGCTAGAAGAGTGAATTTTGAATGTTCTCAAGACAAAGCAATAATACATTTTCGAGGTGATAGATATGCTGATTATCCTGATTTGATCATTTGTGTACACGTATTGAAATATCACGCTGTAGCCCATAAATACATAAGATTATTATATGTCAATTAAAAAATACTTAAAAAAGAGAAAGTTTTAGTGCAACCAGAAGATGGCTCTTTTTGAATCTTATTACTTTAGCTTTACCATTCCAAAATATTAAAAGACAGTTCTTATCAGGAGAAAAAAGAAAAGAAATGCATGGGGCATGGGCAGGTTCCCCTAGGAAGGCAGTCTTGCATAGCCGCTTCAGCCACTGGGTTGTTTGTACCAGCTTTGCAGCAGGATCCACCCCATGAAATTTCTTTCCTTAAAACCAGAGTCCTTTCCAAGGAAAATGGAGTTGGTCTTTTATGCAAGGTCAACCTAAACTTCCAGAGTTGAAAATGCCACTCACAACTTAACCATTCTGTCTCCTTGCTGGAAGCAGAAGGCAAGTTGGCAAGAGAGGATCTTCGATGCATGAGGTCAGAGTCAGAATTGTATGTCCAAATCCTGGATCCCGTGATTCACGGCTGGGCAACCTTGTGCCAGTTATTTTACCTCTCTGAACCTCATTTTCTCAACCGTGAAAAAGAGGTCATTACAACAATCAAAATAGAAAAACTAGCTGGGCATGGTGGTCCCAGGTACTTGGGAGGCTGAAGTGGGAGGATTGCTTGAGCGCAGGAGTTCGAGGTTACAGTGAGGTATGATTGTGCCTCTGCACTCCAGCTGGAGCAAAAGAGTGAGACCCTGTCTCTCTCTAAACAAAAAAGATACCAATAGTAGTTCCCTCTTACTAAACACTTATGTACAAGTCATTATGTATCCTTAATCTCATTCCAATGCTATGAGGTAGGAATGTCACCATTCACATTTTACAGATGAAGACATTGTGGCTTAAGGAGGTAGTACAATGATGTTGACACTGGAGGCATTCTGAATATTTGGTGTGACTTCTACGAACTACCTGGCACACAGTAGGTCCTGATGCTGAGCTGTCATCAGGGACTTGTCCAGGTATTGCAGCTTTTCCTTGTCCCTGCCCTGCAATCCTCCAAATGCACCCTGAACTCTTTGTCCAGTCTGGCTCTCTGTGATGGAGACACAGACAGAACTCTCAGTTAGAGTCAGGTGACTGCCTGGACACTCTCTGGAGGCTGAGGGCAGGCAGGGACATCAAGGAGACAGCCCAGGTCATTGTGGGTTCTAACGGTGATGGTGTCAATGTGTGATCATCTGGAGACCGTTTAAGTGCTGGCACTGTTCTACAACCTTTGCATGGATCATCCTGCAGAATCTGTCTAGTGAGATGTGAGATTTCCGCTATATCATCACAATTTTATAAAATCCCAAAGCCTAGAGAGGGTATATTAGTTTCCGAGAGCTGCCACAACAAATTACCACCATCTAGCTGGTTTAGAATAACAGAAATATATTCTCTCACAGTCCTGGAGGCTAGAAGTCCAAGATCAGAGTGTCAGGAGGGCCATGTCTTTTCTGTAGGCTCCGGGGAAGAATCCTTCCTTGTGTCTTTCAGTATGGTGGCCCCTGGCAATCCTTGGTGTTCCTCGGCTTGCAGTTGCATCACTCTCCTACCTGCCCCCATCATCACATGGCATTCTTCTCTGAGTGTGTCTCTCTGCATCTTCCACATGACCTTCTTAGGAAGATACCAGTCATTGGACTTAAGGCCCACCCCAATCCAATATGACCCCATCTGACGAATTACATCTGCAAAGACCTTATTTCCAAATAAGGTTACATCCTGAGCTTTTCGGCAGACATGAATTTGGGGAGGGTGGGGACACTATTTGACACAGTACAAAGGAGGAATGACTTGCCTGAAGAAGTAGCAGAGCTCAGTGTTGAACCCAGATTCCGTGAAGCCCAAGTCCATGCCTATTTTAGTGATTTTCTTAATAACATCATTGGGACCTACCTGCCCTACAAATGCCCTTTGTTTACTTGAATCTTAAGTGTGCCTGGTGTGGGCAAAAAGAACACAGCCAGGCAGTCATTTCACATCATGAGATGAGGGTATGGGGTTTTCCTATTCATATATCAGAGTCTATCTCTACCTCTCAATTCAGACAACAATAAAATAGCACACCCTTGATATTTGCAAAGCCTTCTAGAGTCTGCAAAGCACGTTCGCACTCAGCACTGTGAGAATGACCTCTCAAGAATTTCACATAGTTCAAATTGTCACCCCCATTTATCTGACAGAAACATTGAGACCCAGACGGTGCCATAAGGAAATGCATTAGAAGATGGGTTGGAAGTTCCAAAGTACTGTGCTAATGAAGGGGGTTATTAATAGCTCTAATTAAGAGCAGCAACAACAATGCTAATCATCTCTACCCATTACAGATTCAATTCTATGCAATAAACATTTCCAGGCGCAGTGCTACGTACTCAACAAATATTATCTCATTTAATTCAATTAACGGCAACCACCCAGGAGAAATGTTGTGGGATTAATCGACTGCATTGTAAGGAGGAGCACGAGTGGGTTTGAAACTTTGTACTTTCGTACTTGGAAATACCTTTTTTTTTTCCTTTGGGCATTGGTGAGTAAAAAAAGAAGACAGAAAGTCTGGAGTTAGAGGGGAAAAATGGCTTTTCCACTGAGACGAATATGAGAGAGTTGGCTTCTACCTTCCTCTCTAGATTAATAACTAGAGGGTCTTGGGATTAGAAAGCAGTGTGCCCCATTTTCTTCCTTCTAATTCTTTCTTTTCTTCCTTTCAACAAATGTGAGTGTCTATTACATGCCAAATACTCAGGTTGGGTTAGGGTTAGGGTTAGTAATACGATGTGGACTAAATCTGTGTTAGGTAAAGGAAGGTGTCTTTCTACAACAGGAGAGGCTGTGTCTTACAAGGGTCTGAACTCAGGATTCTCAATTGAATTTAGGATCACCTAGAATGGAAACGGACATGGAACCCAGACCCAGTGTGAGAACTCAAGGAGAGGAGATTTGGTCAATTATTAAGACTAAGACAAGTGAATGTCTAAGGACTACCTCGCCTAATAAGTTTCAACACCCACAAGCAATCCTGTCTTGATATGTGTAGAATACAGCATTTCATTTTTATAAACTCTTCATGTAACAATTTCTCGAAAACTCATTTTTGCATGGTCTGCTTTGGCATAG
Organism: Homo sapiens; assembly: GCF_000001405.40. Classification (NCBI taxonomy): domain Eukaryota; kingdom Metazoa; phylum Chordata; class Mammalia; order Primates; family Hominidae; genus Homo; species Homo sapiens. The sequence goes on along the minus strand of NC_000022.11, from coordinate 26,245,972 downwards.
AGTTTCACGTTCTAACTACGTGGAGTATTTACAGGAATCATCATCATTGCCCTTTGTAGCAGGTAGCAGCAACATAGGTGTTATAATAATAGCAATGATAAAACAGCAATACTAATAATAATGGTGACAATAGCAGCAGTAGCAGCAACAACAACAACAATAAAATGCTAATAAAGAGACTGTAGAGCCAGCATCCCCATCTGACACATAAGAACAGGAAGATTAAAGAGAAGGGAAGTGACTTTCTCAAGGTCACACATCAATCAGCGGCCACTCTCAGAGGAGGACCTGGTGTTCTAAGAGCCAGCATTCTTTAATCACAATGCCAAATAACAATAACTGCTAGCATTTTGACCTGCTTACCCTGACCCAGGCATTGTGTACGAAGCTTGGCAAACAATATTGCAAGTCATCACAAAAACTTAAAGGAGGCACCACCATCAGGTCAGCCCATTTTCCAGGTGGCCCAAGTCCCCATGGTGTAAAATGCATGCCAAATGGGGAAGGGTGGGCTTGGGAGAGTCCCTCCCTAGAGGAGGGAGAAGGAGCCTGCAGAACAGGTTCAAGGGAATTCAAGGGCTGCCTGGGAGCCTGCACCCCTGTTCCAGCCGAACATCTTTGTCTCTCGTCTCTCTTGTTCAATTTTACTGCATCCCAGTTTTTCTAAAGTCAGGCTCTCAGCAGCCGGGGATGCTGGCTTCAAGGTCCACAGGAATGGTGCCTGGGGAATTTGCATAGCTACCTTGGCTACAGGCAAGCAAAAGGTTGCCATGGAAACCCTTCATCCCTTCTCAGACCTGCAGCCTGTTCTCCCTCCCCTGATGCTCCATCCCTCACCTCCCCACCACAAAGGGGCACGGGAAACCAGAGCGCCCCAACAAAGGCAGATGTACTTAAGGGTTATCTTTTGATGCGAGCTGGCTTCCTTGCCTCTGGTCCCCTTCAAACCCATCCTTGCGTGCTGCCCAAATAATTATTACTTGTCCAGTTCAGATCATGTCATTTCCCTGCTCAAAACCCTCCGTGGCTCCCCATTGCTGAAGGAGCAAACACAAACCCCTCGTTCTGCTATTTAAGTCTCCCTCTCTGTCTCTCTTCTCCAACTCAGCTGCACTGAAATCCCATCAGTCTGTGGTTTCCCAGAGGGATCCCTACAGCCTTGTTCATTGTTGCTTCCCTGGTGCCTCGTATAGCTCCTGGTGCGTAGTAGGCACTTGGGAAGGGGGAAAAATATAAAAGAAGGGAGGAATAAAAAGTGCCAACTTTTCCTACCCTCAACATAGCCTTTGCTTCAGTTTCCTGTGAGACAAATTGGAGTTTGACATCCCTCCTCAAGATGCCTCCTCCAAGACCAGGTAGGTGCACACCTCAACTCCTGCCAAATTCTTCCTATCCTTAGAGCGCTCAATGCAGATGCCACTTCCTCCAGTAAGACTTCCTAGATACACTATTTAAAACAAATATCTCTCTGTTCTAGAGTTCCCTGTGGCTGAGCTGTGTGTGCAGAGAGCACCTTTCTCTCTCCTTGGGAAGCCCTTTGAATGTAGAAACTCTGCATTCCTCATTCCTGTGCCCTCCCTCTCCCCAGTGGCTAGGACTTAACACCAAAGGGTGCTCAGGAAACAAATGGAAGCAGGTAAGTTTTTAAGTCATTCACATAACAGGGCACGGTGATTTTCCATGATTTCAGGGCTTCTCAAATGAGCTCATTTTATTGCAAGGTTCACAGCTTCTTTAATGCACATGCAACTTGGGTGATGGGTCACCCTGCTCATTTTTCTACTCTTTTCTTTCTTTCTTTCTTTCTTTTGAGATAGGGTCTCACTTTGTCACCCAGGCTTGGGTGCAGTGATGTGATCTCAGCTCACTGCAGCCTCAACCTCTCAGGTTCAAGTGATCCTGCTGCTTCAGCCCCCTAAGTAGCTGGGACTATAGGTTTGTGCCACCATGTCTGGCTAATTTTTGTATTTTTAGTAGACACAGGGTTTCACAATGTTGCCCAGGCTGGTCTCGAACTCCTGAGCTCAAGTGATCTATCCACCTCGGCCTCCCAAAGTGCTGGGATTACCGGTGTGAGCCACCACGCCAGGTCTCCCTGCTCATCTTTCTTCTCTTGTGAGCCACCACGCCAGGCCTCCCTGCTCATTTTTCTTCTCTGGGGGCTTAATGGGTTAAATAAAATTACCAGACCAGGTGCTTTGATGAACTTAGAGCTCTGTCCTCCTCCTCTTCTTTTAGTTGCCCTACTCTCATCCTTGTCCTTTTTATAATCTCTTCTCAACGCATCAGCTAGAGTGATCCTTATAAAACGTAAACCACAATAAGGTCGCTCCATGGCTGAAAACCCTCCAGTGGCTTCCTGTCTCTTTAAGACACCCTCAGTCTCTAAGATGATTGTTCTGCTCCATCTCCACCCTTCCCTCACTTATTCTGATCCAGCACCCTGGACTTTTTGCTGTTTCCTGCACATCCCCAGTGTGGTCCTGCCTCAGGGCCTTTGCACATGCTCTGTCAGAATGCTGTGCACCAGTTATTTGCATGGCTCATGTCCTCATTCACTCAGCTCTCTCTGCTCAATGCTGTCTTCTCACAGAGGCTTTTCCTGCTTATTCATTATCTGAAATCCTCCTTAACCCTGCTTCACTTTCTCCATGGCACCCTCTGATAAATTCAATGGATATTTGTTTATCCTTGATATCCTTGTGGTGGGTCAAATTGTCTCCCTCAAAGACATATGTTCAAATCCTAACCCCCTGTACCTGTGAATGTGAACTTTTTGGAAATTGAGTCATTGCAGATATAATCAAGTTAAGATGAGATCATTCAGAATTACAGTGGGCCTTGATCCAATGACTGGTGTCCTTATAAGAGGAGGGAAATTTGGCCACAGAGACAAAGAAAAGGTCATATGAGACAGAGGTAGAGCAGAGACTACCAAGGGTTGCAAGGCAAACACCAGAAACAAAGATACGGAACAGATTTGCCCTCAGAACCTCCAGAAGGAATCAACCTTGCTGATACCTTGGTTTCAGACTCTTGGCCTCTAGAAGAGTGAGAAAATACATATCTGTTGTTTTAAGCCACTTGGTTTGTGACACTTTGTCATGGTGGCCCTAGGGCACTAACCAACTCCAGGAGGACTGGGAGCATGTTTCCCGCTGAATCCCTGCCATCTTGACCACTGCCTGGCAAGAGAAGACACTCTACCAACATTTTTTTAGGTAAATAAAAGAATTCATTTTTCAAGTCTTCATCAAGAACCACTATGTGTACAGTGCTATGTTAAGTTCTGGTAAGTTTCATGTTAATCCGAGGCCCCAGCATCTCCTCTTCCAAGGAGCAACCAACTCCAGAATAATAATAATTGTTCTTTTTTACATTGCTTTTATTTTTCTTTTTTCTCTCTCCATTTCCACGGGTATCAATAGTCGTGGTTCTTAAACCACTTTTCCAGTTTCTCAAGCACTTTCAGCCCTATGATCACACAAGACCCTCACCAACAAGCCAGCAAGCCACGAGCTTGAGCTGGACTTACTATCATTATCCCGATTTTCCAAATAAGGAAGCCAAGACTCAGAGAGGTAGAGAGGTTTGTCCAAGATCACCCAGCCAGGGAGGGGCTTGAGCCCAGGGCAGTGTGCCTCATACAGAATGAGCCTGGCCCCATGGACTGGAGGATATCAGTGAAGGAGCATCTCAGGAAGCAGCCCCGAGGTTGTGTTAGGAAGCATTTATTGAGTGCCTACTGTGTGAAGTCAGCCTCTGTGCTGGGCATGGCATGCAACCCCGTGCACTGAGACAGAAATGGGGAATTGGGGCTCCATGATTTCAGCAACCTGCCTGGGCAGCAAGTCTGAATGCCAGCTTCACTGACAGCTGTTTGATTTGGTCAAGTGACACCTTGTCTTTGAGCTCTGGAGACACCTGTAGCGGCATCTGCATCCACCTCCCCTAACACCTGCCCACCCACTGAATAAGTCAGTTTTCCATGAGCCTCTGAGGTATGGTGGCTCTCCTCAATGTGCACCAAGTCCCTTAACCATAGTTAATCACAGAATCTCACTTTAAATAAACCTTAAGGGAGCCTAGCTTGTCCTCCCGGTGTCCTTGGTGCCCAGACTCATGTGCCATTAAGCCTGTGACATTAATGGAGAGTTACTCCAGCCTGTGGCATGAGGCAAAGAGGCTCCTCCTAAGATAAGATGGGAATCTGAGAGCCCAAAAGCTATATTTAAGGGAATTTTAGAAGTGTTTGTTTTTAAAATGTAATGAAATGGTTATTATCAACTTTTTTCCTTTCTCCTCCTGCCTTCTTCCCAAACAGGTGCAGTGAGATTAGTGGTAATTTAAAAAGCAGGATTGCCTCTGTGTCAATTTCCCGCTAATGAGCAAAACTCGCCGTGTAATTGCTATGTATTGAACGAAGCAACAATACATTTTCAGTGGCTGTTTAATATGCTGGGGCTTGGTTTAACAGATGTTCTGAGACTCGCTTTCCAAGACGGAGGAGCCAAGCCCAGAAGAAGAAGGTGACATTTCCCTTTCTTTTGCCTCTGTCCAGTGCTGCATCCCTTGGAGGGCATGAGGCAAGGCCACGTGAGACACAGTCGGTGCTAGATTCCTGGAGGCAGAGCTGAGGGTAGGTCTTGAAACCAGCGAGGGTAGCAAGCAGAGGAAGATGACGATCCATTCCTCTTCTGATCTTCACTATAAGGGGCACCAAGCCCTGGGTCATGACAAGGTCTTATATTTAGCATGGACTTGCAACCAGTAAGTGCTGTCCCTTGCTAGCTCTGTGACCCTCTCATGTGACTTTAACCTCTCTTGAGTCTCAGCTTCACCATCTTTCGAATGGGGATAACACGTAACATATCTCATGAGGATGAAATGATGAACGAACAGGGCCGTTCCCCTGCCTGGACACTCTTCTCTAGAGTGTCTGCATGTCTCTCTCCCTCACTTGGGTGCATGGACGCCTACTGTCCATTGCCCTCCTCTGTCTGCCTCTGGCAAATGCTTTGTGCTGGGGGTTGGTGGATATGAAGGTCAAATGTCACCATCTTCCTAGGCCTTTCCAGAATGCCCTCTTGCCTGCTCTCTCCTTGACATGCTCCACGTTTCTCCCATAGCACCTGACACCCTCCAACACTCTGTGTTAACTCACATATTTTTGTTTGTTTGTTTCTCACCCTCTGTCTCTCCTTATTAGAAGGTAAGCTCCACGAGGGCAAGGATTTATGGCCTTTTTCTTCCATGGATGACTCTGAAACGCCTAGAACAGTACCTGGCACACAGTAGGTGCTCCACTAATGCTGAATGAATGATGCATGTGGAAGGCTGAGTCTGGTTCCCACAACACAGTAGTAGCTCAATAATGATAGCATATAACATTATTATTTAATTATTATTAAATTGCCTCAAGCAATTTTGTGTCCACTGTCTGTCAGGACTGGATGGGACCAGATGCCATTAACTACATACTCAGTCCTCCCAACAACCAAGTATAAGGCAGGTACTATTATCGTGCCCATTTGACAGAGGCTCAGGAATGACTGCCCACATTCACACAGTTGACAAGGAATAGGGGGCTGATTCAGCATCACACCTAGGCCTGAGTCCCAAGTCCTCTTTTCAGGACTTGGGTGCCTGAATGTGGGACGTACCTGATGAATGGGACTCTCCTTCCATCAAAGAGGAGGGGCTGTTTGGTTTGAGCCTTTGAAAAAAAGTCAAACACAAGAGGAGAGAGGGTATATGAGACAGAGGGAACAGCATGAGCAAAGGTGTGGGGGTCTACCAGATGTATTTCTTGTGCATCCTCTATGTGCCCAGCCCAAGGCAAGATGCAATGGTGTGTGTGTGTGTGTGTGTGTGTGTGTGAGTGTGTGTGTGTGTGTGTGTGTGTCTGTATGTGTGTATGTGTGTGTTGAGGGGATACACAGAAAGCTGCAAATTGATATTTGCAGCTCAAGAAGCCCCAGCCCCAGCCTTGTTGAGGGAAGTTGAATTCTCTGAGTTAAGCCAAGGGTGAGGTGAAGGTGCGGGTGGAGGGGGCTGTGTGCGGTTGTGGGGGGATGGCAGAGGGGATTGGGGTTGGGAGAGAATGAATACAAAATGAATGGCTTTGTGCTTGGGCCTGCATGCAGCAACAGAAGGTCACGCCAGCAGGTTCAGGATGCATTTGGCCAGCATGGAAAGTGAAAAGAGAATGTTTTACAACCTCAGCGGCTCTGTGAGTCAGAAAACCACAGCTGTTCCATGCTGATAAGAAACCAGGGGAAGATAAGTTGCCCCTTGGATCTGAGGAAGAGGTAGCAGGTGGAGTTAGAAGGATTTGGGGTTGGAGTCAGGGGTCTGGGGTCTCATCTTGAATCAGTCCTCCCAGAGGCTCCAAGGCTGAGGGAAAGAACTTTGGTTTCAGAGTACTGGAGGCTTGGATTTAGGTGTGGATTCTCCTTCTCGCTAGTTGCAGTTCCTTCTATACAAAATGAAGATTCCCACAATCCCTTTTCATGGTCTCACTGGATAAAATGCTGCTTTGTGAACAGCATTGAACAAGAGGGTGCAGAACCTGTCTGATGATGCTTGAGAAGGCTTCCAAAGAACTTGCTGGCTAACTGGCAAGTGCTTCTTGACCATCTACTATGAGCAAATGCTGAGGTGTGTGCTGGGGATAGGGGACCTAAAGCCACAGCCCTCTCCACTCCACCCTGCCCCCCAGCTGGCCAGATGCTCCCCCTCCTTTTTTTGAGACAGGGTTTCACATTGCCGCCCAGGCTGGAGAGCAGTGGCCCGATCATGGCTCACTGCATCATCAGATTCCTGGATTCATGTAATCCTCCCGCCTCAGCCTCCCAAGTAGCTGGGACTACAAGCACATGACATCATGCCCTGCTAATTTTTTAAATTTTTTGTAGAGATGGGGTCTTGCTATGTTGCCTAGGCTAGTCTTGAACTCCTGGCCTCAGGTGATCCTCTTACCTTGGCCTCCCAAAGTGTTGAGATTACAGGGTTGAGCCACTATGTAGAGGCCCAGTTACACTTCTAAAGTCACACTGGACTTTCTGCAGCTTCAACCCAGCAGTTACAACATGTTGTTCTAGTTATTCGAGAGGCAGAGCAGCCTAGTGTGACCAGCAGGGGTTTAAGTTGGAAGGAACTGGTTTGAATCATGGTTCCTTCCTAACTGCATGAACCTCAGTCAAGTGACTAACGATTTCCATGCCTCAGCTTTTCCATCTGCAAACTCAGGGTAAAAATAGGACCTATCATCTCATTAAGCAATGGAGAATATTGAATGAAATAACTTATGCGAAGCCTGGCTTATTGTTGGTGCCCAAAAAACAGCAGGTATTACTATTTTTGCTATTATTGCTACAGCTGTTATTATTTATGTACTTTCTTTATCTGGCCACTTATGCTGCTGTCTCCTGGGAAGCAGTGCCTGCGTTTTACTCCTATTTGACATCCGCAAGGGATCGGAACTGCCTGGCTCAACACAGGTGCTAATCAACAGTTTTGAAGTGGATGAAGGAGTGGTTGAATGAATGCCATCTTGTCATGAGGCCATCTTCATAAACACGGTTCCTCAACTTTTGTCTTCTTCCAGATGGAATGCATATTTTTAGTTCTTGCACATCCTTCTGTGTTTCCCTCCTGAGTGCTTTGCCCCGTAGTGGCTCACAGTGGGTCCGTACAAAATACCAGCCTGAATGCCTACGCAGCCCTTCAGGCTAAACCCTTCTAGGACACAACCTTTTCATCAACTGCATGGGGCCCACAGCTATTCCTTAGCCCCTTTGCCCTTCTGCCTGCTCTGACCAATGCCCTGCCCCTTTAATTAATAATAGGGACATGATTTGCTCAAATCCCGACCTCTGTTCATCCACTGCCCTGGGATATCAGTAAGATGTTTACTCTTCCATCTCCCCCGGGGAACTTGGGTTCCACAGCTCCTTTATCAACAATAATCCTGGGCTGCAGGCTTGATGGTGGAAAATGAATATTCTGGCTCCTTTTCAGTTTCCAGATTGATTGGGGACAAACGGGAACTCAGCCCTCTCAACCAATCATCCAAGGCAGTCAGCTGTAACTAGGTGTACACTTAAACAGCCGGCATGTGAAATAGCACACTTGTGCTCTGCTGATTAAAAAAAAAATCCAAATCATTATTCCCCACCTTCACAGGCTTGGAGGCCTAGGAGCAGGTGGGGTGGGGTGGGTGGCAGATGAGGCTGCCTCAGTAGCCCTAACCATTTCATCATTAATATCCACCCACCCACTATGCATTGTCCACAGTAAAATGTGCTTTGTCTTCCACACTGTATTGGTGAACAAATAAATCACTCAGTTCCTTGGTTTTAGTAAAACAATAAGAGCAACACTGGTGTAGTGTTTACTTTGTTCCAAGCACTTTGCATATATGAACTCACTTCATCCTCCTAACAACCCAACAGGTAGGTATCATCAGGATACCCATCTTATAGATGAAGAAACTGAGGCACAGAGAGGTGAAATAACTTGCCAGGTTTATCCACTGTATAAGTGGCTCTGGCTTCCACTCTGACATCTTTGGATTTCTACATGCAAACATTTTATTGGGAGTTTCCTATTTGTGAGACGTTGCACCAGAACCTGAGAATAGGCAAAAGACCTGGTCCCTGCTCATTGTGGGAAACAGGCGTGTAATTGAAGGAATGAAGCAGTGGCTAACGTGAATTAGAGCTTACTCAGCAGCGAGTCAGTGCTAAGAAGCTTTACGTAATAGTTCTCATGACAACCATATTAGGTAGAAACTTGATTATCCTTGTTTGACACACAGGGAAACTGAGGCTCAGGGAGGGGAAGTGGGGAAGTCACACCTCGAGTTGAGCAGCTAAGCCTGGATTTGAACCTATCCCTGTGTGACTCAACATCCCACTGCCTAGGACTCCCTGGCAGCTAGCCCAGCCTGGATGGTCAGTGGCAGCTTCTGGGAGTGGGAAGACTGAGAGCGAGGCAGAGAATGAAAGGGGGAGCAGAGACAGGTTCTGGTTGAGGGTTCTGGATATGAATAAGGCTGGTGTGTTAGGGGGACTGTTGTGTATGGGGGCTTCTGCATGGACAGAAGGCAGAGGAGAGGCTAATGGTAGCCACACCAAGCTGAGGCTCAGAGGCCATGGTCAGGATGTCATCCTGCAGGTATTACTGATTGATTTTAAGCCAGAAAAACCTGACCTTTTTAGCTAGCACATTCAGCCTTAGTTTTGCTAAGTAGAATCTCCATTAGAGTTTTCAAAACACTTCGTTTCTCTCTCAGCCCCCTCCTCTCCCTGCCCATCACTCCTTTCAAAGACTATTAGAGTCAGGGGGACCCCAGATTTGAAACTGGTGGTTTAGTCTATAACCAACTTTTTGAAGGATGCTTTGGAAATAAATGTCACAACCTCAATCAATCAAGTCCACAGGCTCGGAAAGTTTGACTATCTCCTGTTTCCATACCCAGTATTTTAAAAACTTACCTTCCCAGAGAGATCGACCAAATGCATAAATAAATGGAATAAAAAATAAGACAGGGTCTGTTTTGGAGAGCCGCTGGCAATGGCTGAGCCACACTGTGAGAGTCATACATCATTCAGGCATGAGGGAGTTTCAATAATACCCAAGTTCTCAAGCAATTAGAGGGTCGGTCCCCCTCTGTTCAGCTCCAGGAGAACTAATGGGTTGGCCATGCCGAATCTCCAGAGCTGAGCCACACGTTGCACTGCCATCTGCCCTCAAACTCCAAAGGCAATTTGGGCTCAGTGGCAGGTTTAATGGCATGGGTAGATAAAACACTTTCCTGCATCCACCTGGAGGGACAGTCATGGCTGGGAAACTGGTGGACGGGAAGGAGGCTTTTGTGGGCACAGCAGCCTGAGATGCAGATTTCAAGTTGCCCGAGACAGGGGGGCAAGATCCAACCTGAAGTGCAGGGCCAAGGCCAGGCCAAGGCCAGGAGGTGCCTCTGATGTTATGAGAGCATCTTCCAAGGCCGCAAGCCCAGTGACTCATGCAGCTTCATGAAACTTCTCTGTCACTTTGCAGCCAGAGTTTTTCTTACTTGATCTGATCATATTCCTTCTTTTTCCGCTTGGAATTCTCCGATGGCTTCCCCATGGCCCTCCGGATGAAGCAGACTCTTCTCAATGACTGGAGAGTCCTCTATTCTACCCCTCTGTCCTCCTTGGAGATCCATGCTCCAGGTATGAGCTGCTATACTTCCCCAAAAGGGCAAGTTAATTCAAGCCCCTAAGCCTTTTGCTTGTCATTTTCTTGGCTTAGAATGCCTTCTCTTTCTTCCTTGGCCTAGAATGCCTTCCCTCTCTTTCACCTGGCTAATGTCTATTTATCACCTCATCCAGGGACCCTTCCTGGAATGTGTCCATATCTCAAATGCCCTCACCCTACATGCTCCCACAGCCTCGGTGCTTCCCCATCATAGCCTTGTCTCTTTGCCCCTCCAGCCAGGCAACTCTGAGGGCAGCAGCAGTGGCTGTATCTTATATAACACTGTGTTCCTAGTACCTAGCAATGTGTCTGGCCCATGGTGAATATTGAGTAAATGTTTGTTGAATTCATTAATGAAAATTAAGTAGATGAATAAATACATGGATACTCTATGACAGTGGTTCTCAACCAAGAGTGATTTTGTTCCCAGAGGGACATGTTTGCTTGGGGATATGGAGGAGGTGCTACTGGCATCCATTGAGAAGAGGCCAGGGATGCTATTAAACATCATACAATGGGCTTCCCCTTCTCCACCCTCCTGTCCCAAACCAGGGAATATCCAACCCCAAATGCCAATAGTGCCAAATTTGAGAGACTTAGCTCTATGACTAGGTCCTGTTTTCACTACTGTAGGGGATGGAAGAGAAGGCAAAGGCATATTTCCCATTCCCAGTGAACACGCAATATGGTGAGACACACAAAAGCAACATCCGAGAAAGCACTAGGAAACAGAATAAGACACTAACATTTATTGAATTCCTCCCAGTATCAGCCGTTGGGGGTATCTCTACCCTGTTGAACTCCTACTAATCTGTCAAGACTTAGCTTAAATATCACCTCTTCCAGGTAGCCTTCCCTGATACCCGAGGTCATTTCTCTCTGCTACTGCAGTTTTCATCACACTTTCCTGTAATTATTTGTATATGTGGCTGTGTCCCTTCTAGACTGAGGACAGGGGCTGTGCTCTATTTGCCTTTATTTCTCTGGTGCCTAGAGCACAGTATATAGTTTACTAAATGTTTGGGAAAATGAGCTTCAGAAATAGGCCTATTGTGGCTATCAAGCCAGCAGTTGGGTTTCCCCACCTTCTGCTGAGATGCCCAGGCATAGAGATGAGCCCCCAGCCTTATTCATGACCTCATACAGAGGAAGAATGCTGTTCTGGGCTGTCAGTACTTTGTCATTGACTTTGCTGCCAAGCCAGAGAGCAAGACGTTCGTTCTCCCAAGGAGCACGTCAACCAATGAGCTATAAATTAGAAAGGAAAAAAAAGGTCTGCTAATTCCGACCCACTCTATTTTTTACTCGCAGCTGCTAGGGAGGGAATGCACTGGCTTTCAGATGGAACATTTCTTTGGCTTAAGTTCCCCTCTCTCTGCTGGCCCCATTATTTCCTTCCCCCAAGGTCCAGCCTAGCTGGAGCCAAGAGAGCGTGGGCTTTGGGATCACACAAACCTGGGTTCCAATTCGGGCCAATCTGTCTTTCCTGGGAACTTCCCAAGATGCAGCAAGGAGCTAACGTGATGTTTCAGAATGACTCCCCTGCCCCCTCTCTTGGATCCTGACACCCCAGTTTCCACAAGGTGGTCAGGAAGTCCTCTAAAGTGTCAAGTGGCTGATTCACGTCCCCCATGCCATGGCTTCCAATTGCACTAAGAATACAATCAAACTCCTACATTGGCATCAGAACCCCATGTGAACTGACTACTCCTGGCTTCCCAGCCTCACTTCCTGCACTCCTGCCTTTCTTCCCAATGCCCAGCCAGGATGGGTGAGCCCGGTCCTCCATCTGGTGCTTGCCTTTGCCTGGAACCATCTTATTCCAGGTCTTCACCTGGCTGGCTCCTCTTCACTGCCCAGGCCCCAGCTCAAATGTCACCTTCTATGGGGGACTACCTTTCTAGGGAACCACATTTACCCTCTTCCCCCATACCCCAACACTCATTATGACACTGCATAGCAGGGGTCACAATTTCAAATTACCTTGCTTATTTGTGGGTTTACTTGTTTGTCATCTGTGTTCCATGTTCAGACCAGAGGCTTGCATGTAGTACGTGCTCAATAAATACATGTAGAATGAGGGAATGGAAGTTCTGATCTGGCACATTCTCCCTAAGCTTGGAGAATCAGGGACTGGAGCAAAGGTGTGGGACCTTGGTCCGCATGCTCGACTTCGAGCCTCAGCTTCCTCATCTGTAAAATGAGCGTAATAGACTTCCCTTCCTCATGATGGTGCCAGGAGGCATGGGGTTCTATGAATACAGCACAGCCCTCCTCTTTCCTTATTATTTCTTCCCTGGGTGGGAAGGTGGAGAGTGAGGACTTCGGGGAGGCTCCTCCAGGGTCCTCAGCCCGCAATCCTGGACAAATGTCCACCTTCCACCTGCAAAGATGTGCCAGGGGGGATCACGCCACCCATGACAGGATGAAGGCAGCTCCAGGAAGAGGCGCCGCATGAGGAGAGAGAGTGAATGTCCCTGAGGAAGCAGCACTGCTGGAGACAGGGAAAGGCTTCAGACAATATCTAATTTGTATTCTCTAAGCAATGCAAAAAGACACTGCATCTCCAAAAAGGGAACAATCGGAGATTAGGGACGATTGCTGTGAGAGAAAACTTTGTTTAAATCTATTACTGAACAAAAATGGTCTTCGGGTTTTGAATGGAAAATTTGTGTCTCTGCTTCAATCTTAGATTAACCCATGGCGGAGCGCCGCTGAGTACACAAGGGTGTGTGTGTCGGGGGAGGACAGAGTCTAACAGCTGACATTTGTACATTGATTCTAAAACCCCTGGGCTAAGTGCTTACCTGCAGGGTCCTTCTGAAGCTCCAGACCACTTTCTGACATCGTCCCCGTGTTCCTCCCTGTTTTACAGATGAGGAGACTGAGGCTCGAGGGGTTAAATACAGTCATGTGTCACTTAATGACAGGGATATGTTCTGAGAAATGTATAATTACATGGTTTTGTGGTTGTGTGACCATGAGAGAGTGCATTTGCACAAGTGCACTAGATGGGACAGCCTACTACACACCTACGCTGGATGGTGTAGCCTATTGCTCCTGGCTGCAAACCTGTACAGCATGTAATTGCATTGAATACTATTGGCAGTTGTAATGCAATGGTAAGCATTTGTGTATCGGATCATGAAAAAGGTGCGGTGAAAATATGGTATTATAATGTGATGAGATCCCCATTGTATATGTGGGCTGTCTTGACTGAAATGTTGTTATGCGGCACATGGCTGTATTTTGTACAAAGTCACATAGTCAGGGCAGGTAAGGTTGACATTTGAATACACGTCTGTCTGTTTCCAGAGTTTGGGCTCTTAGTGTGTGTGTGTGTGTGTGTGTGTGTGTGTGTGTGTGTGTGTGTGTGTGAAAGACAGAGAGAGAGAGAGACTTAATGACTTTCAGGGCAGGAGGGTCCTCAGAGTTCAGCTCATATTGCTACTTCCTTTCATAGATGGGGAAACTGAGACTCCTTTCGGGTAAGGACTTTTCCTGGTGCTATAGTTGCTCTGAAACCAGAAGAAGAATGGGAATTCTGATTGAATGAGTGCTCACTAGGTGCCAGGAACTGTGTTACGCCTTCACTTTTTTCTCCTCACCTACCCCATGAGCCCCATTTCATACCTGAGGAAACTGAGCCTTAGAGAATCTAAGTCATTGCTCAGAGTGACGGACCAAGTAGGTGGTGGAGCTTGCATTCAAACCCAGGTCTGTTGCAGTGCCCCATGGAGTGCTGTGGGGACCCCAGGGCAGGTAGCCTTCCCCTCCACTTGCATGTCCCTCATGTCACAGGATGACAAACTGGCTTACCAGGGTCCACAGCCATGGCACTTGCAGTTGGCCTCCACTCAGGTGACAGCTAAGGGCCAAACTTAGGTTGGAATTGATTTTGACCAGTGGTCACTTGCTTAGCCACAGAGGGCTGGGGGCTTCTGCATCGTGGGGGCAGGCAAGGAAACGCAGAATGCTTTCTGCCTCTGCCAAGTTGCGGAGCCAGATGCCAAGGCAGGGCGGGTGATGAATGATCTGTCTCCTGGGCCTTGACACAGAGATATTAGCTTGAAGGCAGCACCAAAGGAAGAATAGAACAAATGTGGACAGCAAGTCTACTTCTAGGGCCATTACTCAGTGTGGTAGAAACTGCATCCCCTACTGCAAACTCTCACTGGACAATGACTGCTGGTCTCCTTGCAGTACAGATAGAGGCATCCCTTCCAAACAGAAAACTCTGCATAGGCTTCCCAGCATATTGAGAATCAAGCTGAGGTAGGAGGCAGGACTAGACACTGGAGGCAGGGCTCAGACACTGAACCAAATTGAGGACTAGCTAAACCAGGGCCAGGGTGGGAGCATCTCCCCATAAGACACGCTCACCAGAGTTCCATGTCAGTTTACCATTGCCATGGCAACACCCAGAAGTTACTGTCCCTTTCCATGGCAATGACCAGACAACTCTGAAGTTACCACCCTCATCCTAGAAATTTCTGCATAAACCACCCCTTAATTTGCATGTAATTAAAAGTGGGTATAAATATGGGTGCATAACTGCCTCTGAGCTACTGCTCTGGGCACACTATTATGGGGTAGCCGGGCTCCACAGGGAGCAATACCTCTTGCGCCTGCTGCTGTGCATTGCTACTTCAATAAAAGTTGCTGCTTAACACCACTGGCTGGCCCTTGAATTCTTTCCTAGGCAAAGCCAAGAACCCTCCTGGGCTAAGCCCCAGTTTTGGGGCTTGCTCGTCTTTCATTAAAACTAACTTCCATGCTGGCCTGGAAAGCCTTGGGCGACTTGTCCCTAGGTCACTGTGCTGGCCTCGTCAATAATCAGCCTCCCCATGGCTCACTATACTTCAGCTGCTCTGGCCTCCTTTTGGTTCCCTAGACATATCAAAATCTTCCCCTCCTAAGGATCTTTGCATTCACAGCTTGGAATGCATTCTCTCTGGCTCTTCCCAGAACATTCTCCCTGGTTCTTCCCGGGGCTCTCTCCCTCCCTTTTCTCAGGCTTCTGCTTAAATATCCCCTCCTCACTGAAGCCTCATCTGGCCACTCTGGCCAGTGGTGACTGCAGGCAGTCTCCAGTCTGTTTCCCTGAAGGATTTCCTCAGTCCTTGTTCTAGCAGCACTTTCTGTTTATCTAGCTGTGTGCTGAATGTTTATTATCTGATTCATTCCATTAGAAATTAGAATATAAGGACCACAAAAGCAGGAACCTTGTCAGTCTTGCTCATGGCTGTTATCCTAGCACTCAGCTCTGTGCCTGGCGCAGAGTTAGTGCTCAATAAGTATTTGTTGAATGACTGAGCGACCTGACCAGGGTCCCAAAGCACGAGAGAGACAGTGCAGTCAAGGCAGGCTGCATGGAGGAGAAACTTCTTCTTGTTTTTTTTTTTACCTTTATGGTTAAGGAGTAACTCTCAAATGGTTATCTTTTTTTCTCCCTCAGTTTCCCAAATTGTAAAGTGAGGGGCTTGATGAGATGGTTCTCATGGCCCTGCTAGCTCTGCCTCTGGGTTTCATGAAACAGCAGATTCTGCTTGTCTCAGTCACCCTTAGCTCTACAGCCTGTAAGCTGAGCTGGAGGGATGCCTGTTCCTGTGGATGCTGATGCCAGGGCCACGGCTTAGCCTCAGCTCCTACACAGCAGACGTCTTCACAGCTGCGGGCACTGTGCATGGCTTCTCAGATGCTGTGCCCAGGAGATTATTGACGAACATGATGCCACATGCATTAAGAACAATTCCAGGGTTCAGAGAGAGAAGGCTTATTTTAGCAAGAGAATTTGGGCCTTCCATTTCTTCTGGAATAGCTGCAGGACCTGACTTGCCTTTCCTGGCAGAGCAGGGGGCATTTGTTAACACCTGCACCTGGCTTTGAACAGCCCTAGCCTGACGTCCTGAAATGCTTCTTAGCTCAGTGGTGGTCCCCAGTCCTGGCTGCACATTTGAATCATCTGGGGAACTTTCAAAACAATACCTGCTTCCAGGTCCCATCCCCAGGGACCCTGTCTAAGTGGATCTGGAGTGAGTCCTATGCCTTGGTGTTTTGTAAACGTTCCCTAAGGGATGCTGAGGTGCAGTTGTATTAAGGACCTCAGGCTACACACAAATTGGGGCAGCAGAGTCAGAATCCTCCAGAGGATGTTTCTTAAGTCACAGATTGCTGGGCCTCACCCCAGAGCTGCTGAATCAAAATCCCTATTGGCAATGGGTGGGGTCTGAGAGTCTTCTAATACGCAGCCTGAGAGATTGTTATGCATATTAATTATTTTGATTATTTTTTTTAAAACAGCTGGAGACATTACTGACATATAATAAATTGCACATTTAAAGAGTACAGTTACAAGCCCGGGGCAGAGCCTGACATATAGGAGACACTCAATAAAGGTTAACATAATTGATTAAAATACCTCTGAAGGCTGGGAGTGGTGGCTCACACCTGTAATCCCAGCACCCGGGGAGACCAAGGCGGGTGGATCACCTGAGGTCAGGAGTTCCAGACAAACCTGGCCAACACGGTGAAACCCCGACTCTAGTAGAAATACAAAAATTATCCAGGTGTGGTGGCGCATGCCTATAATCCCAGCCACTCGGGAGGCTGAGGCAGGAGAATCGCTTGAACCTGGGAAGCAGAGGTTGCAGTGAGCCAAGATCATGCCACACGGTCCAGCCTAGTGACAGGGCAAGACTCTGTCTCAAAAAAACACAAAGTACAGTTTAATACAATTTGACATACATACATCCATGAAACCACCACTACAATCAACACGGTGGTCATAGGTAATCCCTCAAGAGCATCCTCTGATGCACCTTAAACTTTGAGCCTCACTTGCTTAGAGTAAAAACTTGAGGAGGCGAGCACAGTAACAAAGAGGCCAGATGGGTTCCTCTTCTGGTGCAGCCAATGAATAGCCGTGGGACCTCGTGGAAGTTTCTTTTCCTCTCTGAGCCTCAATTTCCTCATTGCAATGGCTTCCTAACCCATGGTGTTATTGTGATCATTAAAGGAGATGTTTGGAGAGTACTTTGCTCTAAGCAAGCCCCCAGTAAGTGGCAACTACCATTCATATTAGATTAGATCCACCATCATCTCTGCTATCTTCAAGGTGGGCTGAGAGGAGGAAGCAGAACTGGGAAGGAGGGAAGGTTGGGAAGCATGAGGAGGCATAGAGGGCTGAACGGTTTTGTCCTCTTCTCCACTGGGTACCCATTGCCCAGCACCATGCTGGTGTATACATGGTTTCCAGTAAAAACGTGTGGAGTGACAAATGGCACAGTGTCACATACAGGACATTGGGGCAGGGGGCAGGGTGTGGATTGTAGCCTTATCTTCCCATCCTAACTCCGCCCCTCACCTTCATTAACCTCGCCCGACCACATTTCCCCACTCTGATTTGGGCCACAAGCCTGCAGCCTGGCCCTTCATCGACCCAGACTCTCATTTTTTAGAGCATGGTTATTTCCTGGGAATACTCCTTTCATTTTCTAGCTCGTTTGTTTTTCTTCAGAAGTTCATTTGTTCACGCACTTGCTCATTTAATCCATTGTTCAGGCAGGCAAGCATATTCATTTAATCATTTCTGCACCTCTGTTGGTGGGTGCCTGTGTTATCCTAGCACTTAGCTGCTTCATGGAAGGTGATTGACAAGTGTTTGTTAAGTAAGTGAATGTAGAGGAAGCAGGCTCCCTGTCCTGCACTGTTCCCAGGGACAATTTTATCAATGCACATTATTTTGCCCCTTCCTCCACTCTCGCGGGGCTTGTGTCCCTTCTGTGGCCATTGGCACGTTTTTACAGATGGGCATTGTGAGTTCTCCATGCATGTGTGCAAATCTTCCATCACTAAGTGAGCAGCCCAGTCCTGGAGGGCAGAGGCCACTCTGCAGGCTTCCCTGGCACCCCAAGTGCCTATCATAGTGCCTTGTACACAGTCAGCACCCAAAGTGACATTTGGAGGTGACAGACCCAATCACTCATAATCGTACTACGAACAAAGGGTGGGTGTGGTGGCTTCTGCCTCTAATCCCAGTGCTTTGAGAGGCCGAGGTGAGAGGATCACTTCAAGCCAGGAGTTCAAGACCAGCCTGGGAAACATAGCAAGAACCAGTCTCTACAAAAAAAAAAAAAAAATTAAAAATTAGCTGGGCATGATGGCGTATGCCTGTAGCCCCCCAGCTACTCAGAAGGCTGAGGTGGGAAGACTGCTTGAATCCAGGAGTTCAAGGCTACAGTGAGCTATGATCACACCACTGCCCTCCAGCCTGGGCAACAGAATGAGACCTCAACTCTAAAAATAAAACAAAGCCCTATTATGTTACTAAAAATAGTAACAAATACTATTAACTGAGCTTCTAGTCAAGGTCTGGCACTTTCTACACGTCAGCTCATTAGACCCTCAGAATAAAACCTTGGGATGTTATCATCCAGTTTTTATGCTTGAGGAAATTGGGGCTCAGAGAAATTAAGCGGCCACACAGCCTTCAGCTGCAGAGCAAGACTCTGAGCCTGAATATGCAGGACTCCAAAGACCGTGCTCTCTCCAGCCACTCATTCAGCAGATGTTCGCTGAGCAGAGACTACTATGTGCCAGACACTGCGCTGGGGATGCGTGGGGAACAAAAATAGACACGGTGCACATGTTCATGGAGCTTGTATCAGTTAGAATTGAACTGAGCTTCTAGTAACAGGAAACCCTGACCTACTGGCAGTAAGAGTTCTGTGGTACGTGGACCAAAGCTGACCAGACCACCAACAGTGACAACAAGGACCCCAGCTCCTCTTTCTGCTCTCTCATCTTTATTGTGTGGTTTCATTCTTCATGGTAGAAGGGGTCTTTGTCTCTCTATTTCAGAGAGGAACAAAGGGATGGGGCAAAAGGAAAAAGGGCATCCAAGTTGAGTCTGCTCTCTTCAAAATCTTTCCTGCATGTCTCAGCTGGCAGCTTCTGCTTACATCCCATTGGCCAGATGGTGTCACATGGCCATTCCTGGGTGCAAGGAAGGCTGGAAATTCAGCCATTTTAGAGAAAGGCTAGAGAGGATGGGAGGGGGTTGGGTGTTCAGTAAACTTATCCACAGTTTCTGCCACAGAGCTCACCAGGAGTCTGATTTCCACTGAATAATCACACACACACACATACATATACACACAAAAAACCCACAAAGGTGTATTTACTAGCTGAGATAAGGGCACTGAAGGAAAAGAACTTGATTCTCTGATATGCTTAAGGTTCTGATTTCAAATGTAAGGGTGTTTGGGAGCAACAGAGAGGTGCTATCCAGAACTGATGCTTGAGCTGGAATTTGAGAAGCCACTAAGTGAACTTGGTGAAAGTTGGAGGGAAGTGTGTTGCAAGCCCATGGAACAGCTTGAGCAGTGGTGAGAGGTGGGCAAGGAACCAGACCATGCTGGGAACAGTGGATCACATTCATCATTTTGGTCTTTATTCTGAAAGCAATGGGGAGTCACAGAAGGGTTTTATAACAGGAAGGTGGAATTGGCAGATGTGTGTTTTGAAAAGATCTCTATGGCAAGCAATGTGAAGGATGGATGGAAAGCAAAACAAGCTGGAAGCCAAAGGCCCAGTGAGGGATGGTTGCAGTTGGCCAGGTGAGAGCTGATGGTGGCTTAGACCAGGGTGGTGGCAGCAGGGATGGAGAAAATCGAGTTACTTTGAGAAATATTTATGAGGCAAAATTATCAGGACTTGGAGATGGATGGATAAGGGAAGTGAGAGAGAGCAAGGAGTAATGGATGACTTCCAAGTTTTTGTTTTGCTCAACCATAGATATGGTGATATCGTTCACTAAGCCAGCAAATAATGCAGAGACAGGACCAGGTCTAGGGCATGGGGGGAATCTTGAGTTGAGAAGTGAAAGCCAAGGGAAGATTTGCTGCTGGGTGGAACTAGAAGCCATTCTTTATTTGCAAACTCCTTCACCTTCCAGACAGCCACAGTCAGTCAGCCCAGCTTGTTCCTAAATGCAGCTGCTTAAGGTTTCTCGTGGAGTCCCACTTATTTACTTCCTGTCCAGATTGCAAATTACCACTTGGGATGGCAACAATTTTCCTCAAGCACATCCCTAATCCCTCTTTCTCAGTGGGGAACACAATGCATTACCCTAACACAGCTAAAAACATCATTTTGTCAGTTGTCTTTCTTCTTCGAGTCATCTAATTCCTCTCCTCAGCCGTGGATGCTGGGCTAGGGCCACTGTGTTTTCCCTTCTATGTGTTCAGCTTGTCCTTGAAAAAAATCCCCCCACCCTCTTTCTCAAAATCAGCCAATCCGAGTCTAATAGCTTCTGACAGACTGAGTGATCCCGCTGCTCAAAACTAGTCATGGAGGAGCAAGAGCTGGCTTGGCAGTGGTTGTGACTCTTAGTGTTTTGTGGATGGCATTGATTAGGGGGAGGCAAGCCAATCTCTCTGACTGAGTTGGCTTCCTGACCAGTGATGAGCTCGTCCTGTGTTTGGTGTGACAAGTCATCTGCCTAACAGAGTTCCTGAGAGCTGCACCAAGCTAATCAGAAAACTGAAATTACTTGAGCCTGGGAGAAATTGGAGTGTTCTCCTCTCTCTTGATGCCCTGAGTTGTAGAATGGCTGGGACAAATCTTTTCAGGTCACTTTAGTGTCAGACCACCACAGATTCTTCAAACATTGATTTTTTTCATTTGTTAAGAGTAGCTTATTTGTTTGTTTTAGGCCCCAAAGTGAAACATGTTAATTGTAGGGCTTTTTTTTTGTAACAATAGCTAGTGGCACATCTAAAACAGATTTTCTAATTATAGCCCAGCTGAACTGCAGATGGCTGCAGAGTCATGTGGTTGCAGTTCTAAGTCCCTGAGTTGGGGGTAGTTTCTTACACAGCATTATCGTGGCAATAGCTGACTGATGGAGGTTATCAACATCTACCTAACTATTTAAGCTCTAATCTAGGCAGCATCCTTGATTGCCTACCTTCTCCTTTACCCTCCACAGCCAGTCTATTAGCACTTCCTGCCAGCTTGACTTCTAAAACATATCCTGTATCTGTATGCTCTTCTCCATCACCACTGCCACCACCCTAATCCTATGTCAAACCTCTGTAGACTCTTATCTAGACAACTGCAATAACTTCCTACCAGTTTCCCACTTTGTCTTTCTGAAGTCTAGTGGCCAGAGTGAGTTTTACACAATCCTATGAAGCCACTCCCTGCTCTAATCCCAACAAAGACTTCCCATTACACATAGAGTAAGCCCAAACTCCTTGCCATGGGCTTAAGGGCACTAGATGATCTGTGTCTGTCTCCTTCTCTGATAGCTCATATTTCTCTCCCCCTTTACTCCTGCACCCAGTAATAGAGAACAGAAGCTGAGCCAGGCCCTGCCAGGCTGACTCCTAGTTCAGGTCTCCTTCTGCCCCATACCCCTCGTTGGAGTAATAGGTTTCCTCAAATCTCCCTAACTCCCTCTTGGTTATAGAACCTCTGAGAGAGCCAGCATGAGTTGAATTCTTCATTTCTTCTTCTAACTTGGTTTCTGCCTCCAAAGCTCTTTCATGATTTACAGACTCCTAGAATTAATTGTCAGCAACAGCCGGTGTTATTAGGGATTTTTCAATTGGCTCCAGGATTGTGTATTAATTCAACTTTTTTTTTCTCCTTGAGACATTTTATTCAATGACGATAACCCACTGAGTCCACCATTGATCCCTTGATGCTTAATAACGAGGCCAATTTAATAGTAATTAGTTCCAATATTGAATATATTTTCATTAAAAGCAAAAATGATGGGTCAAATTTAGTAAGTGATGAATTATCAGATCCAGACTGTACCAGCTTTGTTTTACAAATGCCTAGTATTCCCCAAACTCTCCAATCTACCACCTTCTCCCTATCCGGGGGCCTTAATTATAATAACAATTATGATGACAATGACCATGATGATAATAATTATTACTGTTGATATTCATTGAGGGCATTTCATGTACCAGGCACCATACAAAGTGTTTTATATGCATTATTTGATTTAAAATGCACAATAATCCTTTTAAGTGGGTTCTATTGTTATCTCCACATTTTGGAGGAGGAAACTGAGTTCCAGAGAAATGAAGGGATTTTTTTTTCTCAGGGACACACAGCTAAAAATCAGCTGGGCCAAGATTCAAACTCAGGCTGATCATAAATCCACATTCTTAGCTCCCAAGCAATACCTCTTACCACTGAAGGGGAGGCTGAGGAGCCACAATTTGTGCTTGAAATTAAACTTGTGAAATCCAATTTACTCTACAATATAATTAAAAATAGACTGTGTTCAATGCAAGGAAATTTAGTGGCTTATGTTGCAAAATATATGGAGTATATGGAGGATTCATCTATGAGGCAAGAACAACACTTGAAATATCATTAATTCTGGAATGAGACCTACCTGGACTTGGAGTCTAATTTTATTTCTTGGTAGCTGCATTATCTTTGACAGGAGACTTGGTTCACATAGAACCTATTTTCTGTCTTCTACTCACAACATCTAACACCACCGTGATATACCCATTTTGTGGGTGGAAGACAGAACAGCTAAGGAAAGAATCCTGTGACTACCACGTTTGGGGTGAGCTGCTACAACTCCTACGGTGGAGGTGGCCACAAAGATGTCACAACAAAAGTAAAAAGTTCACATCTTACAGATCAGGAATTCTCAACCTAGGCGCTATTGACATTTGGGGCCAGATAATTTTTTTTTTTTTTGTGGGAGGCTGTCCCATGCATCATTGTATGTTAACCAGCCTCTCTGGACTCTACACAGTAGATGCCGGTAGCAAACACCCCAGGTGTGACCCCCAGAAATGTCTCCAGACATTGTCAGATATCTCCTGGTGGGCAAAATTGCCCCTGGTTAAGAACCACTGTGATGGATAAAATTCTAACAACAGCAAGTCATGGGCCAGAGATTTCCTACTGGGTTCTAGCATATAATATATCCTGCTTACATAAATGAAAAAAATTTTTTTATGTAAACCCATTTTCAAATCATTTCACATGTATGTGGGCGTTCCCCCCGGTTTTTCCCTATGATATTGAGATTTGTCTTATACACCAGAGGATTTTGCTGTTCAGCAAACATGATGCTTTCTCTCCAATCCTCAGTTTTTTTTCTCCAGAATGATAGGCATGGTAATACCTAGCCTTTAGGATTGCTAGAAGGTCCTATGTCAAGTGGCTAGAACACAAGAAGGGCTCAATAATGCTGGTCACCTCTTCCCCTTGCAGAGGCAGCAATAACTCCTTCCAGAGAAAAAGGTGGGTGATGCAATGGAGTAAAGGCAGCTGGCCAGTGAGGTCTTCGGTTTGTGTTTCAGCCCTGTCACTGCCTTGCAGTGTGACCTTGCATAAGCCACTTAACCTCTCTGTGCCTCACTTGCTCCATCTGTAAAGTTAGGAAGTTGGACTAGAAACCCTCAAAGGCCCTCCAAGTGCTGCACTCTAAGTTCCTGTGAGGCTGGGCATGGCAGCAGTTCCCTGAGCATGCACCAGAATCATCTAAGGAGTGGGCTAAAATGCAGATTCCCAGGTTATAACTCGAGAGTTTCTGATTTAGTAAGTCTGGAATGGATCCCAGAAATCGTCATTTCTAAACAGCCACCCACTGCCACCCCAGGCGATTATGTGGAGGGAGTACCGGGCCCATGTTCTGGGAAACTGTCTTCTCTTCTATTGATACCTTGACAGGGAAATAGTATTAGGAGCTCCCACAAGCTTGTTGACAACATGCACACAGATTGCCTTTTCATTTGTCTCTGGTTTCCTGCAATAAGGCCCTTTCTAAAAGACTGGCTTAGATAAAACCATTGGCGAATTGATTCTCACCTACAATAAATCTTTAGAAATGAAACTTTCTTGACTTGGGTCCAAGCAGAAATCAACCAATAAGCATTCTGGTCATCCAGTCCTGTGCTAGGGAGTGTGTGTGTGTGTGTGTGTGTGTGTGTGTGTGCACGCGTGTGCACGCGCATGAATTCAGGTGCACACACACCAGGTACGAGAGATGGTGCTTTTCTCTTAGAACCTTAAAATATTGTTGAGTAGATGAGACAATCACAGGTTAGGCAACAATAGTAATGATAGCCATTGACACGAGCGAGTGCTTGCTATGTGCCGGGATTCACATGAAGCTCCTTGCACACTTTCTCAGGGTGTAAGTCTTCCTAATACCTCTGTGAGGCAGTGTGTCTATTTCATATTTGGGGCAATGGAGGCTCTGGGAGTTGGAATGACTTTCTCAGTCACTTTCTAGCAAAGTGACAGAGCCAAAATTCTGCCAGCTAGTTTTCCTCCTATAGGCCTGTGATGGTAACCACTACCCAATGCTAAAAACTGCTATGGTTGGTTTCAATTAGGGGAGGTAAGAGTGTGCAACCAAGATGTTAATTGGAAATTAGATTGGAGGAACACTACAAGGCTTGAAAAAAGACCAGTCTCTGTGGGCTGGAACAGACCACAGGGGTAAGATTTAACTGCAGTTTGAAGGATGAAGGGAAGGTCAGGTGAATAAGGCCAGGGGGTAAGCTAAGCAGGCAAAAGAAGGGATCTGGGTTGTATTTAATACTTTATTTGTTCGACATTCACTGACTCTTCCAAAGGAAATTTGCCTATTTCTCCCTCTCTCCATCCCTACTTTTTCCTCTTCCTCTCCCTCTCTTCTTTCTTTTCTTTCTTCTTTTATCCATTCACCTTTCCTTCCTTCCCTCCCACCTTCCTTCCTTTCTTCCTTCCCTCCAATCAACCACTCATCATCCATCCATCCACCCATCCATCCATCCATCCATCCATCCATCCATCCATTCATACAGTATTTATTGTGTGATGTAAGCACATTCCCCCTTCCTTTCTCCTTCTCTCAATTCATCCATTCTTTTATTCATCATGTGCTACCTGAGTGCTTACTGGGTGCTAAACCCCATGCTAAGCTCTGGGGATACCCAGTGGCCCCTGTCATGGATGAGCTCACAATCTAATGGGGGAGGGACAGGCAGGGGATTGCAGGACCATATGACAGTGACTGTGACAGCTTCTGTAGGCTTTACATATAGTGACATCATAGGGATGAGTTCCAGCCAGAGGAAGAAGCCTGTGTAGCACCTGTCTCATCATCATCTCACCTGGCAATGAGACCTGCTTCACCCAAGGCAACTGACAGACAGGCAACTAACACACAGGCAACTAAGTGGAGAGTCAGGAGCCCTGCAACCCAATGCTAGGTGTGTGACTAGGCCTCGGTCTCCTCATCTGCACAATGGGGACACAACAGCTGCTCTGCCTGCCTCAAAGGGATGTGGGGAGAATTGAGGAGGAGAGGGTCAATGGCAGATTCGCTGTTATTACTGATGCTGACTTACAATTCTATGCAAATGTCAGCTTCACTGGCAGGGTTTTGCCAGTCTTGTTCATTGATGTAGCTCCAGGACCCTGCCTGGTACAAGGCCGGAGATCAGTAAATATTTGTTCAATGATCAATGTATGATGATGTCCATTTTGCAGATATGGCATCTGTGGCATCTGTGGCCCAGAAAGGTGGAGCCGCTTGCCTGGGGTCTCACTGTGAGTAGGTGGTGGACCTAGGGTTCTAACTGGAGCTATCAGACTCCCACATCTGCGTCTCTCCACTTCCTGTGAGGCTTACTTCACCCATCAAAGCTCACTGGCATCCCCACCCCAGAAGCCTCTTCACCTACCTGGTGTGCTGTTGGAAAGACACTGTTCTTTTTTCAGATTTTTATTTTATTTTAAGTTCCAGGATACATGTGCTGGATGTGCAGGTTTGTTACATAGGTAAACGTGTCCCATGGTGGTTTGTTGCGCTTGTCAACCCATCACCTAGTTATTAAGTCCCGCATGCATTAGCTATTTATCCTGATACTCTCCCTCCCCTACCTCCCTCAACAGGCCTTGGTGTGTGTTGTTCCCTTCCCTGTGACACTGTTCTTTTTATTTTCATCGCTGTCACCAGGCATTGCATGATCCTCTTTATTGCTGAGATTACATCTTCCCTATTCACATACCCAGAACTTTAATGATCCTCTTTGAACTTCTCCTCTTAGTTGTTTTAATTATTATTTCTTTTTCTCATGGCCTCAGATTTTTAAAAATGCCCTTAGAAAGTGGTTAATTTACTGGCTTGTGTAGGTTTCCTGGGCTCAGGAGATGGATTCACATCAAATAGGTTCTTGAAGTCTGAGACAAGAGTCCGTATGGAAAATAAAGAAGCAAGCACTATAATTTGCTCAGTGAAACTTTCTAATTTCTTGATTCTTTCAAACTGTCTATATATAAAACAGATTTTGTAAAAAAACAAACAAAAAAAATAAAAAGGCAAGAGGGCTCAGACTTGTCCAATCTTGTTCATTTTTGTCATTGTGGGGTTGTTTTCTTCCTACCTGCTTTCCTACTGATATTTGCCAGGAGCGAAAAAAAAAAAAAAAACTTGTATTTCTCGAACATCTTCTATGACCAACTGGGAATATTTACAAGATTTGTTTTATTTAAACATTACAGCCGCCCTGTGAGTAAGGTGATGCTATTTCTACTTTGCTAGTGGAGGGAGCTCAGGCTTAAAGAAGTGATGTACCAATTAAAGGCATAACCAGCACTCGAATCCAGAACTTTCTGGCTATGGCTGGGGAATGATTTAAGGCAAAGAAATAGAAAGGAAAAGCCTATGACTCTTCAGGGGGACCAGGTGCTTTGCTTACTTTACTTTTTTCTTTTTTCTTTTCGTTTCTTTTCTTTTCTTTTTTTTTGAGACAGAGTCTCATTCCGTTGCCTAGGCTGGAGTGCAGTGGCACAATCTTGGCTCACTGCAACCTCCACCTCCTGGGTTCAAGCGATTTCTCCTGCCTCAGCCTCCCAAGTAGCTGGGATTACAAGCATGCACCACTACACCTGGCTAATTTTTGTATTTTTAGTAGAGACAGAGTTTCACCATGTTGGCCAGGCTGGTCTCAAACTCCTGACCTCAGGTGATCCACCTGCCTTGGCCTCCCAAAGTGCTGGGTTTACAGGCATGCACCACTACACCCAGCTAATTTTTGTATTTTTAGTAGAGACAGAGTTTCACCATGTTGACCAGGCTGGTCTTGAACTCCTGACCTCAAGTGATCCACCCACTTCAGCCTCCCAAATTGCTAAGATTATAGGCGTAAGCCACCACGCCCAGCCTACTTCACCTCTTTAAGTCTCAGTAATATATATAAAACTAGCAGTTCAAATGAGAAGACATGGACACAGGGAGGGGAACATTACATACCAGGACCTGTTGGGAGGTGGGGAGCAAGGGGAGGGAGAGCATTAGGACAAGTACCTAATGCATGTGGGGCTTAAAACCTAGATGACGGGTTGATAGCTGCAGCAAACCACCATGGCACATGTATTGTACCTATGTAACAAACCTGCACGTTCTGCACATGTATCCCAAAACTTAAAAGTAAAAAAACAAAACAAACAAACAAAACTAGTGGTTCAGATGGCTTTGGTTAGGGTTGCAAAGGGATAATGAATGGGTATTTATAAAGTGCTCAGCACTGGCCTGACACAAAGCATGTCCTCAATAAATGGGAGACATTGTTTTTCTTTCTCTCTACCTGATGGCTGTGTATATTCCTGCATCTGTTTTCCTACTCAACTGTGTGTTTATCAACGGCAGGAAGTGTGTCTAATTTACCTCTGCTCTCCAGCACCCAGGAGATTGACAGGACAGAGAAGGGTCTCCAGGAACTGTTTGCAGAGGGAGCCTGTGTCTGTGTTCATTTCTTGTCGACATCAGCCTCAGAAGTGTCTTCTACGTTCAGAATTCAATTCAACTCTCATGAAAGAAAGCCAGGCACTTCGCCTTCCATCGCAGCAGGTGGCAAGGGAATTTTAGAAAATGCCGTATGGCAGGACCTAAAGGGGAAATTCCTTGAGGAGGAGGAGTCCCACACAACATGTTGTATTTGCGAGGCCCACTTGGGGCCATATAAGCTGATCTTGAAAGAACCGTGGGGCCTTGTCATCCATTTTACAGATTGGAAGAGTGAGGCCCAGAGTGGGGGACTTGCTCATGGCCATAGAAATTGAAATTGGATGGGCAGAGACTTAACATTACCTAATTAAATAATCACATTAATGTGGACCCACTAATAGACGGATACCCCAGAGGAAGAGACAGAGCTGTCTTCAGAAGTGACACTTACACTGAGGTCTGAAAGAGAAGTAGAAGGTAATCAGGCCAAAAGTCAGGAAGGGGTTTACAGAAATGTTTAGGAAGAGGGAACAGCAGGTGCAAAAGCCCTGTGTTGGCAGAAGCCACAAGAAGATCAGTGTGGCCGAAAGAAAAAAGGGAGGATGTCACTGATACAGAAGATAGCCAGGACCTGATTGTGCATGTCTTGTAAGTTCCAAAGAAGAGTCTGGGTTTGGTTTCAAGGGTTGGAGGGTTATAGTCAGTGTTGGGTTTGGAAATGTCACTATGGTGGTGGGAAGGGAAGAATGGGGCATTCTGGGGTCCCAGCTCTGCTACCTACTAGCACTGTAATCCTGGAGGAGTGCAAGTTGCCACGCAGGTACTTAAAGCTATTGTGTGGAATAAATGAGATGATAATTAGTGAGTTACTGTTATCATCATTAGTCAAAAAAGCAAAGCACTAAAGAGTCAGAAGTCCTGGGTTCAAATCCCAGTTATTCCCATTTAATCCTCAGGGGTGCAGGAGAGCCCAGTGGTTAAGAGCTCTG
The DNA here is from genome assembly GCF_000001405.40 of Homo sapiens. NCBI lineage: Eukaryota > Metazoa > Chordata > Mammalia > Primates > Hominidae > Homo > Homo sapiens. Next base: position 26,216,968 of record NC_000022.11, on the reverse strand, counting down.
GCATTGACACCAGACATCAAGGGGTCCAGGCTAAACCCTACCACTTCCCTCCTGGTTATATGGCCTTAAGCAAGTGACTTTACCTCTCAAAGCCTTAGATTTTCCATATGCAAACTGGGGACAATAATGAGAATGACCTAGTGGGTGGTTGTACAGATTTAATACAAATTAATAGCATGATGTCTGATAAATTTTGGCCATTTTGATGATGATAATGATGATTGCCAAATTGGTTTTATTCACATAAGGACACTACTTTTACCTGCTGGACCATTTCTTTTTCTTTTTCTTTTTCTTTTCCTTTTTCTTTTTTGAGATGGAGTCTCACTCTGTCACCAAGGCTGGAGTGCAATGGCGCAATCTCGGCTCACTGCAACCTCCGCCTCCCGGGTTCAAATGATTCTCCTGCTTCAGCCTCCTGATTAACTGGGATTACAGTTGCACACCACTACACCCAGCTAATTACTGTACTTTTAGTGGAGACAGAGTTTTACCATGTTGGCCAGGCTGGTCTCGAACTCCTGATCTCAAGTGATCTTCCCGCCTCAGCCTCCTAAAGTGCTGGGATTACAGGTGTGAGCCATCACACTCGGCCCCTGCTGGATCATTTCTTAGGACAATAAACTAAACATCCACCACTTGGGGACAGGTCAGCTGTCCCCTTAGGGATTGAGTGATTTCTCAGGAAAAGTTCTGAGACAGGAAAGACTGATTTAGCAGAAAGAGCTAGATCATTTCCAGCTCCTCCACTAACTGACCACGTGGGACTGCGCAAGGTCCCAGCTCTCCCTGGTTTTCTGTTTCTTCCTCTCTGGGCTTTGCTTCTGACAGGGTTTCTGTTTCTTCCTCTCTGGGCTTTGCTTCTGTTCCTTTAAGCTTGCTGGATGGTCAGAATGCTCTAGTTTGGGGGCAGGGAGAGAGGAAGATGGGAATCACTCAAATCCAATTTCCGTGGCTTCACCTAGTGCTCCCGTCATGCAATAAGGAGCATCCGGGACCTCTGCTCTGCTTCTGTCAGCGAGAAGCTGGGATGATTCAGTGCCTTGCAAAGCGAGCTCATCACATCAGGCTGTTCACACTGCTCTGTAGATAAGGCTCAGCTCATCAGTCAAGATGCCCTAAACGTTTCCTCAGATCCCTGCTCACCCCAGGCGAATGGCCCTTCTTCCCAGAGGTGAACACATCTGAAAGGATCCCTGACAAGTCACTGGGATTGAGCACTTGATCCAAACCCACCTCAGGCTGGGGGCACAACCTTCAGTCTATGAAATGAAGGCCTGGGGAATTCTTTTCATTCATTCATTTACTTCTTTATGGGGTTTCCTTTTGCTCCCTTTTTTCTCTTTACCTCTCACAGCTAGGCTCTCCAGTGTTCTTAGGGATTGATATGGATTGAGCCTTTTCTTTTTTTCTTTCATCCCTTCCTGAGTCTCCATTAGGGATCTGTTTTCTTTTGGAAACAAAACGAATCGCCTCTCCCATTTTGGTTTGCCATTTCAAGATGGTGGGAGTCATCTATCCAGCAAGTTTTCCAAGCAAGGAAAAAGAAGACCAGGACCTCACCAAGAACATGCAGAAGTATGTCTGAGTGGGAGGTGGGGTGAGGGTTGAGAAATTACCTATTGGGTAAAATGTTTAATATTTGGGTGATGGGTGCACTAGAGTCTAACCTCCACCATTGTGCATGTAACACCTGTGTAACAAGCCCATATACCTAGTGAACCTAAAATTTTTTAAAAAAGAAGTACATCTTAGGACAAACATAAACTCTACAATGATCTCAGTTAACATCATGATTAAAACAATAAATTTAAGTAAATTACAAAGTTACTGATACATGTAATTCGGTCTTCGCTTCTAACCAAGCACCACCCATGTGATGAAAGTTCAGGGCTGAGAAACATTTTTCTTGAACGATTCTGTTCTCCTCCCTTAAAAAGTATGTACCACTTTCATTTCTTTAGTTCAATAAACACTTACTTAGTGCCTGCCCAATGAATACGTACTAAATCACATTGAGCATTTTTTTTTGTCATATGCCAGGCACTCTAAATGTATTCCTTTATGTAGTCATTTATATGTTTCTATTCATCAGTGTTATAAGTTTGATCAATGCCATGCCCACCACCCACCCAGAAACATCCCCGCAAACTCTGTCTATTCCCCAAGTCATAATTCTGTGTTTTCTACTTTTTTCCCCTTCTCCTTTCAGTCTCTTTCTGACTGCAGGCAACCCACTCTTTTCTTCCTCCCCTCCAAATCTGGGCCAACTGGCGCCAAAATCCTTTTGTTGAAGCTTCTGAAAAAAACAAGGTGTTGCTGTCTGTCTGTTCACACCTTTTCTCTGGGCAAGCTGCTTCCTTCCTGAAATTCCGCAGGAGATCCGACCAGCATTTCTTATATATAATACTCCACATGATATTCCTGCTTTGTATAGTTCTGGCTCCTTCAGGACTTTAAAGTTTTTTCTTCCCTCTTCTTCCCCATCAGGGAATCCATAACCTTTAATCCATGTTCCTGCAAATGTTCTATCTGAGAAAACGGGTCTAGGATGCAAGTAGCTAAGAATAGCTGACGTTTATTGGTTCTTTTCCGTGTGCCGGGCCCTGCATGAAATACTTCACATGCATCTACTTCTTTAATCCTCAGGACAGCTCTGTGAGGCAGGAACTATCACTGCTTCCGTTTCTCAGATGAAGAAACCAGGCTCAGAGAGGTGAAGTGAGCTGCTCTAGGACACACAGCTAGGTTTAAAGCAAAATTTATCCCAATGCCTTTTTTTCTTAACCATTAGACTGTATAGCTTTTCCTTCCCAAGTTACTCAAGAAGGTCACTGATCTCCAAAGTCATTAGTTTCTCTTGCAGTGGCAGACCTCTTTGAATTCTTGAAATACTACTATGAATGCCACTGGTTATTAAGCAATGTGTGGACAGAGGCCATCATTGGGAAGTCCTTGTACTGCCCTGTGCCTTGCACAATGTTGGGCTTGTCCTGTGGGCCCAATCCATCCTTGCTCAAGATCTTTCTTTCTTTTTCTTTTTTTTAAGAGACAGGATCTCATTTTATTGCTCAAACTGGAGAGCAGTGGCATGATCACGGTTCACTGCAGCCTAGACTTCCTAAGTTCAAGCAATCCTAACACATCAGCTTCCCAAGTAGGTGAGACTACAGGTGCACGGCACTACACCCAGCTAATTTTTGTATTTTCTGTAAAGACAGGGTCTTGCTTAGGCTTGTCTCAAATTCCTGGTCTCAAGCCATCTTCCTGCCTCAGCCTCTTAAAATCCACACTCTAATTTAAGAATTTTGCCTAGTCCAGCTGTGTGCTGGGTGTTAGGAAGAGAAGGGAAGGTTTAATCCTTCTTGTCAAGGAAGAAAATAAATAAAAGTAACCAGGGGTTGTTAACTTGCAGGGATAGCCCCGGGTTAGTGATCTGTGAATGAACTGCATTTTGGGGTGACAATGTCCATGGCTATGAGTGGATTACAATCCTCTAAACAGATAAAGATTGCATGTGTTATGACAGCTTCCATAGTAAAGGCAAAATTCAAGCTAAACTGAACACATCAGTATTTCCGCTCTGCACGTCGGAAAGCGAATGCCCAGCATGGTAAGGGTTCATGTCCAGGACCACCCAGCCGGTGTCTGGAGCCAGAAGCTGAATTCACTTCCTTGCTTCCTTGTATTAGGTCTCTAATGCTCTCATGTGGAATTGTAATAGTCCATTGTTAAGTCAAAGACTCTGTTTCCATGATGAAGCAGGTATTTTGCTTTAAAAGAAAACCTGGGGGTCAGGGAGAAGACTATATGGCTAAGTTAAACCTCACCTCAGCCAGCCACATGATTCATACTGACCATTATTAGTGGGAGGAATGTAGGGAGCCTAAGCATCCCCATCCTCCAGGATTTAGAACCCAGCCCTCCTGGATGCACACATATCTAGCACTGGGCTTTGGTTCTGATAACAGGGCTTCTGTCTTCATCTGGACCTTCAGCCCATGTCTTATTAATTCTACTTTATTTTTGCCAACCCCCATCCCAAGCACGGGAGTTCTGACCCCAAGGCTGAGGTCCATCCTCTCACTCTAATCCCACTCTGATTGATGCATGGCCACCATTTGCAGTCTTATTCTCCAGGGACCACATTTGGCTTTTCCTCTCATCTCCAGCTTCTCACTCTTTCTCCCCACTGTGCCATCCTTCTTTCTCAAGGGGCAGGGTCTACTTTCAAGGCCCTTATCTTGGCCAGGCGTGGTGGCTCACACCTGTAATCCCACCACATTGGGAGGCCGAGGTGGGAGAATCCTTGGAGCCCAGGAGTTTGAGACCAGCCTGGGCAGCACAGTGAAACCCTATTTCTACAAAAAATACAAAAATTGGGCGGGCATGGTGGCGCATGCCTGTGGTCCCAGCTACTCAGGAGGCTGAGGTGGGAGAATCACCTGAGCCTGGGAAGTTGAGGCAGCAGTGAGCCATGATGGCGCCACTGCCCTCTATCCTGGGTGAAACAGTGAGACCTTGCCTCAGAAAAAAATTTTTTTAAAAAAGTCCTTTGTCTTGAAGTATTGCTTGGAGCAATGGGGTTTCCAACTCATTTTAGCTATAGAATCTTTTATTCCAATGAGAACATATCATGAATCTCAACATAGAAAGAAGATAAAAATGGAGTTTCCTGGCTGAAACTTCATGGGACTGTAAAACCTTTACATTCTGTTTATGATAAAGACCAGGCCCCGTGCCATGATCTGAAAGGCCATGTGTGGTCTGAAATTTCCCCATTTCCCTGTCTCATCTCCGCCCATTGACCCGCTTCTAATTCCTTAAACTCTGCGTGTTCCCTCTCATCCCAGGCCTCTGAAATCTGCCATCCTCTTTGGAATAGTCTGTCCTTGCTCCCCTTCACCTAGTTAGCTTCCACTTGTCCGTCACATTTTATTATTTCACTGGGAAATCTTTCCCAGCCATCAGGTCTAGCTGAAATCCCTGTTATGCAAATGAATGGCCCCCATATTCCTCTCCTCATTTATATTTGATTTATTTTGGGTGGGCATGAATTTTGTCTACCTTTGCTTACCATTCTGCTTGTCACAAACAGTCTCTTTAATTTTTTTAATTTTTATTTTTATTTAATTTAAATTTTTTTTTTTTTTTTTTTTTTTTTAGAGACGAGGTCTGGCTATGTTGCCCAGGCTGGTCTGAAACTCTTGGCCTCAAGTGATCCTCTCACCTCACCCTGCTGAGTAGCTGGGATTACAGGTGTGAGCCACCACACCTGGCTACAAAATGGGCTATTAACAAATATCTGATGATGCTTGAATGGGATGGGAGGCTCTAAAGCCATCTGGCCTGACCATCACTTTCTTGATTTCTATTGGCTCCTGATGGAAAAAAACACTGGACTGAATTATTTGTAAGGTATCTTTTGAGCCTAACGCTCTGTAGAGCTATTGTTGCAGCTCCAGTTGCATATAAAATGGAGTAGCAGTGTGGGCAGGTGGGCAGAGCTGGATCTACCTTCCTTTAGAACTTATATTCTGGGCCTAGGACCTGAGGTGGGTGGTTGGGTTGCTTCTTCTCCATAGCCTTGCTTCTGGATGACACTGATCTTCAGTGAAATGGCAAAGAGTTTGGCCAACACCATTAGCAGCCCAATGTCATTCCAACAAACTGCATCAACTAAACGGCAGGACTGAAAGTGTACTACAGCAAAACCTTTTGAAAGAGAAAAGGGAAATCTTGAACTAGTTCTTCCTTTCATTGGGTGGAAATTTCCATCACAACAGTACAGACCCGGTTGGCTCCCAGAGCTCTCTTCTTCAAGAAATAGAGAGACCTAGGCTAGTCTGTGGAGAAGACCAGGGCTTGAGGCTTCCAAAGCTTAAGGGCAGGATTGGCAGGGTCAGATGCCCACAAAGGCTGGCAAAAAATGCGGATGAGTGAAGTGGAGCTGATAGGTCCATAGTATATAAGAGAACGTGGCAGGCCAAATTAAGGGGCAGGCTACTGCTACTCTACCCCAGCCAATTGTTGGAGTGCAGGAGGGTGAGTCCCAGGTTGCCAACTCTTCTGATTTTTCTAGGGATGCCTGACATTGGAATTGCCATGCAAAGTCTTCTATTTTAAATGTTGGAACAAATCCTTTAAAGTGTTACAAAATATTTCCAGGCCAAACCCGAAAATGCATGTGGGCTAGTTTTGGCTTGTGGACTCTCTTCTGATTAGGAGTTTGGAAAAATCTCCAACTTCTTTTGTCTCCCTAGGAGTCCTTTGGATTATAATAAAAAAACCATTCTGAGAATGGAGATGAGAAAAGAGGAAATGTGCACGGGGCTGCCAGGCTGGTATATGAATGTCCGCGCACTCACTCTCCCAGGCAAAACACAAAAGAAACCGCCCCCAGGGAAGCTGACTAGGCCACTGTGGCGTGTCACTGACATCGGAATTACATTAAATTATCACCACACGAGTGCCTTCCACTGTTGTTATTTGTGTTCCAAAATATCCCAATGAATTCTAAAAGGAGCGTTATGTTCCCTTAAAGAGAAAAACCTAATGTTCTGTCCTTTATTAGAACCCACTCAGGAAAATGAGCTCATTGTGCATGTGAGCCTTCCCTCCTCTCTGGGGGCAGAGAAGGAAACAGGGAGAATTGATTAAGGCTTTTGATTAGTTCACCGAAAAGTTTTCTTTTGCTTTTATTGTTGCTTTGTCTTTCCCCCAACAGAACTCCACCTGATGGTCTCAGATCAGAACCAATGTGAAGATGTGGTATGTGCACTGGCCTGAAGGGCAGGGGGAGGGCCATGGTTCATCTCTACTGAGAGGCTTCCCAGGTGGTTGGACTAAGTGTCATCCTCCCAATTCCTCACCTTGGTTCACAAACAAATGATATTTTTTGCTAACATAGTGCATGGTATTTACAGCTTCATAATACATATTTTTTTTCATTGACCCATCCTTCTTCCTTCCTTCCTCCCTTCCTTCCTTCCTCCCTCCCTCTCTCCCTTTTTACTTCCTTCTTGCCATCCATTCATGCATATATCCATATTTCCTCCTTCTTTCCTTCCTTCCTCTCTCCCTTCTTTCCTTCCTTCCTCTCTCCCTTCTTTCCTTCATTCCTTCCTTCCTCCTACTTTTTTCCTTTCTTCCATCTATCCATCTATTCATCTTTGTTCCTTCCTCCTTCTTCCCTCCCTCCCTCGCTTCCTTCCTTCTCTCCTCTCTCCCTCTCTCCTTCCTTCCTCCCCTTCCTCCTTCCTCTTTCTTTTTTCCTTCCCTTCCTGTCATCTATCTCTCCATCCATATATCCATCTTTTTTCTTCCTACCTTACTTCTTCCTTTCTTCCCTCCTCCCTCCTTCTTTCCTTTTTTCCTACCATCTATCCATCTTTCTTCCTTCCT